>NC_000005.10:75109807-76359807 GCF_000001405.40 Homo sapiens
TCTGTGTAGGATGGTCCATCAGAAAAAAAAAATAGAAGCTGAGAGAAGACTGAGAGGGCACAGGGAAAGGGCAATGTGTATTGCCCGCATCATAGAAGTTCCAGCCTGATGGACCAAAGAGAAATTTCAGAAGAGTCTTAGAAAACTGCTCTCCAGAGACTGAGTTTTAAACACCTGTCAGGGAGTGGCAGAGCCAACCACAGTCAGTAATTAGTTACCATCCAAGAGCTCCAGGGTCCCACTGCCTTACCTCTCCTTCCTTAAGGGCAGTAAGACAAAAATAAAGGCATCAAGATTATTCAATGTACTGGTTATAATATAATAAAATTAAACTACAAAAACCTGGGGGTGGTGGGGAGAAGTTTCTGATTTTAGAGGCATTCAAATAAATAGAAAAAGGCCAATGAATTTTTACTCTACAGAATTTGTAATTGTATATATTTAAACAAAAACTAACACACATTGCAAAGAAAAAGACAAGTGGCTGAAAAAGTATTTGCAGCAGTTATGGTAGAGAAGGAGTAAATAACTGTATTACATAAATAGGCTCCACTTGATGAATAAACAAAGAACAGAAACAGTTCTCAAAATAGGGAATAAAACTAGTGAAAAAGCACCACTGGGCCAGGCGCAGTGGCTCATGCCTGTAATCCCAGCACTTTGGGAGGTCGAGGTGGGCCGATTACAAGGTCAAGAGATCGAGACCATCCTGACCAACATGGTGAAACCCTGTCTTTACTAAAAATACAAAAATTAGCTGGGCATGGTGCATGCGCCTGTATTCCCAGCTACTCGGGAGGCTGAGGCAGAAGAATGGCTTGAACCTGGGAGGCGGAGGTTCCAGTGAGCTGAGATCACACCACTGCACTCCAACCTGGTGACAGAGTGAAACTCCATCTCAAAAAAAAAAGCACCACTAATAAGCAACATGGCAAATGAAAATATCAGGCATATTTTTCTTATTAAACTCGTAAGGTTATTTAAAATGAAAATACTGATGCTACTAGCAGTGTACACAAAGACACTAATGTGTACACTGCTAGTAGCATCAGTATTTTCACTTCCAAACTGAAAATTAGTACTATCTATAAAATAGAATTTATCAATATAAATCAATAGATTTAAAATGCTTATATAATTTGACCAATAGTTACAACTCTGTTAATCTTTCCTAAGAAGATAATACGTGTGGAAAAAGCTACATATTGTAGAACAGCAAAAAATTGGAAATCAAATGTTCAACAAAAAGGGAAAAATTTAGGAAGCTGTGGAACATTTATTAAACACTAAGAATGAAGACTATGAAAAAAATGCAAAATTACCATATATATCATGATCAAAACTATGTTTTTAAGAGTTTTATTGAGGTCCAATTGCATTACTATGTTCTTAGACAAAAAAAAAAATGTGGGGAGGGGGGCCTGGAAATAAAACAACAAAATATTGTGATGGGACAGTAGCTAATTTTAGCATTTTTCTCTTTTTCTCGAAGTATATCTGTATGACTTTCATAATGAAAAAAATTATAAACTTGGAAAAATCATCTTGGATGCAAAAGACATTACAAATAGTAAATGAAATAAATATACTAACTGTACTTTTTTGTTTGGGGGTATGAATTATTTTATATTAGTTTCCTCCAAACATAACACGTACCATGTTAGGCCAGGACGAAAAGTAGAATGTGCAAAATTTTAAAGGAGATGATTTTTTTAAAGACTATACAAACATGAGTTAGGACAAGAGATGAACAGTTATATCCTGCTATACAAAAGGTTGATGAGGTACTTTAAATTACCTTACTTTTAGCTACTACTTTTAACTAATTTTTACATTCACAGATCTGAATTTATCAGGAACTACTTTCCACCTTATAAATCATAACTCAAAAAATATGTGAGTCATCAAGGGCTTGCATATATTCACTGAAGTTTGAGAAAATAAGATTATTAGGTCAGTGATCAAAGTCTAATTTGCTATTTTGAATCTTCAGTGTTTTGAAAACAGGAAGATATCTTTGCAGTAAGACATCCACCTGTTACATATGCTCTTCTGAAAGTAGGAGGATTTGCTTACCTTGTGTCACTGCTGCACCACCTTCCACTGCACTATTTCTGATCTACTTTTAAGGGTTACCATAGCTGGGTGAAGCTGACAACACACAGGGTAACATAATCTCATCTCTTGTCACAATCTTACATTTTCTGTCATAGGATTATCTAAACATATCACTGGTATAGCTTATCTCTGATCATAGTTCTGAATGTCTCTCAAATTACTCATCCAACACTTTGCATCTAGAAGTATTTTTTTTTCTCTGTCACCCAGGCTAGAGTGCAGTGGCGCGATCTTGGCTCACTGTAAGCTCCGCCTCCAGGGTTCATGCCATTCTCCTGCCTCAGCCTCCCGAGTAGCTGGCACTACAAGCGCCCGCCAGCATCTAGAAGTATCTTTAACAACACAAACTACTGGTTTGCATCATGATAAAATCAGCCTTTTAGCTATCATTACAAGTCTACTTGAGACTTACTTTTAAAGTAAGTCTACTTTTAATGATATTAATAATTCCTAGCACTTTAAATACTCTCACATAAAAATAGAACACCACTTTTTCAGCCTTTGTGAGCTTTGAAATAAATATGTACCTTAAGAAGATGACCTTGGGTATCTGAAAATATCATACTTGAGTATGAGTCTATATTTACCTGCATCTTCAGGGTTTCTTATTTCAAACTCTAATAAATATTCTTGTTTTTCTTCTATATCTTGTAGAATGGCACTGAGGGTCTGATGCTATCAGATAAAAATATTTGAAACTTCATTATAAAGGGGTAGATATGCTCTCTGATATGCCATTGACAAACACAGAGTAAATAAAATACTAAAGAAAGTGTTCCTAAAAATGCTCATTCCTCTTTATGCTCAAAATGTACTCATACGTTGTATAAGCTTAACTGTATAAATGTTGCAGATTTGAACAAAAGCAAACAAATATATTTTGAATTATGTAGTAGATCTCCTGGAAAATAGAATGTAAAAGTAGCAATCACAAGAAATCAATTTCTCACTGACTTCTGTTGAAACTATAGGTGTAGGAGAAAAATAAATCACATAACATTGAAAGTGCATACATATAACAAGTTCACTTTAAGGCCTTATGATTTTCATTGCACACTATTAAAATCTTATACATAATCTTAGAAATACAAAACACTATGCTCTCAAAAATTCACAAAGGGGACTTAATACCACTCCTACATGTCCTTGTCAGTACTAATCTTCCTGCCTGGAATGCTTTCAATTCACTCTGCCCTGATCCTTCTCTTTCCCTATGAGAGAGAGAATCGTGGAGTGGGCTCTGGAACCAGACTTTCAGGGTGTAAATCCTAGCTTCACCTCTTCCTATCTGGGTGACTCCAGCAAGTTACTTGTCCTCTCTGTGCCTGAATTCTATAACACATGAAAATGCTAAGGACAATGTCAGCACAAAGTAAGAATCCACTAAATAGTGAATATTATAATCATATAAAACCCATCTCATACAGGAAACTTCTGACTTATCCAATCCATGCTGATTTCCTTTTTCTCAGAATTAAGAAATTCGGTGCTACATAATTTAACACTAACATAATAATGTCTTGTACATTATATTTCCTCATCAGGACAATGAGATCTTGTAGGCAGAAGCATGCCTTTTATATTTGTATATGGTTTCAACATTGTGGGTTCATAGCTATTGCTCCATTAATGATGACGGATGGTTTGACTCACATTACCTATCCTTTAATATACTCTCCATACACATTCATTTCTAAAACATGTAGGTCCTCAAAGCCTTCTGAAGTATGTTGCCCTGAAATTTTACTTTGGTGCCCATAAAAGATATTTTAAAAGTACATAATAAAATAACCTAATTATTTGGTAAAACAGTCTTACTGCTGTCATTTATTAAATGCATCAAAGTGAAATTATAAAATACAAATATAAAAAACAAGCAAAAATAAAAACAACACTAAGGTTTACCGCTTCATACAGTGAATGATTTATGGTTATAAAAGCAAACAAAAGGCCAGAATTTGTGCTCAGGCTAAGCTCTATCCACAGATTAGGATAAAGAAAACATCTTTTGGTGCCAACTTTCCTTTCTCCTTTGCTCATATTGTAGATGTACTCAGTCTCGGACACTGTGGGCCAAGACTTATCTAAAACAAGGTTTCATTGAGGATGCTACCTTGGTTAAGATTTTGTGTCTAGTTAAGCTTTGTGTTTTTGTCCAACTAAGAATTTCAATCAATATGTATATCTTATTAAGCAACTGCTATGTTCTTTTTTTTCAAAAGTTACCTTTACATGATGGGTTTCGCAGCAAAGTTTATTACTATAAACCATATGGGATCGAGGGCAGCTAAACCAGGCTGCTTAATCCTCTTCTCTGTCTGGATTCCAGAATCTTTTCTACATCCTGTATCTCCTAGACACTTATGGAAGTGAGTGAAGACACATTTATGACAGTGGCAGTGTCTATGGACAAGAAGTAGCCAAAGAACTCAAACTAGGTATAAAGGATAGCAGCTACTCCATAATTCTGTATTCAAAGCAGATAATTAAGAGTTAACCACATAGCATAACTTCCAGCCCATTCTGTTCACCATCTTATCTTTTATAATAAAAAAATTCATTGATTTTGTATCCTGAGACTTTGCTGAAGTTGCTTATCAGCTTAAGGAGATTTTGGGCTGAGACAATGGGGTTTTCTAGATATACAATCAACGTACAAAAATCACAAGCATTCTTATACACCAACAACAGACAAACAGAGAGCCAAATCATGAGTGAACTCCCATTCACAATTGCTTCAAAGAGAATAAAATACCTAGGAATCCAACTTACAAGGGATGTGAAGGACCTCTTCAAGGAGAACTACAAACCGCTGCTCAACGAAATAAAAGAGGATACAAACAAATGGAAGAACATTCCATGCTCATGGATAGGAAGAATCAATATTGTGAAAATGGCCATACTGCCCAAGGTAATTTACAGATTCAATGCCATCCCCATCAAGCTACCAATGACTTTCTTCACAGAATTGGAAAAAACTACTTGAAAGTTCATATGGAACCAAAAAAGAGCCCGCATCGCCAAGTCAATCCTGAGCCAAAAGAACAAAACTGGAGGCATCACACTACCTGACTTCAAACTATACTACAAGGCTACAGTAACCAAAACAGCATGGTATTGGTACCAAAACAGAGATATAGATCAATGGAACAGAACAGAGCCCTCAGAAATAACGCTGCATATCTACAACTATCTGATCTTTGACAAACCTGAGAAAAACAAGCAATGGGGAAAGGATTCCCTATTTAATAAATGGTGCTGGGAAAACTGGCTAGCCATATGTAGAAAGCTGAAACTGGATCCCTTCCTTACACCTTATACAAAAATCAATTCAAGATGGATTAAAGACTTAAATGTTAGACCTAAAACCATAAAAACCCTAGAAGAAAACCTAGGCATTACCATTCAGGACATAGGCATGGGCAAGCACTTCATGTCTAAAACACCAAAAGCAATGGCAACAAAAGCCGAAATAGACAAATGGGATCTAATTAAACTAAAGAGCTTCTGCACAGGAAAAGAAACTACCATCAGAGTGAACAGGCAACCTACAAAATGGGAGAAAATTTTTGCAACCTACTCATCTGACAAAGGGCTAATATCCAGAATCTACAATGAACTCAAACAAATTTACAAGAAAAAAACAAACAACCCCATCAAAAAGTGGGCAAAGGACATGAACAGACACTTCTCAAAAGAAGACATTTATGCAGACAAAAAACACATGAAAAAATGCTAACCATCACTGGCCATCAGAGAAATGCAAATCAAAACCACAATGAGATACCATCTCACACCAGTTAGAATGGCAATCATTAAAAAGTCAGGAAACAACAGGTGCTGGAGAGGATGTGGAGAAATAGGAACACTTTTATACTCTTGGTGGGACTGTAAACTAGTTCAACCATTGTGCAAGTCAGTGTGGCGATTCCTCAGGGATCTAGAACTAGAAATACCATTTGACCCAGCAATCCCATTACTGGGTATATACCCAAAGGATTATAAATCATGCTGCTATAAAGACACATGCACACGTATGTTTGTTGCGGCATTATTCACAATAGCAAAGACTTGGAACCAACCCAAATGTCCAACAATGATAGACTGGATTAAGAAAATGTGGCACATATACACCATGGAATACTATGCAGCCATAAAAAAGGATGAGTTCATGTCCTTTGTAGGGACATGGATGAAATTGGAAATCATCATTCTCAGTAAACTATCACAAGAACAAAAAACCAAACACCGCATATTCTCACTCATAGGTGGGAATTGAACAATGAGAACACATGGACACAGGAAGGGGAACATCACACTCTGGGGACTGTTGTGGGGTGGGGGGAGGGGGGAGGGATAGCATTGGGAGATACACCTAATGCTAGATGACAAGTTAGTGGGTGCAGCGCACCAGCATAGCACATGTATACATATGTAACTAACCTGCACATTGTGCACATGTACCCTAAAACTTAAAGTATAATAATAATAAAAAATAAATAAATAAATAAAATAAATAAAAAATTTCTATCTTTGTATCATTAAAATGGAAAGTACTGCCATTAGCCAATAACTAACTGGCTGGCTCAAAGAATGGCATTTTCTAAGATGAAGAACAAAGTAATTTTAACTTCACTCACCACAGAAAGGCTTTCTCTTGATCTTTCTTGGTGTGAAAGGGAAGATGAGTCAATAGTTTTGCCATCATCACAAAAACACTGTTTATGTCTTTTAGACCGGACAGCAGGAATTTTTTCTTTAAAAAGTAAAATTAGAAAATATAATAAGAATGTGCAAAAATATAGTTTCATTTTTCAGTTTTAATGTGATGGGGATGAGAAGGATAAGTCAAGTCTGCAACTATTATAATATCTTAACCAACACTCATCATCGTCATTAATTGGCTACTTATGGCTAGCATTTACTGAGCACTTGTCATATGCTGGGTGCCAAAAACTTTCCATAAATCATCTTATTTAATCTTCATATGAACCTGTGAAGTAGGTAGTTTATTATATCCATTTTATAGAAGAGGAAAGTGAGGCTTAGAGGGGTTCAAGAAGTTGCCCAATGTCACACAGTTAGAACTGAAACCAGATCTTATCTGATTCCAAAGTCCATGCTCTTAACCAATATGACTGGATTAATTGCCTCTGTAAAGTTCTCTTGGACCCTACTCCCATTCTGGATTCCCTTTCTCTATATTATCATTGTACCCTATATTCTTCATCCTTTGGGGTACCTGATCAAGGAAACAAGAAACAGTAGATATGTGGGAATAGATCTATCACTTTATAATAGATCTATCAACAACTCCAAATGCAGACTTCCCTGATAAGCTGAGCTAATCTAAATCATGGGAACTTTCAGGTATAGCTGTGAAGAGGGAGAGTGAAATGGCTGGGCCTCTAAGAAAGACCCTGACCCTATGGACTTACTATATGGAAGCAGGCAACGAAAAGAGGAAATTTGTATCACTCTTGACCTTGACCTATCCATGATCTAGCCCTCTGGTGAAATATAACACAATGAATATCCTTAGCTCTGACGAATTATATCGGTAATTCTTCCTTGGAAATCAACAGTTGGTAAGGATGTTGGTAGGCTAGGGGAGAAGTGTGTGACACAATTGCTCTCCCCAGCATTCTCCCTCATGGTGAGAATATAGATACATTCCTGAGTATCTTCTTCTATGAGTCAAGGTTTGAGCATGAGGGAAAAGGAAGAACAATTCCCTCCCCTCAATACTTAATAAAATATAAAGTATTGCTAAAATGGTTCATAAAATTTTTCCTGATTGTACATTCCCTTGAAATATTCTTTTCATTGTAATATATGTTATATTCCTCTTAGTTGCAAAAACTTCAGTATAATGTCGCCCTTTTCCAGCCCTACTACAACTAAACTGATCTGCCTGGCTTCAATTACATCTCTATCTCAAACCCAATGTTAGGGACATTAATGTTTGCTTGATGAATGCTATAGGTTTCATTTCAACATGTAACTCCAATCCAGTAGGATCATATGATCTATAAATTAAACCAAATTGTAAATGCCAATTTCTAAAAATAAATAATGGCTTTTGAAGAGTTTAATAAACATAGGACACATCTATCCCAGTTATGAAACAATTTACACAACAAATCAGAAGATTTTCCTAAGCAGAGATATATCTCTATATAAAATAGCAGCAATATTGATATACATACCATTGACTATAGCATCACTCTCATCTCTATTAACAGTCTCAATAGCACCATAAGATCTTAGTAATTCTTTCATTTTTTCATCATCTGCTTCATCCAAAGCACTCTTCTGTTTTTGATCTTTTTGATTAGGGTTTGCTCCATTTTGTAGTAGAATCTCAGCTGCCTACAAAGTATTTTTTCAAAGTTATCTCTACAGACACCAAAGATGAATAATTTCTGTTTTCATCACAAACACCACTGCCAAGCATTAAAAGCTATCAAAAGAATGTTTTCAAACTCAGGTCAAGAAAATTTTTTATTAAAATTGATGTGGCAATTGCAAACTAATCCAATTTGGACTGATTAGTCCTCACAAGAGAACCAAACACAAAGACATGAAAGTACAATATGCTGCCTTCATTGCAGTAAGAAGTAGGCATAGGGAGGTTCAGTTCTAGATCGGTACTGCCCAGTAGAATTTTCTGTGATAATAAAATGTTCTATATCTGCTCTGTCCAATAAGGTAACCACTAGTCACATGTGGCTTTTGAGCATTTGAAATGTGGCTAATGTGACTGAAGAAATCAATTTTTTATTTAATTAATTTAAATTTAAATAGCAAAAGTACCTAGTAGCTACTATATTGGGCAGCACAGATCTAGATGTTGTGCAGATTAAGCCACTTGCATCTTAACGTGGAATTTCTGACGCCCAGAAGGATTTAATTTATCTCTCTAACACAGCCTCTTGTCTTTCCCCAAGCTGCTGGAGGATAGGGTAGAAAAGTGGGGTAAGAGTTGCTTCAGGGCTATATTACAAACAACATTATAAATTGTGATTAGACATAGTTGAATAACATTCTATTTAGACAATATTTTATGTACTCTACTTGTTCAGGACGTTTTATGAACTAGCTTAGAAACCTAATACCCATTTTAATATTCTCCATACAGAAATATGTGTTCTAAATAGCAAACTTAAAAAAAAATTCAACTTTTATTTTAGATTCAAATGATATATGTGCAGGTTTACTACATGGGTATATTGCATGATGCTGAGGTTTGGGGTATGAATTATCCCATCACCCAGGTAGTAAGCATAGTACTCAACAGAGAGTTTTTCAACTCTTGCCGTCCTCCCTCTCTCCCCTACCTCGTAGTCTCAGTATCTACTGTTCTCATCTTTATGATCATGTGTACCCAATGTTTAGCTTGCACTTATAAGTGAGAACATGTGGAATTTGATTTTTCTGTTCCTGCATTAATTCACTCAGAATAATGGCCTCCAGCTGCATCCATGTTGCTGCAAAGGACATGATTTTTTGTTTATGGCTGCATAGTATTCCATGGTATATGTGTACCACATCTTATTTATCCAATTCACCAATGATGGTCACCTTGGGTGATTTAATGTCTTTGCTATTGTGAATAGTGCTGCAATTAACACACAAGTGTATATGTCTTTTTGGTAGAACAATTTGTTTTCCTTTGGGTACATACCCAGTAATGGAATTGCTAGGTTGAATGGTAGTTCCAAGTTCTCTGAGAAATCTCCAAACTGTTTTCCACAGTAGTTGAACTAATTTACATTCCTACCAACAGTGTACAAGTGTTCTCTTTTCTTCACAACCTTACCAGCATCTGTTATTTTCTGACCTTTAAATAATAGCCATTCTGACTGGTGCGAGATGATATCTCATTCTGGCTTTGATTTGTACTTCTCTGATGACTAGTGGTACTGAACATTTTTTTCATATGTTTGTTGGCCACTTGTATACTAAATGACAAACTTCACAGAATATTAAAGATAGAGGGAAACTTCGAAACCCCATCATTTTAGCTAAAAGGAAACTAAGGTCAAAGAGGATGTGATATTTTGGGGAGAAAAAAATGTCTAATATAAATAAGGTTGCTCTGAGTAACTCTTAAATTGTGTGTTAAAAATAAATTTATAATTGACCAATGTAAAGAATCGTTACTAACTAGATTATGGTATAAGTCAGCCAGGAACAGTGGTTTATGCCTGTAATCCCAGCACTTCGGGAGGCTGAGGCAGGAAACTGCTTGAGCCCAGGAGTTCGAGACCAGCCTGTGCAACATAGGGAGACCTCTTCTCTATAAAAAAGTAAAAAATTAGCTGGGTGTGGTGGCACACACTTCTAGTCTCAGCTACTTGAGAGGTTGAAGCTGGAGGATTACTTGACCCTGGGAGGTCAAGGCTTCAGTGAGCTGTGTGATAGTGCCACTGTACCTTGTCTCAAAAAAAAAAATTATAGTATAAGTCAATTAGTGAAAAACAATGATCCCACTTGCAAGAGGCAAGCAAGTAACTCACCACTGAAAAACTTTCTAGTTAGGAAAAGATGGTCAGGATTTTGTTAAAATGGAGACATACTATATGCCAGTGGATAAAGTATGTTTTTAATCTTTCTGCTTGTGTCCAAGGATAAAGAGGCAGATAAATTTAGGAGCAAATGGGCCAGTAGAAATTATTAAGGATAACCTCTTAGTTTTTCTACTAGTCTAGAGGTAGCATAGCATAAAGAAAAAACTGAACCAAATCACAAAGACGCAGAAGAAAAAAAATGAAGAAACAAAGAATCTATAAAACAACTAGTGATAACAACATGACGGGAAGAAAACCTCACGTATCAATATTAACCTTGAATGTAAGTGAATTAAATGCTCCACTTAAAAGATATAGATAGGCAGAATGGATTTTTAAAATGAACCAACTATATGCTGCCCACAAGAAACTCACTTTACTGGTAAAGACACATAGACAAAAGATAAAGGGTGCGGTGGCTCACGCCTGTAATCCCAGCACTTTGGGAGGCCGAGACAGGCGGATCATTAGGTCAGGAGTTTGAGACCAGCCTGACCAACATGGTAAAACCCCGTCTCTACTAAAAATACAAAAATTAGCTGAGTGTGGTGGCGTGCGCCTGTAATCCCAGCTACTTAGGAGGCTGAGGCAGGAGAATCACTTGAACCTGGGAGGCAGAGGTTGCAGTGAGCTGAGATTGCATCACTACACTCCAGCCTGCTGACAGAGTGAGACTCTATATAAAAAAAAAAAAAAAGATAGAGGGGTGGAAAATGATATTTAATGATAAAGGGTGATATCAATTCAACAAAAGGTTATAATAATATTAAATACATATGTACTCAACACTGGAGCACCCAGATTCATAAAACAAATGTTACTAAACCTAAAGAAAGATACAGATAGCAATACAATAATACTGGGGCACTTGAACATCCGAGTCACAGCACTAGACAGATCACTGAGACAGAAAATCAAGAAAGAAACACAGGAGTTAAATTGAACTTTAGACCAAATGGACCCAACAGACACTTACAGAACATTCTATCCAACATCGCAGAATATACCTTCTTCTCATCAGCACATGAAACATTCTCCCAAATAGACCATATGTTAGGCCACAAAACTAGCCTCAATAAAAATGGAAAAAAATTGAAATCATATCAAGTATTTTCTCAGAACACAATGGAATAAAACTAGAAATCAATATCAAGAGGAATTCTCAAAACTATACAAATACATGAAATTAAACAACACACTCCTAGATAATTTTTGGTTCAATGACAAAATTAAGAAAGAATTAAAATAATTTTTGAAACAAATGAAAATGGAGTCAGAATATACCAAAACCTCTGGGATACAGCCAAAGCAGCGCTAAGAGGGAGGTTTATAGCATCAAATGCCTATATCAAAAGAATAGAAAGATTACAGATTAACACCCTAACATCATACCTCAAGGAACTAGAAAAACAAGAAAAAACCAAACCCAAAGCTAGCAGAAGAAAAGAAATAACAAAGATCAGAGTAGAACTAAATGATATGGAGACCAAACCAAACAAAACAAAAACAAAGGATCACTGAATTGAAAAGTCAGTTCTTTGAAAAGATAAACAAGTTGATAAATTGCTATCTAGACTAACCAAGAAGAAAGAATATCTAAATAAACATAATGAGAAATGAAGAAGACATTGTAACTGATACCACAGAGATACAAAAGATCATCAGACTCTACCATACACTCACAAACTAGAAAACCTAAAGGAAATGGATAAATTCCTGGAAACATAAAACCTCGAAAGACTGAACCTTGAAGAACTAGATATCCTGAACAGACCAATAAAAAAAATCCTCCCAACAAAAAAAAAAGCCTAGGTCAAGATGAACTCACAGTAAATTCTATCAAACATACAAAGAAGAACTGGTACCAATTTTAATGAAACTGTTCCAAAAAAAAACTGAGCAGGAGAGAATCCTCCCTAGCTCATTCCATGAAGCCAGTATCACCCTGACACCAAAGTCTGACAAGAACACAAACAAACAGAAAAAAAACTACAGACCAATATCCCTGATGAAGATAGATGCAGAAACCCTTAACAAAATACTAGCAAACTGAATCCACCAGCACATCAAAAAGATAACACACCATGACCAAGTGGGTTGTATTCCAGGGATGCAAGGATGGCTCAACATATACAAACCAATAAATGTGATTTATTACATAAACACAATTAAAGACAAAAATTACATAATCATTTCAATAGATGTGGAAAAAGCATTTGATAAAATTGAACATCCCCTCATGATAAAAACTCTCAACAAACTAGGCATAGTAGAAAAAACATACCTCAAAATAATAAAGGCCATATGCAACAAACTTATGGCCAATATCATATTGAATTGGGAAGGGCTGAAAACAATTCCCCTAAGAACTAGAATAAGACAAGAATGCCCACTTACACCACTCCTGTTCAACTTAGTACTGGAAGTCCTAGCCAGAGCAATCAGGCAAAAGAAAGAAAGAAAAGGCATCCAAGTTGGAAAAGAGGAAGTCAGAAATAATTTATTTCTGTTCACTGATAATATGCTCGTAAACCTAGAAAAGCCTAAAGACTCCTCAAAAAATTCTTAAGTTTGATAATTGAATTGAGTAAGCAGTAAGATTTCAGAATACAAAATCAATATTCAAAAATGAGTGTCATTTCTATACACCAATAATAATCCAGCTGAAAACCAAATCAAGAAGGCAATCCCATTTACAATAGCTACAAAAAATAAAATAAAATACCTAGGAATATAGTTAACCAAGGAGGTGAAAGAAAGAAAAATACAACACGGATGAAAGAAATTGCAGGGGACATAAACTAATGGAAAAACACTTCATGTTCATGAATCAGAATAATTAATATAATTAAAATGAGAATACTTCCAAAACAATATACAGATTCAATGCAATTCCTATCAAAATGCCAACATCGCTTTTCACAGAATGAGAAAAAAACCATCCTAAAATTCATATGGAACCAAAAAACAGTCTGAATAGCAGAAGCAATCCTAAGCAAATAGAACAAAGCTAGAGAGAGCACATTACCTGACTTCAAATTATACTGCAAGGTTATAATAATCAAAAAGCATGGTACTGGCATAAAAACAGACACATAGATCAAGGTAAAAGAATAAAAGAATAGAGAACCCAAAAATAAAGCCACATATCTATAGCTAACTGATCTTTGACAATGCTGACAAGAACATACACTGGGAAAAAGATATCTTTTTCAATAAATAGTGTTGGGAAAATTGGATTGCCATACGTAGAAGAATGTCTCTAATCATATAAAAAATCAAATATAGACAAATCAAAGACTTAAATTTGTGATCTGAAACTATAAAAATTCTATAAGAAAACTTAGGGAAAACTCTTCTTGACATTTGTCTAGGCAAAGAATTCATAAGACCTTGAAACCATAAGCAACGAAAACAAAAACAGACATATGAAACTATATTAAACTAAAAAGCTTCTGCATGGCAAAGGGAATAATAAAAAAAAGTGAACAGACAACCTGCAGATAGGGGGAAAATATTTGCAAACTATGAATCCAACAGGGACTAATATCCAGAATTTACAAGTAACTCAAACAACTCAACAACAATAACAAAACAACAAATAGCCCCATTAAAAAACTGGCAAAGGACATGAATAGACATTTCTTAAAAGAAGACCCACGAATGACCAACAAGCATATGAAAAAATGCTCAACATCATTAATCATCAGAGAAATGTTAAAGCCACAATGAAATACCATCTTATGCCAATAGAATGCCTATTATTAAAAAGACAAAAAACAACAGATGTTGATGAGTATGTGGAGAAAAGGGAATGCTTATACACTGTTGGTGGGAATGCAAATTAGTACAACCTCTATGGAAAACAGTATGGAGATTTCCCAAATAACTAAAAGTAGAACTGCCTTTCAATCCAGCAATCTCACTACTGGGTATATACCCACAGGAAAAGAAATCATCATATTAAAAAGATACTTGTACTCAAATGTTCACTGTAACACTATTCACAATAGCAAAGATATGGAATCAACCTTAGTGTCCACCAGTGGATGACCGGATAAATAAAATGTGGTAAATAACACACACACACGCACACACGTGCATGCACACACACACAAAATGGAATACTACTCAGCCATAACAAAGAATGGGATCATGTCTTCTGCAGCAACATGGATGGAACTGGAGGCCATCCATGTTGTTAAGTGAAAACAATTCAGGAACAAGTCAAATACTGGATGTTCTCACTTATAAGTAAGAGCCAAATAATGTGTATACATGGACAGAGTGTGGAATAATAGTCACTGGAGACTCAGAAGGGTAGGGGGTGGGAGGGGGTTGAGGGATGAGAAATTAATTAATGAGTGCAATGTACACTATTTGAGTGATGGTTACATTAAAAGCCCAGAATTTATCCCTGCTCAATATATCCATTTAACAAAACTGCATTTGTACCCTTTAAATTTATACAAATATATTAAAAAAGAAAAATACCCTTGTTTTAAAGCCAAGCACAAACCTCACTCCTGGTACTTATTAGCTACATCCTTGGCCAAGTTACTTATCATCTCTAACTTCATTTTTATTATCTATGAGAATTAAATAGTGAGCCCTTGTAAAATGTCTGGCACATAGTAGTCACCTAATAAAACTAGCTCCATAATACCCTGCTTTCTTTTAGAGAGTGAAAAGACAGCAGATAATGGCAGGTGAAAAAGTATTCTGCAAAGACTTTTGATAAAATCTGCATTTGTACACCTTAGTGAAGTCTGAGTAAAGGTATGAAACGATAAAATATTTTATTTTTCTATTTATTTAGATTTTATGAAGATTTTATTTATCTGTTTTTAAAAGATGGGGTCAGAAACTACCTCAATCCAGTAGTTTCTAAGCCTGATTGATCAGTAAGATAACTTGTTGCATTCTTTTAAAACACAGATTCCTGAGACCATCTCGAGATTAATTTAGCAAACTGGAGATGTAGGCCTTAATCTGCAGAAATTTATTTCAAACATTATATGGAGGAGACAGAAAGTGAATTTCAGAAAAGTAAACTTCTAGAGTCTTAAAAACATATGCTATATTAATAATGACTATTCTGCCAATGTGTTAAGATGAGGCCTTCTCTAGGCCTCGACTTTAATATACAAAAAAAGATTCACTTAATATATTAATTTGGAGAACACAGAGAACTCAGCTCAGAGACACTGGGACCCTGGATAGTGTTTTTCAGTAATAGTCATCCACAGGAAAAGTCTAAACAGCAACAGGGTAACAAGGCACTAAACAGGAAAAGCTAAAGCTAAAGTTGGGAGGGAGCTCTAGGTAACATGATGGAGTGGGCCTGAGGGCCGAAGAGATTGGCAAAGATTATGTGACCAAGAAATAGGCCTTTTACCTGTTTAAAAAAAAATCAGGCTTACTGAAGTGATCACGACTACAATAATGACTTAGAGACATTCTACCATCACAAAAAATCCTTTCTGCCCCTCTGCAATCACTTACCAAGACTCTTTGGTCTCTGGGAACCAATGATCTGCCTCTATTGCTTTACATTTTGCTTTTTGTAGAATTTCACATGAATGAGCTCAGAATGCAGTTTTTGTGTCTGGTCTCTTTGACTTAGCATGATGATTTTAAGATTCACCCATATTGTTGTGTATATCAACAGTTTGTTTCTCACCTGTAATCCCAGCACTTTGGGAGGCCAAGGTGGGTGGATCACCTGAGGTCAGGAGTTCGAGACCAGCCTGGCCAACATGCTGAAACCCCGTCTCTACTAAAAATACAAAAATTAGGTGGGCATGTTGGAGCATGCCTGTAATCCCAGCTACTTGGGAGGCTGAAGCAGGAGAATTGCTTGAACCCGGGAGGCAGAGGTTGCAGTGACCAGAGAACGTGACACTGCACCCCAATATGGGTGACAGAACAAGACTCCATCTCAAAAAAAAAGTTTGTTCCTTTTAACAACTTATTCATTTACCAGCTGATAGACATTTGGGGTCCCTTCCAGTTAGAGACTATTATGAATAAAGCTGCTATCCACATTCTAGTACAAGTCTTTGTGTGGACAAAAAGCTTTCATTTTTCTTAGGTAAAAAAACACCAAGGGGTGGTCCAATACTTTGTAAATATGTAATATGTTTCAGGTAATAAAAATTGCCAAATTGTTTTTCCAAGTGTACCATTTTGCACGAAAGGGATAGAAAATCTATTTAATGAAATAATAGCTGAAAAGTTCCCAAGTCTGGCAAGAGATTTAGACATCCAGACACAGGAAGCTCAGCAATCCCCAAATAGAGACAAGTTGTAATTTTATATATGATGAAAATTAAGGGTTCATTTAAAAAAATGGAAATCCAAGGATTTCAATTCCATTTGCTGAAAGAGTATACTTTCTCTATTGAATTGCCTTTGCACCATTGTTAAAAATCAACTAATTGGGAGGCTGAGGTGGGCAGATCAACTGAGGTCAGGAGTTCAAGACCAGCCTGGCCAAAATGGTGAAACCCCATCTCTACTAAAACTACAAAAAAATTAGTTGGGTGTGGTGGTGTGTGCCTGTGGTCCCAGCTACTCAGGAGGCTGAGGCAGGAGAATCACCTGAACCCAGGAGGTAGAGGTTGCAGGAAGCAGAGATTGTGCCACTGCACTCCAGCCTGGGTGGCAAAGTGAGACTCCATCTCAAAAAAAAAAAAAAAAATCAACTGAACACATATATGAGGGTCTATTTCTCAATGCTTGTATTTTGTTCAATTGTTGTATAAGTAAAACTCAGTGTTCCTAAACTGGGGATGATTTTTGTGCCCCAGGATAAATTCAGGAATGTCTAGAGACATTTTTTGGTTGTCACAACTAGAGGATATGGGTGCTTCTGGCATCTAGTGAGTAGAGGTCAGAGAAGCTATGAGACATCCTAAAAGTACAGGACAGCACTCTTTAAGAAAGAAATATCTAGCCCCAAATGTCATTTATGTCAAGGTTCAGAAATCCTAATCTAACTTATGCTAGTAACATACTGTCTTGATTACTATAGCTATGGAATACATATCTACACACTATAGATAATATAAATCGTCCAACATTATTCTTTTTCAAATTTGTCTCAGCTATTTTAAGCTATTTTGAGTTCCATATCAATTTTAGAATCAGCCTAACAATTTCTTCAAAAATTCCTGTTAAGACTATTGTATTTGTACTGAATCTATAGATCAATTTGGGTGGAAATGACACATGAAAAATACTGAGTCTTCTAGGCCATGAACACAATATATCACTTCATTTATTTAGGTCTTCTTTAATTACTCTCAGCAATGTTTTGAGGTATTCAGTGTAAAGGTGTAAAGGTCTTGGACATATTTTGTAACATTTACCCCCAATTATTTAATATTTTGATATAATGATAAATGGTATTTTTAAATTTTCAACTTCCAATTGTTCATTGCTGTTATAGAGAAATACAGTTGAGTCCGTGTTAGATTCACTTATTAATTCTAGTAAATTATTTTATCATGTCATATGAAATAGAAGCAGTTTTTCATTGTCATATTATATGAAACAAAGAGAGCTTTCCTTTTTACTTTCCAAATACATGTGCATCTTTTATTTATTTTTCTTCCATTACTGAACTGGCTAGAAACTTCAGCATAATACTGATCAGAAGTGGTGAGAGCACTGCATGTTCTCACTCATAAGTGGGAGTTGAACAATGAAAACACATGGACACAGGGAGGGGAACATCACACACTGGGGCCTGGCAGGGGGTGGGGGACTAGGGGAGGGATAGCATTAGGAGAAATACCTAATGTAGATGGTGGGTTGATGGATGCAGCAAACCACCATGGCACATGTATACTTACGTAACAAACCTGCACGTTCTGCATATGTATCCCAAAAGTATAATAAAAATAAAAAAGAAGTGAGAGCATTCCTCAGGATAATGTTGAAAAACCTGATTTTCCCACTATGAAACTTTGATCATTATTTAAGTGGTTTCACTTTATTTTATTTATTTATTTATTTTTGAGATGGAGTCTGGCTCTGCTGCCCAGGCTGGAGTGCAGTGGTACGATCTTGGCTCACTGCAAGCTCCGCCTCCCAGGTTCAGCCATTCTCCTGCCTCAGCCTCCCAAGTAGCTGAGACTACAGGCACCTGCCATCATTCCCAGCTAATTTTTTTTTTTTTTTTGGTATTTTTAGTAGAGTTGGGGTTTCACTGTGTTAGCCAGGATGATCTCGATCTCCTGACCTCATGATCTGCCTGCTTCGGCCTCCCAAAGTACTGGGATTACAGGCATGAGCCAACATGCCTGGCCAAGTGGTTTCACTTTAAGTGGTCTTTTCCCTCTATAAAAAACCAGCAGGTTCATCACTTTAATAATTCTGTTTCCTTTCTTCCATTTTGTGACCATATGATCTTGATAATTTGTCTATTCTTTTTAAATTTAAATACTGTAAAGGCCAAAGGGCTTCTAACATGGTTTGGCTTTGAGTCCCCACTCAAATCTCATGTTGAATTGTAATCCCCAGTGTTGGAGGTGGGGTCTGGTGGGAGGTGATTGGATCATGAGGGTGGTTTCTAATGGTTTAGCCCCATCCCCCTAGTGCTACCTCTTGACAGAGTCCTCACAAGATCTGGTGGTTTAAAAGTGTGTAGCATCACCCCCTTCCCTCTCTGTCTCTGCTCCACCATGTGAATAAGTGCCTACTACCCTTCACCTTCCACCATGATTTTAAGTTTCCTGAGGTCTCCTCAGTCATGCTTCCTGTATAGCTTGCAGAACTGTGAGTCAATCAAACCTTTTTTCTTCATAAAGCACCCAGCCTCAGGTAGTTTTTTATAGCAATGCAAGAACAAACTAATACAGCTTCTTTTAGCCAAAAGAAGCCACATCGGACATTAGCTCACCCACTCTGGTATATTCTTAATCATTAATTCACATCTTTTAGCAGATCATAAATTCAGTAATAACATCCTCCACATGGCTATGTGTAGGCTGAAAACAGCAAGAATATCCTTTCACAAAATTACATTAAAAAGTTACCAGGTTCTTAAAATATCTAGAGATAGATAAATAGGTATCAATGAAGGATCCAAGGAATTTTTTTATATTGTTCTTGATGGTTTCCTTAACTATTTTTTCAAACCAATAATTATTACTGAAGAGGTCCCAAGATGGCTGAATAGGAAAAGCTCCAGTCTACAGCTCCCAGCATGAGCGATGCAGAAGATGGTTGATTTCTGCATTTCCAACGGAGGTACCAGGTTCATCTCACTGGGGCTTGTCGGACAGTGGGTGCAGCCCACGGAGTGTGAGCCGAAGCAGGGCAGGGCATCACTTTACCCAGGAAGTGCAAGGGGTTAGGGAATTCCCTTTCCTAGCCAAGGGAAGCCATGACAGATGGTACCTGGAAAATCGGGACACTCCTACCCTAATACTGAGCTTTTCCAGTGGTCGTAGTGTGTTCAGAATTGGTGGGTTCTTGGTCTCTCTGACTTCAAGAATGAAGCTGTGGACCCTCGTGGTGAGTGTTACAGTTCTTAAAGATGGCGTGTCCAGAGTTTGTTCCTTCTGATGTTCGGACGTGTCCAGAGTTTCTTCCTACTGGTGGGTTCTTGGTCTCACTGACCTCAGGAGTGAAGCCGCAAACCTTTGCAGTGAGTGTTACAGCTCTTAAAGGTGGCACGTCTGGAGTTGTTTGTTTCTCCCAGTGGGTTCGTGGTCTCGCTGGCTTCAAGAGTGAAGCTGCAGACCTTCACCATGAGTGTTACAGCTCATTAAGGTAGTGCAGACCCAAAGAGTGAGCAGCAGCAAAATTTATTGCAAAGAGCAAAAGAACAAAGCTTCCACAGTGTGGAAAGGGACCTCAGTGGGTTGCTGTTGCTGGCTCTGGTGGCCTGCTTTTATTCCCTTATCTGGCCCCACCTACATCCTACTGATTGGTCCACTTTAAAGAGAGCTGATTGGTCCATTTTACAGAGAGCTGATTGGTCCATTTTACAGAGAGCTGACTGGTCCGTTTTGACAGAGTGCTGATTGGTGCATTTACAAACCTTTAGCTAGACGTAGAGCGCTGATTGGTGCATTTACAATCCTTTAGCTAGACACAAAAGTTCTCCAAATTCCCACCAGATTATCTAGACACAGAGTGCTGATTGGTGCATTTACAAACCTTTAGCTAGACACAGAGTGCTGATTGGTGCATTTACAAACCTTTAGCTAGACAGAAAAGTTCTCCGGGTCCCCACCCAATTAGCTAGACACAGAGCACTGATTGGTGCGTTTACAATCCTTTAGCTAGACAGAAAAGTTCTCCAAGTCCCCACCCATCCCAGAAGCCCAGACAGCTTCACCTCTCACTGGCACTCACCACGGGACTTTGCAGCACCTAGCCCGGGCACTCCGGTAGCCCAGAGGGAGCTCGTCCCACACAACCAAGAGGAAAAGAGGGGAAGTGAGAAAGAGATGGAGAACCGCCATTTTGGCCAACGGCCCCACAAAGAGAGAACGGTGGTCCATGCACGGGACCCAGCCTCCTATCAAGCCCAGCAGGTACTGGCTGGCTGTGCCAAGTGCAGGGTCCACCGAGCCCACACCCACCCAGAACCAGCACCGGCCCGTGAGCACCACACGCAGCCCCAGCTCCGACCTGTGCCTCTCCCTCCACACCTCCCCATGAGAAGAGGGAGTGGGCTCCATGCTCTGCCAACCCCAGAAAGGGGCCCCCACAGTGCAACGGCAGGCTGAAGGGCCCCTGGAGCGTGGCAAGAGTGGATGCCGAGGCCGAGGAGGCACCGAGAGCGAGCGAGGGTTGCTAGCACGTTATCACCTCTCATTAGCAAACAGCACACCAGGAGATTATATCCTGTGCATGGGTCAGAGGGTCCCACGCCCACAGAGCCTCACTCACTGCTAGCACAGCAGTCTGAGATCAAACTGCAAGGTGGCAGCGAGGCTGGGGGAGGGGCGTCCACCATTGCTGAGGCTTGAGAAGGTAAACAAAGCAGCGGGGAGGCTCAAAATTGGTGGAGCCCACCACAGCTCAAGGAAGGCTGCCTGCCTCTGTAGACTCCACCTCTGGGGGCAAGGCATAGCTGAACAAACAATGGCAGAAACTTCGGCAGACTTAAACGTCCCTGTCTGACAGCTTTGAAGAGAGTAGTGGTTCTCCCAGCATGGAGTTTGAGATCTGAGAACGGACAGACTGCCTCCTCAAGTGGGTCTGTGACCCCCAAGTAGCATAACTAGGAGGCACCTCCCATTAGGGGCCGACTGACACCTCATACTGCCAGGTGTCCCTCTGAGACAAAGCTTCCAGAGGAAGGATCAGGCAGCAACATTTGCCGTTCTCCAATATTGGCTGTTCTGCAGCCTCCGCTGGTGATACCCAGGCAAACAGGGTCTGGAGTGGAACTCCAGCAACTCCCAACAGGCCTGCAGCTGAGGGTCCTGACTGTTAGAAGGAAAACTAACAAACAGCAAGGACATCCACACCAAAACCCCATCTGCATGTCACCATCATCAAAGACCAAAGGTAGATAAAACCACAAAGATGGGGAGAAACCAGAGCAGAAAAGCTGAAAATTCTAAAAATCAGAGCGCCTCTTCTCCTCCAAAGGAACGCAGCTCCTCGCCAGCAATGGAGCAAAGATGGACAGAGAATGACTTTGACGAGTTGAGGGAAGAAGGCTTCAGACGATCGGTAAGAACAAACTTCTCTGAGCTAAAGGAGGATGCTCAAACTCATCGCAAAGAACCTAAAAACCTTGAAAGAAGATTAGACGAATGGCTAACTAGAATAAACAGCATAGAGAAGACCTTAAATAACCTGATGGAGCTGAAAACCATGGCACGAGAATTATGTGACGCATGCACAAGCTTCAGTAGCCCATTCGATCAACTGGAAAAAGGGTATCAGTGATTGAAGATCAAATGAATGAACTGAAGCGAGAAGAGAAGTTTAGAGAAAAAAGAGTAAAAAGAAATGAACAAAGCCCCCAGGAAATATGGGACTATGTGAAAAGACCAAATATACATCTGATCGGTGTACCTGAAAGTGACGGGAGAATGGAACCAAGTTGGAAAACACTCTGCAGGATATTATCCAGGAGAACTTCCCCAATCTAGCAAGGCAGGCCAACATTCAAATTCAGGAAATACAGAGAACGCCACAAAGATACTCCTCAAGAAGAGCAACTCCAAGACACATCATTGTCAGATTCACCAAAGTTGAAATGAAGGAAAAAATGTTAAGGGCAGCCAGAGAGAAAGGTCGAGTTACCCACAAAGGGAAGCCCATCAGACTAACAGTGGATCTCTTGGCAGAAACTCTACAAGCCAGAAGAGAGTGGGGGCCAATATTCAACATTCTTAAAAAAATATTCAACCCAGAATTTCATATCCAGCCAAACTAAGCTTCCTAAGTAAAGGAGAAATAAAATCCTTCACAGACAAGCAAATGCTGAGAGATTTTGTCACCATCAGGCCTGCCTTACAAGAGCTCCTGAAGGAAGCACTAAACATGCAAAGGAACAACCGGTACCAGCCACTGCAAAAACATGCCAAATTGTAAAGACCGTCGATGCTAGGAAGAAACTGCATCAACTAACGAGCAAAATAACCAGCTAACACCATAATGACAGGATCAAATTCACACATAACTATATTAACCTTAAATGTAAATGAGCTAACTGCTCCAATTAAAAGACACAGATTGGCAAATTGGATAGAGTCAAGACCTATCAGTGTGCTCTATTCAAGAGACCCATCTCACGTGCAGAGACACACATAGGCTCAAAATAAAAGGATGGAGGAAGATCTACCAAGCAAATGGAAAACAAAAAAAAAAACAAGTATTGCAATTCTAGTCTCTGCTAAAACAGACTTTAAACCAACAAAGACCAAAAGAGACAAAGAAGGCCATTACATAATGGTAAAGGGATCAATTCAACAAGAAGAGCTAACTATCATAAATATATATATGCACCCAATACAGGAGCACCCAGATTCATAAAGCAACTCCTTAGTGTACTACAAAGAGACTTAGACTCCCACACAATAATAATGGCAGACTTTAACACCCCACTGTCAACATTAGACAGATCAACGAGACAGAAAGTTAACAAGGATATCCAGGAATTGAACTCAGCTCTGCATCAAGGGGACCTAATAGACATCTACAGAACTCTCCACCCCAAATCAACAGAATATACATTCTTTTCAGCACCACACCACACCTATTCCAAAATTGACCACATAGTTGGAAGTAAAGCACTCCTCAGCAAATATAAAAGAACGGAAATTATAACAAACTGTCTCTCAGACCACAGTGCAATCAAACTAGAACTCAGGATTAAGAAACTCACTCAAAACCGCTCAAATACATGGAAACTGAACAACCTGCTCCTGAATGACTACTGGGTACATAACGAAATGAAGGCAGAAATAAGGAAGTTCTTGGAAACCAACGAGAACAGACACACTACATACCAGAATCTCGGGGACACATTTAAAGCAGTGTGTAGAGGGAAATTTATAGCACTAAATGCCCACAAGAGAAAGCTGGAAAGATCAAAATAGACACCCTAACATCACAATTAAAAGAACTAGAGAAGCAAGAGCAAACACATTCAAAAGCTAGCAGAAGACAAGAAATAACTAAGATCAGAGAAGAACTGAAGGAGATAGAGACACAAAAAACCCTTCAAAATATTAATGAATCCAGGAGCTGGTTTTTTGAAAGCATCAACAAAATTGATATACCACTAGGAAAACTAATAAAGAAGAAAAGAGAGAAGAATCAAATAGACACAATAAAAATGATAAAGGTGATATCACCACCGATTCCACAGAAATACAAACTACCATCAGAGAATACTATAAACACCTATACGCAAATAAATAAGAAAATCTAGAAGAAATGGATAAATTCCTCGACACATACACCCTCCCAAGACTAAACCAGGAAGAAGTTGAATCCCTGAATGGACCAATAACAGGCTCTGAAATTGAGGCAATAATTAATAGCCTACCAACCAAAAAAAGTCCAGGACCAGACGGATTCACAGCTAAATTCTACCAGAGGTACGAAGAGGAGCTGGTACCATTCCTTCTGAAACTATTCCAATCAATAGAAAAAGAGGGAATCCTCCCTAACTCATTTGATGAGGCCAGCATCATCCTGATACCAAAGCCTGTTGTGTCTCTACACAACAAAAAAAGAGAATTTTGGACCAATATCCCTGATGAACACCAATGCAAAATCCTCAGTAAAATACTGGCAAACCGAATCCAGTAGCACATCAAAAAGCTTATCCACCGTGATCAAGTGGGCTTCATCCCTGGGATACAAGGCTGGTTCAACATATGCAAATCAATAAACGTAATCAATCATATGAACAGAACCAAAGACAAAAACCCCATGATTATCTCAACAGTTGCAGAAAAGGCCTGCAACAAAAGTCAACAGCCTTCATGCTAAAGACTCTCAATAAACTAGGTATTGATGGGACGTATCTCAAAATAATAAGAGCTATTTATGACAAACCCACAGCCAATATCATACTGAATGGGCAAAAACTGGAAGCATTCCCTTTGAAAACTGGCACAAGACAGGGATGCCCTCTCTCACCACTCCTATTCAACATACTTTTGGAAGTTCTGGCCAGGGCAATCAGGTAGGAGAAAGAAATAAAGGGTATTGAATTAGGAAAAGAGGAAGTCAAATTGTCCCTGTTTGCAGATGACATGATTGTATATTTAGGAAACCCATCGTCTCAGCCCAAAATCTCCTTAAGCTGATAAGCAACTTCAGCAAAGGCTCAGGATACTAAATCAATGTGCAAAAATCACAGGCATTCCTATACACCAATAACAGACAAACAGAGAGCCAAATCATGAGTGAACTCCCATTCACAATTGCTTCCAAGAGAATAAAATACCTAGGAATCCAACTTACAAGGGATGTGAAGGGCCTCTTCAAGGAGAACTACAAACCACTGCTCAACGAAATAAAAGAGGACACAAACAAATGGAAGAACATTCCATGCTCATGGATAGGAAGAATCAATATCGTGAAAATGGCCATACTGCCCAAGGTAATTTATAGATTCAATGCCATCCCCATCAAGCTACCAATGACTTTCTTCACAGAATTGGAAAAAACTACTTTAAAGTTCATATGGAACCAAAAAAGAGCCCGCATAGCCAAGACAATCCTAAGCAAAAAGAACAAAGCTGCAGGCATCACGCTGCCTGCCTTCAAACTATACAACAAGGCTACAGTAACCAAAACAGCATGGTACTGGCACCAAAACAGATACATAGACCAATGGAACAGAACAGAGCCCTCAGAAATAATACCACACATCTACAATGATCTGATCTTTGACAAACCTGACAAAAACAAGAAATGCGGAAAGGATTCCCTATTTAGTAAATGGTATTGGGAAAACTGGCTAGCCATATGCAGAAAGCTGAAACTGGATCCCTTCCTTACACCTTATACAAAAATTAATTCAAGATGGATTAAAGACTTAAATGTAGACCTAAAACCATAAAAACCGCAGAAAACCTAGGCAATACCATTCAGGACATAGGCATGGGCAAGGACTTCATGACTAAATCACCAAAAGCAATGGCAACAAAAGCCAAAGTTGACAAATGGGATCTAATTAAACTAAAGAGCTCCTGCACAGCAAAAGAAACTACCATCAGAGTGAACAGGTGACCTACAGAATGGGAGAAAACTTTTAGAATCTACCCATCTGACAAAGGGCTAATATCCAGACTCTACAAAGAACTTAAACAAATTTACAAGAAAAAATCAAACAACCCCATGAAAAAGTGGGTGAAGGATATGAACAGACACTTCTCAAAAGAAGACATTTATGCAGCCAACAGACACATGAAAAAAAGCTCGTCATCACTGGCCATCAGAGAAATGAAAATCAAAACCACAATGAGTTACCATCTCACACCAGTTAAAATGGCCATCATTAAAAAGTCAGGAAACAACAGGTGCTGGAGAGGGTGTGGAGAAATAGGAACACTTTTACACCATTGGTGGGACTGTAAACTAGTTCAACCATTGTGGAAGACAGTGTGGCGATTCCTCAAGGATCTAGAACTAGAAATACCATTTGACCTAGCCATCCCATTACTGGGTATATGCCCAAAGGATTATAAATCATGCTGCTATAAAGACACATGCACATGTACGTTTATTGTGGCACTATTCACAATAGCAAAGACTTGGAACCAACCCAAATGTCCATCAATGATAGAGTGGATTAAGAAAAGGTGGCACATATACACCATGGAATACTATGCAGCCATAAAAAAGGATGAGTTCATGTCCTTTGCAGGGACATGGATGAATCTGGAAACCATCATTCTGAGCAAATTATCACAAGGACAGAAAACCAAACACCACATGTTCTCACTCTTAGGTGGGAACTGATCAATGAGAACACTTGGACACAGGGTGGGGAACATCACACACCAGGGCTGTCATGGGGTGGGGGTAGGGGGGAGGGATAGCATTAGGAGATATACCTAATGTAAATGATGAGTTGATGGGTGCAGCACACCAACATGGCACATGTATACCTATGTAACAAACATGCACGTTGTGCACATGTACCCTAGGACTTAAAGTATAATAATAAAAAAAGTAGATACTTTAATTAAAAATATTTTATTATAAAACAAATAGTAACAATAGAAAAAATTATTACTGGTCTATATTGTCTATGGATAACAATAAGGGTTTTCTCCTATGCTTTGTCAAACAGAAAGATGAGTGTAAACATCTGAAGAATCTTAAGGTCGAGATTTGAAAGTCAGTGTCATTGAAATAATGATCCTCGTAATCTTTTCTTGTGATATTTTTACAACGGGTGCTTGATAAAGAAAAACAAAAGAGAAAAAGATGCAACAAACACCCGGAAAACAAATGATTCCTGTTTTTACCCCTAACCCACTGAGAAATTTTAAGTTAAAAAAATCTAGCTGTCACACATATCATCACTATAATTAGACTCTTCTGTGCACAACAGCAAATTATCTTAGACAATTAAAAATATAATGTATTAGATTTATGGGTTGTGTTTACTTTTACTCTCTTCTGACTTGCATGTATTTTGTGATGAAGAAATAATGGAGAAATGATTCATTAGGATACATAGATTTTCTAATCCATATATATTATTGTATCTTCATTTGTAATTTGAAGCAGGTTTTAAAAAAATCACTTGTTTTACTGAATCATTTTAGTTCTCAGTTTAAAAAATCTTCATTTTCTTCATTCATTTCCTAAGAAAAAGTAGTAAGATCTTAATGTGATGTGCACTGTACCTTTAAATGATTGTTTGCAACAGCATCATGTAAGGGCAGAATTCCATCTATATTTTCACAATTAACCTTAGCACCAGCTTTTAATAACTCTACAATTATATCAATAGATCCTTCATTAGATGCCTCATGAAGTGGTGTCCAACCTAAAAAAAGAAAAAGAAAAAAAAAAACCCTGCTTCATGCGAATCAATACTCATGTAATATCTGTATTACTAAGGTTTTGTTGCATTAATGCAATATCCATATTGATTCATATGTATATACTAAGTATTGAACAAGAAATAATACAAAAAACTATGGACTTATAATTTATGTTTAATTTTGGAAACAAATTGGTCTCATCACAAATATTTGTTGATATAAGTGCCAAAGCAAAAGACTCACAGAATGCAAAACACAATGAGAGTAAATACTACTCATTTTGATTTGTTTCAACTCAGATATTAAAACGTCTGACTTTCCTATGTGTATCTTTGCATTGCCACATTTCTCTTTAAAATGACACCTGGTTTAATTAACCTTTGAGTTTTTCCCTGTGGAATTCTTCAGAGAAGATTCTTTTGTGCTTAAGCAAAATGTTAGGTAAATTTTTCATAGTTTTAGAATAAAAATAAAGAGAGAAAAAGGAACAGTATAAAAGGAGGAGAAAAGAGAAGAAGGGATAGGAGAATGAGAAAATTCTGCATTCTCATCAAAGTTACAGGATAAACTTGAGGCTTCCAAGGAAAAGGCCTAACTCCCTTTACTCCCCGTTCTGTCTACCCTCTCTGATGCTCCCAAATGGATGTTAAAAACTGTTTCAAAGGAAAAAGGTCTTTTAACAATGATAAATCTTAGTATTCAACTAAACACTAATATAATATAAAAAAGATTGTTCAAAGTTATCACTTACATATCAGCCAGGAACAAATTGGAGGGGGCAGGAGGTGTTGAAATGTGTATTTCAGTGAGTTCAAATTATAAAGGTAATTAAATTAAAAGGATCCAAACCTGCATTATCATTTAGATTCACATCTGCTCCAGATTCTATCAGGGCTTTCACTAGGGGCAGATTTCCTCTTCTGACAGCTAAATGAAGCTGGCTTTCCCCTCTGGCATTCCTCTTGTTGATCCTACCTGCTTTCATTCCTGTAAATTTGCCAAACAAGAGGTTTATTTTCTGCCAAATGCTGATTGTTATAAAGGATCTTAGAAAATACATAACAACTTCCTCAAAATACCACACTACACAGAAACATATATCAATTAATGTTATCATTGCTGTTATTGTTTTAATATATAATTTCTGAAGAAATAATAAGCATCTAAGCACATTACTTTGTATTCATTCTAGCAGTTGATTAATCACTCTATCAAACACTTGATTAAAACAAATTAACTTGCTTCAGTTCTATCTATACTCATCTAATTCTCAGTAGTCCTTTAATAATGAATAATATTTTTCTCAAGATAACTGAGATATTATAAAAAATCATCTTTCTACAGCCATTCTGTATCTCAATGGGTGTATTCCTGATCACATAGGTGCCAAGTAACAAACTATGGCCTATGGTTTTCCATTTTTCTTTCACAAAATGTGCTGTACAATATCATTAACCAAAGATTTTGTTTTTTAAATCTCTTCCTTGCAATACAAGTTAGACAGACTTAAGTTGGAACTAAAAGTAATGAACTGATCATGTTTTCCCCCTATTTCCTGCCAAAACCATGCTAAAATGACAGTAAAAGAAATTTTAAAGTACCATATTAAAAAAATGAAAGAGGAAACAATAAAGGACAAAGACTTCAACACATTTGGGGGGATTAGAAAGTCAATGATGGAGAACAGTGAACTGACTTGGCAGAATGGGGAATGCTCCAACACAAGTGCCTGCAAAGGGAATTGTAGAGAGAGAGCCAATCTGAACTCACGCACTCCACACTTGGGGAAATGAGGCACTATGGAAGGCAGGTGTGTGGAACAGTGGGCGTGGGCGCTGGGCAGTTGGTTAATATCTTTTATATAAGATCTTTTACATAGAAAAGTTGGGACTCCAAGTTTCCTTCCCCAACCCTCAACTGACTAGCAACCACTTCTCTTATCCCAGATCTCCGACCCAAAGCCAGGAACCTGAAGGTTTGTTTTCTATAGAAACTGCATCAGGGCCAGGCACGGTGGCTGATGTCCGTAATCCCAGCATTCTACTAAAAATACAAAACTTAGCCGGGCATGGTGGTGGATGCCTGTAATCACAGCTACTCTGGAGACTGAGGGAGGAGAATCATTAGAACCTGGAAGGTGGAGGTTGCCCTGAGCCAAGACTGCACCACTGCACTCCAGCCTGGGCAACAGAGATACACTCCGTCTCAAAAAAAAGAAAAGAAAAGAAAAGAAAGAAAGAAGGAAGGAAGGAAGGAAGGAAGGAAGGAAGGAAAGAGAGAGAGAGAAAGAAAGGAAGGAAGGAAGGAAGGAAGGAAGGAAGGAAGGAAGGAAGGTAGGAAGGAAGGAAGGAACTGCATTAGAGAAGCTTCAGACTGAGATGCAAAGCAAAATAAACGGATAGGGTGAAGAAACAGAAAATATTCGTTAAATCAGTGGTATCGGCACCATGGAGGAAACTTGTTAGAAATGCAAATTCCCCAGTCCACTCCAAACTTACTTTGGAGGACAGACTAAAATGGCTCCTAATGATCCTCACCATCTGGTATTTATGACTTTGTGTACTCTTCTTCTCTTGAATAGCTTGCTTCTAACCAATAGAATATTTCCATATTGAGGGTATTTCATTTAACTGATTAAGTTAAAAGAGATTGTAACATTTTCTGTCCTGCTAGCAGACTTGCTGTATTGCCTTCAGCTTGTAAGTTTTGATGATGCAAGTAGCCATGTTGGAGAAGCCCACCCAGCAAGAAACTGAGGATGGCCACCAGCCAATCACCAGTGAGGAACTGAGGCCCTCAGCCAACCATCCTCAAGAAATTGAATTCTGCCAACAATCACATGAGCTTGAAAGTGTATCCTTCCCTAGTAGAGCCTTCAGATGAGACCCCAGTCCTGGCCAACACTTTGCTGCCTACGAACAATTCTGTTAGAGGTCCCAACTAAGCCATGCCTGATTCCTGACCTACAGAAAGTATGAGACAATAAGTGTGTAATAGAGACAACTACTGAATCAGATTCTTTGAGGGTAGGGCCCAGCAATCTGTGTTTTAACAAGCTTTTCAGGTAATTCTGATGCAAACTAAGGTTTGAGAATCACTGCATTAAACTTTGGGACAATCTTCTTGCTCTACTTCCTAAATGTCATCAACCATGCATATGGTTTCAGGGCAAGAGATAAAAAGATTAGAGAACCATTCTCTAAAAAATGGATTCTTGGGTTATATGAATCACAGGGAAGAATAAGTCTCATATATCTCTTCCACTGGCACCCAGACAAAAACATATTGCTCTTTAGAGATTAGCAATCCAAAATTCTTTATTGGAAGAATTGAAAACTTATGTGTGTGTGTGTGTGTGTATATATATACATATGAGAGACAGAGAATATATTTGAAAATTATATCTCAGATTGCAGGCCTGCAGACTGCAAGTTTGAATAGAAAAATCTCTCCCAGCTGGGCACAGTGCCTCACACTTGTAATCCTTGCACTTTGGGAGGCTGAGGCAGCAGGAGTTTGAGACTAGCCTGGGCAACATAGGGAGATGACATTTCTTAAAAAAATTTAAAAATTAGCAGGGTGAGTGAGTCGAGATCGTGCCACTGCACTCCAGCCTGGGTGACAGAGCGAGACTCCGTTTCAAAAAAAGAAAAGAAAAAAAATTAGCGGGGTGTGGTGGCATGTAGTCCCAGTTACTGAGGGATGCTGGGGTGGGAGAATCATGTGAGCCTGGGAGGTCAAGGCTGCAGTGAACTGTGATTGTGCCACTGCTCTGTAGCCTGGGTGACAGACAAGACCCTGTCTCAAACAACAACAACAACAAACTCTCCCAATAATTCTTACTGTGGATGGTATAAATTCTTGTTCCTGGTGTGTTTGTAGCAAAGAAGGTAGCCATGTAATATACATTTTGGAGCAAAAACTCAAAAACTTCTCAATGTTACTAACATCATAAGTTTGTACAGCATTTGACTAAAAACATAAAATAACAAAATCTGATAGAAATTCAAAAGGAAACAAATAGTACTCATCCTAAACCTCTTCAAAAACTCCACTGTAGTTTGGAATCTGATGTTACTATTAATAAGTATAATGCTATTAAATACTTAGATTTCTCTCCATTATGTGACCAGTTTTTTCTTCTCGGAAGCTTTCAGGATCTTCTCTTTATTCCTGTTCTAAAATTTCAGTGAGGTGTCTTGTTCACTGTACTAGACACTAAGTGGTACTTTCAATATGGAAATGCCTATCTCATTTCTTGTATTCTTTCTTTAATGATTTCTTCTACTGTTCACTCGCTATTCTCCCTGGATTTCCTGGAGTGATCTTTAATGTTCTTATCTTTTCTCTCCTATTTTCAGCTTTTTCTTTTTTTGTCCTTAGTAGACTTGTAAAGCTTTGCCTTGTAACCCTGCTGCACATATCTATATATTATCTATTTATTTAAATTTCTGTTTTCAACAACTAAAAGCTCTGTATTGTTCTCTTATTGTTCCCTCTTTTCTATACCTTTTTGGAAAAAATATTAGATGCTTCTTGATTCTTGTATAGTTTCTGTTTCTTCTGGGTTCCTTTGGTCTGCTTAGTTTACTTTGATATCTTTCATATTGGTGTTTTCTGCAAATACTTGTCGATTCTTGACTATCTGTTCATTCATATTTTAGTGAGGAAAACTAAAATCCTAATTGGAAATCTGTGGAGGGTGAGGGGAATGTGGCAGAACTTGGGCATAGTTGAATTCACTGTTGGGTGATCAGCAGGAGGTAAGCCTGCCATTGTTTTAGGGAATCCCAGATGTCACTATCTAAAATTCTTACCTCTGGAGCAGTTCAATTCTCTGCTCAAGTGGCTTACAGTCTGGTGGAATAATAGACATGTTAAAAATTACATTTAAATATGATTAAGTGCTGCTAGAGAGGTGTGAAGTTTCCTGTGGTAGCTGTAACAAATTACCACAAACTGGGTGACTTAAAACAACAGAATGTATTCTCTCATAGTTTGGAAACCAGAAATCAATATCAAAGTGTCAACGGGGCTGTACTCCCTCTGGAAGCTCTAGGAGAGAATATTTCTGTGCCTCTTCTAGCTTCTGATGGCTGTCAGCATTGCTTGGCTTCCTTGGCTGTGGCTACATTGCTCCTTTGCCTTCATCTCATCATTTCTTCTGTGTGTTTCAAATCTCCCTGTGTTTGTCTCATAAGGACACAGTAATTAGATTTAGGGCCCACCTGGATAATCCAGGATGGTCTCCTTATCTTAGGGTTCTTAACTTGATTACATATGCAAAGAAGGTAATAGGCATGCTTTTACTATATAAGGTAATAGTCACAAACTACAGGGATTAGGACAGGGCATGTTTTGGGGGGCCAGCATTCAACCCACTATAGGAGGTATGTATAAGAAGGATTTCAGTTTACATGAGAGGGGGAAAATGAAAGAATATTCATAGAGAATGCCTAATTCAGTGTCCTTCCTACCTCTTAACAGACAGTATGTAAATCAACATTCAGTGAATAATGTTTAACCTGAAGTGGTCCAGCCTATTGTTTATGACAGAACTATCTCCAAGAACTATCAAAGGATGCTTAGCTTGTCCGTACTGTGAAACACACATAGTTCACTCATCTGACACAAAACAAACTAATGGCTATGTTTCTTTAATTTCCCTTATGTTAAAAGGGCTGAATGGAAGTATCTAAAGAATCTGATACATTTCACGCCTGCTGTCCCCACTGAATATTCTTGCTGTGTCTGCAGTTTACCTTATCTCCTCTAATATAATAAACTAGAAGTCATAGAAAGAAGTATGACATGAATATATTTAAAGATTATTGGATTATCAAGTGATGCCTTAACAACAAATATTGCTGAAATAGTCATATAAGTCAGTGAATAACTACAAAAAGAAACAATATATCTGAAAGTTTAGAAATTCCTTGAAGTAGAGTGAATTGCTGGGCTTGATTTTGTAAACTTTAACCTATACAATTATAGGAATACAAACCTAGGTTGCAGGTAGTTTTTAAGAAACTTTGTCTTTTTCTGAAATTCTGAACTGTTTTGTGTTCTTGGCTATTAGTAGGCATGTGAATTTCTGACTCCGTTTTTTCTTTTATCTCCTCACAATTTCTTATAGTTATTTCATCTCCACTGATGTTATTAGTTAATTCCTCATCTGAAACAAACATTTTACAATATCAGTGTTGTTGTTCTCCTACCTGGTTATACAATTAGAAAATAAAATTTCTAATTTTTTAAAGTTTCTGTTCCACACTGGACTGTTTAAGAAAATGGAAGCTTTTAAAAATGTTTTTATGTAACAGACAAAAAGTTTGCTGGTTGCAGCTCTGATGGGAATATAGTAGATAGTTGAAATGAATAGACCTAACAATTTCCTGCTATCAAAATGTTGTTAGGTTTCCTGATGCTCAATAAATACTATATTAAAAAGCAACAGAAAGAGTGATAGAAATACTGTTTATTCAATCAATGGGGAAAGGATTCCCTATTTAATAAATGGTGTTGGGAAAACAGGCTAGCCATATGCAGAAAACTGAAACTGGAACCCTTCCTTACCCTCAGGGGACAAAAATTAACTCAAGATGGATTAAAGACTTAAACATAAGACCTAAAACCATAAAAACCCTAGAAGAAAACCTAGGCAATACCATTCAGGACATAGGCATGGGCAAAGACTTCATGACTAAAACACCAAAAGCAATGGCAACAAAAGCCAAAATTGATAAATGGGATCTAATTAAACTAAAGAGCTTCTGCACAGCAAAAGAAACTATCATCAGAGTGAACAGGCAACCTACTGAATGGAAGAAAATTTTTGCGATCTATCCATCTGACAAAGGGCTAATATCCAGAATTTACAAGGAACAAATTTACAAGAAAAAAACAAATAACCCCATCAAAAAGTGGGCAAATGATATGAACAGACACTTCTCAAAAGAAGACATTTATGTGGCCAAAAAACATGAAAAAAAGCTCATCATCACTGGTCATTAGAGAAATGCAAATCAAAGCCACAATGAGACACCATCTCACGCCAGTTAGAATGGCGATCATTAAAAAGTCATGAAACAACAGATGCTAGAGAGGATGTGGAGAAATAGGAATGCTTTTACACTGTTGGTGGGAGTGTAAATTAGTTCAACCATTATGGAAGACAGTACAGTGATTCCTCAAGGATCTAGAACCAGAAATACCATTTGACGCAGCCATCCCATTACTGGGTATATACCCAAAGGCTTATAAATCATTCTACTATAAAGACACATGTACATGTATGTTTATTGTGGCACTGTTCACAATACCAAAGACCTGAAACCAACTCAAATGCCCATCAATGATAGACTGGATAAAAAAAAGTGGCACATATACACCATGGAATACTATGCAGCCATAAAAAGGGATGAGTTCATGTCCTTTTCAGGGACATGAATGAAGCTGGAAACCATCATTCTCAGCAAGCTAACACAGGAACAGAAAACCAGACACCACATGTTCTCACTCATAAGTGGGAATTGAACAATGAGAACACATGGTGAGGGGAACATCACACACCAGGGCCTGTCATGGGGTGGGGGGGCTACTGGTGGGATAGCATTAGAAGAAATACCTAAGGTAGATGATGGGTTGATGGGTGCAGCAAACCACCATGGCACATATATACCTATGTAACAAATCTGCACGTTCTACACATGTATCCCAGAACTTAAAGTATAATAATAATTATAAAAAAAACTACTGTTTATTACCATCAGTCAATATCAGCTTAGCAACCGTCTTTGATAACATCGTTTTGACTTTCGAAGTAATCACTGTTACTTAACTACTAGGTTTAGTGGCATCTCAAAATATGGCCCACATGTCCTCATTCTTCTCAGTTTGGCCATCGTTTGAATACAATTCAGTTGGAAATTTCTATAAAAATAAGTAAATCTATAGGAAATATGTACAGATTAAGCAATATTACTAATACCTGGTTTGTGAGAAATTTCCTTCTTTTCTCTTTGACTAAGTTTTGAGATGTTGGCCAATTCTTTACTCATATTGTCAGTGGAATGAGAATCTATATTGTGTATAGTCTCACTTTCTAGATGGTTTTGTCTCCTTTTTTCAACTTTAGTTGTTTCTATTACTTGAGAATGAGCAACTATGGATAAAGGCTCATTTGAATAAATTATTTTTTGGTCTCTGTCAATGTAATTCCTCTCAGTGTCACAATTCTTTGCCATCTTTTCCACAATATGTGTATCTGTTTGATTCATTAAAAAAGTTGGTGCTCTGGGAATATAATCCTGTGGCTTTTTGAATAGCTCCACATGATTAGTCAACTTTGAAGCCTCATGTGTCAAAAGTGTTCTCATACAAGCCAGGGAATTTTGCTCAGGATTGCCATTTGAGTGATCAAAAGAAGGTCCAAATATGCATTGTTCATAATTTGCAACATGTTCAGAAATAACTGCATTATCTGAATAAGAAAAATTAACAGCTTCCTGTTCTGGAAGTGTGGTTAGGCTGACTGCTTTTAACTCATTTTCCTGTGAAAGATGATCTTCAGAAAGTAAAAACTGTTGGAAACCCATTTCTTTTTTATTTGTTAAATTCTCCTTAAAATTATAGTGTTTTTTGCCACCTGTAGAACACAACACCTTTTTAGATGTTATAGCCTTCTCAGAGGTAGAGCAATCATCATCATCATCATTATCAGAATTTTCCTTTACAAAGGATAGGAAAGAATTTTCCCATTTGTTAAATCTCTCATCTTTTGGGACCAAGTTACTGTTTTCATGAGATTTATAAAGTACATGGTGTTGTTCCTGGAGAGTGTGAGGCTGCTTATCTGTAGTAACAACTGGTAACTTGATTTCTTTATGTAATAAAAGCCCTGGGAAAGAAACAGCTTCAGTTTGGTCAACAGATTCTAATTCCAAGCATTGAACTTCTTGACTATCTGATAAATCCAGGTTCTGGATGTGTTTCTCTTTGGAAACTGAACAAGCCTCAGTACTGCTATCTAATCCATTTCTCAGGCTTGACAGAGTTAAGCTGGAAGGTTCACACAATTCTTCTGGAAGGTCATTATGAGTTTCTGGAATATGCTGCTGATAGGTAACCAATCTGTTTATTCTCCTGGAAGGAGAGACAGCTAGTATCTTTCTTGGATTACAGTCTACATCATCTACTTGGGTCCTTTTATGTTGTGTTTTTCTTCTTCCTATACCTTTTGGTACGTTTGTGTTGGGATCTTTGACGTTATGGAGATTGCCCTTTCTGAGTCCTGTAGAGTATATCTGGTCAAGAGTTGATTGTTTATGCTTGGATTTACCAAATTTTGTGTTTTTGGGATCTTTTTGGTAATATTCATATACATCTTCTTTATTTATAAATAAACTCGCTTTGCTTCCTTTATTGACTTTTACATGTTCCAGCTTCTGTCTGTTGGAATTTTCATTATAAACATGCCAAATGTGACTTTTAGAACTGAACTTTGGTTTCTATAGAAAAAAAATACATAGTTAGCTTTAATTTTCAGCGGTAGTACTATATCAATTCAATCTGGATTATTGATAAATCAACTATTATTTGATTCAAACTATTATTTTCTAATTCAATCTAACCACAGATCCTGCTGGGATATAGCCAACCTGATATTTCAGAAATGCAGACTAATAGAAGAAAGGCAAATGTAATAGATTTAGACTCAGTATGTATACTAATCTTTACTTTCTACTGTAGATTTTAATTCCTTCTTGCCAGTATTGTAGCACTACTAATCTTATTAAACATAATAAATTTTAATCTACTTAATTTTTATATGCTTTTAAATTAATCAGATCAAAGTTTCCTTTACAAGGAAACTCTGTGTTGGTGTACATCTTTTGTGTCTAGTGGATGGGTGCTATTCCTTTGAGCTGTAAACAGCAAGAGAAAATCAAAGAAAGCAGATTCCAGTAGTCAGACTCTATAAACTTTACAAGAAGCTTTACACAAATGCTTTAGAAACACTCTCCTCTCCCAATTGTTATATAGGTGGAGCTAGAATTAGGGGTTTCTTCTTCTAGTATCTGGGAGAACTATGGGATGGAAGCAGAAAAATTGACTTAAAAACAGGAAGACAGATATACTCTTCAACTGGTCTGTATGAAAAAATTATTATGGGCTGCTAAGATTAAAACAGGAACACAGCTTCCTCTCATTCACACAACTCAAGTACTAGATGAAGAGTAACTGCCCACGATGTAAAGTTTGAAGGGATGGGCTAATACCTTTGACTCTTTCCTGTACTATGCTTAGGCCACAGGAAATTAGACATAGTTGATAAACCTTAAGCTCCATAAAGAGGAGGAGGAAGGAAATGGTTACCAATATATTAGCGTGCCCAGATATGCCATAAACTAACAGCCCAGAACCCTCTGATTCTCATGCAATTATTCTAGTGTCTTAAAAGCAAATGTGAAGTCATTATTACTAAAGCTTCAGCAGTCTTTCTCTTCCCTTTGACAATCTATGAAACAACCAGAAGTTACATCCCTATAAAAATGTTTATTACTAAACATAGATATACCTTGTGTTGGTACACATCCTCTATGTCTAGTGGGTCAATGCTACTCCTTTGAGCTGTAAACAAAAAGAGAAAATCAATGAAAACAGCTTCTAGTGTTTAGACTTTAGACTTCTAAAACCCACCAGTCCTTTGCCACGAGAAAACCAAGTGGAATAAGTGAAATTATGCAAACATTTTATATTAAAATTGGCACATACAACATTCCTATAAGTTCCATATTAGAAATCAAATACTATCTTAAGAGAGCTAAAATATTTCTATAGGGAAAGCAGAGCAGATCTAACAGAATAACTAATACTAAAGATTGGCACTAAACTCAGTATTTATTTTCCCCACAGATATATCCAGATATGACCTTTTTATTCAATAGATTATGTAACTGTGTGCAAGCTACTTTTATAAGGTGAAAAATTATTTTATAATTAATTAGATTATCATCTCCTAATATGCCTGCTTAATAAGGTCCTAATTGAATGCTGCATTCTCTTTAAAGTAAAACATACACAGATGGAAAAGGCCAACCGTCTTGTGAATGCACAGGGGGAAAAAGATTATTTTTAAAAAGCCTGAGTTGATAATAAAAGGAATGTATTTTAGTGTCTCTTCATAGCCTCCTTTATGTAATAAAAGTAGCATTAAAGTTAACTATATATGCATTTGGCTACAAAAGATAAAAACCTAGGAACAATGGCTTACACACAGGAAATATTCAAAGAATATTTGACAGAGGAAGGAATAAATGAATGAACATCTTGTATGTGATACATAACACAAATTTCCCTAAATATAAGCTAGAAATGTAAAATATTTTAATGAGGATGTAATTCAAAAACAGAGCAATTTAATTTATTTCTTGGGGATAACTTTCATGATAGCAATCAAATTATGAGCTGCATAATGAAGTATGACATTGATTCATTCACATTATACAGGTGAAAAAGTCAAACATAATGTCCTTTTACCAAGCAAAAAGGTGCTATTCCTTTGGAGCACCGTCTCTGGGGACTCAATCCAGAGTTTCAGTCTTGATTCTCATCTGCTTAGCAGCTGGCTGACCTTGAGCAAATTTCTTAATGTCTCTGCCTCCATAAAATGCCCATAAATGAAAGCTAATAATAGTTTCAACCTCACAGAATGGTGAAGATTGAATTATATAATCCATGTAAAGTGTTTACATGAATCCTAGGTATAGAGAAAGTGCTCCATTATTATTGTTATTATTATTTTCTAAGAGCAAAAGGACACTATACCTTCTCCAAACCTTTGATCTTAAATAAAAGAGTAGAAAAATCGTATTTTCCAGAAACCACCCTGCAAGGGACATGGTTCCTAAGAGAATCTGGAAGGAAGAACAGGGCTTTATTTTCTCTGAGTTTTAAGACTTTACATTCCCTAATACAACCAACTTAATACCCAGGTATAAATTCTGAGGTGGTGATATTTAGTGATATAGCTATATTATTTTCCCTCTGCCACTCTGAGTTCCCATAATGTACCGGGTACTGTGTTGAGATATTTACATATATTAACTTCAGTCCTCACATTAACAATCCCATAGGTATACAGGTAGATGCAGAGATATTATAAACCCAAGTTTACAGATAAGAAAATTAGGAATGTTAATTTACCCTATAAGCTTTATAGCCTATGAGGCTATAAAGTTAGGACTGAACCCTTGTCCTACATCAAAGTAGATATATTTTACTTTAAGCTAGAAAAGCAGCAAATATATTTTATATGAGGAAAGTTCTTTATTCATCATTCCCATACTTGAAAGTTCTTCATCTGGAACTTAAAAATGAATACTCTGTTTTTATTTATTTAAGTGAAATAATATTCTCTATTTACATACAAATATTCTTTACTTAAGTAACCTAATTTTGCATTCATATTGAAAAGTAGGCTGATAATTAATCATGGAATTTGAAAGTTTAAACTTAAGAAATATTCAAACCATCTGGTGAAGCATGATAACACAACCCATCTTAGTAAATTCTCTCACAAAGGAAGAGTGGGAGCTTAGTCCTATGGAGAAATGTTTGGGATTCCTTTACATGAAAGAAATTTCATTGGGTAGGAATAGATTAAAGTGGGCACTGGTGAAGAGGGTATTCTGGATTTGGAGAAAAGACTAGAATGCTGTAGGAAGCATTCCCAGAAGAGCAAAACAATGCATGTTGTAATTATTTAAAATAGAGAAGTCAAGCAGTTAAGCAGATTATCAAAGCAATAATTTAAAAATATACTTTTGCCTCCAACTGAATTTTATTTGCAATTTTCCATATAGTTTAAAATGTTAATACGATTGTTTTAATAATTTATCTTAATGTGCTTGTATAGACCTGGCTTCAACAAGTTACTGTCTGTCTCACTTCTCATGCAATTTGGCTACTTGGAAGGAAGTTTTTTGCTCTAATGAACCATTAATTAATTACCTCCTGGTAGCCTTCAATTATCAATGAAGTTTTCTCTTTACTATAAAAGTAGAATATTTTGATCCAGGACTTAGTTCTTGTCAATAGCATTCAGACAACTGCATTTCTTGATCAAGTATATGATTTATAAAATAAGTATCCATAAAATAATAAAATAGATCCACTAACCCTAAAGAAAAACTACTCTCACGACTGGTTGTTAGATTGCTCAACTGTACCTAATTTTCAATAACAGACACACCTAACAATAATTGGAAGAACTGTTTTATATTAAATAGAACCCAGCTGGGAAGGAGATTGATATGGTTTGGCTGTGTCCCCTTCCAAATCTTATCTTGAATTGTATCTCCCATAATCCCCATGTGTCATGGGAGGAACCCAGCGGGAGGTAATTGAATCATGGGGGCAGGTTTTTCTCATGCTGTTCTCCTGATAGTGAATAAGTCTCACAATATCTGATGGTTTTATAAAGGGCTGTTCCCCTGCACTTCTCCTTGCTGCTGCCATGTGAAGAAGGACGTGTTTGTTTCACTTCCACCATGATTGTAAGTTTCCTTAGGCCTCCCTAGTCCTGCAGAACTGTGAGTCAATTAAATCTCTTTCCTTTATAAGTTACCCAGTCTCAGGTATGTCTATTAGCAGCATGAGAACAAACTAATACAGAGATGTACTTTAAATTTCATTTAAAACCATTTAGATCGGGAAAAGATCTTTTCTAATAGACTTATCAAAGGGTTTGTGTTGACACTTAATCATTAACCAAGATAGATATGTAATATCTGTCCTGTTATCCTCCTGGACATGAAGGAGCCTGGGTTATGTGTCTTTTTTATGTACTCTCATAGGGCCTGAGCATTCTTTTGTCACATTCTTCATCGTAATTGCTGGCTATCCCTGTTTCTTATTCATCTTGTATTATCAGGCTTTGGCACTATTTAGTGTTTGATACATAGCAACCCTGATACAATGAATGAATGAATGAATGACTCTTCATAGAAAATAAATTCCAGTGGAGGTGGGTTAGAGAGCATCTGTTGTTTTGCCTGCCCAGCACATAACCTCATAGGCAGCTCTCTGAAGAGAGATACCATTGGTTCCTGCTGCCTAGATCCCTGGAGCTGCTTTTATTCTTGACCTTTCCAAGGTCTGGATCTTCAGCTTTTCCTTCAATTCTTGAGTTGTTCTGTCAAGAAACTCCCTTTTCAGCCTTAAGTTGATTACTTGCCACCAAAGAACTTTGAATTTATATTTGTATCAAAGAAGTGACAACAGCCACAGCTGTATTATTTGTCCCCAGGAAGACACAGAGCTTTAGCAGAGGATAGGTTTCCACCGCCAGCCTAAGTTTTGTTCTATTAAGGGAGAACTACAGGACATGTAGGGAGGCCCACTCACTTCATGGTGAGAAGGATTTTCAGATTAAACTTTCCTGCACACAAAGGGGGAACTGCAAAGGTGGAAGCCTTTGTTGTTAAAGGTAATAATATATAAAAGCCTTTGGGAGAAAATATCTGTTGGGGATTTTTTTTCATTAAAATACAGTTTAATAAATGGGAATGAAGCACATATGGATCTCTTGAATGGAAAGAATTTGTTTTTGTTTTTGTTTCAGAGGACTGACAATATTTATTCAATAAATATTTGCTGAATGCCTACTACGTACAAGTCACTTTAATATTAATCAGTAGACAAAACAAAGATCTTTTCCTTCATGGAGCTTAGATTCTGGAGGAAAAAGACAGAAAATAAAAAATAAGTCAACTGTCTAATGTGTTAGGTAATAAGTGCTATGGGGAATGTCTAAGCAGAGCAGGGTTAGAGGGAATAGAGTGAGTATAATGATTCTAAAAATATATGCATAGATTTTTGTGAATCTATGGATATATTTTTAATATATCCATGTATATTAAGAGGTGGAGCTTAATTCTGCTACCTTTGAGTGTGGGCCAGACTCAGTGACTCACTTCTAACAAACAGAATATGGCAAAAGTGATGACATATCACTTTTAAGATTAGGTTATGAAAAGACTGGCTTTTGTCTAAGGTACATTCTCTTCCTCTTAGGTCACCTGCTCTGAGATAGCTGCCAGGTTGTCAGCAGCCTTATGGAGAAGCTAATGTGGCAAGTAGCTAAAGCCTTCAGCCAACAACCAGCAATGATCTGAGTTTTGCCAACAATCATTTGTGAATTTGAAAGTGGATCTTCCTGTCCTAGTTGCAACTTGAGATGACTACAACCTGTGACTCTCATCTAGAACCACTCAGTTAAACTGCTCCCAGAATCCTGACCCTCTGAAGCTGTGTGAGATAAAACATGTTTGTTGTTTTAAGCTGCTAAGTATTAGGATTCGTTGTTACATACTGATAGATAACTAATATAGTGAAGGTAAGAAGGGGGCAGTTGCAGTATTAAGTAGGGTGGTCTAGGCCTCGTTGAGAAGGTGACATTTGAACTAAGACTTGGGGAGGCATATCTGAGGAAAAGCAAGGAGGCCAGCATGACTGAAGTTGAGTAATGGTGGTAGAAAGTACTGGTAAAAGGGGTTAACCAGTAGGGTGGCCAGCTGATAACAGGAACTTCTAGGCTATTGTAAGGATACTGGCTTTTCTTCTAGATTAAAGGGAGAGCCATTGCAGAGTCCTGAGCAGATGAATGTAGAGTTGTTACCAAAAAATCTAACAAATGTATTAGAGAGTATAAAGAGTATGTCATGTATTTAAATTATGTTTACATAATTTTTTATTGAAAACTATAGATCAAGTTCTTTTGTTGTTCAATTTAATAGAGCAGTGGATGAGAGGGAAAAAGTATAGCCATAAGAAAATATTCTTAGGGAATGAATATAAATAATCCTGGCCATTTTCACTGAAAAGGATATAACCAAAGGGGATCATATCATGTTATTTAGTCAAAGGATTTTGGGGAAAAGAAACAAATTTATAAAAGGTTTCTTAACTCTTTGCAATGTACAACCTGCAGAAAAGTATTACCTTTCTTTTTTCTTTTAGAGTCCTATGTGCATTTGCAAACAAGTCAGTGTGATTTATTAACAGAATGAAGAAAAGACACTATTGGATGGATTTTCTCAACACTCATGAGAAAAATAAATTTAATTTCTTTAATTCTAAATTAAATTTCTGTAACTTCACTGATGTGACAAATAGCTATTACAGGGCAGTTTAATCTTACCTGATGTAAGGCATTTTTGATGTTTAGGGATATATCTCTCAAGGAGACGCTTCATACATAAATCCTTGGCCTCATCCAAAGCACATTTTCCATCATCATTTCTAAATAATGGATCAGCTCCATTCAGAAGAAGTAACTCTGCCACCTAGAAAAAGGTTATTTATGTAAGGGAACCCAGATTGAGGGTGTATTACTGTGAATGTGTGCTAGCAGACTACTCTAAGTAACATCAAATATCTCTTTTGAAAATACTGTTTGGATTTATCTATAAATCCTTGTCCAATAAAAAAAGAATTAATGTAGTTGCTACTGAATTTTAATTTGTTGATACATGAGTTTCTTATCATTAAAAAAGACTAAAGGAAGAATGAAAGGGAGAAAGAGAAAAAGAAAGAAGGAGGGAAGAAAAGAAAGGGAGAAGGAGGTAAGGGGGATGGAAGGTGGGAAAGCAGGCAGGCAGAAAGGCAGGAGGCAAGAAAGGCTGAGGTAGAAACATCAGTGGCTCAGCTGCTAGTGAAATGAAGTTAGCAAATACACCAAGAATTAGGACTGGGTTCTGTAGTAGTAAATATAATTTTAACAGGTTCCAGGAGATAATTATGTCTTCCGTCTATACCTGTGCTGCCGCTGCTCCTCCTCAGACTGTTGGTGAAAAAGTGGTCAATCTATTACTACTGTTACTACTTCTCAAACAACCTCCTCTATACAGCTCTCCCTGAGCTCCCCCAATGCCTCACCATCCACTGCTGCCCAGAGAAAAACGACTTCTCCTTCTTTTCACACACATATTACTGCCCAATATACTCCATATTATACTTATTTCTTTCATATCAGTCTCTCCTAGTGTACTCTAACTTTCTTGAGGGTGGGACTATCTTTTTCTTAAATAATTTATTATTTTTCAACAGGAAATTAATGAATATGGTTCAAAATACAGAAGGCTCAGACAAAAATACAATGCAAAATAAGTTTCCCTCCTCTACCCCTGTTCTATTATTTTTTCCTGAGTCAGCCGTGGTTAATTTATTTGGAATTTTTCCAGCAATAGTCTAGTCCAATAGGTATGTATGTATGTATATATACATAATATGTATGTATACATATTTTCTTACACAAATGGTCATATATTATATACACTCTGTATTTTGCCTTGTTTCCTCCACCCTCCTAACAAGTCCTTGGAAACTGTTCCATATCAGTGTAGACTACACTTCCTCATTCTTTTCAGCAGCTAAGCAATAGTTTACTATGTGAACATACTATAATTTATTTCACCAGTACCCTATTAATGAATGTTTAAGTTGCTTCGAAGCTTTTACTACAGATATATGTCTTCATATTCCCAGAGACTATCTTAGTATCTTACGTGAAGTAAATACTAAAAAGTATTGTTTAGTAAAAGAATGAATGTAGGGCAGGAAGGATATGGTGAGTAGGCTTTAAGTAACATTATACTAAAAGAAGCCTAAATTTCCATGTTAATGTATGGAATGAGAGGAAGGATATAAATTTCTATCCAGTGTATGTACCTAAAAATTAAAAGCGTATATATATTTCCTTTTATAAGAAAGCATCCTAGCCTACTAAAGTAGTTTGAATCTTTCTCTCTTACCTTTGATATTATCTAGTTTGTGCCATTCACAGACACAGCAGGTACACTTTCCTCATCTTCCTATAATAAAATGATTATCACAAATTTACATTATGTCAGCCTTTTTTTTTTTTGAGACAGAGTCTTGCTTGTTGCCCAGGCTGGAGTGCAGTGGCATGATCTTAGCTCACTGCAACCTCTGCCTCCCGGGTTCAATCAATTCTTGTGCCTCAGCCTCCCAGGTAGCTGGGAAAAGGTGTGCATCACCACGCCTGGCTAATTTTTATATTTTTAGTAGAGATGGGGTTTCGCCTTGTTGGCCAGGCTGGTCTTGAACTTCTAACCTCAAGAGATCCACTCACCTCGGCCTCCCAAAGTGTTGAGATTACAGGTGTGAGCCACTGTGCCTGGCCACTGTGCCAGGCTTTTAAAGAAGATATATATCTCTCTTTTGAGATAATAACTAGGTGGTCTTGGGTATACCACATCTCTTTTGAAACTACTTTTTAATCACTTTGTACTCTGAGATGTGTGTGTATGTATGTGTGCATGTCCTTCTGGTGTATTAATGTTAATTCATGTTTAAAATCATAAAAGCAATATTTGCACATTGCAAAAAAAGTTAAAAATTACAGAAAGGTATTAAGTGGAAAGTCAAAGTTCCTCCGCACTTATCGTGGTAGGCTGAAAATGCCCCCTCATCCACCCTCACCAAAAGATATCCATGTCTTCATCTCTAGAACTTGTAAATGTCAACTTTATTTGGAAAAAAGACCTTTGCAAATATGATTAAGTTAAGGATTTTGAGATTAGTGGCTTATCTTCAATTATCTCAGTGAGCCTTAAATACCATCACAAGCATCCTTAAGAAAGAGGCTGAGCAGGATTTCACATGCACACACAGAGGAAAAGCTGAGGTAAAGTCAAGGGAGAGGTTGAAGTGATGCAGTCAAAATCAAGGAAGGCTGGCAGCCACTGGAAGCTGAAAGAGGCAAGTAACAGATTATCCTCTACAGCCTCTGGAGGGAGTCAAGCCCCACTGATATCTTGATTTTAGCCCAGTGATTCTGATTTTGGACTTCTAGTCTGTAGAGCTGTGAGAGAATAAATTTCTGTTGCTTTAAGCCACCCAGTTTGTGCTGGGTTATAGCTGTCATAGGAAACCTATACAGATTTGGGTACCAGAAAGTGGGGTGCTATTGTAACAAATACCTAAAAATGTAGACGTGGCTTTGGAACTGGAAAGCCTGGATTGTCTTGAACAGACATCTGGTAGAAATGTGGATGTTAAAGATCCTACCAGGGAGGGCTTAGGAGGAGCATATTAGAGAGAACCTGTATCATCTTAGATAATGCATATATCATCATGAACACAATGTTGGTGAAAAAATGAGCATTAAAGGCATTATTTGCAAGGGCTCAGAAGGAAATATAGAACAAGTTTTTAGAAGCTGGAGGAAAGGCGTTCCTTGCTATACAGTACCAGAAAGCCTAGATTTGTCCTGCAAGTTGTGTGAAAGCAGAACTTATAAATGCTAAACTTAGAGGTTTGGCTGAGGTGATTTCCAAGTTAAGCACTGAGAGTGCAACCTGGTTTCTTCTTGGGGATTATAGTAAAATGTGAGGAGAAAAAGATAAATTGAAGAAAGAACTGTTAGGCAAAAAGGAACCAGAACTTGATGATTTGGGAAATTCTGTCCATCAAGATTGGAAAAGATGGTAAAAGTTGGAGATTCCTGTAAGAAAAGTGTGCTTTGTAGAGAAGGCCAAGGGCATAGCTGGAAAACCTTTGTTAATGCTGAAGAGAGTAGGAATGTGACTCATGGACCCATTCAACCATCTTAGCAGAAGCCAGAAATATAGGTGGGCCTGTGGAAATATCTGTGAAAGATCCTGTTGTCTAGTGGCATGAATCCCTGATCTATGAAAGACCCTGTTGTCTAATGGCATGAATCCCTGTGACACACGGTAAACTCACAAGGTTTTTTGAAAATGCTCTGTCTGCAGAAACACTGCATCTTAGACTGAAAGAGAGAGAATGAAATGAAGAACTGCCAAGATTTTAGAGACAGTAAATAGGTTAATGAAACTACTCACCTGCAAATGTATGCTACCCTTCAAAAGAAAAGAAAACACCAAGAACAGAGAGTTAGCAATGAGTGAAGAGTAACAGATGGCTGTGATATAATAGAGGCAGACTACTCAGAAGCTTAGGAGATTAGCGAATAGATAGTCAAAGAGAGCCTGGCTAAAACTATAGTCCATCTTGGTGGCCCAGAAGAATGTTGTGTATATCCAAGGCAATGTCCTTTGAGGAGATGCTAGAGAAGAAACTTCTGAGTTACTGGTCCCTGGCTAAATGTAGGCCAAACTCAAAACTCCCTGAAGAATGAACATAGTCTATAAGCCACACCAGATCCAACAGTAAAATGTAAAAATCTTTCTGATTCAGGAAGGTTAAACACAACCTCTAACCAATCAGTAATTGACCACTAAATGGTCTTGAACCAAGGGTATTCTGTTGGAAACCAGGATAAAGATAAAAACAAGAAAAAAATTTTGCAAACAGGGTCACAAGACTGCACACTGTGAGGGAAATAGACTTCACAACTTATCAAACAAAGAAGCAACCCAAGTTGGGCATGTGGGTTGGGGGACTCAGGATCCAGAGTTGCTATAATACATTATCTTAAATGTCCAGTTTTGGCCGGATGTAGTGGCTCATGCCTGTCCCAGTGCTTTGGGAGGCCAAGGCAGGAAGATAACTTGAGGCCAGCAGTTCTAAACCAGCCTAGGTGACACAAGCAAGATTCCATCTCTACAAAAAATACAAGTAAAAATAATTTTTTAAAAAGCTGGGTGTGGTGGTGCATGCCTATTGTCCCAACCACTCAGGCAGCTAAGGCAGGAGGATCACCTGTTCCCAAAAATTCGAGGCTGCAGTGAGCTATGATCACATCACTGCACTCCAGCCTGGGCAACAGAGTGAGATTCTGTCTCAAAAGAGAGAGAGATAGTGAGAAGGAGAGAAAGACAGACATGAAAAGAAACACTAAAGTATGACCCATACACAGGATAAAAAGCAGCCACAGGAACTGCTTTGAGAGGGCCTATATGTGCAAAAAAACACTCTAAAACAGCTATTATAAATATGTTCAAAGAGCTGATGAAAGCCATGTTTAAAGAATTAAGAAAAAATATGTTGATAATTTATAAAATAGAGAATATTAATAAACAGAAAGTTTTAAAAAAATCAAATGGAAATTCTGGAATTCAAAAGTATAATAACTGAAAAGAAAAATTCACCAGAGGCCTCAACAGGAAGTTTAAGCTGACAGAAAAAAAGAATCACTGAATTTGGAGAGACAGATTAACAAAGATTACACAATCAGAAGAACAGATTTTTAAAAGAATGAAGAAAAATGAATAGAACATCAGAGAAATATAGGGCACCATTAAGCACAACAACATACACATTACAGGAGTTCCAGAAAGACAGGAGAGAGAAAAAGCAGCAGAGAAAAATATTCAAAGAAATAATAGCTGAAAACTTGCCAAATCTGATGCAAAGCATTAATGCACACATCTAAGAAGCACAACATACTCCAAAAAAGATAAACAAAAGGGATATATATCTAGACATAATCAAAGTCAAAATGTTAAAAGTCAAAGATAAAATCATGAAAGCAGCAAAGGAAAAAGAACTTATCATTTAGATAAGAACCCCAATAAAATTAGTATCTCACTTATTAGAAACAATGAGGTCCAGAGACAATGGGATGAGACAGTCAAAATGCTGAAAGGAAAAAAAACTGCCAAGCAAGAATCTTATATCTAGCAAAACTATAAATGAAAGCAAAATAAAGACATTCACAGATAAAAAAAAAAAGCTGATAGAATTTATTGGTAGAAGACCTGCTTTAAAGGAAATACTAAAGGTAACTGGGCTGAAAGCAAGTGACAATAACTCAAATCCACATGAAAAAGCCTATGAATAATGGTAATTATACAGATAATTATGGGAGATAATATGATTGTATATTTATTTTCCTTTATTCCCTTAACTGATTTAAAAAGCAATGGCATAAAACAATATGATATTGTATTACAAGGCCTATAACATTTATAAATGTAATATACTTGATAATAATACCACAAAAGAGGCAGATCAGAATAAAGCTGAATTGGAGTAAAACAATGATACCAGTTGGTAACTTGAATCTATAGGAAAACATGCACAGAGCCAGAAATGTAAAATAGGAAGCTTAATAAAATAAACTCTATAAATAAATACTTGCTCTTCTTATCTCAGCTTCTTTAAGAGACCTAAGACCATATAAAGTAATATTTGTAACAATATATTGTATTTATAAAATATACAAACATAATATGTATAACAGTAATAGAACAAAAATAGGGAAAAATAATTTTGTTATACGGAAACAATGTTTCTATATCTCACTGGAAAAAGGTTAGCATAAGAATGAAGTCAGTTCTGATAACTTAAGAAGCCCTAGAGCATCCACTAAGAGCATAACTCAAAAATATACTAAAAAAATCATTAAAGGAATTAAATTGTTACACCAGAAAATATTCACTTAATGTAAAAAGAAAAGCAGTATAGGTGGGAAAAACACAAAAAGATGAGATAGACTGAAAACAAAAAGGGAAATGGCAGGTTTAAATCCAACCATATCAATAACAACATTAAATATGAATGGATTAAACAACCTAATCAAAAGGCAGAGATGGTAAGATGTGATTCTTTTTAAAAATATACTATCTGAGACATACATTGGATTCAAAGATAACAAACAAGATGAAAGTCAAAGGATGGAAAAAGACATACCATGCAAATGGCAAAAGAGACCTGGAGTGGTGGTCTGGTTTGGCTCTGTGTCCCCACTCAAATCTCATCTTGAATTGTAATACCATAATCCCCACATGTTGCGGGAGGGACGCAGTGGGAGATAATTGAATCATGGGGGCGGTTTCTCTATGAACAGTGTTCTCATGGTAATGAATAAGTCTCATGATATCTGATGGCTTAATAAGGGGAAATCTATTTCTCTTGGTTCTCATTCTCTCTCTTGCTGCTGCCATGTAAGAAGTGCTTTTCCCCTTATGCCATGATTGTGAAGCCTCCCTAGCCACATGGAACTATAAGTCCATTAAACCTCTTTCTTCTGTAAATTGCCCAGTCTTGGGTATGTCTTTATCAACAGTGTAAAAACAAACTAAAACAGTAAATTGGTACCAGTAGAGTGGGGTGCTGCTGAAAAGATACCTGAAAATGTGGAAGCAACTTTGGAACTGGCTAACAGGCAGAGGGTGGTACAGTTCGGAGGGCTCAGAAGAAGACAGAAAAAGGTGGGAAAGTTTGGAACTCCCTAGAGACTTGTTGAATGGCTTTGACCAAAATGCTGATAATGATGTGGACAATGAAATCCAGGCTGAAGTGGTCTCAGATGGAGATGAGGACCTTGTTGGTAACTGGAGCAAAGGTGACTCTTGTTATGTTTTAGCAAAGAGACTGGCAGCATTTTGCCCCTGCCCTAGAGATTTGTGGAACTTTGAACTTGAGAGAGATTATTTAGGGTGTCTGGTGGAAGAAATTTCTAAGCAGCAAAGCATTCAAGAGGTGACTTGTGTGCTGCTAAAGGCATTCAGTTTTATACAGGAAGCAGAGCATAAAAGTTTGGAAAATTTGCAGCCTGACAAGGCAATAGAAAAGAAAATCCCATTTTCTGAGGAGAAATTCAAGTCAGCTGCAGAAACTTGCATAAGTAATAAACAGCTGAATGTTAATCCCCAAGACAATAGGGAATATGTCCCCAGGGCATGACAGAGATCTTCACAGCAGCCCCTCCCATCACAGGCCCAGAGGTCTAGGAGGAAAAAATGGTTTCATGGGCCCGGGCCAGGGCCAGGGTCCCGATGCTGTGTACAACCTAGGGACTTGGTGCCCTGTGTCCCAGCTGCTTCAGCCATGGCTGAAAGGGACCTATGTAGAGCTTGGGCTGTGGCTTCAGAGGGTTCAAGCCCCTAACCTTGGCAGCTTCCACGTGGTGTTGAGCCTGCAAGTACACAGAAGTCAAGAATTGGGGTTTGGGAACCTCTGCCTAGATTTCAGAAGACGTATGGAAATGCCTGGATGCTCAGGCAAAAGTTTGCTGCAAGGGCAGGGCCCTCATGGAGAACCTCTGCTAGGGCAGTGCTGAAGGGAAATGTGGGCTTGGAGCCCTCACAGAGAGTCCCTACTGGGGCACTACCTAGTGGAGCTGTGAGAAGAGAGCCACTGTCCTCCAGACCCCAGAATGGTAGATCCACTGACAGTTTGCACCATGTGCCTAGAAAAGCCAGAGATACTCAACACCAGCCCATGAAGGCAGCCAGGACAGAGACTGTACTCTGCAAAGCCACAAAGGCAGAGCTGCCCACGACCATGGAAACCCACCTCTAGTATCAGCATGACCTGGATATGAGACATGGAGTCAAAGGAGATCATTTTGGAGCCTTAAGATTTGACTGCCCCGCTGGATTTCGGACTTGCATAGGGCCTGTAGCCCCTTCATTTTGGCCAATTTCTCTCATTTGGAATGGCTGTATTTACCCAATGCCTGTACCCCCATTGTATCTACAAGGTAACTAACTTGCTTTTGATTTTACAGGCTTATAGGTGGAAGGGACTTGTCTTGTCTCAGATGAGACTTCGGACTGTGGACTTCTGAGTTAATGCTGAAATGGGTTAAGACTTTGGTGGACTATTGGGAAGGCATCATTGGTCTTGAAATGTGAGGACATGAGATTTAGGAGGGGTCAGGGGTGGAATTACATGGTTTGGCTCCATGTCCCCAGCCAAATCTCCTCTTGAATTGTACTCCCATAATTCCCATGTGCTGTGGGAGGGACCTGGTGGGAGATAATTGAATCATGGGGGCAGTTTCTCCCATACTGTTCTCATGTTATGTTTTAATGAAAAATCTACTTAGATACCACAGCCCAGGTGCTAGGTATGCTCATTGCTATTGGATGTTATTGCTTTTAGGTATTTTCAGTGAAATATATCCTTTTAGAAAGGAAAAAAAAATCTTGAGTTCATACTGATATTTTCATTTCCAACTTCATTGTATAGATTTATGCTTAACTTTGGTTCTCCACCTACCTGTATGTCTTTTTTTAAGCTAAACATTTGTTTCTTGATACAGTAACTGAATTACCTATTTCTTTATCATCTAATATACTTACAATATTACTGTTAACAATGCCAGTATTACTATTAACAATGAAACTACTAACGATGTTTATTTTGGTAGTTCTTTTTGTTAGAGTATATTCCATTAGGGATGAAGAGAAAGAATACTGTCTTTTGAAGTACAAGTTTAATATTCTTTATTTGAAATGCTTGGGACCAGCAGTATTTAGAATTTTGGATTTTGGAATATTTGCACTACCCTATGGGTATGATGCAGGCCTTTTTGACACTTTCAATAATATATTTATACCACAGAGCAGAAAATAAGCAAAAAACCCACAGTGAGTAATGCACATAGGTCTTGGCCCCATGTGGGGCAACGTGGGGAACCTGGTGTTGGTGTGTCTGATCTGAACGTGTGCTATTTTATTACCCTTTGTGGATGTGCTTGCATGAAGGAATCTGGGCATGTCCAGAAAAGCTGAATTGCAGCTGAAGGGAGCTAAGAGGGTCTTTTTCTCTTAGGGTGACTGAATAAATTGTATGTTGTGTGCCAGTGTGTTGACTGCAATCATCATATGAAATCAGGTGTGAAATTTTTCACTCATGGCATCATGTCAACACTCAAAAAGTTTTGGATTTCTGATTTTTCGGTTAGGGATGCTCAACCTGGACTTGAAAGAATTTTATTCTCTATCCTACTAACTTCTTATGTAAGAAAGTCAGCTGATTCTAGAGGGAGGAAAGTACTTGAATCAATAGTATGATCAAAGGTGAAAAGCCATGGGCAAGCTTTAAGTAGAAGTGTATTTCCTTAAGGGGCCTACTGTTTAAGCTAAATAAGTGATGACTGTGATGCTAGCCACTTACTGAAATTTCTCTTCTTGTTCCAGTTAAGAACCCCTGGTGGCTTTAAAATATGTCTGTAAATTTAACATTCCTGCCTCCAAAGGTAGAGCCTAATTTCCCTCCTCAAGAGTACAGGCTGGAGTTTTAGTGGCTTGCTTTTAACAAATAGTATATGGCAGAAATGACAGTATGTGACTTCTAAGGCTAGGTTAAAAAGTATTGTGGCTTCCTCCTTGTTCTCAATCTTGATTCATTAACCCTGGGGGATGCCAGTTGTCATACTGTGAGGACATTCAAGCAGCTCTATGGAGGGGTCCATGTGGCAATGAACATGGCTCCTGCCTGTAGCTATGTCAGTGAGCCACCTTAGAAACAGATCTTCCAACCCCAAACTTTTTGTTGATTGTGTTCCCAGTCAACATCTTGACTACAACCTCATGAGAGACCCTTAGACAGAACCAACTCACCTATGCCACTCTGAAATTCCTGACTCACAGATACTGCAACATGATAAATGTTTATTATTATTTTAAGTTTTGTGGTAATTTGTTAGGTAGCAACAGATAACTAATACAGAACCTAAATGTAGGTTTAAAGTAGGTGGACACTCACTGAAAGTCATTTATTACTCTTTGGTGAGGAGAGAGCTTTTTAAAGGTAGAGAGTACATAAGCAGGCGTCAGAATTCCAAGTATTGGGCTACAGAGGAATTGGTAAGTGTAGATAGTTGGCGAAAGGACTGCCAAAGTATTAGTTACTGCCAAAGTAATGTATTCACTCCCTTGGGATCACCAACTGGATTTCCAGAAGAGTGAGGCTCTAGCTTCTGCCTTTTCCCTTCCTCCGTACCTTTTTCTCATGCTCCTTGATCCTGAATTTGACACAAAACATCCAGAGATAAACACCACAGCTCTTATAGCAACCTCCTTATAAAACTATTTTTCCTGAAAGAAACCAATGCATTCTGTATTTTCTTTGCTGAACAAAATGTAAATATCCAGGCATAAATTCTTTATGTTTTGCTTGTATATGGCTTGTATATGAATTATAGATTTAATCGTATCTACCATTGCTTTCAATTTCCCTAGCTGGCCTTAAATTCCCAATGTAAAGTAGTTTGAAAGGTAGAATTTTTAGGTTGCTGTGTCTTAATAATTTTTAAGGGATTTGACTGTTATTGTCCCTGTGATATGTATGGCATTTTTCTCTCCAAGACATTTTATAGCTTTTACAATTAGATTGTGTCCTTTGTTGTGATTCAATGTCTTATGCTTTCAGAGTTGTAATTTTTTGTACCCACTTCCATGGTATGGACCATGTGATCATAAAGGTTTAAAGTCCAAATACTCCAAAATCCAAAAAAAATTCAAAATCCTAAACACTGCTTGTCCCAAGCATTGCAAATAAAGAATATTCAACTTGTACTTCAAAAGACAGTATTCTGACTCTTCATCCCTAATAGCATATACTTTAAGAAAAAGAACTACCAAAATAAACATCATTAGTAGTTTCACTGTTAATAGTAATACTGGCATTGTTAGTAGTAATATTGTAAGTATATTAGATGATAAAGAAATAATTCAATTACTGTATTAAGAAACAAATGTTTAGCTTAAAAAAAGACATACGAGTAGGTAGAGAACGAAAGTTAAGCATAAATCTATGCTATGAAGTCTGAAATGAAAATATCAGCATAAACTCATGATTTTTTTTCCTTCTAAAAGGATATAGTTCACTGAAAACGCCTAAAAGCAATAACATCCAATAGCAATGAGCATACCTTGCATCCAGACTGTGGTCTCTAAGTAGATTTTCCATCAAAACATAACAATTTACAGAAAATATGTGAAGAAATAAGCTAAACAATACCACAAAGATAAAATGAGCCAAAACCAGAATTTGGGAAATTCTATAGGACAAATAAGCCACTTTTTTCAACAAATAGGAGACATAAAAATCCTAAAATATAGAAAGGACTGTTGTAGATTAAAACATATTTAAGATACATAACAAACACATATGATGTATGAGGCTTAATGTATTCTAATTCAAATTAAAACTTTCTATAAAAACACATATTTTAGATAACCTCAGAAATCTGAATATAGACTGGATGTTAAATGGTATAAAGAAACTTAACTTTTATTAGGTGAAATGATATCGCGAGTATGAAAAACTTTTTCTTATCTTTTAGAGGTTTGGGCTCAAGTATTTATGGGTAAAATAGTATTATGTCTGGGATTTCTTTAAAATACTCCAATAACAAAATCAGTTCATGTTCTAGCCAAACAGTCCAGAGTTCTACCACATAATATAATGTATAATCAATTTTCACAAGAGAGTTTACTGCAAGGCCAGGTGTGGCAGCTCCTGCCTGTAATCCCAGCACTTTGGGAGGCCTAGGCGGGCGGATCACTTGAGGCCAGGAGCTCAAGACCAGCTTGGTCAAACTGGTGAAACCCCATCTCTACTAAAAATACAAAAACTTAGCTGAGCATGGTGATACATGCCTGCAATCCCAGCTACTCAAGAGGCTGAGGCACAAGAAGCGCTTGAGCCTAGGAGGCAGAGGTGGCAGTGAACCGAGATCACGCCACTACACTCCAGCCTGGGTGATAGGGGGAAACTCTTGTCTAAAACAAAAACAAAAACAAAAACAAAAAAGGGTTCACTGTAGACACACATAAAATGAATAATCACCATGTCTGAGGCCTATTCTTTCAATATATGTGAATCCCCAAATCAATGCCAACAAACCCCTTCATTTCAACATCCCATACACTCACAGATTACAGGATACTTCAAATAAAAACTTTGTTAAAGTTTTGATAGCTTATTTCAATGCCATTACCTTTACCTACTAACAAGGTAAACCTAATAAAAGAGAAATAAAGGTTAGTCTGGCATGACTTGTTCTTAGTGATGCCTATGATTCCCAAAGAGCACTACATTCTTGCCTATGTCTTCCAACCATATATTTAATAACTTTTTGCACATTTTCTAAGGAACAACATTGAGCTGATCATTTGTAATTCTCAAATTCTAACTTTTCCACTCTTTAAAAAATGTATTTATTAACAGTTTTATTAAGATGTAATTCACATGCCACACAGTCTACCTATTTAAAGAATATAATTCATTGTTTTTTAGTATATTAAAAGGGTTGTATAACCCTCACCACAATCTAATTTTGGAACATTTTCATTCCCCCTAAAAGAAACCCTTTAACCATTAGTTGTCACTCACCATTCCCCACCCTCTAGACCCCCCATCTCTAATCTGTCTCTATAGATTTGACTATTACGGATATTTCAAATTAATGGAATGGTAAGATGTGGATTTTTTTTTTTTACTGCTTTTTCACTTTTAGAAAATAGGATATTATCTTTTAGTATCTCTCCCATAAAACAATTAAGACCTGTAAGATAATATATTCTAGTTCCTTCAACACTCCAGAATGCTTAAAGAAGCTCACACTCCCCAGGTAGTAGGACCAGCATTGGGTTCCCAAGGCTTCCCTGTTTTACATCTTTACTCCTGTGACACCAAAGGCATTTCAGCAATCCAATACCCAGGGCCTAGGCCATTTCTCTGATCATCTTTGCCTGACATCACACCAACTACTGGTTTCAACTTTTAATTTTCATGACTTTTCTCTAGACTTCCACTCCTGTCTTGTCATTCTCTTCTCTCACCACTAGTCAGGATATGCCATGGTGCCAAGAGCATATGAACCACAGGCAGATTGGAGGATTGCAAGAGGGAATGCAGTAAGTGGGGAAACTGGATTCTGGGAATAGAGGCCTGTGTCTTTGGTTCCTTTAACATCATTGAAGGAACCAGAGATTATTTCATATATGCAAAGGCCAAATAGGAGACAGCCAATGCTAGACTGTGAGGCAGAAATGGATTAGAGCCAAGTTCGAAGTGGGGCAAAGGAACAAATAGGAAAGAAAAGAAGAAAAATTAAAATGCTCAGGGCTCACTTTACTCAAAGGAAGAAAAGACTCTTGATCAGTATAGGTCAGCTCTGGGAAGTGAGGGAGCAAATGGGCTATGGTGTTAGACAGAAGAAGTGCTTTGGCGTGAGGTTTCTCTGCTTCTGACAGAGAAAGGATTCACACTGTCACATGTCCAAGCCTGCATTCTTCTGGCCATTAAACTGGATCCTGGGAAGAATTCTCTCCTCCTAGTCCTCTAAACTATATGCAAAAATGACCACCCATCACCAAGATATACATTATCAAACAAGCAAACAAACAATGAAAAACAAACAACAAAAAAAACTGCCTAAACCCTTCTGAAGTACTGTTTCATACTATGAAGGAATATGCCCTGTCTATTCCCATGGCTCCCAGCAGCCTTCTCCGCCTCTGCCTGTGTTAGGCATTTCTTCTGTAAATAGGCAGAACAAATCTTCTTAATCCCAGATAGTTAATACCCTTTCCCATCCTAGAAGTTTTTAAACCCAGAGGCAACTTTCAGTAACTGAAATGAATAACAAGATATCTTCAGCAAGTGCCTCAGCCTTGCAATGTTGTCCCAGGGCCAGAAAAAATGTGTAGTAAGCTAAAATAAATATGGTTTCTGAGATAAACCATGTATACTAGAATTCATAATCTTAATGTTACCATTTATTGCAGTTACTATTAACCAACTGGTATGCAATTATAGTAGTCTGATATTTTAACCTGCTGATATATCCTGGCTGATCATTAAGCTGAACTGATCAGAAACATTATCCTGCCTCAGGCTGATTATGAAAGTGACACCAGACTCCATAAAGCTGTAAACCTCCTATCAGGACTGGACATAACTGCGTAACACTCTATAAGAAGGAAACATTCTTCTAAACCCTATAAAGCACCATATTAAAGGAGTTTTAAAGGAAAACAAGTTGAAAAAAAATACTATGTAACCAAAAAGCTCTATATGGTTATTAAAAGTAACATGTAAAATGACACCTATCATATTACACACAACAAACCCATCACACAGTAAAATTTCATTATAAATTCTAAGTATTCATTAGCAGAATGAAATTAAACTAAAATTTCTGTATGTTTTTCTATTGTGTGGTCCCAGAGATATTTAATATTTGCAAAATATAGTATTTGTTCTGCAAATAAAAGCATCACAGTACCTTATAATGTCCATTCATCACTGCATCATGTAGGGGAGTAATCTGGTATAATCCTTTGATATTTACATCTGCTCCACCTTTTAATAGTTCACTTGCTGTCCGATAAAATCCTCCTACACTAGCTTCATGAAGTGCTGTCCAACCTATCATACAAAAAGATACGGCATTTGTTTACATTTGGCATCTTAATAATGTTTTGTGCTTGCCCTTAAAAAACAACTTTGATTCTAAGTTCTTTCTTCAAAAATATTTTGATTATATGAGTCAAGATAGTATCACCTGAAAGCACACTGTATTATTTGGTAGGTTCAATAAACCTGAAGGACAAATCAAACTCCTACCCCTCAACTCTGCTGTGCAAAAATGTGAAAAGAAACAAAATATTTGAAAGTAATCTTGACCTCTCCAAATAAATAGGCTGTGCAGGAGTCATTATCAACTCAAAGTGAATGCTGGTTGCAGGCTGCTTTTCTGCAGAGATGAGGGGAGAAAAGCTTTATTTCTAGTTCAAGGTACTTCCATTAAAGTATCCAGCTGGCTGGACTACATATCACTCAGTTCAAAAGGATATATTCATTTTTTCTCCTTCTTTACAAAAAGCTATTTATAGTAGTTTAACAAACCACAAACTGCTCCAAGAAAACCAGTCATACAGGCAAATATTCTTTTTCTTTGTTGGCCAAGGACAATGGTATAAGTTACAGATATTTATTAAATTCCAGTAAATCATATGACAGATGTAAGAAAACTTTAAAGTTGCACGTCAAAAGAGACTTTCACTAGCTCTTCTCAGAACACTCATCATAAAATAGGGATTACGAATCTCAGCTTATGTTTCTTAGTTTTTATGAGTATCACAGAATGTTTACCAGCATCCCTGGCCTCAACCCACCAGATGATAGTAGAAACTCCTATCCTAGTTCTAACAACTAAACATGTTTCCAGAAACTGCCAAAAGTCCCCTGGGGAGGGGGTGGGAGCAAAAGCACTCCAGTTGAGAACCACTGCCTCAGGGAAGAAGTTTCTCCTATAGTATTATTACTGAGTTTTGACGAAGAAATGAAGAGACCCCAAAATGGTAAATATATAGTTAACAAGGTTTTTTCCCTATAAATTTCCTTAAAATGAATATGGCTTGTTTAAAGCAAAAGTTATAAAATTTATGTCTGTAGATATATATGATAGCTATAGCACAACGGATATGGGGGAATAAATGGACTATATGTATTCAATGTCCTCATATTTCATATGAAGTATTATAATATTAATTCAAAGATAACTGTGAAACATTAGAGGTGTACACTTAATCCCTAGAGTAACTATGAAAAAATACTGCAAAGACAAAGAAAGAAACAAAATACAGATTAAGCACATAGAAAACAATTAGTAAAATGGCAGACCTAAATCCAACCATTTATGTTAAATGTAAATTGACTAATCATGCTAATTTTCAATTAAAAGGTAAGACTGTCTGAATGAATAAAAAAAGCAAAACTGTCTGCTGTTTACAAGAAACATAGTTTATTTTTGTTCCAACTTTTCTTTTAGGTTAAGGTTGTACATGTGCAGATTTTTTAAATGGGTAAATTGTGTGTCACTGAGGTTTGGTGTACAAATGATCCCATCACCCAGGTAGTGTGCATAGTACCCAATAGATAGTTTTTCAACCCATGCCCCACTCCCTTCCTCCTCCCATAAGTAGTCCCCAGTGTCTACTGTTCCCTTCTTAAGAAACATGCTTTAAATATAAAGACACAGATAGGTTGAAAATAAAAGGATAGAAAAAGATACAGTAAAAGGATAGAAAAACATATCGTAAATAAGCAGTAAACATAAGAAGGCTAGATGTCTATATTAATATTATATATAGTAGAGTTCAAGATAAAGTATATTACCAAGCAATAAAGACAGACATTTCATGGTGATGAAAGAGCTAATTTATCACAAGACATGACAATCATAACGTTATGTATCTAATAACAGAGCTTCAAAATATAAGGAGCAAAAACTGCCAGAATCAAAGAAAGAAACAGACAATTCCACAATCACATTTATGAGGATTTTAACATCTCTCTAAAAAAAAATGGATCAATGAGACATAAAATCAATAAAGATATAGAACAGCTGAACAACATTATCAACACCTTTACCTAGCTGAAATTTATAAAACATTACATCCAACTAAAGAATAAACATTCAAGTGCACCTGGGATATTCAACAAAGGAGATAATATATTATGCAATAATCAATTCTCAATAAATGCAAAAAGGTCAAAATCATGTAAAATGTATCCTTTATGTTCTTTTTAGTCAAATTAGAAATCAATAACAGAAAGGTATCTAGAGAATCCCCAAACATTTTAAAATTAAACAACTTCTAATATAATCACTGGATCAAAGAAGAAAGCATATGAGAAATTAAAAATATTTCAAACTGAATTACAATGAAAATAAAACATATAAAAATCTGTGAGATGCAACTATTAAAGTAGTTCTTAGAGGTAAATTAAAGCTTTAAATGCTTATATTAGGCAAAAAGGTACAAAATCAGTGACCTCATTTTCTACCTTATTAAAGCTAAAAGAACAAAGAAAACAAAAATAAGTAGAAGGCAGAAAAAGAACAGAAATCAATAAAGTATAAAACAAATAACAAAGACAACTAAAAGAGCCATAAATCGATTCTTGAAAAAAATCAATAAAATTGAATAATACAACTAAAAAAAAACCACAACTTACCAAAACAGACATAAGATGGAACAGAAAATCTGAATAGCCTATACCTATTAATGAATTTATTATCAAAACTCTCCCACAAATAAAACTATAGGCCCAGATGGTTTCACTCCTAATTCTGTCAAACATTTAAGAAAGAAAAAAAAAAAACTTAAATGTTAGACAAATTCATTCAGAAAATAGAAGAGGTGAGAAGACTTCTTAACTTATGAGGCTGGCATAACCCTGATACCAAAACCAAAGGCATTATAAAAATATTATACACTGATAATTATAAATCTATAAAGATAGATTTTTTAAAATCCTTAACAAAATATTAGCAAATCTTGATCAAAAGGATCCAGAAAAAAGCATTATCCCCCTCAAAAAAATCACAGACAAAAGAATTATCTCTCCCCCAAAATTATAGGCCAATGTTACTCATGAACATAGATGCAAAAACCCTTATTATAGCAAATCGAATCCAGCCATATATAAAAAGAATGATACATCATGACCAGATACAGTTTATTCTAAGAATGTAAGGTTGGTTTAACATTTGAAAATCAATAAAGCTAATTCACCACAGTAGTGAAATAAGAGAGAAAAATTATATGGTCATATCAATAGATGTATGAAAAGTACATGAGAAAAGCTAGCATAAACTCTATTTAAAAAAAAAAAAACTCTGTAAATTAAGAATAGGCTCCTTGATAGAGACACAAAAAAAACTTAAAAAAATCAATGAATCCAGGAGCTGGTTTTTTGAAAAGATCAACAAAATTGATACACCTCTAGCAAGACTGATAAAGAAGAAAAGAGAGATGAATCAAATAGATGCAATAAAAAATGATAAAGGGGATATCACCACCGATCCCACAGAAACACAAACTGCCATCAGAGAATACTATAAACACCTCTACGCAAATCAACTAGAAAATCTAGAAGAAATGTATAAATTCCTCGACACATACACCCTCCCAAGACTAAACCAGGAAGAAGTTGAATCTCTGAATAGACCAATAACAGGCTCTGAAACTGAGCAATAATTAATAGCCTACCAACCAAAAAAAGTCCAGGACCAGACAGATTCACAGCCGAATTCTAACAGAGGTACAAAGAGGAGCTGGTACCATTCCTTCTGAAACTATTCCAATCAACAGAAAAAAAGGGAATCTTCCCTAACTTATTTTATGAGGCCAACATCATCCTGATACCAAAGCCTGGCAGAGACACAACAAAAAAAGAGAATTTTAGACCAATATCCCTGATGAACATTGATGCAAAAATCCTCAATAAAATACTGGCAAACCGAATCCAGCAGCACATCAAAAAGCTTATCCACCATGATCAAGTGTGCTTCATCACTGGGATGCAAAGCTGGTTCAACATATGCAAATCAATAAATGTAATCCATCACATAAACAGAACCACTGACACAAACCCCATGATTATTTCAATAGATGCAGAAAAGGCCTTCAAAAAAATTCAACAGCCCTTCATGCTAAAAACTCTCAATAAACTAGGTATTGATGGGACGTATCTCAAAATAGGAGCGATTTACGACAAACCCACAGCCAATATCATACTGAATGGGCAAAAACTGGAAGCATTCCCTTTGTAAACCAGCACATGATAAGGATACCCTCTCTCAACTCCTATTCAACATAGTGTTGGAAATCCTGGCCAGGGCAATCAGGCAAGAGAAAGAAATAAAGAGGATTCAATTAGGAAAAGAGGAGGTCAAATTGTCCCTGTTGCAGATGACATCACTTTATATTTAGAAAACCCCATGGTCTCAGCCCAAAATCTCCTTAAGCTGATAAGCAACTTCAGCAAAGTCTCAGGATACAAAATCAATGTGCAAAAATCACAAGCATTCCTATACACCAATAACAGACAAACAGAGAGCCAAGTCACGAGTGAACTCCCATTCACAATTGCTACAAAGAGAATAAAATAGCTAGGAATCCAACTTACAAGGGATGTGAAGGACCTCTTCAAGGAGAACTATAAACCACTGCTCAATGAAATAAGAGGAGACAAACAAATGGAAGAACATTCCATGCTCATGGATACGACAAATCAATATGATGAAAATGGCCATACTGCCCAAGGTAATTTATAGATTGAATGCCATCCCCACCAAGCTACCAATGACTCTTCACAGAATTGGAAAAAACTACTTTAAAGTTCATATGGAACCAAAAAATAGCCTGCATAGCCAAGACAATCCTAAGCAAAAAAAACAAAGCTGGAGGCATCATGCTACCTGACTTCAAACTATACTACAAGGTTACAGTAATCAAAACAGCATGGTACTCGTACCAAAACAGATATATAGACCCACAGAACAGAACAGAGACCTCAGAAATAACAGCACACATCTACCACCATCTGATCTTTGACAAACCTGACAAAAACAAGAAATGGGGAAACGATTCCCTATTTAGTAAATGGTGCTGGGAAAACTGGCTAGCCATATATAGAAAGCTGAAACTGGATCCCTTCCTTACACCTTATACAAAAATTAATTCAAGATGGATTAAAGACTTAAATGTTAGACCTAAAACCATAAAAACCCTAGAAGAAAACCTAGGCAATACCATTCAGGACATAGGCATTGGCAAAACTTCATGACGACAACACCAAAAGCAATGGCAACAAAAGCCAAAATAGACAAATGGATCTAATTAAACTAAAGAGCTTCTCCACAGGAAAAGAAACTACCATCAGAGTGAACAGTGAACAGGCAACCTACAGAATGGGAGAACATTTTTGCACTCTACCCATCTGACAAAGGGGTAATATCCAGAATCTACAAGGAACTTAGATAAATTTACAAGAAAAAACAACCCCAACAAAAAGTGGGTGAAGGATATGAACAGACACTTCTCAAAAGAAGATATTTATGCAGCCAACAGACACATGAAAAAATGCTCATCATCACTGATCATCAGAGAAATGCAAATCAAAACCACAAAGAGATACCATCTCATGCCAGTTAGAATGCGATCATTAAAAAGTCAGGAAACAACAGATGCTGGAGAGGATGTGGAGAAATAGGAACGCTTTTACACTGTTGGTGGGAGTGTAAATTAGTTCAACCATTTTGCAAGACAGTGTGGTGATTCCTCAAGGATCTAGAACTAGAAATACCATTTGACGCAGCCATCCCATTACTGGGTATACACCCAAAGGATTGTAAATCATGCTACTATAAAGACACATGCACATGTATGTTTTTTGTGGCACTATTCACAATAGCAAAGACTTGGAACTAACCCAAATGCCCATCAGTGATAGATTGGATTAAGAAAATGTGGCACATATACACCATGGAATACTATGCAGCCATAAAAAAGGATGAGTTCATGTCCTTTGCAGGGACATGAATGAAGCTGGAAACCATCATTCTGAGCAAACTATCACAAGGACAGAAAACCAAACACCGCATGTTCTCACTCATAGGTGGGAATTGAACAATGAGAACACTTGAACACAGGGCGGGGAACATCACACACTGAGGCCTGTCGGGTCGGGCAGTTGCCTGGGGGAGGGATAGCATTAGGAGAAATACCTAATGTAAATGACAAGTTAAAGGGTGCAGCACACCAACATGGCACATGTATACCTATGTAACAAACCTGCATGTTGTGCACATGTACCCTAGAGCTTCAAGTATATTAAAAAAAGAATAGACTCCTCAATCTGATAAAGAGCATCTATAAAAACCTATAGTTAAAATCATGTTTAATCGTGAAATATGCTGAAATATTGAAAGAGGCAAAACTAATATAGAGTGAAAAATATCAGAACAGTAGTGGCATCTTGAGAGTGAGGAATGACTGAGAGAGGCATGAGGGAACTTTCTGGGATAGTGTATCTGTCAACATTCATCAAATGGCATATTTAAGATTTGTAGTTCACTATATGAAAATGTTACCTCAGAAAACACACACACACACACACACACACACACACACATTCACACACACCCCTGAACTCTAATAATATTCATGCTGGGGTGTTTAGTGATAAAACACACTGTTGGTTGGGGTGGAGCCAAGATGGCCGAACAGGAACAGCTCCAGTCTACAGCTCCCAGCGTGAGCGATGCAGAAGACGGGTGATTTCTGCATTTCCAACTGCGGTACCGAGTTCATCTCACTGTGGAGTGCCGGATAGTGGGTGCAGGACAGTGGGTGTAGTGCACCATGTGTGAGCCGAAGCAGGGTGAGGCATCGCCACACCCGGGAAGCGCAAGGGGTCAGGGAATTCCATTTCCTAGTCAAAGAAAAGGGTGACAGACGGCACCTGGAAAATTGGGTCACTCCCACCCTAATACTGCGCTTTTCCAACAGGCTTAACAAACAGCACACCAGGAGATTATATCCCGCACATGGCTCAGAGGGTCCTATGCCCACGGAGCTTCACTCATTACTAGCACAGCAGTCTGAGATCAAACTGCAAGGTGGCAGTGAGGCTGGGGGAGGGGCGCCTGCCATTGCTCAGGCTTGAGTAGGTTAACAAAGCGGCCAGGAAGCTCGAACTGGGTGGAGCCCACCACAGCTCAAGGACGCCTGCCTGCCTCTGTAGGCTCTACCTCTGGGGACAGGGCACAGACAAACAAAAGACAGCCATAACCTCTGCAGACTTAAATGTCCCTGTCTGACAGCTTTGAAGAGAGTAGTGGTTCTCCCAGCATGCAGCTTGAGATCTGAGAAAGAGCAGACTGCCTCTTCAAGTGGGTCCCTGACCCCCGAGTAGCCTAACTGGCAGGCACCCCCAAGTAGGGGTGGACTGACACCTCACATGGCCGGGTACTCCTCTGAGACAAAACTTCCAGAGGAACAATCAGGCAGCAGCATTTGTGGTTCACCAATATCCGCTCTTCTGCAGCCACTGCTGCTGATACCCAGACAAGCAGGGTCTGGAGTGGACCTCCAGTAAACTCCAACAGACCTGCAGCTGAGGTTCCTGACTGTTAGAAGGAAAACTAACAAAAAGAAAGGACATCCACACCAAAAACCCGTCTGTACGTCACCATCATCAAAGACAAAAGGTAGATAAAACCACAAAGATGGGGAAAAAACAGAGCAGAAAAACCGGAAACTCTAAAAATCAGAGTGCCTCTCCTCCTCTAAAGGAACGCAGCTCCTCACCAGCAATGGAACAAAGCTGGATGGAGAATGACTTTGACGAGTTGAGAGAGGAAGGCTTCAGAAGATCAAACTACTCCGAGCTAAAGGAGGAAGTGCAAACCAATGGCAAAGAAGTTAAAAACTATGAAAAAAAATTAGACGAATGGATAACTAGAATAATCAATGCAGAGAAGTCCTTAAAGGACCTAATGGAGCTGGAAACCACGGCACGAGAACTACGTGACAAATGCACAAGCCTCAGTAATCGATGCGATCAGTTGGAAGAAAGGGTATCAGCGATGGAAGACGAAATGAATGAAATGAAGTGTGAAGAAAAGTTTAGAGAAAAAAGAATAAAAAGAAATGAACAAAGCCTCCAAGAAATATGGGACTATGTGAAAAGACCAAATCTACGTCTAATTGCCGTACCTGAAAGTGACAGGGAGAATGGAACCAAGTTGGAAAACACTCTGCAGGATATTATCCAGGAGAACTTCCCCAATCTAGCAAGGTGGGCCAACATTCAAATTCAGGAAATACAGAGAACGCCACAAAGATACTCCTCGAGAAGAGCAACTCCAAGACACATCATTGTCAGATTCACCAAAGTTGAAATGAAGGAAAAAATGTTAAGGGCAGCCACAGAGAAAGGTCGAGTTACCAACAAAGGGAAGCCCATCAGACTAACAGTGGATCTCTTGGCAGAAACTCTACAAGCCAGAAGAGAGTGGGGGCCAATATTCAACATTCTTAAAGAAAAGAATTTTCAAACCAAAATTTCATATCCAGCCAAACTAAGCTTCCTAAGTGAAGGAGAAATAAAATACTTTACAGACAAGCAAATGCTGAGAGATTTTGTCACCACCAGGCCTGCCCTAAAAGAGCTCCTGAAGGAAGCACTAAACATGGAAAGGAACAACTGGTACCAGCCACTACAAAAACATGCCAAATTGTAAAGACCGTCGATGCTAGGAAGAAACTGCATCAACTAACGAGCAAAATAACCAGCTAACATCATAATAACAGGATCAAATTCAGACATAACAATATTAACCTTAAATGTAAATGGGCTAAATGCTCCAATTAAAAGGCGCAGACTGGCAAACTGGATAAAGAGTCAAGACCCATCCGTGTGCTGTATTCAGGAAATCCATCTCACGTGCAGAGACACACATAGGCTCAAAATAAAGGGATGGAGGAAGATCTACCAAGCAAATGGAAGACAAAAAAAGGCAGGGGTTGCAATCTGAGTCTCAGATAAAACAGACTTTAAACCAACAAAGATCAAAAGAGACAAAGAAGGCCATTACATCATGGTAAAGTGATCAATTCAACAAGAAGAGCTAACTGTCCTAAATATATATGCACCCAATACAGGAGCACCCAGATTCATAAAGCAATTCCTTAGTGACCTACAAAGAGACTTAGACTCCCACACATTAATAATGGGAGACTTTAACACCCCACTGTCAACATTAGACAGATCAATGAGACAGAAAGTTAACAAGGATATCCAGGAATTGAACTCAGCTCTGCACCAAGCAGACCCAATAGACATCTACAGAACTCTCCACCCCAAATCATTAGAATATACATTCTTTTCAGCACCACACCACACCTATTCCAAAATTGACCACATAGTTGGAAGTAAAGCACTCCTCAGCAGATGTAAAAGAATGGAAATTATAACAAACTGTCTCTCAGACCACAGTGTAATCAAACTAGAACTCAGGATTAAGAAACTCACTCAAAACTGCTCGACTACATGGAAACTGAACAACCTGCTCCTGAATGACTACTGGGTACATAATGAAATGAAGGCAAAAATAAAGATGTTCTTTGAAACCAACGAGAACAAAGACACAACATACCAGAATCTCTGGGACACATTCAAAGCAGTGTGTAGAGGGAAATTTATAGCACTAAATGCCCACAAGAGAAAGCAGGAAACATCTAAAATTGACACCCTAACTTCACAATTCAAAGAACTAGAGAAGCAAGAGCAAACACATTCAAAAGCTAGCAGAAGGCAAGAAATAACTAAGATCAGAGCAGAACTGAAGGAAATAGAGACACAAAAAACGCTTCAAAAATTAATGAATCCAGGAGCTGGTTTTTTGAAAAGATCAACAAAATTGATAGACCTCTGGCAAGACTAATAAAGAAGAAAAGAGAGAAGAATCAAATAGACGCAATAAAAAATGACAAAGGGGATATCACCACCGATCCCACAGAAATACAAACTACCATCAGAGAATACTATAAACACCTCTATGCAAATAAACTAGAAAATCTAGAAGAAATGGATAAATTCCTCGACACATACACCCTCCCAAGACTAAACCAGGAAGAAGTTGAATCTCTGAATAGACCAATAACAGGCTCTGAAATTGAGGCAATAATTAATAGCTTACCAACCAAAAAAAGTCCAGGACCAGATGGATTCACAGCTGAATTCTACCAGAGGTACAAGGAGGAGCTGGTACCATTCCTTCTGAAACTATTCCAATCAATAGAAAAAGAGGGAATCCTCCCTAACTCATTTGATGAGGCCAGCATCATCCTGATGCCAAAGCCTGGCAGAGACACAACAAAAAAAGAGAATTTTAGACCAATATCCTTGATGAACATTGATGCAAAAATCCTCAATAAAATACTGGCAAACCGAATCCAACAGCACATCAAAAAGTTTATCCACTATGATCAAGTGGGCTTCATCACTGGGATGCAAGGCTGGTTCAACATATGAAAATCAATAAACGTAATCCATCATATAAACAGAACCAAAGACAAAAACCACGATTATCTCAATAGATGCAGAAAAGGCCTTTGACAAAATTCAACAACCCTTCATGTTAAAAACTCTCAATAAATTAGGTATTGATGGGACATATCTCAAAATTATAAGAGCTATCTATGACAAACCCACAGCCAATATCATACTGAATGGACAAAAACTAGAAGCATTCTCCTTGAAAATGGGCACAAGACAGGGATGCCCTCTCTCACCACTCCTATTCAACATACTTTTGGAAGTTCTGGCCAGGGCAATCAGGCAGGAGAAGGAAATAAAGGGCATTCAATTAGGAAAAGAAGAAGTCAAATTGTCCCTGTTTTCAGATGACATGATTGTATATATAGAAAACCCCATTGTCTCAGCCCAAAATCTCCTTAAGCTGTTAAGCAACTTCAGCAAAGTCTCAGGATACAAAATCAATGGGCAAAAATCACAAGCATTCTTATACACCTATAACAGACAAACAGAGAGCCAAATCATGAGTGAACTCCCATTCAAAATTGCTTCAAAGAGAATAAAATACCTAGAAATCCAACTTACAAGGGATGTGAAGGACCTCTTCAAGGAGAACTACAAACCACTGCTCAATGAAATGAAAGAGGATACAAACACATGGAAGAACATTCCATGCTCATGGGTAGGAAGAATCAATATCGTGAAAATGGCCATACTGCCCAAGGTAATTTACAGATTTAATGCCATCCCCATCAAGCTACCAATGACTTTCTTCACAGAATTGGAAAAAACTACTTTAAAGTTCATATGGAACCAAAAAAGAGCCCGCATCGCCAAGTCAATCCTGAGCCAAAAGAACAAAGCTGGAGGCATCATGCTACCTGAGTTCAAAGTATACTACAAGGCTACAGTAACCAAAACAGCATGGTACTGGTACCAAAACAGAGATATAGACAAATGGAACAGAACAGAGCCCTCAGAAGTAATGCCGCATATCTACAACTATCTGATCTTTGACAAACCTGACAAAAATAAGAAATGGGGAAAGGATTCCCTATTTAATAAATGGTGCTGGGAAAACTGGCTAGCCATATGTAGAAAGCTGAAACTGGATCCCTTCCTTACACCTATACAAAAATTAATTCAAGATGGATTGAAGACTTACATGTTAGACCTAAAACCATAAAAACCCTAGAAGAAAACCTAGGCAATACCATTCAGGACATAGGCATGGGCAAGGACTTCATGTCTAAACACCAAAAGCAATGGCAACAGAAGCCAAAACTGACAAATGGGATTTGATTAAACTAAAGAGCTTCTGCACAGCAAAAGAAACCACCATCAGAGTGAACAGGCAACCTACAAAATGGGAGAAAATTTTTGCAACCTACTCATCTGACAAAGGGCTAATATCCAGAATCTACAATGAACTCAAACAAATTTACAAAAAAAAAAAACAAGCAACCCCATCAAAAAGTGGGCAAAGGATATGAATAGACACTTCTCAAAAGAAGACATTTATGCAGCCAAAAAACACATGAAAAAATGCTCATCATCACTGGCCATCAGAGAAATACAAATCAAAACCACAGTGAGATGCCATCTCACCCCAGTTAGAATGGTGATCATTAAAAAGTCAGGAAACAACAGGTGCTGGAGAGGATGTGGAGAAATAGGAACACTTTTATACTGTTGGTGGGACTGTAAACTAGTTCAACCATTGTGGAAGTCGGTGTGGCGATTCCTCAGGGATCTAGAACTAGAAATACCATTTGACCCAGCCATCCCATTACTGGGTATATACCCAAAGGATTATAAATCATGCTGCTATAAAGACACATGCACACGTACGTTTATTGCGGCACTATTCACAATAGCAAAGACTTGGAACCAACCTAAATGTCCAACAACAATAGATTGGATTAAGAAAATGTGGCACATATACACCATGGAATACTATGCAGCCATAAAAATGATGAGTTCATGTCCTTTGTAGGGACGCGGATGAAGCTGGAAACCATCATTCTCAGCAAACTATCGCAAGGACAAAAAACCAAACACCGCATGTTCTCACTCATAGGTGGGAATTGAACAATGAGAACACATGGACACAGGAAGGGGAACATCACACACTGGGGACTGTTGTGGGGTCGGGGGAGGGGGGAGGGATAGCTTTAGGAGATATACCTAATGTTAAATGACGAGTTAATGGGTGCAGCACACCAACGTGGCACAGGTATACATATGTAACAAACCTGCACATTGTGCACATGTACCCTAAAACTTAAAAGTATAATAGTAATGATAAAAAAAAAGAAGCCACATGTTGAACATGGTAGACTCAAAAAAAATAAAAAATAAAAAAAATAAAACACACTGTTGTCTATAATTTCTCTGAAATGCACCAAAATAAAGATGGATTGATGGATGGACAGAGAGATTTCAAGATGGATAGATATCTGATAAAATAAATATGTAGAATCTAGATAGTAGGTATATGGATAAATAAATAGGTCATGTGAACTTTTTGAATATTTTAAAACTACCTATTTTTAAAATGTATATACAAAAACGATTTCCCCCAAATATTGTTTCTTATAGAAGGTATGAATTCATTGCTGTTTAGGTTCTGGAACCTGTGAAAATTTGCTTACCAATATGTACATTGGTTAACTTGATTATCTATCACAGGTCCCAGTTAGATGGGATGAAAAATTAAGTATCAGAAACTCAAAAGTCGTTAACTTTGGAATGCAGATGATGATTTTCCTTCTAGAAAACTTCCTTTCCTTGTCTAGATTTTGCTCAAACTACAATAAAAATTAGTTTCCTAAAGAAGATGAAAATGGGCCAGGAGAGGTGGCTTATGCCTATAATCCCAGCACTTTGGGAGGCCGAGAAAGGCAGATCACCTGAAGTCAGGAATTCAAGACCAGCCTGGCCAACATGGTAAAACCCCATCTCTACTAAAAATACAAAAATTAGCCAGGCGTGGTGGCAAGCGCCTGTAATCCCAGCTATTCGGGAGGCTGAGGCAGGAGAATCTCTTGAACCTGGGAGGGGAAGGTTTCAGTGAGCCGAGATAGCGCCATTGCACTCCAGCCTGGGTGACAAGAGTGAGAGTCCAACTTAAAAAAAAAAAAAAAGACTAAAATGTCTACTATAGAAATGAGAAAATAACCACAACCAAATATTACTTTTCTCCTTGAGCCCTGAATGCCTGAAAGATAAGGTAAATATAAAAGTAAACATATGGCTTCCAAGGAAAAGCCAGTATCCTATTTTAAAGTTACTGAAGAAAATTCCCAAAGAAAACAAGATACAAGTGTGAGTGATCCAAAGTCAATGATGGGTCAGGGGGAGGAGGTGCTTAAAAATGAATCCCCAATACCCCTGATGAACACAGGGGCAAAATCTTCAACAAAATACAAGCAAACTGAATTCAACAGTACATTAAAAAGATTATTCATTATGATCAATTGGGATTCATCCCAGGGATACAAGAGTGATTTAACATGCACAAACCAATAAACGTGATATATCACATTAACAGAAAGAAAGACAAAAACCATATGATCATTTCAAAAGATGCAGAAAAAGCATTTGATAGAATTCAACATCCCTTCATGATAAAAATTCTCAACAAATTAGGTACAGTAGGTATGTACGTCAACACAATAAATCCCATATATGGGCTTTATTTTTACCCATAGCTACCTTCATATGAAACAGGGAAAAGTTGAAAGTTTTTCCTTTAAGATCTGGAAAAAGACAAGAATGTCCACTTTCACCACTTCTAGTTAGTATTATACTGGAAATCCTAGTGAGAGAAATTAGGCAAAAGAAAAAAATAAAAGGTGTCCAAATGGGAAAGGAGGAAGTCAAATTGTCCCTGGTTGTGGATGATATGGTCTTATATATAGAAAGCCCTAAAGACTTCACTAAAAAACTGTAAGAACTAATAAAGTCAATAAGCTTTCAGGATACAAAATCAACATACAGAAAGCAGTGTTTCTATATGCTAAATAGTGAACTATACAGAAAAAGAATTCAAGAAAACAAACCTAATTATTATAGCTACCAAAAAATAAAATACCTAGGAATAAATTTAAGATGAAGGTGAAAGATCTCCACACTGAAAACTACAAAACATTGATGAAACAGATTGAAGAGGACACATATAAATATAAGTGTATCCCATGTTCATGGATTGGAATAATTAATTCTGTCACAATAATCTACAGATTCAATATGATCTATAGATTCAATGCAATCTCTATCAAAATACCAATGACATTCATCACAGGAATAAAAAAAATCCCTAAAATTCATGTAGAACCACAAAAGACCCCCAAACAGCCAAAGCAACCTTGAGCAAAAAATTTTTAAAAAACAAAGCTAGAGGCATATTACCTTACTTAGCTCTATTAATGAGAAGATCATCATATTGACATAAAAATAGACACACAGACCAATATAACAGAATACAAAGCCCAGACATAAATCCACGCATCTACAGCCAACTGCTTTTCAACAAAGGTGCCAAAAATACACACTGGGGAAAAAACAGCCTCTTCAATAAATGGTGCTGGAAAAAATGGATATCCACATGCAGAAGAATAAAACTGGATCCTTATTTTCAACACATACAAAATTCAACTCAAAGTGGACTAAAAACTTAAATGTAAATACTGAAACTGAAACTACTAGAAGAAAACATAGGAAAAATGCTTCATGACACTAGGCAATACTTTTTTAGATAAGACCTTAAAAGCACAGGCAACAAAATTAAAAAACAGACAAATGAGATTACATCAAACTAAAAACCTTCTGCACAGCACAGAAAACAATCAACAGAGTCAAGAGACAACTTATAGAATGGGAGAAAATATTTGCAAACCATGCATCTGACAAGGGGTTAATATGCAGAATATGTAAGAAACTCAAACAACTCAATAGCCAAAAAATAATAATAATAATAATTCCATTTAAAAATGAGCAAAAGACCAACAGGTATACAAAAAAAGTGCTCAACATCACTGACTACCAGGGAAAAGCAAATCAAAACCACAATAATGTATCACCTCATTCCACTCAGAATGGCTATTATTAAAAAGACAAAAGATAAGTGTTGATGAGGATGTGGAGAAAAGAGAACCTTTACGCTTTTGGTGGGAATGTAAATTAGTACAGCCATTATGAAAAACAATATGGAGATTCCTCAAAAAATTAAAAATAGAACTACCATAACCAGCAATCCTACTACTTGGTATATATCCAAAGGAAATGAAATCAGTATGTCAAAGATATATCTAAATTCCCATGCTCACTGTAGCACTATTCACAATAGCCAAGATATGGACTCAACCTAAGTGTCCATCAACAGAAGAATGGATAAAGCAAATGTGGTATATGTATACAATGGAATACTATTCAGCCATAAAAAAAGAATAAAATTCTTTCATTTGCAACAACATGGAAGAACCTGGGGGACATCATGTTAAGTGAAATAAGATATGCACAGGAAGACACATACTGCATGTTCTTACTCATATGCAGAATCTAAAAAGTTGATCCTAAGAAACAGTGAATAGAATAGTGGTTACTACAGACTGAGGAGAGTAGTGGGAGGGGAAAAATTAGGAAGAGACGGTCAATGGGTACAAAGTTGCAATTAGAAATGAAGAACAGAAAGGTGCAGCGGCTCACACCTGTAATCCCAGAACTTTGGGAGGCTGAGGCAGGTGGATCACAAGGTCAGGAGATCGAGACCATCCTGGCCAACATGGTGAAACCCTGTCTCTACTAAAAGTACAAAAATTAGTTGGGCATGGTGGCGGGCGCCTGTAATCCCAGCTACTCAGGTGGCTGAGAAAGGAGAATCGCTTGAATCTGGGATGCGGAGGTTGCAGTGAGCCAAGATCACGCCACTGCACTCTAGCCTGGCAACAAAGTGAGATTCCATCTCACACACACACACACAAAAGAAATGAAGAATAAGTGATGGTGTCCTATTGAAGAGTTGGGTGACTAGAGTCAGCAAAGAGGTATTGCATGTCTTGAAATAGAAAAGGGGATTTTTAAATGTTCCTAACATAAAGAAATGATACATGTTTAAGGTGTTAGATATGCTAATTACTCTGATTTGATCATTACACAACATATACATGTATTAAAAAAACACATTGTTCCCCATAAATATGTATAATTATGTATGTTTATAATACACTATATATTATACATATAATTATAGTTATTTGTTATATAATAATTATGTATCCATTAAAAGTAAAAAATGGTGTCCAATTCCAGGAAAAACAATGACTGCTACCTGAAGTGAGACTTAAAAAAGGATGACTCAGTAGAGAAGAATTATCAGTTTCAGGGCTGAAAGAAGTTCCCAGTGTCAATAAAGCCAGAAGGTGCTTTATTCTGCAGAGAAAGCCACTGAAGACCACAGAAATCGCTACAGATTACAGAAAGAAATCAAATGTAACAGAGAATTTTCCTTTCCCTAAGGATTATGCCTTCAGCATTGTAAAACCACCCCTCCAAAATAAAGATGGAACACATTCTACAACAGATCTTTTATTACCTCCCAAATCTGCAGGTTGGGAGATCCCCAAAAAAACTTATTTAAAAAAAGAAATTGGAGGAAATCTCCTTAAAAAATGAATATAGTTATAAATTTCCTTCAAAGAGAATATAACACATTTTTAAAAAAGATTTATGATTACACTAAAATTTGTTATATGCTGTAATGTAGCCACCGTTAACACTCACAGAAGTATAAAGCGCACTCCTTTCTACATTACATAGTCCTAAACAGTTTTGTCTCTCATATTTTATGTTATCTATTTCTTGCTTTGTTATTGACTTAAACTTCAGGCTATCATTAATACCCTGGTCTGGGCCAACCTTTCTTTTTCAGTTCCAATGTGTTACAGGTATAGGAATCAGAAAGAGTTCTGCATAAAATAAAGCTCAAGGCATTGTTCTCAGAGGTTTTTGGCAAAAATTTAAAATGTGATCTATTTTGAGTATTCAGAGTTTTTTTTAGCCTACTTCATGGCTGTCACCTTTGCTTTTGGAAAAAGAATTATTGCTCTTTCTGAGCTCCCTGCAATTTGTTTTTTAATCAAAGACAAAAATATCATAAAACGTAAATGAGGACTTATAAAATTCAAAATGTTACATATAAAAGACCATTGGTCCACTATTACATTTTGTTCATTTCTCACAGGGCAGTGGGCCTTTTTTTAAATTGTACCACAAAATAAGTATACTTAAATCTTCCTACTAGAGATTATTAATCTTTTTGTTTTCACAGCATCTGGTACATAGAAGGCATACTGTAAACGCTCACTACATTGAACTAACACGATAGAGGTCATATAGCTGAGAGAGTGAGTGTGTGTGTGTATGAGACACAGAGTGTGTGTGTGTGTGTGTGTGTGTGTGTGTGTTTTGGGAGGCAAAATGATGGTTGCATTTTAAACAAACATTGCCGGTGATTCTGTTTTGTGTGTGTGTGTGTGTGTGTGTGTGTGTGTGTGTGTGTTTTGGGAGGTGAAATGATGGTTGCATTTTAAACAAACATTGCAGGTGATTCTATTGAAAATGGAAACTCTGTGGAAACACTGTCCTCTGTAATTCTGTGGGATGTGGTAGCCAGAAATAAAGATAGAGCTAAGATGCAAAGTAAGAAGGAAAAGTAGAGAACAAGTGAGTTCAAAATGCAGGAAAATATGATAGGGATAAAGAATTCATGAAGGTCACAGAAGTACCTGAGACAATGAGGAAAAGGTATATATTAACTGGCTGAAGACAAGAAGGGAACAGCCACTGAGAATGTTAACACTGGCACATTAAAAAAAAAAGGCTAATACAAAGAAACATGTTAAGAGAGGCTTGAGAAATCCATAAAGTCAAAATTGGCTGCATATAGGGCTACTCTTGAACTCAATGGGCAGACAAAGAATACCAACAGAAAGAACCGCATATCTCTTGAAATCAAGAGAGTAAGTGCTGTGGCTGGCAAATAAGAATACAAGGTTGAGGGTTATAACAGGGCTATAACCTGGGTATGACATTTAAAATAATATCCTGTTAAAATCCTGATTATAGTATAAACCCAGGCTTTGCTAAGGTAAAGTACTGGGGGTGCACTTGAAATCACTTGCTTGTCCCTGGATTTTACTGTGCCATCTCTGTGCACCATAAGACTCTTTGCAATGTTTCTAAACTGAGCAAGTTTAGAAACAACATGAAAAGTATGGACACCCAAAAGCACCATCCAGGCTGTCCAAGTATTGTTCAGTGTATTAAGTACTTAAGTACCTTTAAGGAATCACTCTTCTCTAGCACAACATGTCACATTCTACCCACAGGGAACATTGTACCAGTGACCCAGCCTTGCAGAAATACTGCACTTTCTGAGCTCCCTGTCCCAACCTCTGTACTTCATACTGTATTTTTTCCATTTCCCTGGCCACTGCTCCTGCTGTACATCTACCATTTCATCATAAATTTTCCCCTACAGCTCAGTGCACCATCAGCTTCTTCCAGTGTTTGACATCATTTCTCCTTCATTCAAGGCTGAGTCTCATAGTAACAATGACCATGCAAAGCCAGCCCCAGGTACCTTCTGGATGCCACTGCACATAACCCACCTGGCATAATCTTTGAAGGAGAAACATAATGCTCTTCTCCTGCCACCCAGTCTTCTCACCCTGCCCTCTTCCCTGAAAGATAATGGTGATGAGCTACTTCAACAGGAAAATGATCTGAAAGCCTTCTGTTTGGAACTTACCTTAGGCTCACTTTGCTATACTTTCCTAAGAGTGATTCAGCTGAAACTACAAACCACTCTTAAGGTAACTGTGGGTGGTAATCCTAACTTACCAGCATAACTTGGCTGATTAACATTTCCACCTTTTTTTATACAATGATGAACAAGATCAGCATCATCGTGTAGAGCAGCCTTATATACTAAGTTCTCTCCAAAAATGTTTCTCCGGTTAATGCTATGAAGAGATATTTTGTTCACCTTCATTTTTTCTGAAATGAGGGAATGAACAAAAGAAAAAAATCATTATTTGAATATCAGAAGGAATACGGATTACAAACCACATATTTCAAACTACAAACTTCACGAACATAGGTAACAGGATTAACTCAGTCAATAGTGTAGAAGTGAAGTATATTATGAGAATATTCATCCATTAACCCAACTATAATATTATCTACATACAAAAAGGAAAAAGAGACAAATGCCACTAGTCTTAAAATATTTGAAGTAAACTATAAATCATGATAAACAGTGTGTGTTGATTGAAAACCCATGAAAGGTGCATATATGAAAAGACTAACAGATAATCTTCTTAAAAGTTCTGGTGAAAAGGATTATTTAAACCTAGAATAATATATTATCAAATTTAATAAAATGTTATATTACCAAATGTCTTATAAAACCATGAGGAGAAAATCTCAGAGGCATATAAGATACAAAAACTAATCCCAGTGAGACTGGAAAAGGGAATGCAAAATTCTCCTTCTTGGCTAAAAATAAATTAATGAAATTAAGCAGAGAACCACAGCCTTGATCCTTGCAATTGTTTTTATTTACTAAGCCAGAAATGCACGATTAAAATACTTTTCCAGATAATGTATATCAAGTATCAATTCTCCACTGTGCCTCCTAAAATACTGAAGCTCCTCATTTACATGTTTCAAATCCTGTCAGTTTGGAGGGCAATACTCATCTGGATTTTCTGAATTTCAGAGTAGCTTGATGATAGCTTTTCCAGTTTGTATCTAGCTATCCTGCCCCATCCTAAAACCTTACAAAGGTAACTGAGTACTGCAGCAGCTTTCTTAATGGACGACATATCAACTGCCTTGCCGTTTGACTCCCTTGATTCAGTCCCACTGTATAACAAACCCAACTGCTGAACTTTGAGTCTACATTCTTGTATACCAGACTACAAAGCATTCTTTTCCCACTAGACAAATTGCATGCTTACCATAATCAGAGCAGTCTTTACTTCCAAATCTGCCTGTGCCAGTTGTACTTGTTATATTATAATTATGTAATTTTCTGATCTTAGGGGGAAAGCATTTAATCTTTCACAATTAAGTATAAAGCTGTATGATTTCTGTAGATGTCCATTGTCAGGTTGAATTCCTAGTTTGCTGAGAATTTTCACCAGGAACAAATGTGTTAGATGTTGTCAAATGCTTTCTATGCATTTATTGAGATGATCATATGGTTCCTCTTTTTTAGCTTGTTAATACAATGAATTACAGCGATTGGTCTTCAAGTGTAAAACCAATCTTGAATTCCTAGGATAAACACCACTTAGTCATGATGTATTATATAATGTTGGATTTGATATGCTCAAGTTTTGTTTAGAATTTTTTTTTTTTTTGAGACAGGGTCTTGCTCTCCATATTCTTCTCCAGGGTATTGCCCAGGATGGAGTGCAGTGGTGCAATCACGGCTCATTGCAGCCTCAACTTCCCAGGCTCAGGTAATTCTCCCACCTCAGCCTCCCGAGTAGCTGGGACTACAGGCACATACCACCATGCCCAGCTAATTTTTTGCATTTTTCATAGAGACAGGGTTTCGCCATGTTGCTTAAGCTGATCTCAAACTTCTGGGCTCAAGCGATCCACCCACTTCAGCCTCCCAAAGTACTGCGACTCTAGGCATGAGCCACTGCACGTGGCCTGTTTAGAATTTTTGCATCTATATTCATGAAGGATACTTAGTCTAATTTTCTGTTCTTATAATGTCTTTGATTTTGGTATCAGTTTAATGATGACCTCATTAAAATGAGTTGAGAAGTGTTTCCTCATCTTTAATTTTTTGGAAAAATTGTGTGGTGAACTGGTATTATTTCCCCCTTATATATTTTGTAGAATTCACCTCTGAAGGTGTTACAGACTGAATGGTGTCCTCCCAAAACTCAAACTTGAAGTCCTAGACCAATAAGACTGGATTGAGGTGCTTATATATGTGTGTGTGTGTGTGTGTATTTTTTTTTCTGTGAACTGCTTGTTCATGTTCCTTATCTATTCATGTTCTTTTTACTTTTTTCCCCCAGTTTAAAAATTTTTAATTAATTATTGTTATTATTATTATCTGACATGTAAAAAGGGATACTTATTTAATGTATACAATTCAATATACTTGGGGACAAGTATATACCCATGAAACCATCACCACCATTAAGGCCATGACATACACCCCTGTTCTTTATCCTTACTGTTTCATTAGAGTTTTTTGCATACTAATGCAATTAAACCCTTGTCAAATGATGCTAATATTTCTTAGCTATTTGATATTTGATTCTTCTTTAGTGTATATTTCCATACAATTTTTTTAAATGTATGTAGTTAATTTTATCATTCTTTAAAAGAATTTTTATCATTCTTTTAAAGGTATGTAGTTAATTTTATGATTTTAAACTCAGAAACCAAGAGGATTTAAAAAGACTTTCTCCACACCAAGGTTACAGAAAGATTCACTTACGCTTTCTTCTACAACTTTTATTTTTCATTTAAATCTTTGATCAATCTGAAATTAAAGTTAGTGTAAGGAATGTTATGGAAATCCAATTTTGTTTGTGTTTTCCACTACTTATTGCTTAGTCTTTCTTTTCACCACAATTTGAGATGCCATCTGTATTACATATCTTTCCCGTATCTCACTGTAGCTGGCTTCTACATCTAAACTCTCTATTCTGTTTCACTGATTTATCTGTCTATTCCTGCTCCAGTGTCAAATAACTTTAATTTCTGTAGCTTTCTAATATGCTCTCATACTATGGAGAAAAGGTCCTGCCACTCTAACTTTTTGCTTTTATTTTTCAGAATTTTCTTGGCTAGTCTCTCATATTTACTTTTCTAGGTGATATTTAGTATTACTTTGAAATTTTCTCATAGCTACTCTCTATCACTGTAAAACAGTACAAAATAAAACAAAAAATTAGCAAATAAATAAAAATCTGTTTTTGATGAGATCTCATGCATTTCTAGAATAATTTAGGGATAACCTTCTTACAATGCTGAATCTTTCTAGTCAAGAACAAGGTTCTTCTTTCCATTTATTCAAGTATTTTTTACATCTCACAGTAGAATTTTTAAACTTTCTTCTTATAAGTATGATACGTTTCTTATTAGTTATAAAAGTATTTTCTTTTTGGAACAATTATAAATGAGATAGTCTTTTACACTTTCTAACAAGTTAATACATACATATATGTGAAAGGCATTAATTGTTGACTCCAGCTTATCGCATTTTTAAAACTTTTTCTTTTGAAATAATCTCAGACTTACAGAAAAGTTGTAAAAATAGAACAAAAGACTCACCCCTTGTTAATATTTTGCCATTGACTTTAAACCATTCTTTCTTCTAAATACGTATGCATCCAGACACATGTATACATAAAAAGTAACTTTTATACATCATGCCCTTTTACTTACTAATACTTTAATGTATATTTCTAAGGACAAAGATGTACGCTTATATCGCTGCAGTATTATTATCAAATTCAGAAAACTTACCTCTGATACAATATTATTTTTTCATCTACAACCCATATTTCAGTTTTGCCAATTGTTCTACTATCTATTATTTTTTAAACAATGTTTCTAGATTCTCTTATTGCTTCTGAGAGTTTTTTAGTTCAATCTTTTGGATGTTATAGGAACACAGAAATAAGATCTAAGAATAATAACAATTGTGCCTTGTCCTTTCCTTTATTCCTCCTGATATGCTTTTTCATAGCCATATGCTAGGTTAGTCACACATGTAAATTTAAAAAGAGGTCTGTAACTACTCTTTCCAAAGCAGAACTACAGAAAAAAGTACTAATCTATGAGTCAGAAGTTCAGGATCAATTCTCAATTATGCTAATAATGAGCTGTATGGTTCTGGGAAAAACCCTTAACCTATCTGAAATTCAGTTTCCTCATCAGCAAAATTAGAAAGTTGAGAAAGATAATCTCTGAATCCTTTCTACCAATTCTGTTTTTGTAAAAGAAATAGAAAAATACTCAAAATATGCATCACCTTTTTTTCCTGAAAATTGTTCATTTTTCCTGATCTGTTTTCCATTCTTGAACCTTGCTGAATGCATATTCTTCTCTTTACCATCAATCATTAAAGCCGGATCCTGCATTCTTGAAAAACAACGTATTTTTTAAATGGCTATAACGGTTTTTGCAAACATTCACAGAGAATTATACCAATTTTTGAATACAATATTAAAACTCCAGGGTATTTTACTGAGCTGTTCTCAAGTGGCGTGGCAGTTTTAAATACGGAGATGGCTCCTGCAGGTAATTCTGCAGCAGGCATGCCAGTCATCACAGCTTCTAGCCCTCTCTTTGCGCGACCTGTGGGTTTCTCTTCTTTAGGATTAGTCATCTACAAGTGTGAGTATTCTTAATCTCCTGCTCTTTACTCCCCAAGTTGGCATGCCACTATCCACTCTATTCACCCTCTAGAGAAAAAGATGCAGGCTCTTTGCGAGGAAAAAGCCTTGCTCTGTGGTATGGCACTGATCAAAAACTGCAAAATAAAAAAGCAATAATATAAAAAATAAAGCTCTTTCCCCTGTGTTAACTGTATACTGACCCTGATGTCCCCAAGCATATAATTATCTATAATGTCTATAGCATACCTGGAGATAAAGACATAATTTCATTGCATACCTGAAATTCTGAGCTGAAGAGTTATTATTTGTTAGGTCCTCACAGCCAAGGATTTTTGGTAAAATCTTTTCTGGCATCTTATACATGTGATCTGAGTACTTTGCATCTCTGCTTACTTTCAGTTTTTCTAGTCTGGATGATCTCCTCAACACACACGCAGTTTCCTGATCAGAGCTATTTGTCACTGAATTTGAATTTCTCTTATTACTTAGTGGCTCACAAGAAGTGATATTTTGATGAGCCAAAGTTTGCAATCCAGATGGATTTGGGTCTTGCAGAGTCTGCAAATACGTAAATACATCCACAAAAAATTACAACACTGCAAAAAAATTAAAACTATAAGAAGTTAAATTTTGTCTTGACCTTTGCTTAAATTAAAATGCCTATTATAGGATCCAAGTACAAGAATTCATAGACATATGTGGACATAATGAAAGATTTAATAATAATTAATGTAATAAAGGACAATGCAGATTTAAAAGCTTAAGAGCATAAGTAAAAATGATTTTGATCAATATTTATCTTGAAAATTCAAAGGCAAATCTATGGTCACTCTAGGAGTTTTAATTTTGCAAGAAATTTGGAATGTAGAATGATGAGAGATCTACAAAAACATTAGAAATGTCACACTAGGCTAGATCAATGGACTATTCAGCCTAGGGTTTTATTATCTGACAGCAGCAGCAAGTGATATTTTGTGGAACAAGATAGTACATAACCTCCATTACATTGATTTTAAAAGGTTAACAGTGTATCAGGAATTGTTCTTTCCCTTAATAATTCATTATAGATTTAACTTCCATGAACATATGTATTCTTTATACGTATCATCTAAACCTTTCTTCAGCTTACTTACATATCCGTCTTGCAAAGCTTCTCAAGGTAACAAGCTCCATATTTTTATTACAGCTGAGTAAATGAGTATATTATTTGATCTCTTCTAAGTAAGTCTCCTTTCTACTTAAGAGGGTTTATTTTTTTTCCTTTCGAAGACTTGCTAAATTCATATTCACTGTATTAATACCAATCATAATTTCCTACACTTTACTCATATTCCCTCTTTTCATATTAGAACACTGCAATTTTAATCTTCATGCCCTATCTCCATAATTAGTTTCTCTTTTTCTGGTTTTTAAAAAATCCTATGTCAGTTTTGAGATTTGTTAAACAGAACTTCATGCAGTATTGTCCCAGGTATGTATGCTGCAACACGAGCTCAGCATTTTGTTACATAAATCTTCACAAGGATGTTCACAGAAACATTTTGGTAATCGGAAGATAAAAAGAAAAGAAAGAAAACAATCCAAATGACCATCATTAGTGAATTGATTAAATAAATTACAATATATTCACACAGTGGAATACTATTCAGCAAATTAAAAGATTTAAGTAGTGCTACATTTGCTGACATTGAAAGATAAACAAAACACATTATTAAATTTAAAAAATAAGTTGGAAGGCATTATATATAATATAATCCCATTAGTATAAAATGAACTAATATAGAATATGATGGAAATAATTGGAGAGAGATACACCAAACTGTTAACAGTGATTACCTCTAAAGAGTGAAACTGTGGAGGATATTTGTTACCATATTATTATGTAATTCTGTAAGGTTTAAAATGTGTTTTATAATGAGGATGCATTATTATTATAATCAGGGGAAAAAATAAAGATTATTTTTAAAAACAAAGAAACTGTCAATATGACAAAGGGACTTTGTGAGTGATAGGCCACTACAGAGCCTCCAGGCATAATACTACAAGAATTCTAAACCCCAAGAGCTATGCCACCTGATAGTATTCTCAGACATAGAAGTCAAAATTCTGCTTAAGCTAGGCATATTTTTTCCCTCCCCTGGCATCCCAACTGCATATATTCTATGTCAAAATGTAAATTAATGTGGGGTATCCCATCAGTACTCTGCACCCAGGTAGACATAGTGATTTTCTGAGCTAACAGAGAAAATTTTAGTAAAGAATTCTTTCCTTCCTACATATAAGCAATCTAAAGATATGTCTTCTCAGCCCTGTTGAGAAGAAATCTTTCTATTTTCATTTCCTAACTCCTCGAAAACTCTATCCTAGGAACTTCTAAAAAGATCACTCTATGCTTCCAAGTCACAAAGTATCTTCTCGGTGTTGATATTTGGGTAGATTTGATTTTAACACAATGAAAACTTGTTGAAGTTTAAAAGGCAAAATCATAGACTCATATTTTCAGCTACTTGCTCCACTGAAAGATGCTTGTCCTATAGCTCAGCTAACTTGGAACCATGTTCAAATGGTGGAGTAGAACAAAGAAATTCAAAATTCACCTCTGCTATTTGTGTACAATCTTCATTGGTCTGAGACGTATTGAACTCCACTTCTAAACATTCATTTCTGGCAATGAGACTGCTACCTCCCTCTTTTCTGTGACAGATGGTTTCCACCTTGGCTTCTGACAATGTGTTCAGGGCTTCCAATAACTCAGCTGGCAATGCATCATCTTTTGCATCTTCTAGTAAATCTCTATGACATGCCGACCAGGAATTCAAAGGTATTGATATGGAACTAAGAGAGTCACTCAATGGGTTCATCAATTCTTTACGATCAAAATCACTTACTAATTCAAACAATCTTTCCTCCTGGGTGCTTTCTGGTGATGTAAGTAAACTTTCTAAGGCAGACACAAAGGTTTCAAGAGAGCTTTCTTCATCCTTAGTTTCTTCAGAAGTCATGGTCATTGTGACTTCCTTTCTAGGCTCAAAAAATGTATTTGGTGCTGCTAAAATCTTCTCTGGCTCTACTAATGATGTCTCCTTTACAGCAACTGTATCAGATACTGTAATAGCAGTGCCTGAGAGAAGGCTAACTTCAGGAGAATCTCTGCCTTCACTTAGTTCCTGTGTATTACAAATAGAAATTACATCATTACAGCATATACAATAAAGTATTTAAAATGAAAACTTTATAGTTTTATAGTTTATCTTGTTTGTAAGCTACCCTCAAAATTTATCATCAACTTTCCTTCCCTTCCATAAATAAAGGGAATACTCTTTATTGCTTTCCTATACCAAATCGCTAATTACTGAAAACATGGTTAAACATTTAATAATAGACCAAGAGCATAACTGGCTGGACCATAATTACGGATGGCAAATTATTCACCTAAGTTTAAATTATCTGTGCTAACAGAAGAAGCAGAGATGGCATGGATAGTTAAATTAACAGATGATCCCAAAGCTTCATAGCCATTAATGGTTATAAAATTCTTTCTTGCCAAAATGTCCTATTTGATTTATAAAATTATTAACTAGGAATAAAATTTCACCTTCTTTTTGTTCCCCCACCTTTGTAGGAATAAGTAAATGTGGAGTAAAGAGGCCAAAGGACAAGAGGTCAGAGGGAAAAGGTGGAGAAATGAGGGTACAGTTATGTATAAATATTACAAGCCCTAGCTGTGAATGAATGGCTCTGAGTTGTGGTTATTTTAAGCAAAAAAACCCACTAAACTTAACATTTCTAAATGACTATTATTTCTCTAAGACATCACCTTAATAGGTTATACCTGTTCTCACAATGTTTCTTTTTTTCTTTTCTTTCCTTTTTTTTCTTTTTTTTGAGATGAGGTCTCACTCTGTCACCCAGGCTGGAGTGCAGTGGTGCCATCTCAGCTCACTGCAACCTCTGCCTCCAGGATTCAAGTGATTCTCCTGCCTCAGCCTCTTGAGTAGCTGGGATTACAGGAGCCTGCCACCATGCCCTGTTAATTTTTTGTACTTTTAGGAGAGATGGGGTTTCACCATGTTGGTCCAGCTGGTCTCAATCTCCTGACCTCAGGTGATCTGCCTGCTTCGGCCTCCCAAAGTACAGGGATTACACGCATGAGCCACCATGCCCAGCCTCACAATGTTTCTAATACTCAAAATACTGTTAGAATCCCTCTTTTGAAATTGCTTTCAGAATGAGTTTATAAGCCATTCAAGAAAATAATGTGCTTTAAAGGCACTGAAAAATTTTCAAACACTAAATACTTTTTATCGGCCTTAAATACCAGAATGGGTTTCAATGACTTTGGTTTTTTCCAAAAATCAAATCCACCATACCTTTGACAGGATGTGCTGTAATTTGTAAGCCTTCTAATATTCTAATCTGGTATGAGTGAGAGAAGCAAAACCACTTTATTCTTCCTCCTGTCCTTTTCTACCTGCCACCTTTATGTACTTTGTATATATTAATAGCATACAGCACTTAAGAAAACATATTTATTTGTTAGCAATGCTAACTATAATTTTCTCAGAAAGATAAAAGGAATATGCAAGAAATTCAAGAACCAGATCCTACTCACTCTCTAAGTCTCAGTTCAAGGCCTCTCCACTATTTGAAGTCCTCGCACCAGGTATAATAAAGTATATACATTGGGCTCTGTCTTAAAGCAATTTATTTCTAACTTAAGATTCAAGACATAAATACCTAGGACATTAAACAGAATACAAATAATGTCATAGAACACTTATGAAATCAAATGAATGGCATAAACTAGTGTATATCAAGCAGTTGCATTTATAACCACAGAACCAGCCCAAATTGGCCGTACTTTGTTGGTAACAGAATGTCAAGTCATCTTGCAGGTATAACACAGCGAAAACTGCAAGTCATGTAACGCAGCCAGAACCTTGAACCAAGAAGACAGAAAAATGACTTCCCCTCCTCCTGAACCAAGAAGACTGAGAAATGACTGGAACCTGACCACTGGTACTCTTTCTGAAGAAACAGGTCTGCTAGTCAGAAAGATTTGGTGTTAAAATCTGCCTAAATATACCTTACCGTAAATGGTCAAATTCGAGGTCTTCTAATCAGACTCTGCCAAGCCAACATTCCTAAGTCCTTTCCCTTACCTTCTGCCCCCTTAAACCTGTTCCAGACCCTAAATAGAGGACACAAATTTGAGCTGCCTCTCCTGTCTCCTTGCTGGCCTGTCTCACAATAAAGCCTTTTTTTCCCTCAAAAGCCAATGCCACAGCACTGGCTTCTATGCACATCAGGCAGCAGGCCCATTTGCTTGATAACATACAAAGCCTAGTGTCTTGCAAAAATGAGTTTTCTGGGGAAGAAAAAAATGGAGGCAGTGGAGGGCTTTCATGATTCTTTGAAAAATACTTGGTTGAGCAAAGTTAAACAAGTTACTTTGTGACAGGACTTTCCAAACCATGTGCATTGGGGAACTTTAGGACACAGTGTTCTCCAAACATTTTTGTCCAAAAAAATCCTTCTCCTCAGAAGATCTATTAATATTATAGAGTACAAGTGATTTGGAAATAATGATATAGTTAGTAAATAATGAGTGCTAGAGAGGGAGCAATTACTTTGGTCAAGATCGCCAGAATTATCTGAAATAGATCCACAGAAGAACAGGTACTTGAGCCAGAAATTAAAGATTTGTGGAGTGAAAGAATGGAGGAACACACATTTACTAAGCACCAACTAGGTGCCAGACATCATGAACCATCATTGCTCGGTCCTCACAATACCTGTAAAACAGCTATCGCTGCCCCTATCTTACAGATATAAACAGTTATCCTTGGAACCCAGACCTATCTGGTTTCCAAATTTTATGTTATTTCCCATCTTCTGGCTCCTGATTTGAGCAAAAGCATGAAGGCAGGAAAGTGTAAGGTGTGGCTGAGATAAAGTAAGCTACAGGGACAACCTGGGTGAGATGCCAAGACCCAGGGTCTACAAAAAAATTAAAAGAAAAAAATCAGCTGGGTGTGGCAGTATGGGCCTACAGTCCTAGCTACTGGGGAAGCTGAGGTGAGAGGATCTCTTGAGCCCAGGAGTTCCAGGTGGCAGTGAGTTATGATCGCACAACTGTACTCCAGCCTGGGCAACAAAGTGAGACTTTATCTCACTGGGGAGGTCTTTGATTGCCTAGCATCCCTGAGGAAAGCGTGAGTTCATTGTAAGCAGAGCCAGTCCTATAGTCCTCTGATTCTCCATAGCACCAAGTAAAAAGCAAATCCAAAGCAGGAAGGAACTTTGCTACATTATCTCAGAAACAGTTTGATAACAAGTTATGTATTTCTACTCTAGATAAAAAGTAAGAGACTTAACAGTACTGGATAAGAGACACAGATCAAGAAAACACTTTCATTAGCAATAAGGAAGAATAAACATGAAAGAGGTGATTAGACAAGAATAGATTTTTATCTACCGAAATGGTTTAGTAGATGAGGGTGAGGGTCTAAATGAGCTTGATACTTTAATCGACATAATTTTTTAAAAAATCTAAACTCACAGTCTACATAGTTAATTTCTGTTATACAGACCAACCTTTTCTATGTGTGGCAAAACTTCAGGACTTTCAGCCTCTGGCCCTAGAAAAAAACAATGTGTTTTCATTCCAGTTTTATGGAAGCACTAAAAACATACCTTCTCAGTTGACATTTCATAATCATATAACTTAAACTCCCTCAGTCAAGTGACACATCATATATTTTATTAATATTACATAAATTTATTAGTATAAAAGTATTATTTTGGAAATGAAATTATAAAATTCTTGCATTTCTTAAAAAATATTTTATATAGCTCCAAAAAAATTGTAACTATTTGGAATTATTTTAGCTAAAAACCAAGAACTCTATTTTGGCTGAATTATACTAAGTACAGCATTTGTAACTACATAGGAAAAAGACTATCTACTTTCTCAGTGTCATTATCTCTTCTACTACAGGTACTTAGAGCTTAAATGAACTCATGCTGTCTGGAGTTAGGCATGAAAAGAAATGCCCCTTATAGGGGTCAAAAGGACAGAGGGTCATCCTAGACACTATGGAGGATTGCTGCATTGCCTCTGTGACTGCAAATTCACTATCTACTCTCACCCTGCCCCCTCTGAGCCAAGCTGGCAAACAGCAATTCACACCCAAGTTAGGTCAAAGGAGGATCTGGAAAAAAGATAGTTCTCCTCCACTGTTCCTTTTACATTCTTTCTTTCTTTTTTTTTTTTTTCTTTTGAGATGGAGTCTCGCTCTGCAGGCCAGGCTGGAGTGCAGTGGCACGATCTTGGCTCACAGCAACCTCTGCCTCTGAGTTCAAGTGATTCTCCTGCCTCAGCCTCTTGAGTAGCTGGGATTACAGGCATGCACCACCATGCCCAGCTAATTTTTGTATTTTTAGTAGAGGCAGGGTTTCACCATGTTGGCCAGGCTGGTCTCAAACCCCTGACTTCAAGTGATCCACTTGCCTTGGCCTCCCAAAGTGCTAGGATTACAGGTGTGAGCCACCACACCCAGCCCATTTACTTTCATCATCAAGACCCAAGTATTCTGGCCAGGCACAGTGGCTCACGCCTGTAATCCCAGCACTTTGGGAAGCCAAGGTGGGCAGATCACTTGAGGTCAGGAGTTTGAGACCAGCCTGGCCAACAAGGTGAAATCCTGTCTCTACTAAAAATACAAAAATTAGCCAGCATGGTGGCACACACCTGTAATCCCAGCTACTCGGGAGGCTGAGGCATGAGAATTGCTTGAACCTGGGAGGCAGAGGTTGCAGTGAGCCGCGATTACACCACTGCACTCCAGCCTGGGCAATAGAGCAAGACTTCGCCTCAAAAAAAAAAAAGAAAAGAAAAAAAGACCCAAATATTCTGACACACCTGAGTAGGAATTCAGAACTCACTGGAATTTCAAGCATATATCTGAGTCATTCTTTTGGTTTCTTTTGATTAGGTAATGTCTACATAGCTAAAGTAAAAGCAAGTAATTATCTGCTGAACCTCAAAATGCATCCTCATAAGCAAGACAGGTTTTTCAGGGGGAAAAAGAAGCATAAATATTCTTGCTGAGCTTCACATCCTAAAAGATAATAATAATAAACCTGTTTTTTTCCCTCGCTTCATCTTTGCAATTTAATGATAAAAAGCTATGAAAATCAGTTAGGAGGGCTAAAATCATGGCGTATTACTTGCTCACAGCATGATAAGCAAAAAGTCATAAGAATAAATAATTTCTTATCCTTGGTTTAGAATTATTCCTGTCAACAAGTGATGACATATTTCATTGTGTGTATCTTACTTAACATTTTATATCTCTACTTGCTTAAAATTTTAATACCAATGAAAGAAACATTTTAAAATAATAGATACATCTTCAACTACCTTTGGAAGGAGAGGTTTTTTTAAATAAAATTTCACATCTTTGGGGGATTAGAATTCAAAAACAGAAAAAGAGATTTCACTTTTCTTCCTTCTCCGAATCATAAGAAACAACTCTTATAGACATTTTCTCCCATGTTGTCTTTAACAACTTCATCTTCAAAACTATAAAGCAAAAAAATAAAATTCTAAGGCTCCCAATCATCTGAATGGACCCCTCTTGGCCATGGGCATACCAAAGTTGGTTCAGGCCTTGAAGGGAAGAAAGGGTCACACACGCCTCATTACACCCTCCTCCCTTCTGGAATTGAGGAAAAGCCATCCAGTGTTAACATCAACACAGATCTTAAGTCTGTTTAAAAAAATTTATAATCTGCTCTGTCTGAACCCTGCTATCTGTAAGCTTCATCTGCATGATAAAACTTTGGTCTCCACAACCCCTTATCATCATAACCCAGCGATTCCTTTCTATTGATTCCAGGTCTTTAGATAATAACTCTTTCAACCAATTGCCAATCAGAAAATCTTTGAATCCACCTATAAACTGGAAGCCCCCAGGCCACACCTTGCTTCTGGTTTGTCCCACCTTTCCAGACAAAACCAATGTACTTCATCTTACACATATTGATTGATGTCTCATGTCTCCCTAAAATGTATAAAACTAGGCTGTGCCCTGACCACCTTGGGCACATGTTCTCAGAGTTTCCTGACGGCTGTGCCACAGGCCATGGTCACTCATATTTGGCTCAGAATAAATCTCTTCAAATATTTTACAGAGTTGGACTCTTCTCGTTGACGAAATGATCATTCTTTTATGCCAACAGGTACTATTTTAAAAACTTAATAAAATATTTTACAGTAATTTGATTACTATATTAAAAACCAACACATTTAGAAGGAATTATCTTTTCTAACTACAAATTTTACTTTAAAGTTTTTACAAATACATAAAGAATTCTTGAATTTTTGTCTATCCTTTAATAAATCATTAAAAGAATTTTCAAATTTTCCACTTTCACTTTAGAGAGGCAAAATATAATGGTATACATGAGAAATAATTCTAAAGCATCAAATTCAAAGAAAATGGCCAGAGAAGCCTGGTTTAACTTATACACAAAATTTAACTTATACACAGGTGTTTTAAGGCCAAAGCTATTATATTTGCTTAAGGCAGTTTGCTTATCTTTATCTTTCTACAATTTGATTAGAATTTACCCTTTGAATTGGGACAGAGGTCTGTATTAGAACACAGTCAACTATAAAAGCTAACAATTTAATAATTTACTTGTACGTGATTTAACCTATAGTCTGGAATTATAATAAAATGAGCTTCTTGTTCTGAATACTCTGAAAGGAGTAAAGGCAAGAGAGAGCTTCAATGAAGTGCCAGAATGGAAGAGAACTACCAATTCTAAGGATCTCTAGTCACAGCAGCTTTAGGGCAGCAAGAAACACACAAAGCAATAATCCTGGTGCATGTGGCACTACTTTTTATTTTTTATTTTTTAGAGATGGGGGTCTTGCTTTGTCACCCAGGCTGTAATGCAGTGGCACAATCATAGCCAATTGCCACTTCAAATTCCTGGGCCCAAGGGATCCCCCCAACTCAGCCTCCCTAGTAGCTGGGACTATAGGCATGCACTACCTCACCTGGCCATGTGGCACTTTTGAAGGAACAGCCTATGAGACTTGTGACTCAGAAGTTCGAGGAGAGTGGTGACAACAGTGCACAGATGCCAATGGCATAACAAGGCATTAATGGCTGGCACTCAGGAGGCCAAATGGGCAGGAGGTTGGAGTTATGGGACTATAGGACATAGTGGAACCCTGTTTTAAAATAAATACTAGAATTGGGTATGAGAAAAATAAAAATACATTTTTGTGTAAGTATTGATGACACCTGTTATAGTCAAAACCCAAAGGGGAGGCCGGGCGCGGTGGCTTACACCTGTAATCCCAGCACTTTGGGAGACCCAGGTGGGTGGATCACATGAGGTCACGAGTTTAAGACTAGCCTAGCCAACATGGTGAAACCCTGTCTCTAAAAAAATACAAAAATTAGCCAGGCCTGGTGGCACGTGCCTATAATCCCAGCTACTCAGGAGGCTGAGACAGGAGAATTGGTTGAACCCGGGAGGTGGAGGTTGCAGTGAGCAGAGATTGCGCCACTGCACTCCAGCCTGGGCGAAAGAGAGAGGATCCATCTCAAAAAAAAAAAAAAAGAAAAGAAAAGAAAAGAAAAGAAAATACCCAAAGAAGAAAAAGGAATGCCCAGGGCATGATATTATCCATGACACCTCTGTCTCAAATTGTTCAATACATCCTCATACACACACACAAAAAGACTTCAACCTCTAAGATGACATCATTATAGCTTTATAAACATGACTCTTTTTGTTTAATCCATAACTACATCTTGTAAAAAGTGCTAAATAGGTTTTTACTAAATTTGGAGATCACGTTTTGCATAGTCTGAATTATATTAGGCCATTTGATATTTATTAAACTTTTTTAAAATCAGAAAGTCTTTTATATTTAAAGAGGAACATTAATTACCCCTTGCGCTTACATTTGTTTAATGGTCAATTTACTAAACTTCTATATCTAAGACATGAAAACTTGAAAATTACTATTTAACATTTAAACATTGATAACAAACTTAAATTTCCTTAAACAATTTAAACTAAAAATTTGAAATAATTTTTTACCATTTCAAATATATAAAAGACTACTGCTCTTAAACTAATTCTAAAATAACAGTATCATTGTTGTAATTCATTCTTCTTTATTTCTATACTTGTTCTTATACCTTTTTAAGATTAAAGTAATTCTTATTCTGATACCTTCCCAGGGTTACAGATTACCTGCTTTTTTGTTGGGGCATGAGATTATTTCTCTCAAGATTATTCCAACCTGACCAGCCAATTATCTGGCTTTACTTATAAATAAATACCTTAAACTTCACAAAGGTTATTTTTTGTAATCTAATGTTTTGTCCGAGAATGCTTTAAGTTTTACTTGGTTGGTGTTACAAAAGCTTTTCTCTTGTCATTTATTATGTGCTGATATGTTATGTAGTGTTACTAGAAACTTATTCCTGCCATTTAGTATCTTATCATGATAGGCAGGGCCATCTAAGGCTTTTATTTACTAAGAGATAAGGATCTAGTCTCTGCAGAAAAGTCTCCTTAATTGGATATCAGGTTAATTTGTCATCTGGGGACACAGACCCCACTTTATATGTTTTATGTGTCACTGCTGGTACTGTGTGATGGGCCTTCCTTTCCTTGGTACAATTCTTACTTTTTCCAGGACTCCTTGACTCTTTCCCTACTTAAACAGTGATAAACAAAAATATCCTATGTTTTATAAATAGACATGTATTTAATTAAGAAAATGCACAGATATTAACAGGCCCCCAATTCTTAGTTATTAAAACTTTCTTTTTTGAGATAGGGTCTCACTCTGTCACCCGGGCTGGAAACATGGCTCATGCAGCCTGAACCTCCTGGGCTCAAGCTGTCCTCCCGCCTCAGCGCAGCTGAGACTATAGGCATGAACCACCATAGCCTGGATAATTTTGTGTGTGTGTAGCGATGGGGGTCTTGCTGTGTTTCCCAGGCTGGTCTCGAACTCTTAGGCTCAAGCAATCACCCTGGCTCAGCCTCCCAAAGTGCTGGGATTACAGGTGTGAGCCACCACATCCAGCCCATCCTTAAACATCCTGCTGTAGTTGTTTTTCTTTTTGTATTGAGACAATCTTTTGTACACTCCTAACATTTTTTGAGTATCATTATGAACTCATGGTCTTTTCACAAACTTATTTGCATGAACTCTAAATTCCTGGGTTTTTATCCCTACTTAATTTATCAGTTTGGCCAGTTTATCACAGTTTGGCCACAGCACCATTGAGCTAACCATTTATCCTCCAGCACTGGCCCCAGACATCCTTGAAAGCATCCTTGCTTTTCAGTAATAATTGTATGTTCAGGCTCATCCTGATATTGTCATGCTCCAAAAGTGATCAGCTACCCTTTAAGAATCCCTGGTTTATTTAGCATTCACACCCTTAGCACCCACATACTTGGTATTTAGTAGGCTTAATAAGTATTTGTTAAAAGAATAAACAATATTAAAGACCAAACTCTAGACAGTTAAAGTATACGTAAGAGCTGGTGGTGGGCAAAAGTGGTACTGCTTTGTTGTAGCAACAGAGCAAGAGAAGACAGAGCTTTTTAAATTTATCTTTCCAAAATGATACCATGTCCTTGTATCCTTTTCTTATAATACTAGGTATCATTAAACACTATAAATATTTACTACATTGTGACACAATATACCTGACATTCACTCTGGAGGAATCATTGGTAGACACTGCAAAGAGATAGACAGCTATCCTCTAATACAGCTCAAACCAAGGCAAAACTGGCCTGTGTGACTGCCAGTCAAGAAAGACATGAAATTCTTATTAAAAATCTTATGAACATAGGAAACAAACTTTGTTTTCAAATTTCAGCCCCCAAATCACATTTTGAGTAGCAGATACTAATGGCATCTGAGCTGCTACTCCCATAGGTAATTCTATGAAGCATGCCCCAAGTCAATAGCAACACTGATTTCATATTTATAAACATATAGTAAGCCAGGCTCAGTAGAGCATGCCTGTAGTCCCAACTACTCGGGAGGCTAAGGCAGGATAATTTGCCTGAGCCCAGGAGGTCAAAGCTAATCTGAGCAACATAGCAAGACCACATCTCTACCAAAAAAAAAAAAAAAAAAAAAAAAAAAAAAAAATATATATATATATATATATATATATATATATATATATATATATATATATATATATATATATGGTTGACCAGCCTAGTTGTAAATAAATGTATATCTAACTAAGTCTTCTATTTTTAGGCAAAGACTAATTTCCTTTATATGACTCTACCATGAAAACATACCTTCAATATTTTGGTGGTTCAATGAAAGTCCAGACTGGCGAAACGACCCAATGAACATTGAACAGTTTTTTCTAGTCCTAAAAAATCAATTAATAAAAATAAATTTTAAAATGGAAGAAAAAATAGTGTTTCTCATTCAAATACAATTTAATTTTTCTTTTTCACTTAAAGGGCTTTCCAAATAGGATAATTTTTTGCTATATCATTCCAATTATTTTTACAATTATTACCAATTTGTTAACATTTTCATTTCAAGTAACTGCACAAATGAAGGAGAGAGCTGAAAAAATAATAAATGACCTGAGGAGTGTATACAAGCTAAACTACATTTAGGTCTGAAGGTGACTTTGGAGGTGACTGTTTGCCAAATAGGGGCAGGAAGGTCAGGGAGAAAATGGTCCTGAAATACGTAGTTTTTCTATCTACATCATCAAACACACTGATAGTTTGTCATTAGTTTTAGATGTAAGTGAGAGTCATTAATGATAAATTTCTCCAGGCATTACTTATCATTCTTGTATTTCACAGCAGGCAAAGAAAAGGTAGGGAATACCGAAGGGAGGAAGTTAAAAGCAAAATAAGGGTCATGCCTAATCTGCAATTTTCATCATCTGCCCTGTGATAATTAAAAGCTGATTAAAGAAAGGCAATCAGCTAACTGTATTTTTTCTCAGCCTAATTTACTGCATAAATGTAATCAAGATACCTTCCTTTAAAAAAAAAGCCTCTCATTTCAGCTGTTTTAAGAGCAGTTTTTAATGCAGTAGGCACAGCTACTGGAGTCCTATGCAAGAGTAATAAATTAAGCATTCTCTCCTATCCAAAAACAGAAGTGATCAGTATAAGCTGTCTTCAGATAAAAATGAAGCTATTCATGTAGAATGATAATTTTTGAAGCAAATAGAAAAGAATGCTGATTTTTTTCCTAAAGTGTGATTTTTTAAGAACAAGCTGAAAGCAAAATAAAACCATAGTTTAACAGAATTTTTTCCCTTAATTGCAAGAGTATTTAAGACATAGTCTGAAAATAGAGCAAAGCTTCATCTAAATTATTACAAATATTTATGTTAGGTAAGACTACAAACAACCTAAATGTCCAGTAGTAGAGGAATAATTAAATGAATTATAGTAAAGTCAGTAATACAATAAGGTATTATAAGGTCATCAAAATTCACATTTTTAAAAACATTATGACACAAGAAAATAACTTTGATAAACTATTACTTAAAATTTAAAAACAGGATACAAAACTATCTGCAAGATGATCCCAATTTTGTAGAAAGTATGAACAAAAACAAAAATATAAATAAAGCCTAAAGTAAAACGTACCAAAATGTTAACAAATGGTTCTCTAGGCAGAGAGAATATGGATGCTATATTAGTCTTCCTTAGTCTTTTCTTTTTTTATTTCTTTAAATGAACTTATAATGTTGGTAGCTGGGGCAAAAGGGTTATTTTACAACAATAGAAGTTTTCAAACTTTTTGATCTTCAGACTCCTTTATACTCTTAAAAATTATTGGTGTCTTACACTTATTTATATCTACATATTAGAAACTAAAATGAAGAACAAAACTAAATATGTATAAATTTTTAAATGACAGCAATAATCCAGGAACATATTAATATATTTTTATGAAAAATTATCTTTTCCAAAATGAAAAAAATTAGCGAGAGAAGTTGCAATTTTTGACATTTTTAATAATCTCTTTAATGTGTGGCTTAATGAAAGATGACTATCATCCTATATCTGCTACTGCATTCAATCTGTTGCCATATATAATTTTATTTGAAGTATATAACAAAAATCTGGCTTCACACAGATATGGGGTTGGAAAAGGGAGGAGTATTTTAATAGCCTTTTTGGATAATTGTGAATATTGCTTGGGTACAGAAAATAATACCCCAAAATACGACGCTATGGCAAGCTGCGTACTCTGAATTAAAGAAAATTGAAAGGCCTGAGAAATAAGCTTCAGAACCAAGGTCTCCATCTGAGCTTTCCCCTCACCCCCCACCCCATTTCTCTGATCTTTTTTTCTTGAAGCACCTGAAGGGACTCTCTCCAGAATTTCCTTATCTGACTGAGAAAGCTTCTTGAAAAAATAAAATAAAATGGTCTTAAAATCCCCTCCCTAGGAATCTCATTAAACAACCAGGAAAGATTAACCATCAGAGAAAAGACTAAAAGTCTCTAAGGCCAGGTGACAGGACACTATGTCCAGACAAATTCTTTATCTATTCTTCTGACAGCAGCTCCAAGAGACTACCCAAGACTTTATCTGCCTAAGACAACCTTTGTTCAGAGTGAAGTTCTGTCTCTCATCTTCCCATCAATTCCCCAAAACTTAGAGGAACTTGTCCCAGGCCATTGTTTTTTGGGCATATTCATTTCCCCTGAAAATCATTTACTGCTATATCCTCCATCTCCTCTTCCCCTATGAAGAATGGTATATAAACATCTGGACCTCACTGGGTTATTGGGTAACCACACTCCTGTGATTTTCCCCCATGTACATTAAATAAACTTTATATGCATTTTTATTCTATAAATCTTTCTTTTTGTCTGTTCATTTTCAGCAAACCTTCATTGAGGGTAGAGGACGCTTTCCCCCTCTACCCCTAAAATATTCTTTTTCAATATTACAGCAAAATTATTTAATCAACAATACTTTCCTAAAAGGGAAATGTAGGAAACTCAAACAAAATTAATGAACTTTTTGCATTCTATTACATTAAAACTCATAGTCTATCTTGCACTTTTGAATGAGTCTTTTACCTTTACATGATTTTGTAACATCATGCATTGGTCTTTTAGAAAATACTTATGCACTGAGTTATGTATGTTTTCCTAATGTTGACATATTTTATTATAAAATATCAAAAAATCACCTCTCAAGTTAAAAAAAAAAGGTGAAACCAGTTTTCTTCCAATGCTTACAACTCAAACAAGTGCACAGGTGTTTTACTCAAGATAAACATCATGGCTGCACACGGTGGCTCATGCCTGTAATCCCAGCACTTTGGGAGGCCCAGGCAGGTGGATCACTTGAGGCCAGGAGTTCAAGACCAGCATGGCCAACATGGCAAAACCCTGTCTCTACTAAAAATACAAAAATTAGCCAGACAAGGTGGCACACACCTGTAGTCCCAGCTACTTGGGAGGCTGAGGCACAAGAATTGCTTGAATCTGGCAGACAGAGGTTGCAGTGACCCGAGATCACACCACTGCACTCCAGCCTGGGTGACAGACTGAGACTATGGTTCAAAAAAAAAGATAAATATCACATAGCAGTATGCACAGAAATGCTTTAAGCATACTTTCTATTTCATCACACAGAATATTAAAAATATATATACTCAAAGGTGGAGACTTACTAAAATTAATAATTTTCCTGCCTTATCAAACACAAATTGTGTTAAGTGAAACTGGCTTCTTTTTATTTATGTAACTGACAGCACACATCAGTGAAAAAACACAATGACTACTAATATTCTTTGGTGCCACTGCCTTGGTTCCTGTTAAGACTCCAGCATTTTACCCACCATTACTTTAGCACTATTGTGCAAATGTAAATACCATGAAATAGGCAACTAATGTGTTAGTATTATTATGAAAATAGTTTTGACCTCACAGACCCTCTAAAAGAATCTCATGGATTCCCAAAGTGTTCACAGACCATACTTTGAGAATCATTGTTTTAAAAGAACTGAAAGGACAGTTTCTTTCCTTCCTTCCTTCCTTCCTGCCTTCTTGCTTTCTTGCTTTCTTTCTTGCTTTCGAGACAGAGTCTTACTCTGTTGCCCAGGCTGGAGTGCAGTGGCATGATCTCAGCTCATTGCAACCTCCGCTTCCCAGGCTCAAGCAATTCTCATGCTTCAGCCTCCTGAATAGCTGAGATTACAGACGCCCACCAACACGCCCGGCTAATTTTGTATTTTTTATTAGAGATGGGGTTTCACCATGTTGGCCAGACTGGTCTGGAACTCCCGACCTCAGGTAATCTGCCTACCTTAGCCTCCCAGAGTGCTAGGATTACAGGCGTTAGCCACTATGCCTGGCCGAGTTTCTTAAGGTATAATAAGTTTATAAAGTCTAATTTCAATAAGTTTTACAAATTCTTCCTTCATGCCATGCTTTTATTTATTTGCAGCCCCTTCATAAATTTGCACCTTCAAGCTATGCTTTAAATTCGCTTTTAAAATAATAGAGAACCAAGTTAATCTGATTCAATGCTTCTTATGAAATAAAACTTATCTAGAATGTATGTAAAATAACATATACTTTTGCTACAAAATGGGCAATTATTCAAAAATATACAATAATTCTAAAACTCTTAAAAATGAATATTCATCTTAGATGTGCAAAATGACAAAAATACCTACAACATAATGAAGCCAAAAATTAGTATACTTACTGTAACAGAGCTTGATTTCGTTCTGTTTCATCTTGAGACTGCTAGGAAAAAAAAAAGTTTTTTCCAACTGATAAGTGTTAATTCAATGCAACAAGCTAAAAAAATTAACATTTAAAGTAATTTTTGTGTTATTCTTTCTTAGCTTCTTTTTATGGTGGTAAAATACACATAAAATTTACTATCTATTTACTATCTGTACATTTTTAAGTGTACAGTTCTCTGGCATTAAGTATACTCACACTGTTGTACAACCAAGACCATCATGAACTTCCAGAACTTTTTCATTTTCCCAAAGTGAAACTCCATGCTCATTAAACACTAACTCCCCACTCCCCTCTCCACAACCCATGGCAGCCACCATTCTGCTTTCTGTCTTTATTGATTTACTACTCTAGAAACATCATATAAGAGATACAAAATTTTAATCATTCTGTGACTAGTTTATTTCACTTAGTATTCAAGGTTTATCTATGTTGTGGCATGTATCTGCATTTTCTTCCATTTTAAGACTGAATAATATTCTACTGTATGTATGTACCACATTTGGTTTATTCATCTATTGATGGACACTTGCAGTGCTTCCACCTTTTTTGGCTATGGAGAATAATGCTGCCATGAACATGTGTGTACAAATATATCTATTCAAGTCCCTGCTTTCACTTCTTCGGCATATACAATCAGAAGTGAAATTGCTAAATCATTAAGGTGATTCTATGTTTAACTTTTTTAAGGAATAGCCACACCATTTTCCACAGCAGTTGCATCATTTTACATTTCCATCTGCTATGTACAAGGGTTCCAATTTCTCTACATTCTTGCCAACACTTGTTATTTTGGGTATTTTTTTTAAATAATAGTCATCATAATGAGTGTAAAGTGGTATTTCATTGTGATTTTGATTTGCATTTCCCTAATGATTAGTGATATTGAGCATCTGTTCATTGGCCATTTTTATATCTTCTTTGGTGAAATGTCTATTTGAGCCCTTTACTCATTTTTTAATTCAGTTGTTTTTTTTTCTGCTGTGGAGTTGTAAGAACTCTTTATATATTCTGTAAACCATACATGATTTGCAAATATTTTCTCCCATTCCATAAGATGCTTTTATACTCTGTTGGTGGTGTCCTTTGACGCTCAAAAGTTTTTAATTTTCATGTAATCTAACTTATCTATTTTTTCTTTTGTTGCCTGTGCTTTTGGTGTGATAACTAAGAAATCATTGCCAGATCCAATGTCACGATACTCTTCTCCAACGTTTTCTTCTAAGAGTTTTATAGTTTTGGCTCTTCTGTCTTTATCATAACTCCTTTCCATACATACACAAAAAAGTAGAACTTAAGTGAAGAGAAAGAGAAGTGCTCTTTTTTTTATTCCTAGTTTTTTCCTCTTCATTAATATGTGATGATTCTGAACAGCCATTCTTGTCCAGTTCTAAGTTTTAATATTTCCCCTAAGGACCAGAAATTATATGACCTCTGTGTTACAGTGTTAAATACTAAACTGGGCAGGGCACAGTGGGTCACACCTGTAATCCTGGCACTTTGGGAGGTCAACATAGGCAGATAGCTTGAGCCCAGGAGTTGGAGACCAGCCTAGGAAACATGGCAAAACCCAGTTTCTACAAAAACAAAAACAACAACAACAACAACAACAAATTAGCCAGGCATGGTTGCCCATGCCTATAGTTCCAACTACCTAGGAGGCTGAGGTGGGAGGATCACCTGAACCCAGGGAGGTCAAGGCTGCAGTGAGCTGTGATGGCACCACTGCACCCCAGCCTGGGTGACAGAGACCCCAACTCAAAACTGATTCTGCCTAATTCTTAATACATATCAGAAAATCTGAAGTTGTTGTGTCCCTTTCGAAAAAGATAAAATACACTGATAACATGCTTCCATTTTAAGAGTTCACAACCTACTGGCTTTTGTCACTTTAAAAGGAATCTTTACCTTTAATATGTTGTCAGCATCTAAGAGCTTTAGAAAAAGACTTCTCTTTAGGGGCCCTTTATGTTTGTTTCTATGATAAATTATAAAGCTCTCTGAAAATAAAGCCATTAGGCTGAACTTGCAAGCATTTTCATGATTACACTAATACAATACAGAGCTAATGCCACTGAATACAGGTGGGGGCTGGAGATGTTAATTCGTTAATGAACAACATGCAAATCATATCAAAAAACACAAATAAAGCAATGTGATAACCTCAACCTTCTCCAATTAATGCTCAGTATTATATACTGATAATGCATCCCTAAACACCCCAAAGTTACATTAGTTTCACACATATATACTTCCCAAGCAGGCTTTACAGAGCTCAGAGGCCAAAGATAAGAAATGTCGAGAGACAAACCCAGAAACTCCCAAGAATTAATTAAACAGGGTATACCTACACACTTACAAGATATTTCTGTGTCTCTGCAAAGTAATTTTTCAAATATTTGTAATTTTCATTTATCTTACTAAAGGACCAGTGACTTTTCCTGTTGAGGACTAATTATTCACTTGACTGTACCTACTTAAGGTTCTACACGGAACTCCTGGGCTCAAGCTATCTGCCCATGTTGGCCTCCAAAAGTGCAAAAGGTAAATGCAAAAGGTAAGAAAGCAAGTAGGAAGGAAGGTTGCTCCTGACAGCTGATTTATTTCCTCCTCTATAGACAGAACTACCAACCAAGAGCTAATGCCATTGAATACAAGTGGGGGCTGGAGCTGTTAATTTGTTAATGAACAATATGCAAGAATACATGTCAATCAATTTTTTCATAAGAAACACAAATTGGCATCTATCTTTTTAATACATGTGACTGAACCTTCCCCTGTCTTTACCCCACTGCATTTTGACAAGGCCATTAAACCGTAGAGTTTTCTTGTTGTTTTTTTTGTTTTGGAGCTAGGATGTGAGAGGTAAGAGAGGTTAATTGTGTTAATTTAGAGGATCTAGAAAAGAAGCAAATCTATTTCTATATCCTCAACCAAAAAAGCAATCTCCTGCTATCTGAGAACATTCTCTTTCACTGATTCATGGATAACTGGGAGTGGAGTGGAAGAAGTCTGGCTTGCCGGATCAGCCCAACCAATCCTGGCTCTCCATGACACACTGAATGTCTCACACAAACTACCTTCACATTTGGTAGACCAGAATAGTAGTTACTGGTATTCAATAAGCGTTTGAAGTACCTGGATGAATTGCTAACAACATTTGCTTAAGATATCTTTCTTTCAGAGTGAGGTACCCAAACTTGGTCATGTATATAGATATTTAAAAATATTTTCAAATATCCATACAATTGCCTTTTAGAGCGTTCCCTCTGGACATATGGTACCATCTGTGTACTGCTTCAGTATTCTTAAATGTTGACATCCACTCACTAGGATCTAAACACAATTTAAATACACAGTGATTTAACCACTGAATGAGAATTGTCTTTACTCTAGCTAAGTTAGGTGCTAAAGCCCCATTTTCATCCTACTTCTTCCCAGAAATATTCCTAAGTCATTGCAACTTCTGAACAGAGACAGCAATTTTAGGAAGCAAGTTAGGATGAATTAAAGAGCCAGGAAAAGTATACCATTGGCAGTAGTGATCAGCTCAGTAGCATCAGGGGTACCTAACTTTAGAAAAATCACATTGTATTTGAGTAGCCCAGCAATTTATTACTCAGTGAGGCAGCTAGTAAGAGAGAATGCTACCTGCCCACGGGGGCTTTAAAAGACCATGCAGTGCATAATCTCTCCATGAGCTCTGGCCTTGCCAGCCCTGATCCTTCTTCCATTACACACACATCAAACAAGCCTGTGGTTATTTATTTCCCCTTCAAGGTTCTCTTTAATGCTCATTTTAACTGATTCTCTCTCTGAATCTTGATAAAGATAGAAGATGGAGGCTGCAAAAGGGAAAAGGAAAGTGAGATTCAAGTTGTATTCACAACTCTCAGATAAATAGTCCTGAGGCAGAAGAAGCGGCCTACTGGTAATAATTGTACAATTCAATTAATCTTTACTCCCTGTCAACAAGTATCTTCTAGATGACCAAAAACTGACTATGAGACCAGTGATGCCCACTGTATTAGTCAGGATCCTCCAGAGAAACAGAACCAATGGGATGTGTACATATGTAGAAAGAGATTTATTATAAGGAATTGGCTCCCACAATTATGGAAACTGGCAAGTGCAAATATGCAGTGTGACCTGTCGGGCTCGAGACACAGCCAGCCAATGGTATAGTTCCAGTCTAAAGGTCAACAGGCAGAGAACCAGAACAGGCAATAGTACAGATGGAGTTTAAAGGCCAGCAGGAAATCATCCGGGAGAGCTAATGGTGCTGATAAAATCTAAAGACAGTCTGCTGTAGAATTCTCTCTTGCGGGGAGAGGCAGGTCTTTTTGTTCTATTCAGGTCTTCAACTGATTAGATGAGGCCTACCCACATGATGGAGGGCAGTCTGCTTTACTCAGGTCCACTGACTTTAATGTTAATTTCATTCAAAAACACTCACAGAATATCCAGAATAATGTTTGACCAACTATCTGAACATTCTGTGACCCAGCCAAGTTGACACATAAAATGAACCATCATGCCCCCCTAATTTTGACATACCCATGTCTCCATTATCTCTCCAGGCATATCACTAAACTCTCCACACAAACCAAAATCTATTCATGTAAAGTTTTAAAACTGCTTGCCATATAGCATACATGTAAAGAACTAGAAAAGGTATTTTATAAGACCCAACAAAAATGAGGAGTATGAAATATTTTTAAAGATTGATGCCTACATTTTAAAAAATTAATATGACATACATCAAATCAAAGATCTTCTATTTCTTCATTGTTTGTTCTTATTTAAAATAGCTCATCATTTCTAAAATAGTATTCTTTAAAGTTGAAATATCAATATTGGTATCTGTGAATCTGGGAAGAATTTATTTAGAAACCTGTTTCATAATTATTTAGAATTTACTTAGAAATCTAATTCCAGTTGCAAAACAACAAATTAAAAAAAAAACTCTGAGAAAGTACCTTTTCATATCTCAATTTCTTTATCTGATAAAATCAGTTTCTCTCATATAGTTAAATTTCAAAAGGTTTATTTTCATAGGATAAAACAATGAAAGAAGCAACATTTATCAATTTAGAAAATAGTATTAATTAAAATTTGCTACAGATGTTCACATACTGGGATTACATTGCCTTTTACTGTAGACAAAAGTAGGATATAAAAGAAAGTTAAAGGAGGTATCTATTTTTCCAATGAAAGTTTTTTAAAAAGAACCAAATATCCAATACTTCACTTATCCTTCTTAATCTAATTTTATAACAAGCCCATACTCAGCAGATGGCTAGTTTACTATCTGATGATAAAGTTTTGAAGAATACATTTGTTAACTCTTCAAGTCCTCTAAGGCAATTGTTCCAAGCTGACTGAATATTAGAAATTAATTGGAAGGCTTTTGAAAACTGAACATTCCCAGGTTCCACCCAAGTATGGGTCTGAGAATCCATATATTTAAAAAGCTACCCAAATGGGTCTGAAAATCTTACTTTTTAAACCATGTTCTGAGGTACAATACAGTTCCTGGTACAACAATCACATAGCAAATGTTTCTGAAATAAATTGAAAGAAAAATAATTATTACCTCCTATTTCACAATTACTGAAGCCAGAGGAAATAAATATTACTTTTTCTGAACTCAGAAGTTACAAAATTAATTTTTAAATGAGTTATTAGAAGGCAAATATAGATCTCTCAATTTCAAGGAAAGATATTTGGTGTTAAATGTTTTGCTTTTTATCAGAGATCATTTATTTGATACACTTTCCTAAGTATGATATTAAGTAGACCTTCACATTAACTTTTGGGAAATGCTGTCAGTTTCTGCTACTAAAATGTATGTATCTTTCCTTCCATTCCTTATCTCTGGTTAGCTAACTTACTTATGCCAAGGTGCTAACAGAATCATCCCTTACTTTTCCCCATGACATTTACTTTAAAAAAAAATTGAGATCTTTCTAACTTTTTGATGTGGGTGTTCAGTGCTATAAATCTCTTTCTTAACACTCCTTAGCTGTGCCCCAGAGATTCTGGTATGTTGTGTCTTTGCTCTCATTAATTTCAAAGAATGTCTTGATTTCTGCCTTAATTTCATTATTTACCCAAAAGTCATTCAGGAGAAAGTTGTTTAATTTCTGTGTAATATTATGGTTTTTGAGCAATTTTCTTGGCCTTGACTTCTATTTTTATTGAGCTGTGGTCCAAGAGTGTGGGTGGTATGATTTCAGTTTTTTGAGTTTGATGAAAATTGTTTCATGTCCGATTGCAGGGTAAATTTTAGAATATGTGCCATGTGGCAATGAAAAGAATGTATATTCTGTTGTCTTCGGGTGGAGAGTCCTGTAGATGTCTACTAGGTCCATTTGGTCAAGTGTTGAGTTCAGGTCCTGAATCTCTTTGTTAATTTTCTGCCTCAATCATCTAATACTGTTGGTGTGGTGTTGAAGTCTCCCAGTATTATGGTGTGGGAGTCCAAGTCTCTTCTTAGGTCTCTAAGAACTTGCTTTATGAATATGGGTGCACCTGAGTTGGGTGCATACAGATTTAGGACAGTTAAGTCTTCTTGTTGAATGGAACCCTTTACCATTAAGTAATGCCCTTCTTTTTCTTGCTATGGACTAGGGAAGGGAATGCCCCTCTTTGTCTTTTTTGATCTTTGTTGCTTAAAGGCTGTTTTGTCTGAAATTAGGATTGCATCACCTGCTTTTTTCTGTTTTCTATTTGCTTGGTGGATTTTTCTCCAACCTTTTATTTTGAGCCTATGGGTATCACTGTATGTGAGATGGGTCTCTTGAAGACAGCATACCTCTGGGTCTTACCTCTTTATCCCACTTGCCACTCTGTGTCTTTTAATGGGGACATTAAGTTCATTCATATTCAACATTAGTATTGATATGTGTGGATTTGATCCTGTCATCATGTTGTTAGCTGGTTATTATGCAGATCTGTTTGTGTGGTTGCTTTATACTGTCACTGGTCTGTGTACTTAAGTGTGTTTTTGTAGTGGCTGGTAACAATCTTTCCTTTCCATATTTAGGGCTTCTTTTAGGAGCTCTTGTAAGGAAGTTCTGGTGGTAATGAATTCCCTGAGCATTTGCTTGTCTCAAAAGGATCTTATTTCTCAAATTAACAACTAAACATACAACTAGAAGAACTGGAGAAGCAAGAGTAAAGCAACCTCAAAGCTGGTAGAAGAGAAGAAATATCCAAAAATCAGAGCTGAACTGAAGGAGACAGAAACATGAAAACCTTACAAAAGATCAACAAATCCAGAAGTTGGTTTTTTGGAAAAAATTAATAGGACAGATAGAATTCTAGGTAGACTAATAAGGAAGAAAAGAGAGAAGATCCAAATAAACACAGTTAGAAATGGCAAAGGAGATGTTACCACTGACCCCACAAAAATGCAAACAGCCATCAGAGACAACTATCAACACCTCTATGCACATAAATCTAAAATTCCAGAAGAAATGGATAAATTCCTGGACGTATACATCCTTCCAAAACTGAATCAGGAAGAAATTGAATACTTAAACAGACCAATAATGAGCTCTGAAATTAAATCAGTAATAAACAGCCTACCAACTAAAAAAAGCCCAGGACCAGAGAGATTCACAGCTGAATTATAACAGATGTACAAAGAAGAGCTGGTGCCATTTCTACTGAAGTTATTACAAAAAATTGAGGAGGAGAGACTCATCCCCAACTCATTCTAGGAGGCTAGCATAATCCTGACACTAAAACCTGTCAGAGTCACAACAAAAAAAAGAAAACTTCAGGCCAATATCCTTGATGAATATATATGCTCATCAAAATCCTCAACAAAATACTAACAAACCAAATGTGAATTCGCACAACAAAAAGCTAATTCACCAGGATCAAGCAGGCCTTATCTCTGGAATGCTTCAACGTATTCAAATCAATAAATGTGATTCATCAAACATATTCAAACATATTCAAATCAATAAATGTGATTCATCAAACAGAAATAAAAGACAAAAACCACATGATTATCCCAACAGATGCAGAAAAGGCTTTCAATCAAATTCAAATCCCTTCATGTTAAAAACCCTCAATTACCTAGGCATTGAAGGAACAACTCCAAAATAATAAGAGCCACCTATGACAAAGCCACAGCCACCACCAAACATCATACTGAATGGGCAAAACTTGGAAGCATTCCCCTTGAAAACCAGAACAAAATAAGGATGCCCTCTCTCACCACTCCTATTCAACATAATATTGGAAGTCCTGGCCAGAGCAGTCAGGTAAGAGAAAGAAATAAAAGGCATCCAAATAAAAAGAGAGGAAGTCAAACTATCCCTGTTTGCAAATGACATGCTTCTATATCTAGAAAACCCCATAGTCTCTGCCCAAAAGCTCCTTGAGCTGATAAGCAACTTCAGCAAAGTTTCAGAACACAAAATTGATGTACAAAAATCAGTAGCATTCCTATACACCAAAAGCAGCCAAACTGACAGCCAAAAGTAACACAGTCCCATTCACAATTGCCAAAACAACAACACCAAAAACAAACAAACAAGCAACAAACAAAAAAAGTAGGAATCCAGCTAACTAGGGAGGTGAAAGATCTCTACAATGATAATTATAAAACACTGCTCAAAGAAATCATAGGTGACACAAATAGAAGAACATTCCATACTCATGAATAGGAAGACTCAATATCGTTAAAATGGGCATATCAACCAAAGCAATTTACAGATACAATGCTATGACATCCTTCACAGAACCAGAAAAAAACTATTCTAAAATTCATAGGGAACCAGAAAAGATCCCGAATAGCCAAGGCAATCCTAAGCAAAAGAAAAAGCTGGAGGAATCACATTGCCTGTCTTCAAACTGTACAAAGCTACAGTAACCAAATCAGCATGGTACTGGTACAAAAATAGACACATAAACAAATGGAACAGAAGAGAATGCCCAGAAATACAGCTACACATCTATGACCATCTGATCTTTGGCAAAGCTGACAAAAACAAGCAATGAGGAAAGAACTCCTTATTCAATAAATGGTGCTGGGATAACTGGCTAGCTATATACAGAAGGTTGAAACTGGACCCCTTTCTTATACCGTATATAAAAATCAACTCAAGATGGATTAAAGATCTAAATATAAAACGTAAAACTATAGAAACCCTGAAAGATAACCTAGGAAATACCATTTTGGACATGGAAACTGGCAAAGATTTGATGAGGAAAATTCCAAAAGCAATCACAAGAAAAACAAAAACTGACAAATGGGACCTAATTAAACCAAACAGCTTCTGCACAGCAAAAGAAACTATCAACAGAGTAAACAGGCAACCTACAGAATGGTAGAAAACATTTAACAGGCAACCTATGGAATGGGAGAAAACGTTTGCAAATTATACATCTGACAAAGGTCTAATATACAGAATCTACAAGGAACTTACAAAAATGTACAGGCAAAAAGCAACTCCATTAAAAAGTGGGCAATGGCCGGGAACGGTGGCTCACACCTGTAATCCCAGCACTTTGGAGGCTGAGGCGGGTGGATCACCTGAGGTCGAAAGTTCGAGACCAGCCGAACCAACACAGAGAAGCCCTGTCTCTACTAAAAATACAAAAAAATTAGCCGAGCATGATGGTGCATGCCTGTAATTCCAGCTACTCGGGAGGCTGAGGCAGGAGAATCACTTGAACCTGGGAGGCAGACACTACAGTGAGCTGTGATCATGTCATTGCACGCCAGACTGGACAACAAGAGCAAAACTCCGTCTCAAAAAAAAAAAAAAGTGGGCAAAAGACATGAACAGACACTTTACACAAGAAGACATATACGTGGCCAACAAGCATCCAAAAAAATGCTCAATGTCACTAATCATTCAGGAAATGCAAATCAATGAGATACCAGCTCACACCAGTCAAAATGGCTATTAAAAGTTAAAGAATAACAGGCCAGGTGCAGTGGCTTATGCTTGTAACCCCAGCACTTTGGGAGGTCAAAGTGGGCAGATCCCTTGCAGTCAGGAGTTTGAGACCAGCCTGGCCAACATGGCAAAACCCTGTCTCCACTAAAAATACAAAAATTACCCAGGCATGGTGGCACGTGGTGGAATACTATGCAGCCATAAAAAAGAATGAGATCATGTCCTTTGCAGCAACATGGATGGAACTGGAGGCCATTATCCTTAGCAAACTAATGCAGAAACAGAAAACCAAATAACGCATGTTCTCACCTACAAGTAGGAGCTAAATCATGAGAACACATGGACAGAAGGAGGGGAAAAACAGATACTGGAGCTTACTTGAGGGAGAATGATGGGAGAAGGAAAAGGTTCAGAAAAAAAAAACCTGTGGGGTACTATGCTTAGTACCCAGGTGATAATAATCTGTACACCAAAAAAATTGATTCTCAGAAATCTACATGCAGTTTGAAATGACATAAATGTCAAAATCATATTTTAAAAGACAAAAAAAGTAAAAATTCTTTGTGTGTGTGTGTGCAGGCACATACATATACATACACTCACACACATAAGACAACGGAAGTGTCTTTTCAGTGGCCTATATCTCAAATTATACCATACAGGCTATATCTTCTTCACAAGTTTAAGAAGAATCCCTAATATAAAATGGAGATGAAAATCATAATTATTACATCCTATTTTAACCTCTGTTCCTCTCATATCTGCATCTCTACCAAAGGGTGAAAAACATAAGAGGTGTAAGAGTGGACAAAAGAAAACACAGTTCACTTTTGAACAACACAGGCTTGAACTGTGTTGGTTCACTTATACATGAATTTTTTTCAACCCCTGCCGCCCCTGGGAAAGCAAAACCAACCCCTCCTCTTTCTCTCTTTTTCTTCCCCAGTCTACTCAATGTGAAGACAATAGGATGAAGATCTTTATGATGACCCACTTGCACTTAATGAATAGTAAATATGTTTTCTCCTCTTTATGATCTTCTTAACATTTTCTTTTCTCTATCTTACTGTGTTGTAACAATACAGTATATAATACATATAAAAGAATATGTATTGACTATCAATAAGGCTTCCAGTCAACAGTAGGCTATAAGTAGTTAAGTTTTGGGAGAGTCAAAAGTTGCATGTGGATTTTTCACTGCACAGAGGGTCAGCATCCCTAACTCCCAAATTGTTCAAGGATCAACTGTATTTTAAATTCTCCCTTCTAAAACAATTGTTTTCATCAAAGTTGCAACAAAGAAATAGAATGACTAGTTAAGAAAGAGGTAAAAATTAATAAGAAAAGAGGAAAGAAGCAAAATATAGACAAAAAGAATTATCATTAGTAATTTGCCACTCTGAGCGATAGCATTTCCAATTTTTAATGAGTATGTATTCAATCAACATGCTACACACCTGTAATATTGTATCCTCGCTAAGAACAGGCATCATCTTATTTTTATTCATTTGCTCTTGCAGATCCTCTCTGAGCTTAAATCCAAGTTGAATCTCAGGAGAAGGCATGCCTAGAGTGAAACATAATCATAAATCATTTACAACAGTTTTATTGCTCTGCTTTGATAATGGCCCAATAATTTTATACGCATGCAAAATGTTATCAAGAATCATCTAGTATATTATTTCTTTTTTCATTTCTTCTAAAAAAAAACGAGATATATGTGCAGAACGTGCAGGTTTGTTACATAGGTATACGTGTGCCATGGTGGTTTGCTGCACCTATTGATGCGTCCTCTAAGTTCTCTCCCCTCACCCCCCAACCCCCAACAGGCCCTGGTGTGTGTTGTTCCTCTCTCTGTGTCCATGTGTTCTCAACGTTCAACTCCTGTTTATGAGTGAGAACATGCAGTGTTTGGTTTTCTGTTCCTGTGTTAGTTTGCTGAGGATGATGGCTTCCAGCTTCATCCATGTCCCTGCAAAGGACATGATCTCATTCCTTTTTGTGGCTGCATAGTATTTCATGGTGTATATGTACCATACTTTCTTTATCCATTGATAGGCATTTGGGCTGGTTCCATGTCTTTGCTATTGTAAATAGTGCTGCAGTAAACATACATGTGCATGTGTCTTTATAGTACAATGACTTATAATCCTTTGGGTTTATACCCAGTAATGGGATTGCTGGGTCAAATGGTATTTCTAGTTCTAGATACTTGAGGAATCCCTGTACTGTCTTCCACAATGGTTGAACTAATTTACATTCGCACCAACAGTGTAAAAGCATTCCTATTTCTTCACAGCCTTGACAGCATCTATTGTTTCCTGACTTTTTAATAATCACCATTCTGACAGGCATGAGATGGTATCTCCTTGTGGTTTTAATTTGCATTTCTCTGATGATCAGTGATGTTGAGCTTTTTTTCATATGTTTGTGGCATATTACAATTTCTTAACTGCCACTTTTATGTGTTAATATTTTTCAATTATTAAGAGGAAACACATATACTACACTGAATGAAATAATACTTGATATTTATTTGTCTCAGGATGAATAAAGGCAATCAATATGCATAGAAAGTACATAGACTTAAACACCACTAGAATAATTTAAAAATTCCTTTTTAAATTCATTTTAGATTGTTTTTTTGAAACTCATAATACTAGTACATAGTCCAAAAAAGCCACAGTTTTTGTTTCCAAAATGGCAAACTGAGCCCATATTTTTTAACCTTCCAAGTTCATAGAAAAATATGCAAAGAAATTACTAGATTTTTGGTTTTTGAAAATCTGAAGCAACAATGGAAAGGAAAGGAATATAGAAATATACCCCCTATAGATCAAAAGATGGGAATGGATTCAAGGAAACCCAAACAGTAGTAAACAGCTTGTTATCGACTGAATGTCTGTGCACACCCGCCCCAGCCAAATTCATATGCTGATGCCCTAACCGCCAATGTGATGATATTAGAAGGTAAGATCTTTGGGAGGTAGTTGGGTTTAGATGAGGTATTGAGGGTGAAGCCCTCATAATCCCTCCTGAGATTAATATCCTTATAAAAAGAGAGAGAAAAACCAGAGCTCTCTCTCCCTGAGCACAAAGAGGAGGTCACGTGAGCACACAGCAATGTAGCAGCCATCCGCACAATCCAGGAAGAGGGTCCTCACCTAGAACCAATCTGCCAGCACCTTGATTTTGGATTTCTCATCCTCCAGAACTGTGAAAAATAAATATCTATAGATCAAACCATCCAGTCTATAGTTTTGTTATAGCAGCCCCAACTGACTAAGACACAGCTTATCACACAACACAGGAAAAGGAAGAGATCTCTCAGAAATAATTATATATATATATATATATATATATATATATGTATATATATATATATATACACACATTTCTTCCATTAGAATTCCAGAAAACCACCCAGTTCAGAGAAAATCCCACTAACAAAAGTTGGAAGAAGGTAAATTGGAAGAACACTGTGATTAAAGTGTCATACTGCATTGAGCTTGCTGTTTGTACCAAAGAAACTTAGGATGAATGCTGTGGCCAATTACTCTGTATAACAGGATATCTTCCCTACCATACATAGAAATATATTATACTAAAGCTAAGGATGATAAAATAATGTAGTGATGAAAAAGTCACAGAAATAGTCTAATAGGTCAATGAAACAAAACAATGAGTAGAAAATGGACATACACACACACATATATATGGAAATTTAATATATGACAATGGTATTTTAAACCGGGGCAACAAGATGGATTATTCAATAAATGATATTAGGAAAATTGGTTAACCATTTCAAAAAAATAAAGTTTGAGCCCTACCTTTCCCATATGCCAAAATATTCCAAACATTAAAAATATAAAAGCTATAAATATAATCAATGGAAATAAAGATTAAAAATGTATCTTTATGGTTTTGAGGTCACTGAAGTATTTCTAAGTCTGATAGAGAAAGAAGAAACCCTAAAAGAGAAGACCAACAGCTTTTACTACACAAAAACTTAAAATTTCTTCACTGCAAAATATATCATGAATAATATTAAAAGATAACCAGAAAACTGGGTAAAACTATTCACAATATATATGACAAAGATTTGCTATCTTTAATATAGAAAATGCTCTTACAAATCAATAATAAAATGAAAATAATTTGGAGACAGATGCAGGCAATTCAGACACAAAAAATAATTATGAATTATCTATATTAAAATAGGCCTAACACTGGTATTCCTTGAAAATGCAAACTAAATCAGATACTTTTTATTTGACACAGACTGAATTATTTGCTGCGTTGGTTGTAGGGAGAAGGAGACATCTTTTTTGGGGGAAATATATGTCAAGAGCTGAGCACAAAGTTTTAGATAGTTATTCTAAGGAAAAAATCAGAAAAGCAGGCAAAGGTATAAGTATTAATATTTTCATATTTTGTAATAGTATTGAAAAACATTAAGTATCATTAATTCATTAAATAGGGTACATTCATACAATGGAATAATACATAGCAATGTAAAAGGATGAGGTAGACTCCAACGTGGACCTAGTATCTCTTTTGTATACCAGCAGCTGGAGAGACTCCGATGACCGCAGTGGTCAACAAAATCCCCAAGGACTTTTTGTTGACCAAGGAGTCAATACTAAGAACAATGACCATATTAATTTGAAAATAGTAGGCAGGATGGTCATACAGTACAGTTTAGGATTAGGAGTCATACACCACTTAGTAAACTAATGAAAGCCTATTGTGAATGACAGGGTTTGTCAATGAGACAGATCAGATTCCAATTTGACAGGCAACCAATAACACAAACACAAATGGTGGATGAAGATACAAGTGATGTGTTCCAAGAGCAGATAGGAGGTGTCTACTTAAAAGAAAACCTAAGATTCTCACATGTGGTTTCATGTCAGACCCAGCACATTGACAGCTGTGGTGGCTATGGTGAGAAAGGTGCAGAAGGCCTTCTGCTTGAGAAAGGTAGAGGGAAAAGTAAAGGGGACTTTGTCTTACACCTTAGGTGTGAGTTCAGCCACAATGGGTAGAGCACCAGGCAGCCTTTTGGGATCACTGATTCAATAAGGCCTTGAACAGCATTTCTGGACCTGCCCTGGGCCACAGGGGAGCCCACTGCTCTGAAGGGTGGGTTCCAGACCTGATAGCATTCACCACAAGCTGACTGAAGAGCCCTAGGGCATTAAGTGAACACTGGCAGTAGCCTGGCAGTATTCCTCTTGGGCCTATGGTAGTGATGGCCATGGGGTGAGGCTCTCCTACCTATGGAAACGGGAAGGAACGGTGGGAAGGACTGTGTCTCATGGTTTGAGTGCCAGCTCAGCCACAGTAGAATAGAATACCACGTAAATTTCTAAGGTTTTTGATTCCCATCTCTGGCTCCCAGACAACATCTCTAGACCTGCCCGAGGATTTGGGGAGCTCACTGTACTGAAGGGAAGGACACAAGCCTGGCTGGTTTTGTTACCTGCTGATTGTAGAGCTGTAGTGAACATAGGTGGTAGCCAGGTAATGGCTACAGCAGGCCTTGGGCAAGACTCAGTACCGTGCTGGGTTCAGGTCTGACCCAGTGGTGGTGGCTATAGGGGTACTCCACGTCTGTCCCAGTGGTGGTAGCCACAGGAGTACTTTAGGTCTGTCCCAGTGGTGGACAGTATTACCCTGATACCACAGAATGGTAGAAAGTATTTGCAAACTATCCATGTGACAAGGAATTAATAGCCAGAATACCTAAGGAGCTCGAACAACTTTATAGGAAAAAAAATATAATAATCAGATTTTAAAATGGGCAAAAGATCTGAACACACATGTCTCAAAAGAAGACATACAAATGGCAAACAGATATATGAAAAGGTACTCAACATCATGGATCATTGGAGAAATACAAATCAAAACTACAATGAAATATCATCTGACTCCAGTTACAAATGGCCTTTATGCAAACAACAGGCAATAACAAATGCTGGTGAAGATGTGGAGAAAAGTGAACCATCACACACTGTTGGTGGGAATGTAAATTAGTACAATCACTGTGGAGAATAGTTTGGCAATCCCTCACAGAAAAAGAAATACAGCTACCATACAATCCAGCAATCCCACTCCTAGGTATTTGGGATTTTCCTTTCCAAAAGAAAGAAAATTGGTATATCAAAGAGATATCTGCACTCCCACGGTTTTTTTTTTAGCACTATCCACAATAACCAAGATTTGCAAGCAACCTAAGTGTCCATCAACAGATGAATGGATAAAGGAAATGTGATATATATACACAGTGGAGTACTATTCAGCCATGAAAAAGAATGAGATTCTGTCATTTGCAACATGGATGGAACTGCAGGTCATAAGTGAAATAAGCCAGGAACAAAAATACAAACTTCACATGTTCTCATTTATTTGTGGGAGCCAAAATCACAACAATTGAACTCATGGAGATAAGGAGTAGAAGGATGGTTACCAGAGACTGGGAAAAATATTGCGGGCTGAGAAGGATGTAGGGATGGTTAATGGGCACAAAAAAATAGAAAGAATGAATAAGACCTACTGTTTGCTAGCACAACAGAGTGAGTATAGTCAAAATTAATTAATTGTACATTGTAAAATAATAAAATATAATTGGATTGTTTGAAACATAAAGGATAAATGCTTAAAGTGATGGATATCCCATTTACCCTGATGTGATTATCATGCCTAAATATCTCATATACCCCATAAATATATACACCTACTATGTACCCACAAATTTAAAAATTAAAAATTAAAAAAAGAAAGAAAACCTGCTACTTGACTCCGTAACTCCATTTTTACAGACCAGAAATACATTCTCAACTAGAAAACAATTTCATTCTACCATATCCTAATATAGCATAGTTTTCTTTATTCTTTCATTTTCCCTTCTCTATTCCTTTACTGCAGAGGTCCCCAATCCCTGGACCACGGACCAGTACCCATCCGTGGCCTGTTATGAACCAGGCTGCACCGCAGAAGGTAAGCAGCAGGCAAGCCAGCATTATCACCTGAGCTCCACCTCCTGTCTGATCAGCAGCAGCATCAGATTCTCATAGGAGTGCAAACCCTACTGTTAACTGCACATGTGAGGGATCAAGGTTGCACACTCCTTATAAGACTCTAATGCCTGATGACCTGAGATGGAACAGTTTCATCCTGAAACCATACCCCCAACCGCCATCCTGGGAAAAATTATCTTCCATGAAACTGGTCCCTGGTGCCAAAAAGGTTGGGGACCGCTGCTTTACTGCACATAAAGTAACTAGTGTATGTACACAAACATATTGCATTCTTTTGTTTTACTATATGGCCATTGAAAGGTTTTGATTGACATCAAATGAAGTTGGGATGGGAAAAAAACCCTGGTTCTGTGAAAATACCCACTTTCTCCATTAGTAGCATGCTCACTCAGCTCTTACCTTTATAATTCAGTAAGTTATTTTGCTCTATTTTAACACAAAAAATAACAACATAAAAATCCTTGCATGCCTTGTTTGACTGGAGAATTTTAATGTTTTTCATTTATCGTTGCAAAACCAAGGACAATTTTATAACTTTTTTTGTATGTAGCTGTTGAATGTAGAACAATCTGTCATTTAGTAGAAATAAATGAGTCTAAAAAATGATTGCTAGGTAGTTTTCCTTTTGAATCATGGATCTTGGGCTTAAATAAACTTCTTTAACATGAAAGTAAATAAACAAAAGGTTGAAGTAAATAAATATAGACAAGGAAAAAAATGTAGAATATGATACCAATTATGAAAAAAAGATATTTATAGTGGCATACAAAAGATTAGAAGGATATATAAATACTAAAGACTGGCAATCATTGGGAGTAGAATTATAGGGAAGAGTAAGGAACATGACCTTTCATTTTCTACATGATATAATTTTATATTTTAATATTTTTAATAACCAGCGACATAGTAAAGATTTATCCATTTGGAAAAGAAAATAAAAAAACTTGGTTGGAATATTGAAACAGACCTCTAACTCCTTTCTAGTGGTACTTTATATATCATAAGAAGGCATCCTGGAGATCAATATTACACACTGTCCCTTCCAATTACATGTGAGAAAATGCATTCCAAGATGAAACTGTAACTTCCCACTTAGGTATCAGGTGAGATGATGTACAGTGAAAAGACTGTGAACCATAAATACACAAAAGTTAGAAAACCTTCGTGGGTGTTTAGGAATTTTTTTTTCTATTTCACACTTATTTCCAGACATCCTCCAAAAAAAGATTTTTTTAAAGGCTCACAGGAAGAAATCATAAAGAGAAACAACCTACCATTTAAACAACTACTGCAGAATTGGTTCTTTCTGAACAGTGACTATCAGTGATAGATTTTTCTAGAAATGTTTAAATCAACCTAGAAGTGGCCTCAGGATGTTTGGTGAATTGGTAGAAGAAAGGCACGTTTACAATGCATATTTACTAAGGATGTGTATGCCCTAATTTTAATCTGGAAAAATAAGACTGGTTATTAAAAAGTATTATTTACTTTTACAAATAGACGGGTTCTAGGGCTAGGCTAGAGATTTGGAAGAGGAAAAAGGCTATATGGGTGGCACTTCAATACCTCCGTTGCCCTTTCTAGGAATCTTAAGCATCTTCTGGAAGCTATGATCCCCAGTGCTGTCGCTAGTCTAACAGACCCTAATAAACTAAGTCTGTGTAAAATTAAGGAACAAGACAGGATGAAAAGAGAAGTTAATGAAATGGTAATCAGCAGGTCCTTGAATAACTTCATGTCAACATTGATTTTAAAAAATCAACTCATACCTGTAATCCCAGCACTTTGGAGGACCAAGGTGGGCAGATCACGAGGTCAGGAGTTCAAGACCAGCCTGGCCAATATGGTGAAACCCCGTCTCTACTAAAAATACAAAATTCAGTTGGGTGTAGTGGTGCGTGCACATAGTCCCAGCTACTCGCGAGGCTGAGGCAGAAGAATCGCTTGACCTGGGGAGGCGGAGGTTGCAGTGAGCTGAGATTGTGCCACTGCACTCCAGCCTGGGCGACAGAGTGAGACTCTGTCTCAAAAAAAAAAAAAAAAAAAAAAACAAAAAAAACATCAATTCCCAGCAAGGGCCACTCTCTGTGGAATTTGTATGTTCTCCCCATGTTTGCATGGGTTTCCTGCAGGTACTCCAGTTTCCTCCCACATCCCAAAGATGTGCCTGTTAGGTTCACTGGCATGTCTAAATGGTCCCAATACAAGTGCGTGTGTGTATCTGTGTGTCTGTGTGTGTGTGTGCGCGCGTGTGTGCACGTTCTTCAATGGACTGGCCTCCAGTCCGGGGTTGGTTCCTGCCTTGAGCCCTGAGCACGGGCTCTTCAATGGACTGGCCTCCAGTCCGGGGTTGGTTCCTGCCTTGAGCCCTGAGCTGCCAGGATAGGCTTTGGTCACACTCAACCCTGAAGTGGAATAACTGGGTTAACAATTATGTTACTTGTTTGTATTAATCTTTCTTGAATGTATGTATAGCTCACATTTATTTCAATGTTTACTATCAGAAGTGTTTTGGCATTTATTTAGAAGTTCGGTGATGTTCTTGTGACCAGAAATATGCTATAAAAACTTAACTGTTATTTATACAAATTAGCTTATGGTAAAATTGGTTTCCTTATAATTCATTTTGCTTAAAGTCTCAGTTTCCAAGAACCTATCAATGACATTAAATGGGGACTAACTGGGAAACTAAAGGGACTACTTAATGAAAAGAATCATTCTCACCTTTGCACATTCCTCTTGTATCAGGATGCAGACTGAACTCAGATTTAAGAGATGCGTCTTGATCAAACAGCAACCTTTCAAATACCAAAAGGGAAGGCACAAGTTGTTAATGTGTCTTAAACAAAGACTAACATTTTACCCATCATTTTTATTATACCAAAACTTGCTAAAATTCTTAGTTATACCACTATTAATGTTTCTATTTCAAAGTGTTATTCAGAAATGTACATTTTGATTGAAAACACATCCAAGATGAAAAATAAAGACTCATCATGTTAATTTTACAAATATTCTGTTATTATTTTTTAATATTTGGGAGTAAGGGACAAATATCGTTGTCTCTAGTCTAATAAACCTTAATAACTTTTTGAAAAGAGATAAAATGAGATCATTTGAGGGACCAGTGCTGGTGGGTTTTTTCCCTTCACATTTCTCTATACCAGAGAACTTGAAATTAATATCCCAGGATTATATCTGAGTATATATTTTCATAGTATGCACTGACAGAATTCCTTTATTTATTTATTTATTTTGAGACACAGTCTCTCTCTGTCACCCAAGCTGTAGTGCAGTGGCATGAACTTGGCTCACTTCAAACTCTGGGCTCAAGAGATCCTCCTGCCTCAGCCTCCCAAGTAGCTGGGACTACAGGTGTGCACCACCATGCCTGGCTATTTTTTTAATTAATTTTTTTTTTTTTAGAGCCAGGGTCTTATCACTTTGCCCAGGCTGGTCTTGAACTCCTGAACTTAAATGATCCTGCCTTGACCTCCCAAAGTGCTGGGATTACAGGAATGAGCCACCACACCTGGCCCAGAATTCCTTTAATTTTTGGATTTACTTCTTACTATGTTCAAGGGAACATCACGTTAACAAAGAGAGAAGACACACAGTCCTTGCCCCCAAGAAGCTCCAAATCTAGTAAGGGATACAGAGCTATGAAAATAAGCATGATATGCCATGAGTATGCTATTAGGCAAACTAAAATATTTATCTTTTCTATTTAAATGAGCAGAAAATGGACAAAAGACTTGAATAGACATTTCTGCAAAAACGAAATACAAATAGCCAACAAGTACACGAAACGAAAAGATGTTCATCATCACTAATCATAGGGGAAATGCAAATCAAAACCACGAAGATACCACTTCATACTCATTAGGATGGCTGTTTATGAAAAATGAAAAATTAAGCCAGGTACTATCACTCACTGAGTAGCTGAGTAATCCCAGCTACTCAGGAGGCTGAAGCAGGAAGATGGCTTGAGGCCAGTTCAAGGCTGCAGTGAGCTATGATCAGGCCATTGCACTCCAGCCTAAGTGACAAAGTGAGACACTGTCTCAAAACACACACACACACACACACACACACACACACACACACACACAACTTTCTAATAGTTCTCAGCATCAGAAAAGTTGGCAATGAAAAGGACTCTAATCCTTAACTTTTCTATTATAACACACCCTCTGTGAGAGTGAGTACAGGCTCCTGCTATAAGAAGAAAAGCATTTTCTTGGCTCTTTTCTACTGACCATTACTAAGGATCAAAAATGCATTATTAGAATATGAATTATACCATAGCTATAGTGCATTTTTCCAAGAAGTAAACCATCTACTGATGTTCCTCCAAAAAGTAAAATTATCTATTAATGTCCCTAAAAGGGTAAGTTTATCTCTTAAAATGTTGTGAGGTTTTTTGTTTGTTTGTTTTTTTCTTTTCAGACACAGTCACTCTGTCACCCAGGCTGGAATGAAGTGGCACCATCTCAGCTCACTACAACCTCCACCGCCCAGGTTCAAGTGATCCTCCTGCCTCAGCCTCCCAAGTAGCTGAGATTACAAGTGCCTGCCATCAGGCCCAGCTAATTCTTGTATTTTTAGTAGACACAGGGTTTTACCATGTTGGCCAGGCTAGTCTCGAACTCCTGACCTTCAGGTCTCGACCTCCCTAAATGCTGGGATTACAGCTGTGAGCGACTGCACCCAACCAAATTTTGTGTGTTTTTTTTTTTTAATTTAAAAATAACACAAAAGGGGTATGGAAGAATTTTGGGGGATAATGACACTATTCTATATCTTGATTGTGATAGTAGTTACACAATTATGTTTGTCAAAACTCAGAACCATACTCTTAAAAAGGTGAACTTTATGTAAATTCCTCCTTGAAGGGTGACAGAATATGCCACCCCAAAATAAGCCACTGTGACATACGGATTACTCTGAGCTAAAGGCAACTTGAAAAACAGCAGATGCTTCCCTTTTCCTTCTTGAAAACAGGAGATAAAAACTCCTATGTAAAAGATGCCCTCCCTGTAGAAGGAGAAAAGAAACATTTCTCAATAGCCAAGAGAATTCTGTACAAACAGATCTTGTTAAAATAATTCTTGTCTTCCTTTAGCCTCCCTACATAATTTAGTTACTTTTCCACAACTGCCTCTCTTTGTTTAACCCAATACAAAAGCACATAGGTTCTACCATTTCTTTTTTTAATTTTTTCTTTTCCTTTTTTTTTTTTGAGATGGGAGTCTTGCTGTGTTGTCCAGGCTGGAGTGCAGTGATATAATCGCAGCTTACTGCAACCTCCGCCTTCCAGGTTCAAGCGATTCTCCTGCCTCAGCCTCCTGAGTAGCTGGGACTACAGGTGCATGCCACCATGCCCGGTTAATTTTTGTATTTTTAATAGAGACAGGATTTCACCTTGTTGGCCAGGCTGGTCTCGAACTCCTGACCTCAAGTGATCTGCCCACCTCAGCCTCCCAAAGCACTGGGATAACAGGCATCAGCTACCATGCCCAACCAGGTTTTGCCATTTCTTTGGGTCTTCATTTCCTTATGAGGACTCCTGTGTCCCATAAAACTTATTTTAAATTTACATAAGTTTTAATATTTAAAGTATTTAATCTATTTCATATTTAATTCTTAGGCTTAACCAGGGCCCTATGAGGAGAAAGGCAGAATTTCTGCCCCTACTAAAATCTTAATTAAAAATAAAAAACTAATATAAATATGTTAATATTCTAATATGTAAACGTAAAAATTTAACATTATGCCAATAAAAGTACCAATAAGGGCCGGGCACAGTGACTCATGCCTGTAATCCCAGCACTTTGGGAGGCTGAAGTGGGGAGATCACTTGAAGTCAGGAGTTCGAGACCAGCCTGGCCATCATGGTGAAACCCCATCTATACTAAAAATACAAAAATTAGCTGGGCATGGTGGTATGCGCCTGTAGTCCCAGCTACTCAGCAGACCCAGGCAAGAGAATGGCTTGAACCTGGGTGGATGGAAGCTGCCGTGAGCTGAGATCATGCTACTGCACTCCAGCCTGGGTGATAGAATGAGACTCCGTCTCAAAAAAAAAAATAGTCCAGATTCTTTCCTAAGGAAATTATTTTTAAAAACCCCAACAATTTATGCTTAAGGAAATTATCTCAGAGTTATTTGCAATAACAAAAAATTAAAAACAAACTAAATGTTTTGTTTTAAAATCATATAATGCTTCAACAAATTATCCCTTTATGACAGAAAACTATCAATAATTTAGGGAAGAATTTTAATGACATTGCAAATGTTTAAAAATAATGTTAAGCGAAAACTGTAAACTTGTACAAATTGATTCAAACTTTGTAAAAGAATTATAGGTGCACACACAAAAGCCTACATAGAAAGCTGGAAGAAAATATACCAAAGTCTTAATACAAGTAGAATTAGGTCAGATTTCTATCTCATTCATGCTTCTTTTTATTGCTCATGTTTCCTATAGTGTTCCTGAATAGACAATATATTTATATGGTTCAAAATTCAAAAACCAGTATAGACTAGCCCTGATTACTCATGCTCATAGTCCTCACTACTCAGGGAGCTGAGGCAGGAAGATCACTTCAGCCTAGGAGTTAGAGGCTTCAGTGAGCTATGACTGCACTATTGCATTCCAGACTGGACAATAGTGTAAGATCCAGTCTCCAAAACAAACAATATAATAGGGTATGTAGTAAAATATCTCTCTGTCCCCTCAAATATAAGCTTTCTTTCCCACAGGCAACCAAGGTGTTTGATTGTTTTGTAATTCTTTCAGAGATATTTTCTAAGTGTATATATGTTGGAAGACAGAGGTAACACTATTTTCTAAAAACAGAAGCACTGTGTCAAAGAGTATATGTGTTTGTAATCTTGATAATTGAAATTTTTTGAGTTTTGTATTATAATTATATCTTTCTTCCTCTACAGTTATAAAAGAATCCCTTTTTGGCTTCTTGTAATACTTTTTGGTTTTTTTTTAACATTTACATCTTTGATTCATATGGAATTTTTTTGGAGTACAGTGTGAAATATGGATTCAACTAAACTATTTTCTACATACATCCTTCATCATCCCAATATCATTTTTTGAAAAATCCCATCATTTCCTCGCTGGTTTGAGATGCCACCTCTGTAATACACTAAATTCCCATATGTATGTGATTCTATTTTGGGGGTTTTTATGCTGTTTATTGATCTGTCACTTTATGTGCCAGTATCATATTTAAAATATTTTATATCAGAAAATATTTTAATATCCTATAGGTCATTACCTCCTTATTGTTCTTATTTTTCAGACTTTTCCTAATTGCTCTTATTTATTTTACGATATAAACTTTGGAATCAGTTGTCTAGTTCAACAGAAAGTCTTGCTGGTACTTTTTTTTTTTTTTTTTTTTTTGAGATAGAGTCTCACTCTGTCGCCCAGGCTGGAGTGCAGTGGAGTCATTTTGGCTCATAGCAACCTCTGCCTGTTTCTCATTACAACCAAAAACTCCGAATGAATATTTTTTAAAAACTACTCGAGAACCTTGAAAAGTAAACAATAGCAGGTAGATTGGGGACTGAAGTTGAAATCTTAATAACAACCCATTTATTGACGAGTTTCAGTTTGTTTTCGGTTTTTTGGTTCTTTTTTGTCTTTCAGCTTTGAACCATCCAGTGGGCACAGACAGTAAACCTATTTTTATCCAGAAGACCAAGGAAAATGACCCCTGCATGCCAGAAGGTATAGGACAAAGCCCAGGGCTTTATGTTGCTTTCTCTCTCACCTCCCAGCCCTGCCCCAAGGCTGGCCCTAGCCTCAGAGCAGACACCAACCATGGCAACTGGGGAACATAAAACTCAAGAGAAAGTGTCTACCAGAGGAACTGGGAAAAGGGATCGGTATTGCCTGAAAAGTGTGGACAGAATCCCCCTTTTTTCTCTCTTTTCTTAACTCTGTGCTAAAGGCTGTCCCCCTTGTAAGGAACTGCTGTATAGTGAAAAGGCTAACACTCAAAGAAACCTGTCTTTCTGATCATATGAACTGGCAAGTGGGTATGATGAGGAAAGGGGGCAGGAGAATCCTGGAGAAGAGAGAGAGGGAAAGGAGAATGACCTAATTCTGTGTACGATCCAACTTAAGTCCCAGACACAGCCCTGAGCACATATGAAGCAGACCTAGTGGCCTCATCCCTGCCCTCTTTTCCCTGTGTCTAGCACAGAGAATATGTTAGAGAAAGGTTTCGATAACCTGAAATACCGACTTTTTTGGATTCGTATAAAACTATTCGTTTCCAGTTTGGCAGGGACCAGTTTCCCCATCACACATTCTTTTCTTGAGAGAAACTGTTACCCATTTTCCTAGAACTGAGCTACGAGTCTCTTGAAGCAAAATGAAGTCTCCTGAAACAAAATGCAGTTAAGTTCAGACCCAAGATCTTTTTTGCTTGTGCAAAAAGACTTAAAGCCCCCAAAAGGAAAGCCTTTTGAAAAATGCTATAAAGCCACCTAGTACAAACCTCATTTTATCCCTAGCTGGTTGGGGGTAGGTGGGAACAGACTGTGTTTGCTTATTTACAAGCTCTCAGCTCAGGCACGGCTGCCCCACAAGGCTCTGATCCTGCCCACAAGCACATGTTCTGGTCACGATCTCCACTCAAAACTCTGACCCCCTCAGAGGGCACCTGGGCCGCCCTGGCGCGAGGGTTCAGGCACTGTGGCCCTAATGATGGTCACCTTCTCCAGGGCAGCTCCTTTTCTTCCAGGTCGCTCTCCGTCACTGAACCCTCTATCACAGTTTCATCACTGTCCCAGTCTGGGGCCTGGACGCCTTCCTCCATCTTTGCCTCACATTCAAAGTCTTTTTTACCCTCCTCTAACTCCCTCTTGCCCGCAAACAAAAAAACGCTTTGAGGGCCAGGGGAAATTGTGAATTAAAAATAAAAATAATATAATCGCAGCAGGAGCCGGGACTTGTCGCAGGGCTGCTGAGGAGGACGCAGGCGGCCGCGAGCGCGGCGGGGTAGCAGTCTGCGAGGCGGCCCGCGGGTCCCGCCGCTCGTCGCAGACAGGGGGCAGCCGCTCGCCACACGACGGAGCCCTGCGCAGCGCTCGGCCCCGCCCCCAGCTCCCGTGGCCGGAAGTGGGAGGCCGCGCGCGCGCGCGCAGGCCTACTCTGGGCGTGGCCTGCCGCTGCGTGTTTTTTTCACGGTTTCTCATTCTCGGTCGCTAGGCTTTGAGGGTGCTGGGGTTGCTGCTGCAGAGACCAGAAAGGCAGGCGTGGCGCACCCAGAACTCAGACCGAGCCTGCTTAACACCCTTGGCCGGGAGGGTGACCTGCCATGCACCTGATGCTTGTGAGCCCCAGATACGGGAAGAGCTGTCAGCTCCTGCCCGCCCCAGCAGCCCTGGCATTCTGGAGCCAGAATGCGACCTTAGACCTAAAGAGAGTTTTTGCAGCCCACCAAGTGCTTCCTTTCCCTTTAATCCCTTGACAGCCTCTCCTCAAGTGTCCTCTGAGGTAGACAAAACAGATACGTTTATCAGAAGTTTTAGCTCATCAACTAATCTCAGTGATGTATTTTGCATTTTTTTTTTCTCTCAACAACGCTTTGGTTACCTGAAATACAGATTATGCAGGAAAGGCAGGATAAATGCTTTATTTTTTCCTCTTTTATCAATTTTTATAATAATAGTAATGCCTAGCAACCTCCAAAAGTAGTCAATTGCGTTTTAATGAAGTACTAGAATTTTATATATTTGATGTGTTTCAGTCTAGTTGAACATTTTTAATTCAAACTAATTCAAAACAAAGCCAAGTGAGCTTCCACTTGCCAAGTGAGAAGAAGATTCAAGAAAAGACCAAGTTGTTTTCCCATAGCAAGTGTTTAGTATTCACCTTGGAGTCTCCAGCATCTAGCACATATAAAGTCTAAGTTTTGTCATAAATGGATGGAGCTAGAGATTTCTGACTTCCCAATTCATTGCCCTTTTCACTATATGGAGTAGCTTTGCCATTATTATCATTATTATTATTTTGTGTTTTTACTATGTATATTCAAGCCACTGCTATTTAAAATGCTTGATTGGTGATTATCTTCTAAACTTAACTTGAGGCTGGGGGTGGTGGCTCTACCTGTAACCTCAATGCATTGGAGGCCGAGGCAGGAGGATTGCTTGAGACCAGAAGTTCAAGACCAGCCTGGGCAACATGGTGAGACCCCTATCTCTGCAAAAAATTTGTTTTTAATTAGCAGGGCATGGTAGCATGGGCCTGTAGTCCCAGCTACTCAGGTTGAGGCGGGAGGATCGCTTGAGCCCAGGAGTTTGAGGTTATAATGAGCTATGATTGAGCAAACGCACTCCAGCCTGAGCAACAGAGTCATACCATGTCTCAAAAAATAAAAAAATAAACTTACTTGAATAAGTAACTTACTTAAATAAAATTCCTCGCCTCAACTCTGTAAATTAGGCAGAGCAATAATAAATATGCAAAGAACTAGACCTCTTTTTTATTTTTTTTAACAGTAGTCCATTTATACCCTCCGTGTCTAAATCAGACCTAAATTCCTATCACCTTTCCTGCTCACCCACTGTTTAATTAATTCATTAGCGCATTCTTCTGTGTTGCCCAAGCTAATCTCCAACTCCTGGGCTCAAGCTGTCCTCCCACCTCACCCTCCCAAATAGCCGGAACTACAATCTCATGCCACTATGCCCACTTCACCCATTCTTTTAATTATCCAACTCTGCTTTCACAGGAATTGGGGGATGCATACCCAGTAAATGGTGGTGAGTGGCTCCATTTGCCCCAGAGGGAAAGATGACTCCACTAGTAACAGTACTTGCTCCAAACAGCTGGTAACAAGCTAAGTGCAATAAGTCCTCACTTAATGTCTGTCGGTAGGGTCTTGGAAACTGCAACCTAAAACAAAATGACTTACAAGGAAACCAATTTTACCATTGTCTAATTGATATATATGAGAGTTAAGTTCTTACAACATATTTCTGGTCACAAAAACATTACCAAACTTGTAAATAAACACCAAAACACCTTTACTATTAAACATTGAAATAAACGTGAGCTATATATATATTTATTAAATATATATATTTAAGAAATATCTTAAATATATATCAGATATTTATTAAATATATATTTAATAATAAATATTTAATATATTTAATAAATATCTAAGATATATATTTAAGATATTTCTTAATATATTTAATATATATAATAAATATCTAAGATATATATTTAAGATATTTCTTAATATATTTAATATATATTTAATAAATATATATAAGAAATGTCATATATATTTAAGAAAGATTAATAAAAATATATATATTTAAGAAAGACTAATAAAAACAAATAAGATAATTATTTACCTAGTCATTCCAGTTCAGGGTTGAGAGTGGCTGGAGCCTATCCTGGCAGCTCAGGGCTCAAGGCAGGAGCCAACCCAGCACAGGAGGCCATTTCATTGAAGAGCGTGCTCACTCACACACACACACTCATTCTGAGACCAGTTAGATAAGTCAATGAGCCTAACATACACATCTTTGGGATGTGAGAGGAAACCAGAATACCTGGAGGAAACATGCTGACATAGGGAGAACATGCAAACTCCACATACACAGTGGCCCTGGCTGGGAAGTATAATAATTTTCTTCCCTCATCAGTGTTGAAACACCATTGAAATAAATGTTATTCGAGGATCTGCTATAGATAAATTCACATTCTTCTGGGCCTGAAATTCACATTCTTTTTAAAAATGCTTTCTCTTTTGGCGGGAAAAAGTCAGTTATTTTTGCATCATCTGTTCTCCTTTTATTTAAGAGAGTTGCTAAGATTCAAAGAATGAAAAAGAAATGGCAGAGATGAGCCTCATAAATGCCAGTGTGATTTTAAATAAACCTTTTTTTGTTTGTTTTTATGAAATCCAAAGTTTCAGTGCAGGACAGAGGTGGAAAAATGAACAGAAGATCTGTTTTAGGAAATCTAGGCTGCAGTACAATTCATACTGGTTTAAGCAGGGTGAGTTGAGTCATGTAATTGAACCAAGGAGAGGTTTCCCAGGTATTTCAGGAATGGCAGGAATCAGGTACTGCAACTGTGTTTCAAAGGAAATAGAGCTCAGCTTTCTTTTGAATTAGTTTGAATTTTCAAATAGATTAAAACATCGCCGAGTATGTAAAAATCTGTAAACATTATTATTAAAAAATAATAATTGGCTACTTTTGGAGGTTGCTAGACACCATTTATTATTCTAAAATTAATAACGATAAAAAGACTTTATCCTGCCTCTCCTATACACTTTATATTCAGAATAACCATAGTTAATGAGGGGGAAAAAAAATTTTTTTTTGAGACGGAGTTTCGCTCTTGTCGTCCAGGCTGGAGTGCTATGGCGCGATCTTGGCTCGCTGCAACCTCCCACCTCCCGGGTTCAAGTGATTCTCCTGCCTCAGCCTCCCAAGGAGCTGGGATTACAGATATGTGCCACCTCACCCGGCTAATTTTGTATTTTTAGTAGAGACGGGGTTTCTCCATGTTGGTCAGGCTGGCCTCGAACTCCTGACCTCAGGTGATTCACCCACCTCGGCCTCCCATAGTGCTGGGATTACAAGCTTCAGCCACCACGCCTGGCCATAATTTTTAAGAAATGTAATTAAATTTTACTTGGTCTACTCCATTTGGGCTATAATCTTACAAGAAAAATGTCCTCTTGGGGAATTATTGTTGTAAAGGTGAATTTAAAATTTTTTTTTGATGTTTAAAAAGAAAAAGAAGGCTCATTATTTTGTGATTACACAATATATTTTGCTTTTATAATTAAGATTCTTCGCTGCCTATAGCTTCATATTATTTATTTCCTATCCAGGTTACTTTGGATCCTAGAACTGTAAGAGATGAGACTTTCATGGAAGATTTGATTTATCATAACACAATATGAATCTCTAAGAGACTAAATCCAGCAGCCACTTTCACCTTAGTAATATTTCTCCCCAAAATAAAACTATATGAAGTATTTCACCAAGTATTCCATGATAAGTATTTTAAAATACACTTTCCCGACAGGGCACAATGGTTCATGTTTGTAATCCCAGCACTTCGGGAGGCAGAGATGGGAGGATCACTTGAGCCGAGGAGCCTGGGCAACATAGAGAGACCCCCATCTCTACAAAAATAAAAATAAATTAGCCAGAAGTGGTGGCGCACATTTGACCCAGGTACTCGGGAGGTTGAAGCAGGAGGATCCCTTGAGCTCAGGAGTTGCAGTGAGCTATGATTGCACCACTGCACTCCAGCCTGGGTGACAAAGTGAGATCCTGTGTCAAAAAAAAAAAAAAAAAAAAAAAATACACTTTCCAAAAGAATCATTTTCTCAAAGACTTAGACTTTTTTTTAAACAAAAATAAGTTACTAATCCATTAACCCAAGCAATTCACATGTTTGGCACAAATTAAAGCTGTCATGTAAACTTTTTTAATGGATGGGAATAAGTATGTAACTGAAAAATCAGGATATGTGAAATCTTTTCTCAAAAACTGCAAAATAATGGAGCACACAAAGGCAAGTTTGCACATGATTAAGTGTTGGTTTAGTACCTAAATTTGTTTGTTTATTTATTTATTTATTTATTTATTTATGAGACGGAGTTCCACTTTTGTTGCCAAGGCTGGAGCACAGTGATGCGATTTCGGCTCACTGCAACCTCCGCCTCCCGGGTTGAAGTAATTCTTCTGCATCAGCCTCCTTCATAGCTGGGATTACAGGCATGTGCCACCACACCTGGCTAATTTTTGTATTTTTTTAGTAGAGACGGGGCTTCGCCATGTTGGCCAGGCTGATCTCGAACTCCTGACCTCAGGTGATCTGCCCGTCTCAGCCTCCCAAAGTGCTGGGACTACAGGGGTAAGCTACCACACCCAGCCCTAAATTTGTTTTTTAGCGATCATTATAGCTGATTCATATGTGTGGGGATATGCCACCCACAACTCCTATAGGCTGTCCCTTCTTAGTGCAGAATTTAATAAGTTCAATTTCACTTTAAAATGGCATAAAATAGACATAAAACACTTCAGAAAGTTGAAAGTACTGTAACCACCCAATGGGTTCTCCTTGCCTGCTGCCTAGACAGAGCCAATTTATCAAGACAGGGAAATTGCAATGAAGAAAGAGTAATTCACGCAGAGCCGGCTATGCAGGAGACCGAAGTTTGTTATTACTGAAATCAGTCTTGCCGAGCATTTGGGGATCAGAGTGTTTAAAGATAATTTGGTGGGTAGGGGCTTGGGAAGTGGGGAGTGCTGAGTGGTCAGGTTGGAGATGGAATCATAGGGGGTGGAAGTTAGGTTTTCTTGCTGTCTTCTGTTCCTGGGTGGATGGCAGAACTGGTTGAGCCAGATTATCAGTCTGGGTGGTGTCAGCTGATCCATCAAGCTCAGGGACTGCAAAATATCTTGGGCACTGATTTTAGGTTTTACAGTAGTGATGTTATCCCCAGAAGCAATTTGGGGAGATTCAGACTCTTGGAGCCAGAGGCTGCATGACCCCCAAATTGTAATTTCTAATCTTATAGCTAACTTGTTAGTCCTGAAAAGACAGACTGATCCCAGGCAAGAAGGGGGTCTTTTCGGGAAAGGGGTATTTTCAATTTTGTTTCAGTCAAACCATGAACTGAACTCCTTCCCAAAGTTAGTTTGGCCTACACCCAGGAATGAACAAGGACAGCTTAAAGGTTAGAAGCAAGACGGAGTTGATTAGGTCAGATTTCTTTCACTGTCTTAATTTCCTAAGTTATAATTTTGCAAAGGTGGTTTCAGTACTGTGAAATTTCAGATGATAGCCTAATATAATTAGTATTTCCAAGATGAAAAACCTCTGAAGAATCACTAATGGTATCTGTTATTCTGGCAATTGATTAAAAGATATATTATAATGAAGCCCATAAAATCAGCAGAGGATGATTGAAAAAACACTTGGCATTTCACAAAGGAGAATCAGAGGACTAGACACACCTAGAGGTAAATTATAACGACCCTCCCCACCCATTACTCCAGGATGCCTACCAGATGTTGCTATTCTATGTGGTCTCTACTATTACAGTTATTCATTGTTTAGTCTATTAGACTGTAAATAATGTTTCTTCAGAAGCAGAAAGGGGCAATAGCTATACACTGATCTTCTGTCTCAGAAGAAATACCTTACAACATTGTATAATTTATCATGATGTGAAAAAAACAATATTGGAACACAGGCATTAAACTATTATTATATATCATCAGGGTTTTGTAAGGATTCTTAGATTACTTTCCCCTTATAAACACAATGTAATGTTGGCATCAAGAATTGGCAATCAAAGTAATAAGGCCATGACAGACTGTCAAAAAGAATTACAGACTCAAATGCAACAGCCTAGAGAACATGACATTGATTTTGTCAACTAGTTTAACAAGTTTGACAGCTTCCTCCTTGCCTGCTTGTCCAGACAAGTGATACTCACTGATGGCCCGAATGCTAAAAAGTCTATATTTCAATGTCTTTCCATTTCTATTCCTCCCCACATCTGGTCTTTTTCTGTGATAGTAACTGATTAAAACATTGGATTTTAAACCATGCTTAACCTAACTCATAATTAAAGAAATATACATTAAAACAGCCAATGACACGTTTGTTGGTTTATTTTATCTATTAGTCTGGCAAAGATTTAAAAAAAGACTGATAATGCTCAGCACTGGCAATGATCGGGGAAAATAGGTGTTCTCATATACTCTTGGAGGGAGATGAGTTCAATCTTTTTTGGAGACCAGTTTGGCAACATCTATGAAAATGTTTCACATGGGCTGGGCACGGTGGCTCATATCTTTAATCCCAGCACTTTGGGAGGCCTAGTCAGGTGGATCATTTGCGGTCAGGAGTTTAAGACCAGCCTGGCCAGCTTGGTGAAAACCTGTCTCTATTAAAAATACAAAAATTAGCAGGGTGTGGTGGCACATGCCTGTAGTCCCAGCTACTTGGGAGGCTAAGGCAGGAGAATCGCTTGAACCTGGGAGGCAGAGGTTGCAGTGAGCCAAGATTGCACCACTGTACTCCAGCCTGGGCAACAGAAAGAGACTCTCTTAAAAAAAAAAAAAAGTTTTACATGTATATACCCCTAGAGATAGCCTTTCCACTTTTAGGAATTTATTCCTATATTACTGATATGCTTGCACCAACTGTAATTTTGAAAAGTTGGAAACAAACTAAGTGTTCATCATTAGGGGATTATGCAGTGAAATACTCTGCTGTCATTATAAAGAATGAAATACGGCTGTATATTAGGACATGTGTAGCTGCCCATGTTACCTTGTTTGCAGAATAAAGCAAAGAGCACAACAACGACAGCTCTGGAATTTCATACAGGAAAGGCTTAAGGATGAAATCTGCTTGGAAGTGAGGGCTCTGAAACTTCACCAAAGCTTGCATTTGAATAGCAAACACGGTTTTCACTTAGCTGCTTACATGGAATATTTGTGGCTTTATCTTAGATTCTATGTTTATTTGTGGTTGTTTAGGAAGGTTAAAGAGATACGAAGATATAAATAAAGCCCTCCACACATACCAAGACACCACCTGATCCTGATACTGCAGAACACCACAAATTTTTATTTCTTCTTTTTATTGAGGTATAATTGACATACAATGAAATGCACAAATCTTGTATTTTCACTTCAATGTGTTTTCTGAGCCATTCTATATTTCTACATTTATTTTGTTTAACAGCATACTCAACTCTAAAGGAAGAGAATGGGAGTTGTAGGTGGGAAAAAAAGGTAATACACAAGCAATAGCTTGAATCTTAAAAGTATAATTTACATAAATAAGACATAATAAAAAGAGAAATTTTAATAATTTCTGGACTGATAATATTGCCAAATAAATACATGATAATGGGATCTTCTTTGTGTAGAACCGAAACAGCCATATAAACAGGTTTAGACTAATGTATTAGTAGGTCTGCCACTGTAGAAAAAAAATACCAGCTATACCCACAAAAAATCCCAGTGACAAGAGGTTAATCAGAATCTTCACATAGTAAAAAAATGCAGTTCAATGATTTTTGACTCTCTCTCTCTCTTCGTGCATGTGTATGTACACACACACACACACAGACACACACACACTCAGGTAACCACCTAAGTACTTAAAACAAGATCAAGAATATTTCCATCACTCCTGCCCTTTCCTCAAAATCCACCTGCAAATGATAGTTTTTCATACAAATGGAATCACACTGTACGTATTTTTTTAAACTGGCTTCTTTTACTTAGTTTTATGTTTTCAAGATTCGCCAACATTGTTTGCACCAGGTCATTCCTTTTTATTGCTGAGTATTGTTATATTATGCAAATAGACCAAATTTGTTCAGTGCATTCTCTTGTTAATGGACATATATGTTATTTTCAGTTTGGACACTGTAATGAATAAGATTGCTATGAACATTCCTGTTGAAATCTTTTTGTGGGTGTATGTTTTCATTTCTCTTTGGGTACATAAATACCTGATGAGCAAAATTCCTGGTCATATAGTAGGTATATGTTTAACTTTATTAAAAAGCTGCCGTGTAGTTCTCCAAAGAGAGGACGACTCCCAACAGCAATGTATGAAAGTTCCCTTTGCGTCATATCTTCACGAGCATTTGTATTGTCAATCTTTTATGTGCCAGCCATTTCAATGGATATGAAATAGTATCTCACTGTGGTATTAATTTGCATTTCCCTCATGCCTAATAATACTAGCAAATTTTTGTGTGCTTGTTGGCTGTCTATATACCTTTCGTGAAGTGTCTATTCAAATTTATTGCACACTTTTCCATTGGGCTGTTTGTATTTTTATTATCGATTTCTAACATTCCTTTACATATTCTGGATATGAGAGGCCTTTGTCAAATATCTGTATCATGAATTTTTTTTATTAGTCTCTGGCTTGTCTATTTTTTTTTTTTAAGAGATGAGGTCTCCCTTTGTCACCCAGGCTGCTGGAGTGCAGTGGCATGAACACGACTCACTGCAGCCTCCACTTCCTGGGCTCAAGTGATCCTTCCACCTCAGCCCCCCATACCCTTCCAAGTGGCTGAGACTACAGGCACACACCACCATGCCTGGCTAATTTTTGTATTTTTTGTAGAGACAGGGTTTTGTCATGTTGACCAGGCTGATTTGGAATTCCTGGGCTTCAGCAATCTGCCCATCTAGGACTCCCAAAGTACTGGAATTACGTGTGCCACCACACCTGGCCTCTTAATATAAGTGTCTTTTGATGAGTAAAAGGTTTTAATTAGGATACTGTCCAATTTATCAGTTTTTTTCTTTTATGATTAGTGCTGGTATTAGTTTCCTAAGGCTGTCATTAACAAATTGCCACAAACTGGATGGCTTAAAACAACAGATACTTATTTTTTATTTATTTACGTATTTGTCTTTTAAGAAAGAGTTTCGCTCTGTCACCAGGCTAGAATGCAGTGGTGCAATCTCGGCTTACTGCAACCTCCGCCTCCCGGGTTCAAGCAATTCTCCTGCCTCAGCCTCCAGAGTAGCTGGGATTACAGGTGTCTGCCACCATGCCCAACTAATTTTTCTATTTTTAGTACAGGCAGGGTTTCACCATGTTGGCCAGGATAGTCTCGGTCTCCTGACCTGTGATCCACCTGCCTTGGCCTCCTGAAGTGCTGGGATTACAGGCATGAGCCACCGCGCCCGGCAACAACAGACATTTGTTTTCTCACCATTCTGGAGGCCAGCAATCTAAAATCAAGATGTGGATGGGGCCATGCTCTTTCTGAAGGTTCTAGAGGACAATCTGTTCCATGCCTTTCTCTTAGTTTCTGACCTTGGCCACAATTCATGGCATTCCTTGGCTTGTAGATGCATCACTCCAATCCCTGCCTTCATCATCACCTGGTGTTCTAGTGCGTTTTTGTCTCTGGGTCTCTTCTTTTCTTATAAGGACACCAATCATATTGGATTAGGGTCCACCTTACTCCACTATAAACTCACCTTAACTAATTACAACTGCAATGACTATATTTCCAAATAGAGTCACATTCTTTTTTTTTTTTTTTTGAGATGGAGGTTCGCTCTTGTTGCCCAGACTGGAGTGCAGTGGCATGATCTCAGCTTACCGCAACCTCTGCCTCCCGGGTTCAAGCGATTCTCCTGCCTCAGCCTCCTGAGTAGCTGGGATTACAGGCATGTGCCACCATGCCCAGCTAGTTTTGTATTTTTAGTAGAGGCAGGGTTTCTCCATGATGGTCAGGCTAGTTTCGAACTCCCGACCTCAGGTGATCCACCCACCTCGGCCTCCCAATGTGCTTGGATTACAGGCGTGAGCCACCGCGCCCAGCTTTTTTTTTTTTTTTTTTTTTTGGTCAGGACAGAGTCTTGCTCTGTCACCCAGGCTGGAGTGCAGTAGCACAATCTCAGGTCACTGCAACCTCTGCCTCCCAAGTTCAAGTGATTCTCCTGCCACAGCCTCCCAAGTAGCTGGGATTACAGGCACCTGCCACCACACCCAGCTAATTTTTGAATTTTTAGTAGAGATAGTGTTTTGCCATGTTAGCCAGACTGGTCTCGAACTCCTGACCTCAGGTGATTCCCCCTGCCTTGGCCTCCCAAAGTTCTGGGACTACAGGCATGAGCCACTGCACCTGGCCAAATACAGTCATATTCAGAGGCTTTGCAAAGGAAATAAGTTTTGGGGGGATACTATCAAACCCAGTATAGTGTTTTTTGTGTCTTGGGTTAGAAATCTTTGCTTAAGCCAAAGTCATGAAGATATTCTCTTATTCTCTTTTGTTTTCTCCTGGAAGCAGTAGGGTTCTAACTTTACATTGAGTTTTATTTATCTCAGTTTTTTTGTGTATGTAATGAGGTAAAGAACAAAGTTATTTTTTTCCCATATGGATATCCAGTTGTTACAACACCTTGGGTTAAAAAGATTAGCCTTGGGCAGCTGGCAAGATGGCCAAATAAGAACAGCTCCAGTCTGCAGCTCCCAGTGAGATCAACGCAACAGGAGGGTGATTTCTGCATTTCTAAATGAGGTACCCGGCTCATCTCATTGTGACTGGTTAGACAGTGGGTGCAGCCCATGGAGGGTGAGCAGAAGCAGGGTGGGGCGTCGCCTCTCCTGGAAAGCACGAAGGGTCAGGGAACTCCCTCCCGTAGCCAAGGGAAGCCGTGAGGGACTGTGCCTTGAGGGATGGTGCTATTCAGCCCAGATACTACTTTTTTCCCACAGTCTTTGCAACCTACAGACAGGAGATACCCTTGGGTGCCTATACCACCAGGGCTCTGGGTTTCAAGCACAAAACTGGGCAGCCATTTGGGCAGACACTGAGCTAGCTGCAGGAGTGTTTTTTCATACTCCAGTGGCACCTGGAATGCCAGCGAGACAGAACCGTTCACTCCCCTTGAAAGGGAGCTGAAGCCAGGGAGCCAAGTGGTCTGTCTCAGCGGAGCCCACCCCATGGAACCCAGCAAGCTAAGATCCACTGGCTTGAAATTCTCACTGCCAGCACAACAGTCTGAAGTTGACCTGAAATGCTCCAGCTTAGTGAGGGGAGGGGCATCTGCCATTACTGAGGCTGGAGGAGGAGTTTTCCCCATGCAGTGTAAGTTCAAACTGGGCAGAACCCATCCAGCTTGGCAAAGCCTCTGTAGCCAGACTGCTCTCTAGATCCCCACTCTGTGGGCAGGGCGTCTCTGAAAAAAAAGGCAGCAGCCCCAGTCAGGAGCTTATAGATAAAACTCCCATCTCCCTGGGACAGAGCACCTGGAAAAAGGGGTGGCTGTAGGCGCAGCTTCAGCAGACTTTAATGTTCCTGCCTGCCGGCTCTGAAGAGAGCAGCAAATCTCCCAGCACAGCAATCAAGCTCTGCTAAGGGACAGACTGCCTCCTCAAGTGGGTCCCTGACTCCCCTGCCTCCTGACTGGGAGACACCTCCCAACAGGGGTTGACAGACACCTCATACAGGAGAGCTCCGACTGGCATCTGGCAGGTGCCCGTCTGGGACAAAGCTTCCAGAGGAAGGAGCAGGCAGCAATCTTTGCTGTTCTGCAACCTCTGCTGGTGATACCCAGACAAACAGGGTCTGGAGTGGACCTCCAGCAAACTCCAGCAGACCTGCAGCAGAGGGGTCTGACTGTTAGAAGGAAAGCTAACAAACAGGAATAGCATCAACATCAACAAAAAGGATGGCTATACAAAAACCCCATCCAAAGGTCACCAACATCAAAGATCAAAGGTAGATAAATCCACAAAGATGAGGAAAAACCAGTGCAAAAATGCTGAAAATTCCAAAATCAGAATACCTCTTCTCCTCCAAATGATCACAACTCCTCGCCAGCAAGGGAACAAAACTGGATGGAGAATGAGTTTGATGAATTGACAGAAGCAGGCTTCAGAAGGTGGGTAATAACAAATTCCTCTGAGCTAAAGGACTATGTTCTAACTCAATGCAAGGAAGCTAAGGACCTTGATAAAAGGATATAGGAACTGCTAATGAGAATAACCACTTTAGAGAAAACCATAAATGACCTGATGGAGCTGAAAAACACAGCACGAGAACTTTGTGAAGTATACACAAGTATCAATAGCCACATCAATCAAGTGGAAAAAGGATATCAGAGGTTGAAGATCAACTTAATGAAATAAAGCATGAAGACAAGATTAGAAAAAAAGAATGAAAAGGAATGAACAAAGCCTCCAAGAAATATGGGACTATGTGAAAAGACCAAACCTATGTTTGATTGGTGTGCCTGAAAGTGACGGGGAGAATGGAACCAAGTTGGAAAACACACTTCAGGATATTATCCAGGAGATCTACCCCAACCGAGCAAGACAGGCCAACATTCAAATTCAGGAAATACAGAGAACACCACAAAGATATTCCTCAAGAAGAGCAACTCAAAGATACATAATCATTGGATTCACCAGGTTGAAATGACAGGAAAAATTTTATGGGCAGCCAGAGAGAAAGGTCAGGTTACCAGCAAAGGGAAGCCTATCAGACTAATAGCAGATCTCTCTGCAGAAACCCTACAAGCCAGAAGAGAGTGGAAACCAATATTTGACATTCTTTTTTTTTTTAATTTTATTATTATTATACTTTAAGTTTTAGGGAACATGTGCACAACATGCAGGCTTGTTACATATGTATACATGTGCCGTGTTGGTGTGCTGCACCCATTACCTCGTCATTTAACATTAGGTATATCTCCAAATGCTACCCCTCCCCTCTCCCCCCACCCCACAACAGTCCCCAGTGTGTGATGTTCCCCTTCCTGTGTCCATGTGTTCTCATTGTTCAATTCCCACCTATGAGTGAGAACATGCGGTGTTTGGTTTTTTGCCCTTGCGATAGTTTGCTGAGAATGATGGTTTCCAGTTTCATCCATGTCCCTACAAAGGACATGAACTCATCATTTTTTATGGCTGCATAGTATCCATGGTGTATATGTGCCACATTTTCTTAATCCAGTCTATCGTTGTTGGACATTTAAGTTGGTTCCAAGTCTTTGCTATTGTGAATAGTGCCACAATAAATATACATGTGCATGTGTCTTTATAGCAGCATGATTTATAATCCTTTGGGTATATACCCAGTAACGGGATGGCTGGGTCAAATGGTATTTCTAGTTCTAGATCGCTGAGAAATCGCCACACTGACTTCCACAATGGTTGAACTAGTTTACAGTCCCACCAACAGTGTAAAGGTGTTCCTATTTCTCCACATCCTCTCCAGCACCTGTTGCTTCCTGACTTTTTAATGATTGCCATTCTAACTGGTGTGAGATGGTATCTCACTGTGGTTTCGATTTTCATTTCTCTGATGGCCAGTGATGGTGAGCATTTTTTCATGTGTTTTTTGGCTGCATAAATGTCTTCTTTTGAGAAGTGTCTGTTCATATCCTTTGCCCACTTTTTGATGGGGTTGTTTTTTTTCTTGTAAATTTGTTTGAGTTCATTGTAGATTCTGGATATTAGCCCTTTGTCAGATGAGTAGGTTGCAAAAATTTTCTCCCATTCTGTAGGTTGCCTGTTCACTCCGTTGGTAGTTTCTTTTCCTGTGCAGAAGCTCTTTAGTTTAATTAGATCCCATTTGTCTATTTTGGCTTTTGTTGCCATTGCTTTTGGTGTTTTAGACATGAAGTCCTTGCCCATGCCCAAGTCCTGAATGGTATTGCCTAGGTTTTCTTCTAGGGTTTTTATGGTTTTAGGTCTAACATGTAAGTCTTTAATCCATCTTGAATTATTTTTTGTATAAGGTGTAAGGAAGGGATCCAGTTTCAGCTTTCTACATATGGCTAGCCAGTTTTCCCAGCACCATTTATTAAATAGGGAATCCTTTCCCCATTGCTTGTTTTTGTCTGGTTTGTCAAAGATCAGATAGTTGTAGATATGCGGCATTATTTCTGAGGGCTCTGTTCTGTTCCATTGCTCTATATCTCTGTTTTGGTACCAATACCATGCTGTTTTGGTTACTGTAGCCTTGTAGCATAGTTTGAAGTCAGGTAGCGTGATGCCTCCAGCTTTGTTCTTTTGGCTTAGGATTGACTTGGCGATGCAGGCTCTTTTTTGGTTCCATATGAACTTTCAAGTAGTTTTTTCCAATTCTGTGAAGAAAGTCATTGGTAGCTTGATGGGGATGGCATTGAATCTGTAAATTACCTTGGGCAGTATGGCCATTTTCATGATATGGATTCTTCCTACCCATGAGCATGGAATGTTCTTCCATTTGTTTGTATCCTCTTTTATTTCATTGAGCAGTGGTTTGTAGCTCTCCTTGAAGACGTCCTTCACATCCCTTGTAAGTTGGATTCCTAGCTATTTTATTCTCTTTGAAGCTATTGTGAATGGGAGTTCACTCATGATTTGGCTCTCTGTTTGTCTGTTATTGGTGTATAAGAATGCTTGTGATTTTTGTACATTGATTTTGTATCCTGAGACTTTGCTGAAGTTGCTTATCAGCTTGAGGAGATTTTGGGCTGAGACAATGGGGTTTTCTAGATATACAATCATGTCATCTGAAAACAGGGACAATTTGACTTCTTCTTTTCCTAATTCAATACACTTTATTTCTTTCTCCTGCCGGATTGCCCTGGCCAGAACTTCCAACACTATGTTGAATAGGAGTGGTGAGAGAGGGCATCCCTGTCTTGTGCCAGTTTTCAAAGGGAATGCTTCCAGTTTTTGTCCATTCAGTATGTTATTGGCTGTGGGTTTGTCATAGATAGGTCTTATTATTTTGAGATATGTCCCATCAATACCTAATTTATTGAGAGTTTTTAGCATGAAGGTTGTTGAATTTTGTCAAAGGCCTTTTCTGCATCTATAGAGACAATCATGTGGTTTTTGTCTTTGGTTCTGTTTATATGACAGATTACATTTATTGATTTGCATATGTTGAACCAGCCTTGCATCCCAGGGATGAAGCCCACTTGATCATCTTGCATAAGCTTTTTGATGTGCTGCTGGATTTGGTTTGCCAGTATTTTATTGAGGATTTTTGCATCAATGTTCATCAAGGATATTGGTCTAAAATTCTCTTTTTTGGTTGTGTCTCTGCCTGGCTTTGGTATCAGGATGATGCTGGCCTCATAAAATGAGTTAGGGGGGATTCCCTCTTTTTCTATTGATTGGAATAGTTTCAGAAAGAATGGTACCAGCTCCTCTTTGTTCCTCTGGTAGAATTCGGCTGTGAATCCATCTGGTCCTGGACCTTTTTTGGTTGGTAGGTCATTGATTATTGCCTCAATTTCAGAGCCTGTTATTGGTCTTTTCAGAGATTCAACTTCTTCCTGGTTTAGTCTTGGGAGGGTGTATGTGTCGAGGAATTTATCCATTTCCTCTAGATTTTCTAGTTTATTTGCGTAGAAGTGTTTATAGTATTCTCTGATGGTAGTTTGTATTTCTGTGGGATTGGTGGTGATATCCCCTTTATCATTTTTTATTGCATTTATTTGATTCTTCTCTCTTTTCTTCTTTATTAGTTTTGCTAGCAGTCTATCAATTTTGTTGATCTTTTCAAAAAAACCAGCTCCTGGATTCATTAATTTTTTGAAGGATTTTTTGTGTCTCTATTTCCTTCAGTTCTGCTCTGATCTTAGTTATTTCTTGCCTTCTGCTAGCTTTTGAATGTGTTTGCTCTTCCTTTTCTAGTTCTTTTAATTGTGATGTTTGGGTGTCAATTTTAGATCTTTCCTGCTTTCTTTTGTGGGCATTTAGTGCTATAAATTTCCCTCTACACACTACTTTGAATGTGTCCCAGAGATTCTGGTATGTTGTGTCTTTGTTCTCATTGGTTTCAAAGAACATCTTTATTTCTGCCTTCATTTCATTATTTACCCAGTAGTCATTCAGGAGCAGGTTGTTCAGTTTCCATGTAGTTGAGCGGTTTTGAGTGAGTTTCTTAATCCTGAGTTCTAGTTTGATTGCACTGTGGTCTGAGAGACAGTTTGTTATAATTTCCGTTCTTTTACATCTGCTGAGGAGTGCTTTACTTCCAAGTATGTGGTCAATTTTGGAGTAGGTGTGGTGTGGTGCTGAAAAGAATGTACATTCTGTTGATTTGGGGTGGAGAGTTCTGTAGATGTCTATTAGGTCTGCTTGGTGCAGAGCTGAGTTCAATTCCTGGGTATCCTTGTTAACTTTCTGTCTCATTGATCTTTCTAATGTTGACAGTGGGGTGTTAAAGTCTCCCATTATTATTGTGTGGGAGTCTAAGTCTCTTTTTAGGTCACTAAGGAGTTGCTTTATGAATTTGGGTGCTCCTGTATTGGGTGCATATATATTTAGCATAGTTAGCTCTTCTTGTTGAATTGATCCCTTTACCATTATGTAATGGCCTTCTTTGTCTCTTTTGGTCTTTGTTGGTTTAAAGTCTGTTTTATCAGAGACTAGGATTGCAACCCCTGCCTTTTTTTGTTTTCCATTTGCTTGGTAGATCTTCCTCCATCCCTCTATTTTGAGCCTATGTGTGTCTCCGCACGTGAGATGGGTTTCCTGAATACAGCACACTGATGGGTCTTGACTCTTTATCCAATTTGCCAGTCTGTGTCTTTTAATTGGAGCATTTAGCCCATTTACATTTAAAATTAATATTGTTATGTGTGAATTTGATCCTGTCATTATGATGTTAGCTGGTGATTTTGCTCGTTAGTTGATGCAGTTTCTTCTTAGCCTTGATGGTCTTTACAGTTTGGCATGTTTTTGCAGTGGGTGGTACCGGTTGTTCCTTTCCATATTTAGTGCTTCCTTCAGGAGCTCTTTTAAGGCAGGCCTGGTGGTGACAAAATCTCTCAGCATTTGCTTGTCTGTAAAGTATTTTATTTCTCCTTCACTCATGAAGCTTAGTTTGGCTGGATATGAAATTCTGGGTTGAAAATTCTTTTCTTTAAGAATGTTGAATATTGGTACCCACTCTCTTCTGGCTTGTAGAGTTTCTGCTGAGAGATCAGCTGTTAGTCTGATGGGCTTCCCTCTGTGGGTAACCCAACCTTTCTCTGTGGCTGCCCTTAACATTTTTTCATTCATTTCACCTTTGGTGAATCTGACAATGATGTGTCTTGGAGTTGCTCTTCTCGAGAAGTATCTTTGTGGCGTTCTCTGTATTTCCTGAATTTGAATGTTGGCCTGCCTTGCTAGATTGGGGAAGTTCTCCTAGATAATATCCTGCAGAGTATTTTCCAACTTGGTTCCATTCTCCCCGTCACTTTCAGGTACACCAATCAGACGTAGATTTGGTCTTTTCACATAGTCCCATATTTCTTGGAGGCTTTCTTCGTTTCTTTTTATTCTTTTTTCTCTAAACTTCTCTTCTCGCTTCATTTCATTCATTTCATCTTCCATCACTGATACCCTTTCTTCCAATTGATTGCATCAGCTACTGAGGCTTCTGCCTTCATCACATAGCTCTCGTGCCTTGTTTTTCAGCTCCATCAGGTCCTTTAAGGACTTCTCTGCATTGGTTATTCTAGTTATCCATTCATCTAATTTTTTTCAAAGTTTTTAACTTCTTTGCCATTGGTTCGAATTTCCTCCGATAACTCAGAGTAGTTTGATTGTCTGAAGCCTTCTTCTCTCAACTCGTCAAAGTCATTCTCCATCCAGTTTTGTTCCATTGCTGGTGAGGAGCTGCGTTCCTTTGGAGGAGGAGAGGTGCTCTGATTTTTAGAGTTTCCAGTTTTTCTGCTCTGTTTTTTTCCCATCTTTGTGGTTTTATCTACCTTTGGTCTTTGATGATGGTGATGTACAGATGGGTTTTTGGTGTGGATGTCCTTTCTGTTTATTAGTTTTCCTTCTAACAGACAGGACCCTCAGCTGCAGGTCTGTTGGAGTTTGCTAGAGGTTCACTCCAGACCCTGTTTGCCTGGGTATCAGCAGCGGTGGCTGCAGAACACGGATATTGGTGAACCGTAAATGCTGCTGCCTGATCATTCCTCTGGAAGTTTTGTCTCAGAGGAGTACCTGGCCATGTGAGGTGTCAGTCCGCCCCTACTGGGGGGTGCCTCCCAGTTAGGCTACTTGGGAGTCAGGGACCCACTTGAGGAGGCAGTCTGCCCATTCTCAGATCTCCAGCTGCGTGCTGGGAGAACCACTATTCTCTTCAAAGCTGTCAGAGAGGGACATTTAAATCTGCAGAGGTTACTGCTGCCTTTTTGTTTGTCTGTGCCCTGCCCCCATAGGTGGAGCCTACAGAGGCAGGCAGGCTTCCTTGAGCTGTGGTGGGCTCCACCGAGTTCGAGCTTCCCAGCCAGTTTGTTTACCTAATCAAACAACTAACTCAGCAATGGCGGGCGCCCTTCCCCCAGCCTTGCTGCCACCTTGCAGTTTGATCTCAAACTGCTGTGCTAGCAATGGGTGAGACTCTGTGGGCGTATGATCCTCTGATCCAGGTGCAGGATGTAATCTCCTGGTGTGCCGTTTTTTAAGCCGTTGGAAAAGCGCAGTATTAGGGTGGGAGTGACCTGATTTTCCAGGTGCCGTCTGTCACCACTTTCTTTGACTAGGAAAGGGAATTCCCTGACCCCTTGTGCTTCCTGGGTGAGGCAATGCCTCGCCCTGCTTCGGCTCGCACACGGTGCGCTGCACCCACTGTCCTTCACCTACTGTCTGGCACTCCCCAGTGATATGAACCCAGTACCTCAGTTGAAAATGCAGAAATCACCCATCTTCTCTGTTGCTCACGCTGGGAGCTGTAGATCAGAGCTATTCCTATTCGGCCATCTTGGCTCTTCTTCGACATTCTTAAAGAAAAGAATTTTCAACCCAGAATTTCATATCCAGCCAAACTAACCTTCATAAGCAAAGGAGAAATAAAATCCTTTACAGACAAGCAAAGCTGAGGGATTTTGTGGTGGTAACCAGGCCTGCCTTACAAGAGCCCCTGAAGGAAGCATTAAATATGGAAAGGAAAAACCAGTACCAGCCACTGCAAAAACATAGCAAAATGTAAAGACCATTGACACGACGAAGAAACTGCATTAACTAATGTGCAAAATAACCAGCTAGCATCATAATGACAGGATCAAATTCACACATAACAATATTAACCCTAAATGTAAAAGGGATATATGCCCCAATTAAGACACTGACTGGCAAATTGGATAAAGGGTAAAGACCCATTGGTGTGCTGTATTCAGGAGATCCATATGAGTGCAAAGACACACATAGGCTCAAAATAAAGGGATGGAGCAATATTTACCAAGCAAATGGAAAGAAAAAAAAAAAGCAGGGGGTGCAATCCTAGTCTCTGAAAAAAAAAACAGACTTTAAACCAACAAAGATCAAAAAAGACAAAGAAGGACATTACATAATGGTAAAGGGATTAGTGCAAAAAGAAGAGCTAACTATCCTAAATATATATGCACCCATTACAGGAGCACCCAGATTCATAAAGCAAGTTCTTAAAGACCTACAGATAGACTTAGACTCCCACACAATAACAGTGGGAGACTTTAACACCCCACTATCAATATTAGACAGATCAATGAGACAGAAAATTATCAAGGATATTCAGGACTTGAACTCAGCTCTGGACCAAGCAGACCTAATGACATCTACAGAACTCTCCACCTCAAATCAACAGAAGATACATTCTTCTTAACACCACATTGCACTTATTCTAAAATTAACCACATAATTGGAAGTAAAACACTCCTCAGCAAATGCAAAAGAATGGAACTCATAACAAACAGTCTCTCAGACTGAGGTGCAATCAAATTAGAACTCAGGATTAAGAAACTCACTCAAAACCACACACCTATATGGAATCTGAACAACCTGCTCCTGAATGACTACTGGGTAAATAACAAAATTAAGGCAGAAATAAATAAGTTCTTTGAAACCAATGAGAACAAAGACACAATGTACCAGAGTCTCTGGGACACAGCTAAAGCAGTGTTTAGAGGGAAATTTATAGTGCTAAGTGCCCACAGGAGAAAGTGGAAAAGGTCTAAAACCAACACCCTAACATCACAGTTAAAAGAACTAGAGAAGCAAGAGCAAACAAATTCAAAGGCTAGCAGAAGACAAGAAATAACTAAGATCAGAAAAGAACTGAAGGAGATAGAGACAGGAAAAACACTCCAAAAAATTAATGAATCCAGGAGCTGGTTTTTTGAAAAGATTAACAAAATATTAAACATTAAAATAGATAGACCACTAGCCAGACTAATAAAGAAGAAAAGAGAGAAGAATCAAATAGACACAACAAAAAATGTTAAAGGGGATATCACCACTGATCCCACAGAAATACAAACTACCATCAGTGAATACTATAAACACTTCTACACAAATAAACTACAAAATCTAGAAGAAATGGATAAATTCCTGGACACATACACCCTCCCAAGACTAAATCAGGAAGAAGTTGAATCCCTGAATAGACCAACAACAAGTTCTAAAATTGAGGCAGTAATTAATAGCCTACCAACCAAAAAAAGCCCAGGACCAGACAGATTCACAGCTGAATTCTACCAGAGATACAAAGAGAAGGTGGTACCATTACTTCTGAAACTATTCCAAACAATAGAAAAAGAGGGACTCCTCCCTAACTCATTGTATAAGGCCAGCATCATCCTGATACCAAAAGCTGGCAGAGACACAACAAAAAAAGAAAATTTCAGGTCAATATCCCTGATGAAGATCGATGTGAAAATCCTCAGTAAAATACTGTCAAACCGAATCCATCAGCACATCAGAAATCTTATCCACCACGATCAAGTTGGCTTCATCCCTGGGATGCAAGGCAGGTTCAACATACACAAATCAATAAACGTAATTCATCACATAAACAGAAACAATGACAAAAATCACATGATTATCTCAATAGATGCAGAAAGGCCTCCGATAAAATTCAACAGCCTTCATGCTAAAAACTCTCAATAAACTAGGTATTGATGGAGTGTATCTCAAAATAATAAGAGCTATTTATGACAAACCCACAGCCAATATCATACTGAATGGGCAAAAGCTGGAAGCATTCCCTTTGAAAACCAGCACGAGACAAGGATGCCCTCTCTCACCACTCATATTCAACATAGTATTGGAAGTTCTGGCCAGGGCAATCAGGCAAGATAAAGAAATAAAGAGTATTCAAATAGGAAGGGAAGAAGCCAAACTTTCTCTGTTTGCAGATGACAAGATTGTATATTTTGAAAACCCCATCTTCTCATCCCAAAAACTCCTTAAGCTGATAAGCAACTTCAGCAAAGTCACAGGATAGAAAATTAATGTGCAAAACATCACAAGCATTTCTATACACCAATGATAGACAAACAGAGAGCCAAATCATGAGTAAATTGCCATTCACAATTGCTACAAAGAGAATAAAATACCTAGGAATACAGCTTACAAGGGACATGAAGGACCTCTTCAAGGAGAACTACAAACCACTGCTCAAGGAAATAAGAGAAGACATAAATAAAAGGAAAAACATTCCGTGCTCATGGATAGGAAGAATCAATATCATGAAAATGGCCATACTGCCCAAAGTAATTTATAGATTCAATGCTATTCCCATCAAGTTACCATTGACTTTCTCTACAGAATTAGAAAAAACTACTTTAAATTTCTTATGCAACCAAAAAAGAGCTAGTATAGCCAAGACAATCCTAAGCAAAAAGAACAAAGCTGGAGGCATCACACTGCCTGACTTCAAACTATGCTACAAGGCTACAGTAACCAAAACAGCATGATACTGGTACCAAAACAGATATATAGACCAGTGGAACAGAACAGAGGCCTCAGAAATAATGCCACACATGTACAACTATCTGATCTTTGACAAACCTGACAAATACAAGCAATGGGGAAAGGAGCCCCTATTTAATAAATGGAGTTGGGAAAACTGGCTGGCCATATGCAGAAAACTGAAACTGGACCCCTTCCTTACACCTTATGCAAAAATTAACTCAAGATGGATTAAAGACTTAAATGTAAGACCTAAAAACCATAAAACCCAGAAGAAAACCTAGGCAATACCATTCAGGGCATAGGCATGGGCAAAGACTTCATGACTACAACACTAAAAGCAATTGCAACAAAAGCCAAAATTCACAAATGGAATCTGATTAAACTAAAGAGCTTCTGCACAGCAAAAAAACTATTATCAGAGTGAACTGAAAACCTACAGAATGGGAGAAAACTTTTGCAATCTATCCATCTGACAAAGGGCTAATATCCAGAATCAAGAAAGAACTTAAACAAATTTACAAGAAAAAAACAAACAACCCCATCAAAAAGTGGGCAAAGTATATGAACAGACACTTCTCAAAAGAAGGCATTTATGCAGCCAACAAACATATTTAAAAAAGCTCATCATCACTGGTCATTAGAGAAATGCAAATCAAAACCACAATGAGATACCATCTCACGCCAGTTAGAATGGCGATCATTAAAAAGTCAGGAAACAACAGATGCTGGAGAGGATGTAGAGAAATAGGAATGCTTTTACACTGTTGGTGGGAGTGTAAATTAGTTCAACCATTGTGGAAGACAGTGTGGTGATTCCTCAAGGATCTAGAACCAGAAATACCATTTGACCCAGCTATCCCATTACTGGGTATATACCCAAAGGATTATAAATTATTCTACTATAAAGACACATGTACATGTATGTTTATTGCAGCACTGTTCACAATAGCAAAGACCTGGAACAACCCAAATGCCCATCAATGATAGAGTAGATAGAGAAAATGTGGCACATAGACACCATGGAATACTATGCAGCCATAAAAAAAAGTTGAGTTTACGTCCTTTGCAGGGACATGGATGAAGCTGGAAACCATCATTCTCAGCAAACTAACAGAGGAACAGAAAACCAAACACCGCATGTTCTCACTCATAAGTGGGAGTTGAACAATGAGAACACATGGACACAGGGAGCGGAACATCACACACCGGCACCTGTTGGGGGGTTGGGGGCTAGGGGAAAGGATAGCATTAGGAGAAATGCCTAATGTAGAAGACAGGTTGATGGGTGCAGCAAACCACCATGGCACATGTATACCTATGTAACAAACTTGCATTTTCTGCACATATATCCCAGAACTTAAAGTATTAAAAAAAAAATTAGCCTTTCCTCATTTAATTGACTTAATGCCTCCACTTACTTTAAAAACAATTACGCATGTTTCCTGATGGATGACAGCTGTCAGAGTTAATTATTGATAAAATATAATTAGACTATATTGTGGATGTCAGTCTCATCTCATATCATCTGCATTAGGAAAAAATGTGAATGTGTGTTCTTTAGTTTAAAACATCACGTGGTAGAAAATGATTATGAAAGCGGAGATGTGGCTCAGTCAAGGAAAGCATTAAACAAGATGAGGGAAGATTGAAGGAGTAGTTTTCTAGACAGAGAAGAGAGAAAGGCCACGCTAGGTATAAAGATTAACCACCATGGCACAGGCACTGAATGACATAAAACCAAAGCTAGCTCAACATTTGGAAGTGCATCCTAGCAAAGAGAAGAAGAATGTGATTTCTTTATGGCAGTTCAAAGTTGAGTCCTAGTTAATCATTATACAAGCAGCGAAGCAGTAGTCAGCCAATGCTGTCTGCAGTAACTGAGGTGGGTTATGCACAGGCAATGCAATCACAGCTAACATAAGCCCAAGTAGAGTGGGCATTATTTTGTTTTGTCTCCTTTCTCCTTCAACATTCTTTTTTTTCTTTTCTTTTTTTATTTTTTAAACAGAATCTCACTCTGTGGCCCAGGCTGGAGTGCAGTGGCACAATCTCAGCTCACTGCAACCTCTGCCTCCTGGGTTCAAGTGATTCTCCTGCCTTAGCCTCCCAAGTAGCTGGGATTACAGGCATGCACCACCACTCCCAGCTAATTTTTGTATTTTTAGTATAGACAGAGTTTCACCATGTTGGCCGGGCTGTTCTTGAACTCCTGACCTCAAGTGATCCGCCTTCCTCGGCCTCCCAAAGTGCTGGGATTACAGCTGTGGGCCACCGGGCCCGGCCATCAACCTACGTTTTACCTTGTCTTTCTTTCTTACTGCCCTCCTCCAACTGTCAACCTTTTACATGGTTCTCTAATATAATGTCTATATTGTTGAATGAAGGACTAACTCACTCTCCTTCAAGTAGGGCTCTCAGAGAACTGAGACTGCTAAAACTTATTCTACATATTATTTCTTCTTTCCTGGTTCTTCTCCTTTTAGCTAATCACAAAGTCTGACCCTTCTAGTATTGGAGTATGGGGAGGACAGAAAGATGGAGAGAGGAGGCAGAAAAGTTCTTACTAGAGTAGTGTCAGTTGTATACTGGAACCAGCTCCTACTAGCTGATAAGAACTAATTGCTAAACTTTCAGGAATTTGCAATTCAATTATTACATATAGCCATTAATGTATATAAAATTATAATTAAATAACTTGTATTTAAAATAAATGCAATAAATACTAAAAACTCATCACTTCCTAATTATTTTGCTACATTTTACTCTGGGGTCAGAAGAGGAGGAGAGCCAGGAAAGAAACAAATAATACTGTAAGGAAAGAATTTTAGAATATTTACACCACAAAAATCTTACAAATCAGGGTTTTCCTCCTAACAAAGATTCTTTGCTTAGCCAAAGTTTAGTCAGGCTCCTGAGCTTTCCCCTAGGTCCATCTTAGAGAGACATCGTAAAATCCAGTTTTAGCAAAGAGCCCTGCTAAGTCAGTTTAGCAAGAACTTTTCAGTCTTAATATCTGATCACCCTTGATATCTGATGAGGTTCCTCATCCTCCACTATCCCCCAGGTGAGGTATGATCACACTGGCCTGTCTTTAGCAAAAATATTGTTAGGTTGGCTTGGCCAGAATCTTACCCTTGATGTTTTACCTCTTAGCAATTTTCAATCCACTGACCCCACCCTGCTCCTTGGCTATAAATGCCCACTTGCCTATGCTGTGTTCTGGGGTTGAGCCCAATCTCTGCCCCCACTACGAGACCTTATTGCAGTGGTCCTGAACAAAGTCTTCCTTACTGTGCTATAACACGTGTCACCGAATAATTTTTTTGTTTAACAACTTCCCCTGGTTGTTAAACATTTACCAGCACACAGCTGAGTAGTATTGTTCTAAGGCAGTTTTGCACCCTCTGAGTCTGGCATTGGTTTAAAGCTGACTCTATCATAAGGAATTCTGTAATGCCTTTAGAGACCTGATCCACCACTGGTAGGTAATCCTTCACATTCAGTTCACCTGATGTGGGAGAATGTAAATTCATCTTTTTTTTCCTTTGAGACATAGTTTCACTCTTGTTGCCCAGGCTGGAGTGAAATGGCACAATCTCAGCTCACCACAACCTCCGCCTCCTGGATTCATGTGAATCTCCTGCCTCAGCCTCCCGAGTAGCTGGGATTACAGGCACGAGCCACCACGCCCGGCTAATTTTTGTATTTTTAGTAGAGACGGGGTTTCACCATGTTGGCCAGGCTGGTCTCGAACTCCTGGCCTCAAGCGATCCGCCCACCTCACCCTCCCAAAGTGCTGGGATTACAGGCATGAGCCGCCTTGCCCGGCCTCAAAGATTCTTTATTTCATCCTTGGAATACAGAACACAAAGTCCATCTCCATCTTCCCTACTGAGAGCTATTCACCCTTTAAACTGCCCTATGAACAGGATTTAACCAGGCTGGTTCTCACTTGAGCATATCTCCTATGTAACTTGTAAGGAATACTTGTTGACTGAATAAATTCTGGTAGTGCACACTGATCATTCTCTTTGCTCTACCATCCTGCCATTTATGATCAGAGCCAGGCGGGATGGCTCATGCCTGTAATCCCAGCACTTTGTGAGGCCAAGGCAGGTGGACTGCTTGCGCCCAGGAGTTCCAGACCAGCCTGAGCAACACAGTAAGATCCCGTCTCTACAAAAATTACAAAAAATTAGCTGGGGATAGTGGTGCATACCTGTAGTCCCAGCTATTTGGGAGGCTAAGGTGGGAGGATCGCATGAGCCAGGAAGGTTGAGGCTGCAGTGAGCCATGATTTTGCCACTACACTCCAGCTTGAGTGAGAGTGAGACGCTGCCTAAAAAAAAAAAAAAAAAAGAATATCTGTACATCAACATCAGTAAGAAAAAGATGAACAACCCAGTAAAAATTGGGCAAAAGCCTTAAATAGGCATTTCAAAGAAAAAAAGACACATATGACTAATACCATATTAAAAGGTGAAATCGGCTGGGTGCAGTGGCTCACACCTATAATCCCAGCACTTTGGGAGGCTGAGGCAGATGGATCACCTGAGGTCGGGGGTTCGGGACCAGCCTGGTCAACATAGCAAAACCCCATCTCTACTAAAAATACAAAAATTAGCCAGGCATAGTGGTGCATGCCTGTAATCCCACCTACTCGGGAGGCTGAGGCACAACAATCGCTTGAACTCAGGAGGCGGAGGATGCGATGAGCAGAGATTGTGCCACTGCACTCCAACCTGGGCGACAGAGTGAGACTCCATCTCAAAAATAAACAAATAAAAGATGAAATCATAGAAATGCAAATTAACACCATAATAAGATGCAATTTCATAATTAGCAGATTGACAATAATTTAAAAGTCCAAGAACACAAAGTGCTGGTTGGGTCACAGAGCAACAGGAACTCTTACATACCACTAGCAGGAATATAAAGAGATACGAGCACTGTGGAAGCAGTTAGGCAGCATTTCCTAAATTGAACATGCATCCTACAACCTAGTAATTCCACTCCTAGAAAAATCCCTACAGGACACCAGGACACATGCCTAACATTTTTTATAATAGCCAAGAAGTAGACACAGCCCAATTGTCATTACATGGAGGGAATAGATCTAAATATTCATCAAGAAGAGAATGGACAGATAAATTGCAGTACTTTACATGACAGGGTATCTTATGACTGAGAAAATGAGTGAAGATATCAACATGAATGAATTTTAGAAACCATTCTTACAAAGTTTAAAAATGAAAAACTAAATAATATGTTATTTAGGACCCAATTATTTGTAGTAAAACTTGAAATAAAAGGAATAAATTATAAACAAAATTTAGAGTAGCAATTACTTCTTGGGAGAGGCAGATAAATGGTATGGGGAAGAAGTCTCAGGGGACTCAAAAACATTAGTAATGCCCCCTGTCTTGAGTTGTTTTGTGCATCACAGATGGATTTTTTTGTTATTATTCTTCATTGCTTCCACAGGATGAAGATATACATATAATATATAATTAATATGTTATTATGTATGTCAATTGTAAAGTATATAACTGTATGTAATATATGACATAATTAATACTAATACACAATATGTTAATTTATATAGTATACACTAATTATATACAGTATATTAGTATTAATTATGTAGTATATTATATAGTCACCCTGAGTGGTGGGGTTCTACATTGTAATTTTCTACATTTCCCATGAGCCGGGCATGGTGGCTCACACTTGTAATCCTAGCACTTTGGGAGGCTGAAGTGGCCAGATCACTTGAGGTCAGGAGTTTGAGACCAGCATGGCCAACATGGCAAAACCCCAACTCTACTAAAAATACAAAAAATTAGCTGGGCATGGTGATGCACACCTGTAATCCCAGCTACTCAGGAGGCCGAAGCAGCAGAATTGCTTGAACCTGGGAGGCAAAGTTGCAGTGAGCCGAGATCGAGCCACTGCACTCCAGCCTGCATGACAGAGCACAACTCTGTCTCAAAATAATAATAATAATAAAATTATTACCTACGTTTCCCTAATTGCTTTAATATTAATGCAGTACTTTCATGATCAAAAGATGGTGATTTTTTATAATGTCTAGAATGTTTGCACAGTTTTTTGAAATTTGATCTGAACCTTCTGTCTAGTTTCGTGCTGTGGGAGGGCTAATCTCTAAAGATATGACATTGCTATCTAGTTGACAAGTAGGTGTCAAAACGCTAATGCACAAATTTCAACTATGCCAACATTGCTTTTATTTATTTATTTATTTAATTTCTTTAGTCAGAGTCTCGCTCTGTGGCCCAGGCTGGAGTGCAGCGGCACAATCTCAGCTCACCGCAACCTCCACCTCCTGTGTTCAAGCGATTCCCCCTGCCTCAGCCTCCCGAATAGCTGGGATTACAGGCATGTGCCACCATGCCCGGCTAATTTTTGTATTTTTGGTAGAGACAGGGTTTCACCATGTTGTCCTGGCTGCTCCCGAACTCCTGACCTCATGTGATCCACCTGCTTCGGCCTCCCAAAGTGCTGGGATTACAGGCATGAGCTACCATGCCCAGCCACTAACATTGCCTTTAAACATTCAGTATTCCTTAGTCAGTATTACTTCCTTCCTATCTTTTGAAGATATACTTCCCATGTTTATCCTTAACATTTCCCACGTCTCTAAGGGTCCCTTGAACTCTGAAATTCAGTAACTCAGAAGTCTTGAATGAAAACTAAGATTCTTTTTTCCCCCCAGCCCTTTAGCAACATCTAGTGGGTATTTAGAGACAGGACAAGACAAACTTTTTCCTACATAAGGATCAACCATATAGATGGCAAATTTGACTTAGCAAAAAAAAAGCCATAAGTCTTCAAACAAAATCTCTCCTGTGATTAATTTGTTACATGCATGGGTGTGTATGTAGACACTTAAGATAAAGTACAGCCAGCATTTCCTCATTTAGCCTGCTATAAACATAGACAAGAGTTGTTACTACATTACATAATGGGCATTATCACGAAGAACCTCAGGAAAGATCTGAAGCAAGAGTACCAGCACAGTGTGAAAACCTCCAAAAGCAAAAAGGAAGAATTTGCGTAGAATGGCATCTTTCAGAAACAGAAGTCTCTAGGCATAGAAGCAGAGAGTAACAGAGGAGAGAGAGCAGGAGTGGTGGGCTAGGGAGGGAGCAAAAGAAGAAAAGAATAAAGCAAAATCATTGGGACAGATAGATTTATAGAATCCAGAGTTCTTATCCTAAGATAACTGCAGCTCAGTCATTGCTCGCCTAACCAAAAGTAGGTTTCCCTTCATCATTCAAGCCTGCTCCCCCAAAGATCTTTGCCATCTTTCCCTTTGACTTGCTGCATTACCTATCTCATCTCACTTTCACTGGAGGTTCTGATCCTAGGTAGATGATGGCTGATAGCTGATGACTGAGAGAAAGAAGCTCCTAACTTCTGTCTGTAGAAGTAGATAAAGAAACTATGACTGCAACCTCTCTTATTCCCACCAAAACTTGAGTCCTAACAAAAGCAGCCCTTTTCCTAGAAAGCTGGTAACACATTCCTAAAATTAGTTAGCATTCTGACCTTTACAACATAGGTGGAGACTCTCTCAACATTATCCAGTTATAAGAAGGGGATGGCCTGAGAGTCAGGCATCCTGGGCTCTTTAGCCTCATTACTTTTTAACCCTATTAGCATAGACACTTTAATCTCTCTGTGCCTCAATTTCTCTATCTACAAATTAGATATGATTAATCATTTCCTTGCAATTTTCATGGGCAGTTCTCCATGATCAATTAACATTTATGAAAATGTTTTCCCCATAGAAGAAAATCCAGGAAACCTAGGTAATAGTATTAGCATTCCCATGCACACCTATGAAACAAATACCTGTTTATGGCTATCAACATGTGGTGCTGGGCTGAGATCCACACAAGTTAGGTAAACCCAGTCTTGCAATCTAGGACTATGTTGTTCCAATTTGGCTTATGACAGGAGAACATAGAACATTACTGAGGAATTTTTGAGGCAGTATGTTGGGGAGTCAGCAAATGTGAGTTAGGGGAAGGGAGGACTTGTCCTATCAGATATTAAAATATATTTTAAAGCTCTGTTGGTTAAAATATCATGATATACTGGATCAGTGGTAGACAGATAGCTCACTGAAAGGTAATGGGGACCCCGTAAACAGATCTATGCATGTATGAAAATGCTTGGCAATGTAGATCAATAGGGAAAGTAGGAAATATTTAAGACACAATGTTGGAACCATTAGTTATTTGTGTATGAAAAATTGATTCTGGATCCATACCTCAAACTGACACAAACTCAATTCCAGATGGGTCAATGAAAAAGCCAAATTTTTAAAAATTTGGAAGAAAATACAAAATATCTTTATATAATCGCAAGATAGAGAAGGTTCATAAACAAGACACAAAAAACAAAATTCATGAAGAAATGATTGATAAACTTTGCTCCATAGAAATTAAGAATTGTGTTATTTGTTATTGTTGTTGTTGTTTGAGATGGAGTCTCTCTCTGTCACCTAGGCTGGAGTGCAATGGCATGATCTCACTGCAGCCTGTGTCCACTGAGTTCCAGCAATTCTCGTGCCTCAGCCTCCCAAGTAGCTGGGATTACAGGCGTGTGCCACCACACCCAGCTAATTTTTGTATTTTTAGTAGAGACAGGGTTTTGCCATGTTGACCAGGCTGGTTTCAAACTCCTGACCTCAAGTGATCCGCCCACCTCCGTCTCCCAAATTTCTGGGATTACAGGAGTGAGCCACCACGCCCAGCAAGAATTGTGTTCTTTGAAAAGGCAAGGAGAGAGTAAAAAGGGCAATGCATAAACCGGCAGAAAATATTGCAGGACATATGACCAGGAAATTAATATTTAGGTTATATAAAGAACTCTTCTAAATCAGTAAGAAATCAAACAATCCAATAAAAAAATGGGCAAAGATTATGAACAGGCATTTCTCACAAGAGGAAGTATGAATAGTGGGTAAATACACGAGAGGGTGTTCAACTTTATTTTCAATGAGTAAAATGTAAATTGAAATTAAAAGTAACATCATTCCACATTTACATATACCTAGATATATTCCCTTGGAAGCTTTTACACAGGCACATTAGGAGACAAGTTCAGTATATTCACCAGAGCCTTTTTTATTAAAAAAAAAGTGGAAAAAAGTGTATTAACAGAAGAATAAATAATAAATTGTGATATGTTAATATAATACAACAGCTAAAATAAATGAACTACAGTTGTATCAATATAAGTGACTTGAAAACATAAAGTTCAGCCAAAAGGAAGGTATGGAAGAACATACCCATTTATATAACCTTCAGAAAAAAAAAAGACAGAGCTACTCAAAATATATTGCCTAGGCTGGGAGCCACCGGTGGCTCACACCTATAATCCCAGCACTTTGGGAGGCCAAGGCAGGCAGATCACCTGAGGTCAGGAGTTCGAGACCAGCCTGGCCAACATAGTGAAACCCCATCTCTACTAAAAATACAAAAATTAGCCAGGCACAGTGGTGCACACCTGTAATCCCAGCTACTTGGGAGACTGAGGCATGAGAACACTTGAACCCGGGAGGCAGAGGTTGTAGTGAGCCAAGATTGCACTGGTGCACCCCAGCCCAGGCGACAGAGTGAGATCTTGTCTCAAAAAAAAAAAAAATTATACACATATATAGGCTAAAAAATACATAGATTGTGGTAATATAATAGAGAAAAACAAGGTGATAGCAGTGACAGTAGCACAGTTTTTCAGTCTCTACATAAAAACAGAGAAAGTAGATGTTAAAACCAAAAACTCATTGGCAACATTTGCAACACAGCCAGGTGACAAGGTCTCTCTACAAACCTCAAAACACAAGTTGGTGAAGATAGGCACAACCACAGACCTGTCTGGTCTCAGGGTGTATGTAGGGGGAAAAAGAGGAAAACAATGGAATTTCTAGTAGCCCTGAGAACAGGAAAGCTATAAAATAGCCAAGAAATATTCACTGGACAGAATGGTGGGCCAATTTCAGAACAGCTGCTAAACTAAGATGAGTATTGTCCAATTCAATAAAAGTTAAATATAAAGGTCCTTGGTAAAGTCTGATAAAAGCTCAAGTAGTCTGGGTCACATGAACTTGTAAAGACATCAAGCAAAACTGCCTTACAAGACAAAGTTCCATATGGTGGAGCAACTGCTGAAAATAGAAAAGAATAGAAATGGCCCTCTCCCTCTCCCTCTCCCCAAGGTCTCCCTCTCCCCACGGTCTCCGTCTCCGTCTCCGTCTCCCTCTCCGTCTCCCTCTCCCTCTCCCTCTCCCTCTCCCCACGGTCTCCCTCTCCCCCTCCCCACGGTCTCCCTCTCCCCACGGTCTCCCTCTCCCCACGGTCTCCCTCTCCCCCTCCCCACGGTCTCCCTCTCCCCACGGTCTCCCTCTCCCCACGGTCTCCCTCTCCCTCTCCCTCTCTTTCCACGGTCTCCCTCTGATGCCAAGCCGAAGCTGGACTGTACTGCTGCCATCTCCGCTCACTGCAACCTCCCTGCCTGAATCTCCTGCCTCAGCCTGCCGAGTGCCTGCGATTGCAGGCGCGTGCCGCCACGCCTGACTGGTTTTCGTATTTTTTTGGTGGAGACGGGGTTTCACCGTGTTGGCCGGGCTGGTCCCCAGCTCCTAACCGCGAGCGATCCACCAGCCTCGGCCTTCCGAGGTGCCGGGATTGCAGACGGTGTCTGGTTCACTCAGTGCTCAATGGTGCCCAGGTTGGAGTGCAGTGGCGTGATCTCGGCTGGCTACAACCTCCACCTCCCAGCCGCCTGCCTTGGCCTCCCAAAGTGCCCAGAGTGCAGCCTCTGCCCGGCCGCCACCCCGTCTAGGAAGTGAGGAGCGTCTCTGCCTGGCCGCCCATCGTCTGGGATGTGAGGAGCCCCTCTGCCTGGCTGCCCAGTCTGGAAAGTGAGGAGAGTCTCTGCCCAGCCACCATCCCATCTAGGAAGTGAGGAGCGCCTCTTCCCGGCCGCCATCCCATCTAGGAAGTGAGGAGCATCTCTGCCCGGCCGCCCATCGTCTGAGATGTGGGGAGCGCCTTTGCCCCGCCGCCCCGTCTGGGATGTGAGGAGCGCCTCTGCCCGGCCGTGACCTCGTCTGGGAGGTGAGGAGCGTCTCTGCCCAGCCGCCCCATCTGAGAAGGGAGGAGACCCTCTGCCCGGCAACCGCCCCGTCTGAGAAGTGAGGAGCCCCTCCGCCCGGCAGCTGCCCCGTCTGAGAAGTGAGGAGCCCCTCCGCCCGGCAGCCACCCCGTCTGGGAAGTGAGGACCGTCTCCGCCCGGCAGCCGCCCCGTCCGGAAGGGAGGTGGGGGTCAGCCCCCGCCAGGCCAGCCGCCCCGTCCGGGAGGGAGGTGGGGGGGTCAGCCCCCCGCCCGGCCAGCCGCCTCGTCCGGGAGGGAGGTGGGGGGGTCAGCCCCCCGCCCGGCCAGCCGCCTCGTCCGGGAGGGAGGTGGGGGGTCAGCCCCCCGCCCGGCCAGCCGCCCCGTCCGGGAGGGAGGTGGGGGGTCAGCCCTCCGCCCGGCCAGCCGCCCCATCCGGGAGGTGAGGGGCGCCTCTGCCCGGCCGCCCCTACTGGGAAGTGAGGAGCCCCTCTGCCTGGCCAGCCGCCCCATCTGGGAGGGAGGTGGGGGGGTCAGCCCCCCGCCCGGCCAGCATCCCCGTCCGGGAGAGAGGTTGGGGGGTCAGCCCCCTGCCCGGCCAGCCGCCTCGTCTGGGAGGTGAGGGGCGCCTCTGCCCGGCCGCCCCTACTGGGAAGTGAGGAGCCCCTCTGCCCGGCCAGCCGCCCCGTCTGGGAGGGAGGTGGTGGGGTCAGCCCCCCGCCCGGCCAGCCGCCTCGTCCGGGAGGGAGGTGGGGGGGTCAGCCCCCCGCCTGGCCAGCCGCCTCGTCCGGGAGGTGAGGGGCGCCTCTGCCTGGCCGCCCCTGCCTGGCCGCCCCTACTGGGAAGTGAGGAGCCCCTCTGCCCGGCCAGCCGCCCCGTCCGGGAGGGAGGTAGGGGGGGCCAGCCCCCCGCCCGGCCAGCCGCCCGTCCGGGAGGTGAGGGGCGCCTCTGCCCGGCCGCCCCTACTGGGAAGTGAGGAGCCCCTCTGCCCGGCCAGCCGCCCCATCCGGGAGGGAGGTGGGGGGTCAGCCCCCCGCCCAGCCAGCCGCCCCGTCCGGGAGGGAGGTGGGGGGGTCAGCCCCCCGCCCGGCCAGCCGCCCCGTCCGGGAGGTGAGGGGCGCCTCTGCCCGGCCGCCCCTACTGGGAAGTGAGGAGCCCCTCTGCCCGGCCAGCCACCCTGTCCGGGAGGGAGGTGGGGTGGTCAGCCCCCCACCCGGCCAGCCGCCCCATCCGGGAGGGAGGTGGGGGGGTCAGCCCCCCGCCCGGCCAGCCGCCCCGTCCTGGAGGGAGGTGGGGGGGTCAGCCCCTCGCCCGGCCAGCCGCCCCGTCCCGGAGGTGAGGGGCGCCTCTGCCCGGCCGCCCCTACTGGGAAGTGAGGAGCCCCTCTGCCCGGCCACCACCCCGTCTGGGAGGTGTGCCCAACAGCTCACTGAGAACGGGCCATGATGACAATGGTGGTTTTGTGGAATAGAAAGCGGGGAAAGGTGGGGAAAAGATTGAGAAATCGGATGGTTGCCGTGTCTGTGTGGAAAGAAGTAGACATGGGAGACTTTTCATTTTGTTCTGTACTAAGAAAAATTCTTCTGCCTTGGGATCCTGTTGATCTGTGACCTTACCCCCCAACCCTGTGCTCTGTGAAACATGTGCTGTGTCCACTCAGGGTTAAATGGATTAAGGGCGGTGCAAGATGTGCTTTGTTAAACAGATGCTTGAAGGCAGCATGCTCGTTAAGAGTCATCACCACTCCCTAATCTCAAGTACCCAGGGACACAAACACTGCGGTAGGCCGCAGGGTCCTCTGCCTAGGAAAACCAGAGACCTTTGTTCACTTGTTTATCTGCTGACCTTCCCTCCACTATTGTCCTATGACCCTACCAAATCCCCCTCTGTGAGAAACACCCAAGAATGATCAATAAAAATAAAAATGAAAATTAAAAAAAGAAAAAGGAAAGAATAGAAATGCAGAATGCATCTAATAATATAAAAATGCTGTTTGAGAAAGCTTATTGCTTCAGTTTTTATGTGTGTGTATTACTAAAATATAAAGTATACTTTCTTACAGTTGGTCGTGAGCAAAAGTTTGAAACCATACTGCAATGGCTTTCCAAAGTCATCATCTTCTTCATCTTGTTTTTTTGAGACAGGGTCTTGCTCTTTTGCCCAGGCTGGGGTGCAATGGTGTGAACATGGCTCACTGCAGCCTCAACCTCCTGGGCTCAAGTGATCCTCCTGCCCCAGCCTCCCATGTAGTTGAGACCACAGGCACTCACCACCACACTGGCTGACTTTTTCATTTTTTGTAGAGATGGGATCTAACTCTGTTGCCTTGATCTCTCTTTGTTGCCTTGGCTGGTCTCAAACTCCTGGACTCAAGCAATCCTCCTGTCTCAGCCTCCCAAAGTGTTGGGCTTACAGGTATGAGCCATGGTGCCAGGCCCCAAAGTCTTCTTTTTTGTTGTTGTTGTTTTTTGTTTGTTTGTTTTTTGAGACAGAATCTTGCTCTGTCCCCCAAGTTGGAGTGCAGTGGCACGATCTCAGCCCACCTGCACCCTCCACTTCCCAGGTTTAAGTGATTCTCTTGCCTCAGCCTCCCGAGTAGCTGGGACTACAGGCACCTGCCACCACGCCTGACTAATTTTTATATTTTTAGTAGAGGCGGGGTTTCACCATGTTGGCCAGGCTGGTCTCGAACCCCTGACCTCAAATGATCCACCTACCTCAGACTCCTAAAATGTTGGGATTACAGGTATGAGCCACACCAGCCCCAAAGTCTTCTCAATTCCAATCTTTCTCACTCTGCATTCAGAATTATGTTCCTAAAACTCTCATGTGGTCTTTTGCTTATCTCCTGTCATGGTCTGAGTGTGTCCCCAGAGTGTTCATGCATTGGAAACTTAATTCTTCAATGTGGCAGTGTTGGAAGTTGTAGCCTCATGGGAGGTGTTTGAGGGTTCCGCTCTCATAAAGGGATTCATGAAGTTCTCACAGGACAGGGTTAGGTCTTAAGAGTGAGTTTTCATAAAGCAGGTCACATTGCCTGCTTTGACTCTCCTCTTTCCCATATGCTTGCCTGCTCTTCTGCTTTTCTACCATGTTATGATGCAGTATGAAAGCCCTTGCCAGAAGCTGCTGCCATGCCCTTGGACTTCTCAGCCTCCAGAATTGCAAACCAAATTAACTTCTCTTCTTTATAAATTACCTGGTCTCAGCCATTCTGTTATAAAGACAGAAAATGAACTAAGCCATCTACCTACAGATTTGCATGCCACTATTTCTCTAAGTGAGATCCTACGCACAAAAATCACTGGGGACGCTCTGTTACAAATTCAAATAACTCAGGCCTCTTCCTAGACCTACTAAATCAACATCTGGGGTGTGATGCAGGAATCTACATATTAAACAATTCTCCCCACATATTCTTGGGCACAACTAAAGTTAGAGAACATTTAAGTCCTGTTAACTTAAGCATGACCCAAATAGGCCCCTACCTCTACTCACCAGGGATACAGACACCATTAGATACAGGACAAAGATTTTTCTGTAGGAGATGGTAGGGTAAAGATAGGAAGAATTGGGGTTTATTTGTTGGTCTTCTCAACCAAGTTTTGGGTACCACTGCTTTAAAATGGATCTTGGTCAAATTAAATACATCAGGAACTTTTTGGTTTGAGCAATAGATCCTGATGATAATGCAGATTCAGTTTCTATTTGTTCTGGCTTAAATCTACTCATAGACACCATAATATATATCCCTCTATTTAAGGAGAGGTGCTGTGACAATCAAGTGTCCGGAGTTTGAAAGAAATGGGAATTTAAGGAACCAATGCAGAAATGCCAAGTAGCTTTTTGATACATTAGCCAAGAAAAGATGTAGAAAATAGTGAACAATCCTGTCGTGAGACAAAGAAGGGTGAGAGACATTCCCTCTCCCCATCTTTCCATGTTAAGATTTCACACAAGTGAAGGTAATTTTGAGTCTTTGAGAGAGGGAGGTAGAGAGAAATGGTATTTTTCTTGAGTCCTTTCAGTGGGTTCCTGGTGCCTTCTATCAGTGCAGCTTGCATGACCCACCCCAGTTAAGGCACCAACTTTCGTATTTTGGTAAAGCACTTAAAAATGTATAATTAGTTCTGATATGTCAACTAACAAGAACTAATCACTCAGGAGAAATGCTCAACAATTTGAATTTTTAGCAAGCATTCCATAATGATTTTACCATCATGGAAAAATCATCATTTTATTAATTTTTATCATCAATTTAGGAGACTGTGGCCTAAAAATGGAAAAGCTGATTAAGAGAATAAGCAATGTATATTTTTTAATTTCAACATTTTCCAGATCAAAATGAAGGCAGGTGTCCAAGTTGCCATTGCACCATAGATTTGTACAGTTTGTGTGAAGTTCACAGGTCAGATTTATTGCATGATAAAGGAAGTGGCAGTGATGTGCTTATTTGTACTTGTATGTTTATCTGGTGCCTGCTAATGGTGGAACTCACCTTCTCCAAGTCACACCAGCTAGGAGCACAGCCAAGCAGGAGTCTTCCACTTAGCTCCTTCTGGCAAATTGTGTGAACGATACCCCCTCACCATCAGTTAAAATCCCTTTGAAATAATAAAGGAAGTCATTGGTATCCTTTGACACAGTGCCACAGACGGTGGCTTAACAACAGACATTTACTCTCCCCGAGTTCTGGAGGCACCAGAAGTCCAGAATCAGGGGTTGTGAGGACAATGCAGGCTCTGGGACTCTGGGCAGGACCTTCCTGGCATCTTCACACTTCTGGCGGCCGGCAATCCTTGCAAACCTCACTGTTCTCTTTATCTGTCTCTGCTGTTGGCTGAAGGATCCTAGGCCACTGTTTGACGTTGCCTGTCACTGCGTGGGCTCCACGCTAGATTTCTGAGGCCTTCTCAGGCTCTTGGTGTTGACTGCATAGATCTCCCCCAACCACAGTTTGGCATATCCTCTGTCTTTGACAACCCCCAACTGTCACTTCACCCTTGTTATATTTCATAGATTTGAGAGTGGTATTGAAGGTAAAGTAGCACACTTTTTTTTTCTTCACCAGTTTTCTGCAAATGCTTAGAAAAAGTAAGGTCAGCACATTTCCTGCTGATGTGGAAATTGCTGATCAATCCAGCAGGCTCAATCTTTTCAGACGAAGCTCAGGTGCCCTAATCCCTTAGGTTGAAGATGAGTTATTTTCCAAGAACTTCAATTTCTCAAGGTCCTCTGCCCCACCACAGTAGGATTTGCTTGAACCTGCAAGATAAACACAGCTTATACTCACACTCTGGGGCTCCCACTGTGTGGAAAGTCTTGAAGAAGTTGAAGCAGAGGAGAGGTGTCATTTGTTGAAAGCTGTCAAACAGCCAGATTATATAAAATTATGAAGATATTTAGCAGGAATATTCTAAGATACTGCTACAAACAACACTATTTATTGACCACAAATATGCCAGTTGCTTTACATATACTCAACCTTACAATAATCCTGCTAGGTAAATCATCTGATTTTACAGATGAGGAAAGAGGTTCAGAGAAGTTAAGCAGCTTGCCCCAAGTCATAGAAATAGAATTCCAAATACAGAATTCAAGAATTAAAAGAACTTTCCAGTCAGCACTGGAATACTGTAGCGCCCTTCCCCCTCAACCCCTCCACATTTACCCCACCCTCCAATCAACATATGAATGGAGGAAAAGGGAAGGGCAGAATTTATGCTTCTAATGGACAGCTTCCTTTCAAGAGGCAGAGGGTGTTGCTGAGCTGATCATGGCCAGTTTTTGCTTCCCAATCCTGCCAATCTATTAGGTCATCCCTTCTTTTGTGGAAAAGAGCAAAGGAGGGACAGAAAGAGTCGGGAGCATTATACTAGCAAAGCCATCTACACGGGGAAGGACATATCAGGAATAAAGAAAAGTACTTATCTCACCTCCCCAACAGATCTATTTCATCTAATATATATGCACACAAGTTACATTCATATGCAAAAGCTTTTAAAATAATACTGTAAATATGTTAGAAGAAAATATAGAAAAAATTTTTATAAACTAATCATGGGAGAGGTTTCCTAGAGCATAAATAAAAACAGAAGCCATAGAAGACTAATCCAAATTTCTGATTTTCTCCTTATAAGGAAATGGAAATCAGAATTTTACTGGGTATACCTTCTGGGATAATAATTATCCAATTATTTATTTATTTGGATAGGCTGTTGGACATTGTGAAGAACTACAGTGAGAGAGAACTTTTTGAATGTTAAAAGAAATGTGGCTTTATGTTATACAGCAAATTAGATAAGCAGAGCCTTACAATTCTAGAAACGGTCTCATTATTGACATCCACAGATATGGTGGCAATAAAATAACACCTATAATGAAAGTATTTGTCACATCTAAATTATAATTACACTCATTTTTAGGCATCTTCATAATTAGGCATCAATGGGAGTAATTCACATAAGTTCTAGGGATCAATATTATTTTTGTGAGATGCAACCTGATATTTAGATTTCCTTTTCTTACTCCATCAGTTCATTATTATCTATAATCAGTAAAAATTTCTATCAGTTACCACTGACACATGACAAAAAGCATCATTAACAACTGCAATTCCCTGGGCTCCTCCCTACTCATTAATGGCCTCTTCTTTGTGCTCTTCCTCCACACCCACTGTGGCAGGCAGACTTTTAAGATGACCCTCAACAGCCAGACATGGTGACTCATGCCTGTAATCCCAGCACTTTGGGAGGCCGAGGCAGGAGGGTTGCTTGAGCCCAGGAGTTTGAGAACAGTCCTAGCGATATAGTGAGAACTTCTCTCTACAAAAAATTAAAATAGTAGCTAGGCATGGTGGCACATGCCTGTAGTCGGAGCTATTTGGGAGGCTGAGGTGGGAGAATCACTTGAGCCTGGGGGGTTCAGGCTGCAGTGAGCTGTGATCATGCCACTACACTCCAGCCTGAGCAACAGAGCAAGACCTTGTCTCAAAAAAAAAAAAGATGACCCTCAATAATCCCCAACTCCTGGTACTCATAAATGTCCTCCCTTTGAGTATGGGCTGAACCTCCTTGAGTGTGACTTGTTTCTATGGATAAGATATGGCAAAAGCAAAGGTATGTCATTTTCATGATTAGACTTCTATCCTGCCAGCACTATCTCTTGCTCTCTTGGTTGGCTCACTTTGATAACATCAGTGTCACATTGTGAAATGCTCTATGGAGACGCCCATATGACAAGGAATTGAGGGAAGCCTCCTGCCAACAGTTCTGGGAAACTGAGGCCTCAAACCAACAGTTGGAGATAACTCAAATCTCACCAACAACCACAAGTGTGCTTGGAAGTAGCTGCTCCCAGCCAAGCGTCGGAATGACTAAACCCAGCTGACACCTTGACTGCAGCATTGAGAAAGAACCTGAAGCAGAGGTCACAATATAATTGTAGTGGCGTCATCAGAGTAGCTACCAGCTGCCCTGCCTGCCTCACCTAAGACATTGTTTGCAAAGCCATTTTGCTAATTTCCAAAGAGCTGTAATTCATATGAGAAGTGACAGTCTGTAGTTATAACAGGTGAATGTGCAATAATCTGTCTTGGAAAATTACAGGCAGGAATACAAATAGTCTAAGTAAGTGAAAACCCAGCTTAGAGTTAACACACCTGTGAATGAAGGAAAATTGTGCAACTCTAAAAATATCCAGGGGCCCATATCATCTAGTATAAACCCAGAGTCACACATTTAAAAAGCCACTTAAGTACCCAAACATAATTAATAAGAGATTCCATTATTTGCTCCAGATGCTTGAAGAAAATTATAGGACCCAATGCATAATGCATATTGACTGTTAACTCTCTCCTCTCTGGAATTTCTTGCCTCGTGAGAAAGTTCAGAACTTCCCACACACTTAATATCCAAACACTTTCTTCACGCTTAGCTCTGAATACATTTTATTTTCCCTCTTTCCATGGCACTACTGCTTTCTTTCCTTTATTATTTAGATAGCATTAGCTTTTTTACCAACAAACAAGAATCCTTTTTTGTTTGTTTTGTTGAGAAAGAAGGTAAATAAGAGGAAGAAAACTAAAGAATAGTAGGTTCTCCTGAGCTGCATGTTAACAATAAAAATGTCAAAAAATTTTGTCTTTTGGAAGCAACATGGACACTGTCCTGCTTCCATCATGGAAAAGTGTGGACAGAATGTTTTACATTCAGGGAAAGAGTTTGCACCCTAGGATAAACCAAAACAAACAACAACAAAAAAAAAATAGGAATACCCTGTCTGGTTCTTGAAACCTTGAGCCATTCTGGTAAGTTACTGACTCACTACTAAAACCTTATTGGCCTGGGCACTGTGGATCACACGAGAGGATCGCTTGAGTCTAGGAGTTCGAGACCAGCTTGAACAACATAGCAAGATCCCATCTCTACAAAAAAATGTAAAAATTAGTCCAGCATGGTTGTGCATGCCTGTAGTCCTAGCTACTTAGGAGGCTGTGGTGGGAGGATCGCTTGAGCCCAGAAGGTCAAGGCTGCAGTAAGCTATGATAAACCACTGCACTCTAGTCTGGGGAACAAAGCAAGATCCTGTCTCTTAAAAAGTTAAGTAAAATAAAAATAACTTTATTCTTGGCTTTTTCAGTTCTGATATATGAAATTATACAACTATTATTAATCCACAGCCTCTCAGCTTGCTGTCCTTTGAGTAGACGTTCATTTCCTTGCTTGAATAACCTGTAATAATAATTCTATCTGAAGCAGTTGCCTGGCAAGAGATGTCCATTCTCCTCAAGATCTGCTCCCACTACTTGTTGCCACAAGACCCACCCTGGCGTTAGATTTCAGATTGTATCGGGAAGACAAATTGAAAGCTTGACACAAGAAGAAACAGCTCACTCTCCAAAGTAATTGCAAAATTTTACTGTTTTATGTTGGCAGAAACCCAGTGAATATGTATGTGAATGAGTTCTAAGAGCATTTGACAAGAACAAAATGTAACACTGGGTAAGGCTAACTATATTGATATTGGTGTACTGACCATTGATTCTGGATTTAATAAATTAGCTCATACTACTACAAGTTGCTTTAACAGTTCACTGGATTTGTTGACTAAAATTTCAACTCAAGTCTGGCCTACATTTAATGAGGTTGAGATGCTGGAACTTCCCTGAGATAATGTAAGTGAAAGCATTCAAAGGATTGGAGAAATTTGTTGAAGTAAATTATCATGTGCAAAATTAATCCCTGCCTTTTCCCTCTTCATCCACTGAGAGGACCCAGAGGATATGCAATTTAATAAGGCACTGAGAAGTAGATTAGTGAAGGGAGCACAAGCATCACAGAAAAGGAGGTGTTATCCTTTGTAGGTCAGTTAGAAAGATAGAAGATGGTACTGTTGAGATTGGTTTCTTGATTCAATGAGGATAATGGATCCCAGAGTAGCACAGGTCACGTGGCAGCACTTAATAGTCACACACAGGTGTTCACTATCTGTGCATCAGGGAGGAAGTGGTATCAAAATGTTCTGACCTACAAGAACCTTTGATGATGGTTAGTTGATCCCAGTAGGTAGGAACAAAATAACCTATGAACATAGTCCTTATTCCATGTAACATGAAAAACTTCAGGTCTGGTGACTGGAGACCTGATCTGAGAGGGAAGTAAAGCACTAGGAACAGACAGAGGATAAACTATGAACGGCAGAATTCTGAGATGATCCCAATGTTTCTGCCCTCTAACATACATGATTTGTATAAAGCTTTAAGTGCAAGAAGAATCTGTGAATATTATGGGATACTCCATGACAATGTGATCATAATATGTCACAATTAATTTTTCCAATGTAATTAAGATTCCTAAGCAGTTGACTTTGAGTTCATCAAGATGGAAATCACCTTGCATGAATCTGAGTAGATCAGACAAGACCTTTTTGAAAGAAGGTCCAACAGAGCTGGAAGAAAGCAGAGAGATCTTAAGCTGCAGCAAACACCCCTGCTAGTCTTAAAGAAGCAAAGTCCATGTTATATAAAGAGCCACATGGCAGGGAATGGCAGGCAGGCCTTAGAAGCTGAGAATGGCCTCAGTTGACAGCCAGAAGGAAAGCCAGAACCCCATTCCTACAACCCCAAGGGATTGAATTCTTCCACATTGAACGAGCTTGGAATAGTACTATACACTACAGATAAGAGTACGACCATGGTTAATTGTTTGATTTTAGACTTGTGAGACCCCAAAGGGAGAATGCAGTTGAGCCTAATGCAGACTTCTGACCTATAGAATGTGAGATGATAAATAAGCTTCAAAGCTTAGTGGCAGCTCAGCTTTGGGTCTATTAAAAAAAAATCAGTTATTATAGAAAATATTACTTAGAAAGTGAGAGCCTCTCATAATTCAATTCAATCACAGACAAATGCCGATAACAGTTGTGTATACATAAATTAGATACATACCATTTTTAAATTTAGAAATGGGAGCATACTATATTATACTGTTCTGAAACTTAGCCAGGCATGATAGCACATGCCTATAGTCCTAGCTACTCGGGAGGCAGGGGCAAGAGGATCACTTGAACCTGGGAGTTCAAGACCAGCTTGGGCAACATAGCGCAACCCATCTCTACTAAAAATAATTTTTACAAAATAGCCAGGTGCAGTGGTGTACACCTGTAATCCCAGCTACTCAGGAGGCTGAGATGGGAGGATTTCTTGAGCCCAGGAGTTAAAAGTTACAGTGAGATCTGATTGTGCCACTGTACTCCAGCCTGGGCAACAGAGTGAGACCTTGTCCCAACCCCGCAAAAAAAAAAAGAGTTGGCCAGACGCGGTGGCTCACACCTGTAATCCCAGCACTTTGGGAGGCCGAAGCAGGCAGATCACCTGAAGTCAGGAGTTCGAGACCAGCCTGGCCAACATGGTGAAACCCTGTCTCTATTAAAAATACAAAAATTAGCTGGGTGCGGTGGTGGACACCTGTAGTCCCAGCTACTCAAGAGGCTGAGGCACAGAATTTCTTGAACTGGGGAGATGGAGGCTGCAGTGAGCCGAGATTGTGCCACTGCACTCCAGCCTGGGCAACAGAGTGAGACTCTGACTCAAAAAAAAAAAAGAGTATACCACATTAGAAAAGCAAATGAAGCCCTTTCATGAGCTTTGTCTATGAAAGGGAGGAAGGAGGGTAGTGTAGGAAAGAAATGTAGGGTTAAGGAAGGATATTATATCCACATACGTAAATTTTAGAATGGTATCATGCTATATATATGTTTTATATGTTTGCATATGTATATCTATATAAAAAATTGTCTTCCTCTCACCACCCCCCAATATGCCCAGTTCCCCACAAAAATGAATTATAACAGCTAATGATTTATGTATCTTTCCAAAGTTTCTTCATGCATATACAAGGTAATATGTATTATATATCTCCCTATTTTACACAATATATACTATATAAATTTTCTGGATTTTTTTCAAATAATATATCTTGGAGCTTTTTTTATACCAGCCCATAGAGGACTTGCCCACCTTTTAAAGTTGCACAGTATTCCACTGCATGGATGGACCACATCTATTTAACTAGTCACCTATTGATGACCACCTTTTGCTATTGTGAATGACACTGTGATGTATCATTTTGCCCACATGAAAGCAAGGCCACTGCTAGTCCCTCAGTGCTGTGTTGAGTAATCCTTCACTCCACTTCCTGCCCTGCAGACACTGAAACAAGGACTTAAGTACAGTTAGTTTATTGAGAGGTGATTCCAGGAAACAGGAGTGAAGGAGTAGGGACAGTGAGAAAGCAAGGAAGGAGAAGCCAAGAAGAAGGTGGGTTTTAGAAGTTGTCTGGAACCCCCAAGAACTATATACAACACCCCAAAATTGTTCAGCGAAGGACAAAAGACTGAAGCATTTATCCAGGTTGCTCCTAGATGCATTAGTTCTCCCACACTTCCACACTGAATTTCACCCTAGGGAAAGCTCAAGAAAGACTACTGTCAGCTGATGTGAGCCTGAGCAACCGTGAAACTGTCCACCGCAATGTGGCTGAGATCCAAGGTGGGCTGAAATATGTGATAGGGTGACCAGTCTTTGTGAAAATTGGAGAAAGGTGCCCGATCTGAGCAGAAGTAATCTTGTATTCTCACAGTTTGGTGGGTAGATAGCATCTTTGTGTGAATTTTAGAAAGGTTACTTTCTCTAAGCTCTTTACATCCCTGCCTCAGGGACAGGATATGCAGCTAGAAAAGAGAGCCCAGACTGGATTTCAGCTCCTTGGCCAAAGGCACTCAAGCGATGAGCACAACCATACTGTGTGCCCCTGGATGCACATGCATCAGAGGACACATTTCTAAAATGATCATGATTCTTTCCTCTACTCAGGACTTCCTCACATGTTTGCACTGATCAGGACTCAGTTAAACTTGGGAATCCGCTGCAAATCTCTAGGCTGTCTCTCTCTCTACTTCCTTCTCTCTGGTACCTGGCCTGCAAATTCTACCTACTTTTGCCTCCACAAATTCCAACATTCCTCAACTCAAGGAGACCACTGGGCTCTGTCTGGGTTTCTCCTTCCTGTGTCAAGCACGTACTCTGTTTTCATGCAGTGAGCTGGGACACTCAAAGGATTTACCTTTCTTGTTTCCTGTGTCTTCCAGATCACTGTTCTTTGCTGCCTGATGGTCAGTGCCTTGAAAATTATTGTTTTATATATTTGATTCAGATTTATAGCTAAGATGTGAAGGTAAATAGAGTACCAGATATTCCTTCTTGACCTGAAGTAGAAATCTTTACATGTGCATTTTTTTTATTTTAATAAGTACTCCCCAGAAAACTTTGCACACAGGCTATACCAATTTTCACTTCAGTTAGCAATGTGTAAGTGCTCACGTCTTCACATGCCAGGCACAAGGCAAAATGTCATCAAAATTTGTTCATACCCTGGGCCAGAAGGGAACCCTCTGCCTTGAAGGGAAGGACCCAGTTCTGCAGGATTCATCACCTGCTGATTAAAGTGGGCCTTGAATAAACATCAGCGGTAACCAGGCAGTACCTGCCTCCGGCCTTGGGTAAGACTGTGCCATGCCGACTTCAGGTGTGACCCATCACCTCTCCAGCTGTGGTGGCCACCGGGAGAAACTCCTTCTGCTTGAGGAAAGGGGAGGGAAGAGTAAAGGGGGCTTTGTTTTGCTGCTTGGGTACCAGCTTGGTCACAGTGAGGTGGAGAACCAAGCAGGTTCCTGGGGTTCTCGATTTCTGGATGGCATTTCCACACCCACCCTATGCCAGAGGGTAGTCCACAGCCCTGAAGGGAGAGACCCAGGCCTGGTAGCATTTACCACAAGCTGATTGAAGAGCTCTTGAGCCTTTTGTGCAGCCAGGCAGTGCTTGCCACAGCTTGGCATGGTGGTGGCCATGAAGAGAGACTCCTCTGCTTGAAGAAAGGAGAGGGAAGAGTGGGAAGGACTTTCTCCTGTGGCTTTGGTGCCAGCTCAGCTGCAGGAGAATAGATAGAGCAGCAAGGAGATTCCTAAGGATCCTGACTGCAGGCCCTGGCCCCTGGACAGCATTTCTGGACCCACCCCGGGCCAAGGGAGTGCTCACCACCCTGAAGGGAAGGACATAAGCCTGGCCGGATTTGCCACCTGATGAATGAACTTTGAGTGAACATTGGCAGTAGCTAGGCAGTGTTTATTGCGGACCTTGGGCAAGACCCAGTGCTGTGCTGACACTGGGTCTGACCAAGCACAGTCCCAGTGGTGGTGGCCACAGGAGTGCTTGTGTCACCCCTCCCCCAGCTACGGGCAACTCAGCATGGAGCGAGGGATCCATTTGTTTGGGGGAAAGTAAAGGATAAGAATAAGAGTCTCTGACTACTAATCCAGGGAATTCTTTTGAATCTTACCTAAGACCAGCAAGGTGGTACTTCTATGAGTCTGCAAGAACCACAGTGTTACTAGGTTTGGGGTGCCCCCTAATGCAGATATTGCTGCAGTGACCAGACAATTAGATCACAATACTTAATTTCCTTTGAACACTTGGAAAGCCTTCCCAAGAAAGACAGGTACAAACAAACCCAGACTGCAAAGACTACAATAAATACCAAAGTCTTCAATGCCCAGATATTGAAAAACATCCACAGAATCAAGACCATCCAGGAAAACATGGTCTCACCAAACCAACTAAATTAGGCACCCATGACCAATCCTGGAGAGACAGAGACATGTGACCTTTCAGGCAGAATTTAATATAGCTGTTTTGAGAAAGCTCAGTGACATTCAAGATAGCATAGAGAAGGAATTCAGAATCATATTATATAAATTTAACAAAGAGATTGAAATAATTTAAAAATTCAAGCAGAAATTCTGGAGCTGAAAAGGTCAGTTGTAATGCTGAAGAATGCATCGGTCTCTCAACAGCAGAACTGATCAAGCAGAAGAAAGAATTAGCAAGCTTAGAGACAGACTATTTGAAAATACACAGTCAGAGGAGACAAAAAAAAAATTATAAAAATTTGAAGCACACATACAAGATCTAGAAAACAGCCTCCAAAGGGCAAATCTACGACTCACTGGCCTTAAAGAGGAGACAGATCAGGGTAAAAAGTTTATTCAAAGGGTTAATAACAGAGAGCTTAATTACTTACAAACCTACAAAAATATATCAATATTCAAGTATAAGAAGGTTATAGAACACAAAGCAGATTTAAACCAAATAAGACTAACTCAAGACACATAATAATCAAATTCTCAAAGTCCAAGGGTAAAGAAAGGATCCCAAAAGCAGGAAGACAAAAGAAACAACATGCAAAGGAGCTCCAATACACGTGGCTGCAAACTTCTTAGTTGAAACCTTACAGGCCAGGAGAGAGTGGTATGACATATTTAAAGTGCTGAAGGAAAAAAAAACTTTTACCCTAGAATAGTATGTCTGGTGAAAATATCTTTCAAACATGAAGGAAATGTGAAAGAAAAATATCTTGTGCCCCTACAATCACTAAGCTAAAGTGAAAAGTCAAGCTGGGAAACGCTTAGGGCAAACCTGCCTCCCATTCTATTCAAAGTCACCCCTCTACTTACTGAGATAAATGCATATCTGGGCAGGGGGCGGTGGCTCACGCCTGTAATCCCAGCACTTTGGGAGGCCGAGGCAGGCAGATCACAAGGTCAGGAGATCGAGACTATCCTGGCTAACACGGTGAAACCCCGTCTCTACTAAAAATATAAAAAATTAGCCAGGCGTAGTGGCGGCCACCTGTAATCCCAGCTACTCGGGAGGCTGAGGGAGGAGAATGGCATGAACCCAGGAGGTGGAGCTTGCAGTGAGCCAAGATCGCTCCACTGCACCCAGCCTCCAGACTCCGTCTCAAAAAAAAAAGCATATCTGATTGCCTCCTTTGGAGAGGCTAATTAGAAACTCAAAAGAATGCAAACATTTGTCTCTTATCTACCTATGACCTGGTAGCCCCCTTCCAGCTTTCAGTTGTCCTGCCTTTCCAGACCGAACCAATGTTCATCTCATATATGTTGATTGATGTCTCATGTGTCCCTAAAATGTATAAAACCAGACTATGCTCTGACCAGTTTGGGCGCATGTTGTCAGGACCTCCTGAGGCTGTGTCATGGGCACGTCATCAACCTCGGCAAAATTAACTTTCTAAATTAACTGAGACTTGTCTTGACTTTTTAGAGTTTGCATTTTGGTAACCATGAAGGGATTCTGAGTGGAGGTTCCCCTGACTATTGACAAATCCCCTACTGGTGCTTGGTACCAACATGAGCTAACTTTATGGCTCAAACCAATAGGATAATTTGCTGAGGTCTGAGAGCACCTGCTCCAGAGAATTCCTGATCTCCCAAAATTTGGTTGAAATCTAAAGTTTATTTTGCTGTACAATTCTTTTTTTTTTTTCTCTTCCATGGTCATGGAAGGCAGGTAACTCCTTTATGAAGTTTGAGCTCACTTCCAAAGGGGAGATGAGGTTTTCTTTTGGTTTTTTTGTTTGTTTGTTTGTTTGTTTTTCCTGCTTCTAGGATGGTAGAGAGAGTCTTCAGCCTGAAATCCATCCCTCGGTAAGTAACCGAATTGAGGTTTGTCTTGGATAAAGCTAAGATTAACAACCAGCTGGTCTTAATTTCTCCTTACCATTAGAACACTCAGTAATCATGTAAGTTGTGCAATCATTTGTTTTGCTTAACATTTTTTCTTATTGTTGTTTGTTTCTGTTTCTGTTGTTGTTTCGGTCTTTTTCCCATTGGGTTTGATCAACTCTATCCAACCAGATCAAACCCAAAGGAAGTTCCAAATTATGAGGAAAGAGGCCTCTGAGGTGGCTAAATTCCCAAACACACACAAAAAAGGATAGTGTGGTGGGAGTAGAAAAATGGCCAGCAAAAGGATAAAAAGAGAGGAAAAAAATTTTTATTTTGACTGCTAAGGGGCTTTATTTACATAACAAGGCCATCTGTTTGCTAGCCAGGCCAAACTGAAGAGCAATGGCTGTACATCTGACATAGCAGCAATTTGTTCTAGCTGAAATATGGTAATGAGATTAAAAAACATCTTTTCGAAGGAGCTCAATGGTTAAAAGCTTAATTAAAAGCAAACATCCAAGGTGTGTGTGTGTGTGTGTGCACATATTTGTGTGTTTGTATTTAAAAGGCCTTCATGTTTTGTTTTTGTTTTTCTCCTAGGACCTCATCTTTTTTTTTTTTTTTTTTTTTTTTTTTTTTTTTTTAAGCAAAAGTTTTTCTTTCTCAGTTGACTGGACTTTTTTTGTTGTTGTTGTTGAGACAGAGTCTCTCTCTTGTTGCCTAGGTTGTAGTGCAATGGCGCGATCTCAGCTCACTGCAATCTCCATCTCCCGGGTTCAAGTGATTCTCCTGCCTCAGCCTCCCAAGTGGCTGGAACTACAGGTGCATGCCACCACACCCAGCTAATTTTTGGTATTTTTAGTAGAGACGGGGTTTCATTTTGTTAGCTAGGATGGTCTTGAGCTCCTGACCTGGTGATCCGCCGTCCTGACCTGGAGATCCACCCTGACCTGGTGATCCACCTGCCTGACCTGGAGCGCCTGACCTGGTGATCCGCTTTTGCTGTGCAGAAGCTCTTTACTTTAATCAGATTCCATTTGTCAATTTTGGCTTTTGTTGCAATTGCTTTTGGTGTTGTAGTCATGAAGTCTTTGCCCATGCCTGTGTCCTGAATGGTATTGCCTAGGTTTTCTTCTAGGGTTTTTATGGTTTTTAGGTCTTACATTTAAGTCTTTAATCCATCTTGAGTTAATTTTTGTATAAGGTGTAAGGAAGGGGTCCAGTTTCAGTTTTCTGCATATGGCTAGCCAGTTTTCCCAACACCACTTATTAAACAGGGAATCCTTTCCCCATTGCTTGTTTTTCTCAGGTTTGTCAAAGATCAGATGGTTGTACATGTGTGGCATTATTTCTGAGGCCTCTGTTCTGTTCCATTGGTCTATATATCTGTTTTGGTACCAGTACCATGCTGTTTTGGTTACTGTAGCCTTGTAGTATAGTTTGAAGTCAGGCAGCGTGATGCCTCCAGCTTTGTTCTTTTGGCTTAGGATTGTCTTGGCTATGCGTGCTCTTTTTTGGTTCCATATGAAATTTAAAGTAGTTTTTTCTAATTCTTTTTTTTTTTTTGAGACAGAGTCTCACACTGTCACCCGGGCTGGAGTGAGCTGGCATGATCTCAGCTCACTGCAACCTCCACCTCCCAGGTTCATGAGATTCTCTTGCCTCAGCCTCCCAAGTAGCTGGCATTACAGGTGCACACCACCATATCCGGCTAATTTTTTTGTATTTTTAGTAGAGACACAGTTTCACTATGTTGGCCAGACTGATCTTGAACCCCTGACCTCATAATCTGCCCGCCTTGGCCTCCCAAAGTGCTGGGATTACAGGGGTGAGCCACCGCACCCAGCCGTTTTTTGTAAATCTGTGAAGAAAGTCAATGGTAGTTTGATGGGGATAGCATTGAATCTATACATTACTTTGGGCAGTATGGCCACTTTCATGATATTGATTCTTCCTATCCATGAGCATGGAATGTTTTTCCATTTGTTTATATCCTCTCTTATTTCCTTGAGCAGTGATTTGTAGTTCTCCTTTAAGAGGTCCTTTACAACCATGGTAAGTTGTATTCCTAGGTATTTTATTCTCTTTGTAGCAATTGTGAATGGAAATTTACTCATGATTCGGCTCTCTATTATTGGTGTATAGGAATGCTTGTAATTTTTGCACATGGATTTTGTATCCTGAGACTTTGCCAAACTTGCTTACAGCTTAATAAGTTTTCGGGCTGAGACAATGGGGTTTTCTAAATATACAATTATGTCAGCTGCAAACAGAGATAATTTGACTTCCTCTCTTCCTACTTGAAAACTCTTTATTTCTTTCTCTTGCCTGATTGCCCTGGCCAGAACTCCCAATATTATGTTGAATATGAGTGGCAAGAGAGGGCATCTTTATCTTGTGCTGGTTTTCAAAGGGAATGCTTCCAGCTTTTGCCCATTCAGTATGATATTGGCTGTGGGTTTGTCAAATAGCTCTTATTATTTTGAGATATGTTCCATCAATACCTAGTTTATTGAGAGTTTTTATCATAAAGGGGAGTTGAATTTTATCAAAGGCCTTTTCTGCATCTATTGAGACAATCATGTGGTTTTTGTCATTGGTTCTGTTTATGTGATGGATTATGTTTATTGATTTGCATATGTTGAACCAGCCTTGCATCCCAGGGATGAAGCTGATTTGGTCATGGTAGATAAGCTTTTTCAAGTGCTGCTGGAATCAATTTGCCAGTATTTTATTGAGGATTTTTGCATTGATGTTCATCAGGGATATTGACCTGAAATTTTCTTTTTTTGTTGTGTCTCTGCCAAGTTTTTGTATCAGGATGATGCTGGCCTCATAAAATGAGTTATGAGGAATCCCTCTTTTTCCATTGTTTGGAATAGTTTCAGAAGGAATGGTACCAGCTCCTCTATGTACCTCTGGTAGAATTCGGCTGTGAATCCACCTGGCCCTGGGCTTTTTTGGTTGGTAGGATATTAATTACTTCCTCAATTTCAGAACTTGTTATTTGTCCATTCAGGGATTCAATTTATTCCTGGTTTAGTCTTGGGAGGGTGTATGTGTCCAGGAATTTATCCATTTCTTCTAGATTTTCTACTTTATTTGCATAGAAGTGTTTATATTATTCTTTAATGGTAGTTTGTATTTCTGTGGGATCAGTGGTGATATCCCCTTTAACATTTTTTATTGTGTCTGTTTGATTCTTCTCTCTTTCCTTCTTTATTAGTCTGGCTAGTGGTCTATCAATTTTGTTGATCTTTTCAAAAACCAGCTCCTGGATTCATTGATTTTTTGAAGCGTTTTTTGTGTCTCTATCTTCTTCAGTTCTGCTCTGCTCTTAGTTATTTCTTGTCTTCTGCTAGCTTTTGAATTTGTTTGCTCTTGCTTCTCTAGTTCTTTTAATTGTGATGTTAGGGTGTCAATTTTAGATCTTTCCCACTTTCTGATGTGGGCATTTAGTGGTATAAATTTCCCTCTAAACACTGCTTTAGCTGTGTCCCAGAGATTCTGTATGTAGTGTCTTTGTTCTCATTGGTTTCAAAGAATTAATTTTTTCTGCCTTAATTTTGTTATTTACCCAGTAGTCATTCAGCAGCAGGTTGTTCAGTTTCCATGTAATTGTGCAGTTTTGAGTGAGTTTCTTAATCCTGAGTTCTAATTTGATTGCACTGTTGTCTGAGAGGCTGTTTGTTATAATTTCCATTCTTTTGCATTTGCTGAGGAGTGTTTTGCTTCCAATTATGTGGTCAATCTTAGAATAAGTGCCATGTGGTTCTGAGAAGAATGTATATTCTGTTGATTTGGGGTGGAGAGTTCTGTAGAAGTCTATTAGGTCTGCTTGGTCCAGAGCTGAGTTCAAGTCCTGAATATCCTTGTTAATTTTCTGTCTCATTGATCTGTCTAATATTGGTAGTAGGGTGTTAAAGTCTCCCATTATTATTGTGTGAGAGTCTAAGTCTCTTTGTAGGTCTCTAAGAACTTGCTTTATGAATCTGGGTGCTCCTGTATCGGGTGCATATATATTTAGAACGGTTAGCTCTTCTTGTTGAATTGATCCCTTTACCATGATGTAATGGCCTTTGTCTTTTTTGATCTTTGTTGGTTTAAATTCTGTTTTATCAATGACTAGTATTGTAACCTCTGCTTTTTTTTTTTTTTTTTTTTTGCTTTCCATTTGCTTGGTAAATATTGTTCCATCCCTTTATTTTTAGCCTAAGTGTGTCTTTGTACGTGAGATGCATCTCCTGAATGCAGCATACCAATGGATCTTGACTCTTTTTCCAATTTGCCAGTCTGTGCCTTTTAATTGGGGCATATATCCCTTTTACATTTAAGGTTAATATTGTTATGTGTGAATTTGATCCTGTCACTATGCTAGCTGGTTATTTTGCCCATTAGTTGATGCAGTTTCTTCATAGTTTTGATGGTCTTTACATTTTGCTATGTTTTTGCAGTGGCTGGTACTGGTTTTTCCTTTCCATATTTGGTGCTTCCTTCAGGAGCTCTTGTAAGGCAGGCCTGGTGGTAACAAAATCCCTCAGCATTTGCTTGTCTGTAAAGGATTTCATTTCTCCTTCACTTATGAAGCTTAGTTTGGCTGGATATGAAATTCTGGGTTGAAAATTCTTTTCTTTAAGAATGTTGAATATTGGTCCCCACTTTCTTCTGGCTAGTAGGGTTTCTGCAAAGAAATTTGCTACTAGTCTGATGGGCTTCCCTTTTATGGGTAACCTGACCTTTCTCTCTGGCTGCCCTTAACATTTTTTCCATCATTTCAACCTTGGTGAATTTGATGATTATGTGTCTTTGGGTTGCTCTTCTTGAGAATTATTTTTGTGGTGTTCTCTATGTTTCCTGAATTTGAATGTTGGCCTGTCTTGCAATCCTGAAGATTGTTTTCCAACTTGGTTCCATTCTCCCCGTCACTTTCAGGTACACCAAACAAATGTAGGTTTGGTTTTCTTCACATAGTCCCATATTTCTTGGAGGCTTTGTTCATTCTTTTTCATTTTTTTTCTCTAATCTTGTCTTCATGCTATATTTCATTAAGTTGATCTTCAATCTCTGATATCTTTTCCTCCACTTGATCAATGTGGCTACTGATACTTGTGTATGCTTCACAAAGTTCTCATGCTGTGTTTTTCAGCTCTATTTGGTCATTTCTGTTTTTCTCTAAACTGGTTATTATCATTAGTGTTGGGGTGATCAGACCCAACACCAGGCCGTGGGGGCTACAAAATCCAGCAGAGTCAAGGGAATAAGACAAGACAAGTTAAGAGTACATAAAGTGTGTTCAGGGGGCCAATGCTAGTATGGAGGCTGCAAAGGCCCCGAGCTCTGGAAGCCCACACTATTTATTGGTGACCAAATAAAGAAGCAGGTGGTAAGTACGTGCAGATGTGGGGGTAAACAGGTGAGAATGTGAGGACTTGGGGGTAGAAAGGTAGCAGTGCATCAAGTGTAGCTGTTATGGTTTAGCATTTTCATTGATGCATATGTAATATGCTCTGCTACCTGAGATAATGGAGAACATGTTTACAAGCCTGGGGGAGCAAGAAGCAAGGAACCAACAAGTCTTTGCACATTCCAGAGGCCACAAGGGGTTTTATGCCCTGAGCCTTGGATTCCATCCACGCCACAAGGGGTTGTATTCCCTGTGCTTAGATTGTGGTGCAGCAGGGCAGCCTTCCACCCTTTGGCACAGAGCTTGGTGTTCCAAAGGCCACGAGGGGGTTTAGACCCTGGACCCAGGACATGTTCCAAGACTCTTTTACATAATGACAGACAAGCCCGTCTTGCATCAGCTCTTCTACCAACAGTTAGCAATTCCTCTAACCTTTTTTAAGGTTCTTAGCTTCCTTGCATTGGGTTAGAACATGCTCCTTTAGCTTGGAGGAGTCTGTTATTACCCATCTTCTGAAGCCTACTTCTGTCAATTCATCAAATCCATTCTCTGTCCAGTTTTGTTGCCTTGCTGGTAAGGAGTTGTGATCCTTTGGAGGAGAAGAGGCATTCTGGTTTTTGGAACTTTCAGCATTTTTGCGCTGGTTTTTCCTCATCTTCATGGATTTATCTACCTTTGGTCTTCGATGTGGTTTCTGAGTGGACGTCCCTTTTTGTTGATGTTGATGCTATTCCTTTCTGTTTGTTAGTTTTCCTTCTAACAGTCATGCCCCTCTGCTGTAGGTCTGCTGGCACTTGCTGGAGGTCCACTCCAGACCCTGTTTGCTTGGGTATCACCAGCAGAGGCTGCAGAACGGCAATGATTGCTGCCTATTCCTTCCTCTGGAAGCTTCATCCCAGACGGGCACCTGCCCAATGCCAGCTGGAACTCTCCTGTATGAGGTGTCTGTCGACCCCTGCTAGGAGGAGTCTCCCAGTCAGGAGGCAGGGGGGTCAGGGGCCCACTTGAGGTGGCAGTCTGTCCCTTAGCAGAGCTTGAGCTCTGTGCTGGGAGATCCGTTGCTCTCTTCAGAGCTGGCAGGCAAGAATGGTTGAGTCTGCTGAAGCTGTGCCCACAGCCACCCCTTCCACCAGGTGCTCTGTCCTAGGGAGATGGCAGTTTTATCTATAAGCCCCTGACTGTGGCTGCTGCCTTTCTTTCACAGATGCCCTTCCCAGAACAGAGGAATCTAGAGAGGCAGACTGGCTACAGCAGCTTTGCCAAGCTGCAGTGGGCTCCAAGTAGTTTGAACTTCCCAGCGGCTTTCTTTACACTGTGAGGTAAAAACCACCTACTCAAGCCTTAGTAATGGCGGACACCCCTCTCTCCACCAAGCTCAAGTGTCCAAGGTCGACTTCAGACTGCTGTGCTGGCAGTGAGAATTTCAAGCCGATGGATCTTAGCTTGCTGGACTCCGTAGTGGTGGGATCTGCTGAGCTAGACTACTTGGCTCCCTGGTTTCAGCCCTCTTTCCAGGGGATGAACAGTTCTGTCTTGCTGGCATTTCAGGTGCCACTGTGGCATGAAAAAAAAAAAAAACTTCTACAGCTAGCTTGGTGTCTGCCCAAACAGCCACCCAGTTTTGTGCTTGAAACCCAGGGCCCTGGTGGCGTAGGTCCCCAAAGGAATTTCCTGGTCTGCAGGCTGTGAAGACTATGGGAAAAGTGTAGTGTCTGGGCCAGAGTGCACCATTCCTCAAGGCCCAGTCCCTCACAGCTTCCCTTGGCTAGGGGAGGGAGTTCCCTGACCCCTTGTGCTTCCCGGGTGAGGTGACGCCCCACTCTTCTTCAGCTCGCCCTCTGTGGGCTGCACACACTGTCTAACCAGTCCCATTGAGATGAGCTGGGTACCTCAGTTGGAAATCCAGAAATCACCCACCTTCTGCATTGATTTCACTGGGAGCTACAGACTGGAGGTGTTTCTATTTGGTCATCTTGCCCGCAAACCCCTGCTTACTTTTGTATTGTGTTACTTACTTTTTTGTTTGTTCTTGCTAAAATAGTTATTGCAACAGGGGTTACTCTTGGATTTTTAAGAAAAGGTGTAGTTTATAGTTTAGACACTTAGAAATGACTTCGTTTTTAAAAAAACTTTTTTAAGTGCACTGTAAAAGCATCGTGTGGTCTAACCTCAAAATTATTCTCCCTTTTTGGTGACCCAGGATTCAGTGTGGGCTCTGCCCAGAGCTCAGAGACACAGTTAAAATATAAGTAGTCCCTATCTAAATAAAATTGGTCTTTTTATACAATCCTATGATAGATTTGTATATTTTATATTTGATTTGGCATCCATCTTTAATCCCTCTCTAGCACCACTAGACTTTTTCTCCTTATGATGTAAATGTTACCATTTGATTTTCACTTGAGTTGTTTCCTTTAATATGGAAATTTAAGGCTATTTAGCTGACAACTGCCTAGGATTGGGAAACAGCTTATCAAGAATCTGAAATATAGGGAAAAAAAGAATTTTATAAATGTATAGGATGTAGTTCTATTGGCATGCCAAATACATCTATGTATTTATGCATTGTGTACACAATGTTTTACTACTGAAAATGTGTAAAAGAGCTCTAATTAATTGGCTTAAAATAAAAGCACTTGAATGAAATGCTTTATCGGGAAAAAAGACTAATCAAATGCTTTTTCACATTTACGTAACTTAAGTAAAATTTGTAATAAATAAGCTTAGGAAAATAAAAGCACTTGAATCAAATGCTTTATCAGAAAAGAAAAAGACTAGTCAAATGCTTTTACACATTTACGTAACTTAAGTAAAATTTGTAATAAATAATCTAGCTTTAAAATTATTGGTGGCAGGACACGGTGGCTCACACCTGTAATCCTAGCACTTTGAGAGGCTGAGGTGGGTGGATCACCTGAGGTTGGGAGTTCGAGACCAGCCTGACCAACATGGAGGAACCCCATCTCTACTAAAAATACAAAAGTAGACGGGCATGGTGGTGCATGCCTGTAATCCCAGCTACTTGGGAGGCTGATGCAGGAGAATCGTTTGAACTCAGGAGGCAGAGGTTGTGGTGAGCCGAGATTACACCATTGCACTCCAGCCTGGGAAACAAGAGTGAAACTCTGCCTCAAAAAAAAAAAATTATTGGTAAAGGAATATTGGAAACATCTTAAGAATGGCCAGCATACATTTTTGTTTGCATTTATTAATCAAGCAATTTCATACTTATTCCTGCCAATTACTATAAGGTGTCAAAATTTGGCATAGGGGTTACAAAACTATAAACCCAGCCCAAGACAGAATGATCTTTGCTTGTGTAATCTTTAATAAATAAGACATTGATATCAGTTTAATAAAAACAGCTACATCTGGAATTTAGTAAGATTACCATAACTTCTAATCCTGTGGCTTTAGGTGGTCTAGTCCATCAGCAGTAAGGGTTGTTTTGGGAAAGGACTGTTATCATCTTTGTTTCAAAGCTAAATTATAAACTAAGTTCCTGCCATAGTTAGTTTGGCCTATGCCCAGGAATGAACAAGGACAGCTTGGAGGTTAGAAGCAAGATGGAGTCAGTTAGGTCAAATCTTTTTCACTGTCTCATTTATAATTTTTGCAATGGTGGTTCGATAATTTTAAATAATGACAATCACAGTTTTTATAAACAATCTAGGTAAATGATTAAAATAAAATAATTAGGTAAAGGTAATAAAATAAATACTTGTAGACAAACTCATCATAATTTAGACTCTGAAAATTATATTAAATTAAATAATAGATAGTTCCTTATATGGGTATTTTCCAATACAAATATATTTGTAGGAAAACATTCTTTCTAAAAAAAAAAAAAAAGGTGTGTCCTATTAAAAAAGGTAAACAATTTTTTTCTAATTCAAAGCTTATTTAAAGGTCATATATAAAACAAGGTAAAAGGAACCAGGTAATAAAAGAGATGTAAAGAAAGTTATAAAAATTAAGAGGTTTTTTTTTGGTAAGAGAGCTTAAAGAGAAATAATTTCACATGAGAAAGAATATTATATGGTAAATTTAGTCCTAGCATAAAATAACTAGTTGTTTTAGAATGAGGGATGGTCAGGACAAACCAGAATGTCCTATCATGTTGTGAATAGTCTGTGTAAGTCACAATAAGAGGATTAATTTTTAAAAACCAAAAACTTTCACATGATCAAGTTGTCTATGATTAAAGGGAAATTATAATGGTCTTTCTAGAGATTGGGTTTGATGTAAAGAAAAACACTAAGGAATTGGTTAGAACAATGACATTTTCTTAAGGGGTTGATTTACTGTTAATGAATTATAAGAGATTCTAATTTTTTTTATTTTAACCCAAAGTTCAACTTTTATTGCATCTCACCAGTTTTGGTTTTCTCTCCCCTTTTGAAAGGTGTGAAATAGTAACTCTCCCCTTCAACTTATTTTCAGCTTAGATAAGTTTTTTTTCCTCCTTGGGTTCTGTTTTTGTGGCCTGATGCTAACAATGCTTTCTTAAAGGTCTAAAGCAATGTTTTCTTCCAACATAATATTCTGTGCACTGCAGAAAGTCTTTTCTTTTGCCTGTTTGTAACTGGTCAAACAGATTTTATGTTTTATCAAAATAATTTCTATGCCATTATTACTAAGGTTGGTTTGCTCAGGAAAAACTGAGATTATTATTATTATATTTTTGGGCTGGGCATGGGGTTCATGCCTCTAATCCCAGCACTTTGGGAGGCTGAGGTGGGCAGATCACTTGAGGTCAGGATATCGAGACCAGCCTGGCAAACATGGTGAAGCACTGTCTCTATAAAAATACAAAAATTAGCCTGGCATGATAGCAGTTGCCTGCAATCCCAGCTACTTGGCAGGTTGAGACAGGAGAATCGCTTGACCCAGGAGGCGGAGGTTACAGTGAGCCATGCCATTGCCATGCATGCCATTGCACTCCAGCCTGGGTGACAGAGTGAGATACTGTCTCAAATAAATTAATTAATTAATTAAATTTTAAAATTAAGGCTGTATCTTCCTGTATGTGATTTTAAAGTGCTTGTGACATTGAGTTACAGGGCTTTGACCCCTGGGTTTAAAAAGAACACCAAGTCCTGCTAAATTTTAAACATTGACAATTAAAGCCTCAACTTCAGGCCCAGTAGAAGATGTCAATCAAGATAAACTGCATTCCTGAGACATAGGGCCAGAAACTAAAGCTATTCGACTCCTCAAGGCCCAGGGACTATTGTGGAAGAGGTGGGCATATGAGATTGTAAGGGTCAATTTTGAGAGATAAAGTTCAGTTTCTCTATAAATTAGTAATTAATGTCAAAGGCACACTGATGCAAGACCAGCATATGGGACCCTGTGTCAGATTAACAAGGTTTTCTTGAAGCATTAACCAACTCCTTAATAAAGGTTATAAGGACTTATAAAACTTATAATCAAGAGGAAAATTTTACAGATTGTTTATAAAATTTTGGAAAACAAATTTAATTGGCTTCATGCTGTTTCTATTAGGCCTTATTGTTTGGAAAATTAAGTCTCCTCTCTCAATGAATGAAGGTTTTTGCTTTTTTTAAAAAAAAAAAAATCCTTATCATTTTGGTTAAATGAATGACTTATTTTACAATGACCTGTGATCCTATTTTGTAATATCAAGTGTCTAAACCTTTCATATTTGACAAACTTTTCAAAATCAACTTATAAATTATGTCTTTTTCTAACCTATTTAATCCTTTAAGATATTATTAATAGGTTTCCTAAAGTCAAAAAATGACATATTTGGCTACTTTGCTATAAAAATTATACAGGAAGCATTGTCAAATATAAAATGATGTTTAGTTTTCTTTGGGCTATATTTGTATAAATATGTTACTGGTATATGTTCCAAAATTATGGGAAACTCGTATAATTCTGATATGACAATGTATGTTATCAGTAATAATTATAATTGTTATGTAAAATTATTGTGTGCCACAGAGGTAACAAATTTCCTTGTCAATTGTGTCTTTGACTATAGCTGTCATAAAACTTTTGTCATCCACGAGCAATTGTTGTCTCGTTTTGGTCCTTTTTAGAAGGTAGTTTTATAATCTGCTACAAAACTCTAACAGGTTTCCTAATGTAGGTTTCTGATAACTTTGGAAACTGTCACATCAGAATAGAGAAAAAACTCTCAGGACTCATGGAGAGCTGAAATGTTCATGACTTATCAAGCAGAATAGGAAGTAACTGTATGGACTAAACTAATAGAAGTCTGAAGTAATCTTTTTAACTTTTTGCTTAAAATGTTACTGATCCTCTGTTTTGTTTTTCAGAGTCAAGAAAATTTTTCTTTTAAGCTATTTATAGCTTTGAACAATTGAGTAAATTACACTCCTATGAACAAAATTTGGAACATTTTTGTTTCTCTCTACCTGACTTCCCCAGAATTTGGAAACTAGTTGTAAGTATTCTTAACTTATGACAATACAGTTATTTGCATAAGTGTAATAAAAATCTGTTTTCATTTATAACAGGACACAATTAGAGAAACTGGTTATTTTACTAAGGCTTTAACTGGAATGCTTTTCTTTAAGCAATCAAACTTAACTTACGGAGCCAAGAAAAGCCCCTTGGAAAAAATGGCTTCATACCTTTGTCTACACAGTCCCTGTACAGGGTTCCTGATCTGTGGCAAGTAAAAATGTCAGTTTCTGGCAGGTCCAGGAGCCCCAAGTTTATCTTGGAATCTCAAGGGGAGAGGATCACCCAACTCATAGGTATTTGATGACACAAATCCATAGCTGGGCTCAGCTCTTAAAAGTCTTATCTGGGATACAAATAATTAGGCCAAGCATAATAAAACAAACCAGTCCTACCAGAATTTGTCTTTAGTAAAAATGGGGAATTGGGGAGAGAAAAACTATCTTTCAAAAATTATAGTACACCTATTGTTAGATTCTAGTCTTGCCTAATGTTTTTCAATTTTTATTATTTTCCACAATTTGGACCAAATTCTAATTTTTCTTGGCTACAAGTCTTCAAAATAATGTTTTCCATTTTTTCTTCTTTTTTTCCTCATTTTTCCTAATTTGGAGTCACTGAAAACTAAGCTGTGCTTTCATAAAGCCCTGCAAACTGAAGCTAGACAACTTAAACCTCAGAAGAAAATAACAGCAACCTATTTACATACATAAGCCACTTTCATACCTACCTAATGATGTATGTACTTCAGAATAATGTGGCCTAATAGATTTTCTAGGGTTGTTCTTTGTTTGTTGTTGTTTTTCTCCCTTCCTCACCCTATTTTCTCTTCACAGGACATGAAACTTCACAAACTTCTAAAAATGAGCTTTCCTAATAACTCAGAACTGACCTGTCTATGAATAAGCCATCCTAGCTATGAGAGATCAGAGAAAACTTGAGGCCAGAGACTCAATTTCTTCTCAAATGCTTTCTCCAAAAGAGTTTAAAAAAGAAAAGGGGGAGAAATGTGAAAGGAAAATACATTGGGCCCCAAAATCAATAAGCTAAAGTGAAAAGTCAAGCTGGGAATTGCTTAGGGCAAACCTGCCTCCCATTCTATTCAAAGTCACCCCTCTGCTCATTGAGATAAATGCATAACTGATTGCCTCCTTTGGAGAGGCTAATCAGAAACTCAAAAGAATGAAACCATTTGTATCTTATCTACCTATGACCTGGAAGCCCCCTCCCACTTCAAGTTGTCTCACCTTTCCAGAATGAACCAATGTTCATCTTACATATATTGATTGATGTCTCATGTGTCCCTAAAATGTTTAAAACCAAACTATGCTCTGACCACCTTGGGCACATGTCATTGGGACCTCCTCAGACTGTCATGGGTGCATGTCCTCAACCTTGCCAAAATAAACTTTCTAAATTAACTGGGACCTGTCTCTGATTTTCAGGGTTCACAGCGAAATAAAGACTTTCCAAGACAAAAGCTGAGAGATATTATCCATGCTAGACCTGGCCTACAAGAAATGCTAAAGGGAGTTCTTCAACCTGAAAGAAAAGGTGTCAACTAGGAATAAGAAACCATCCAAAGTTATAAAACTCACTGGTAATAGTATATGCACAGAGAATATTATAACACTGTCATTGTAATGTGTAAACGGCTCGTATCTTGAATAGAAAGGCTAAAAGGAAAAACTACTAAAAGTGATAACTACAACAACTTTACATGACAAAAATAGAAAACTATTATGTAAATAGAAACAGTTAAAAAGAAGTTAAAGTGTAGAGTTATTAGTTTTCTCTTTGCTTGTTTCATAGTGTGGTTGTTTTTGAAATCAATGTTAAGTCATCATCAGTTTAAAATAATGGGTTATAAGATGTTATTTGCAAGTCTCATGATAACCTCAAAAAGCCTACAATGGACACAGAAAAAAAAAGCAAGAAAGTAAAACACTGCCAGAGAAAATCATCTTCACAAAAAGGAAGACAGGAAGGAAGGAAGGCAGAGAAGACCACAAAACAACTAGAAAACAAATAACAAAATGGCAGGAGTAAGTTCTTACTTATCTATAATAACATTGAATATAAATGGACTAAATTCTCCAATCAAAAGACAAAATGGCTGAATGGATGAAAAACAAAAACCAAGACCTAACAACATGTTGGCTACAAGAAACACATTTCACTCTTCATACTATCAAAAGTCCTATCATTTTCAATGCTTTGTCCTATTTAAGTATACTTTTTAGCTAGCTAAGGTTGTAACTATTATTAGAGGCAAAAAGAAAATTAAAATAGTGAGTATATTATGCCTCAGAAATGTCTAATAGAAAAGCTTTAGCAGCTGAACAAAGTCTCTCTGAAAGTTTTTTTTATTGACCTGTGTTAGAATAATAGCATCAATATTCATTTTTCTGGGTGTAGTATAGAGTGATAGTTAAGAGCAGGGTTTTTGGAATCAGACAACACTTTATTATAATATTGAAAAAATTATTTAAACTGTCTAATAAACTTTCAGAATCTCAAATTCCTTCTTTGAAAAATGCACAATTATAGATTTTTAATGAGGATTAAATGAGGCAACATATGTAAAGCACATAACAGTATTCCACACATAATAAATAATAAATGAGAGTAAGTTTTTTTTTAATAAATTCTATGGCCTAATACACTGAGAATTTTTTTCGTGGATTTGGATCTATGAATTTTTAAAAATGTGCCTTCCTTTCATCACTTTGGTTGGCCAACGCTATGTGGACTCCTTGCTCTTACTTGCCCACTGGAACTAATAAAGAAAATGGTGTTACTTTGAATAGACAGGGACGAAAATTGCCTTTGCCAGCCTGATAAGTGAAAATTGTATCTTATAGTAGTTTTAATTTGTATTTGTACTCTGAGTGATATTGAGATTGTTTTAAGACATTAAGAACCATTTGCATTTTCTTTCTTGTGAACTTTTTATTTATATCTTTTGTCCATTTTTGCTGGGTTGTTAGCATTTTCCTTAATGATTTGTAGGAATATTTATATATTGACCTCCATTATTTCCAAGGTCACATTACAAGTTTAAGTTCATGTCAAGTCAGAGGACAATGCTGACATTGTGGTGCATTCCACAATTGGTGTTATATTTATGACATATATGACATAAACATTTTAGGCTTTATCTTAGTATTTCTCAAGCAAAATATGAAACTACAAAAAACCTTCCTGATAGCCGTAGTAATGATCTCAATACATGAGAACACACATGTTTGAAACACATTTTCAAATAGGTACTTCAAATACAGGCCAGGCACAGTGGCTCATGACTGCAATCCCAGCACTTTGAGAGGCTGAAGTGGGCAGATCACTTGAGGCAAAGAATTCAAGACCAGCCTGGCCAACATGGTGAAACCCCATCTCTACTAAAAATACAAAAAATTAGCCAGGTGTGGTGGCACACACCTGCAATCCCAGCTACTCAGGAGACTGAGGCAGGAGAATCGCTTGAACCTGGGAGGTGGAGGTTGCAGTGAGCCAAGATGGCGCCACTGCACTCCATCCTGGGCAAAAGAGAAAGACTGTTAAAAAAACAAAACAAAACAAAAAGCAAGTATAAATACATGTATTACTATCTGTAAGCACCTTGAGAGTAGGGACTAGATCTTATTTTTATAGTGGTAGTTCCTTGAATTTTTTAGGATCTCAATATATGTATTTATAAATATAAACTAAATGTATGCTTTCTTTTAAGAGAGTTTTCTCCGCTATGTCACTCTGTAACTGAAATCCCAGGTTGTTCTTTTATTTTTATAACTTTGTCTTCTGTTCTTTGTTTTATTTCTTATTTATTTATTAAATTTCATCTTTTATTTTCAATTCGGGGGTACATGTGGAGGTTTGATACATGGTGTACAGTGTGATGCTGAGGTTTGGGGTATGATTGAACCCATCACCCAGGTAGTGAGCAATGTTCAATTTGATGGATGCTCATAGTTGCATCTGTGATCTCAATATGGACCCATAAAGGCCAGAGGGTGAGCAGGTTTAACTTCCTTGCTTGGAAGGGAGGAAGGCCCTCTCCTATCCTTTCTGGCAAAAAAGTCCCCAGTCCTTCTCTGTGTTGCAACTGGCACACAAGTTTGGGGAACCCAGACCTCCTCTTTCTCACTCTAATTTCTCCTGTAAAGACAGCCAGACCTCCTTCTCCAGATGTTCCCAAATCAGGTGATTTCAAGTGGCCTCACAACAGTGAGTCTTCCCTTACCCACCTGCTCTCCTAGGCTGGCACCAGGCTGAGTTCTTTCTTTACCCTTTTTCCTCATACCTGGGCTGATCACTCAGTGTAACTGCTTACATGGACTGGCCATTCAGCATACGGCCCCAGAATCAAGAGGTCTTTTCTTTTTCTTTTTCTTTTTCTTTTTTTTCTTTTTTGTTTTTTTGAGACGGAGTCTCGCTCTGTCACCCAGTTTGGAGTGCAGTGGCGCCCCAGAATCAAGAGGTCTTTTCTTTTTCTTTTTTTTTCTTTTTTGTTTTTTTGAGACGGAGTCTCGCTCTGTCACCCAGTTTGGAGTGCAGTGGCGCGATCTCGGCTCACTGCAAGCTCTGCCTCCTGGGTTCACACCATTCTCCTGCCTCAGCTTCCCGAGTAGCTAGGACTACAGGCGCCCGCCACTGCGCCTGGCTAATTTTTTGTATTTTTAGTAGAGACGGGGTTTCACCGTGTTAGCCAGGATGGTCTCGATCTCCTGACCTCGTGATCCGCCCGCCTCGGCCTCCCAAAGTGCTGGGATTACAGGCATGAGCCACCGCACCCGGCCCAAGAGGTCTTTTCTAATGAGAACCATGGGACGCCCCTTTAGAAAGTGCACTCAAGTGCCTCAGTGAACATGAATGGAACCTTCTTCCTTAGCACTATGCCCCGAGAGAAAATGTGGTTTGTGTCCCCAGTGGAAATTAGTCCCCAGCAGCTCATCATTTTCCAGTCCTACCATGAGACAAACCCTGTCTATTCCTTCAGATTCACCTCTGGGTTGCATTTGAAAGCATTGGGATAAATTCTCAGGCTCTCGAAAGGAAACATAATTTTCTTGTAAAATATAGCACGACCCCTATGCAGAAAAATCCTCAAATTAGCCTCCTCAGTCTTTTATAACTAAGAGCAGAATAAAGAGGACAGGGCTAAGGAGAAAGAAAAACACAAGGACGAGAGGCAGGCTCTAACACTGGCTGCTTCACAAGCCCTCAGTCCCCTCCAGATTGCTCTAAGGACACTCCTCCAGGTAACTGCTACTGGTGCAGAAGGCCAGGCCACTGAAAGGTAAACTGCCTTAATGAAATAAATGGGAAAAAGCCCCACACGGTATCCCCCCGACTCTGCCACAAGCTTGGCCACTGGAAACGGGACTGCCCTGAGGGCTAAAGGGTCTCTGGGACAGAATCCCAACCCCTGATGGTCTTGAGCTGAAGAGGCTCTCTGCTCCAGCTGGCTTTCAAATCAGACACTGTCATCAACAGGACAAAGCCAAAGGCACTCTGGAGAGGACAAATGAAATTATAAATTTCCGTTTTGAGTTCAAACAATGCCTACTCTGTACCAATCTTCCCTGAGCAACTCTCCTCCAAATCCTGTTGGGTAATGAAGGCAAATGGCATCACCTCCCTCCAAAAGAAAAAATTCACATCCCTTTATATTACTTAAGGGACCAATGACCATTCTCCCACCAGTTTCTGATAACTAAATACCTCAAACCCTGCTAGGGCAAAAATATGCTTTCCAAGATAGGTGCCTGCTTAATATTTACCCAACCTCTGAATTCATCTCTCCCTCTAATAGCCCTGTTTCTCCTGGGAAAACTACCTAAATTTTTAACGAATAATTTCAACCTAAACAGCCCTACTTCAAGGGTTTAAAATAGCCCACACTTATTCAGACAAGCCCTAGTAAAAATCTAACTGAATAATCTCTTGTGGGAGAATAACTTCTACAGTATGCAGAAAACCTCCTCATTTGCTTCCCCTTCACAGAACTCGCTCAGCAACATGCAGTACAAATCTTAACTTCCTAACAAAAGGAAAATAGTTTTTGTCTAATTCAAAGGTTATTTAAAGGTTATATATAAAACAAGGTAAAAGGAACCAGGAAATAAGGGAGACATAAATAAGGTTATAAAGGCAAAGAGGTATTTTTCGTAAGGAAGGTTATAAAGAAAAGAAATTTTATATGAGAAAATATATCGTGTGGCAAATTCTTGTCCAAAAATAAAATAACTTTTTTTTTTAAGAAAGAGGGGGCAACCCCCTTTGGGTCTCCTCCCATTTTATGGGAGTTCTGTTTTCACTTTATTAAATCTTGCAACTGCACACTCTTCTGGTCCGTGTTTGTTACGGCTCGAGCTGAGCTTTTGCTTGCCATCCACCACTGCTGTTTGCCGCCATCGCAGACCCTGACTTCCACCCCTCTGGATCTGGCAGGGTGTCCGCTGCACTCCTGATCCAGCGAGGCACCCATTGCTGCCCCCTATTGGGCTAAAGGCTCGCCATTGTTCCTGCATGGCTAAGTGCCTGGGTTCATCCTAATCGAGCTGAACACTAGTCGCTGGGTTCCACGGTTCTCTTCCATGACCCATGGCTTCTAAGAGAGCTATAACACTCACCACATGGCCCAAGATTCCATTCCTTGGAATCTGTGAGGCCAAGAACCCCAGGTCAGAGAACAAGAGGCTTGCTGCCATATTGAGAGCAGCACCACCATCTTGGGAGCTCTAAGAACAAGGACCCCCACACCCCGTAACATTTTGGCGACCACAAAGGGACTTCCAAAGCAGTGAATAATATTGGACCACTTTTGCTTGCTATCCTGTCCTATCCTTCCTTAGAATTGGAGGAAAATACCAGGCACCTGTCTGCCAGTTAAAAATGATTAGCGTGGCTGCTGGACTTAAGACTCAGGTGTGAGGCTGTCTGGGAGAGGGCTTTCTAACAACCCCCAACCCTTCTGGGTTGGAAGCCTGATCTGCCTAGAACCAGCTTCCACTTTCAATTTTCTTGGGGAAGCTAAGGGCCGATTAGAAGCAGAAAGCTGTTGTCCTGAACTCCCGGCATTAGCCAGTTGAGATTATGGCGCAGCCAGAAGTCTCTACTCAACAGTTGCCCATGCGTGCACCCCTACCTTTCCTTCTGACCCATACCTCCTGGGTCCTGACCATGAATTTCTTGAAAGTGTAGCCTCAAAATTCTCCTTACCTCTGAATCTATTTCCTCTGATCCCTGCCTCCTAGATACTAATGCTTCAGGCTTTCACTTCCTCTCCCAAGTATTAGAGCAGGTTACATCTCCAAAGGGATATAAGGAAGCTCTACACTGCGTCCTTAGGCCCTTAAACTATGAACCCAGGGAGTCCTGTCCCTGGTGTCCCTCCCAATTTAAGCATAGAGCTCTCGACATGGGCAGTTATGTGGGACCTGTTCCCCAGCACCCTTGCCAGGGCCTTAGAACTGATAACCCAGTACTTTAACAACTGGAACTGGGTCTACAACAACATAATAAATCAGGATGAAAGCAAATAGAGTAAATAAAAGGGAGGCACATATTCCTGTAGTGGCAAATGGGGGCAACGAGTGAACGTCCTTCCACTGTGTTTCCAAAAATCCATCTACAAAGACAGAAAGGAGAAAGTAAGAGAGAAAGAGAAAGATAGAAGGAGTAAAGAAAAACAGTGTAACCTATTTCTTTAAAAGCCAGGGTAAATTTAAACCTATAATTGATAACTGAAGGTTTTCTCCCTGGCCCTATAACACTCCAATACCACTTTGTTGTCAGTGTAAATAAGGGCGTAGCCCGAAAGCTCTGAGGCCACTGACAACCAGTAGCCTTCGTATCAAAAATCCTTAACCCAGGAACCTGCAGTTGGCCCAAATGCATTCAATCTGTAGTGGCAACTGCTTTGCTAACAGAAGAAAGTAGAAAATTAGCCTTTAGAGGAAACCTCATTGTGAGCAAACCTCACCAGTTCAGAACTATCCTAAGTCAAAAAAGCAAAAAGGTAGCTTACTAACTCAAAAATCTTAAAGTATGGGGCTATTCTGTTAGAGAAAGGTAATTTAACATTAACCACTGAAAATTCCATTAACCCAGCAGATTTCCCAACAAGGGATTTCAATCTTAATTACCATACAAAGATCCAACCAGACCTAGGAGGAACTCCCTTCAGGACAGGACAATAGATGGTTCCTCCCAGGTGATTGAGAAAAAAACACAATGGGTATTCTCTAAAAAATATGCCTTTCTTTACCTACAACTGCCTTGGTAAATCCCTTTACTGCCCATGAAGCAGGCCCTCAGCCAGTTGCACCCATGACAGTCCCCTCCACTGTAGCAAGAAAAGCAATAATCTTGATGAATGTTTATAAAATACTAAATAAATAAATAAATAAAACTTATACTATCAGCCCACCATGGAAAAAATATGCAACACCAAAAATTCCCATATTTTTCTTTTAAAACTGGCAAATGAGGAAATAGCTGGGTGGAGTTTAGAATTACATAAGAAGATATGATGGTATTCTATATGGAACAAAGGAGAAATAGACCATTTAGCTGAAAGCTCCATCTTGCTTTGGAGCATTATTGTTTCTCTTCATTTTACCATTTTACCTTTTTTAAAATCCAAAATAAATTGGTGTGTGTGTCTCCTTAATGATTTGGTTTTGCAATTGTTATTATTCAGACTTATACTTCTGTAAGGTCATCTACCCAGCAACTGCCTGTCCAACCTTGGACTGATGCCACTCTTATTACTGCTCCTTGTAGCCAAGGATAATTGTATCAAAACAATTGTGTAATCCTCCTCATTTTTTTCTTTAAAAACTTTTGTCTTCCTTTGACAACCACCCTCCTGAATACACTCACTATATTTCCATTGCAACGCTTACTCCCAAATAAATATCATTTTCTTTCAGAGAACCTCTTTCTGTGTCTGTTATTTAGGTTCACAACAGACAGATAGATGGATGGCATCAAAGTCTTAAATGATTGCTTTTTTCAATACCTAACCCTAGATCCCCAATCATTTATTTAATAATTTATTTTTTTCCTGTTGAGTTATAGTGTATATTAAATCATTGTTGTATCTTATAATAATTATTTATGCAAAGGTCTATTTGGCGGTTTTTTTCTGTTCCATTAATTTTTATATTCTTGCATTATCTATAAACCTTTTATTATTGTGGTTTATTTTGATACGTGGGAGTCCTAGTCTTCCTAGCTATTCTTTGTAAAATTTTCCTTGCCATTCTTACAACTTTTTCCATATTAATTTTAGGATAATTTTGTTAAGCACTGTCCTCTCCAAACAATTCCTGTTGGGAATTTAATAGGGGTCACATTAAATCCACATACTACTTTGGGCTGAATTTGACATGTTTATATCCCTAAGTCTCCTCATCCAAGGATATCAATAGGATTTGTTTACAAGAAATGAAGATCTCCTCGCATTATCTTGGAAAATTAGGCCTATCATACTCATAGTTCCTACTCACTCATGGCTCTGTACACTGTCTCTTGACTTTCTTTTGGATTCTGCTCCTGCCAACTGCTTGACTCTTTCCTCAGATCTACAGTTTAAGTTTCCTAGAAAGAGAATTGGCCTAGTCAAACATTGTCCTTATTGGAATAGAGTTTTCTTTTTACTGTCATAAGAAGTAACAAAGACATTTATTTGAATTCTGCGTGTATTTCTAAAGTTTGCTGTTTTCTTCATATTCTTGTTGACACATTTCTGTTTTTCTTTCCTTCTTTTTTTTTTTTTTTTTCTTTTTGAGACAAGACCTTGCTCTGTTGCCCATACTGGAGTGCAGTGGTTTGATCTCAGCTCACTGCAACCTCTGTCTCCCAGGCTCAAGCAATCCTCCCACCTCAGCCTCCCAAGTAGCTGGGACTATAGGCACATGCCACTGCACCTGGCTACCTTTTTTATTTTTTGTAGAGACGGGGATTTGCCATATTGGCCATGCTGGCCTTGAACTCCTGAGCTCAAGCGATCCACCACTGCGCCTGACCACATTTCTCTTTTAAAAATAATCGCCGGGCACGATGGCTCACGCCTATAATCCCAGCACTTTGGGAGGCTGAGGCAGGCGGATCACGAGGTCAGGAGTTCAAGATCATCCTGGCTAACATGGTGAAACCCCATCTCTACTAAAAATATTTTTTAAAAAAATCAGCTGGGCATGGTGGCGGGCACCTGTAGTCTCAGCTACTCGGGAGGCTGAGGTGGGAGAATCAGGTTACAGTGAGCCAAGATTGTGTCACTGCACTCCAGCTGGGGTGACGGAGTAAGACTTTGTCTCAAAAAAAATAAAGATAAAGTTACATATGATATTTCAGATATGTTGGCTGCTCATGAATAGGATTATGTTTCCTTTATGGTTTCTATAAAGAAAAGCTATTTTTTAAAAAGATGTTTTATTATATTCAACCACTTTACAATGTGCTATTATTTCTAAGTTTTTCCATTGATTCTCTTAAGGTTTCTATGTAAAAAAGAAATATTTTTTTCAAATAATGCCTATGTCAAATCCTTTCATAAATTTACTTTTTAAAATTGCAGGATAGATAATAAGAGTTGAAAGGAGAGGGTGTATTGAAGAGAAATTCCAAAAGGTAGAATGTGCAGGACTCCACGATGGGGGGCAAGGGACTGGGAGGAATAAAGGACGACTTCCAAGCTTCAGCTTTGCATGACTATGTAGAGAGATAATTCATTAAGCAATTTTCGTGGAAGACAATAGTCATCAGATTACAACTAAGAGATTAGCAGACTATTGTATTCACAAGTAAAAATAAGGACACCAGCATTGCTGGGCTATAAGAGTAAGCATAGCTTAGAGACTTAAATCAGCTAAGGCTCCAAAGCATAAACCAACTGTCCTTGTTTTTGTGGCAGCTCCATGGGCCCTTGTGTTTATGGTGACAGCATCTCTCTGTCCCCATCTCATTACCACCCATCAACCACTTCACCCTTTTCCTCAAGTCTATCATACGAATAGTTTCTGCTCACTCATGGCTCTGTACGCTGTCTTCTGAGTGTCTTTTGGATTCTGCTCCTGCCAACTGCTTGACTCTTTCCTCAGACCTACAGTTCAAATTTCCTAGGAAGAGAGTTGGCCTAACCAAATGCTGTCCCTATTGGAATAGAGTTTTCTTATCAGGGCACTTAGCCAGCAGCGGGTCGGTTTCTGGAATGGCTGTCTTTAGGCAGGTGTTCACTCTGTATCCAGTTGTGTGGGACAACCAACAGATTAGGGTAACACCTAGTGCCTCTGCAGTCAGCACAGTCTTTAGGGGAGGGGACTCACTGTCACAATTTAGAAGCCTACGGACATAGCCACAAGCTGTGCTTGTTCTGGCTGGTACTACAAGAAGAAGGAAGGGCAGGTTGTGGGAGTGGGAGGCAAGGGGATGCAAGTTAAGTTTTGGTCATGTTTCGTTAGAGTTGCTTGTAGTATGTCCCCAAAGATATGTCCTGCAGGTGGTGGGAAATTCTGGCCCAAGTTTGGGAGCCTCCGTAGCATTTTTCAGCTCCCTCTTGTAGTACCTACTCTATTATAATCTAAATTTACTTGTTTCAAAACACCAGATCATTAGCTCCTTGAAGCCAAGGCTTTGGTCCAATTCACCTTTGTGTCCTCAGTGCCTGACACACAGTAAATGCTTAGTAAATATCTGCTGAATGAATGAATGGATGAATGACTGTGGTTTGTAGACAGTTAAATTGGTAGAGATAATAATAAGCTATTTTCTCCATTTCGTACTTGAAAAGTATGCATCCAGTAGCTGTCACTTCATTAAGGAGTCTATTTCCTGAACCAGTCATAGTATTCGCAGGTCCTGAGTCCTCAGAGTGAACCTCTCAGGTTAGAGAAAGAATGCCTGAAGCCGGGATCTGCTCTGAGTTTAGAAGATCTTGTTATGTGATTGCTTGTACTTATTTTATTATTTTATTTTATTTTATCTTTTAGAGACAAGGTCTTGCTCTGTCACCCTGGCTAGACTGCAGTGGTGTGATCATAGCTCACTGTAACTTCGAACTCCTGGCCTCAAGTGATCCTCCTTCCTTGGCCTCCTGAAGTGCTGGGATTACAGACATGAGCCACTACACCTGGCCTGCTTTCTTACAAATGTGGTTTGGCAGAATTTGTTTTATGATTTCCCTTTATCGTAACCTTGCTTACCACCTGGAAACAAGATTGTGAGGGAGAGGCACATAGACACTCCGCCTAACCTTAATTGCCAGGTTACTGACTTTTACCTGACAATTATAGAACAAATTGGCTTATGTTGGTTCAAAATAAACTGCTTGCAAATGTTTCCTGTCATAAACAGTTGACTAAAATGAGATTTTTTTTGAGACAGGCTCTCACTCAGGCTGGAGTGCAGTAACACAGTCACAGCTCACTGAAGCCTCAACCTCCCAGGCTCAAGCCATCCTCCTACCTCGGCCTCCTAAGTAGGTGGGACTCCAGGCGTGCACTACCATGCTCAGCTAATTTTTTTATTGTTTGAAGAGACAGGTTTTACCATGTTTCCCAGGATGATCTCAAACGCCTGGGCTCAAATGATCCTACTGCCTCAGCCTCTAAAAGTGCTGGGATTACAGGAGTGAGCCACCACCCTTGGCCTCAAATGACATTTTTTGGTAGGAAAGCACAATACTGAGATTAAAGCACAATACTGAGATTAAAGTACAATCTATACCTATAAGTAAACTGAGGTCTCTAAAGTTAAGTGATTTGTTCAAGACTTACACAACTTGTTAGGGCAGGGCTGAGACTAAACCACAGAGTCTCATAGCCTGAAACAGTGAAAACACATATCTCCTTCCATCTTTCCAGGGTCAGCCACGTTTTTTCAACAATGGGCTATGTGGTGATTCTGAAGGCTACATGAAGGTTTAGTTGGTTAAAATCTGTGTCAAGAAGTTCCAAAGTTGGCATATGAGGGTCTGAGTTATCTGAAGTCTATGTGTATAATTTGGAGGTTTTATAAATGCTTATTTTTCTTCTCAAGTTAATTAACCTGCATAATTTCAATTTCATGGTCTAATTTTAACACTAAATTAGAACAGGATAAAGTCATATAATTATGTTCAACTTCAATTATCATTACTAATCAGTCCAGACTGCTACCATGATTACTGGCTGTAATCAGTTACACAGCAGTTAATGCCCCCAGTGACCTAAACTATTCATATGAGTTACTTTACTGGACAGTTCTGAAGGTCTAAAATACTTCAGATAAGCCACACATTAGATACCCAGACACTATACAATGCTCATTTTTATAGTATGTCCACTAACTACATCCCAGCTGAATCCTTGCATGAGACGTGTTTTTAGTTTGGCTCCTGTCATTAATCTGGCTGACCTTGTTTGAGTCATTTAACCTCTCCGGATCTTCTATTGAGAGAATGCAGGTAAACAATCTCTAAGAGCAATTCTGGCTTCAAAACTGCCCTTCACTTTTCACAACTTGGGAACCCTTACATTCACATTTACTTCCAAAAGGGTGCTCTAAATCCCTGCCTTCTTTCCAACTTGGCTTGAGTCTTCTGGAAGGAAACCTGAACATCTCCCTCACCGTTTCCTTTGATTCTAGCGTCAGCCCTCAAAAGCCCCAAACTCTTTAAAGCCAAAGGCACAACTAAGGAAAAGAAAACCCTCCCCTTTCCCATCCAATGTCTAAACCACTACTCTAGTCAAGTTACTTCTTCCCTCCAGTTTCTCTGGGATTGTAATTTTTTTTTACACTTCTGAAACAAAACACATTTCTCTGTAAATGTTTTCTACTTCTAAGAAAAGCAGAAATCAGCTACCATCTCTGCCCCAAAGGGCAGGTGTATTCCAAACTTTAACCAATTTTTACATCTTTCTTACCAGTTTGCACTCTTTCATTCCTGTTCTATTTAATTAAATTTATTTTATTTTGTCTCATTATAAAAATAATCAACAATCATGATAGAAAATATAAAAATTATGGAATACTACAAAGAAGGAGATTTTTTTAAAAAGTGATAATCTAACTACCCAGAGGCAACTGCTGGCAACGTTTTGACACATTTCCTTTAGTCTCTTTTGCTTCTCTGCATTGACTTTTCCACCTTGTCTCCTCACTTGTTCTTCCCTGCATGCCTTCAATGTCTGAGAACTTTCCAACTACCTAAGTAAGTAGATTAAAAGATTCAAGAACTTGGAGAGAAACTGTGTTCTGGAATATGCAGAACAATTCCTTCTTTTTCAGACCATGCTTCCTCCCCAGTTTTTTTATTATAGACATTTCTGAACACACAAAAAAGTTGAAATGGTGATAAAATGAACATCTGGGCCAGGCGCGGTGGCTCATGCCTGCAATCGCAGCACTTTGGGAGGCCGAGGCGGGCGGATCACCTGAGGTCAGGAGTTCAAGACCAGCCTGGCCTACATGGCAAAACCCCATTTCTACTAAAAATACAAAAAATTAGCCAGGTGTGGTGGCATGTGCCTGTAATTCCAGCTACTCTGGAGACTGAGGTAGAGAGAATCCCTTGAACCCAGGAGGCGGAGGTTGCAGTGAGCCTAGATCATGCCATTGCACTCCAGCCTGGGCGACAGAGCGAGACTCTGTCTCAAAAAAAAAAAAAAAATCATAAGGACTCCCACTATGATTATGAATTTATCTGTTTCTCCACTTAGTTCTTTCCAGTGTTTCTTCCTGTATCCGGTTGGAGCTATATTATGGCATGCACAAAGATTTAGGGTTCTGTTATCATCCTATTTGTATTGACTACTCTATCCTTATGAGATGCCCCTCTTTTATCTGGCAATCCTTAATTTGTTAATGTAATGCATTGTATCTAGTAATGCTTCTGGAAGCGTAAAACATTATATTTAGTAACGCTTTTGTTCTGATATAACTATAGTCGTATCTACGTGCTTTTGAAAAGCGTTTACTTGATACAACTTCTTTCATTCTTTTACTTACTTTTAACCTTTTTTGTCCTTATATTTAAAGTAGGTCTATTATAAACAGCATATACTTGGGCTTTTAAATCCAGTCCGACATTCCCAGTCTTTTACTTGCATTTCTATGTAATATAGCTAGTGATATGATTTAATTTATATCTTCCATCTCACTATTTTTGTTTTTAATCAACCCATTTTATGTTCCTTTTTAATTCTCTTTTGCCTTCTTCTGAATGAATCAATTAGTTTTATTATTCCATTTTCCCTCTACAAACTATTTATTTATTTATTTTTTGAGACAAGGTCTTGCTCTGTCATCCAGGCTGGAGTGCAGTAGCATGATCGCAGCTCACTGCAGCCTCCATCTCCCTGGTTCAAGTGATTCTCATGACTCAGATTACAGGCGCTCACCACTGCCACTGGCTAACTTTTGTATTTTTAGTAGAGATGGGGTTCCACCATGTTGCCCGGGCTGGTCTTGAACTCCCAGCTTCAAGTGATCTGCCCGCCTTGGCCTCTCAAAGTGCTGGGATTACAGATGTGAACCACCATGCCTGGTCACCTCTATTAACTTTTCAGTTATACACTTTTTTTTTGAGACGGCGTTTTGCTCTTATTGCCCAGGCTGGAGTGCAGTGGTGCGATCTCGGCTCACTGCAACCTCCGCCTCCTGGGTTCAAGTGATTCTTCTGCCTCAGCCTCCCGACTAGCTGGGATTACAGGCAAGCGCTACCATGCCCAGCTTATTTTGTATTTTCAGTAGAGACAGGGTTTCACCCTGTTGGTCAGGCTGGTCTTGAACTCCTGACCTCAAATGATCCATCCACCTCAGCCTCCCAAAGTGCCGGGAACATAGGTGTGAGCCACTGCGCTGGGCCCAGTTATACACTCGTTTATTACAGATTACCACATGCCTCTTTGACTTATTATGGTCTAACACAAATTATTACTTTTAGTTCTTAGTTGATAATGCAGAACCCTAGAACATATTAACTCTGTTTACATCCTCCTGCTTTTTGCCTTATTGATGTCAGGCATTTTCATTTTACATATATTTTAAATTCCACACACACTACTACTATTATTTTGTACACTCAATTTTAATTTATATTAGCCACATACTTACCATTTCTGTTGCTCTTCATGCTTTCCCACAGCTCCATGCATACATCTGGGATTACTTTCCTTATGCCTATAGAACTTTTTTTGGTATTTATTCTGATGCAGCCCTGCTGATGATGAAGTTTTTCAGCCTTCAATTTGTATATGTCTCAAAACATCCTTATTTGGCCAGGCACAGTGGCTCATGCCTTTAATCCCAGCACTTTGGGAGGCTGAGGCGAGTGGATCACCTGAGGTCAGGAGTTTGAGAACAGCCAGGCCAACATGGCAAAACCCCATTTCTACTAAAAATACAAATATTAGCTGGGCATGGTGGTGGGTGCCTGTAATCCCAGCTACTCAGGAGGCTGAGGCAGGAGAATCTCTTGAACTCCGGAGGCGGAGGTTTCAGTGAGCCGGGATTGCGCCACTGCACTCCAGCCTGGATGACCAGAGTGAAACTCTGTCTCAAAAAAAAAAAAAAAAAAAAAATCCTTATTCAATCTTCAGTTTTGAAGAATATTGTGCTTGGCATAGAAATCTAAATTGGTAGTTGTTTTCTTTCAGCCATTTGATTATGTCATTTCATTTTTTTCTGTCTTCTATCATTTTTGTTGAAAAGTCAACTGTCAGGCACATATAGTCAAACAGGTGAAAACCAAAGACAAAATAAAATCCTAAAAGGACCCAGAATACAAATGACTGAATTCCTCCAAAGGAGCAACTGTAAGGCTAAGTCTGTTTTTCTGATTATTTATCTTTATTGGTAGTAAGTGTTCTTGGGGCTCACTGCTGGGGTTCACTGAGCTTCTAAATCTGTGGATTGGTGGTGTTTGTTTGTCTGTTTTGAGACAAAGTCTCACTCTGTCGCCAGGCTGGAGTTCAGTGGCGTGATCTCAGCTCACTGCAACCTCTGCCTCCTGGGTTCAAGCGATTCTTCTGCCTCAGCCTCCCGAGTAGCTGGACTACAGGCGTGTGTCACCACACCCTGTTAATTTTTGTATTTTTAGTAGAGACGAGGTCTTATCATGTTGGCCAGGATGGTCTCGATCTCTTGACCTCATGATCCGCCCACCTTGGCCTCCCAAAGTGCTGGGATTACAGGTGTGAGCCACTAAGCCCAGCCTGGTGTTTTTTTTTTTGTTGTTTTTTTTTTTTTAATCAGGATTGAAAATTCTTGACCAAAAGATTTTCAAATATTATTTCAAACTCATTCTCTTTTTTTACTTCTGAGTCTCTAATTTGCATGTATGTTAGACCTTTAGACTGTATCTGAATTTATCTTAATGTATTTTTTTCCATGTGATTTAGTGTGGAATATTTCTATAGATTCATCTTCCAGTTCAGTAAACCTGTCTTCAGCTATAATCAAAACACTGTTAACACATCTATCGAGTTCTTAATTTCAGATAGTATATTTTTCATCTGTAGAATGCTCATTTGATTTTTAATAGGTTCCTTTAATTATCCATTTTTTATTAAAATTGTTTTCATTTATTTTCTTGACTATATTAATCATAGATACTTTAGAGCCTTTATCTGCTGACTCTAAGGGTGATATGGATCACCTATGTGTCTATTTATTGCTACTTTTTCTCTTGGTTATCTGTCACATGATTTTCAAATGAGTAATGATTTGTATTGAATTCTGGACATGTACATAAAAATTGTAGTGGCTTCTAAAGATGCCATTTACCAACAAAGAATTCCACCTTTTCCTTTACTAGACAGAGTAGGGGCCAATTCCATTAATCTAATAATGAATGAGCTGTATTAAGCTAGTGTCACATTTTTAGTAAGACTTAATTTACCATGAATTTTCTCTTATTCCTGGGATGTGACTCCTGAAGGCCTTCAATGGAAGCCCCGGAGGGTTTCATATCTCACCATGGAGAGACAGTGGAAAATTTCACTCTACTTTTCAGAGGATTTTGCCTTAGTTCCCAGATAGTAAACCATGACCAACTCTCATTTTGTTGGATGTATATTCTTAATAAATTATTTTATAATGAGAAAGAGATGGGGAAGAATTTTCTTCTTTGAGTTATATTTTTCTTTTAGAGTAGATTTATTATCATCTCTAGTTTGCCAGCTTCCTTTCTTTAATTCCTTTATTTTCTGAATGTAGTACTTTTATCAAGTTGCCATACTGTTTATTTCTTTGTACCTCATAGAAGCAGTGGGCTGTTGTGTCTAGATTCTAGAACAGTGGTTCTCAACTTAGGGTAATTTTGTCCCTAGACAACATTTGGTAATGTCTGAAGACATTTTTGGTGTCTCAACTGTGGTGGTGGGGGTGTTGCTACTGGCATCTAGTAGGTACAGATTAGGGATACTACTAAATATTCTACAAGTCATAGGACACCCCCTTCCTTCCCCACATAAATATACACTCAAAAGAATTATCTGGCCCCAAATGTCAAGTGCTCAATTTGAGAAACCCTGTTCTAGGGCCTTCTGTTTATATGATGTATTACATGGAGAAATTGTTCTTATTACTATTCCCATATTAGACACCTATTTGCCTTCCTCTAAGAACAAACACTTTAAAGCTGAATGCTGAGTTCTATTCAATATTGAGGACACTGAAATGGAGAGTTCTTTTGTCACTACATTCACCTGTTACCAAGTCATCTGGGCTTTGCTCTATTTTCTGAGATTTCTTATACCCAGGAAGCCTCCACCTGATTGAAGCAGGCTTCAGATCACCTCCATAATTCAGGTCACTTCCCTAATTCAGCATGGACATAGAAAATGGTGACCCCTGGCAGTTCTTTCTGCCTTTGCTGACATACTGTGGGTGCTGTTGGCCTCTCTCCTGGGTTTCTTTGACTTTTCCCTGGGCTGTCTACTGGCTACCTCAGTTTATTTCTCTCCTAAGTGGGAGTTATTAAGGAATACTGGATCAAATTCCCTAATTTCTCTGTCTTGCTTAATGGGAAAAGGCAGGGGTAGGTTTAAGAGGTTAGAGGTAAAGTCTCCTGTTAGGTTCCTTGAGCAATGCTTTTTTTTCTTTTTTTTTGAGACGGAGTCTCGCTCTGTTGCCCAGGCTGGAGTGCAGTGGCGCGATCTCGGCTCACTGCAAGCTCCGCCTCCCGGGCTCACGCCATTCTCCTGCCTCAGCCTCCGGAGTAGCTGGGACTACAGGCGCCCACCACCACGCCCGGAGAATTTTTTTTGTTTTTTTAGTGGAGACGGGGTTTCACCGTGTTAGCCAGGATGGTCTCGATCTCCTGACCTCGTGATCCACCCGCCTCGGCCTCCCAAAGTGCTGGGATTACAGGCGTGAGCCACTGCGCCCGGCCGAGCAATGCTTTTTAAGGCTTATGACACAACGTTGTACTTCTTCCCTTGCTTTGTGGCTACAAGTGAAATTTTTGCCTCTTTCTCACTGTCTTTTGAAGATTTTGTCAGATAGTGAGGAAAGGAAACTTTTGTGTCCAGCCTGTCATTTTTATCCCAAATATTTTTACCATAGTAGTAGGTATTAAAATATTCCAGACCCAGCATTTTATTACACTAATATTACCTTATTGTTGATCTTAGATGGCTCTAAAATTAGGCCGACCAGGAAGCACTAGGTCTGGGAATTTACCCATGGATAACAGTGACAGGAGGCTATAAGCAAGGAACCATGATCACGTGGAAAGTTTATGTTTGTTTATTTGAGACAGGGTCTCACTCTGTCACCCAATCTGAAGTGCAGTGGCACAATCATAGCTTACTGCAGGTTTGAATTCCTGGGTTCAAGTGATCTTCCCACCTTAGCCTCTCAAGTAGCTAGGACTACAGACGCGCACCACGATGCCTGGTTGTTTGTTTGTTTGTTTCTTTCTTTCTTTCTTTCTTTCTTTCCTTCCTTCCTTCCTTCCTTCCTTCCTTCCTTCCTTCCTTCCTTCTTTCTTTCTTTCTTTCTTTCTTTCTTTCTTTCTTTCTTTCTTTCCTTCTTTCCTTCTTTCCTTCTTTTCTTTCTTTCTTTTGAGACGTGGTCTCACTATGTTGCCCAGGCTGGTCTTGAACCCCTGGGCTCAAGTGATCCTCCTGCCTCAGCCTCCAAAATTATTGGGATTACAGGCATGAACCACCGTGCCTGGCCTAATATTTTTTTTACTTTTTGTGGAGGTGAGAACTCACTATGTTGCTGTGGAGGAAAAGTTAAATATTAAATTTGAATTCAATTGAACATGGACACAAACAATGGTCACCAAGTCCCAGAATAGGTTGTGTGAGCCCCTTGAGGCATTCATCCAGCACTGTTTCGGAGAAATCTCTACTTCAATCTATTCCGATACATTAGTTATTGAAAAACAATAGACAATCACAAAAACAGGTTGACCTTTTTGTGTTCCTTGAGCCCAGTCATGAAGAACCCTCGTGACGGGGCCTCATGCCAACAACTTGTTACAAAAAGAGTTAGGGTCCCAGACTGCGCCGAAGCTTCATGAGACCTCTCATCATCTGTACATGGACGAGTGGCCGACTTTGGAGCCCAGGCTATTGCTTCCCAGTCTGGTGGTGAATCCTCCATAGTCTGGTGAATGTAAATATCTTTTCCCTTCTCCTCTTCCTATTGCGATTTGCTAATTATATCAATCTGCTTATTATATCATTTGCTTATTATATCTGCATTGCCATTTACATGGGATAAAGGTTGTTTACCCTTAAAGGTATTGTGCGTGTGTCTTTTCTTCTCCCCTTGCGCGTTTCCTACACAGAACAGTTGCCTAGGCTGAACTTGAACTTCTGGCCTCAAGCAGTCTTCCTGCCTTGGCCTCTTAAAGTGCTGGGATTACAAATGCGAGCCACCATGCCTGGCTGGAAGTTTTTTAGAAGAGGCTTGTAAATACCACCTAACTAGGAAGAAATGGGAGAACTCAACCTAGAAATAGACAAGTCAGATGGGATTCTGCCCAATAAGTCAGGCAAATCAGGGCGAGAAATAGGGTCTTGAGGGTTTGACCCTCAGATCATAGTTGCTCGGGAGATTGCTCTCCTCACATACCTGTAATCAGTTTTCCTTCCTTTGGAGCACATGACACCTCTTCCTCTAATCCAGTTTACTTCCTCTTTTTTTTTTTTTTTTTTTTTGAGATGGAGTCTTGCTCTGTCACCCAGGCTGGAGTGCAGTGGTGCAATCTCTGCTCACTGCAACTTCTGTCACCGAGGTTCAAGTGATTCTCCTGCCTCAGCCTCCCCAGTAAGCTGGGATTACAGGTGCCTGCCACCACACCCGGCTAATTTTTGTATTTTTAGTAGAGACTATGTTTCACCATGTTGGCCAGGTTGGTTTCGAACTCATGGCCTCAAGTGATCCACCTGCCTCAGCCTCCCAAAGTGCTGGGATTACAGGTGTAAGCCACCACGCCCAGCCCTAGTTTACTTCTCAGCCCATTCCAGTCTAATTCTACCTAGCTTTCTTAGCTATTTATAGAACAAGAACACTGGCTTAGAGGAAGGGGAGAGATGTCTAAGTTTTCTTGCAAGTCCAGCTTTCCTACTCTGCTCCTAATTAGGTTTTCTGTTTCTATGGCTGTGACTTCTCTATCTCCAGCTTGCTGTGTTTACTTCTCCCAAGCAACAGCTCGGTATACTTACTTCTCAAATATAGGTTTCAAAACACATGGAGGAATCCACAAACCTCTGTGCATCAGAGTCCAATTTTCCTGCCCTCAGAAAGGCACACAGCTGTATACACAGCATGTTTTGATCACTGGCAAGAGCTTTCTACCTGCCAAACACTTAAATTCATTAACAGTCATTTACTGAGAAGGGCAGGATGTACAGCACCGTTTGTCAATAGCCACAGTCTTCCCATCTTCTCACCACCCTAGGAAAGAAGCCTGAGGAGGGAGATTTCTCACACAGACGACCCCTGTCAAGAGCCAAAATACCTTGGCAAGAAGAAGCCAAAAAAACACTCCACTCCCTATAAGTTCTGCATTTGGAGCTTCTCTGCAGTTTGCTAGACTGAGTAAATAGAGCTAGCAGCCAAAAATAAATATCTATTTTTCACAGCCAGAAGAGGGACAACTCCACAAGTGTTCATCTGTATCTGCCTTTGGCTCACTGGTTTTATTCCATAGCTTTGGTTCATGAGCGAACATCGCGCTGGCCTAATGCAGGTGGAAACACTTCTGGAGGTGCGGGCCTAGGGAGGAGAGGTGAAGAGCAGGAAACGCATCAGCACTTTTTCTTCTAAGCGCTCATGTCCCCAGAAGGCTCTGAAAATTTCAAGAAATTCTGTGAATTTCTCAATCTGTGGTCATCGCTATATAAGCGGCCACAAATTAAAGGGGAAGTAATTTTGCAATTAGATGTTTCTTGAAGTTCAAGTGACTAACCCACTTAAGGTAGGCTGAGGAGATTTGGCCATATCAGATGGTCAGACCCAAAATATCCACGATCTGGTTTCTAAAATTAGGAAACTGACCCTGACACTCCCGCAGATTTGTTTAAGGTGTTTGAATGTTTTTCAGCAAATTGGTCAATTTGGCAAACTGGCTTTTGAAGAAATTACTTTCAGAGATATGACAGAGCCCACTTTTCTCCTTGACACTGGATCCTTATTACCTACTCGGACCCTTAGTATGACCCCATCCTGGGGTCTGACTCAGCCAAACCACACCAACTCTTAGTCTACTTCTCAGGCGTCTGACCTCAGCCGTACAGCTGGCCAAAGACACCTACCTTAGAGCCATTTATTAACTTGCTTGCCATGCCTTAAGCCCTTGTAACTCTTTATCCATAGCTGTCATTCTTGGTCTCTCTGAAGCATGCTCTCTTTCTTAAAGCTCACCGTTGTTCTGAATTCCATTACCACTTTCTCTGACTCACTCTTCCAAATCAAGGCTCCTATCCTCTGGCTGAGTAAGCTGGGAGGAGGCCTCTGCTGTCGCAGTGGGAGGCCTCCAGGGTCATCCTGACTCATCCTCTCCTTATTTTGCTTTGTTGGTATCTATCTCTGTGCTGCTTTCACTCACAAAACTTATGACATCAAATGCGTGCTATCTTTTCCAACATCACTTCACCAAATTTCCAACACCAGCTGGGTATTCTACAATTCAATTCAATTCTAATACTATTTACCTGGAATTAGCTTCAGATCCCAAAAGTTAATGAAGTGTAACCAAATGCAGTTTCGGCCACTTGCCGCTTGCAAAGTCAAATAACAAGGGCAAGGAGTGGTGGAAGGAAAGTGACTTTATTCCAGAGCTAGCAGTGGGAAAATGGCCAAGCTTTGTGCCTTAAAGAAACCATTTCAGGTAGGGCTTAGTGACTCACGCCTGTAATCCCAGCACTTTGGAAGGCCAAGGCAGGCGGATTGCTTTAGCCCAGGAGTTTGAGACAAGCCTGGGCAACATGGTGAAATTCCATCTCTACAAAAAATACAAAAATTAGCCAGGTGTGGTGGCATGAGCCTGTAGGCCCAGCTACTTGGGAGGCTGAGGGAGAAAGATCGCTTGAACCTGGGAGGTTGAGGCTTCATCAGAGAGAGGCCCTATCTCAAAAAAAGAAAAAAATCAAATTTTGAACAGAATGCAACGGGTTAAAAAGCGAAGCTTGCTATGGGTGGAGTGGGGGGCGGGGGACAGGCATGCTGAAGGGGCTAGAAGGTATGAGTCTGGTATTTTTTAGTCTTTTTTTTTTTTTTTTTTGAGACGGAGTCTCGCTCTGTTGCCCAGGCTGGAGTGCAATGGCTTGATCCCAGCTCACCACAACCTCCACCTCCCGGGTTCAAGCGATTCTCTAGCCTCAGCCTCCCCGGTAGCTGGGATTACAGGCACCCACCACCATGCCCGGCTAATTTTTCTATTTTTAGTAAAGATAGGGTTTCACCATGTTGGCCAAGCTGGTTTCGAACTCCTGACCTCAAGTGATCTGCCTGCCTCAGCCTCCCAAAGTGCTAAGATTACAGGCGTGAACCACCATACCCGGCCGGCCGAAAGTGTGAGTCTGTTACAGGACTTGCTCTGATGACTTATCTTGGATTATTGCCCCCTATTGTGGTGGAATGGGCTTGTGCCATTTCCACCACAATAGGGTTGTAAATTCACTGCAACCTTGAGGTAATCTCCTGGTGGGGGAGAATTCAGTAGGTGACTGGATTGTTTTAAGATTCAGTTCCTGGAATTTATAAGCAAGCATATCATTTGATAAGGGGGACACTGTGCTTGGTGGAAAGAAAGAGGGCAAAGGTTACCATTTTATTCTTAAGAAATTAAACACTGGCCGGGTGCAGTGGCTCATGCCTATAATCCCAGCACTTTGGGAGGCCAAGGGGGCGTGGATCACTTGAGGTTGGGAGTTTGAGACCAGCCTGGCCAACGTGGTGAAACCCTGTCTCTACTAAAAATACAAAAATTAGCCCGGCGTGATGGCACGCATTTGTAATCTCAGCTACTTGGGAGGCTAAGGCAGGAGAATAGCTTGAACCCGGGAGGTGGGGGTTGCAGTGAGCCGAGATCGTGCCACTGCACTCCAGCCTGGGTGACAGGGCAAGGCTCTGTCTCAAAAAAAAAAAAAAAAAAAGTTAAACATACAGTAAGCAAGGAGGGAAATGGAAATAAAAAGAGAGAAAGAAAAAAAATTTAAATAGGATAATTTGGTGGCAGGATCAGTCCAACAAGACTACTACCACTTCAGATGCCAGCCACAAATTCCAGATTGTCACTGGTACTTCTCTCCATCTGGCTACAAATTTGTGGGTTTCCACAGCCTCCTCCTGAGCTTTGATAATCTGCTAGAACAACTCACAGAACTCAGGAAAGTGCTTTACTTGCCATTACTTATTTATTATGAGGGATACAACAAGTAAACAGAGGAGATGCAGAGGACAAGGTAGGGATTTGGAGCTTCCATGCGCTCTAGGCACACCATTCTCCCAGCACCTCATGGTATTCACCAACCCAGAACTTTTCTAAACCCTAATGTTTAGTGGTTTTAATGAAGGTTTCATTAAGTAGGCACAATGGATTAAATAATTGGTCATTAGTGACTAACCCAGTCTCCACCTTCTCCTTCCTGCCTGGAGGTTGGAGTGCTGGCCTAAAAATTCCAACCATCTAACATGCCTAATCATGGTCTTTCTGGTGACCAGCTCCCACCCTAACACTATCTAGGTGCCCCCAGTTGCCAGTCATCTCATTAGCACATAAAATATGCTAGTAGGCTGGGGGCAGTGGCTCATGCCTATAATCTTAGCACAGGGGGAGGCCAAGGTGGGAGGATTGCTTGAGCCTGGAAGATCAAGACCAGCCTCCTCAACATAGTGAGAACCTCACCTCTAAAATCTTTTTTTTTTTAGACAGAGTCTTGCTCTGTCATCCAGGCTGGAGTACAGTGGCATGATCTCGGCTCACTACAACCTCTGCCTCCTGGGTTCAAGCGATTCTCTTGCCTCACCCTCCCAAGTAGCTGGGACTACAGGTGCGTACCACCACACCTGGCTAATTTTTGTATCTTTTTTTTTTTTAGTAGAGAACAGGTTTCACTGTGTTTGCCAGGATGGTCTCAATCTCCTGACCTCAAGTGATCCACCTGCCTTGGCCTCCCAAAGAGCTGGGATTACAGGCATGAGCCACCACGCCTGGCCATTTTTTTTTTTTTAATTAGCTGAGCGTGGTGGTGCGCACCTATAGTCCCAGCTACTTGGGCGGCTGAGGTGGGAGAATTGCTTGAGCCTGTAAGGTTGAGGCTGCAGTGAGCTCTGGTTGTGCTACTGTACTCCAGCATGGGCAACAGAGCAAGACCCTGTTTCAAAAAAAAAAAAAAAGCTAGTATCATTCCAAGGGATTCCAAAGGTTTTAGTTTAGGAGCTGTGTACCAGGAACAAAGACTAAATTTTCTTTTTAGTATATCATAGTATCCTGCAAAAACTAACAAACTCATCACCTGCTAAATTTCTGAAACTGGGGATATATACACAACACTCTATTTAAAAGGGCAGTTGTCTTCTCTGGGTTTCTGGATCTGATAACATACAACCAGTTATCGCATATCAACATACCAAATTGCTTAAAATTGTATGTTATTTAGTTTTACATAAACTAAAATGTGCCATCCCTTTGCTCCAGCATCTCCAGGGATAATCCCTATGCCACCCTCAGGCTGGCACTCCATGACCTGATCCCTCCTGTGCCCTGACTAGGAGTGGGCAGCTAACCCACACTGACCCACTTGACCTCTCACACATGCATTTGAATTGAGGGACACAGAGACCAGGAACTGGAAGCTGCATGCTATTAACAGCAGAGCTCTAACGAGAAGATCCCCAAACTCATGCATCAAGGTCCCTTTCCTCCCTGAATCCTGCTTATTTAACTTTTGCTTAGACTTCATAAGATCTGGTGCTCCATTTCAGACTTGTACTACTCTAGGCGTTGTTTGCAGCAAACATAAAAGAGATATGTACTTCAATGTGGCAGATTCATTGGTTATCTCTTCCTTGCTGTTTTTCCCAACAGAGGTTAGAAAACATCAATATTCTATTTCTCTGCTTCTCTTGCCTTTAAGGGTGCCAGAGTTCTGGTCAAGGACACATACATAGAAGTCTTTGGAAGAAGTTTAGGGAAAGGATTTTTATGATAAATGAGTCAGGTGCAGCTGGTATGCCTTTTCACCTTATTCTTGATTTGAACTAAGATGTAATAGTAGGAGCCTCAGCACCCACCTTGAAGCTATGTGGGAAAGGCCAGCAGAATGGTAGAGGTGCTGTCCCTGACACTGTGGAGCTGCTGAACCAATGCCAGTAACCACCCACCTCCAGATTTCTTGATATGAGAGGGAAAAAATGTTTGAGCCACTGTGAGTTAGGTTCTCCATTCTCCATTGCCTGCTGCTGAAATGAAGAGTTCAAAAGCAATTCCTCCATTAAGACTGATTGCCCTCGTGCAAAGAAATACTTCCTGCTATGTAAGCAGTAACTCAAAAAGTAAAATTCACTAATTCTATGCTGCCTGCAATTATTTCTTAATCACTCCACATGCACTTCCACAAATTGAACTTCTTAATCATGGGAACTAAATCATCTACCTTATTTAAAATTTCCACAATCCCTGAGCAGGCTGGACAATTGGAAAAATGCTTTTAAAATTCTTTCCATAGCCACTAGGGCTCCAAATAAAGTACATCCCCAGAGTCAGTAAACAGTTTTAGAAAGTAGTACCTTTGGAACTAAACAAACCAAAAAAAAACCCCTGTGATTCACTACAGGCAGAAGAGTTTCACGCTGAGAGAGACCTTATAAATGTGTGGTTGCAGATAATAGTGTTTCATGTATAAAAGCAAGGATAAAGCCACTTGGCAAAAGATAAAATTGTATTTACACCTCATACCACAAGAATAGACTACAAAGGGATCAGAAATGTTAATGTAAAGAATGAAATCAAACAAGAACTAAAAGAAAACACAGATAAATTTTGTATAACTTAGGTGTGGTGAAAGGCTAAGTATAACTCAAAATGTAGATGCAATAAAGGAAATACTGCATTTTTTTTTTTTTGAGACGAAATCTGTCTCTGTCACCCAGGCTGGAGTGCAGTGGCACGATCTTGGCTCACCACAAGGTCCACCTCCTGGGTTCACACCATTCTCCTGCCTCAGCCTCCCGAGTAGCTGGGACTACAGGCGCCCGCCACCACGGCTGGCTAATTTTTTGTATTTTTAGTAGAGACAGGGTTTCACCGTGTTACCCAAGATGGTCTCGATCTCCTGACCTTGTGATCCGCCCGCCTCAGCCTACTAAAGTGCTGGGATTACAGGCGTGAGCCACCACGCCTGGCCAAGGAAATACTACATTTTTTTAAAACCACAAGTTTTTGCATGGCAAACACCACCATAAATAAGCAAAGTCAAAAAACAACTGACAAACTGGAAGAAATATTTGCAAAATACATCACAACAACAAGCAAATCTCAAATGTAATAGCATATAGCAAGTAACAGTGACACAGATTAGAGCAACTCTGTAGGCAAGTAAGAATGTATATTAACACTTACCCAGCTCTCATTCATTTTAGTATTTATTTTATTTATTTTAATTTTAATTTTAATTTTAATTTTTTGAGATGGAGTCTTGCTCTGTGCTCACTGCAACTTCCGCTTTCCTGGTTCAAGTAATTCTTGTGCCTCAGCCTCCTGAGTGGCTAGGATTACAGGCACCCGCCACCATACGTGGCTAATTTTTATATTTTTAGTAGAGATGGAGGTTTCACCACGTTGGCCAGGCTGGTCTTGAACTCCTGACCTCAAGTGATCTGCCCGGTTTGACCTCCCAAAGTACTGGGATTACAGGTATGAGCCACCATGCCTGGCCACCACTTTAGGATTTAATAGTGAAATATTAAAGGCAGAAATATTGGAATACTTAACTATTTACGATAGACTCCTTCCAATAGTCAGGGAGTTTCCAACTTAGTGTGTATAAGAATTTTTGTCAAAGCTGTAAAAACAAAATTTGCATACTGTATTTTAAGAAATATAAAGGGATTTCAATGGTATTTTTGACTCTGACATTTTTCCTCCTCATTTTTTTTTAAAGACCTTGAGATCCTATTGGAGTTAATTTTTCTTTTTGCACTGATTTTAGAATGAACCTAACTCTCACAAATAATATGCCTCCTCTGTCTGACAAAATAAGATATTAGATATTGGAAACATAGTAACCACCTATCTGTCAAAACTTCAAAAATTCCTACTTAACTACCCATTAACTCTCTTGTTCTTTCTTTGAAATACTTACTGAAAGAAATATTTGTTGGTTTCACTTGGCTAGAGAAATTCCTGCTTAATAGTATTTATAGAAAGAGTCAGAATTTCACTAATGTTAGGACCATCAACAAACATACATATTGGTCACTTTCCATGCATTATAATCCAGGCTTACTTGCAAGCCTAAAAATGTTGAAGGCTACCAGGTATGGAGACCAGGCCTATTCAGAGGCCAAGGACAACCAGAGTGAGAAGAGAGGCCTTTAGAATGTGGTCTGTGAATGAAATACTATTGTCCAAGCTTTAGGAAGGAATTACAAAAATCTCAGGGGGAACAGGTCTTCTAAAACAACTTAGGGCTTGCCATCAAAAGAGGCCAAATGGGAAAGTAAAAGGAATGAAAGTCTGGTATAGCAGCCCATAATGCATTCCTTATAGCAGACACAGTACTCTGCTACGTTTCCTGGCCATACCTCCTCTTCAGCTGCAGGTGTGGTAGAGTCTACCAGGTAGACAGTTCCTGGCAAGCTGAAGGCTTCCCTGCTCAAGTGCCCATCATCGTGTCTTTCACCTTTCCTGCCTCAAGGCTTTTCTAAAGCCTAAGTATTTCAGCCCTTGCACACACAAAGCTGGCAATGTTTCTTAGAGGGCATTTCTCAGCCAAAGAGGGTCTGGAGTTGATGGATAAATGTCTCACCTCACCTCCACCCCCATCCTTCAGGGGTGCATTCTGCAGTTTTTTTTAGAGGGTCCCCAGCAGTATTAAGCCCAGTTGCCCACAATGGTAACTAGCTAAATAATACTTCCGATGATGGCCTTTCCTTCTTCCCTGTTAACCTTTCTTTTTATCCTTATTCTGACTTCCTGGGATCATTCCCCAAAGATACTATTATACTCCAGTTTTTTACTCAGTCTTTGTTCTGGGGTTCCCAAACCAAGACAGTCCTACTCATGGTAGAGGAGGAATAACATCGACTGAAAAGGCTGGGCACAGTGGCTCATGCTTGTAATCCCAGCACTTTGGGAGGCCGAGGCGGGCGGATCATGAGGTCAGCAATTCGAGACCAGCCAGGCCAACATAGTGAAACTCCGTCTCTACTAAAAATACAAAAATTACCTGGCGTGGTGGTGCACGCCTGTAATCCCAGCTACTCGGGAGGTTGAGGCAGAAGAATTGCTTGAACCTGGGAGGTGGAGTTTGCAGTGAGCCAAGATAGTGCCACTGCACTCCAGCCTGGGTGACAGAGTGAGACTGTCTCAAAAAAAAAAAAAGATCAACTGAAGAAACAGGGTGAAGTTTCAGACTCAGTTTGCCCTTCTTGAAAAGAAGAATGAAACCAAGAGAAGTAGGTGTATCTACCTATGCAGAGAAGGAGTGGAAAGGAGTGATTCTGCTACATTTAAGGCCTGCCTTAAGGCAGGATGCCTTCCTTCTCTGTGCCAAACTATATTTCTTTTTCTTTTTATTTCTAGAGGCAGAGATCAGTCAAACTCTTTCACTGTTTCTTCATGCCGTATTAAATACACTGTTAAGCAATGGACAGATATTGCCATCTGTGCTTTGAGCTCTTTACCAAAATTGGGATTATCTGGTGATCTAAGCAGTCTTAGATTCCAAAAGTTAGTTGGTTTCCTTGGTAAGGGCTAGGGTAGAGACAGAAGATTTTGTTCATAGCCTATGGCCAAGTTCCTGTAGGATTTCCAAAGCAACTGTTTAAATAAATGGCTGGGCAAGAAGAGAGGCTGTCCTGGCTGCTTTCATTATCTTCTTTGGGGCAAAAATTATTGGCCCTTCGTGACATCACTTATAAATTTTTAAGTTTCCGTGGTGTACATGGGTCAATTCCTTCCTAAATTATTTATAGTGATATATATATGTGCATGTGTGTATATATCAGTATCTATATATCTATATCTCAAAAGAACAAGCAAGCAAGAGTTCTCAACAGACAAGCATTGAGCAGAGTCTTTGCAGACATTTGGTGTTCTTTTCCTTTGGGGAAGACATGAAGCCTATCTTTCTGGAAGAAGCACAGAGACCTTGGTAATATCTTGCTTGAGAAAGGTGGATAGTTTGTTAATCCGTTTCCTTTCTATGAGAAGGGAAAAACTAGCTTCAGGAGTGCTGAGACCTAACTAGGGAGATTTTACCAAGAATGTCTCATAACATGCTGTCATTGAAGTAGCACGAGTTACCCAAAGTCTGGAAAGTACAAAGTAAGGGGGAAAAGTAAGATTTTAGGGATAAATCCAGCCAGAAAACTCATCAGGGCTCATTGTGCCCCCAAATCCATGGGCTTTGGAAGCACAAATAACTGCAGCTTCGGTTCAGTGCAGCTGGGACAAATATGGAAAGAACTGGAAGCCTTCTCTGGGAGGCAGGTCTCACAGGCCTAAGAAATTTCAGAGTGGGAGGCAGCCTGTGGTACAGGGTCAAAGCAGCACTGAGAACTTGCTGGGTATTAAAAACATGCAAAAGAAAAAGCAAGGAATCTGGATCAGAGGGAAATCAAGATCACAAATTGCTTGGAAAGTTGCTGTAATTCATTCATTCATTGACTGTTAATAGGTACTGGAGGTATAGCAACGAATAAGACCAGTGATGCCTTTTTTTTTTTCTATTTTAAGATACAGAATACTTTGTTAGTTCCCTAGATTATTTCTTAATGGTGGACCATTTGTAACATTATACCTTGAAACACTTAGCTAAAAGTCAAGTCTAGGTGTTATTAAGAATTCCATTGACATTTCAAGCTAATGTTTATAAAATAATACATCTTTGATATTAGACTTATGTCCTTTCCTATTCCCCCAAAATCTTGATAGTAAAATTGTTTCCTGTTTTTGAGTTAGGTGATCAACAAATGTATCGTGTACTTATTATGTGCTCACCCAGTATGTGGATAGCATGGAAGATGCTTTTTTCAGTTTTGAGCTGGGCATATTGTTGTGAAAAATAAAGATTACATTTCCAGCTTCCTTGTACTTAGGTATGACCTTGTAGTTCTGGCCACTGAGATATAAAATGTGAGATATAAAAAAACAGCTAACAAGGGCTGGGTTTTTTTGTTTGTTTGTTAGTTTGTTTGTTTGTTTTTGCCCTTTTGTCTTGAACCTGTTCCTTCCAGAGGGACCGAAATGCAGATATGAAGGTTGGCACTCCAGTTGCCATCTTGGACCACAAGTGACACTGGGGATGGAAGCTGCATGCTGAGCATGGTGGAGCAGGGAGACAGGAGGGTCCCGGAAAGCATCATGGGCTGCCATGCTAGTCCTGGATTATCTATTTCCAGTTTCCTTTACCCAAGAAATAAATAAATGCTTATCTTTTTAAGCTTCTTTTGAGTTATCTGTTACTTGTAGCCAAATTTGTTGCAATTTGCAGCAGATATAGTTAGAGTTCTGTAGCTTATTTGGGCCATTTTTACTTATAAGTGACAGTAACTTTGCATTAAAAGATTGCCTAGCTAGGTATTGCCTTGAGCAATTGCTGTTAGGCTTCTCTTTCAATGGGGTTGCTCAGAAAAGCTGAGGCAGGTCCCCTTAGACCATTATCCTTCCGTCTTTTTTTCACACTTGCCTGGTAGGATCTTATCCAGCTCTTTTCCGAGCTCTTCCTTATCTCCTCCCTCCATTTTCATTTCCTTCTGGTCTCTGTCAACTGATTTTGCTATCTGGGAGCTTATATAAAGCTAGGAATGAGCCGGGCGTGGTGGCTCACATCTGTAATCCCAGCACTTTGGGAGGCCAAGGCGGGTGGATCACCTGAGGTCAAGAGTTCGAGAGCCTGGCCAACATGGCGAAACCCCATCTCTACTAAAAAAAATACAAAAATTAGCTGGGCTTGGTGGTGGGCTCCTGTAATCCCAGCTACACGGGAGGCTGAGGCAGGAGAATTGCTTGAACCTGGGAGGCAGAGGTTGTAATCCTCCTGCCTCAGACTCCCATAGTGCTGGGATTACAGGCATGAGCCACTGTGCCTGGCCCAGAGTTTGCTCTTGAGGGAGAAGTGGTGCTCATACTTGGGTCACAATTAGTTCTAATTTGTTCCACTCCTTTTTTTTTTTTTTTTTTTTTTTTGAGAGAGTCTCGCTCTGTGGCCCAGGCTAGAGTACAGTGGCACGATCTCAGCTCACTACAACCTCTGCCTCCCAGGCTCCAGGGATTCTCCTGCCTCAGCCTACCTAGTAGCTGGGACTACAGGTGTGCACCACCACACCCAACTAATGTTTGTATTTTTAGTAGACATGGGGTTTCTCTATGTTGGCCAGGCTGGTCTTGAACTCCTGGCCTCAGGTGATCCACCCACCTTGGCCTACCAAAGTGTTGGGATTACAGACAGGCGTGAGCCACCACACCCTGTCTGTTTCATTCTTTCTTGATCTTTCATTGACTTCTGTGTGAACCAAATCCCTAAGAATCTCAGACATGGACACTTACGCATCATCATAGTTATACTGTTTCTACATTATGCAGGTTTCCCAGAAGAAAATAAATTCCTTTAAAAGAAAAAAAAATTATTCTAATACAATTTGTTACTACTACCCAACTTATTCTACAAAGCTAGGGCAAGGTCTAAAGAGAGGAATGGAGAAAACAAACAAGACCAGTTAAACAGTGAAAGCAGGCTCAGTGAACAGCAGAAATCTTTGTGTGTACTCAGTCTTGTAGAGACGTTTCTTCCTAAGGTCAAGAGAGGCTTCATCTATTCATTTCCTTTTGGGAAGTTTTAGGAACAAAGAAGCAGTATCTTTAGTTTTGTTATTGAGGAGCAGCAGCTGAGACTTTCGTGCATGTAAAATGTCACCACTAGGGACTTTGAGATCTTCTGCCAAGCTGCTCATGACTTCCTACCTTTTAAATGTCTTGTATTCTATAGTACTTTAAGATTTCTAACCAATTAAATTTTCTTCTATATCTGCATCACCTCCATTCTCATGCTCACAATACTAGCCTTTGTGCCTAGAATAGACTTCAGACCATTTGCTCCTCTTGTTCAAAACACAACCCAAACTTTTCTCACTGGACCCTGTGTATACCTCACTCAGAACACTGACCATGTTATCTAGGAAGGGTTTGTTTGTATATATTTTCCTATTTAACTCTCTGCCTTGAGGGCCTAACCCTTTGCCTATCATAGAGTAAGGCCCTCAGTGGATATCTACTGACCTTTGGCAGGAGTGATAGTCAGTCATCATATCTGCCAACAGCTATGTGTGGTCAATTATCATTTGCAATAAGCTAGTCTAAAAAAATTATCCTGAAATTTAAAATTACATAACAAAACAAAAAAACACTGTGCAGGACAAAGAGAAAGAAAACTGCCCAAGGCTGGAAAATACAAATTTGAACACAGCTGGGAGCTGTAAAGGGAAACAAGTACAACTCTTCACTGATATTATGAAAAGTCTTTTGTAATGAAGCATCAGAAAATTAAACAATCATACGATATGTACTAATACAAAATAGTGCACATTATGCTAATACAAAAGATAAGACAGTGGAGTGGTTTAGGGCATATGCTTGGGAGCCACATTTCAAAGTTTATATTCTGGCTCTGCTACTTCCAAGCTATGTGGAATTAGGCAAATTACCTAACATCTCTGTTTCTGTAGCTTCATCCTTTGTAAAATGCAGATTCTACTATTGTTCTCCTCAGTGGACTTTTAATAAAAGGAGTTAATATATCAAAAGCACTTAGACAAGTGGCTGACATATAGAAGCAGCAATATAAATATTTTAGTATTATTGTTTTTGTTATAATTCCCCATCTTTAAGCATGACTCATGACAACAAAAACCAGAAATGTTAAGGTTGGAAGCCTAACACATTTATATATGTAAATAGTAAAGAGGATGGATTAAGATGGCAATGTGGGTCATTCATTACTTTTAAAGGGGGTCTTAACATTATACTTTTAGGCGGGTGCGGTAGTTCACGCTTGTAATCCCAGCACTTTGGGAAGCTGAGGCGGGCGGGTTGCTTGAGGTCAGGAGCTCGAGACCAGCCTGGCCAATATGGCGAAACCCCGTCTCTATTAAAAATACAAAAATTGGGCCAGGCGCGGTGGCTCACGCCTGTAATCCCAGCACTTTGGGGGGCCGAGGCGGGCGGATCACGAGGTCAGGAGATTGAGACCATCCTGGCTAACACGGTGAAACCCCGTCTCTACTAAAAATACAAAAAAATTAGCCGGGCGTGGTGGCTGACACCTGCAGTCCCAGCTACTTGGGAAGCTAGCTGAGTCAGGAGAATGGCGTGAACCCAGGAGGCGGAGCTTGCAGTGAGCCAAGATCGCCCCACTGCACTCCAGTATGGGCGACCGAACGAGACTCCGTCTCAAAAAGAAAAACAAAGTGTATGTATACATATACACACACACACACACACACACACACACACACACACACACACACAAATTAGCCGGGCATGGTGGTGCACCCCTGTAATCCCAGCTACCCAGGAGACTGAGGCAAGAGAATCGCTGAACCCAGAAGGCAGAGGTTTCAGTGAGCTAAGATCGTGTTACTGAGAGGTGACAGCGTGCTGGCAGTCCTCAGAGCCCTCGCTTGCTCTTGGCACCTCCTCTGCCTGGGCTCCCACTTTGGCAGCATTTGAGGAGCCCTTCAGCCCCCCCCTCCACTGCACTGTGGGAGCCCTTTTCTGGGCTGGCCAAGGCTGGAGCCCACTCCCTCAGCTTGCAGGGAGGTGTGGAGGGAGAGGCGTGAGCGGGAACCGGGGCTGCGTGCGGCGCTTGCGGGCCAGCTGGAGTTCCGGGTGGGCGTGGGCTTGGCGGGCCCCACACTCGGAGCAGCCAGCCAGCCCTGCTGGCCCCGGGCAATGAGGGACTTAGCACCCAGGCCAGTGGCTGCGGAGGATGTACTGGGTCCCCTAGCAGTGCCAGCCCACCGGCGCTGCGCTCGATTTCTCACGGAGCCTTAGCTGCCTTCCCGCAGGGCAGGGTTCGGGACCTGCCGCCCGCCATGCCTGAGCCTCCCACCCACTCCGTGGGTTCCTGTGCAGCCCCAGCCTCTCCGACGAGCACCACCCCCTGCTCCACGGCGCCCAGTCCCATCGACCACCCAAGGGCTGAGGAGTGTGAGCGCACGGCGCGGGACTGGCAGGCAGCTCCACCTGCAGCCCTGGTGCAGGATCCACTGGGTGAAGCCATCTGGGCTCCTGAGTCTGGTGGGGACGTGGAGAGTCTTTATATCTAGCTCAGGGATTGTAAATACACCATTCAGCACCCTGTGTTTAGCTCAAGGTTTGTGAGTGCACCAATCGACACTCTGTATCTAGCTGCTCTGGTGGGGCCTTGGAGAACCTTTATGTCTAGCTCAGGGATTGTAAACACACCAATCAGCACCCTGTGTTTAGCTCAAGGTTTGTGAGTGCACCAATCGACACTCTGTATCTAGATGCTCTGGTGGGGCCTTGGAGAACCTGTGTGTGGAAACTGTATCTAACTAATCTGATGGGGACGTGGAGAACCTTTGTATCTAGCTCAGGGATTGTAAACGCACCAATCAGTGCCCTGACAAAACAGGCCACTCGGCTCTACCAATCAGCAGGATGTGGGTGGGGCCAGATAAGAGAATAAAAGCAGGCTGCCTGAGCCAGCATTGGCAACCAGCTCGGGTTCCCTTCCACACTGTGGAAGCTTGGTTTTTTTGCTCTTTGCAATAAATCTTGCTACTGCTCACTCTTTGGGTCCACGCTGCTTTTATGAGCTGTAACACTCACCACGAAGGTCTGCAGCTTCACTCCTGAGCCCAGCAAGACTAAGAGCCCACTGGGAGGAACGAAAAACTCCGGACGCGCTGCCTTAAGAGCTATAACACTCACCGCGAAGGTCTGCAGCTTCACTCCTGAGCCAGCGAGACCACGAACCCACCAGAAGAAAGAAACTCCGAACACATCTGAACATCACAAGGGACAGACTCCAGACGCGCCACCTTAAGAGCTGTTAACACTCACCGCGAGAGTCCACGGCTTCATTCTTGAAGTCAGTGAGACCAAGAACCCTCCAATTCCGGACCCATTACTGCACGCCCGCCTGGGCTCTGTCTCTAAAAATAAAAAAATTATACTTTTATAAACTCTTTCCTTGAAGGGTTAAATGCATATGAGGAAGCGGCACATGGACTTCCTTGGCGCTTCCCCCACCCTCCCTTTCTACCTTGTGTCCATACCAAATTTTGTGATTTATCACTAAGTACAAATTATTAGTTAAGTGCTATAAAGATTCTTTTGAAATACCTTTTGGGAAGGATATAGAATTTATTTTAAGAGCATAAAACTAGACAACTGGTGTTTCTTTATTGCTTGCTTTGGAACTCATATTCCTATTGGAGTTCCCAATTAGGCAGTTTGCGAATGAAAATTTCTAAATCTTGGGCTAAAGCCTGTTTTGGTAACAACTTTAGTCCTTATTTGAATTACATTAGTAGGCATGTGTACAACCTGTAACTTCTGAGATATTTGGTCCTTGAGACTTCTAGCGGCATTAAAAATATGACAGGTTCTAGGCTCTCGGTACTTACACACTTTTCTCTCTTTTTTTTTTTTTTTTTTGACAAGGCTGCTAAGAGAACACTGCAATCTTTGGGTAGTTCACCCGTTTTCTTTACTGTGCAAGGTTCATAAAGGCAGGCACTATGTCTGTCATGTTTGTCACTATATCTCCCATGCCAACCACAGTGTGTACTTCACATAATGAGCATTTCAAAGGCAACATTTGGTAAAGAGATATGAATGAAGGTCTTACACTGAAGCAGTGGGGAACAGTAGAACCAGCCTAAGCATTAGATCTGGGTTCAAATTCCAGTTTTGCTCATTATCTATGTGATCTACAGCAAGTTGCTTGACAAACTTTAATTTTTACTTTTTTGTAAAATGGGAATAATACCTATTATATAAGGATTATAAGAATCTATAATCATTTATTAAAACTAAGGAGTGTTTAGTGTTTTCTTCGTAATGTGTTTCAAAATATGGGCTTTAAAAATTGAGTGAAATACAATTCCTGTCCTTAATAAATTTCCACATACGATAGTAAGACAAATAAAAAAATACTACGGAAATTTTATGGGTTTTCAAGGTCGGGAGTGATGATGTGTTTGAGGGAATTAGGAAAGGAGGTGGCATATGAAAAAGTCCTTAAGGGATATTTAGGATCTCAGCAGTTAAAATGGGTAGGCATATCCAAGGTAAACAAAGAGAACATAAGCAGGGAGGTAAAAAGGTACTGAGTGTGACTGAAGAAGGGCCAGTTACTCCTGGCTGAACTGTAAGGTTCGCACAGGAAAGTAGAGATACGTCAGAAATGTGTGGTGGGGCCATATTAGTGGTGACAGGTTCTTTCTTTAATCCAGTAGACAATGAGAAACGCTGATTTGGGTCTATGGCATAATAGGAAGTAGTATGCCACATACTGCATGTGGGAGTTCTGCAGGACAGATTGGGAAGTGCATGCGTGTAAGACTGGGAAGACCAGTTAGGAGAGGCTATTGCACTGTTTTAAGTAAGACATAATAAAGCCCTGCACCAGGCGGAGAGCAGAAGGAACGCACAGAAGACGCAGGAGAGGCACATTTCAGAGAGAATCCAGTATGCAATGGATGTCGCACACAAGAGAGAGAGACGCAGGTGACCGGAGCCATTTACACTAATGGGTAAATCTCGGGAAAGCGCTGGTTTCGGCTACCGGCCAGTTACAGGTTTGAGGTGCCCGTCGCCGCCACCTTCCCTTTTTTTATATTCCTCTTTTTCTCATGGCCGCCTCCGCTTCCCTCCATCTCTCCCGCGCTAGTAACTGAGCTTTCAGTCATCGACCTGACCCTGCGTTTTCCCTCACGCTCCGATTCTGCTTCCTATCACTGCCTCCTACTGTACTATCACAGCCAGGACGAGCACGGGTCAGGCACTGAGGCTGTGGGACACTCCACCCGCCTGGTCCCCTATCGCCTCCGCCTAGGCAGCTGCCATGCGTGCGCCCCCACAGCTCTAGGACCAATAGGCAGGCCCTAGTGCTGGGACTCGAACGGCTATTGGTTGGCCGAGCCGTGGTGAGAGATGGTGCGGTGCCTGTTCTTGGCCCTGCAGAGAGCTGTGGGCGGTTGTTAAGGCGACCGTTCGTGACGTAGCGCCGTCAGGCCGAGCAGCCCCCAGGCGATTGGCTAGACAATCGAACGATCCTCTCTTATTGGTCGAAGGCTCGTCCAGCTCCGAGCGTGCGTAAGGTGAGGGCTCCTTCCGCTCCGCGACTGCGTTAACTGGAGCCAGGCTGAGCGTCGGCGCCGGGGTTCGGTGGCCTCTAGTGAGATCTGGAGGTGAGGCGGGCGGTGACCGAGAAGAGGGGCAGGGGCGGCGGGGAGCGGGGCGGAGATGGGTGGGAGCGGGGTTTGGGCTGTGTTGGTGGCAATTCTGGAGCTTCCCTCGGCCCTGGGAAGTGGCTACCGGCAGCTCCTGCGGACCTGGAGGGGGCTGCGGTTGCGCTTTGTCGGTGTGGCAGCTCGGACCCGCGGGGACTGCAAGGAATGTCCTTGAGGCCCGGCAGGCCGAGCGGCGGCCGGCATCAGTGCCGGAGTAACCCGGGGTCCCGGGGTGGGCTTGAGAGGCGGGCGGCGGTCTGGCCTCTTCGTGACTGCGGTCATCATCGGTGGACCCGCGGGGCGTAGCTGCGTTCATCGTCCCTGTTCAGTCAGAGTAGGCAGTGCTGGCTGCACGGTCACGAAAATCGGGGCGGAAAGGGTGTCAGGCAGGGTGACCTCGGAGGCCCCTGGATTCGAGAAATGCTAGGGGTCTATGGGGCTGTCGGGCCGGCAGCTCGCAGGGCAGACGGGAGAAGCGCCTGCATCCCGGGATCCGGGCATTCACGCCCAGGAACTGCTGTTCGTTAGCACCTTTCTTTTAGGTGACGGGAAAGATCTCTGTAAATACTGCTGACTAACTTAGAACCATGAAAGAACCGTGGATTGGTGTAGATGTGTCTGGTTATTTACAGGAGAACGGCTTGAGAGGATGCGGAGCCCAACGTGGGGATTCGCACAATGACTCAAAAGATTCTTCTCCCTCTTTTTTTTTTTTTTTTTTTGGTAAGGGGTGTAGTCTCCTTGGTGCTGATATTCTTTTAGGAAAAATGTACCTTGGAGATACAAATATAGAACAGTTAATTTCTGCAGTAGGAGGAGGTCGATGTACTCCATTCTTAAGTAGTCGTTTGAAATATTTCAGGATTTGAGGATATTCCTTCTTAGACATGGTCCTGCAGAGTCGTAGGAAGCATTTGTTTCTGGGCTATACTAAATGTGCATGATTTCGGCGTCCCACAAGGTAGAGAATGTACTTTTTGTTTACTTATGAATTTATTTTCCTCTCCATGCAGTGAAAGGCATTTTGCAATTTAGAGATAATCTAGCAAAGACCTGGACAGTACTTTGGGGATAGGCTGGATTTTGCAGGCCTGCTTTGTTGTAGTGTTCTTCCAGAACTTATGATAAACTTGGTGGCCAAAACAAATGGGAATTAGTAACATGAAGGTTAAACAAAATTGCACATAGGTTACAGCATTAACATGAAAATTGTCGGGTATGTGGGATAACCATTTCAAGATAAGAGTGTGAGTATGCGTGCATGCACACACTCTTTGTATTCCTTTATGGTCTAGTTTCTAGACTATAGATAGCCACATTATGGAATTACATGGTCTACTTAGGTTGACCCATGTGAAATTGCCAGTATTTAAAATTCAACTAACCTACAAAAATAGCAGTTTCATATGATTCCATTTAACACTTATCTTTGTCAGAGAACTTTGGAGCTCTAGCTTCATAAGTGAATGAAGAGAATAGATATGACTTAAAAAACAACATGTAATAGAATGTGAGCTAATTGGGTATAGAATCCAGATTTCCTGATTGCCAGTGCAAGATTCGTTTTTTTTTTTTTTTTTTTCCTTCTTTCTGGAATACCAGCTTGAGCAGCAGAATGCTAGATCTTGTTGGGATTGAAAATGACTGCCATATAAGACGCAGTTCTTGGCTTCAAAGAGACAAAATGTACACATTTATTAATTTGAGAACACTGTGAGATAGTATATAATCAAATACTGGAATGTGTAATGCAGGCGGAGTGCTGAGTAGGAGGAAGTAAGATGCCAAAACATCCTTTTCTGCAGTTGGCCATGGTAGGTGGCTTCTGTAGCAGATTGGATTGACATTTAAGAATTATCCATTCTTTTAAAGAATCTGTAAAAGTTTGCAGCATACTTTTTAGTCTGAATAAGTAAGGCATACCTTGCCTATTTGTTTCTTTAAGTAAAATTAATTTTTGGCCGGGCGCGGTGGCTCACGCCTGTAATCCCAGCACTTTGGGAGGCCGAGGCGGGCGGATCACGAGGTCAGGAGATCGAGACCATCCCGGCTAAAACGGTGAAACCCCGTCTCTACTAAAAATACAAAAAATTAGCCGGGCGTAGTGGCGGGCGCCTGTAGTCCCAGCTACTTGGGAGGCTGAGGCAGGAGAATGGCGTGAACCCGGGAGGCGGAGCTTGCAGTGAGCCGAGATCCCGCCACTGCACTCCAGCCTGGGCGACAGAGCGAGACTCCGTCTCAAAAAAAAAAAAAAAAAAAAATTAATTTTTATTGCAGCATTGCATAAATACTGTCAACTTAATTTGCAGGAGCTATCCTGTAGCCTGCTTGTGACATTTGCAACTGCTGATGAAGGTGGACGATTGAATTCTATGGCATGTAAATGCTTTGCGTAATCACAGGGCAACGGGGAGGATGTTCCTGAGAAATGAGATTGTTTATAATTATGGTTACTTTTGACACACCCTCATAAGATTGCTCAGTTTGTTTCCAAATAGGTGGAGTTCTCTGTGTTTAGGGGCGGCTGACAGAATCATGTGTAATTTTTTTCCTTGAATATTGCAAAGATGACTTTACACCTAGGAAAAAAAGTCCCAGAATTACAATGCCACCATAAAATCTTTTGAGGGAAAACATAATGTGTCTAATGTATAATTATGGGTTTATGATGTTAAACCAATTTGTTCACAAGTTAGTGTTCCTTCTGGGTTGCAGCTAAGATTTTAACTCAAATGAATTAACTTTTTAAAACAATGAATCTGATTGACATAATGAGGAATAATCTGAGCTGAAGAGTTTTTTTTTCAGGGAAAGAGGGTTAGAAATAATTTTGACCTAATTTTGAAACATGTAGTTAATTTACTTTCTGGAACTTTGATGCTAATTGATCCTTTAGAACAGTTGGTAGAGTTGTGTTTTAAATGTAGGAAAGAAATTATGTGATAGAATACCATGATGAAAATCTAGCCTTTTAGTGAGTGAGTCTTTTGTTTATAATTAAGTAGAGTTCAAATCTAAGATTTGATTAAAGATTTCCAATACTTAAAAGTCCAAGTACCTGCTAATTTAATAGAAAGTATTTTGTTGCTGTTGTTCATTTTCCAGGATAGTTCCAAGTTGACTGTCTCTAATCTGAAGATCTGAAATCCGAAATGCTCCAAAATCTGAAATTTCTTGAGCACCAACCTGACACTCAAAGAAAATGCTCATTGCAGCATTTGGAGTTTGGATTTTGGATTAGGGATGCTAAGCTAATAAATGTAATGCAGATATTACAAAATTCAAAAACATCCAAAATCTGAAACGCTTCTGGTCCCAAGCATTTTGGATAAAGGATACTCAGCCTGTATGTAAAATGTTTCTCCTTCCCGTACCCCATTAATAAGTTCCCTGAATGCTCTGCATTTAGCCTTAAACTAGAGGGCATGGGTTACATCCATATCTAGGTGCCTTAAAAAAAAGTCGTCTTTAGGTCTGTTTCAAGATGTGTCATAAAATACATGCTACTATAGCTTAAGAATTTAAGCCAGCATTTGTTGAGCAATGCTGTATATGAGTGCAAGGTGCTGGAGGGTAAATTGATGAATAAGACTCAGGGTGGAAGGTTGAAAAAGCATGAGTAAACACAGGCAGGTACATGCCACATTTATATTCCTTTAGGTACTGCCAGCTTTTTAAAACTGTGACCCACAGTAGGAAATACACGTTAATTTAAAAGCCAGACACACACTTATATAGGTATAGTTTCTTGAAACATAGTTTTAAGAAATAATACCTACCCATACTACCTGGCTTACCCAACAGCTATTTTTTATAATATTGTTTTCTATTTTATTTTATTTAAAAATGTTTGTTCTTAACGACAAAATTGATGTCATGATGTAATTGATGCAGTTGTTGTGGATCAACAGTTTGAAAACTGTTTAGCTAGTGGTGTGGTATGTCTGAAATGTAGAGAACATGGAGTGATGCAGTGAGAGATGACACTTGGTATTTGCTTTGGTTCCTTAAAGCTGCTCTTTTTTTTTTTTTTTGGTCTTTCCCCTAACCCTTTATAAATAGATTAATGCTTTCTTTCACTTACTTGATTGCCTTTTTATAGTCTGTCTTCAACAGATGAATCACTTTTATTTATTACTAAATGTGAGATTCATTTGAATTCTTGCTAGAGTGGCAGTTAATGAGCTTTTTAAATCTTTTTGGTTGATTTTTGCAGGTTACTAATATGCCTTATCACAGGCATTGATTTTAGTGAAAGAAGTAAGACTTGCAGGTTTATTTGTGGAGACCAATGGTAATAGAAGATTTGTTTTCAAAATCAGAATGTCATAATTATTATTTAGCAAACAGGAAATTTAGTCATGGTAGTCAGTAAATCAAAATCTTCTATATGTTCTTTTGGGAATTTTTTTGAATGCTATATACAGATACTTCAGCCAGTCATCCTCTTCTAGTACTGTTCCAGCTTTTGATTAGTTGTGAAAGTTTGGAGCTTTTCACATCTAATGCTTTTCCATTGGTCTTCTAGCACTATTGTTGATGAATCTGCTAGAAGAAAAGCAGCCACCACAGCAAAATTCTTAACCCTGTTTTATTAATGTAGAAACATCTATCAGAAAAGACTTTTTTTCTGTTGACAGCAATGTTAGGAAGGTTTATTAAACATCCTTTTGCTAGTGACATTATGCCATATGTTCTATGGAATGAAAAAGTACAAGAGGTCCCTGCCCTTGAGGATCTTATCAACTAACATGATTTATAGCAGGACACTCAATAAGTGGATTCTTGGGTGTTTACCTTTTGTGTAATCAGAATGTAGATGATGAAGAAGATACTTAACATGCATTTTATATCTAGGTAATTAGAAAATGTGAATAGCTGTTTCTCACTTGTGTTTTCTGCTTGATTGCTCTTCTACTTGCAAGGCTTAGGTAATAAGGTCGAGATACTTATCTGGTTTGATCTTAAATGTTTGAATTCATATAATTTTTAAGAAATGGCTGCTTTAAAGTTGGTTGCCAGTAAGTAATAAAGGATTTATTGTTTGAGTGAAGAAGAAATAACATAGTTCTCTTAATTTTATAATTATTTTCCAGAATTATAAGGAACAGTATCAAATAGTCATATGTATGGGACACTGTGCATACAAAGCAGGGTTTATAGCACACTTTTCCTTAAAATCTTTTCCTAAAAATACAATGAGCTGTATACTAAGTGTTCACCCTTGATATTCCTTCCAGGATCCAAGGATTCTGTAGCTACAATGTTGTCAAGACTTTTTCGAATGCATGGCCTCTTTGTGGCCTCCCATCCCTGGGAAGTCATAGTGGGGACAGTGACACTGACCATCTGCATGATGTCCATGAACATGTTTACTGGTAACAATAAGATCTGTGGTTGGAATTATGAATGTCCAAAGTTTGAAGAGGTTAGTGAAGTTAATTTGATACTGACTAAAGTAAATTACATTTTCAATTTTTGAAGAGCCCTTAAGCCCCTATAGGGAGCACATAATTTTTAAAAGTTAGAGTAAAATATTTATTTTAGTATTTTGGAACTTACCTCAAATTTCTGCTTACATGGAATGCACTGGAAATGCTCTTATTTTGCTTTGTCTTTACAAATGAATGTAATTGACTTTATTTGAGAAATACATCTTTTATAAGTGACTAATAGTCAAAAATGATTGTGGGCCGGGTATAGTGACTCATGCCTGTAATCCCAGCACTTTGGGAGGCCAAAGCAGGAGAATTGTTTGAGCCTAGGAGTTCAAGACCAGCCTGGGCAACCTGGACAACATAGTAAGACCCAGTCTTTAAAAAAAAATTAAAGGCCGGGCACGGTGGCTCATGTCTGTAATCCCAGCACTTTGGGAGGCCAAGGCGGGTGGATCACGAGGTCGGGAGATCGAGACCATCCTGGCTAACATGGTGAAACCCGTGTCTCTACTAAAAAATACAAAAAAATTAGCCAGGCATGGTGGCGGGCTCCTGTAGTCCCAGCTACTCGGAAGGCTGAGGCAGGAGAATGGCGTGAACCCAGGAGGCAGAGCTTGCAGCGAGCCGAGATCGCGCCACTGCACTCCAGCCTGTGTGACAGAGCGAGATTCCATCTCAAAAAAAATTAAAAAATTAGCTGGGTGTGGTAGCATGTACCTGTAGTCCTGCTACTCGGGAGGCCATGGCAGGAGGATCCCTTGAACCTGGAGGTTGAGGCTGCAGTGAACTGTGATTGCACCACTGTACTCTAGCCTGGGTAACAGCATGTTACCCTGTCTCAAAAAAAAAAAAATTGTGGTGATGTATTGGCTTACCACAGTGGTTTGATTAAAAGTTGGATTTAATTTTTGATTTGTAGGTTTGATATTTTTATTGGACTTGTATTGTGCTTACATTTATGTTCTCATGACTATATAAATGAATTACACATGCAAAATAAAAATTCTTAGTTTTGATTACTTATTTTAAAAGTCAAAGCTAATGGAATTTCCTTTTCTTTCTCTCCTATTAGGATGTTTTGAGCAGTGACATTATAATTCTGACAATAACACGATGCATAGCCATCCTGTATATTTACTTCCAGTTCCAGAATTTACGTCAACTTGGATCAAAATATATTTTGGGTAATAGTTTTACATATTTAACTTCTGGTGTCATCAGATTTTTGATTTGCTGTGGAAATAAACCTGTTCATTCAAATCATGTATTTGGAAATATGTGTATTGCTGAAAGTGTGCTGCATGCATTGAATAGTTTCCTTATTATTGGCAATTAGACATTCTGAAATTTGAGACCTTAATAATTTGGAGTAAACTAGTATTATCTCAGAATGCTGTGTGACACTGTTATTATTTGTGTAGTAAAGGATAAAGTTTTTTTAGTATTGAACTTTTGTCATTTTAGGTATTGCTGGCCTTTTCACAATTTTCTCAAGTTTTGTATTCAGTACAGTTGTCATTCACTTCTTAGACAAAGAATTGACAGGCTTGAAGTAAGTATTTAAAACCTAAATATACTTTCTGTCAAAATACATTTTAAAAAACTTTTCTTCCCCATGCTGTAAAGGTACATTTTCAAAAGTTAAGAAAATAAGGGGAAATTTTTTTGTATAATTTTACTATTAGCTAATTTTAATAACTATTAACATTTTGGCATATATCCTTTTCTACTGTTTTTATACTTAAAGAAAATATCTGATATCATATATATTGTTTTATAATTTCTTTATGCTTAATAATAGTTTATCAACATCTTTCCATGTCCCTTTTTTTTTTTTTTGAGATGGAGTTTCGCTCTTGTCACCCAGGCTGGAGTGTAATGGCACGATCCTGGCTCACTGCAACCTCCACTTCCCGGGTTCAAGCAGTTCTCCTGCCTCAGCCTCCTGAGTAGCTGGGATTACAGGCACCTGCCACCATGCCCATTTAATTTGTGTATTTTTGGTAGAGACTGTGTTTCGCCATGTTGGTCAGGCTGGTGTCAAACTCCTGACCTCAAGTGATCCGCCTGCCTTGGCCTCCCAAAGTGCTGGGATTATAGGCGTGAGCCACTGTGCCCGGCCTCCATGTCCTTAATGTTAAACTAAATTGTTTGTAATGGCTATATGTATTCTCTTCTGTCTAAACGTCTTGTAGTTTATTAATCATCTAATGTTGGACTGTTAGGTTATGTAATTTTTTTTATTAATAACAACACTGTGATGAATGTCTTTGTAACGAAATTTTTGTTCATATTTGTAATCATTTTCTTAAGATACATTCCTAGAAGTGAGACAGTGGTTTTGCTTTTTTTAGAGCTTTGCTTTTTTTTTTTTAAGAGCTTTTTAGTGCTATTATTGCCAATTTAGTTTACAGAAAGTTTGTTTAGTTTATCCTTCCACAGGTAGTGATCAATGAAAATTTTTATATATTCCACTTTTTTTCCCTAATGGTAATCCAAGGAGATATTTTTTACTAAGGATGATACTTTGATACAAAATTATCAAAAGGTGTTTAAATGTAAATATACTTACATTTTAACATTAAAAATATTTTTAACAAATATTTTGAGCAACTACTATGTTTAGCTTTGAGGATGCCAAAGAAATATAGGGTATACTTTTTTGTCTGCAGAAAGGTACACATACTACAGGATCATACAGTATGGAGGGGGAAAGGTTTTGTTCTAAAAAGAATTTTTTTAAAATCATACTTTTTCCCGTTAAATTTATCTGATCATTTTGTTCTTTTCCAGTGAAGCTTTGCCCTTTTTCCTACTTTTGATTGACCTTTCCAGAGCAAGCACATTAGCAAAGTTTGCCCTCAGTTCCAACTCACAGGTAAGTATTATTTATAAGATAGGAATGTGAATAGTATTCCTTTTTTCAGTTTACATTAATAGGAAGGATTAATAGCGTTTCTTCATAGCACAAGATTTAAGAATTGCCCAAAGTTTTAAGTTTAATTCTCAAGTCCCAAGACTGGTCTCCATAAGTGCCCCAGGAACAGTCCCCTGTATCTAACAACTCAATTATGATTCTGTAGCTACTGGAATTTGGAATTGCCCCCATTTTTCTTTTTGAAAGTTTTCAGAACTTATGGTAATAATAATTTTTGGGTAAATAAGAGTATTTTCCTAGTGAAACACATCAGAGAGCAGAACAAGATCTAATGGAAGAGAAACCCAGGGTAGATTGATTGATTGATTGATTTGAGATGTAGTCTCACTCTGTCACCCAGGCTGGAGTGCAGTGGCGAGATCTTGGCTCACCACAACCTTCGCCTCCTGGTTTCGAGGGATTCTTCTGCCTCAGCCACCTGAGTAGCTGGGATTACACATGTGCACCACCATCCCCGGCTAATTTTTGTGTTTTCAGTAGAGACGGAGTTTTGCCATGTTGGCCAGACTGGTCTTTAATTTCTGACCTCAAGTGATCCACCCGCCTCAGCCTCCCAAAGTGGTGGGATTATAGGTGTGAGCCACTGCACCTGGCCAGATTTATTTTTAAACCCCTTAAATTAACACTGGCATTATTTCCTATTTTAAGTTTCATCTTAATGTTCATTAGTCACTTTGAAGAACCTAACCATTTTAACAATATTATATCAGAGTATCTTGAGTATAAAATAGCACACAATTCTGCCCTGATTATTTGTTGATGAAAGTGTGTGATCATTTGAACATATTAACAAGGAAATAAGTTTGGTTTTATTAATACTAATATGATCTCATAAAATTTGCAACTAAGCTTCTGTCATGGTAGGTAAAAATATAGAATGTTGTAGGATTTAATTATGTGTGATTTAAATGACAGAGTTAATGCACTACCTCAAAGGAATATTCCTAACAAATATCTTATTCAGTGGAAAGGGAATCAGGGCACTATATGTTCTTTTTTAAAAATTTGGCTGGGCGCAGTGGCTCACACCTGTAATTCCAGCACTTCGGGAGGCCGAGGTGGGCAGATCACCTGAGGTCAGGAGCTCCAGACCAGCCTGGCCAACCTGGTGAAACCCAGTCTCTACTAAAAATACAAAAATTAGCTGGGCATGGTGGCGGGTGCCTGTAATCCCAGCTACTCGGGAGGCTGAGGCAGGAGAATTGCTTGAACCCAGGAGGCAGAGGTTGCAGTGAACCAAGATCACACCATTGCACATTGCACTCCAGCCTGGGAAACAAAGTGAGACTACATCTCAAAAAAAAATTTTTTAAAATCCTTTATATTACAATCATACTTTGTATCTTGAATACCTGTTAGTTTTATCATATTGTATATTTTACTCTTTGAATAGTAATTTGATATTAATATAAGCCATAGGATGCTCTAACATTTAAAAAAGTTGTTCTGTCCCTTGCCTTCATTGATATGTTTGATCTGTTTTAGGATGAAGTAAGGGAAAATATTGCTCGTGGAATGGCAATTTTAGGTCCTACGTTTACCCTCGATGCTCTTGTTGAATGTCTTGTGATTGGAGTTGGTACCATGTCAGGTTTGTAAGCAATTTTTGCCATATTTTAAAATAGGTATGTCGCTAAAGAGGAAAAAGAACATCTTGGATTTGTATTATTTATTGTTAAATTCTGACTTTTAAATTACTCTTAAAATTTTTTATTATATTAGTGTGTGGGTATATCTGGCCTGTTTGCTTTGGTGGAAACTTAGCAGCAGGTTACTGATTTATTTTTCACTCCTGCCATCCTCTCTTTGTGTTCCACTTTGTGATATTTTTATTCATTTGATTTCTTTTGTTTGTTTTTTTAACCAACATTGCATTCCAAGGTTGGTCTGGAAAACACTTTCCAGCCCCTGCTGTTACTTAGACTCAATTGGTGACTTGGTTCTTTGTGTTTTAATTATCATGTAGGGAGAAAAGAGTCAGGAATTGGACAGATCTGAGTAAGATTCACCTAATAAGGTGATTGGAAATATTTAATCCGATAGTAAGCAGTACATCTCAGCAAGTACCCAGCATTAGCTTCAACACATGTTTCTTCATTCTTAATTGGATAGTAGAGAATTAGATATTAATATCAAACATAGGACTTCATTATGTAGAATAAAAATTACAGACTGGCATGGAAATTTGCCAGAAGGAATATATTACGCTGTGTGAAGGTCTCCTAATCATTAGGATTATATTTTATGGCTTTCTTATAAAGACCATACTTGGTTAACTACTGTGTATTTCCTGGTACCTTAGAGCCCTCAATGAGATGCCTCATTCTTTCAGAAGTAAATTATCTAACTTTTAAGGGGGTAAATTATTGTCATTAGTTTAGGCCTCTTCAGTAGATAGTATATTAAAAATGTAATATTGCTTCTAACTTTCTGAGAGCAAATTATTATTTATTTATTTTATTCAACAAAGATTTTATTTAGCAAATAAAATATTTTTTAATTTTAAAAATTTACTTACTTTAAAATTTACTTTTGGGAGTACAATTTTATGAGTTTTGACAATGACATAGTCTTGTAACCACCACTACACTCAAGAAAAAATGTTGATCAGGTGAAAATGTACTTGTTTGATTTTATTCAAGCAAAAGAATATATGAGAAGGGGATTCGCCAGGAAGTAATAGTTGGGCCATGAAACCATGGGATTATTCATTGAAATAATAATGATGTGGAAAGCAGCTGGGCGATGAGTTTTGTCATGATATGGTCAGAGAAGTAGACAAAGGAAGTGATTAGATTTGTGGTTGGAGAAGACAGTGAGACATTTACAGCTATACAGAAATGGTATAATTAGAGATTTGGGTTACGGTAAAAAAGGACAGATTTAACACATATTAACTTGGAAGTAACCCTTTGAAAAAGCCAGTACAAAAAGAAGAAAGTCTTAGCTTCTTGGATGTCTGTGGATTGGTGCTGTTTCTTTGTGTGTAGAGAGACTTATCTGGGGACACAGTAAGGAAGAATGCCTGGAGAGCATATGGCAACAACATGAGTGAATATTGTGCAGAGAGAAATAGTAGATAGTCAAGTCATGAAAGCATTGGTCAAGTATGGTTTTAATGGCCTCAAGTTTGAAAAGATTATATTCAGCTACTATTTAAAATGTAGTTTGATTTATAATGCTTTTGTTATTGTGATTTTGTAGTCTCTTGAATTTCCACATTTGAGGGTAATCGTGGAATTAAAAAAATACAATATATGCTTGTTCTAGTCAGTCAAATGATATCTTAAAATTTAGGTAATAAAATACAACTTTGAGTTTTTGTGAGCAGTTTTTATAGGACAATTTAAATTTATGTTTCAAAGCATTGGGAATTAAAAAAATACAATATATGCTTGTTCTAGTCAGTCAAATTATATCTTAAAATGTAGGTAATAAAATAAAACTTTGAGTTTTTGTGAGCAGTTTTTATAGGACAATTCAAATTTGTGTTTCAAAGCATTGTTATGTTTGAGCGACATCAGAAATATGTTTTATATTATACTCAAGTTTATTTGTAAAGTGAGGGAGAAGGATTTGGTGGTCATCTAAGGTCTCTTCTAGCCTCTATAATTCTGTTTTCTATTTGAGATCACCAAATGATACCTTAAACAGTTGTAGTACAATATGTTTGTTAATTTTTAGTCTTAAGTTGGCATTTTGTATTATATCATTTTCCAAACAGATCAATGAAATAACCAAAATTATAAGAACTTCAGTAGGCATCATAGAGGTTATATTGAAATTAGAGTTTGTTGGTACACAAAAAATATTATTTTGACCTTATATCAGGACTGGCATAACTGGCAGGATATTCTACTTATATAAAAAATCCTTGGTTAATTGGCAAATTGCTTTTCTCCTAACAAGTGGGATTAGATCAATAGTGTCACTGGGGTTTTGCTCTGTTAGAGTAGCCTGTCCTCTCCTTATTTAATAATAAGGCACTACTGCTTGACAAAAAGGAATTGGAAACACATATGTTTTATCAATTGTGTATTAAACACTACCATTCTGCCTGGCATTGTGATATGGGGACATGAGAGAAGGCAAGAGCTTTGCTCTTGAGGGACTTAGAGTTCTGTTGTTATTCCTGCTGTTTCCTAAGGCTTGGCATCACCTCTAAGTTGCTAATTCTATTTCCAGTAAGTGGCAAGGAGCTTAATGTACTAATATTTTCATGTTTTGTCCACCTGCAGGAAGACAAATATATCCTTGTGATATATGCAGCATAAAAAATAACGTAGACTTTACTAGTTGTATCTTTAATTTTTCTCTAACCAGGGGTACGTCAGCTTGAAATTATGTGCTGCTTTGGCTGCATGTCAGTTCTTGCCAACTACTTCGTGTTCATGACTTTCTTCCCAGCTTGTGTGTCCTTGGTATTAGAGGTAAGACCAATTCTTACATATGGCACTAGTAGAAGAGTAAGATTTCTGCTTACACAGTTTACCTAAACAGAATCAATACCTTCTAATGTCACACTGACTTAATTTGTAGCTTTCTCGGGAAAGCCGCGAGGGTCGTCCAATTTGGCAGCTCAGCCATTTTGCCCGAGTTTTAGAAGAAGAAGAAAATAAGCCGAATCCTGTAACTCAGAGGGTCAAGATGATTATGGTAATGACATGGTTTTCTTCTTCTTTTAGTATCCTCAGTTCCAATCTCATTATTTTTAAGATTTCTTTTTTTCTACAATTTTGGCCCATTCAATGATATTGCACCCCCTTCTTCCTTTTTTTCTTAATGTGTTCATTTCTTTGAGGCTCCTGGTCTTTATTAGCCCCTCTCTCCTAAACAGACTTTTTAAGTTCCCCCACCTTATCTCTCGTTGAAAGCCTGTTCTTTGGGGTGTTTTCAGTAGTTCAGTGGGGTCACTACTTTAGTTAGTTGCATAGCAAGCTTGGGGCTTTTTTTTTTTCATGGTAAGGGGAAGCTATGAGAGATAATGTCTGGCTGTCCAGTTGCTAGGGATAAGAAATTTAAGTTCTATTGATATGCAGAGGATACATTACTTTAAAAATTTTATTTCAGTCTCTAGGCTTGGTTCTTGTTCATGCTCACAGTCGCTGGATAGCTGATCCTTCTCCTCAAAACAGTACAGCAGATACTTCTAAGGTTTCATTAGGACTGGATGAAAATGTGTCCAAGAGAATTGAACCAAGTGTTTCCCTCTGGCAGTTTTATCTCTCTAAGTAAGTTAATTGAAATCTACTTTGTGATATATTAATCATAACACTCTATGCTAATGTAAGTTTAGATTGTGTCCTTTACATTTCTGAATAAGATTTTAATTTGCTTTCTTTTATTTAGAATGATCAGCATGGATATTGAACAAGTTATTACCCTAAGTTTAGCTCTCCTTCTGGCTGTCAAGTACATCTTCTTTGAACAAACAGAGACAGAATCTACACTCTCATTAAAAAACCCTATCACATCTCCTGTAGTGACACAAAAGAAAGTCCCAGACAATTGTTGTAGACGTGAACCTATGCTGGTCAGAAATAACCAGAAATGTGATTCAGTAGAGGAAGAGACAGGGATAAACCGAGAAAGAAAAGGTAACTTGTTATTCTCTTCGCTTTCAATCCTTCATTGCTTTGTCAAAAAGTAGTCTGTTTTCAAAATTATGTGCCGTGTTGTGAGATTTCTTTTGATTTCTTGAACAGTTGAGGTTATAAAACCCTTAGTGGCTGAAACAGATACCCCAAACAGAGCTACATTTGTGGTTGGTAACTCCTCCTTACTCGATACTTCATCAGTACTGGTGACACAGGAACCTGAAATTGAACTTCCCAGGGAACCTCGGCCTAATGAAGAATGTCTACAGATACTTGGGAATGCAGAGGTGAGGATGATAACATAAACTCCAATGTGGCATTTTTCATTACAAAGGAGCTTTTTCAAGGAAGAAAAATCTAGTATCTGCTGAACACTACAGCTAAGTTCTGGGCACGGTGTAACATGACTAACAGATACTATCTTCTTTCTTTATTTCACACAACCTTGAGAGGTAGGTACAATTATCTATTTTTCAGATGAGAACATTGAGGCTCCAATATGTTTAATTTCCCAAAGTAGTACCTCTAGGAAATGATAAAGCTGATAGCAGGGTCCAAGATTTTCTGACTCCAGAGTCAAAACTCTTTCTAGTTTATTACTGTTTATCATAGAGATGAGTGACTACTGTATTCTCATAGGTGTGTTGAGGCCTAGAAAGAGTTTAACACAGAGACAAGTTTCAAAGATAGAAGAAAGTTTGTTTTTGTTTTGTTTTGTAAGCTTGATACCCATGAGGAAGTTTGCTTTTCTTTCTGACATTTGAACAGGACCTTCTGCCTACATGACCATATGAATCTACTCATGCTTTCATGCAAATAATCATGTTCCATCCATGTCTGCTTAATATGGTTCTTTCTTTTAAATATATGTTAATACGTTTATTGGTAAAATGCAATTTTTTGCCAGCTTTATTGAGGTATACTTGACAAAATTTTATTTTATTATTATTATTATTATTATTATTATTATTGTTTTGGAGACAGAGTGTCACTCTGTCACCCAGGCTGGAGTACAGTGGCACCATCTTGGCTCACAGCAACCTCCACCTCCCAGGTTCAAGCGATTCTTGTGTATCAGCCTCCCGAGTAGCTGGGATTACAGGCATGCGCCACCATGTCTGGCTAATTTTTGTGTTTTTAGCAGAGATGGGATTTCACTATGTTGGCCAGGCTGGTCTCAAACTCCTGGCCTCAAGTGGTCTGCCTGCCTTGGCCTCCCAAAGTGCTGGGATTACAGGTATGAGCCACTGCATGCCCGGCCTGCATTCTTCAATCATATGCTTTTTAGCTAAACTTAGTCATTGTTCTTTAAATACAGTTCCCAACTCTGGGTTCCTATTCTTGTCATCTGACATGTCTCCCCCTCTCCAGGTGTTCACACCTTTAGGGCAAATGCTAGCATCTCTATGAAACCTACCTCAATTCCGCCAAACAGAAGTAACCTTTCTTTTCTGAAGCATCCATTATATAGAGACTGTGCATTTTTAATGGCAGTCGTACCTTGTTGCTTATATCACATTTACATGAATATCTCCATTATTAGACATCGGGCTCTTAGATGGCTAAGTCCATGTCTTGAGAGGGCCTTGGATTTCATAGGTGCTCAGTAAACTTACTAAGAGAATGAATGAATTTGCATTGATAATACATAAACCAGCTAATGTTTATCTTACTATTCTTTTGAAAAATTAGGCTAATATTAGTGTTTGCAAAGAAGATCCTTGAATAAACCCACAAAATGGAATTACTGGTACCAGTTTTGTGGAGGGTGGTGATTGTGAGTGTGTGTGTGTGTATGTGTATGTATGTATATCACCACCACAAGCAGAGTCAAGAGACAGCTAATAAACCAAGAGAAAATATTGGCAATTTATATTTAAGGCTAAAGGGCTAATCTCTAATATATAAAGAGCTCCTACAAATTGATGAGACTAAATTTTTATCTAATTTTTAAAAAGAGCAGATAATCAGTCTATTGTCAGGAAAAAAGTACATATGGCTCTTAAAAATGTGAAAAGGTGATTAACTTCATCCTAAGAGAAATGCAAATTAAAATTGTACTTGAGATATTTTCACTCATCAGATTGGCAATAATCCCAAAGTTTAATAACATACTCTATTGAGGTTGTAGGGAAAGGTCTTTTCTTGTTTTTTTGGGTTTTTTTTTGGTTTGGTTTTTTTTTTTTTGAGAAGGAGTTTTGCTATTGTTGCCCAGGCTGGAGTGCAATGGCATGATCTTGGCTCACCGCAACCTCTGCCTCCTGGGTTCAATTGATTCTCCTGCCTCAGCCTCCCAAGTAGCTGGGATTACAGGCATGCGCCACCATTCCTGGCTAATTTTGTATTTTTAGTAGAGACGGGGTTTCTCCATGTTTGTCAGGCTGGTCTCAAACTCCGGACCTCAGGTGATCCGCCCGCCTTGGCCTCCCAAAGTGCTGGGATTATAGGCGTGAGCCACTGCCCCCAGGCTGGAAAGGTCTTTTCTTACATTGGTGGTGAGAAGGCAATTGGACCGTGTTTATTCAAATTAATAAATTTGTAAAAATTATAAAAATTTATAAGATTGTAAATGTTCATACCCTTTGGCCCAACACTTGTGTGAATATATACCCATATGTGTGCGTGTATATATATATATATGCATATTTATAATCATGCCTAAAAACATCTCTGGATGGATACACAGTGAAACAGTGGTACCTATTTATGTGTAGGTAGCAAAGAACTGGGCAGATGGTAGACAGGGATGGGATGAAGACTTTTTGTTATATCTCTTTTAATATTTAGTTTTTAAACCATGTGAATATATTGCCTGTTCAGGATATCAAAAATAGCAAGTTTACTAGAGTTTAAACAATAGCTGTTATATCTGACACACACTTGAAACCTTGCTAAATTCACATTTATTTTTCTTTTTATGGTGTATTAGTGCAAGCCTGTCTTTGTATTGTAAAATCTAATGATACGGTATTTATATTATTTTTGTTTGGCATTTTTTGCATTAAATGAATTATTTTGCAGAGGTATCTTTTAATTAAAAACTACAGTGATTTAATTTAAAAATTACATTATTTTAGCTTAGCATTGTTTGTATTAAATGGTTTATAACATGAAATACAGTCCTTCAAGTCTTCTGTTTCATCTCTCTCTCTGACCACAATTTCATTTTTTTTCTCCATTTCTTTAGAAAGGTGCAAAATTCCTTAGTGATGCTGAGATCATCCAGTTAGTCAATGCTAAGCATATCCCAGCCTACAAGTTGGAAACTCTGATGGAAACTCATGAGCGTGGTGTATCTATTCGCCGACAGTTACTTTCCAAGAAGCTTTCAGAACCTTCTTCTCTCCAGTACCTACCTTACAGGGATTATAATTACTCCTTGGTATGTTATTTTCTCGATTAAGAGAGATTTGCTTTGTATGTTTTTAATCTTTTTTCTTGATTAGTTTCATATATGTACATAGTTTTATAAAACATTTTCCTTTTAAATCATTTTATCCTAATTTTTTATTCTGCTTATGATGTAGGTCATAGAAATTAAAAATATATTTCCTGCTTTTATAGTCATTACTCAAAGATTTTAGTATTTTAAACACTTTTTAAAGGTGAATTAAACATTTTGTTTAAAAAGAATACATACTAAAGGATTAAGTTTGAAGATAGTTATACTGACAAGCTGAGATAAAATTTTGTGCATTTACTATATAGATTTTCATTTGGTGCCTGACTTTACCTTTTAGGTGATGGGAGCTTGTTGTGAGAATGTTATTGGATATATGCCCATCCCTGTTGGAGTGGCAGGACCCCTTTGCTTAGATGAAAAAGAATTTCAGGTTCCAATGGCAACAACAGAAGGTTGTCTTGTGGCCAGCACCAATAGAGGCTGCAGAGCAATAGGTGTAAGTTGGCATTTATATATTTGCCAGTTTAAAAATACATCATAAGTAAGGCAATGAGAAGAGTTTTAAGGACAATTAGTGATACCTTTTGGGTCAAGCATGAGCATTTTTGGGTAACATGTGCTTGCTTCTCTAACATATACTGTGTAGCTTGGTGGAGGTGCCAGCAGCCGAGTCCTTGCAGATGGGATGACTCGTGGCCCAGTTGTGCGTCTTCCACGTGCTTGTGACTCTGCAGAAGTGAAAGCCTGGCTCGAAACATCTGAAGGGTTCGCAGTGATAAAGGAGGCATTTGACAGCACTAGCAGGTGTGTGAGTGGATTTGTATGTACAGTTATATCTATTTGTTTATTTTAGAACCAGTGTCATTTTCTGTGATTACCAAACATAATTGTTAACATATTACCTGCTAAAGAGCACATAACAGAATATCAACTTTAAAGCCATTCATTTAAAATGAGTAATATTTATGCTTGGTTGGGGGGAAAAAAAGAATGTTGATTCAAATGAATAGCTCCACAGAGGTAAATTAGTAAGAAAAAAAAAAAAGTGTGAGCTAGTAATTTTGATTAGATGTTACTTTGCCTAGGAGAGAACTGTCTTAGAAAAAAAGATTTTTCAAATAGGAGAGAAATATTAGTATAATAAGACTTACTTCAAATAAAGAAAATTAATAAAGTAGCATAATCAACACAAATGATAACCATAGTATAGTTCAAGCTAACACATTTGTTTTTATGTGAACTGTGTAAGTTTATTAAGAAATAATTGTGACTGGGCGCAGTGGCTCACGCCTGTAATCCCAACACTTTGGGGAGGCCAACGCGGGCAGATCACTTGAGGCCAGGAGTTCGAGACCAGCCTGGCCAGCATGGCGAAACCCTGTCTCTACTCAAAATACAAAAATTGGCTGGGCATGGTGGCCCGCGCCTGTAATCCCAGCTACTCGGGAGGCTGAGGCTGGAGAATTTCTTGAACCCGGGAGGTGGATGTTGCAGTGAGCCAAGATCAAGCCACTGCACTCCAGCCTGGGCCACAGAGTGAGACTCCGTCTCAAAAAAAAACAAAAAACAAAGAAATAATAATAATAAAAGAATAAAACACAGTCTTTGCATCTTTTATTTATAGATTTGCACGTCTACAGAAACTTCATACAAGTATAGCTGGACGCAACCTTTATATCCGTTTCCAGTCCAGGTCAGGGGATGCCATGGGGATGAACATGATTTCAAAGGTAAGTGTAGGCAGAGTATCTGAAAGTACTTTTATTAAAATGAAAGTACTTTTATAAAAAACAAATCAGGCATTTGTTGATTGGTATTCCTTACATTTGATAGATTTAATTTAGACTTGGCATTACACATATCCTGAGTTTACTTAGGACTGGGAACAATCTTAGTATTGACATTTCAAAACTTTATCCAGTCAAGAGACCACCTTTGAAGCTGACCTCTTCAAGATTTGTCTTTAAGAACACCAATATAATTTCAGTACTTTGGGAGGCCAAGGCAAGAAGATTGCTTGGGGTCTGGAGTTTAAGACCAGCCTGGGCAACACAGTGAGATGCTATCTCTACAAACAATAAAAAAAAATAGTTGTGCATAGTGGCACACACCTGTGGTCCTCGCTACACGGTAGGCTGGGGCAGGAAGTTAGCTTGAGCCTAGGAGCTTGAGGCCAGCTTCGGCAATGTAGCAAGACCCTGACTCCATTCATCCATCCGTCTGTCCGTCCGTCCGTCTGTCTGTTTTCAATTTAGGATATTTTCTGCTTATGTGGGGTTTACAGCCTAATAAACCTATCAAAAGTCAAGGAGCATCTGTATAAGCTTTAAAATTGCCAATAAACAGTATGGCAGTTCAACAACTTAAACATGAAATTACCATATGATCCAGCAGTTGCACTTCCGGGCATATACCCAAAAGAACTGAAAGCAGTTCTCAGAGAGATATTTGTACAGCTATGTTTGTAGCAGCATTTTTCATAATAGCCATGAATTGGAATCAACCTTAGTGTTCGTTGTTGGATGAATGGACAACAAATTAGATGTATTTGTATGTGTGTGTATGTATATGTCTATATAAAATGGAATATTATTCAGCATTAAAAAGGAAGGAAATTATAGCACATGATACAGCATGGATAAACATTGATGACATTATGCTAAATGAAATAAACCAGTCACAAAAAGACAAATACTGTATCATTCCACTTGAATGAGGTGTCTAGAATAGTCAAATTCATAGAGACAGAAAGTAGAATGGTGGTTATCATGGGTTTGGGGAAGGGGAAAATGGGTGGTTGTTATTTAGTAAGTACAGAGTTTTTGTTTTGTGAGATGAAAAGAGTTCTGGGAGCAAAGACATGGAACCAACCCAAATGCCCATCAATGATAGACCGGATAAAGAAAATGTGGCACATATACAGCATGCAATACTGTGCAGCCATAAAAAAGGAATGAGATCATGTCCTTTGTAGGGACATGGATGAGCCTGGAAATATCATTCTCAGCAAACTAACACAGGAACAGAAAACCAAACACCACACCTTTTCACTTGTAAGTGGGAATTGAACAATGAGAACACATGGACACAGGGAGGGGAACAACACACACCGAGGCATGTCGGGGGGTTGGGGGCAAGGGGAAGAGCATTAGGGCAAATACCTAATGCATGTGGAGCTTAAAACCTAGATGACAGGTTGATAGGTGCAGCAGACCACCATGGCACATGTATACCTATGTAACAAACCTGCATGTTCTGTACATATATCCCAGAACTTAAAAAAGAGTTCTGGGGATTTGTTGCATGGCAGTGTGAATATACTTACCACTGTACACCTAAAAATGGGTAGGATGGTAAATTTTATGTGTTTCACCACAATAAAATTATGTTTTTAATTGCCAATAAATATGTTTTGGATTATTGAGGTATGAGTTGTTAATTGAATTAATGCCATTTAATTGGAAGTCATTGGGAAGCTTATTTGTATTTTATGTAATATAAAGCTCAACGACATAAGAGTCGAATCACAAGATCAACTCTTATGACCCACTTCTCTTTACAGACTTCATTACTTGGGGTTTTAGGTAACAGCTGAATAACTAGAAGATGGAATTTATTACTCATTCCCCAGTGACATATAAATATGAGTATTTTTATTGAATATTTTTAACATTATCATCTTTTATCTACATCTTTTTCAACAATGACTACAAAGAACTTGGTTTTCATACCGAGAAAGAAACACATTAGGAATTTATACCTGACCAAGAAAGTAATTGTGATGGTTAACAAAACAGCTGTTACTTTTGTGCTCAGTTTCTTTGAAGTATAGTTATTATACTTAGAAATATATCATAGATACAAATTCTTCTCATAAGGATGAAGGATGAATATTTCATGCAGTTTAATATGTGTGTGTTTTGGGTTCTTGTTAACAGGGTACAGAGAAAGCACTTTCAAAACTTCACGAGTATTTCCCTGAAATGCAGATTCTAGCCGTTAGTGGTAACTATTGTACTGACAAGAAACCTGCTGCTATAAATTGGATAGAGGGAAGAGGAAAATCTGTTGTTTGTGAAGCTGTCATTCCAGCCAAGGTTGTCAGAGAAGTGAGTGACTGGATGGATAATTTATCTTTTTTATTTTGTAATCTTTAATTGTATTTAAAAATGGGGGAAAGGAGTATTAACATTTTAAATAAAGTTAAATATATGGGACAGTGTTTTCCATCAAAGATGACTGTTGTACCTTGCCCATCTGTCTGTGTGTATCATCCATAGGAACAAACTTTACTGATTTTTTTTAATTTTTTTTATTTTTTAATGGAGGACAGGGCTTAAATGGGGCCACATCTAAACTTTGTTTTCTGGAGGTTCAGAAAGATAGATTTGGGTAACATTCCCCTGAACCTTCTGGAGGAACATCTAAATGTACACAGCTCTGTTTTGTAGGTATTAAAGACTACCACAGAGGCTATGATTGAGGTCAACATTAACAAGAATTTAGTGGGCTCTGCCATGGCTGGGAGCATAGGAGGCTACAACGCCCATGCAGCAAACATTGTCACCGCCATCTACATTGCCTGTGGACAGGTGAGCTCTCCAGCCTCCACTTCTCTTGTGTTACGTCTTTCTAAGTGAAAGAAGTATATTGTATATTTTTTCTTTTCTTGTTTCCAGGATGCAGCACAGAATGTTGGTAGTTCAAACTGTATTACTTTAATGGAAGCAAGTGGTCCCACAAATGAAGATTTATATATCAGCTGCACCATGCCATCTATAGAGATAGGAACGGTGGGTGGTGGGACCAACCTACTACCTCAGCAAGCCTGTTTGCAGGTATGATGTATCAGGCATAGAGTCCACAAGCCTAGTTCTGACTCTCTGGGTTTCTCTTTCTATCTGAGACTATGTATCACTCACCTCTATTTTAATTGGTCTTTTCCAAACTCTTTTGTCATATCAGCCTAATCCATTGTGTCCAAATAAGCATGTTTAAGCTTATGCTTAGATAAGAAAGTAGATGAAGAGAGCAAATGAATGTTCATCTACTGAGTTAAGGGTACTGCCAGTCAGGCTGTGAATATTATGTTAGCTATGGTATTATGCACTGTCAGGTGTGGCTGTCAAGTCTTGGAAAGTTAGTGCTTCCAGTGGAGTCTAGTTCTATTCTGATGCCATTACAGTTGCCCTGTTTTTAGTTGATTTAGTAAGAAATTGGTCATGATTTTAAGGGTGAATCTTGTTGTGTCTCTCCCTGGCTACAGATGCTAGGTGTTCAAGGAGCATGCAAAGATAATCCTGGGGAAAATGCCCGGCAGCTTGCCCGAATTGTGTGTGGGACCGTAATGGCTGGGGAATTGTCACTTATGGCAGCATTGGCAGCAGGACATCTTGTCAAAAGTCACATGATTCACAACAGGTAAGACTCAAAGATATATTTAACATGTTCCCCCTATACTTCAAAAAATATGCAGTGTAAAAACTTACTATTCATCTACTGTAGTTCCAAGTTAAAATTCTACACTCCTGATATTTATATATTGCTACTTTGTCATTTTCTACCATAGGTCGAAGATCAATTTACAAGACCTCCAAGGAGCTTGCACCAAGAAGACAGCCTGAATAGCCCGACAGTTCTGAACTGGAACATGGGCATTGGGTTCTAAAGGACTAACATAAAATCTGTGAATTAAAAAAGCTCAATGCATTGTCTTGTGGAGGATGAATAGATGTGATCACTGAGACAGCCACTTGGTTTTTGGCTCTTTCAGAGAGGTCTCAGGTTCTTTCCATGCAGACTCCTCAGATCTGAACACAGTTTAGTGCTTTACATGCTGTGCTCTTTGAAGAGATTTCAACAAGAATATTGTATGTTAAAGCATCAGAGATGGTAATCTACAGCTCACCTCTGAAGGCAAATATAAGCTGGGAAAAAAGTTTTGATGAAATTCTTGAAGTTCATGGTGATCAGTGCAATTGACCTTCTCCCTCACTCCTGCCAGTTGAAAATGGATTTTTAAATTATACTGTAGCTGATGAAACTCCTGATTTTGTAGTTAATTTATTAAGTCTGGGATGTAGAACTTCAAGAAGTAAGAGCTAAGTTCTAAGTTCATGTTTGTAAATTAATACTTCATTTGGTGCTGGTCTATTTTGATTTTGGGGGGTAATCAGCATTATTCTTCAGAAGGGGACCTGTTTTCTTCAAGGGAAGAAACACTCTTATTCCCAAACTACAGAATAATGTGTTAAACATGCTAAATAGTTCTATCAGGAAAACAAATCACTGTATTTATCTCCGCAGGCTATTTGTTCAGAGAGGCCTTTTGTTTAAATATAAATGTTTAAATATAAATGTTTGTCTGGATTGGCTATAACATGTCTTTCAGCATTAGGCTTTTAAGAAACACAGGGTTTTGTATTCTTTACTAAAGATATCAGAGCTCTTAATGTTGCTTAGATGAGGGTGACTGTCAAGTACAAGCAAGACTGGGACCTTAGAAATCATTGTAGAAACACAGTTTTGAAAGAAAAATACCATGTCTCTAAGCCAACTTTAATTGCTTAAAAGACATTTTTATTTAGTTGAAAAATCTAGTTTTTTTTGTAAACTGTATCAAATCTGTATATGTTGTAATAAAACTTATGCTAGTTTATTGGAAGTGTTCAAGAAATAAAAATCAACTTGTGTACTGATAAAATACTCTAGCCTGGGCCAGAGAAGATAATGTTCTTTAATGTTGTCCAGGAAACCCTGGCTTGCTTGCCGAGCCTAATGAAAGGGAAAGTCAGCTTTCAGAGCCAGTGAAGGAGCCACGTGAATGGCCCTAGAACTGTGCCTAGTTCCTGTGGCCAGGAGGTTGGTGACTGAAACATTCACACAGGGCTCTTTGATGGACCCACGAACGCTCTTAGCTTTCTCAGGGGGTCAGCAGAGTTATTGAATCTTAATTTTTTTTAATGTACAAGTTTTGTATAAATAATAAAGAACTCCTTATTTTGTATTACATCTAATGCTTCAAGTGTTGCTCTTGGAAAGCTGATGATGTCTCTTGTAGAAGATGGACTCTGAAAAACATTCCAGGAAACCATGGCAGCATGGAGAGCCTCTTAGTGATTGTGTCTGCATTGTTATTGTGGAAGATTTACCTTTTCTGTTGTACGTAAAGCTTAAATTGCTTTTGTTGTGACTTTTTAGCCAGTGACTTTTTCTGAGCTTTTCATGGAAGTGGCAGTGAAAAATATGTTGAGTGTTCATTTTAGTGACTGTAATTAATATCTTGCTGGATTAATGTTTTGTACAATTACTAAATTGTATACATTTTGTTATAGAATACTTTTTTCTAGTTTCAGTAAATAATGAAAAGGAAGTTAATACCAATAAGTGTAAGCAGTAACCTTTTTTCTTTGGATTAACCCTAGCCCTGAGGTCTGGAAGCTTGTAAAGTCTGGTCATAGTAGTAACCTGTAATTCATGCTAGGACTCACATGACCATTTATTCTCAAATTCTACAACATTGATTGATAGCAGTATTCTATTACATTAAAATGAGCTCTCTTAGAGGGTTTGATTAGTTCAGATTTATCATCTCAACTAGACATCTTTTGGATAGTGAGAGTGGGAGGGCTAGTTAAGGAGAAGAGGGGCAGCCACAACCAAACAGCCATTGCAAGCATTTAAGCTGTGTGAGCTGAATTGGAGAGGGGAATTTGTACAGCTTGGTATAGCTGAGGATGGCCTCTTTAGAAATTACTGTGAGTCAGTAATTTACAGAAAATTATTGACTACACTTTTGCTGTAATTAGAGGTAAAAAGGTATGTGTGAGCACTAAGAAAGAACCAAGGCCCAGATACTAGAGAATCAGTTTGAGTTTTTCTCTGAAATGACCTGTGGTCACCTGTATGCTCAGCCCTCTCCAGGGTGGAACAGGCTGGACAGAAGAGAGTGAAGGATCTTTAAGCCTGCTCTCTGCCTGGGTGATCTGCTGAGCAATGAGATGCATGTGGCAGGACAGGATGTTTGATTTCAGGAGACGATACAGGATTAAATCTAAGGGGCACATCTCACACTGAAGAGCAAAACACATCAATACCAATCTCCTGAGCATTATGTTCATTGTGGAGATTTTTTCATGACCAGTGTTTCTCGAAGTATGCTCCTACGCTAGGTAAGTCTTGAATTTATTAATTACTTTGCCAGTTAGCAAAAATAATGGGTAACCTCTACACTGGAAGCCGAGAGAAGATGGCAGATGATTTAGTTTACAATTATATATTTAAAGCTTAACGGATTGCTTTTTTCATTTTGGTGTGCTTGGAACACAGCCCTCCTACCCCTATCCCTGCCGCTTGTTTTCCATCCTGAGCAAGTTTGAGAGCTGCAGAGGGAGGTATGGGCACTCTTGCATCAGGATGTGAGTTTTCTAACAGCTGCTCCCTAAGGCCAAAAGAAGAGCCTCACACTAACAGCTGGAGTTAGGAGGCTGAATGCAAAAGATGGCTTTAATACTGCGGCTCTCAAATGAGTGTGCATTTACCCAGAGGACCTGCTTAAACAGACTGCTGGGCCCTGCCCCAGCGATTTCTGATTCTCTTGTTCTGGGGTGGGGCCGGAACGTGGCAGTTAACAGTTGCTGCTGCTGCTGCACTAATAGGTTGGAATTTCAGTATGAGGTGCCTGGTGGGGCTTGAATGAATGGTTTTACAAAACTGTTTATTCAGTAGCACAAGGTTGGGAAACACCTGGGGAGAGACCGAGTGTTGGCTAATAAAAATTTAATTGGAATTAACCCGAGAGATGTAATAACTAACTAGAAAATGTTATTTGAATTTGGTGCTCCTCACACGCCCCCCTCCTGTCCCAGAACAACACTGAAGGTCTTCTCCATCTCTTCAACCTGTGGAGTGACTGCCCCAGAGAGAGGCATTTGCCATCACCTATTCCGTTTACCCTCCTGTTTGTTCCCTGCACTCTGCTGCAAAGGGCCAAATAGGGGGAAAAATTGAGCTCCTGTTAAGGGTATGTATCACTGTCCACTCCCCATCCTCACCCCACCTGCCCTATGAAGTTTGACTCCTTTGAACTTTAATGTCCCAGGATTGTAGTGCTGGAGCAGGATTAGACCCAGGCAACAGCATTCCAGTTGGCTAATTCTGAAGCCAGTTGGCAGGGAGCATAAAAGTAGGAGGGCCTTGTGCCAGCTGCTAAGCATACAAGGTGTGTATGTGTGTGCGCGCCAGCTAACTAAGCATACGGGGTGTGTGTGTGTGTGTGTGTGTGTGTGTCTGTGTGTGTGTGTGTTGGAAGGAAAGCATCGGGAAGTAATCCAAACTAGAAGGGCTATGGTCATCTACCCTGTGTTGATTATGGAAGTCCTTTGCTTTCATGTCACTTGCAAATTTGAAGTGGGCTGGAGTGGAGGTGGGGGGGTTGCAGTTGGGGCAATTCTGTCTCCACTCTAAAATCAGCTGGGATTGTACTCAGTAGAATCCTTGGACACAATAAAGCAAATAGAGTATTAGCCCTGCGTGATGTGTGATGTTCTCCTGTAGCCCTGAAGCTCACGAAGGAATTAACAGAGGAGCCTCTACCTTCCTGCCCATTTCACTGTCTAGACTTGGGCTATAACCTCAAAGGGCTCTTACAATGAAATCAAGCTTTGGTGCACTTCCTCAGTCCTTTCTGATCTAAGACATAACCTGTGAGCTCTCGTTCTTAAAACTCCATCCTCTAATAACAAAAGGTACTCAGATCTGTATGGAGAGCTCGCCTACCTCAGGCCAATCCTCTTTCAACACACCTGGATGCTTTTACCCAGTGGTCCCAAACCTTTTTTTGGCACTAGTGATCGGTTTCATGGAAGACAATTTTTCTACAGATGGGGTGGGGTTGGGAGGATGATTTTGGGATGAAACAGTTCCACCTCAGGTCAGGCATTAGATTCTCATGAGTGCAACTAAATCCCTCACATGCGCAGTTCACAATATGGTTCTTGCTCCTATGAGAATTTAATGCTGCTGCTGATCTGACAGGAGGCAGAGCTCAGCCTAATGCTCGCTCTCCTGCTGCTCACCTCCTGCTGTGCAGCCTGCTTCCTAACAGGACATGGACCAGTACCTTATTCAACTGTACAACAGTTAAATAACTGAAGCTTGCTGGTATAGCCAAGAGAATGGTAATTTTAAATGGAAAGTTATTGGGGGAAAAGCCATCTTTAACTTGCTCAGGACAGCATTTAACTATGCCAGTAGAACTCAAACCTTGAACACCCCATCAGAAAAAGTTCTGGACACGCACCTCCAATAATTTTGTTTTTTGAGACAGTCTCACTCTGTTGCCCAGGCTGGAGTGCAGTGACGCAATCTTAGCTCACTGCAACCTCCGTCTCCCAGGTTCAAGTGATTCTCCTACCTCAAGCCTCCCAAGTAGCTGGGATTACAGACATGCACCACCGTGCATGGCTAATTTTTATATTTTTAGTAGAGACAGGGTCTCACCATGTTGGCCAGGCTGTTAATATTTCTTGATAAATTATATTGAATTATATACATTATCAAACAAAAAATTAAATGATAAAAAATATATAAAAATAAAAGCCAAAGATTTTTTATTCTGTACTGCAGAGATAAATCTTGCCCCCATTTTTTCCAGACTGAGGTCTCTGGAAGGCAGGGACTATGTCTTTTCTTGTTACCTTAAACAAGTGCCTTACATTAAAGGTCTAAGTTTGTTGAATGGCCGAGGCAATAAATTAATATACTCCACACTTATGCCAAACAGAAAACAGTCACAACAGAGGAAGGCAGTGTTGAGGGAGCTGGAAATCCAGAGACTTCCATTCCAGTCCTTGCTATGGCACTGACTAGCTGTGAGACCTTACGCTATTCACTTCCTATCTCGTCTTCAGTTTCCTTGTGAAATGACAGTTGGATTCGCTGGCTTCTAAGGAGGTATCTAGCTCTACGTAGTCTATGAAATGCTGTATTTATTGTGTCCTCATATAAACACAGAATCAGTTTATCATCCAAAGATGGAAACATGTATATTTTTGTAGTGGATGATATGAATCTCATGTGTATTGATACTTTAGAGAACAGCCTAGTACCTTCCACAGAGCACCACAGGGATTGTCAGCAGAGGTGACTCAGTCAATCTTTGTTTTCATCGTCTCTCCTCAGCAGTTGCAGCTAACTAGCCATAACCCTTTGCAGCCCAGACCTACTGTGGGCTGCCCTGCATTTCTTTTGACCCCTTGCTTATCTGCCACTATCTCTGGCTGGGAGAGCTGGCATCTCTTTATAAAGCTTAAGTCCTAGGGGAAAAGAAGATAATGGTGTTCCTTTTCCTGGATCTCATCCTTGCACCTTCTCATTGAAGTTAAAAACTCTTCTGCCCCTCCAGGTTCATTTACTGCTATTCACAACCTATCCATATTTTTTTTTTCACTTTTTTGCCACCTTAAACATACACTCCATTGAAACTGCTCTCTGACTTTAGGTGGGGCCTTGTGTTCTACTGGTCAGTTGAGCTGATAAGCTACAGCCTAGCTTATTAGTAGAGCTTCTAGACTAATACAACAAGCAATATCATAGTAGTTATATAATCCAAATACAAAGGAAAAGGACATATTATAGAACTGAATAACAGTTGAGGGGGTGCAGTGGCTCACGCCTGTAATCCCAGCACTTTGGAAGGCCGAGGTGGGCAGATCATCTGAGGTTGGGAGTTCGAGATGAGCCTGACCAACATGGTGAAACCCCATCTCTACTAAAAATACAAAATTAGACAGGCGCGGTGGCACATGCCTGTAATCCCAGCTACTCGGGAGGCTAAGGCAGGAGAATCGCTTGAACCCAGGAGGCAGACGTTGCAGTGAGCCGAGATTGCGCCATTGCACTCCAGCCTGGACAAGAGCAGAACTCCATCTCAAAACAAAAAAAAACCCAACAAAACACCACCACCACCACCATCAGGCTTATGGCGTAATCCCAGGATTTTGGGAGGCTGAGGTGGGCAGATCACTTGAGGCCAGGAGTTCAAGACCAGCCTGGTCAACATGGAGAAACCCCCATCTCTACTAAAAACATAAAAATTAGTCTGGCGTGGTGGTGCATGCCTTTAATCCCAGCTACTCGGGAGGCTGAGGCATGAGAACCACTTGAACCCGGGAGGCGGAGGTTGCAGTGAGCTATCGCACCACTGCACTCCAGCCTGGATGACACAGCGAGACTCTGTATCAAAAAACAAAACCAAAACCATTTGACTTATTCCCTATTCAAACGAAACCAGGTGGCAAGACCCACAGATATTTCTAAAACGTGTACAATAATAATGCTCCAAAAAGTCCCTCGGTGTCTCCCATTGCTGGCAGAACAAAGATCAAACTTTACACACTTCAAGGTTTTCTACCAACTGCCTGTGCCTCTCCCCCTAGTCTTCTCCCTTACTGGTTATGTCCTGGAGGTAGACTAAACCCCAGACAAGCCAAGTAACTTACAGTTCTGCTCAAAGCCTCCAAATGTTTGCAACTTGTCATTATTCCTGTCTCTTGCTCATCTTCCTATCTCTACCATTCAAAACCCAGCACCTAGCACATATTTGTAGTTGCCTTAGTATTCCTTAGTATTTGCATAGTACTTTAAAGTTTTTAAAGCACTAAAATACATTATCTTGCTCTTCCCCAAACCACCCTGTGATGTAGCCATAGTAGGTGGCTTTGTATAATTTTATAGATTAAAATAGACTTAGACACATTAAAATGATTTGCCCAAGATAAAAGCTGTTCAAGTGAGAGAGCAAGAGAACCTCTGGTCTTCTGACTTCTAAGTCTCATTCTTTCTCAGTATGTTTAACACATGGTAACCAGGAACTTGGAAATTTACTTAGAAATAACAACAACAAAAACCTACTGGATGCTGGGAATGAAAAGTGAGTCACAGACTATAAATTGTAGTTTTAAATTAAAATGAATACCATTAATGTGGTGCTATCAATGTACAGAGGTTGGTAAACTTAAAACACAGCAACAACCTATTTCCTATCTATCTTTTGAGAACTGAGAACCAAGAATTAAAAACACTTTTGTACATCTCAAATGTGGCTAAATCTATTGTTCAATGTACCTTATTCAAATGCTTCTGATCTCAAATCCTTTTTTTTTTTTTTTTTTTTTTTAAGATGGAGTCTTGCCCTGTCGCCCAGGCTGGAGTACAATGGTGCAATCTTGGCTCATTGTAACCTCTGCCTCCCGGGTTCAAATGATTCTCCTGCCTCAGCCTCCCGAGTAGCTGGGATTACAGGTGCCCGCCACCACACCCAGCTAATTTTTGTATTTTTAGTAGAGACGGGGTTTCACAATGTTGGCCAGGCTGGTCTCGAACTCCTGACCTCGTGATCCACCTGCCTCGGCCTACCAAAGTGCTGGGATTACAGGTGTGAGCCACCGCGCCCGGGCCAGCCTATTTCCTTTAACTTTGGATACATTTCTTAAAAGCCTGGTTATGACAACAATGAAGGCTATATGCTGGTTATCGTTTATCTCCAATCCTTCATGGCATGTAGTAGGAGCTCAATAAATACTTGCTCTGGGAACTGTTTTAGGGTGCTGGGGAATTACTGATATCCAATTTGCTAAAGTGTTTTGGACATTGACTAAACCTTGATTTAGCTGCTGCACGCAGATTCCCTGCTGCTGGACCCAGTTACCACTTAAACCTCCCAATCCTAACAACGGTAATACAGAAAAGAACCACAGTAAACCAAGCTGCAGTGAATCCAAAGCTCGCTTTATTTCCTCAGTGGTCATTCTGTGGCAGGCAGCCAACAAAACAGTGATAGTTATATTGCAGCTCATCCTTGGGTTGAAAATCTGGGATAAAATCCTTGGGCTTGTTTGTAGTAGTGTTTTATGACTCAGTTTCCTGTTTCATCCTCTGAGCTGGAGGACAGGAAGAAAGTTTAAGCACCTAATTGTGATCAAATTTCATCTTTACTGCCCTCCTTTCTGTATCTGGTGGGATTTTGTAAGACACATCGTTATAAAAGCCCCTTGACTTATGATGGGGCTACATACTGATAAGCCCCACTGTAAGTTGAAAATAAAACAATAATGTACTTTTGACAGAAGCACCTCCATTTATGATGTGGCTATGTGCTGATAAGCCCACTGCAAGTTGAAAATAACGTAAGTTGAAAACTTTTTTTTTTTTGGAGACAGAGTCTTGCTGTATCACCCAGGCTGGAGTGCAGTGGTGTAATCTCAGCTCACTGCAACTTCCACCTCCCGGGATCAAGCAATTCTCCTGACTCAGCCTCCTGAGTAGCTGGGGATTACAGGTGCATGCCACCACACCCAGCTAACTTTTTTATTTTTAGTAGAGACAAGGGGTTTCACCATGTTAGACAGGCTGGTCTTCAACTCCTGACCTCAGGCAATCCACCCGCCTCAGTCTTCCAAAGTGCTGGGATTACAGGTGTGAGCCGCTGCCCCCGGCTGAAAATGTACTTTTGACTTACGGTATTTTCCATATATGACTGGTTTATCGGAACGCAGCCCCATGGTAAGTTGGAGTGTACTGTATTTGTAGTGCTTTGCATAAAGTCGAACAATCATAAATCGAACCATTGTTAAGGAACCATGTGTATTTGGAATTTTGTGAAGCCAATATTGAAGTGTGGGACTAAGACCCATACACCAAAATTGCTAGTCTTCAAGCATGTTAGCTCTTTCTAGTCCATCAAACACTATATTCTAGATATTACACATAGGCATTAAAAAGTAGAGTCTAATGGGAAAAAAAAAAACTTAAGAGTCAGGGAATCAGTAGGTTTGTAACCCCAACCTGTTCCCTCATCTGTAAAACAGGGGTGGTACCACCAATCACCGCTACCACCTCCACAGGACTGTTGAGTGGGGAGGAGTCAGAAAAGGCATAGTGCCGGTACAGACACGGCGGAGATACCCTCACACACCACCTCATCAACCACAGAGCCTGGGTGACAGGAAAATCCTGGTTTGGCATCTTCTAATAACTTCAGAGATCTTAAAGATTTGTTCTAGTACTAACCTCACAGAATTCTATAGGAAGAGAGAATGAAGAGGCCAAATAAAGTAGCTTCACTTATGGTATTTGTGCAAGGCTATTCAAAGTATACAGATGTGGAACGTTCACAGAAAATGTGTCTTAAAAGGTAGACAATATAAATGATAGTATGAACTCTGTTGTAACCAAGTTCGAATAATGGCAAGAAAATCTGGAAGATCCTATAAAAGCAACCTCATTTGAAACTGCTAGTTAGAACTACACCTTATTTGCAGGTTATATGCCAAAGTCAAGTCTAAAGAAAAACTGCACAGTTAAAAGTGCCCTAGAAAATCCCTCTAGGAATGAGGACCACATAATATTTCTCTGTCATCAAATTCAACACAAGTCAGATTTTCCCTCCAGCATCCCACCAGATTAAGTAGTTGGCTTTTGTTTACAGATCACATTGTTTGGATGGCATGTATCTTTGAACACTAGGAGAGAAATATGCTCAGTGCCTTTCAATATGAATCCACTGACTGAGTGAAATGGAAGTCCACACTTCCCATTTCATGGTTGTTCTAGGGCATAAATTACCTGAGTGCAACAAGTGGAGCTGAGATTAAACGAGATTTAAATAAATGAGATTATTTATTTATGATTAAATGCATACAGCTCAATTACAAAATAAGTGTGTATCATTCACCAGCACTGTGCTTCCATTTTAGAAACACCCAAGTGAATATGGCTTCTCTACCAATCTTTTAAAACTTCTGGATGTGATCCACAGTAAGAAATTCATTGTAAACTGTAACCCATTACACACGTATGTGTAATACATATGACAAAAGATACACAAAATATTTATTACATGTCATGTACTTGATATATTCCTCCTGTTATATTTTGTTAAAAAAAAAACTGAGCTGGGCGCGATGGCTGAGGCCTGTAATCCCAGCACTTTGGGAGGCCCAGGTGGGTGGATCATCTGAGGTCAGGAGTTTGAGACCAACCTGGCCAACATGGCGAAACCCTGTCTCTACTAAAAATACAAAAATTAGCCGGGCATAGTGCCTCATGCCTGTAATCCCAGCCACTCAGGAGGCTGAGGCACAAGAATCACTTGAACCTGGGAAGTGGAGGTTGCAGTGAGCCAAGATCCCACCACTGCACTCCAGCCTGGGTGACAAAGCAAGACTCTGTCTCCAAAAAAAAAAAAAAAAAAAAAAATTTAGGCTGCAACTCAGTAGTTTTCTTGATCCCTAACTGGGTTACGGGAAGAACACTGAATTTCAAGCTCTTAACTATTCAGAGTAGGGCAATATCTCAGGGTTAAGGAAAACAAATCAAGCCAGCATATTTGTCCATAATATTTTAATACTTTTCCACTTTAAATACTGGTTTTAATTCTGTGATTGTAACATGGAAGATCCAACTTTATTGTGTTTAAAAAACATCATCAGGATCATAAAGCTATTATAGAAGTTACTCTACACACTCCCAAGGTACTTTAAAATGATTATGTTTTGAGTCTGTAGATGAACCATGACAAAATCCAAATACATCGTCTGTACAACTCGGACTAAATACTGGTGAAAAGTGTTTAATTGGACAAATAACTGATAAGCTTAAAGATAACCAGCACAATTTCACAAGAGAACCAGCTCAGCCCAACTAAAAATTTCTTAATAGCAATTGACACTGAAGTTGTATTAAGTGTATAAATTAGTTGATGAAACTGAACAAATAGAAAACCCATTCCTCCTTTTCCTTATTTTGCCTTCTTACACCTCCCTTGCAGATATAACCCTCCTTTGGTTTAGCTACCCCTGTGGCAATTCCAAACCAAGTACTGCAGTGATCATCCTCTACCTCAAAACCAGGAGTCCTGAATTCCAACTGAAACACTGTACTCTCTTGTCCTGTACAGTGGGCAGTCAGGGACAAAATCCCCACATCACCAATATATTTCAAGTTTCTAACATAGCACAAAAGAGTAACTGAGTAGAAAAGAGAGTAAAGGGTAGTTTTTTTTCTTTTAGTTTGGGGGAAGACAAATATCTGTAGATGAGAAAACATGAATATTCAGGATGTAGGAATCAGCTTAATGAAAATAATTGTAGAGGGTCTAAATGTTGTCCAGAAGGCCAGTACCTCTCCAAATTCTGACCTCTTTTGGACTCTTTCCACATTCCCCAATTTATTTCTCAATCTGATTGGGTGGGATTAACTCTAGTGAGGTACAAGTGCAGTTATCTAAAGGTAAAATGTTATCTTTTCTTCTTTTAATACAAATATTTTAGTGTAATCCTTTTATTTACAGAATCAATTGCAAAAGTATATCATCACATTTAGTCCAAATGCAACTAATGATAATTAGATTTAGATATTGCTTTGTAAACTTGCCATACTTCTGTAAAATAAAGCTATCCAATTCAGTTATGAAAGAGTTAACTGTCTGTGTTCATGATAGTTACCAGAAATGGCAAACAGAGAAACATTTATAGTGCGCATATAGAATTTTTTTGAAGATTCTTATCAGCGGCTATGGTGAATAAACCTGCCCTCCCCAACCCCCCCATTCTCCCATCCCAACCCCATACCCCACAGCTGATTGTAAAATAAAATACACATTTGAGGTATAAATTTTTCTTTTTTAAACATCACAATATAAAATGTTAACTGGTGATGTAGTAAACCAACATGATAATTTGTCTTATTTGCCTTACTAGCATTACCACCATATAGGCACTTTTCCACGTAGTCAAATTATGAACAGCATTTTTCTATAAGGCATATTCCATGCACATCATTTACAGAAAGGTAAATTAAAAAATAGAAAAGATTATGGAGCATGAAATCCGCGTGCATGTAATGTAAGCATATGTTTTATATGTATTTTTCTCTCTGTACAGAATAATAAATATCACTATATCTGATGCAAGTAATTCACTTCCAGGATTGTGCATATTAAGCGATCAGACTAATCCCATCATTAAATTATTATCTTGCACTTATCATTAAGACTCCATTACCATGTATGTGATATATACAGGACATGTTCCATGTAACATGATTTTCCGCTTTACAAAATGGGTCTGATTTCTGTGTTTTTACAGAGCTGAACAAGTCAGCAAAGCATCTACAAAATGCCTCTGATTTGTATAAATACACTGGTGTGTAAACACAATGAAGATTTTGAAGTGGGCAGTCATTTCAACTTCAGTGAGTACTATTCCTTGCCTCATCTCCATGCTTCAATGTTGTTTACAGGACTTAAACTGAAAAAGGTATTTTACATTTTAAGTTCTTACAGCAACAAAGAAAAGCATTTCAGTTTAAATCATGTGGAATCCTTACCGCTCTGCTGAAGTTTCTGATCAAAAGGCAAAGAGAGGCATTGCTCACATTTTCTATGTATACTTTGCAACATATCTTTTAAACTGACCCAAACTGGAAGAACAAACATATATACCCGTTACTGAATACCAGAAATATTGAATTAAATGTCAAACTCAGTCTGATTTGCTTTAAACAAGTGATACCATATACTATCTTAGAAATTTCAAGAAAACATGAACTTATCTTGACCATTTTCCAGAAAGTAGTCTATACCAACAAGATTTGTACAGATGTTTCTGTTTGGAGACAGGCAGAACCAATTTAGGGCTTACCAAATTGTGTTCATAACAAACTGAAAAAAATCTCTAGTACACAGTACACAACTAAAAAATATAATAGAAATATAAAGATATCTAGGGGAAGAAATAAAGCTTTTCACTTTCTCCATCAGAACCAAGGTTCTTCATGGGAGTAAGACTATAGAAAAGGCAAAATCACAGGTTACTGACAGCCCTCAGTTATTAAGAGACACATGACAACATGAATCATTATAGAAATCAGCAGCAATGAATTCTATGATTATACAAAGCAAAAAAGTCAAAAAATTCTGGACACAGATTTGACTGTAGGCCTGAAAAAAGAACCTCATCCAGATATTTGGTGCACAGAAAGCACATGCCCCATGTGCATTCAACTTTTGTGCTTTTCTTTTGTGCACAAAACCTGATACAACAGAGGATCTTAGGCCGGACCATAGTAAATTAAAAATTCTGAAAAAGTATCCAAAAATTAAAGCATCAATTCCTAGTTGTGATTCAAAGTTGATTTTTTTTTCTCTTCTAGGAGCAAGCAAATAAAAATATAGCCATATACATGTAATTTTACATGTATTTATAGTTATATGCTGAGCAAGGAGATCTAGCAAGAGATAGCTAGTGTTAGATGTTCAGCTTTGCTATTGCAATATTTTGTCATTTTTGTACACAAGGCCAAGGTCTTGGGCCACAGACAAGGCTATAGATCCTACGTTCCAGCTTAGAGCATTCAGCTTTTTTTTTTCTTTTTTTCTCCAACATGGAATGTCACACAGCCTTGCTTCAGTCACTGAAGGAAAAAAAAAAAAAAAAAAGACAAGTAAAAAACTCAGCAGTATGTTTGCTACGAACAGCTGCAAGACTACCAGAACAGAGTTCTCCCACCCTCCATATTCATGGAATGCATGGAATCTCTATTAAAATTTATCATTATGAATGCAAAATTATTAACCTTACAAATTTGAACTTATTCCATCAGCAAGGAATCAAAGGTATATGGAATTTTTCAAAAGTTAGAAAAAAAAACGGGAACAGTCCTCTCTACAGTCCAGGCCTCCAAGATGACAAAGAAAAGAAGGAACAATGGTTGTGCCAAAAAGGGCCACAGCCACGTGCAGCCTGTTTGCTGCACGAACCGTGCCTGATGCGTGCCCAAGGACAAGGCCATTAAGAAATTCGTCATTTGAAACACAGTGAAGGTCGCAGCAGTCAGGGACATTTCCGAAGCGAGTGTCTTTGATGTCTATGTGCTTCCCAAGCTGTTATGTGAAGCTATATTACTGTGTGAGTTGTGCAACTCACAACAAAGTAGTCAGGAATCGATCTCATGAAGGAGAAGGATCGAACACCTCCACCCCAATTTAGACCTGCGGGTGCTGCCCCATGACCCCCACCAAAGCCCATGTAAGGAGCTGAGTCCTTAAAGACTGAAGATGGACTATTCTCTGGAGAAAAATAAAATGGAAATTGTACTTAATATTGCATGCTGAGTGTATCTGTGCCACCTAGGGTGAGAATTTTGTGTGTGTGTTAGACCAAGTGTGAAGTGACACAGTGTATTTTCATGGAGAAGAAAGCTTATTCATGTAAATCAAATCTTAATTGTTTGCAGTCACATCCTTGGCCTCACAATTTGCATAGTTGTGTAAAATAAAGGGGGCACAGGCACCTGAAAAAAAAAGGGCAATATAGGTGAGCAGAGGTAATCAGTGAAAGGTCTCTGGATTTTTACTCCACAACATGGCATTTCTTTCCTCTTAGCCTGCAATAAAAATTATGACATACAATACTACTTACCAAGAATTTAAAAAATGTATTCAAGCTATGAGAGAGAGGCCTGCCTTATTTAATCAACAAACATGCTCAGACCTCTTTGTCAAATGAGTTTAAAAGTTTTTACTGGCGGGGCTAGGTGGCTCGCACCTGTAATCCCAGCACTTTGGGAGGTTGAGGCAGGCGGATTGCTTGAACTCAGGAGTTTGAGACCAGCTTGGGAAACATGGTGAAACCCCAACTCTACTAAAAGTATAAAAAATTAGCCGGGCATGGTGGTGTGTGCCTATAGTCCCAGCTACCCAGGGAGGTAGGAGGAACACCTGAGCTTGAGAAGTTGAGGCTGCAGTGAGCTGAGATCGCTCCAGTGTACTCCAACCTGGGCGACAGGAGTGAGATGCTGTCTCAAAATAAATAAATAAATAAATAAATAAATAAATAAATAAATAAATAAATAAAATAAATAAAAATATATATTATATATAATATATATATAAAGTTTTTACTGTTAAACAACTTTGGATCTTATTAACTCTTTACAGAACTTTCTCTAAAGATGATACACACATTATTGAATGTTACTATTTTTTTCCATCACCAAAATTAAGAATGTTCGCTTTCCTAGGGTTTCAATGCTGGGTTCGACTTCATACATTTATCTTCCATAATTATTGTAAAAAAAAAAAAAAAGTTACGTTACAGTAACAAAGATTTTACCATGTTAAGGTTTGAATTTGGATCTTTGTTAGAAAGAAGCTCAATCTGGACTCAAAAAGCCAAATCTGAGTTTGGGCCAATGAATCTTTTCAGCTGTATCTTTGCACACATATACATGTACCCACAAACAATAGACCTCTCTTCCCCAGAGATGAATTTTTTCAGATTCCAAGCTCCTCCCTCCCAGGTCCACAAATGAAAAATCTGTGAACATACACATGCACACACACAGAGAGTCAATGAAACACCGCTCTAAATCCAAGTCTAGAAGCAAATGCTGCTAATATCCTACCATTTATCTTTCAACTGTTTAAAAAATTATTCTTCTCAAATATAATTGAGAGCATGTTTTACACACAACTGCATTCAGATTTCTCTTGCTTTAATACAAAGTTGTATTTCTGCCTTGCTTGGTTGAATATCTGAGAACCTTTGGTAAGGAAGTCATCATAAAGCATCAAGAGGGAGGCCGTTTCAGTGAGGTCATAGTGAAGAAGAGAGAAGGCAGATATAGTTAGAGTGAAACAAAATCTGGTCTTGGATAGAGTGAAACAGCACCACTTTAAAAACCCTAGAGGCCATGGCAAAGAGACACACAGCGAAGCAGGGTGATAAGCCTGTTGCTGTCACGTGCCATCAGTTTTCTGGTTTATTTGATAAATATGGCACAGACTCAGAATCGATAAGAAGTAATGTGTCCAGATCTAGCTATAACAATTCTAAAGTACAAGATATAAAAATTGTCAGCACACTGAATGCAGTGCACTTGTGCTTGAAGAGAGAATCCCTAAAGGGTAAGGCTATATTCCAAAACACCAATCATTCAGGTAACTAAGACTGGAACCTATTTAATATTTTCAAATACCCTTTTTCCTGGGATAAAGCTAAACAACTGAGACATCAATGCAATATCCCTTATGTTAGTATGGGATATTAGTTAGTATCGGACAATAAATTTAGCTTTTGCATTTTTTAAAAGAAAGACATACTATAAACATCATTAGAAATCAGACTTGTTTAAAATTATTTCATTATATAATTGACTATTATTTTTAGCTAAAGAAAAGGACTCAAGAATATACATTTCTCAGTCAATTATTTAACATCCAGTGTAGGTGAGAATGAGAGAATATTCATGTTATTGCTTACCATTTGTGTATCACAATTGGCAATATCTACTAATATTTTAAATGTTATTACAAAATAGAATTTATAGAAATAGTACTATACAAAAGATTCTCAATGGACTAAAGCAGGCTTAAACTCAGTCATAAGAAGAGGAATACAATTAAAACTACACTGAGAGAGTATTTTTCACCTAATGAGTTGGGAAAGTTATAAAGTTTTGTTTTACACGTTGTATGAAAAACTGTGGGACACAGGGACTCCAATTCATTATTGCTGTTGAGATGGTCAATTACTATAACCTCTATGAAAAGTAGTATCTAAATTATGCACAAACCCCTAGCAGGGCCAGTAGTACCACATCTATTAATTTTCCCACATATAAACTTGCAAGTACAAAATGACATATGGATACAATTATGACACTGCTCTGGCAGAAATTGGAAACTGTAATATTCGCCAATGCAGAACTGATTAAATAAATTATGTACATCTATACAATGGGATACTGTATAACCATCAAAATGAGGAAGCTCCTTACAAATATGTGAGACCTTCAAGATAAAATAAATGCAAATATAAGATGTTGAACAGTGTTTATAGTATGCTGCTGCTTCTTTAACAACAAAAAAAGTGTATCTGTGTAGAAAATACACTTGTATTTGTTCATTCAAGCATTAAAAACTTTCTAGAAGAAACTAGTAATAGCATATGTTAATACTATATGGTGAATGCAAGACAGGGTAAATTTTACTGTATAACTTTTTCATACTTTTGACTTTATTTATTTATTTTTTGACAGACATTACCTGTCCAGGCTGGAGTGCAGTCGTGTAATCACAGCTCACTGCAGCCTCAAACTCCCAGACAAAGCGATCTTCCTGCTTCAGCCTCCCAAGTACCTAGGACTATACATGTATACCACCACGCCTAATTGTTTTTTGTCAAGATGGAATCTTGCTATGTTATCCAGGCTAGACTTGAACTCCTGGCCTCAAGCCATTCTCCCACCTCAGTCTCCCAAAAAGTGTTGGGATTACAGGTGTGACCCACTGCACCTGGCCACTTTTGGCTTTTAATCATGTTAACGTATCACTTACTTTAAAAAGTTAAAGATTTTGGGCTGAGTGCAGTGGCTCACGCCTGTAAACCCAGCATTTTGGGAGGCCCAGGAGAGCAGGTCACCTGAGGTAAGGAGTTCGAGACCAGCCTGGCCAACATGGTGAAACCCTGCCTCTACTAAAAATACAAAAATAGGCTGGGCGTGGTGATGGACGCCTGTAATCCCAGCTACTCGGGAGGCTGAGGCAGGAGAATCGCTTGAACCTGGGAGGCAGAGGTTGCAGTGAGCCAAGATTGCACCACTGCACTCCAGCCTGGGCAGCAAGAGAGAAACTTTGTCTCAACAACACCAAAATAAAGTTAAAGATTCTACCTCTTTGCATAAAGGTGTTCAGTGCTGTACTGGTTGACAGTAAAAATATGGAACCAACTCAGACATTAACATGGGACTAGTTAATAAATTCTGCAACATGCATGTAACAGATGTTAAAAGAATGAGATGTTTTACACATCTCATGTCTTATAAAGAAAGATAGTCAAGATACATTGTTAAGTGAAAAAAAGGTTATAAAACAAGAATTTTGTATAATAGTAAGTATAAACATTTTAACATTCAAAAATATGTCAGTACATACACAGAAAAATCTGGAGGAATATACAACAAAAATAACAGTTTCTGGGAAAGGAAAGAATACAGGAAGTTTGCACTTCTACAATTCTACAGTTCTATAATATCAAAATTTCTTTACATAAGCATTAGAAGAAAAAGGAAACAATAAAAGAATTAAGTTTTAAAGGCTATAAACTACAATTTTCAAGGCCAGGCACGGTGGCTCATGTCTGTAATCCCAGCACTTTGGGAGGCTGAGGCAGGAGGATTGTCTGAGGCCAGGAGTTCAAGACCAGCTTGGGTAACATAGCAAGACCCCTATCTCTACAAAAAATAAAAAATTAGCTGAGCATGGTGGCACATGCCTGTGGGGACTCCCAGCTACTGGGAAGGCTGAGATGAGAGGATTGTTTGAGGCCAGAGGTTGAGGTTGCAGTGAGCCGTGATGGTGTCATTGCACTTCAGCTTAGGAAACAGAGCAAGACCCTGTTTAAAACAACAACAACGACAACAACAAAAACCAACGAAACAATACTCTATAGGGGAACATCAAAAAACATAGTAAATACTTTCAACAACTAAATTTTAGTATTGACAGTCATATTAGTCAAATAAAGTTAAAAAAAGATAAAACATATCTTCTAGTACCTGTTAATACTAGAACAAAATAGGCTTTCCTGCAGTTTTTTCTTGGACGTAAGAAGTAAAACGTTTTAGAAATTTAGGATACTCTCGCTTTGCCACTGCCCTTAACACTGAGGCTGGTGCCCATCCTCCAGGGTTCACTGCAAGATAAAGGAAAATTAAAATGTATTAAGATACAATTCTCCAAACATATGTGAAGCACTTAATTTGTTCCCTTGTTTTTAAAATATTCCTCACATTGGACCAATTAGCATCTTTTTTTTTTCTTTTTGAGACGGAGTCTTGCTCTGTTGCCAGGGTGCAGTGCAGTGGCGCGATCTTGGCTCACTGCAACTTCCGCCTCCGGGGTTCAAGTGATTCTCCTGCCTCAGCCTCCGGAGTAGCTGGGATTACAGGTGCACGCCACCATGCCCAGCTAATTTTGTATTTTTAGTAGAGATGGGTTTTCACCATGTTGGCTAGGATGGTCTCGAACTCTTGACCTCATGATCCGCCCGCCTCAGCCTCCCAAGGTGCTGGGATTACAGGCTGAGTCACTGTACCCAGCTGGACCAATTATGATCTTTTAAGTCCCAACCCTTCATTCCTTAACACTATCCATCAGACATAATCAGACAGCAAATAAGAAAGCATCTATAACCTTTCTACAATGTTCTTAGTTCCCGAAATTACCTGCAAAAATTAGTATAGCACCACTTAAGGTTATTTAGGGCAGATTATTCACAAATCTGTACTATAATGAAATAGTAACTTACTCAGGTACAACTGTTTCTTTGAACATACTAGCAGTTATGGCCCTGTATAAAGAAGGTATGACTTTTGATGAGAGAGGTTGCAATGATTACTCCAGGTGCAAAGCAGGTGAAGTAAGGACCCAAAGCAAGCAATGAAAAGACCTATCCAAAGTGAAACAAATATATGTAACTAGCAACTAATAAGGACTAGGGAAACGCTGACTCAGAAAACAAAAAGCCTGACAATGAATGTCAAAGAGAAATAAATATGTAACTAGCAACTAATAAGGACTAGGGGAACATTGATTCAGAAAGCTAAAAAGGCTGACAATGAGTAAAAGAACTCTTAATTTCCTTCCCCACTGTTGCTTATATTCCTAATAATAAATCTGTTCTATGAGGCAAATATCTAAGAAAATGGTGCTTAATATGAAGGCTAGGTCGAGCGCAGTGGCTCACGCCTGTAATCCCAGCACTTTGGGAGGCCGAGGTGGGTGGATCACGAGGTCAGGAGTTCAAGACCAGCCTGGCCAAGATGGTGAAACCCCGTCTCTACTAAAAATACAAAAAACTAGCCAGGCGTGGTTGTGGGCACCTGTAATCCCAGCTACAGAGGCAGAGAATCGCTTGAACCCAGGAGGCGGAGGCTGCAGTGAGCTGAGACTGCACCACTGCACTCCAGCCTGGGCAACAGAACGAGACTCCATCTCAAAAAAAAAAAAAAAAAAAAAAGAAGGGTATATACAGTGACCTAGGGATAAAGTTTTAAAATTTTCCTATCCAGCTCTAGCTTCAGAAATACTCATATAGTAGTAGTTCCAGGGTGAAATTCAGACATCTGTACTTTCAAAGATTCTCTAGTAATTCTGATATACCTTTCTCCAAATTAAAAATTAGTAATCTAATGGATAAGAACTAAAAAGGCATTTGTCCAAATTGTTGTCATATAGGTCATGATCAAGAACAGCCACATTATCAAAGAGCAAAAACAATAAAATACATACCATTAGCTACATATGTAATCTTGCATAGAATGTTGTCCCTGCTAATTTCCTGGTTTCCCTCTGGTGGGCTTACCAAGGTTTGACAAATCATAGCAACATTTATTTTGGCACGGACACATCGGTTGTTTAGCTGCCAAAACAAAAAACAAAGCATCAGTAGATACCCAGTATTTTGTAAACTCTGCTGGTCTAATATTATATTAGGTTAACCAAAATCGTAACTCTTAAAAGTATCTCCAGTGAAATCTTATAAGCACCAAGCTGATATGACACCAGGATTCCTCCCCACCCACTTTTTCTGGGGACAAGGTCTTGCTCTGTTGCCCACTCTGGAGTGCAGTGGTGCCATCATAGTTCACTGCAGCTTCAAACTCCTGGGCTCAAAGCAATCCTCCCGCCTCAACCTCCAGAGTAGCTGGGACCACAGGTGCACATCACCAGGCCTGGCTAATTAAAAAAAAAAAAAAAATTTTTTTTAATAGAGATGGGGTCTAACCATGTTGCCCAGGATCCCTTCCTCTTAAGTAGTAAATGGAGCTAAATTGTGGTAAACCACAGAGGTTTGGCTGGCAGTTGATAACGGCTTAAGAGATAACTGTGGGAAGTAGCCTACTGCCCAGTGTATGTACTGCCCTTTTGGCTGTTTCACGAAACATTAGAAGGAAAGGTAAACGGCCCTGGTGGAATGTTCATAGGCATGACTGTTGCCCTCAGACAACACATGGGCTATACTGTTCCTAGCAGTCAATCCAACATAAAATCTAAGAACCATTATCAAATCAAGTATAGTGTATGGGCTGTGTTTATCATTTTTGTCCCGCATTGTGTATTTAGCTTTATATTGTTTAATTATACACATTTATATACATGTACTTACAGGAGCACTGTCATGATCCACAGAAAAATTACAAACTATCCAAGTTTCAGGGTCATTTTCAGTCAAGGCTGGTATCTTTCGAATGACAGAAAGATATAATACGTCTCGCTGAGAAGCAGGCCACACCCTCTGTGGAGAAGTAAAAATCTTTTGAAAAACAGATCTAACATGGAACTAACAAGAGAAACGTAATGCCAATAAATGTCTTAATTGAAGGTAAAATCTCTCAAATTTTAAATGGAAAGCATCTGAGGATATCTACCAAATGATTAATTATGAACAGAGTTAATAGCTTTGCAGAACAATATAATAAAAGGAATAATGTTCTATTTTTTTAATTGCAGTAAAATATATACACGTATAATTTGTCATTTTAACTAACTTTTAGGGTACAATTCAGGGACATTAATTACATTCACAGTGTTATGTAACCATATTGCTATCTCTGAAATTTATCATCATCCCAAACAGAAACTCTGTACCCAGTAAGCAACAACTTTCCATTCCTCTCTCCTCATACTCCATGATTATGTTCTACTTAGATTCAAAGATTTAATGAAAAAAGACTTATTTGAATCAAATCACATTAGAAAGAATTCTAAGTCACTTAGATTAAATATTTCAATATTAAGGTATGCAAGGGGAAACATATACTATGGGAATGACATGGAGCCTAGGTCTTCAATAAATGGGACTACCTACTTTAAATGAGAAAAAAAACCTTTTATCCTATTTAAGTTACTTTTATTTTGGTTATCTCGTATATGTATCTGGACTAGTCCTTGTTATGCAGCGTCATTCCTGATTACTGAGAGTAATAAATAGCATACAATACAAATCATTTGCAAGATGAAATGATTCATTTTTTAAAGATACAAAATTTCATGTAGTTGATAAATATAGTGTTGGGTAAATTGTGTGGAGACAGTAAGTAATACATGAAGATTTGGCAAATTTAGACCTAATGAATACAAATCCACAGGATGATAAGATAGAAATTTAAAGAATGAGAATGACTTAAATATCAAGAGACCAGTAGCCCTCTTTTAAGACCATACTGCAAAAGATGTCAAATTTAAAGGGAAAAATATTGTAGTGTAAATAACACTATAGACTTTGAGTCTAAGCAGAACATTATTATGGAATGGGAGGAGAGGGAATGGGGAGTTGTTGCTTAATGAGTACGGAGTTTCTGTTTGGGGTGATGATAAATTTCAGATATAGTGTGAGTGGTATAGTTACATACACTGCGAATGTAATGTGATTTTCTTGAAAAAATGATTCCAGGACAATTTGTTTATTCCAAGAATTGGCAAATAATTATAACTGTAACAAATTTTGTTACATATAAGATTATTTTAATAATTTTTAGTTTTATTTTTCAATCCTGATACAACTTATATGACCCTCCCTCCATCTACTATTTATCTAGCAGAATACCTTCAGCAGATTGTTTTCCATGATGGATTATTTTCAGATAATAAGGTTCTTTTGGTTCTAAATTATTGGTCATTTATCTTCATTCCAAATTATAGGGTGATTAATTAATATTCTGACATTTACTAAATTTTAGATTTCAAATTAGACTTCAAAATTTGTATGCTGAAACAGAATCTTAATTGTTATGCATTTCTGAGCAGCTACCGTGTAAAATTAAGTATGGCTCCTAATTATTAGATATAAGATGTCTCAGATGACAAGACTGAGTTTAAGAAATACATAACAGACTTATAATGTTTTCATATACTGCACTCAAAAACCATTTAAAAAGAAAAATGAAGCACTCACTGAATTGGAAAAACAAAGTACCTATTAAATCATTACATTTCTTTTATAATGTTTAATACTGTTTTTGGTGGATCTCTCCAAAATTTTAATTCCTTTTATTATGCTATACACATTATGTTATTGGGCAGTTTTCAGAAGAGAAAGAGCAGAATAAGGCAAGAGAACTATTGATTCTATAATTTTAAATATCAAGAATAGCAGAAGAAATAAGGTGAAAGGGAGCTAACTTAAATTATGTTTCTGTATGCTCTGGTGTATGACTAACCTCTCAAGTCACGCTCTGTGATTTTTCTTTGCTTTCAGATAATCCATTTACTTTTATATCTATTAGTCTTAACATAGGCTAATACCATGCTAGCCATTACCCTTATTGTTGTTGTCACAGGAAGCTATAATTCACTTTCATATTTGGTAACTATCATTTACCTCTTATAGAAACTAGATACTAGAAAGGTATTTAAATGGATTTCAGTATTTCAGAAGGCTCTTTTCTAGACTTAAACTGTGTATAAAGAAAGCTAAGAGTGTGGCATACACCAGTAGTTCCAATTACTTGAGAGGCTGAGGCAGGAGGATCACTTGAGCTCAGGAGTTTGAGACTAGCCTGGGAAATACAGCAAGACCCTGTCTCTTTAAAAATAAAAAGTGCACAAAGGGAACTAACCGTTGATCTTTATCAAGCACTCTATTTCTAGATTGTATCTCTCAGATTCTTGCCTGCACATATTTCTGTTCTGAACAAGTTGATATACCTTTTAAATACATGACATTCATGAATCATTATTTAATAAAGTCTTTGGATTTTTGTGGCTTTTAATAACCTCCCCAATTTTACTTTAGAGAATCTATATGTCTGAGTTTGAACTACATTGAAATCCTTTTAGGATGAATGAAGAGATCTTTACCTTGTGTGTTTGATAAATGATGATTGCATTATCAGCTAATGTTTCCACCACATGAAAGTTTTCTATAGTTGCTGAAATGAAGAGAATAATAAAAAGATATATTATCTTTTCCTAGAATGTGATCAATTCACTTATGTTGAAAGTCAAGTACGAATGGACAGTATGGTAAATTGAACAGGATCCTGCCCTATCTAGGTTACATCCAAATGGAAGGTAGCTAATACTTAGTATTATGGTTACAGATTAGGGATGTGAGGTCTGATCACCAGGAAGCCTCATTTTCTTTGGCCCAATTATCTATCTTCCACAGCAAGAAAGCAATTCTAATCACCACTGCATCACTCAGGCACAAATAATTCCCTAACACTAAAACCCTTCCCTTTTCCCCAATTTATTGATGTTAAATAAATTGTTATATCTAATCTTAGGTGGCTATTTCTGTGAAAAAGAGATGTCAAACTGCCAATGATAAACATCTGATGATGTTGAGAAGTATCTATACTTAGGAAATTTTGTGTCTAAGGGGAATACACACTAAGAATAACTCTAGGCTGGGTGCAGTGGCTCACATCTGTAATCCCAGCACTTTGGGAGGCCAAGGCAGGTGGAACACCTGAGGTCAGGAGTTCGAGACCAGCCTGACCAACACGGCAAAACCCCGTCTCTACTAAAAATACAAAAATTAGCTGGGCGTGATGGTGTGCGCCTGTAATCCCAGTTACTTGGGAGGCTGAGGCAGAAGAATCACTTGAACTGGGGAGGTAAAGGTTGCAGCGAGCTGAGATCATACCACTGCACTCCAGCCTGTGTGACAAGAGCGAAACTCTGTCTAAAAAAATAAAATAATTCTAAAGTAATCACAAAAGGATTCACCTAGGATTTACCACGGAAACAGTTTAGGAAAGAGTAGATGATGAAACAGAAATCTTCAATTTCAGTCTTGGCTTCTCCACCATATAGCTCTTGTTGCCTTTGACAAGTCACTTTGCCTATCTGAATTTTACTTTATTTGTATGTAAAATAAGCAATAATACCTACCTATCACTGTAGGATTACTGAGGTTATTGGATCAAATTACATACTAGGAAGCATTTCATACACTGAAAAGCTCTACATAAATGTATTGCTAGTCCTCTATATGATTTTCCAAATACTTTCTACGTTGACTTTGTAAACTATGTAGGAGATGCAGAAAACTAGGTTGGATTTGATATTAAATTCAAAATAATAGATTAAAATATATTAATAATGACAGCTTACTTTCCCAGTCATTGCGAACGTCAACATTCCAGAAATAATTGCAGACTTCATGTCCTGTGACGCCTTTAACTGCATGGGTAGCTTTTAAAGGATCCAGAACAATCCCATTTTCTTCTACTTCTCTTCTGTATACCTAAAGAGAACATAATTCCAAAACTGTTTGAAAATTAAAAATCAAGCCCATAAAAGCAGGAAAGCATGCTTTTAATACAGCTGCTCTTTAGATTTTTATGAAAGTCTATTTATAGAACATATTCTGCTAAAAGAAAATTAAAAATTTCAAATTAACAGACAAAAAAGTACTTAAAATTATAAATCCAAGGTAAACCTCAGATAAAAACATGCATATGTGATAAATGACTTATTGTGAGTTGTTTAAAAATAAATGTATCAATTTGAATTAGGCATTATTTACCATTCTCAAAAGACTGTTTAACATGGCTAAGAAAACCAAATAAACCTGGCTAGAATATATTCTCCTTAAAGATACTAAATTAAGTCTGCTTTGTTCAATGCTGTATCCCCAACAGCTAGAATAGTATATGAAACACAATAGGCACTCAGTTATTTGTTAAATCAATGGCTGAAAGCTAAGATGGCAAAAACGTAAATACAGATCTATCTTGCTTTAAATACTGAGGTTACATACCTTAAATGCTAAGTAAAATTAATTATTTTAAAATTATAGAGTTTGCTACTTTAGATAATTATGTGATAAATACTCTTGAGAAATGAAACATGTCATCATGGGGGAGAACCAAGTGCCAATTTATGAAGGACCTATGGGGCTGGACACTGTTAGGCATTTCACATAGATTTTCTTAGAGTATCTCTCAACAGACTACCTTCCCCTACCTATTTATTACTCATATTATTGGGACCACCGTTTTCCCAGCTACCCAAACTAGAAACTCTAGACTTTTGATTCCTCCCTTTACAGTTCACACAGCTAGTAAGCTCTTTACTATTCTTTTTTGTTTTTTGAGACAGAGTTTCGCTATTGTTGCCCAGGCTGGAGTGCAATGGCGCCGTCTCGGCTCACTGCAACCTCCGCCTCCCAGGTTCAAGCGATTCTCCTGTCTCGGCTTCCTGAGTAGCTGGGATTACAGGCGCCTGCCACTACGCCCAGCTAATTTTTGGTATTTTTAGTAGAGACAGGGTTTCACCATGTTGGCCAAGCTGGTCTCAAACTTCTGACCTCAGATGATCTGCCCGCCTTGGCCTCCCAAAGTGCTGGGATTACAGGTATGAGCCACTGCCACCAGTCAAAAACTGTTCTTAATAAAGCATAGAAGAGATGATTAGGGGTGAGGCAGGAATCTATTGACACCATGGCACTGGCAGTTCCTAGATGTGGTGCCAAAGGTGCAGAGCAGGGAGGCCTCTAGCTCACATTATTATTTTTTGTCTAAAATGTCTTCGCTAAGACATCCAACAGTTTGACTTTTCTACTGTTCTAGGTAGGCTTTCATCACTTTGTGCCTGACTCTTTTAAGTAGTCTGCTTGTTCTCCAGTTTCTTCCCTATCAGCTTGATCTTCTTAAAATTACACTTTTCAGGCCAGGCGCAGTGGCTCACACCTGTTATCCCAGCACTTTGGGAGGCCGAGGCGGGCGGATCACCTGAGGTCAGGAGTTCAAGACCAGCCTAGCCAACAAGGTGAAACCCCATTTCTACTAAAAATACAAAAATTAACCCAGCGTAGTGGCGGGTGCCTGTAATCCCAGCTACCTGGGAGGCTGAGGCAGGAGAATCACTTGAACCCAGGAGGCGGAGGCTGCGATAAGCCAAGATCATGCCATTGCACTCCAGCCTGGGTGACAAGAGCAAAACTCTGTCTCAAAAAAAAGAAAAAAAAAAAAAGATACTTTTCATACAGTGGCTAGTCTACTGTTGTAGACAATTGTTATAGACAACGATTGTTCTCTTTAGAGAGTAACTTTATGCTTCCCATTATCTAGGCCCAATTTCTCTCTAACACTGTGGGCTGTAGGAGTAGTTATTTTCTATTCCTCATTCCAGGTAGAGGGACGTCATCCAGACCATCACTCCTGGCTTCTCTTTAGTACTTCACTTCCTCCTCCCCAGAGGGAGGTGACTCTACGGTGACTGAACGATGACTACAGAAGAAGAAATAAGGCAGGTCTGGCTCAACCCTTTCTTCCGCGAAGAGCATACATCCTGGCCTGCTTCTGTAGTGAAGGTTTGTGATTATCCAGCAATGCCAGGAACATGCTTAATTCTGGAGTAACAAGACCCTGTAGCAGCTGATCTCAAACTATTTTCTACAATCACCTTATCAGAATTATAGCTAACATTCTGGTATCTCATTTATCTGTCTGTTTTATCTTATGTCTTACTTTGTTCCTTATTCAAGGGGAGAGGAAATCCCAGCATCTAATATTATATCTTATTTGCTAGAATAATTCTGGTCAACATAGATTATGCAAAAAATCCTGACTAAAAAGTTTGCTTTCAAGTTTTTGCTCACATTATAATTTTTTTCCTAAAATGCCCTCACCTCACCCTTGTCACAACTTTCTTTTTAATTCCAGATGTAGTTCAAATGCTTCTCTGCATTGTAAAACAATCTAATTGTTTCAAATCACAGAGATCTTTCTTTTCTGATTTTCTCCACCACTCATCTGTACTCTTCACTCAGTACATTATCAGATGGAGCCAAGTATAGCATGCATGCATATATATATATATATATATATATATATATATATATATATATCTCACACAGGGTCTCACTTTGTGACCCAGGCTAGAGTGCAGTGGCACAAACGCGGCTCATTGCAGCCTTGACCTCCCTGGCTCAAGGAATCTTTTGCCTCAGCCTCCTGGGTAGCTGGGACTACAAGTGTGTGGTACTGCACCCAGCTAATTTTTGTATTTTTGGTAGAGACGGGGTTTCACCGTGTTGCCCAGGTTTGACTTGAACTCCTGAGCTCAAGTAATCCGCCTGCCATGTCCTCCTAAAAGTGCTGGGATTACAGGCATAGCCACTGTGCCTGGCCAATAGTATCTTTTAAATGTCAATATTCTTTTTCCTTAACTAAAGCTTTAGCTTGGAGAGTGTCTTATTATCTTTGTATCTTTATTTAGCATAGTTCCTTAGGAATGAGAAAATCCAAAATTCAATGTTGCTTTTGCTTTTCAATCCATCTCTGTATCTCTCAGTCCCTGCTCTTATTTTCTGTCCTTGTGTTTAGGGATGTAAACAAGATTAACTGACCAATGTCCAAATATCAAATAAAGGTGCAGTAAGAGAAGGGAAAAGAAGGAGGGTATAGACCAAAAAGGGAGAGAAACAAAGTGTCATCTAGGCACAACATTCAGTATGTTAAAAAAACAAAACAAAAGGAAATATCCAAATACAGGACCATCAGCTAATTGTGACCTGGTCATATCTAATTCTCTAAATTTTATTTTCTTCATGGCCTAGTCAAAACAGAAAGGTTTAATCATATATTTATATTATAATCATAAAAACCTTTAGTAAAGGCAAAGCCAGAAAAGCAAAAAGACATTTTATTGCTCAATATATGGTACTGCTTTGATCACATGTAATAATTTGTTTTAAAGGTAAGTTGAAAGTGCTATCCTTATTCATATCAATAGTAATGATAATATGACTGAAACAGAGACGCCTTTGGCAATCTATAACATTTCAGGGGGAATTACCTTCATTTCTCCTTCTTCTACAACCAACTGCCAATTGGCATCTCCGCCTACATCCTGTAATGAGTAAGTCATGTGGTTCTGCACCATCTCTTCAACCTTGAGAAGGGAGGAAAAAGGCATGAGAATCCAAAAGGTATGTCATAATCTCTAAAACAGAATGGTCTTCAGTTAACTTCAGTTCAGAAATGGTGCTCTTAGTAGCTGAGCAACCAAATGCACAAAGGTTAGTAGGTTTTACATAGTGTTTGAAGAGTTTAGTCCACATTCCAGATATCCAGGTTAATGACAGGAGACAGAAATGAAAAGAAGGAAGATGGGTCACTCAAGTAACACATATTGGCCTAATGTGTATCAAGTGACCAAAATAAGCATTTTCAGGAAAAAAGAAATATTCCATTCTATATCATAAAACAGAGATGATGTGTTAAAGTATAAAATAATGGAAGAGTAGAGATAAAGGGGGCACAGAGATCATCCAGTCTAATGTTCCTATATTTAAGATTATGTGGAGATATCAGGAAGGTCTGGTATGAACAAAGACATAGAGAGAGAGAGCATATCTTTGCCTATATCTTTGCTCTCATACGAGCAAAGATACACAAAGATGAGCAAAGATATATATGTATATGTCAAAGATTTCAATACAAAAAAGGTGAAAAACCTTTCTTATGCCACTGATAAACCTCTCTTTTATCATGGAATATAAGCCAATTTAAAAATAATCAAACCTTTATTTATTTGATTCCAATTTCTTTGTTCTAAATTATTTTGGGGACAATGCTAATATTCATATATGCAAGCATTTACATATAATCACCTTTTAGTTCATTCTTTTAAAATTTCTAATAATTTCCTTTTAAAATTTTTTAATTTAAATTTATAACTTTTTCCTGATATTTAAATGTAACTCTTAATTATCACAAATTGTCCTTATACATTTTATGTAAATAAGCAAAGAAAGCTGAATATTTCACACTACCAGAATTCTCAGATTTATTGGAGAACTGAAGTGATACAAAGATTGCGGAAACAAAGTAATTTCATTTTCTGTAATAAATACATTAGAAGACAGAAGAGCTGGAAGATATATATATTATACTTCCATTAAAATTTTATCCTTAAGTTTAACTATTTGTTTTATATAAAGTCTATTCTGTTCATTAGGAATATAGAACAGGAATCAGTTTTGAACATATTTCAAAGTAAATAATCAACTTCCCCCCTACCCGCCAGAGACAGGGTTATTTTGTCACCCAGGTTGGAGTGCAGCGGCACAATCATAACTCACTGTAATCTTGAACTTCTGGGCTCAAGTGATCCTCCTGCCTCAGCCTCCTAAGTAGCTAAAACTATATGCCTGTGCCACCATGCCTAACATTTTTTTTTTTTTAAGAGACACGGTCTCACTTCGTGGCCCAGACTGCAGTACAGTAGTATGATCATAGCTCACTGCCACTACAATTTCCTGGGCTCAAGGGATCCTCCTGCCTCAGCCTCTGAGTAGGTGGGACTACAGGAGTGCACCACCACATCCAGTTAATTTTTTGTAGAGACAGGGTCTCGCCATCTGGCCCAGGCTGGTCTTGAACTCCTGGTCCCAAGTGATCTTCCCACCTTGGCCTCATTAATGGTTTTAAAAAAGAAACTCACTCTGGGAATATAATTTTCTATACCAAAGGATATGTTATATGTGATAGTGATGTTCTGCTACCTCAAGTTTCTGGATCTTAAATGCATTTTTGATTACTGAAAGCAGGTATGGCCTTAAGTGTCTCCTGATCTGTCAATCATCAAAAAGAAATTTTTTGACAAAAATGCTGAGATTCTATAATCTACTTTTGTACTAAATAAACACTAACAATATTTTATTCCTTTATTCATAATTCTCAAAACAGTGTGAGTTACTGATTTGACAGAAATTTAACAGGACATTCTACAATTTTACAAAGCCTTGGAAAATATAACTTTTGGTGTTGCATGGAGAACCTGTGCACCTTTATAATTTCAGAATCTGCTTTGGGAGGGCGAGGATAACCAATGCAGGATTCCAAATTACTAATACATACAAAATGTATCTGATTTCCAAAAAGAAAAGTTCCAGTTAGTATGCATAAATAAAAGTAGCATTGGCTTGATTCATTTGTCTCTGTCACATTGTGATTAGGAGAAATGTTTACTCTTCAGATCCCAAAATCTTAAACATCTTTAGATTTGAGTATATCTTTGAGGTAGGAAACTAGTAGTTAAGCACACCTGTATTTATTATGAGATAAGAGACAGAAAGAAATGCTTCCCCCAAATAAACCCTACTTTCAATAGGTTACCTATGAAAGAAGAATGTGAAGAACAGAAGAATTTTATTCTGTTAAAAAACAGAATTGGGTTTAAAATAATTTTCTAATGCTACTTAGCTCTTTTGTCAAAAAGAATGCAGGTAGTTGTGTTTCTGTTTGGGAGATTATTCTGAATTAGGGATTTCAAATGCCTAAGAAATGAGGTGTTTTTGATTTGTGGTTTTGTCCAAAAGAAAACAGATTCCACAAATATAAACGCGTAGTAGGTAGCACAAGTTAAAAAATATATAGATAGCACATTTAACATTGTCTTTCTAGATAGGCAAAAAATGCTGTTCCTTCAATGGTAGGCCACGAGGGAGGCCCAGGTTCAATTTTCAGCCATGCTGTATAAAAACGTTTTAAAAATGATATTCCTGTAACAGCTACACTGCATCAATGGAAAACCGGTTTTCAAAAGGTCCAACAAAGAAACAAACATTCAGTACTGTGCTCCTAAAAAACTAAAGATTCTAATGAAGTACTAAATTACTGCAATAAACTCTGCAAAACTTTCATCATGGAATCTTCATTCATGATAATATCTTCCTTGAGGTAATAACATTAAAGTTAAGAGAGGTATACAGGTAAAAATCTCACTATAACAAATTTTATGTTTGCTGTAGGAAAATACAAAGTAACCAATATTACCATAGGGGCAGTAACTTGGGCACTGGTGACCAGACTGACACTTCAGATTTAACCTGATAATCTGCTCACTTTACTGTTCAGTTATGACACGACATATTAAAAAGAAGTGGGAGGCCAGGTGCGGTGGCTCACGCCTGTAATCCCAGCACTTTGGGAGGCTGAGGCGGGCAGATCACAAGGTCAGGAGTTCGAGACCATCCTGCCTAACATGGTAAAACCCCGTCTCTACTAAAAATACAAAAAAATTGGCCGGGCGTGGTGGTGGGTGCCTGTAGTCCCAGCTACTCAGGAGGCTGTGAAAGGAGAATAGCGTGAACCTGCGAGGCGGAGGTGGCAGTGAGCCAAGATCACGCCATTGCACTCCAGCCTGGATGACAGAGAGAGACTCCGTCTCAAAAAAAAAAAAAAAAAAAAAAAAAAAAGAAGTGGGAAACAAGGAAATACTAAGTTTCATTAAAAAAAAAACAAAAACAAAAAACAACAAATATAGCCAAATTTACCATGCTATTAGGCTCAAAATTTGACATTCTAGGAAATAATGTTATAGTAACACCTCCTGTCACTTATAAATGAAAAAGACTCAGTCAAAAACATTGAAGAAGGTGAACAGTGTTTCTAAGTTTTAATTAGGCTAAGTGTAATTTCAGAAATCATGCCCTTGATTTTTCTGGACCTAGAGTTGAAAATGATTAGGTGACATTCAAAGCATCTTCAAACTAATAAACTATGAAACAAAATGGAGATAAAATACATTTGAGATAAGAGGGGACGTTCACTCCAATTCTAACCTTTTCTTCCATCTCACATTTGAATCACTCAGTATGATGCCATTTCTGGATGTTACCAAGTAGGATTTTTCTAACACTATTACCCAGAAATTTGAAAAGAAAATTGCCTTTTGATAGTACAATAAAAGTCTAAGTTGGGCATGGTGGTTCATGCCTGTAGTCCCAGCAGCTTGGGAGGATTGCTTGGGCCTAGGAGTTTGAGGTTAAGTCTCGGCAACATAGCAAGACCTCATCTACTTAAAAAAAAAAAAAAAAAAAAAGAAAGTCTAGAAGGGCTCAAAAACAGCTCAGATCTCTTTTATGCATGTAAAAGAAATGTTGGCCAGGCAGGGTGGCTCATGCCTGTAATCACAGCATTTTGGGAGGCTGAGGCACGCGGACCACGAGGTCAAGAGATAGAGACCATCCCGGCTAACACGGTGAACTCCCCTCTCTACTAAAAATATAAAAAATTAGCTGGGCGTGGTGGTGCATGCCTGTAGTCCCAGATACTCAGGAGTCTGAGGCAGGAGAATCACTTGAACCCGGGAGGCGGAGGGTGCAGTGAGCCGAGATCGCGCCACTGCACTCCAGCCTGGGCAACATAGCAAGACTCCACCTCAAAAAAGGAAATACAACTATGCTTACTACAAAGCCACAAAACCATAGAGGGGGCTTGTTAGATAGAATAATTATTAATAACAAAATAGTGCACTGTTAACCCAAAAGAGAGATGGCTAAGAACATAGCACTTTTAGCCTACCGTATTGACAAAAGTTAACTGAATTATAATATTCAGTGCTACTATATCAATAGAAAACTGGCCTGGGAATGTAAGCTGGTTCAACTTTTCTAATGAAGAGTTTGGCAGTAAAAATTTTTAAAACTTGGCTGAGGCCTGTGGCCTGTAATCCTAGCACTTTGGGAGGCTGAGGTGGGAAGATCACTTTAGGCTAGGGGTTCAAGACCAGCCTAGGCAACACAGTGAGACCCCCATATCTACAAAAAATAAAAAATTGAAAAAAAAATTAGCTGAGAGTGGTGGCCCATGCCTGTAGTCCCAGCTACTCAGGCTGAGGCAAAGATCGCTTGAGGTTGCAGTGAGCTATGATTGTGCCACTGCATTCTAGCCTGGAAGACAGAATGAGACCCTATCTCTTAAAAAATAAATAAAATAGCAGCCTGGGCAACACAGTGAGACCTCGTCTCTGCTACAAATAAAAAAATTAGCTGGGCATGATGGCATGTGCCTGTAGTCCTTAGCCCCCGCTACTGAGGAGACTGAGGCAGGTGGATCGCTTGAGTCCAGGAGGTCAAGGTGCAGTGAGTGGTGATCTCACCACTGCACTCCAGTCTGGGGAACAAAGCAAAACCCTGTATCAAAATTAATAAAAATAAAATAAAATAATAAAATAAACACTTGAAAATGTTCATGGCCTTTGTTCCCACAATTATGCTTCTAGGAATATATTCTAAGGAAATAATTAGATAAGGGTGCAAAGATGCATATACAAGGATTTTAAAAAATCAGGCACATATGGATAAGTACATACACCTTAATATTTATCTCATATATATGAGAGAAGATAAATGGAATATTAGTAAACTATTATTTTAATTTTATTCTACTTTCAAGTTCTGTTAAAATTAGCATGTATCACTTGTACACTGAAAAAGGGAGAGGGGTGAAATAATTACTACAACAATAATGTGCTCCTATGGACAAAGGGTGGGAAAGAGCCTCACACAGAACCATTTTTTGCAATGATGCTCCCCATAGATTAAGCTGCAAATTCACTGTACATCCTTTGATTTCTTTCTTTTTCAATAGAGGATGATGTTCTTCCCCTTTGATTTCTAAGGTGACACCTTTAAATGTGAACTGTGTTATGCAAATAACTGTGAACAAAATGATCAATTTATGAATCTAAATTCTTTCTATTCTCTGTACACCTGAAAATTATTTTCTAGTTTGTGGCCACAGCCATTATTTCAAGAACTTGCCAGCCTGGGCAACATAGCAAGGCCCTGTCTCTACAAAAAATAAAAACAATTAGTTGGGTGTGGTGGAATGCCTGTAGTCCCAGCTACTTGGGAGGCTGAGAGACAGGAGGATCACTTGTGTCCAGGAAGTCAGAGGTCAGAGGTCAGGTTACAGAGCTATGATCATGCCACTGCACTTGGCCTGGACAAGTGAAACCTTGTCTCTTTACAAAAAAAAAAAAAAAAAAAAAAAATGCTGGGCATGGTGTCTCAGGCCTGTAATCCCAGCACTTTGGGAGGCCGAGACGGGCAGATCACTTGAGGTCAGGAGTTCGAGACCAGCCTGGCTAACATGGTGAAACCCTGTCTCTACTAAAAATACAAAAATTAGCTGGGTGTGATAGCGTGTGCCTGTAATCCCAGCTGAGACAGGAGAATCGCTTGAACCTGGGAGACGGAGGTTGCAGTGAGTTGAGATCGTGCCACTGCACTACAGCCTGGGTGACAGAATGAGACTCTGTCTCAAAAAAACCCAAAAAACAAAAATGAAAAAACAAACAACAACAACAACAACAACAACAACAAAAACACAGAACTTGCAGTCCTTTACAACTTTAATTTCTCAGATCTGGAGTGACTTCATTCCTAATATCTGCCCATCAGACAGATTCATGTGTTGGTACTAATTTCCTAGTAGATGTACATATTTTATTTTAAGCTGTTTTCAGGGCATCTCTCAATTGTACACTTGATTATTTCAGCCAATTCAAGGCTATAAAACATCATTTCAAGAAGAACAAGGTAGTCATGAGCCAACACTTATATAAACAGCAAAGTGAAATTACCAGAGATTTAGAAGGCTTCTGTATGGGAGCTGATATAAATGATCAAGAAACTAGATATGGTATCTGTATCTGGACTTTTAAAATTTGTTGGAGTAAGTAAGAATTGATTATATTATGCTTATATAATATTTTGGCAAATTATTAAAGGTGATTAAAAATGTCGACTTAGTTTTTTAATTAATTATGAAGATATTATAAAACAAAGAATTTGGTTACCTCCCATATCAAGCGCTGTGGAGTAACTGATGTATATTTGTGTATTAAGAACGATGTAGGCCAGGTGTGGCGGCTCATGCCTGTAATCCCAGCACTTTGGGAGGCCGAGGCGGGCAGATCACCTGAGGTCAGGAGTTCGAGACCAGCCTGGCCAACATGGTGAAACCCCATCTCTACTAAAAATGAAAAAAAATTAGCTGGGTGTGGTGGCAGGTGCCTGTAATCCCAGCTACTCAGGTGGCTGAGGCAAGAGAATCGCTTGAATCCAGGGGGCAGAGGGTGCAGTGAGCCAAGATCGTACCATTGCACTCCAGCCTGGGCAACAAAAGCGAAACTCCGTCTCAAAAAAAAAAAAAAAACAAAAAACAGAAAAGACCGATGCAATGTAATATAACATAAGTGTTTCTAATGTTAATGAATAACCTTTGAGCCTCTTATTTTGCTTAATACAAAAGTCTCTATAGGGTGTGAGAACTGTAAAATGTAACACTACTGTATAGTCACTACTATAATTTTACACTGTGTTGAACTGGAAGAGTTTTCCAGATAACACAATGTTTCTCAACTAATATTAACTCCAGATCTACATCCAATGCTATATTCTCAAGTGTGACTATACAGAATCAACTTGCTAGATCCTTTGATAATGGCTGATAAGGCAGTGTAACATCCTCTGAAACAAAAAATCTTATCAATTGGGAATTAGTCATCTATTATAAAGGAACTGCTGAACATAAGGCACACAATTTAATTACAACAGTGAATTGCTAGAGTCCACGTCTGCTAATGACAACTAATGCTTTAGCAAGGACAACAAATACTTGAAGACCTTAATGTTATTTTCTTCATTTTTACCTCTTCTGGCATATAAAACAGTACATAATCAAAGGCTAAAACAGGATCTGATCAATCATGAGCACCATATATTAGAGAAAAAAATCCAGCAAGATTTCTCTCAAGTTACATACATGAGTTTTACAAAAGGTTATTAATATTACGAAGAAGTAAGCTGTCAGCAAAATTTTGTAAAAATATAGGCACCTGCTTCTCAGTGATATAGTTACCTGGACTTAAAAGCAATTCAGCTGTTCTACAGCACTACAGTGAGGGCCCTGGTTTGGGTTCTGAACCCCTAATTCTTAGGCATTCTTTATTACTGGCTTACATTCTTTCTTTGCTGTCATTATATTTTCTTTCATTTATAGCCTATGTATTCCTGCATTTTTGATTAGTCTGTGATATGATTTTAATGCAATGTGGAGCTTAGCACAATAAACCAAAGTCTCCCAGTATTATGTAGTTTTGTCACAGATTCATTATGAATATGAGTCTCTTTTTAAAAACATACGCAGGGCCGGGCATGGTGGCTCACACCTGTAATCCCAGCACTTTGGGAGGCCGAGGTGGGCAGATCACGAGGTCAGGAGTGCTAGACCAGCCTGGCCAACATGGTGAAAACCCGTCTTTACTAAGAATACAAAAATTAGCTGGGCATAGTGGTGCGTGCCTGTAATCCCAGCTACTTGGGAGGCTGAGGCAGGAGAATTGCTTGAACCTGGGAGATGGAGGTTGCAGTGAGCCCAGATCGTGCCACTGCACTCCAGCCTGGGCAACAGAGCAAGACCCTGTCTCGAAAATAAATAAGTAAAATTAAAAAAAAATGCATAAATGGACAAGCAAAAGGTAAAATATACTGTGGTATATTTGGTTATGGATGATTTCTGATCCAGAATTGCTAAATCTTTTTCTTAAGAGTATTCAAGGAGAAAAACGCTGTACAAGTCAGAAAAATTAAAGTCTTAATATTCTTCTCTATTGCAGGTTAAAAACTAATGTAAACTTTATTTATAAACATAAAAATAATAGAAATCTCTTTAAACTATGACTTTTAAAAACTTTTATAGCAATACTCTCACAGAGGAAAAAATAATGATGTAGATAACTTTTATTAGCTCAAAGAAATTATGTTATAATAGCAATACAAGGTAACATTTATTGAGCACTTATTATGTGTCAGGTTCTAGCTAAATCATAAAAATGAAGCACAAAAAAGTTAGAAAACTTACTGGGATCATACACCTAACCAGGGTTTAAACTGAGTCATTCTGACCAGAGTGCTCAGGTCTTTAATATAAGATTAACATAATATAATCTAGTCCAATAAAATGCAATCACCAGAAAGATAAAAAGTTGAATGGCAAAGATGTGAAGATTAAGAAAATTAAAAAAAGAACTAACGCTGACACTAAAAAAAACTTCTTCCAATGGTAATCTGATTTTATTTTGAGGGTACAGACTTTAGAGACCGCAAGCATCCAGCTTCCTGTCTTAAATTCCTAAACCCTTACCAATGCTAAAAATTAAAACAAATTTCCATAGATTTAGCATATGAACAGAAATATTCATTTATAATATCCAAAGGTAATTTGCATAAGGAAAACACAATCTGCTCAATAGAGCTTAGTATTATAATGGAAATGAAACATATTATTAAAAAGTGATTTCCTTGTTGAATATAATTTGGAGATACTTTAGCTTAAAAGTGAGACTGTTAAAATCTGCTTTTCTGCTATAACATATCATATAGACCACGTCCATCAAAACTGCTAAATCCTGACTGAAGAAACAGATATTACATGATATACAAAACCCAGTATCTTCTATTTGTTTCAATTCAGTTTGAAAATCTTTCTGGAGTACCTCCTATATGACAAAATTCCAAGCTGTGAATAGTAAAGGACACATGCAAACCTGACAGAGGAACTATTTAGTAGACAAGGAAGACCTTTTTAATGCTTAATGTTACTATTTAAAATTCAAAACTAAAATCAGTGGCCTAACCAAAAGATTTCTAGGAACTGGGAAAGCAGGCTGAAATATAGCACAGAAAGACTCAAGTCCACTCTATACATTCATACAGTACCTGGGAGCTGAATCTGTGAACATCATCAGAGGCACTGACTAGATCAATGGAAGACATGGAGGAAGAGCGACTATAGGGCTACCAGAGACAGACAAAGAAAAAACCAAGTAATCAGAACAAAGGCACAACAGAGCATTCAGTACCAACTTCCAAACACAAGATAAAGGGAAGAGAAAACAAAGCACTATATGAAACAAGCACAGCAGCAACTGCTGACTTCATGCACCTATTATGTATTATGTTCCAAAATCATTCCAAAAAAGAATGTAGTGCTTCCAATAATACAAAGTAATACCATTTAACCCCAAAGAAGAGAGAGATTTAGTATAACTGGATATACTTCTGGTTAACTATTTTGGACTAGCCACTCCTTATTTGCCCACCCCCAACTTTCCCCTTAAATAAAAATGAAAGAACTTTATTTTCAGAACAAAATTTCTAACTGTTTTGGAGGATGTATATGGAATACAATATATAAAACCAAAAACAGTCTCATTACTTAAATTAATGAAAAGGGGAGAAAACTTATATACTACAAGATATTTCCGGCTGGGCATGGTGGCTCACGCCTGTAATCCCAGCACTCTGGGAGGCTGAGGTGGGTGGATCACAAGGTCAGGAGATCAAGACCATCCTGGCCATGGTGAAACTGTCTCCATTAAAAATACAAAAATTAGCTGGGTGTGGTGGTACATGCCTGTAATCCCAGCTACCAGGGAGGCTGAGGCACGAGAATCTCTTGAACCCGGGAGGTGGAGACTGTAGTGAGCCGAGATCGCGCCACTGCACTCCACTCTGGTGACAGAGTGAGACTCCGTCTCAAATAAAAGATATTTCCACCAACAATGAAGAACAATACAAGGTGTACTTTTAGTAAACTCTGACATTAGCTTACCTTTTGGACAAATCTATGTGTCCCCACAGAAGAAAAGGCATCTCCAGAGGGCAAGGATGTAGGCCAATGTAATCTCACCTTTTCACTCTGTGACTAAAAAAACATATAATATTAAGATGGGAAGGTTTTAAAGTGTATTTTGTAACTCAAGAATGGATAATATAACCTGGAACTACCAACATTCACTTAGTGAACGCCTTAGTGCTTATAACCATTAGAATTATGAAACTACTCCGCAGACATGGCAAATCCTGATACTTGCCTCAGATATCCCAATTTAACCTCTTCTTTCTGACTCCACAGATACTATGTTAGGCAAGGGATAAGTTCGTTGATTTTGCTCCTAGTCAGACTCCCTGCTACCTGCATAGCATTATTTATCATGGGTCAATCTTAACGCTGCTGCCAATTCTCTCCTATCCAAACCCTGGCCAAATCATTCCAATGATTCTACCTTAGCAGGCCGCCCCTGGAAGGCTGACTCACAGGTTTATATATAATTAGAAATAATATCATTGTTTGCTTCAGTTATGTTCCTAAGAACATATCATGTATATCTCTTTGCCTCCTCTCCATGAAGGTATTCTGCCCTTCATCTCATCATCTTACTCCTGTTAAGCTGCCACTTGCCCTTCTTCCTCTTTAGTTTGCCTCAGTTGTTCTCATTTATTTCAACCAACTGCTAAGATCTCATTTCTCATGCACCAGTTTATCCCATGTATCTTTCTTTCCCTATGTTTGCAAGTAACGTAAACTCAAACATGTGTGATGTAAGTGTCACTTGGAGAATATCTATTTAATGGCTGTGTTGTTGAGAGATCTGTGCAATATACACTGAATATGAAGAGGGAAATGATCTAAATCTATGGAACTGATTTTATGGATTACTGAAGCTCTCACTACTCTATAGAGTATTACCACACTGTATCTCTGTCATATCAACATGCCTGGCTCTTAGGCAAGAAAAACAATGCTCTGTTCAATGACTATTTTGCAGAGCATCTAGTACAGTGTCAAGAATAGAATGAAGTTGATTGGATGGCCCCATGAATATTTCTTTTTCTAAAGCTTACGGAAGGGTTCATCAATTCTCTCAAACCCAACTCAATCACCATACTGATATTCAGTAGAGTAGCATTTTAGAGAGAAGAGATGTTTTGAATCATCTTGTCTCCTTTGTTTCACAGATTAGAAAACCAAGGCCCAGAGAATTCAGTGATAAGTTCATAGCTACAAAGTTAGTTAGAGGTAAAACTAAGAGTAAGACTGAGGTGTCTTGACTCATTCACTACTTTTTCCCAAAACAGCACATCCTAGACAAAAAACTAAGGGAAACAAATAAATAATGCTACTTCAGGTAGTACTTTAGGTTTCCAAAAGTAGAGCCCATTTAGGAACTAAAAGTTCCCACTCTTCTTGAGTGGTACATAGCATCTTTTGGGTATAAAAAAAATGAGCAATAAGCTTTACAAATTAATGTGACATGAACTTTTTATCAGTAATTTTTAAAAAAATAACGAAAGATACACATGAGAAGCAGTTACTACTGCAGGTGATTTACCCTTAGGTAGACCAATAAGAGCATAATAGCCATGACTGTCTTAGCAATGATAAGAAACGAACAAGCCAACTTTTCTATGCAAATTCATTTGTAGTATAAAACTGACACATACATGATTATTTGGCAAGATACTCTGTAGCCACAGTTTATTAATACTTGCCCCCCAAAAAGGTTAAGCTTCCACCATAACTAGCATAGCTTAAACAAGGGGAGGAAATAACAAAATTCATCCTTAAGTACCATCTAGTTGTAACGTATGGTAACTGTACTGTTGCCAAATTAAAGAAGACAAAGTATCAAATTAATCTTGAAGCTAGTTAATGGGTTTAAGAAATACTTTTCTTCAATTTCCACAGCAGCTGGGTGTAACTGCTATACACTCAATAATGATGACAAAACACTGAACAAAGCAAAAGTGAGAAAGAAACTGAAGGTGAAGTAGTGAAGGTAATAAAGGGGTTAATAAAAACAATACTAATATAGATGAAAAACCTTAAGTTTTTGGTCATCTTCCTTTTCATATCATACTTGGTGAAGAAAAATTCAAAGAAGCTTTTTACTTAGACTAAATATATGCTTTATATTAAAAGAATGTTTTAAGCTGGACACTTAAAGGGAAATAAGCAAAAAGAGCATTTCTATTTAAGTTCATGTTAATTACGCATGGTTCCTTTTAACAATTATTGGTTTTCTTTCTATTGCTTGGAAATTCACATATAAAGGAACTGACTTATAAAGATTATTTTACGGCCAGTACCATGGCTCATGCCTGTAATCAATCCCAGCACTTTGGGAGGCTGAGGCGGGTGGATCATGAGCTCTGGAGTTCGAGACCAGCCTGGCCAATATGGTAAAACCCCGTCTCTACTAAAAACACAAAAAAATTTAGTCAGGCACGGTGGCGCGCACCTGTAGTCCCAGCTACTCGGGAGGCTGAGGCAGAAGAATCGCTTGAACCCAGGAGGTGGAAGTTGCAGTAAGCCGAGATCGCGCCACTGCATTCTAGCCTGGGCAACAGAGCGAGACTCTGTCTCAAAAAAAAAAAAAAAGATTATTTTACATTTGTGACTCAATGTATTCACAGTTAAGCTTCTAGGTTATTAAGTTCACAATGTTCAAATTCTATTTACATGAAATAATATACACCAAGGAATGCCTATAGTGTTAAAATAAATTTCAGCTTAGAATTTTCAATAATAGATATACCTGTTCTTCTATTTTATCTTGTCTGTCAAGAGCAGCTTCAACAGCATCAAAGAACTCTTCTTCATTAATCAGACTGTTAGGGCCTTCCTATTCCAACACACAGTGGAGAAAAAAGCAGTTTATTTAAAGAAACAGAAAACTCTGATAACTCTGGTATTAACTTGAGTTTGAAAATTGACCTAATAAACATTTATTGAACACATATTTACAAAGCAGTCAGTATACTAGATCATATGCATGCTCTGTGTAAAATCACGAGTGTTACAATTAATTCACTCAGTACTCATATATTTACTTACTGTATATTGACCAATATTGTGTTGGGATAATAGTCTAGAGCAGAGATTGGCAAAAACTATGGCCCAAGGGCCAAATCCAGTCTGCTGCCTACTTTTGTACAGCCTGTGAGCTAAGAATTTCATTTTTAAATGGCTGGAAAAAATAAAAGTAATAATATGACATGTGTGAATTACTTGAAATTAAAAGTTTGGTGTCCATAAAGTTTTACTGGAAAACAGTGATGCTCATTCAGCTATATATTATCTAGGGCTTCTTTAGTAGCAGAGTTGAGACTTATGACAGAGACAACAGAGATATAAAATTGCAATGAGGTAAGTAAAAATTTGCACAAGAACTATAGCTAATAAGTACGGCTAGGCATTCAGAGGCGGATCTTCCTAAGCACAGGTAATTGTTTCATGGGGAAATAAAAGTTGAGTTGATGCTTGATAGTCTGGCTAGATGGCAGAATAATGGCCATCAATCACTTGGGGAATTGTGTGGGAGACTTCTTACAATGAAAATTCCCAGGCCTCCATGGCCAAAAATTATTTCTTAGTAGGTCTTCAGTGGAACCTTGGAATATACATGTTTAATAATTCCCTCAAGTGATTCCCATGCAAGTGGAACCTCAGCTGCATCAGAAGATAAACATACAAAGAACAATAACAAAATGTAAACAATCAACATATGTTCCTGCTGTGATGAACCAAGTAAGTGGAACAACAGCTTTGTATTATGATAAAAGTAGAGACTAAAAGGTAGGCTTGGGTTTAGCATTTCTTAAATGTTAAAATATATAAAATAAGACACATGAACAATTGGTGAAATCTTCCCAGTTAAACTCATAACCCCAAGTCATCATTAGTCCATTAAAAAGTATCTAGCAACATCGTCCTATCCCCACCATAACCTGGAACTACACTGGAAGGGTGGGAGGTATGGGGTCACGTTCTTGTCATTTGGCATATAAGAAATGTTGACTTAATGGAGTTCTTCTTTTAGGGTTATGAGGACTCAGTCCCCTACAACCTACTTCATAAAAAAAAAAAAAAAAAAAAAAACAACTTTCTATTCAGATACAACAAACATACAGAACAGTGCATATCTTAGTGAAGCATCACAAAGTGAATATACCATCTAATGACCATCTGGGACAAGAGGGTCATGAAAAAATAGTAACAACACCCTAGAGGCCTTCCTCCTGCAGGATTCTCTTTACAAAATCAAAACATTTCAAAGACAGTAAAATGACAGCAGGACAACTTTGCTCTCTGTTGATCAGAGAAAACACAAAATATCCAAACTCAAGCATATTTTCTAATGATTTTAAATACTATTTAACCACATCTACATTTAAAAAATATTAATATTCATTCAATCTACAGTGATTTAGTACATGTGGATTTCTAGTCCTTAAGCAATCATGTCAGAGCCTCAGGAGTCTAATTGAAAACTACAGCATTTAAAAATTCTGGCCAAGTATGGTGGCTCATGCCTATAAACCCAGCACTCTGGGAGACCAAGGAGGGGAGATCACATGAGGCCAGGAGCTCTGGACTAGCCAGGCCAACATGACGAAAACCTGTCTCTATCAAAAATACAAAAATCAGTGGGTGTGGTGGAGCACGTCTATAAACCTAGTACTCAGGAGGAGGAGGCACAATAATTGCTTGAACCTGGGAGGCGGAAGTTGCAGAGGTTGCAGTGAGCCAAGATCGCACCACTGCACTCCAGCCTGGGTGGTAGAGCAAGACTCAGTCTCAAACAACAACAACAACAACAACAACAAAAATTCTATTTTGCCAAATGAAATGGTTTTTCCTTTAATGGTAAACCTTTGGGAGAGGAACTAAAGGAATTGGCATAAAATTTTCTTTATTAAAAGGGACTTTAAAAAAAACCCTTTTATCTCATCATGCTTACTAAGGGCAGGAGCTACTTATCTGCCCCCTTAGAATAGCATTTCTTATGTTAACAACTCTCCTTGAAGAGTTCTCTACCCTTAGATTCCTAAATTCCCCTCTCCCTCTCTAAGCACTCTTATGGGGCTCCTTTGTAGGTTTCCCCTTCTCTGCCTATCCTTTAAATGTTGGTGTTCCTCAGGGTTCCATACTTGCTCTACCCACAGCATTCTTACTTATATCCAACGCTTCAGTCATCCTTTGATGACTCCTAAATTCACAGCCAGACCATCTCTCTTCTAAGGGTCAGATCTTTGTATCTAATATAGAAGACTTCCTCATATGACTCACCTCAATTGCAACGTGTCTGAAACCTCCTCTTCTATCTCCACACGTATCTGCAGAAACCTGGGCCTAATCTTGGATTCCTTCCTTTTCCCTCATTCAATCATCACACCCTTCAATTCTACTTTCCAAATACAATAGTCTCCCCCATCTGTGGTTTTGATTTATGTGGTTTATATACAATAAGATATTTTGAGAGAGAAAGAGACTACATTCATATAACTTTTTACTATAATACAGTACTATAATTGTTCTATTTTATTATTGTTAAAATAAAAATTAAACTTTATCACAGGTACATACATATAGGAAAAAACATAGCACATATAGGAAAAAACAGTGTATATAGGGTTCAGTACTATCTGCAGTTACTGGGGGGGGGGGGGGTCTTGTAATGTATCCCCCCCAACCACTGATACAATGGGATTACTGTATCTAATTTGTCAGTGCCTCTCTATTCCTCCTGCTTTGACTCTAATTTAGGCCACCTTCAACTCTCATCTATATTATACAAAAAGTGTCCAAGTGCCCAGTCACAATTGTTACTTTCAATCCATTCTTCCTACTGCAGGGAGAATGACTTTTCTGAACTGCAAATGTGAAAATGTCATTTTCTTGATTAAAACCTATTGTCTCAGGATCTGAACTAATTCTTGTTGATCTTTCCAGTCAGTCTCTTAACCATTCTTTCCTCTCAATTTGTGGAGGCTCTACCTTCCAAAGAGAATTACTTTCAGTTCCCCTGAGGAAAAATATTATTTTGCTTCTGACTACTGGAAAACACTCTTTACTCAATTTACTCATTCTTAAGGTTTCTGCTAAGAGGTTCTTTCCTCCTAAGAGGTTCTTTCCCTCCGGGAAGACATCTCTGATTCAACACCTTCCCTGCATTAAAAGTGTTTCATGACATACATTATGATAACTGTCTATTAGCCTTTGTTCCCATTATGCATTCAGGTAGGGCCCTTAGGCAGGATCCTTATAAGCCTTGTTTCTTGTTGTATTCTCCAAGCCTAGTGTAGTGCCCTACATTATGGTAAGTCTTTTTTTTTTTTTTTTGAGATGGAGTCTCAGTTGGTTGCCCAGGCTGGAGTGCAGTAGCGAGGTCTTGGCTCACTGCAGCTTCCGCCTGCCGGTTCAAGCAATTCTCCTGCCTCAGACTCCCGAGTAGATGGGACTACAGGTGCACACCACCATGCCTAATACAGCTAATTTTTGTATTTTTAGTAGAGAGGGCGTTTCACCATGTTGGCCAGGCTGCTCTTGAACTCCTGACCTCAGGTGATCTGCCCGCCTCGGCCTCCCAAAGTGTTGGTATTACAGATGTGAGCCACCACACCCAGCCACATTATGGTAAGTCTTAAGGAATAAATTTAAGATTATAAAGTAATTTCTGAGGCTACAGAAGTCAGAAACACTTAGAACTTTTTTATAATTAGAACATCATGAATGTCTGATTATAACCAAAAAGAGTCATAGTTTGAATTAAGTGTCTAAAACCCATACGACTATAATATTGTTACAAGAAAAGATAGATGGTTCAAAACTCCAAAAGAAGGGGAAGTGTAAAAACAGTTCCCAGTTTATCTAAAGAATTGTATATTTAATTTAACTTAGTGAGAAAAAAAATAATTAGAGTACCCTTAACCAGTTTCTTCACTAAGAAAGAGTAAAGTGCATTTCAAATAGGTGAATAAAGGATGTTTATTCAACAAATGCTAGTGGAATAAAATAGGTTTCTATATTGTATCATTATTTTAAAAACTCCAGATGTATTAATATATTTAGAAGAGACCATTGGAAAATAAAAAATTAGAAAATATGATTATTTAAAATAGAAAATGCCCTTCTAAGCATGATACCAAATGTGGAGAAAAGTGGATCAAAGGACTGAGGAGTTAATTACACGAAGGTTTAAAACTTTTATATGTCAAAATCTACCAAACTTTTTTAAGGTACGAAGGAAAAAAATTAAAAAAAAAAAAAGGCAAATTCTATACATCTTCTAAATCAATAGGGAAAAAAAACCCAAACAAACAAACAAACAAAAAAAACGAATAAGAAAACAACCAAAGGACATGGCCAAGTTAATCGTAAAAAAGAAACGTGGCAGCCATAAAAAAGAATGAAATCATATTCTTTGCAGCAACATGGATGGAGCTGGAGGCCATTATCCAAAGTGAACTTGTCACAGGCCAGGTCTCACTAAACAACCATTTCAGTACTGACTGAATGTTTAAGTTAAATATTAAAAGCCAGTGCCCTTATACAAAGGCTGGGATGTAACAAAAGCCCATCAAGAGTTTTGCCTAGGCCTTTCCTGGGCCTTAAAGCGTGATAAAATAATGAAGGAATTCTTTTTTTTTTTTTTTTGGCACAATTGTTTTTTTTTTATTATGGTAAAAAAAAAAAACATAAAATTGACCATCTTAACAATTTTTAAGTGTATAGTACAATAGTGTTAATTACTGTATATGCACATTGCAATGTAAAAGATCTCTAGAACTTTTTCATCTTACAAAACTGAAACTCTGTTCCCATTGAACAACTCCTTGTTTCTTCAATAATGAAGGAATTCTTAATAGGAGCCATTTAGGATTAAACAAGTTTTACTGGGGGTCTGAAGAAACTCCCCAGTCCTCCACAAACAAGTGTATTAGGGGTCTGAAGGAACTCCTCAAACCTATGTGATATAGTAGGAGACACGATAAGGGTAATCACTCTAGCACTTTACTGAGGCTCCAAAGGAAGGTCTTCAGGACTCAGACCTTAGTTATAGATTAAAAGAAGTTAGTAACTTATGTCTTTAGGTGAATGCACACTTACAGGTAGACATATAGCTTAGAAGGTATATAAGCTCTGGAAAACTTTGTAATTTGGAGTTGGTCTGGTGATGATGTTCAGACCTTCTCCCTGTAACCAGTTACAGAAATAACTCTCTTCCTCCCCAGTTCATCTGCATCTCGTTATTGGGCCGTGAGAAATAGCAGCCCGAACCTCAGTTTGGTCCCAGAACAAATTAACTCACAAACAGAAAGTCAAATACTGCATGTTCTCATTTATGAGTGGGAGCTAAATAATAGGTACACACAGACATAAAGATGGAAATGTAGGGACTCTAAAAGGAGGAAGGTTGGGAGGGAGGGGTGAGAGTTAAAAAATTAGCTATTTGGTATAATGTTCACTATTTGGGTAAGGGGCACACTAGAAGCCCAATCTCTGCCAGTACACAATATACTCATGTAACAAACATGCATGTGTACTTCCAATGTAAAATAAAATAAAAAAAAAAGAAACATGAATATCTGATAAACATAATTTTTAAAATGCTCAATTACATACATAAAGCAATTTTTTGGCTTTGAAACTAGTAAATGCATGTACCTAGCACAAGGCCCCTCTTCCCTCCACCCCTGTCCTCTACCCCTAGGAAAAAAAAAACAAAACCTGTGTTGATGGAAGCAGAGATAAATATGTACACAAATTATACTTACATACTGCTGGTAGATGATAAACTGTACCATATATTGTTAAATTTAAAACATGGGCTTTATTGGCTTATTTGAATTTTTGTACAATCTTCCTATAATGAATATACATTTTATTTATAATATTAAAAAATAAGGTACTTTAAAAAGTTGGTATTTCTTCCAAAATAATAATTCTAAAATAGCAAAATAATTTGTTTAGTTTCAAAACAAAAATCATCATTATAATACCTCATATTAAAACCTCAGAGGATAGCTAATTATGTAATTTTAATACATTTTAGAAGGGATAAATTGAGAATAATTTAAAAATATTACAATTTAAGTCTCATCAGAATGCACTCTCACAGTTGGAAATTGATTCCAATGCAAAAAAATTCAGCAACAGCAGAGCAGCTGTTTAGTTTTCCTTTCTAGAGCAAAAGTAGCAAGAAAAAATTCTTCTGTTTTCATAAATATAACTACAACTATTTTATTCTTCTGTTCCACCTCAGTGGTACTCCTTGATACCCCATTTTTAAACTGCTCATTTCAGAAATATCAACACTTTTTTTTTTGAGACGGAGTCTCGCTCTGTTGCCCAGGCTGGAGCGCAGTGGCACGATCTCAGCTCACTGCAACCTCTGCCTCCCGGGTTCAAGTGATTCTCCTGCCTCAGCCTCCCGAGTAGCTGGGACAACAGGCACTCACAACCACGCCCGGCTAATTTTTGCATTTTTTTAGTAGAGACGGGGTTTCACCATATTGGCCAGGCTGGTCTCGAGCTCTTGACCTTGTGATCCCCCCGCCTCAGCCTCCCAAAGTGCTGAGATTACAGGTGTGAACCACCGTGCTGGCCAACACGTTTTTTTTTTTTTTTTAAAGAGACAAAGTCTCGCTCTGTCACCCAGCCTGGAGTGGAGTGGTGCAATCGTAGCTCACTGCAGTCTTGGGCTCCTCAGTAGCTGGGACTACAGGCATGTGCCACTATACCCAGATAATTTTTGTTATTTTATTTTATAGAGATGAAGTCTTGCTATGCTGTCCAGGTTGGTCTTGAACTCCTGGCCTCAAGCAATCCTCCTGCCTTGGCCTCTCAAAGTGCTGGGATTACAGATGTGAGCCAGTGCGCTAGCCTCAACATTGTTTAATGGCAATTACCAAATATATTTCTTACACATTTTTTTCTCTTAATATAGAAAGCTTATAAGATTTTAATGTATGTGTGTATATACATGTGAAGGAGATTTTATTACCTGCTTAACAAATAAACACAAGGAGAAAAAAGCTGGTTTCAGACATTTTCAAACAAAGACAATTAGAACAGTTTTATGTTCAGCTATGGATAAGATCTCACAGTAGGCCGGGCGGGGTGGCTCACGCCTGTAATGCCAGCACTTTGGGAGGCTGAGGCGGGCGGATCACGAGGTCAGGAGATCGAGACCATCCTGGCTAACATGGTGAAACCCCGTCTCTACTAAAAATACAAAAAAATTAGCCAGGCGTGGTGGCGGGTGCCTGTAGTCCCAGCTACTAGGGCAGCTGAGGCAGGAGAATGGCGTGAACCCGGGAGGCGGAGCTTGCAGTGAGCCGAGATCGCGCCACTGCACTCCAGCCTGGGTGACACAGCGAGACTCGGTCTCAAAAAAAAAAAAAAGATCTCACAGTATAGTACAGACTAAAATCTTTTTGTCTGCAAAGTACTCAGATTTTTCCTTTATAGTTTGCTTTTATGTTAAAAAAAAAAAAAAAGTAGATAACATTAAAAATGATCATCTTTACAGGGGAGATAAAAATTTGTCCTATCAAGTGAACAGGCCTAATACTAAGCCTTTTGAAGCCTAAACTTTGTAGGCAATAAGAAATATATATTTGAGCATGCCTGGCATTTATATATCATGAAATATACACTGAATTAACATAAACACTGAGGAAAAAATTATATATTTAGAATATTTAAAGGTTACAAGAGTATTATTAAAAAATCACTTTTGTGATAGACATGATCTATGTGTTTCTCTAAGATCAAAATATAAATTCATACTTCATAATCTGGTCCTCCAAAGTGGGATTTTTTCTTAAGTTCTGTCATTGCATTTTTATATGCTTCCTCTGTTCTTCTTTTCTTCTCAGTTTCCTATTAAAAAGAAGTGAAAAATCTGTAATTTGAGGCAGGCATTTTAATTACAATGAAGTCTTTTAGGTGGAATTCCTCTACATTTCACTGAAATTTTACAATTTGACACAAAAAAATTCCACTCCTGTGAAAAATAAGAGTATTATTCTGCCCAAGAAAACACTTTTCTCTAGGCTATAAATTACTTACAACCTACTATTTATGTATGTATGTATGTATGTATTTTTTGAGACGGAGTCTTGCTCTGTCACCCAGGCTGGAGTGCAATGGCATGGTCTCGGCTCACTGCAACCTCCGCCTCCTGGGTTCAAGCAATTCTCCTGCCTCAGCCTCCCAAGTAGCTGGGATTACAGGCTTGTGCCATCACACCCAGCTAATTTTGGTATTTTTAGTAGAGATGGGGTTTCACTATGTTTGTCAGGCTTTTCTCGAACTCCTCACCTCGTGATCCACCCTCCTCAGCCTCCCAAAGTGCTGGGATTACAGGTGTGAGCCACTGCACCCGGCCACAACCTACGATTTAAATCACCACTAAAATCACCTTAAAAGTAGGTTATGTGTTTAAATGGTTAAGTAACTGCATGTATACTTAAAAAGAAAAGAAAAGAAAAAAACCCAGGTAAATTAGCACCTGAAAAATACCTACTATACATTCTTATACTTCCCCTTCCCACCAACCCCAGTTAAGAGATACATTTATTTTGGTATGAAGAAAAACAGCAAGTAATACCAGAAAAGAACTCAGTAGGTGGGATCAATGAATGCTAAAAAGATATTCTAAGAAAGAAAACCTTCTTATACTTTCTCACTGCTGCTTAAGACTGTATTTTAGCGTTGAAAAAGACTTTAGTTATGTATTTTAACACTCTCCTTTTAATGATAGGGCCTATAGCTCTAAAAGGTTAAAAGACCCAGGGTCAACACTTAAAATAACAAAGGTTGGTCCCATATAAAACTTATTTCCACAACAATGGGGTTCACTGGGTCAAAACTGATACTGGAGTCCAGTATGTTTGTAAATAATCTAATGCTTTTATTTCCTCATTTCAAATAGTCATACATGGCTTTTTTCTTTTCTTTCTTTTTTTTACCTTGTCCAAATTCCATTTTCTAAAAGACTGATTTGCTTGGTCCCCCTATTGGGTAATGTAAGCACCACACTTTTGAAAGCGAAAGGGAATGTTAGTAATAATCTTGCTGAATTAAGAACTGCCTTGGTCAAACCAGGATTCATGGTCACTCTGGCTACAGGAAATGTAAACAGCTCTTCCTATTTCCCCTTATTCCCAAAAAAACACTACTCTGAAGAGCGTGATCATCAAAAATCATAAGAGAACAGATTATGCTTGTGATCTAAAGAAGGCTAGTGAAAGCCACATGTATTTACTGTCACATGTTAGTTCACCATGGGGATACAGTCTGAGAAATGTGTCACTGACGACTTAATTCTTGTATAAACATCATAGAGTGTACTTATATAAACCTAGATGGTATAGCCTACTACACATCTAGGCTATAAACATTTACAACATATGACTGCACTGAATACTGAAGGCAATTTTAACATGATGGTTAAGTATTTGTGAATCTAAACATAGAAAAGGGACAGGAAAAATATGATATAAAAGATAAAAAACAGTATACTTGCACAGGGCACTTATGAATGGAGCTTGCAGGATTTGAAGTTCCTCAGGGTGAGTGAGTGAGTGAGTAGTCAATGAATGTGAAGGCGTAGGACATTACTGCACACCACTGTAAACTTTTAACACTGCATACTTAGGCTACACTACATTTATTTAAAAATGTTCTTCCTTCAATAACAACCTTAGCTTACTGTAACTTTTACTTTATAAACTTTTTAATTTTTTAAACTTTTTGAGTCTTTTGTAATAAGATATCTTAAAACATAAACATTGTACAGCAGCACAAAAATATTTTCTTTATACTGTATTCTACAAACATTTTTCTATTTTTTAAAAAATTTATTTTTTTTAACTTTTTAAACTTTTTTGTTATAAACTAAGAGACAACACACACATTAGCCTAGGCCTACACAGGGTCAGGATCATCAAGATGTCACTAGGCAAAAGGAATTATTCAGCTCCATTATCATGTTATGGGACCACAGTTGTATATGTGGTCCATCACTGACGGAAATGTCGTTATGCAGTGTATCACTGAACTTAATGGCTAAAGTCTAAACTGAACTCACACAAAGCAAACTACTTCTAAATACCACATCAGCGTTAAAGACAGTGGAAATCAATGAATCAATGGGTTCATTAGACCCAAAGATTTCATTAATTGATTTTTGTGTACTAAAGAGAAAATGGGACTACAGATCCACCAGAATGACTAAGCCAGGTGCAGTGGCATGTGCCTGTAGTCCTGGTCATTCAGGAGGCTGAGGCAGGAGGATCACCCGAGCCCTGGAGTTCAAGGCTGTAGTATACTAATGGCTGTGTCTGTGAATAGTCATTGCACTTCAGCCTGGACAACACAGTGAGACCCTGTCTCTCAAAAAAAGAAAGACTGTCCCCAAAATCAAACAACACCAACACCTATACACACACACACACACAGACGCACACACACACAATACCAAGTACAGTCAAGAGTGAACAACATCAACAACACCCACACACCCACACATCCCTAACAATACCAAAATGCTGTCAAGAATTAAAAATAATTGGAATCCTCACCCATTGCTGGTAGAAATAATCACTTTGGAAAATCATCAGTATCCACTAAAGTTAAGCATATACCCCTATGAATCAAGAAGTCTACTCCAAGGTATGAGAAATATACCTAAAGATATGCCCCAAGAACTCTCATAGCAGTTTCATTCATGATAGCCAAAAAATGAAAAAAATCTAAATGTCCACCAACAGGAAAATAGATAAGCAAATTGAAGTCATACAATAAAAAGTTATACAATAAAATAGTGTATAGCAATAAAAAAGAATAAACTACTATTAAATATAACAACATGAATGAATCTCACAGTCAAATGTTGAAGGAAAGAGAAGGCCTGACTCAAAAGTATACTGTATGATTCCATTTGTATGTTGTTCCAGAACAGGCAAAACTAATCTATAATGACATAGGTTAAAACCATATGATCACCTCTTGGGGTGGTGGTATGATATGGAATAGGAAGGAGCATGAAGGAACCTTCTAGGGTGCTAGAAAAGTTATATATCTTGATCTGTCTATGGTTAAGGGGTGTATACAAACGTTAAAAAAAATCAGGTAGTATACTTAAGATTGGTACACTTCATTGTATGTATGTTATGTATTAATTTTAAATGAATAAAACAAAAATGCACAGCACAGCAATAATATTAAAGACTTACAGGAAAGTGAAAATGTATGTAAAAGTACACACCTGTGAATCTAATAATGTAAGAAAATGTATCTTCAATGAACAGGTTATCTCTTATTAACACTGTTAACCATAATTGCCTAATTTTAGAATTTTTGGTTTTCCTGGACATGACTGGCTAACAATTAAGTACACTTCTTCTACAGTGGAAAGGATCATTATTATTATAGGTAACCAATAAAAATCATCACTACAAAATAGTATTTTCAATTAGCTGAAAGAATCCTGGAACTGACATTATAAATCTACATAAAAGTATAATATAGACAATTCTATTATTAAATAGCTGTTATTATCACCTATTTAATTGCTCTCATTAGATTTTAAGCCCCTTGAGAGACTATTTCCTGCTCATCACTGTTTTCCCATTCCTAGCTTAGAGTCAAGCACACAGCAGGCACACACCTGAATGAAACAATTTCAGTGAAACCATATTGTTATCATTGTACTTTCTTTCTCAATTCTAAGAATTACCTGAAAGACGTATTTGTTGATAAACAACTTTCTCTATTTAAGAACTTTCTAGTCTTTAGTGTGTATATATACACACACACACACACACACACTCTACATACAAAAGATTAGAAAGTTCTTGAATAGAGTTGCTTACCAATAAATACACACATACCCTGCATATATTATGTATATATATATGAACACACACATACTGTGTGTACACACATGTGCAAATACACACACACTTACATTCCATGTAAAATGTAACTGGGATCCAGTTATTTCAACCTTGAGAAAAAATTACAGTGGAAAAGGTTAATAAAATTTGACATCAGATAGATCTGTAAGAAGACTATAAAACACAGTAGTGTCCAGATTTTAACCAATACTGCCTGCCATCTTTTCTGGCTGTTCTTTGGTGGAGAGTGTTGCATGGAGAAGCAACAAAAGTGGTTTTTTTCCCGCAGATCTTTGGTTTGCTCTGCTCATTGCTACCCAATAAAGAAAGAGAACTGGTAAGATTAACAATGCTGAAAGCAATCAAAAATCTATCTCCCCTTTTCAACATGGCAAATAAACTTGAATGCTAAAATAATCAGGAAGTGGTATATAATGTGCAAAGGTTTAAAAAAAATTATTTTAGGCAATGTGGTTAGAGTATATGACCAAAGAATATGATCCCTTAGTGAAGGAAAAAGAGACTAAAGAGAGAGAAAGTTGCCAAAAAGTTGGAAATAAGCTAGTCTGGACTAGCTGAATGATAATCTTGAACCATTAGTCTAATGTATTTAGGGAGTTGTCCTGTTTTTCAATACATTGTTTTTTTTTTGTGAACAGGGACTCTTCTAATAATTCAATTTGATCCACACTGAGTATAGAGTTGAAATCTTTGAAGATAATAATAGTTTGGCTCCAGAATGATAATAAATTTTCTATACCTTAAAAGGATGTTTTCATTACCTATTTTAAAAGAAGACATATTCCTAATCAAAATGGCTTACTCTCACCTGCACTTGTGCATTCTGAACAGCTCTCTTTTCTTCTAAAACATGGGAACCTTCCTAAACACATAGTGCTATCATTGCTTTCCTTAGTGTCCCGCTCAAATTCAAAGGCCTTCAAACTCTGCAAGCAATATAACTCAGAATGAATATGATTCTGGCTGATGTCTAATCTGGCATCCAGAGCTGATATATAAAAGAATAGAGAAAAATGCCTCTAACTCTATTACTTTTCACCTTTTGACAAGCCTCTGGGCCTCAATTCCTTCTTCTATAAAATGATGGCATTGGACTAGAACTTTAAGGTATGTTTCAACTCTAACATTTTACTATTATTCTAAAGCTGAATTATAAATAGAAGTTTTCCTACTTAACAAATCCACTGAGCCATGCTTCACACTAGAAACTAAAGAGTCATACTATAATATTATCAGTGCTGCAGTTTAAACAAAGGTGGGAAAATGTGAACATAGGGCAAATGCTCAAACAACATAATGTATGTTAAATGGTATCACTGACCATGGAAAAAATACATGAGTATTACTATAATAAGTAAATGTTTAACTTTGTAAATTGGCATATAAGTTAGTTCATATGCCTTAAATGCAGTTTCATACATCATGCACCTAAAGGTGTGTAATGTTAAATGGCTCAACACTTCTATTCCAAAGCATTACTAACATCATCACAAAAACTTTTATATTAAATCTTTCAAGAAAGCATACTGTATAGTAACTAAACAAGTAATTGGTGAATCTTGTTAGGCAAATGAGTTTAGGATGCCCATAAAGCTTCAGAGTAGTAGTATCATCTGCTATTTCTATCAACCCAAGATTCTTCCCTAAGAAGTTAGCTTGTTTTAAATATTCAAACAATACGTAAAACTTAAATGTGATTATTTTTAAAAGGAAAAAAACCTAGTCTTACCTTATCCAGTCTCTTCTGCCAGCTGTCCTCACGTTTAACCATTAGTTCAATACAATGAGAAAGTGTTGCAAGGATTCCAGCAGTAGTTGCTTTAAAAGTTATCGCTTCCCCTTTAAAGTCTATACCATTAATTCCTTTTGGTGTCACATGTGGAAATACTGAAAATGAAAATTATTCACTGAAAATATCTCTAATGAGGAAATAATTCATCACAATTTAAGATTAGAAAATGTTTAGAAAATTAGCAAGTCAGAGCAGGTTTTGGGATTTTAATTTTCCTCCTGTAGGCCAACATTTAAAAATCTCCTATCCAAGCTCTATAAGCAAAGAAGCTTCGTGGCAGCATATGTACTTTCAAGTCCTTTTTTTCTAGATTCTGTTTCCTGAAATTTATTTGCTGTGCTGCACCCAATTAATCAAATGGTAGGAGGAGCAATACTTTAACAATAACATTCTGACAGCTTAGAGTAGGACCTAATTATGGCAAGAACTACCTTATTATTTTGAAAAGCCTAGAATTAAAAAAAATCTGAAGATAAACTAAAGAATCTAATAAAATAATATACAATTTAAAAATAAACATACAAATTTAAATCCAGGACCAATGCACTTAAACTCAATGCCTTTTACGTTTCAATTTTATCATTTTAATTCATGGTTAGCTTTTGAATTAAACAAAAAATCTTAAAACTCAAAGATGCAAACAAGAAATCATAATATTCTATAGTTAAGAAATCATTCTAGTAGAATAATTATAAATGAAATAATGTCAATTTTGACTTTAAAAACGATTAGAGATATGACAGTAAAGGTATAATCCATCAAAGAACAAATTGTGAAACTTAAATCAAAATGTAAAATTTCTGCTCTTGAAAACACTGTTAAGAGGATAAAGAGATAAGCCACAAACTGGGAGAAAATCTTGTGTGGCATATATTTAATAAAGACTTCTATCCAGAATATATGAAGTAACCTCAAAGCTCATTAATAATAAACACTGGCTGGGCGCGGTGGCTCACGCCTGTAATCCCAGCACTTTGGGAGGCCAAGGCGGGCGGATCACCTGAAGCTGGGAGTTCGAGACCAGCCTGACAAACATGGAGAAACCCCGTCTCCACTAAAAATACAAAATTAGCTGGGTGTGGTGGCGCATGCCTGTAATCCCAGCTACTCAGGAGGCTGAAGCAGGACAATCACTTGAAACCGGGAGGTGGAGGTTGCGGTGAGCTGAGATCACCACACTGCACTCCAGCCTGGGTAACAAGAGGGAAACTCTGTCTCAAAATAATAATAATAATAATCACCAAGCCCAACATGAGTAAAAAATGTGAACACACACTTCACCAAAGAGCAGATATAAATGGCAAATAAAAACATGAAAAGGTGCTTAATATCACTAGTTAATATGGAAATGCAAATTAAAACCACAATGACATATCCCTACACACCTATTAGAATGACTGAAATTTGAAGACTGACCATATTAAGTGTTGGTGGGGATATGGAGGAACTGGGACTCTCATATGTGGCTGGTAAAAAACAGTTTGGCAGTTTCTTTAAAAATTAAACACACCCACACCCGCCATATGATTAGAACATTCTACTCCTAGGTATTTACCCAAAATAAATACAATAAATTTCCATGAATAGAATTGTATATGAATGCTCATAGCAGTTTTATTTGTAATAGTCAAAACTGTAACCGACCCAAATGTCCACCAATGAATGACTAGATACACAAACTATGGTATATCTATACAATAAAATACTACTGAGCTATGAGAAGAACTGAACTACTGATATATGCAACAATAATGATGAATCTCAAACTAAGAAAAAAGCCAGGCAAAAAAAGAATACATACTGTATGACTCCATTTATATTAGATTATAGAAAATGCAAACTAATCTATAGTGTCAGAAAATAGATCAGTGGCTATTCAGGAATGGGGGAGAGAGGAATGACAAAGGGGATGGAGAAAACTTTTGAAGGTGATATAAATGTTAACTATCTTGATTGTGTTGATAGTTTCACGAAAATATCCAAATTTATCAAATTATACACTTTAAATGGTATGTCAATTGTATCTCAATAAAGCTTTTTTAAAGCTTATATTTTCTTAATAAGAATACGCACGTACATCAACTCAACAGAACTGAGAATCCAGAAATAAACCCTCGCATTTACAGTCTATCAGATTTTCACGAAGGTGCCAAGACAAGGGAAAAAAATTGTCTTTTCAGCAAATGATGCTGGGACAGCTGGACATCCTTATGTAAAAGTTACCATTATTACATAATGTCAGAATGTGATTTTTACCTGCATGCCTTGGAAGATATTTTCACTTGGATTCCACCAGTTCTACTGCTTTTTAAAAAATTAATCAGGTAATTATTTCTTGTGAGTTGTTACATAACTTCTGAAAGTATATTTTATCCAGCTGAGGGGAAAAATGTATTACTTACACTTTTCTTTATTGCCGTTGGTACTATGCAAGAAGTCACCATCAGAACGCGTTGTAGGAAAGTCATCTTCATCATCTTCTACCACTAAATAAAATATATTTAAGGAAATTAGGATGAAAAGAAATAGAAATTAATGTCTATTCTTATGTTCAACTGAGTCATTTTACTCTGGATTCTGATTCTGAGTATGAAGTCTTACTCATCTTTGTATTTTCACTGGTAATCAAGGTATGCTCAATAAATATCTACCTATCAAGGAACTTTTAAAGAACAAAATCTTAATCTCTCTCTCTCCCCTCAACCCCTGAATATTCTCATTTAGTGAGACTATGGAGAAGGGTATGATACAATTATTTCTTTTTAAAGCTCCCCGAGATGATTACAGTATCAGCCATCTATTTATTTTTGCCACCCAAATATGTGGAATGTCTTTAGATACATTATTTTTAAACCATATTCACTCTCATTTGTGTAAGGGAAGGTTACTGAGTTATGAATTATTTCACCCTGTAGTCTTCCTATCTCTTGCTCCCTTCCGTGGGGCCATTTCCACTCTGTAAGAGGACCAGAAGGGCTGAACAGGACTATAAGGGTGCCTTCTATGCAGAAGACACCTTAGCTTGCCTCTAAGAGTTGTTCTTTTTTTTTTTTTTGTAGATGGAGTCTCACTCTGTCACCCAGGCTGGAGTGCAATGGCATGGTCTCGGCTCACTGCAACCTCTGCCTCCTAGGTTCAAGCAATTCTTCCACCTCAGCCTCCCAAGTAGCTGGGACTACAGGTGCGTGCCACCACAGCCAGCTAATATTTTTGTATTTTTAGTAGAGAAGGGGTTTCACTATGTTGGCCAGGCTGGTTTCGAAACTCCTGGCCTCATGATCCGCCCACCTCGGCCTCCCAATGTGCTGGGATTACAGGTGTGAGTGACCACACCCAGGCGAGAGTTCTTATATATACTATTTCTGATGTGCAAGGAAAATATAATGACTTGCAGATATGATATCGACTGTTTTTTTTTTTTTTGAGGCGGAGTCTTGCTCTGTCGCCCAGGCTGGAGTGCAGTGGCGCGATCTCGGCTCACTGCAAGCTCCACCTCCCGGGTTCACACCATTCTCCTGCCTCAGCCTCCCGAGTAGCTGGGACTACAGGCGCCTGCCACCATGCCTGGCTAATTTTTTGTATTTTTAGTAGAGACGGGGTTTGACCATGTTAGCCAGGAATCCGGTCTCAATCTCCTGACCATGATATCAATTTTCATTCATCCCAGGCTGTATCTGTATCCAGGCATCCCTTTTCTCTAATTCCAGACAAAAACAGAATCTCTCTTGTTCTACTTTAACATACCTCTTTCTTCTATGTGCTATCCCTTTTTCTACTACGCCACATGCTTTAATTCTCTGTACTACGCATTCCACTCATAATGCAAATTCCTGCATCTTAGTTCCCAACATTATTTGCTGCTTTTATCAAGCTTTTTGTGGCTTCTTCTTCTTCTTGTTTGTGAGACAGGGTCTGGCTCTGTTGCCCAGCCTGGAGTGCAGTGGCACAATCTCAGCTCACTGCAACCTCCACCTCCCAGGCTCAAGCAATCCTACTCAGCCCCTTGAGCAGCTGGGAACACAGGTGCACACCACCAGCCCAGCTAATTTTTGTAGAGATGAGGTTTTGCCATGTTGCCCAGGCCGGTTTCAAACTCCTGAGCTCAAGCAATCTGCCCACCTCTGCCTCTCAAAATGCTGGGATTACAGGTGTAAGCCACTGCACCCAGCCTACATGGCTCCTTTATCTTTTCAGGAACTCCCTTTATAAAGAAGGAATCTACATTTTAAACTAATGTCTTACTTACTGCATGTATCTTTTTACATCAGGAGCACCGTGGCTCTATAAGGAACATCTCATCTATCTTAGCTGTCTTTTTTATGGATGCAGAGCCCAATTCGATACCTTATTTCCCTTCTTTGATTAAATGGTAGGAATCACCATGGAAAATCTTCTGTACTGCCATTTTCTAATTACTGGACTATTTCATTTTTTTATAACCACTTGAAAATGTTGTCAATCATCTATAACAACTCTTACAAATCATAAACTATTATCTATTAATACCCTGTATTCATTTCTACCTGGCTGTGATCTCAATATTCAATTCTTTTTCTTTTCCACTTCCATCATTCCTACAGACTTCAATATGAGCATATCTTGATTACCAGTGAAAATACAAAGATGAGTAAGATCTCATATGCTCAATAAATATGCTGTGCAATGTCTTTAGATACATTATTTTTAAACCATACTCAGATAAAAAATCATGCTGACCATCAGTTGAAGTTATAATACGACTATTCCTAAATTAGTCCCCTGGCATAATCCCATAAAGATGACCTTCAAGTACCTTTTGAGATCCTTACTTCCCGGGGCCTTTTCAAATTTCCCTACTTTTTTGCATCATATCAATGAAAAGTTAAAACAGTTTGTTACTCACTCTTCAACTCTACCTTCATGCATTCTTTTCTACAGAAGCAGGAGATATTTCATTTGCTCTAGATTTGACCTATTCTCACAATTTAAAGGAGTTGTTTTCTTGGAAAACTCAAAAGCCTTCTGTACAATATTTGTTTTCCCCTTTCTGCTGTGCTTTCCTTCTGCCTTCAGAAGGCTTGTTTATAATGCTAGCTCATACTTCTACTAGAGAGGGTATCCACATATCAAGGAACTTTTGATTATCTACCTATCAAGGAACTTTTAAAGAACAAAACGTTAATCTCTCTCTCTCCCCTCAACCCCTGAATATTCTGGTTTAGTGAGACTATGGTGAAGGGTATGATACAATTATTTCTTTTTTAAAGCTCCCCGAGATGATTACAGTATCAGCCAGACATCTATTTATTTTTGCCACCCAAATATTTCTCAGCCACCAGCACATTAAATCTTCCTCTCAAACTACCCCTTTACCATAACCTTCCACCTCCAAAACAGACACAAAATAGCTTTTTCAGGCTGGGCGTGGTGGCTTATGCCTGTAATCCCAGCACTTTGGGAGGCAGAGGCAAGCAGACTGCTTGAGCTCAGGAGTTTGAGACAAGCCTGGGCAACATGGCAAAACCCTGTCTCTACAAAAAATACAACAATTAGCTGGGCATGGTGGTGCACATCTGTAGTCCCAACTACTTGGGAAGGCTGAGGTGGGAGGACTGCTTGGGCCTGGGGGGCGGAGGTTGCAGTGAGCCAAGATTGTGCCACTGCACTCCAGCCTGGGTGACAGAGGGAGACCCAGTATCAAATAAAAATCAAAGGATCAATCAATCAGTCAGTATCTCACAAATAACATTTGTAGGGAAATCAGTTGTTATGGGCTGAATTGTGTCTCAGAAATTCATATGTTGAAGTCCTTAATCTCCAGTACCTTAGAATATGGCTGTTATTTGGAGACAAGGTTTGTAAAGCAGTAATTAAGTTAACATGGGGTCATTAGGATGGGCACTAATCCACTATGACTGTACAATATGCAGAAGAAATTTGGACACAGACACATACAAAGGGAAAGATGATGATGTGAAGATATAGGGAGGCTACCTATAAGCCAAGGAGAGAGGCGTGGAACAGGTTTTTCCTTCATGGCCTTCAGAAGAAACCAACCCTGCCAATACCTTTATCTCAGAACTGTGAGAAAATAAATCTGTTGTTTAAGCCACCCAGTCTGTGGTACTTTGATATGGCAGCCCTAGCAAACTAATACATCAGTCTTCAATTTGCTATTTATTTAAACATGTAGCAGAAAAGATTCCGTGTAATGTCTATTATTATTTTTCAAATCATCTACACAACCTGGTTATCACTGCATTCCAACTTCCACTTTTTCCACCATCACTTTTGTCCTTCTAATACTATACGCTATTGGTATGGACCATTAAGATAAACAAGGCATCATATTCTATATGTATCCTGTTTTTGTTTAAAGCTAATCTGTAACATTTAAATTGATTAAAAGGTATACTTTTTTAATGAAGGAGAAACAGAAGTTCAGGTGTTTTCTATTTTTAGAGGGGAAAAAAAAAAAATCACACATTAACGAACCAAAACCTTTAATAAAAGTTTTTATATTAACAAATAGAACTTCAAGGCCAGGCACAATGGCTCAAGCCTGTAATTCTAGTACTTTGGGCAGTTGAGGTGGGAGAATCCCTTGAGGCCAGGAGTTTAAAGACCAGCCTGGGCCACATAGCGAGACCTCATCTCTACAAAAAATTTAAAAATTAACCAGATATGACGGTGTATGCCTGTAGTCCTAGCCAGTTCGGAAGTTGAGGCAGGAGGATCACTTGAGCCCAGGAGTTTAAGGTCACAGGGAGCTATGAACATTCTACTACATTATTGGAAGGTTCTGATACTACACATAAAGTGGTATATTACTTGAAGGCAGACTGTGGTAAGTTAAATATGCAAACTATAAACCTTAAAGTAGCCACTAAAATAACAAAACCACGAGTTATACCTAAGAAGCTAACAAAGGAGATAAAGTGGAATTATATATATATGAAAAAAATTTCATCCAAAGAAGGCAGAAAAAGGGAATATAGAATAGACAAAAAGAACTTGGATCCAGATCAAACACATTTAATAAAAAAGAGAAATGAAACCATGTCAAGCCACCTAGTTATATTGGGGATGAACTTAGTCCTGTTTGGTAATAATGGTAGAGTAGTTAATTTTTGCCATCACAATAAATTAAGTGAAAAAGCTGAAGAACAATGTTGACATCAGCAGTATTTTTGGGACTAACAAAGGAAAGTTAAACTATAAACCTAACACTAAAAGTTAATTGAAGATATCTTGTTTCTTTTAAATAAGAACTCAATAAAATTATTTTTAAATGTACATACAATTATTACTTCCATTTCTATTACTGATTCTTCTTCTATGAGAAAAAGGGTAGAGAAAGGGAGAGACTGAGAGAGAGAGGGGGCCGAGCGCGGTGGCTCAGGCCTGTAATCCCAGCACTTTGGAAGGCCGAGGCGGGCAGATCATGAGGTCAGGAGATTAAGACCATCCTGGCCAAAACCCCGTCTCTACTAAAAATACAAAAATTAGCTGGGCATGGTGGCACGTGCCTGTAATCCCAGCTACTTGGGAGGCTGAGGCAGGACAATCACTTGAACCAGGGAGCCGGAGGTTGCAGCGAGCCGAGATCACGCGACTGCACTCCAGCCTGGTGACAGAGCGAGACTCTGTCTCAAAAAAAAAAAGAAAGAAAAAGAGAGAGAGAGGAAAAGGCAAAAAGAAAAGAGAAGGGGAGAAAAAGAGAAATGAGAGGGAGAAAGAGAAAGAGATCAACTGGTTGATTTCAGATCTGAAGGATTTAACATATACTTATCTCCTCTAAGACTCATCATGGGCTAAATTTATCAGACATAATAATAATGTGAAATGATCCATAATACCAAGATAATAGATATCATTTTTTAATGGAATAAAGAGTATCATTTGAAAGTCTTTGCCTGGTGTGGTGGCTCACACCTATAATCTCAACACTTTGGTAGGCCGAAGTGGGAAGATTGCTTGAGGCCAGGAGTTCAAGACCAACCTGACCAACATAGTGAGACCCCCGTCTCTATAAAAAATAGAAAAATAAATTAGCTGGGTGTGGTGATGCACACCTGTAGTCCTAGCAACCTGGGTGGCTGAGATGGGAGAATTGCTTGAGGCCAGAAGTTTGAGGCTGCAGTGAGCTATGATCGCGCCACTGCACTCCAGCCTGGGCGATAGAATGAAACCATGTCTCAACAAAAAAGTAAATAAATAAAATAAAGGTCTTCAATGGCATCTGGTATGGATGATCAAAATGAATTAGTATGTGTAACTGAAGTACCCAAGTTACAAGGACACTGAAATCTGTTTCACTGGGGGTTTGCAGCAAAAAATGACTATAAACACCTTTATCACTTAAAGACATTACCCTTTGAGATCAAGAGGCTTTTAATCCATTCATTCTCCAAGTAAAAATAGTGGTAATAGCCTAATTAACCTTTATCCCTTTGAAGTTCATCCTTAGAGACAGCATCAGCACAGGCATCAAAGTACTTCTGTAGCGTGTCAACTTGTCTACATAAGATGTCTCTAAATGTTTCCATTTCAGCCAACTTCTCACGTAAACTGTGGCCTTTCTGCAAAACATAAAATAGGGGGATGTAATTCAAGTAAAACAAAACTGGATTTCATGTGGTCCTATGGTATTTCATCAACTTTTAAGGTCTGCACCTTATAACTGAGGGCATGGGATAAGGAGAGCTGTCTAGTTCAATATAATACTTCTAGGAATAGGCTTGAAACTGATGAATCTATTGGCTTGATAGCGATAAGCCACTTATGAATGATGATAACCTCGTGATATCACTTATAAATAAGCCCTATTTTTTATAGAAAACAAGAAAGCAGTAATACCTGACAGTTTGCAAATATAACATTTGGTATTTTCAAATTAAACAAAATTGTGTGGAACAACTGTGAAAGACTTTGAAATGGGAAAAAATATTACTTGTGTCCTTTCAAAGTAATGGTGAGCTGTCATTTATGGTACCCTTGGGAGAGTACTATTTGATCATATAGACACTTTTGCCTTTCACTGCATTTGAGCTATTTTACAACTCTTTTAGTAAAAAACTGAGTAGTATAAATAATTCTTGTTCATAGAGATGCAAATGAATTTTGTCTGGTGCAGAAGCACTGATTATTAATCTGTGGATACTGACCAGTTTTTCCCATATTCACAAATCATTTCAGTATTCTTCAGATTTTCCTTTGAACCAGTTTTTTTATATTTTACCTCATTAATGAATGAATGAAATAAAATCAGTGACATGTGTTCATCTATATGAGTTATTATTTTATACCTTAAAAAGTACTTCTCTAATAACTTCAAATAAATTATACTATAAAAAAGTTTGTTCAAAAAATTATCACATATGTTCTGTTCACAACATCCAATACTAAACTCAATTTATGTTGTTTAACTTAAGGCATCCATTAACTACACACCTTGAATGAAGAGGTGGATGTTGCAGAGTAGCCACTTGCTCCAGACACCAGGGACACCATTGAGCCATGTCGACGCAAGCTGGATTCAGATCCATATCCAGATTCAGTCTAAAAAAAAAAGTAAACTATGTGAAAAGAATTTAAATAAAAAATACTTGAGAAAACAAAAGGTTTCCTATGAATTAACAAGGTTATTATAACAATTGGCAGTCTGGGTGCACATAAGATATATAGTCAATCCACTGACATAAGCAATGCCTTTCAATTCCTAAATGCCATTTAATTTAGAAATTTATTGAATACCTACTATGTGCTGGGCTAGTGGTCACAAAGACTGTTTAATAATAGGAAAACTAAAGTAGTCAAATTCATAGACAGAAAGCAGAATAGTTGTTACCAGGGGCAGGGAAAAGAAGAATGGGTAGTTATTATTTAATGGACACAGAGTTTCAGCTGGGGAAGATAAAAAAGCTCTGAAGATGGATGATGGTGACGGTTGAACAATAGTGTGAATGTACTTAATACCACAGAACTGTACACTTAACAGTGGTCAAAATGGTAATTTTATGTATTCTCACCCATTCTTAACACATCACAATTACAGCATTTACCATTCACAATAGTTTGTGTTTTGTTATTACTACTGGACTTGGATCTTTCTGGAAGCAGCTTGTATCTTTTAAATTTTTGTAACCACCTCGACAGTTCATGGCACGAAGTTTCCAATTTTGCTAGTCTGTTAAGTCAGCATCCCATGGAAGATAACTGATGGGGATGATACTCTTCAGAGCATAAATTTTATATCTTACCTTCTCTAATACAAATGCAATATAACAATATAGACAAAGAAATTAAAACATTTGAACTTCCAAGTAACTAAAACCAGGTATTTTGGATCTCTGATTATTTTCTACTGTTACTTTTTAAAAGTACGGTGAATTAGGCCAGGCGCGGTGGCTCAGGCATGCCTGTAATCCCAGAACTTTGGGAGGCCAAGGTGGGTGGATCACTTGAGGTAAGGAGTCTGAGACCAGCCTGGCCAATATGGTGAAACCCTGTCTCTACTAAAAATACAAAAATTAGCCGGGCATGGTGGCGGGCACCTGTAATCCCGGCTACTCAGAAGGCTGAGGCAGGAGAATCGCCTGAACCTGGGAAGCAGAGGTTGCAGTGAGCCGAGATTACGCCACTGCACTCACTCCAGCCTGGGTGACACAGTAAAACTCAAGTCTCAAAAAAGTACAGTGAATTAATATGCTTGTGTGGAAAAACCAAGGCATCTGTATTATATCCTTTGACAATATATCATATCTATCATGGTTTGACTGATTTCAATCCTGCTCCTCTGTACTATTATGGTTCTAGGTAAGTATTTATATTGAACAGCTTTTCTTCATTTGAATGGTGAAAACAAACCTGTAGGTTTAGTAAACATCAATTTTTTTTTAATACTTAGAGATCAACAGTGAAAACAAAGGAACAAAAAGCTACATTGTATTTAATTTTAATTCTACTCAATAAACAAGTGGTAAAATAATATCTAATTATTTTTAGTATCAAACCTATGGTTACAATGAAAAATTATTTAAAGTTACAAACATTTCAAGATTAATATTAGGAAACAAAATTATATACAATGTGTTATAGAAAATATATCCATTGACATTTTATAGCCTCTGTGGTCTAATTCCTGAAAATCTATTACATTTCTATATAGCTATTGGTTTACCCATGATATTATTCTAATTGGAAAATATTCTTTTTAGCTATAAGAATACTAAGCTTCTATGGTTTAATTAATAAATAAAAGTTTTATGTTTATTTTTATGTAAATGATATTAGCACTAGTTTAAAACATTTTCCAGTTAGTATCACTTCATTTACCTTAACTTTAATATTCTAGGATCTCGGAGCTCCTGGAATGGTGGCACCCAATCAAAAAAAACGTGCAATTTGCAATAAAATGGAAGCAAATTTACAAAGAAAAGAGGAGACTCTGAACACACATTAATTTTAAAAAATAGTTGGCCGGGTGCGGTGGCTCACGCCTGTAATCCCAGCACTTTGGTAGGCCAAGGCGGGCGGATCATGAGGTCAAAAGATTGAGACCATCCTGGCTAACACGGTGAAACCCTGTCTCTACTAAAAATACACAAAATTAGCAGGGCGCAGTGGCGGGCGCCTGTAGTCCCAGCTACTCGGGAGGCTGAGGCAGGAGAATGGCATGAACCTGGGAGGCGGAGCTTGCAGTGAGCTGAGATTGCGCCACTGCAGTCTGACATGGGTGAAAGAGCGAGACTCTGTCTCAAAAAAAAAAAAAAAATATTTACAAGAGGCAAAGATTATAATCAACACAAAGAAAGAAACAAGCTGTCATTAACCTAGATTGGGTTTTAAAACCAAACTGTTAATTCATTAACCTTAAATTCATTTAAAGTTGCAAAAGAACTGATGGTACCTAAACTTAAAGAACAAAGCACATTCCAAAAATCTTCCCTTGTGTCCTATTATCTCTTCAAGGTAGATTGGCTTTACATTTGTATGATAATTACATTTTGTTTCTTATCAAATAATCCCCCATCTTTATTATCTTTATCCATAAATGTTTCTAAATCCTACTTTACACTAAGTGACAGAAATTCAATGTTTTAGCCATCTAGGATCTTATAGTAATCTCTGGATTTTCCGCTTCTCAGATTAATGGTCTTTTTGTCAAAAAACATCCCTACCCCTACTTCCACCTCCAGCCTACAGTACATAAAATTCAGGTTATCTGGGATTTTGAAAACCTCTAAATAGAAACTGAATAATAATAATAATAATAATAATTATTATTATTATTATTTTGAGACAGAGTCTCACTGTCTCTTGCCCAGGCTGGAGTGCAGTGGCACAATCTCGGCTCACTGCCACCTCTGTCTCCTGGGTTCAAATGATTCTCCTGCCTCAGCCTCCCTGGTAGCTGGGATCACAGGCGTGTGCCACCATGTCCAGATAATTTTTGTATTTTTAGTAGAGACGGGGTTTCATTATGTTGGCCAGGCTAGTCTTCAAACTCCTAACGTCAGGTGATCCACCTGCCTCGGCTTCCCAAAGTGCTGGGCTTATAGGCGTGAGCCACCCTGCCTGCCCAAAATATCCTGGAATTCTTTAAACCTCCTGCCCTGGACCAGTGTGGTGGCTTGTGCCTCTAGTCCCAGCTACTTGAGAGACTGAGGCAGAAGAATCACTTGAGGCGAGGAGTTTATGGCTGCAGTAAGCTCTAAACGCACCCCTATACTGAAGCCTAGGTGACAGAGCAAGAAGACCCTGTCTCTTAAACAAGCAAGTAAATCAAAAATAGCCTGCCGTCCTCTATATTACCTTGAAACAGTTAAGAGCCCATGGTCACCATAAAGTTTGGTTCCTGGCAGTGTTAAGTGCTGAAAAGCTATCAGAAACTAGATAAGTTCATCCAAATATAAGAAAAAATGAAAAAAAAAAAAAAAGCAAGGGTAAAAAGAATAGTAGAGATTAGAAGTGGTAGTAACAATGGCAAGGAACAGCAACAAAGAGGGACAATTCTCTGAAGGTACAACAGTAACAATCTCAAAGGAGGAGGAAACTTGTCCCCACCCCCAACATCAATAATCAGATGATGGATCTGGTCAAAATGGAAAAAAAAAAGAAAGAGGATGACGAGAGGAGGAAAGGAATCTGTAACCAAAGTAACAGTTCATGAAAAAAGAAATGGACATTTTCAGGCAGACACTAGGAATTTATCCATATGAAAACAAGTAGCCTCTTAAATTTCAAACTTCTAACACCTACCAGTTGCCAAAGTAAAATGGTCACACTTTTTAATAATGCTTGCTTATAAAACATTCTATCTATAAAAAGTACTTCAATATGTTCTCAACTCTTAATTGGCTAACAAATTACACATAATTTTAAGACAAGGTGGAATCAAAGCTCTTCTCCGAGACTTACATGAATCCACATCTCAAAGCAATGTCTTAGTGATGAAGGAATATAAACATTCTGGAGCCAGGAAAATGATTAATGAAAAGGTAATCAAAAGCATGTACTTCATGGTATGCAAATTATGCCTCAAGAAAACTGATTTTTAAAAAAGACAAAACTAATCTATGACAAACAAGAGCAGGCCAGAGTACAATGGGGGCACTGAATACAAAGAGGTAGAAGAAAATGTGGGAAGTGTAGACTACATCTGTCAAAACTGAAACTGTACAATTAAAATGGGTACTTTTTAAGAATGTAAATGTAAATTGTACCCCAATAAAGTTGATAAAGAAAAAAATGTAAGCTTGTTTCAACATAACAGAATCACAGCAAAATGGAATTCTAATTACAGCAATCAGTTCACAAAAAAAAAAAGAGTTCTTGATTAGGTGCAGTGGCTCACACCTGTAATCCCAGCACTCTGGAGGCCAAGGCAGGAGAACTGCTTAATCCCAGGAGTTCAAGACCAGCCTGAGCAATAAAGCGAGACACCATCTCTACAAAAAAAGTTTTTAAAAGTTAGTGGGGCATTGTGGTGTGCTCCTGTAGTCTCAGTTACTTGGAAGGCCGAGGCAGGAGGATCCCTTGCATCCAGAAGTTCGAGATAGCACTGAGCTAGGATTGTGCCACTGTACTCCAGTCTGGGTGACACAGACAGACTATCTCAAACAAACAAAAGACTTACTGTTTTTCAATTTTAATTTTAGGTTCAGGCAATACATGTGGAGGTTTATTACATGGGTAAATTGCATGCTGCTGGAGTTTGGTATAAAATAATTTCATCACCTAGGACGTGAGCTTAGTGCCTGACAGGTATTTTTTTGTCCCTAGCCCTCCTCCCATCCTCCACCCTCAAGTAGGGCCCAGTGTCTATTGTTTCCCTCTTTGTGTCCATATGTACTGAATGTTTACCTCCCACTTTTAAGTAAGAACATGTGGTATTTGGTTTTCTGTTCCTGTGTTAATTCACTTAGGATAATGGCCTCTAACTGCATCCATTTCATGAAGAAGGGAATTAGCACCCATTCCAGACTTACTACACTGAAGAGGTGGTCCAGCAGGCAGAGGGAGCTCAGGAAACACTTTGGATGAACAATGCTTCTGTGGCCCTGCTATGTGAGCTCTGTCATGGCAGGAACTGTTGGCATCACCCACCTGATCCCTTCTCTGTGTTATGGGGTTGGAAATGAACTAATTAGAGCTAATGTTGGACATAAATTATTAGATAAGCTCCATGATTTGGCCCATGTGTTCTCATTATTTCGCTCTCACTTATAAATGAAAACATGCAGTATTTGTTTTTCTGATCCTGCATTAGTTTACTAAGGATAATGGCCACCAGTTCCATCCATGTGGCTGCAAAGGACATGATCTCACTCCTTTTTATGGCTGTGTAGTATTCCATGGGGTATATATGCCACATTTTATTTATCCAGTCTACTGTTGATGGGCATTTAGGTTCATTCCATGTTTTTGCTATTGTGAAAAATGTTGTGATGAACATACACATGCATGTGGTCTTTATGGAGGAATGATTTATATTCCTATGGGTATATACACAGTAATGAGATTGCTGGTCAAATGGTAGTTCTGTTTTAAGTTGTTTGAGAAATCACCAAACTACATTCCACAGTGGCTGAACTAATTTACGTTCCCACCAGCAGTGTATAAACATTCCCCCCCCCTTTTTTTTTTTTGAGATGAAGACTTGCTCTGTCACCCAGGCTGCAATGCAGTGGCGCGATCTCAACTCACTGCAAGCTCCACCTCCAGGGTTCATGCCATTCTCTCGCCTCAGCCTCCTGAATAGCTGGGACTACAGGCGCTAGCCACCACACCCGGCTAATTTTGTTTTTGTATTTTTAGTAGAGACAGGGTTTTGCCATGTTAGCCAGGATGGTCTCGATCTCTGACGTCGTAATCCGCCTGCCTTGGCCTCCCAAAGTACTGGGATTACAGGCATGAGCCACCACGCCCGGCCAAGCATTCCCTTTTCTCTGCAACCTCACCAACATCTGTTATTTTCTGAATTTGTTGTAACAGACATTCTGATTGGTGAGATGGTTCTGATTTACATTTATCTAACAAACAGTGATGTTGAACACTTTTTCACATGCTTGATGGCAGCATGGATGTCTTTTGAGAAGTGTCTGTTCATGTCCTTTGCCCATCGTTTAATGGGGTTGTTTAGGTTTTGCTTGATTTAAGTTCCTTATATTCTGGATATCAGACCTTTGTTGTATGCATAGTTGGCAAATACTTTCTCTCTTTCTGTATGTTGTCTGTTTACTCTGTTGATAGTTTCTCTTGCTTTGCAAAAGCTCTATAATTAGGTTTCACTTGTCAATTTTTGTTTTTGTTGCAATTGCTTTTGGAGACTTCTTCATGAAATCTTCACCAAGGCCTATGCCTAGACCAGTATGTCCTAGATTTCCTACTTGGGTTTTTATAGTTTTAGAACTTACATTTATGTCTTTAATCCATCTTGAGTTAATTTTTGTACAAGGTGAGAGGAAGGCATCCAGTTTCAATCTTCTGCATATGGCTAGCCTGGTATACTAGCACCATGTATTAAATAGGGAGCCTTTTCCCTATTGCTTATTTTTGTCAACTTTTTCGAAGAACAGATGGTTGTGGTTGTGAGGCTTTATTTCTGGGTTATCTAACCTATTCCACTGGTCATGTGTCTGTTTTTGTACCAGTACTATGCTGTTTTGTTACTGTAGCATTGTAATACAGTTTAAAATTAGGTAGTGTGATACCTCCAGCTTTGTTCTTTTTGCTGAGGATTGTTCTATTTGGGACCTTTATTGGTACCATATGAATTTTAAAATAGTTTTTTCTAATTCTGTGAAAAAAGACATTAGTAGTTTGATAGAAATGGCAATGAATCTGTAAACTGCTTTGGGCATTACAGCAGTTTTAACAATATTGATTCTTCCTATCCATAAGCACGGAATGTTTTTCCATTTGTTTGTGTCATCTCCAATTTCCTTCAGCAGTGTTTTATAATTCTCATTGTAGAGATCTTTAACACTTACCTGGTTAGCTGTATTCCTAGGTATTTAATTCCTTTTGTGGTTACTGTGAATGGGACTGCATTCCTGATCTGACTCTCAGCTTGGATGTTATTGGTGTATAGAAATGGTACTGATTTTGTTTTATCGAGATAGGGTCTCGTGCTGTCACCCAGGCTGGAGTGCAGTGGTGTGATCATGGCTCACTGAAGCCTCAACCTCCTAGGCTCCAGTGGTCCTCCTGCCTCAGCCTCCAAAGTAGCTGGGACTACAAGTGCATGCCACTACACCCAGGTAATTTTTTGATTTGTTGTAGAGATGGGGTCTCACTCTTTTTGCCCAGTCTAGTCTCCAACTCCTGGTCTCAAGTGATCCTTCTGCTTCAGCTTCCCAAGGGGCTGGGATTACAGGCATGAGCCATGGTGCTTGGCTTGTGGTACTGATTTTTGTACATTGATATTATACCCTGAATTTGTTTATTGGTTCTAGGAGCCTTTGGGCAGAGACTATGGGGTTTTCTAGGAATAGAATAATATTTATTATCTGTGAAGATAGTCTGACTTCCTCTTTTCCAATCCAGATGCCTTTTATTTCCTTCTCTTGACTTATCGTTCTGGCTAAGAGCTTCCAGCATTATGTTCAATAGGAGTGGTGAGAGTGGACATCCTTGTCTTTTCCTGGTTATCACAGGGGGTACTTCCAGCTTTTGCCTGTTCAGTATTACATCGGCTGTGAGTTTGTCAAAGATGGCTTATATTGTTTTGAGGTATGTTCCTTCAATGCCTAGTTTGTTGAGGTTTTTTTTTTTTTTTTTTTATCATGAAGGGATGTTTAATCTAAGGCCTTTCCTGTTATCCACTGAGATGATCATGTGTTTTTCATTTCTAGTTCTGTTTATCTGATGAATCACATTTATTGATTTGCATATGGTGAAACAACCTTACATTCCAGGAATAAAGCCTACTTGATTGTGGTGGTGTTTTGACGTGCTGCTGTATTCAATTTGCTAATATTTTGCTGAGGATTTTTGCATCTCAGTTTATCAGGGATATTGGCTTGAAGTTTTTTGTTGTGTCTCTGCCAGGTTTTGGTATAAGAATGATGCTGGCCTCAGAATGAGTTAGGGAGGAATATGTACTCCTTAATTTTTTCCGGAATAATTTCAGTAGCATTGGTACCAATTCTTCTTTATACATCTGGTAGAATAGAGCTATGAATCCATGTGGTCCACGGCTTTTTCTGATTGGTAGGTTTTTTTTTTTTTAATTACTGATTCCATTTCTGAACTTGTTATTGGTCTGTTCAGGATTTCATTTACTTCCTGGTCAAACCTTGGAAGGTTTTATGTTTCCAGGAATTCACCTATTTCTAGGTTTTGTAGTTTTTGTGCACAGAGGTTTTTAATCTCTGAGGGTTTTTTGTATTTCTGTGGGATGAGTGGTAATGTCACCTTTGTCATTTCTAAGTGTGTTTATTTGGATCTTCTTTTTTTCATTAGTAGTCTAGCTAGAAGTCTATCAATCTTATTTTTCCAAAGAACCAAGTTTTCATTTTGTTGATTTTCTGCACAGATTACATGTCTCAGTTTCATTCAGATCAGCTCTCATTTTATTTGATTTATCCTGCTGGCTTTGGGGTTGGTCTTGTTTTTCTAGTTCATCATGGTGATGTTAGGTTGTAAATTTGTGATCATTCTAAGTTCTTGATGTAGGCATATTTTTTGGAGGTTTTGTTCATTATTTAAAATTCTATCTCTTTTATTTCTGTCTGTCTGCACTGATTCAAAGGAGTGGTCTTCAAGCTATGAGATTCTTTCTTCAGCTTGGTCTTTTCTGCTATTAATACTTCCACTGTGTTCTGAAATTCCTGTGGTGAATTTTTCATTTCCAGAAGTTCTGTTTGGTTCTTTCCTAAAATGGCTATGTCATCTTTCAACCCTTGGACTGTTTAACTGTGTTCCTTGGACTGCATTTCAACCTTCTCTTGTTTGTCAAGGAGCTGCCTTGCCATCCAGATTCTGAATTCTGTAGCTATCATTTTAGCCATTTCAGTCTGCTTCAGAGCCATTGCTGGGGAGCTAGGTGGTAATTTGGAGGTTAGCAGACACTGACTTTTAGAGTTGCTAGACTTCTTGTGCTAATTCTTTCTCAACTCTGTGGGCTGGTGTTCCTTTAATCTTTGAAGCTGCTGTCTTTTGGATAGGGCTTTCTTTTTTTATATTGTTTGAGGCTCTTAAGGAATTGACTGTGGTGTAAGTTGGGTTTAGTTGATTGGTTTCGTTTCTGGACACTTTAAGGGGGCCAAGGCTTAGTTCAGCACTCCTTAGCGATGTGTTCTAATCCTGGGGGGCTGAGACCAGGATTACTGTCTGGCCCCTAGAGGTTAAGCACCTGCTGTACTGGAGGGATAAGGCATTCCCAGTCTGCTGGTAAAAACACTCTGATGGGGACTGCTGGCAAAAGCACTCTGGTAGGGTGGTGGTGGCTCCCTCACCCTGCACATATGCACAGGTGGGGCAGTGGGGGTCCTTGCTCATGTGCACACCAGCAGGGTACCTGCAGGTGTCCTCATATATTTGTGTACCTATAGGGGTCTGTGCATGCATGCATGCCAGCTGGGGCAGCGGCAGGTCCCTGTGTGAAAAATTATTTTATTTTTTTTGAGACGGAGGATCGCTCTGTCACACAGGCTGGAGTGCAGCGGTGCGATCTTGGCGCACTGCAAGCTCCACCTCCCGGGTTCACGCCATTCTTCTGCCTCGGCCTCCCGAGTAGCTGGGACTACAGACGTCCGCTACCATGCCTGGCTAATTTTTTTGTATTTTTAGTAGAGACAGAGTTTCACCGTGTTAGCCAGGATGGTCTCGATCTCCTGACCTCATGATCTGCCCGCCTCGGCCTCCCTAAGTGCTGGGATTACAGGCGTGAGCCACTGCACTCGGCCACCTGTGTGGAAAATTCTTATGAAAGAATGAGGTGTATTAAAATCCTAGAGCAAAGGTATCATGTTAGGTCCTTTACCTAAAATGGCTCTAGTTTCTTCTTTTCTGAGACACAATGCTAGCTTTGTAAGTGTAGTACTCTATTTCTTATACTGGTTTTGGTAAAGGTTTCCTTTTCCTTCCCTTTCCCTTTCCTTTCTTTCTTTTGCTAGATTTAAATATGGGAGACTGCAATTAAAAATAAGAATCTCTCTGTAACAGATGAAAATATAAGGTATTTCAGAAGTTACTTAGATACCTATGTGTGATTCATTTCTAAGCAAAATTGGAATGTCTTTTGAAATATAATAATACCCCCTACAACTTATAATCCATATTTTATAATATTAAACACATTTTGGACATTTATTTGAAAATATTCAAAACTCAACAGTTTGAATATATATGTTTTTTCTTTTGAGACAGGGTATCGCTCTGTTACCCAGGCTGGAGTGCAGTGGCAGTCATGGCTTGCAGGAGCCTCGATCTCACAGGCTCAGACAATCCTCCCATCTCAGCCTCCCAAGTATGCTGCATGCTGGGACTAATGGCATGCAGCAAAGATGCCCCACTAATTTATTTTTATTTTTTACTTTTTTAAAGACGGGGTCTTATTACGTTGTCTAGGCTGGTCTCAAACTGTTGGGGTCAAGCGATTCTCCTACCTTGGCCTCTCAAAGTCCTGGGATTACAGGCAGGAGCCACTGTAACTGGCCCAGTATGAAGTTTAAATCCAAATGAATCCACCCTATTCATGTCCAGTATTAATGAGTCTTAAACAGAGCAAGTCAAAACTACTGATTTTTTAAAATGATCTTAAAACAAAATATAAACATTAAACACTTTACTAACGGTGTCTTCACTATATGTCTTGTGCCCTTATGTATTTCTTCAAGTTCCACTATTTCAAAACAAGTAACATCATCTTACAACAAAGACATGATAAAACAAGACTCCATTTCAGCAAAATCGATGCAACACATTTTAAGTGATGGGTAACAGATAAATGTGGAGGCTACGAGTTTAGTACACTTGTACTTCTAAGTCTAATAAAATTTCATTTAAATAAGTTTCATTATATACTGTATAAATAATTCCAATGAAAAAGAAAACAGGCCAGGCATGATGGCTCACGCCTGTAATCCCAGCACTTTGGGAGGCCAAGGCAGGTGGATTACTTGAGGTCAGGAGTTTGAGACCAGCCTGGCCAATATGGCAAAACCCAGTCTCTACTAAAAATATGAAAATTAGCTGGGTGTGGTGGTGCACGCCTATTGTCCCAGCTACTTGGGAGGCTGAGGCAGGAGACTCGCTTGAACCCGGGAGGCAGAGGTTGCAGTAAGCTGGGATTGTACCACTGCACTCCAGCCTGGGCAACAGAGTGAGACTCTGTCTCATTAAAAAAAAAAAAAAAAAAGAAAAAAGAAAAGATAGTATACTCATGAATCCTACTTCCATTGTTATTCAATTTAATAATGAGGGTTCATTATGCCAGTAACTACAATAACTACAAATATAAAAATTTTGAGTTTTTAACAAATACAAATATACACACAAATACACCTTCATTGTTTAAAAATTAGTCATTCTGGTAATGTCTACAATTGTGCTAATGATGCTGTCATTGTGTGAAATTTCCTGAATGTTCCTATCATAACCATATTGAGAGCAATTTATTACACAAAATAGAGCTATTTCAAATCATTTTGGTGATTTTAGAATAAAAATTAAAGAAAAGACTCATTATATTAAAGGAAGAGCTTAAATTCTTAAATTGATTTTATTTATATGACATGGCTCTCAATTAGTTTTTAATTTCTCTCAAAAATCGTATCTATCATCAAAGATATCAGTACCTTTAAAAAGTACTATAGGGACCAAAAGTAGTTCTAAAAGAAAAGTTATCAAACTGTTCTAAAAAACTGATAAAAATTTGTTAACACATCTCTTTGGCTTCTCAAGATATCCACTTTGAAAACCCACAGTTTTTATTTGCATTTATAATGTCTGCTTTTTGAGGGTGAAGCAGGGTTAAGGAAGTAAGGATGAAAATGAGAAGAAATTACTCAGTGGTCATAACTGATACAGTGTTAAATGTTCTTAAAATTTGTAACATGCTTTCAAAATCCCAGTGGCACCAGTTTTGGGGACAGTACTTTAAAGGCATACTGGCTTTTTCTTAATTCCACTTACTCTTCCACAAGAAAAAAGAAGGTGAACTCATTTACAACCTCTAATCACCAATCCATTATTTTGAAAACATAAATTCTACCAAAATTAATAATCTGGAATTCAAATATAGTTACTATAGGAGTATTTTTCCATTTCAACATATTTGCTTTAAGATCCCTCATACAAATTTTTTGCAAAAAAACTGCTTCCCAAATTTGTTAGTATTTGTAAGCAGTATTCCTAAGCATGTTCTACATAAATAAAAAATAACATCTTGGGTCAATGAAGCACTTACTGAAACACCTCCTACCCAGATCAAGGTTTACTACTTCTGAATACTACAGTAATGAGACCATACCTTTGTTATATTAGGACATATCTTTTTTTTTTTCTTTTAAGAGCAATACCAGCCTGAACATGTTTTTAAATTAACAATCTTTTGGCCACTAGAGGAGGTCAGTAATATTTTTCGATGTGAAAGCTGATACGAAGGTTACTACTGGTCAAAAAAAAATAGTAACCTTTAGACTAAATCCAATATATATATACCTTTATGCTTTAGACTTTGATGCTTTGAGAACATTTAAAAGCATTTCAAATTAAATAATATAGTTCAAAGTTATCGATTAAATAAAATACCAGAAATGTCTAAAAACTGAATTGAACAAAAAAAAAAAGCCAAAAAACCTCTCTTAAAGTTGCAGCTAAATTTGGTAGCTTGGTTTAATTATGTGGAAGATAAACTCGTACATTATCATTCTGAACAGTTTGTTCATCAGTCTATCTACCCTCCAAAGAAAGTGGTATAAAACATAGTAAAAAGGTTGGCTTTAAAAAAAAAATAGCACTTGCCTTTTGAAAACCTTCTTCTTTTTCCTAATAACACTCTGTAGCAAGAAGCACAGCAAAGAAATTGAGAGAGAAATTAAGTAACTTCCTCATGGTGTCAAAAATTACCTAGCTGTTAATGTCACAGTTCCTCACTCCCACTCCCTCCACCTAAACTACATTGTCTCTCTCCATTTTAATTATGGAAAATGAGAAAATACAAGATTAAATGTTAACATAAGCACAATAAAGGATTTTTCTGAAAATAAAATTCTGAAACCCGTAATAAAATCAAACAAGCTGACTGTGTTGTGAGCATCCATACATTTAACTTCAATATTACTATTTTAAAACAAACCACATGAGGAGCCAGATACAATACCTAAGACAGCAATTTAATCAATAAAATTGTAATTTAAAATACGCAATGGGAACAATTTTAGCTTGTCCAGGTCAATATAAATATATTATCTGAGGTAAAATTTAGCATGACAATTTCATGCTCATTAATATTAAAATTTATTTAGGCTTTCAAATACTTATGGGTCCCCCACTAGAGAAGTTATAGTCTGTAGCAAAAACCCCACAAGAACATGAGTGAGAAAATGTGCTTTTGAATCACTGTAACAGACAATTAGACACATTACTTATTGCCTTCCCTGGGCTTCATTTTATCTGTAAAACGATATGGTTAGTCCAGAAGTGTAATTCTCTATACTAAACCTAAATACCAAGACTCAGACTGAAAATGTACATATACAGTAGAAACCAAATAAGACAGTCCCTTGCTGAACCAGATGGAGAGATATGAAAGAAAACTAACTTTATAAGAAAAGGCTCAACTGACAATAATTTCCAGGAACTGAACCAATCATGAATCAAATAAATTTTAAAACATTTATTTTCTAATAGTATTAAACAGGATTTTTATCATATTTCAATGGTCTAAAACCTAGGTACAGTACAATTAACTTCACTGAATACCCTATTTGCTTACCCTCAAGATACTTTTCTCAAATCACGCTGAAAATCAGAACATTTGCAAAAATTTGCCCACAAACCACCACGGGAGAGCTTTTTCAAATCCTAGTCATTCCTGTATCATAATTTAAAAACTAATATCAAATATAGCAACTCATTTGAAGGTCATTTATGGGAGCTGGTTATTCATTTGGCATTTTCTTCTACTAAACTAGAACATGCGATAAACTTTCCTTTACAGAAATATCTGAATAGGCAAAATGCTAAAGTGACATGAAGCTGGAAAAATTAACCAGGGCCTATCATACACCCTAGTTCCTGTGTCTTAAGCAATGACTTACCTAACTCAGGGCTAAAAAGCTGAGTGTTACAAGTATACTAGAGAGGAAGAAGAGAGTAAGACATTGCTTATGACCATCCAAAGTAAAAAAAAATGCCCAAATATAACATGGTACCATAGAAGTAGAGGGCCATAACAGCTGCCCCCATTCTCTGCTTGGTTTCAACCTTCTTTTCTTACACTTGTAATTCAGGGCTTTTGATTACATAATATCATATACCTGTATCTATGGCTCCCTGTTTCTCTTAGGATCAAGTCCATGCATTGCTAATAAGGTCTTGGTAGAGGTAGAAATACAATTACACTCAACTATCAGCCTCTATATTCATTTAGTATCCAATATTTAAAATGTGTCACAACAGTATTGGTATAAAAGTGTTTTGTTCTAGTATGTACAGTCATGCACTGCATAATGTTTTTGTCAATGACAGACCACATATATGATGGTGGTTCCATAGGATTATAATACCATATTTTTATTGTACCTTTTCTATGTTTTGACATACAAATAATTACTATTGTGTCACAACTGCCTACAATATTCAGTACAATAGCATGTTATACAGGTTTGTAACCTAGAAGCAATATGCTCTATCATATAGCCTAAGTGTGTAATAGACTATACCATCTATACATAAGTTCACTCTATGATGTTTGCACAACAAAATCGACAAACTATGCATTTCTCAGAATGCATCTCTATTGTTAAGAACGTGGGTATTTGTTATAAGGATACACTACATGTTTTGAAACAGTGAAACTATCTTAACCATTAAGAGTACAGTTCAGTAGTGGTAAGTATATCCACTTTATTATACAATTAATCTCCAAAACTTTTTCAGCTTACAAAACTGAAACTCTATACCCATTAAACAGCAACATCCCATTTTTCCCTCCCCCTATCCCTGGCAATCACCATTCTACTTTCTGTCTCTATGAATTTGACTACTCTATGCACCCAATATGAGTGGAATCATACAGTATTTATCTTTTGGTGACTGGCTTCACTTAGCATAGTGTCCTCACGCTTCAGTAGCATGTGGCAGAATTTCCTTCTTTTTAAAGGTTGAGTGATATTCCATTGAATGGATATACCACATTTTGCTTATATATTTGTCCATCTATGTACACATAGGTTGCTTCCATGTTTTTGTGATTGTGAATCATACCAGGAACACGGGTATACAACTCTCTTCAAGATCCCTCTTTCATTTCTTTTGGGTAAATACCCAGAAGTGGTAGATCATATGTTAATTCCATTTTTCATTTTTTGAGGAATTGCCATACTATTTTTCACACTGGCTGTACTATTTTACATTCCTATCAACAGGGCACAAGGGTTCCAATTTCTTCACATCTTTGCCAACACTTGTTATTTATTTGATAATAGCCACCCTAATGGGTTTAAGGTGGTATCTCATTATACTATTAATTTGACTCTGTCACTCAGGCTGGAGAGCAATTTTTATAATTGCTCATGCATTGACTTTTACTAAGATTTTTATTTCTTCATACAACTTAGAGATATTGTCCAGTATGCTTACATTTCACTTCAGAGGACTCCCTTAAGCATTTCTTGCAGTGCAGGTCTAGTAATCTCAGCTCATTGCAACCTCTGCCTCCCAGGCTCAAGCAATACTCACAGCTCAGCTCTCAAGCAGCTGGGACTACAGGTGCACACCACCACGTCCAGCTAATTTTTGTATTTTTTGTAGACATGGGGTCTCATTATGTTGCCCAGTCTGGTCTTAAAGTCCTGGGTTCAAGCAATCCACCTGCCACTGCCTCCCAAAGTGCTGGGATTACAGGCAAGAGCCACTGTGCCCAGCCTTTCTGATTTAGTCTTGGTCAGTGTTGTGTTTCTAGGAATTTGTCCATTTCATCTAGGTTACCCGATTTTAGGGCATAAAATTTTTCATAATGTCTTACACTTCTTTTTATTTTCTATAGTCAGTAGTACAGTAATCCCCTCTTTTCCCTGGTTTCATGTGCATAGATTCAGTTACTTGTGGAAATTCTGATCCAAAAATAGGTGAGTATAGCACAGTAACACATTTTGAAAGGAGAGAGGGAGGGGGAAATAGGGGGAGAGAACGGAAAAGAGAGAAAGAGCCAGAGTGAGCACGCACATGTGCTCACATTCATGTAACTTTTACTATAGTATACGTTATAATTATTCTATTTTATTATTTGTCATTGGTGGTAATCTCTTACTGTGCCAAATTTCTAAAATAAACTTTATCGTAAGTATGTATGCATAGGAAAAAAATTTATATATATACATATAGAGCTCAGTACCATCTGTGGTGTTTCAGGCATCCACTTGGGGTCTTGGAACATATACCCTTGTGAATAAGGTAGGACTGCTATAACATCCCTACGTTAATTCCTGATGTTGGTAATTTGAATGTTCTTTTTTCCTTAGTCCATCTAGCTAAAGGTTTGTCAAATTTCTTGATCTTTTTAAATAATCAAGTTTTAGTTCCAATGATTTTCTCTATTGTTTTTCTATTCTCGTTTTGTTGATTTCAGCTCACATCTTTATTATTTCCTTCCTTTTGCTAGCTTTGGATTTACATTATTTTCCTTTTTAATTTGTAAAGCTATGTTGTTGATTTGAGGTCTTGTTTACTAATATAAGTGTTTATGGCTATATTTCTCCCTTAGCACTGCTTTCACTGTATCCTCAAAGTTTTGGTATGTTTTTATTCAACTCTAAGCATTTTCTAATTTCCCTTGTAATTTTTTCTTTGATCCACTAGTTGTTTAACTTCCATGATTCTGTAAATTTTCCAGTTTTACTTGTTACTAATTTCTCAAGTCACCCAGCTGTGGTCAGAGAGGACACTTTATATGGTATTTATTTCAAAATGGAATAAGATTTAATCTGTGTCCTAATACATGATCTAACCTAGAAAATGTCCCATGTGTACTTGAGAAAAATGTATATATTATAGTTTGGTACAGTGTTCTGTATATGTCTTTTAGACCTAGTTGGTATATTGTGTTAAGTTCTCTGTTTCTTTACTTAATTCTGTCTGGTCTATTACTGAAAAAGGGCATTGAATTATTATTGTAGAACTGTCTATTTCTCCTTTCAATTCTGTTTTTGTTTCATATTATTTTGATGGTCTGTCATTAGATATGTTTATAATTGTTATAGTCTTCTTGCTGCAGTGAACCTTTTATTAATACACAATGTCCTTATTTGTCTCTTAAAACCTTCTCTAACTTAAAGTCTATTTTCTCTGATATTACTATAGCTAACCCTGCTCTCTTTTGGTTGCTATTTGCATGAATATTTTCTTCCATTCTTTCACTTTCAATCTGTTTGTTGTCTTTGGATCTCAAGTGTCATATAGACAGCATATAGTTGATCATTTTTTTTGTTTGTTTTTGCTGTCACCCAGGCAGGAGTGCAGTGGCGTGATCTTGGCTCACTGCAACCCCTGCCGCCCAGGTTCAAGCAAGTCTCCTGCCTCAGCCTCCCGAGTAGCTGGGATTACAGGCACCCGCCACTGCGCTCAGCTAATTTTTATAGTTTTAGTAGAGATGAAGTTTTACCATCTTGGCCAGGCTGGTCTTGAACTCCTGACCTTGTGATCCACCCACCTCAGCCTCCCAAAGTGCTGGAATTACAAATGTGAGCCACTGCGCCTGGCCTGATCATGTATTTTTAATTCATTCTGTCAGTCTTTCAATTGAAGAGTTGGATCCATTTACATTTAAAGTAATTACTGATAAGGAAGAACTTACTTATTTTTGCTATTTTCTATGTGCCTTATTAGTATTTTTGTCCCTCATTTCCTGCATCACTGTCTAGTTTATCACTGTTTAGTTGATTTTGCTTTTCTTTTCTTTTTTTTTTTTTTTTTTGAGACAGAGTCTCATTCTGTCACCAGGCTGAGTGCAGTGGTGCAATCTCGGCTCACTGCAACCTCCACCTCCTGGGTTCAAGAGATTCTCCTATCTCAGCCTCCCAAGTAGCTGGGACTACAGGCCCACGTGACCATGCCCAGCCAATTTTTGTATTTTTAGTAGAGACTGGGTTTCACCATGTTGGCCAGGGTGGTCTTGATCTCTTGACCTCGTGATCTGCCCGCCTCGGCCTCCTAAAGTGCTGGGATTACAGGCATGAGCCACTGCACCCAGCCTAGTTGATTTTTCATAGTGAAATATTTGAATTTTTTTCGTATTTCCTTTTGTGTATTTCTATACCTATTTTTTTTGTGGTTATCATCGGGATGATATTTAACATCCTGAAATTATAACACTGTAATGTGAACTTAAACTAGCTTAACTTCAGTAACATACAAAAACTCTACTCCTTTGAAGCTCTGTCTTCACCCCTTTCAGTTGTTGATGTCACAAAATTACATCTTTATATTCTGTGTGACTAAAAAAATAAGCAAATATTCTTTTAAATCCATTAGTCTACTGAAAACAAAATCTGCAATTACAAACCAGTTACAATACTATTAGCTTTTAGACTAATTGTGTTCTTAAACATGTATCATTTTCTTAAATCATGTAGAAAACAAAAAGCAGAATTACAAACTGTTATTACAATAATTCTAATTTTTATACTTGCTCATGCACTTTTACTAAGATTTTTATTTCTTCATACAGCTCAGAGGTATTGTCCAGTATGCTTACATTTCACTTCAGAGGACTCCCTTAAGCATTTCTTGCAGTGCAGGTCTAGTGGCAAATAGCAAAGCTAATTCCCTTAGCTTTTGTTTATTTGGGCGTGTTTAAATTTCTCCCTCACTTTATTCCCTCATTTTACTGCTGAAAAACTAATTTTTTCTTTCTTTAAGAGACAAGGACTTGCTATTTTGCCAGGCTAAACTTAAACTCCTGGGCTCAAGTGACTCTCCTGCCTCAGCCTTCCAAGTAGCTAGGACTACAGGCACACACCACCACACCTGCTATCTCCTTCTCCTTTGAAGGACACTTTTGTCAGACATAGGATTGGGTTTTTACTGAGATGAGGTCTTGCGATGTTGCTAAAGCTGGTCTCAAACTCCTGGTGTTAAATGATCCACCTGCCTCTACCTCCTGAGTAGCTGAGATTACAGGTGCAATGCCACCATGCCTGGCTCCACAAATATAGGCATCTTGGTTGACAGTTCTTTCCTTTTAGCACTTTGAATACATTGGCCCATACCTTCTGGCTTCTAAAGTTTCTGACAAGAAATCTGTTAATTATATTGAGGATTCCTTTTATATGATGAGCTGCTTCTGATTGCTTTCAGGATACTCTGTATGTCTTTTGAAAGTTGATTTTATCTGTGAATCTCATTGATTTTATCTTATTTGGAGTTCATTAAACTTCTCACATGTTTATATTCATGTCTTTCATCAAATTTGGGAAGTTTTCGGCCATTATCTCTTTGAATATTCTTTCTGCTCCTTTCTCTTTTCTCCTGGCACTCTCAAAATGTATAGGGAGGTCTGTCAGATGTGTCCCATAGTTCTCTTAGGCTCTGTTCACTTCAATCTTTTCTTTTTGTTCTTCAAACTAAATCATATCCGTTGTCCTATATTTAAGTTCACTGATTGTTCTGTTTGTGCAAATCTGCCTTTGAATACCTCTAGTGAATTTTTCATTTCAGTTACTAGAGTTTCTAGCTCCATAATTTCTTTTTGATTTCTTTTCAGGTTTTCTATTTCTTCATTGATATTTCTATTTTGTTCATTTATCTTTTTCTTAACTTTCCCCACATCTTCCTTTAGTTATTTGAGTATCATTAAGGTAGCTGCTTTAAAGTCTTTTGTCTAGTAGATCAGCCATCAAGTCTTTTTCAGGGACAGTTCCTGTTGATCTACATTTTTCCCTTGAAAAAGCCACATTTTCCTGTTTTCTTCTATGCCTTGTGTTTTTTTGTTGAAAACTGGAACTTTGAATTTACTAGTGTGGTAACTCTGGAAATCAGGTTCTTTTTTTTCCTCAGGGTTTGTTATTTGTTATTGTTATTTTTTACTGTCGTAGGCTATTTCTGTGCCAAGGATCCAGCCTGAGGTGGAAAGGTAAGGTCTTCTTCGGATTTTTTCTAGCCCTGCACCTTTCCCTGAGCATGCACAATCATCACTTTCTAATTTTTTGTGTATATGCAGTTGTTTATGAATGTCCTAGTCTTTAATGTCTCGCTCCCAAAAGGAAAAGGAGAAAAGTTAAGGAGAAAGAGGGCATTGGCCCTTCAAGTCTCCTAGAAATCACTACAGCCAGAGGGGGAGGGACCTGCAACAATAATGGTCACCCACCTCTTTTTCTGCACCTCTGTGATAAGAAGCCATAACTTGCAGTCAGAGCATAGATCCCTAGTATTTAGAGGACAGAATCTTTTGTGCTCACTCTGGCTCCCACAAGTGTATGGATTGCTCTAGGAACACATGCACAGCTGCCTGCCACGGGGCTGGGATGGGTGGAGGTACAGGAAGCTACTACTGTGTTAAGAGCTGAAATTAACCGAAATTAACAGCAATTTACCACTCAAGCCTTCCCTGGAACTTGCAAGCCTTTAGCAGACTCCAGAGTTTCAAAACAGTTATATCAGACATATCTGGCTAGGGTAATTGTTGTCTAGGTGGGGAGACAGATTCTGGGTGCTTCCTGCTCTGCCATCTTCCCCAAATCCTATCTCCATCCATAATGTTTTTGAAGGAAAAGGTACACAGAAGAGAAAAATATACCGTTGTCTGGGTTATAAGACTGAAGGTAGTTTCTATATTTTCTTCCTTTTTTAAAAAAAATTTATTTATTTATTTATTTATTTATTTATTTTTTATTTTTTTGAGACGGAGTTTCGCTCTGTTGCCCAGGGTAGAGTGCAGTGGCGCGATCTTGGCTCACTGCAAGCTCTGCCTCCCAGGTTCATGCCATTCTCCCGCCTCAGCCTCCCGAGTAGCTGGGACTACAGGTGCCCACCACCACGCCCAGCTAATCTTTTTTTTGTACTTTTAGTAGAGACAGGGTTTCACCATGTTCGCCAGGATGGTCTCGATCTCCTGACCTCGTGATCCACCCACCTCAGCCTCCCAGAGTGCTGGGATAACAGGTGTGAGCCACCACACCCGGCCTCCTTTTTTTTTTTGTTAAAGAGACAGGGTCTCATTGTGTTACCCAGGCTAACGTGCAATAATGTGATCATAGCTCACTGTAGCCTCAAACTCCAGGCTCAAACAATCCTCCTGACTCAGCCTCCCCAGTAGATGGGACTACAGGCATGTGCCATCATGCCCGGCTTGTATTTTCTTACTTTATAATTAACAAATATTACTTTAAAAAACCATGGTTGAGGAGTCAATAACATTTATGTAATACAACAATTTGCAGGAATAGTTTTAAGACTTGTAAACATTGTTAGAGCTAACTGTATGAGTATTTTAGGTTGCTGTTCTTGAAAAAATAATGTTACTACTTACCAATCAATAATCAATATTCTCATAATCCATTCAATTTCATTTTTATGTAAAATGGGGCTTCTGTGAGAATTAAATAACACATTAAAGTGCTGAATTATTCCTTCTATCCCTCTATATATCAGAGGAGTACTACTAAAAAGAACAAGGGGCTAAGAACTGAACAGCAATATAAGCATTCCTATCTTAATCATTATTTGCCTATGAAGTACATGGACTTCCTGTGTGACTGAAAAATGATAGAACTGTTTTCAGTTACGGTAATATTTTAACCTGCGGGATACTAATTTACTTTGCTACCTATTTTTATTATTCCTACCCCAATGTTGTTTTTCATTCTCAGTATCAGACAAGCTGAGAATATGTACCAAGCAATAACGATAATATAAGTACAATACTTTTAAGTGATTAAAAAGATTTGATGAAAAAGTGCAGTTCTGTGTTGACTTTAGGAAACATTTTCTCCCAGCTAATGTCCTAATACTCAGCAAGCAAAATTGGAAAACAGTTTATATTGCTGTCAATATGTATAAGCCATGTCTCCCACCATTACTTTTCCATATTAAATATAGAAAAAAGCAGAATCCCATGTGTCCCAGTGACTGTCAGAAATCTTCCCTCTTCATTAAATAAAAATTTAAATACCACATTAGGGCATTGTACAGAAATAACTTTTGCAGTATGTAATCTCATTTTCTTTAATATCTTCTGTAAGAATTATATGGAACAGTTATTTAACTCTAGATTAACCTTTTTTTATAACTTGTTATCTAAATAGTTTACAAATTACAGACGAAAAAAGGATAGAGAAATAAGCTGAAAATCTAGTAACAGTAACCTAAATTGTTAGTGGCAAACACATAGTAAACATTATAAAAACTTGAAAATCTGGTAAACTCTATGCAAAATCATAAAATGCATTTTCAGAACATTATACTTGTATAACTGCCAATCCTACCCCTTCCTTTAAACTTTCTTTAAAAACAAATAATTAACAAATTCATAGTAATGTGCTGTGAAATGGCAATTAGACTTTTTTCTTTTACTTTGGGACATACTAAGAGATTAAGGCAGTTAGGGGTTGAAATCAAAAGACAGAAAAATGACAAACCAAGGAAACAGAAACTAAGAATAGGATAGGAGAGCAAAAGTTATGAATAAACAGGAATTACAAAAAAGAGAAAAGAAATAATAGGATGAAACAGATATATTAATTGTAGCTGAGGGCAGGTGATTGGAGTTTTGTTAACAATAAAAGCACTTGAGTTAAGTATACAATTCCAACTTGCCTTGCAGGTAGCGTATTCTAAATTTTCTTGGTTGCTGGGAATTTTCCCATTTCTCAAGGGAATATAGGTTGGCCTCTAGTCCCCATAATCTAAACAGCTTAATTAAAATGAATGGACCTATGACATCAATACTTGTGAGAGCTTCAAATTTTCAATATGCATCTGAGCAGAGGGGACCTCTAGGCTCAGCTTTAGTAGATATTGAAAAATTTTTTTCCAAGTGTGTGCACAATTTATAACTTACATCAGCAATGTATGAGATTACTTGTTGCTCCACGTCCTCACCAACACTTGGTGGTGGTGTTTTTTTTTTTAAAGCCATTCTGATGGGTATATGGTGTTATCTCACTGAGGTTTACATTTGCATTTTTCTGATGATTAATAGCATGGAGTACCTTTATTTATGTTTACTACCCATTTCAGCATCCTATTATGAAGCAGCAGTCAAATCTTCTGGCTTTTCCCCCCTTAAATGAACTTCCTAAACTTTTTGTATTGATTTTTAACAATCTCCCTGTCTTTTTGACATAATATCTTGTTAAGTTACATCTCTTCATTGGTTGCATTAGTTAATATGACTAGCTATCTAAATATCTTCTTTCTTCACTACTCAGTGTACAATCTTCCCAATCCTTTTACTATCTTGGTAAAAGCTAAGCACCTTCCCAGACAGAAGAACCCACCTGAAAAATCACTGACCTTTCTTCTCTCTTTAAGATTTACTTTTTGAAGTATTTGGGTGTAAACCAAAAATAAAATTCTAGGTGCCCCACCAACTAGCTGAATGTACCCTCCTCCTGGCCAAGAGGACCCAACTAAACCTGAAAAACTAGTTCAGACCATGACTGGAAGGGAGGTGGGTCAGGCATGCCTCATTATACTCTCCTTCCTTGGGAGTTCAGGCACGGGGCTGACCAGCATTAACATTAAAACAGAGATTCTAAGACTAACAGAACAGACTCTATAGCTTCCAACCTGACTCTAGTATAACAGCACATGGCAGAGAGTAGGGCCCTGAAAGAAACCAAAGTATTTTCCACCAAAATGTATTTCTTTGACATATTTTGAAATGGCCCCGCAAAACTGTCTCATAGGGGAAACTTACTTCCTATAGAGAATAGAGAACCTTTCCCGATCCAGGTCTTTTTCTGATCCCGAAGAGACTGAGTCTAGAGCCTTTTAAGGATCTGTATAGAAAACATTTGCCTTCTACTGTTTCTGGTGAGGCAGCCACCCATGAGACTTCATCTATGTAAGAAATAACCTTGGTCTCCACAATCCCTTATCTTAACCCAGCCACTTCTTTCTATGATTCTAAGCCTTTAGATAATAACTCAACAAACTGCCAATCAGAAAATATTTGAATCCACCAATGACCTTGTAAGCTTCCCACCCCTTCCAAGTTTTCTGGCTTTTCTGGACTGAACCAATGTATGCCTCACATGTATTGTTGATGTTTTATGTTTCCTAAAACATAACCCAAGCTGTAACCCAACAACCTTGGGCACATGCTCTCAGGACCTCCTAGGGCTGTGTCATGGGTCATGATCCATAACCTTGACAAAATAAACTTCTAATGTCTCAGATGCCAGTTTTCAAATACTGCAGGCAGGAAAAACTGACAAATATGAAGTTACTTTATAAACCCTCGACAACTGAATTGTTTTTATTCCAGAAGACTATAAAAACTAAAGGGGGTTGGTACCTTGTTTTCCTCTTTGATTTCACCAACCTCAAAAATGCTGGTAGTTTGATACTATCTACATTGTGGTGTTTTAAAAAAATTTACTAACCGTGTATGGATTACCGCATGCAATTTGGCAGTTAACTCCCATTATTAGGAACCAAATTCTTGATTTTAATGACTGAAACATCCAGAGACAACATGAAGTTTCTCTGCTGCTTAATAAAGGTCAGTTGTGATTCTATGTACTGATTTTTCTACAGCTTGAGAAAATGGCAGAGCCCCGACTACTGTAAGAACTATTTATGCGTCCTTCCCTCAAAATTTAAAACTCCTGAATGTAAAGAGGAAGTAAAATTTGATCCTCTGTCATCATCATATGATGCAAATAGGTAAATGGAGACTTGGTTCTAACACACTCATGAAATTACTTATATGAAGTAAACACTCAAAATAATGTTATATTTGCATTCTTAAACACTTCCCAGTTAAACCACATTCAAATGCAAAGCTAAGTTTTATATAATTTATAAGGCAGATAAGTATAGAGAGGGTATCTGTTAAAATCCAATATTGATTTTAAATGGCACAAACCAACAGTATGACTTTATATGACCTTGATATTTAAAAACTACTAAGAGTTAATAATTCTGCCATCTAGTTATTTTAGAAGTTTCCTAAGATTATGTCAAATTTAAGACAAAAAAATGAAAGTGTCAACTAAGTAGAAATTGCTCCTAAAATTAGAAAAAACACAGCAAATCAAACTGACTCTGACAGAGCATGGGGGAAATATTTCATTATGGCAAAAGGAACAAAATTTTTAAAAGATCTCTAAATGGGTCTTGAGCTTCACTTAGATGGCTCAACAATGGGGTTCTCTCAGTAAAAAACTTTTTTCACACTTCATTTTATTTCAAGTAAAATATATGTTCCTTTCAAAAAGTGTTTTCCACATAATTTCCTCAAACAGAAATCTCTAACCTTCTCAGGTTGAGAATAAACCTTTCTTTCAAAGTTCATTGATGCTTCACACATGAATTTGGCCTTCACAAAGGGTAAGAACAATTCCACAAATATTAAATGACAAGACAATTGCCTCTAGATTCCCACTACAGAAAATCAACATCTGTAAAAATTACCATTTGGATTCTTCCTCCCTAATTTTATATTTTCATATGAATCTTTGTGTCATGGATAATTTCCACAACGTGGGGAAAGTCTGTGTGGCCCATAGGCACCAACACTTTAGGACCTACTAAGGTTGCTCCTTTATGGAAATGAGAATGTTATACGATTACCATAAACTCTGTCAGAGGCTTTCAAGAAACTTAACTTTTTCAAAATGATTTTTAAATCTCTTAGCGTCAGGAAAGCCTTCGTGCTAGTTTTAGGGATTTGAAGGGTTGAAGTGGGGGAGTACATTTTTTTCATAGTAAGCAGAAACTTTGTTTAATCAAAATCACATGTATTCTAATTGTAGAAGATTCTGAAAATAATCCTATAATTTAAAAAAATAATAGCATCAAAAGTGGTTTATTATATATCTTTGACAAATTATACAGAAAATGCTCACAGAGCCCTTTGACAACAGGCACCTCTTTACTAGAAAAATGTTAGCTTAACTTTACACAATCTTAACTTTAATTCATACAGCTTTCAGTTTTTTCTTAAAGAACTTTTACAAACACTATCTCATTTGACCTCAAGACAGCATGAAAGATGGCTAAGATATTTAAAACAAAACCCTATCTTTAAAAATAATTTAGCATTGTCTCAAAATCATAAGGAGAAATGCAGAATATTAATGGACTCCACAGATTAAAGCCAGCACAATATTTCTAAATAAAATTACTGGTCTGGTATACATATGTCCTTTTCTATGTTATAAATTGAAATATAATTTTTGAATTTAAGAATGACCTCGGGAATAACTTTTTTCTGCAGGGGCTGCTGTATAATGTCACATTGAATTATGTGATTTCTAATACATTGAGAATATTTAAATCATACAGTCATTTCGTTAAAACTTTTCTTGTAGTGAGCAACCATTCTAGAATGGATGCCAAGGAGGGCAAAAACAGTAAAGCTAGACAGAAAGTATTCTGTCAGTAATCACTGTAATACAAACCATGAGGATTTTAAGGGGGAAAAGCCTTCAAATATCACAAATTTCTCCCATAAAATCTGTTTTACAATACTGTAAATTATTTCAAATAAAAAATTTGCGTGCCCAATGCTTTGCTGATTCCTACAAAGAAGTTTAATAAGAATATGTCTGAGTCTTTAAGAAGTTATGGTCTAAATAATATAGATATGAGGAACAAACAGAAAATACAAGAATACTGTGATTCAAGAAGCCCATGATTTATGTCAACAAAACATAATTCACAGAAATACATACTTACAGCACAGAATTGCTTCCTGGCCAAAAGCCCTGGTTCTTGGGTCAGAAAGACCTAGGTCTGAATGCTGACTTCTTCACTAACTAGTTGATTGACCTTGGACAAATTATTTCACCTCTCTATGCCCCAATTTCCTAATCTGTAAAAACAGGATAATAATGCTAATCTCATGAAAGTGAGGAAAAAAATGAGATAATATATATAAATTGTTTATCATGTTAGGCATACATAAATCCTCAAAAATGTTAGCTATCTTCATCACTATCACCATTATTATTGTTTAGAAGTCCTGTAAAATAAAACTCATTTTGTTTGCACGCGTGTATGTATGTGAGAGAGAGAGAGAGAGAGCACGAGTGGAGGGTGCGTGAATGTGCATGTGTGAAACAGATCAATACAAAGAATTTATAATCAGCATAAGGGTCTTCTGGGAAGGATGGAAAAGAAACCCCCGACCTCTTCCTCCAGATGTTGAAAATAACTAAAACCTTCCAGGTAAGCCCTAACAAAAGCCCATCCAATGGCATCAGAACAGAAAAATACAGGTCTACTAATGGCAAGTGGTGCACTGATGAAGTAACTGTGAAATGAACTGAATAAGCTGGAATTATGGGTGCCCAGGCTAACCGCAAAGTATAATACTATTGTTTTATCATGGATAGGTTATTTTGTTGCTTATTTTTGTTAAGGTGTGGGGGTGCTGAGGGTATGGTAACACATACCGTAAACTATCATTATTTTCCTCCTTTCAATAACTTACCAAGGCCACTTAGCTAGTATTAGTTGGTGCTAATGCAGTTTTTGCATTGTTGAAATTTGCCGTTTGATATTGGATTACATTCTTAAATAAATGTGGTTATATTATACATTATTTTAATGTGCATTTCTTGCTTTGTTTTTTGCTAATGACTTATTACTTGCTGTTTATATCTATTTTAGACTACAAAAATGATGTCAGACAAAAAGCAAATAAAGCAAATTCAAAAGATTTTCTTATTTGAGTGCAAAATGGGTCATAAAGCAGCAGAGACAACCTGCAACATCAACAATGCATTTGGCCCAGGAACTGCTAACGAACATACAGTGCGGTGGTGTTTCAAGAAGTTTGCAAAGGAGATGAGAGCCTTCAAGATGAGAAGAGTAGTGGCTGGCCATCTGAAGTTGACAACGACCAACTAAGACCAATCATGGAAGCTGATCCTCTTACAACTACACAAGAAGTTGCCGAAGAACTCAATGTCGACCATTCTACAGTTGTTTGGGATTTGAAGCAAATTGGAAAGGTGAAAAAACTCAATTAAGTGGATGCCTCATGAGCTGAGTGAAAATTTTAAAAATCGCAAGTTTTGAAGTGTCATCTTCTCTTATTCTACACAACAATAAAGAACCATTTCTTGATCGGATTGTGACATGTGACGAAAAGTGGATTTTATACAGCAACTGGTGACGACCAGCTCAGTGGCTGGACCAAGAAGAAGTTCCAAAGCACTTCCCAAAGCCAAACTTGCACCAAAAAAAGGTCATGGTCACTGTTTGGTGGTCTGCTGCCGGTCTGAACCACTACAGCTTTCTGAATCCCGGTGAAACCATTACATCTGAAAAGTATGTTCAGCAAATAGATGCGATGCAATGCCTACAGCCAGCACTGGTCAACAGAAAGGGCCCAATTCTTCTTCACAATGTCTTGACTGCACATTGCACAACCAATGTTTCAAAAGTTGAACAAACTGGGCTACAAAGTTTTGCCTCATCCGCCATATTCACCTGACCTCTTGCCAACTGACTACCACTTCTTCAAGCATCTTGACAACTTTTTGCAGGGAAAATGCTTCCACAACCAGCAGGATGCAGAAAATGCTTTCCAAGAGTTTGTAGAATCCCGAAGCACAGATTTTTATGCTACAGGAATAAACAAACTTATTTCTTATTGGTAAAAATGTGTTGATTGTAATGGTTCCTATTTTGATTAATAAAGATGTGTTTGAGCCTAGTTAAAATGATTTAAAAAATCATGGTCCAAAATCACAGTTACTTTTGCACTAGTCTAATACATAGTAGTGCCAGGATTCAAATCCACATTTGCCAGACTCTGGAGTCTGAAATCCGCTACTGAAACAGTTACCAATATAATATACTGTCCTGTTTGACAATCCACGGGCGAAAAGAAAAATGAGTTCATATTTATCTTGCATAGGTATAGTAGGAGAACTCAGATTATACACCACAATTTGCAGGAGGTTAGCTCATGGGAATTGTTCATAAACAGTCCGTTTACTAATGGTAACAGACAGACAAGAGAATTAACACAAAATTGAATACTCAGAAATCACAAACTAAAAGACAGTACAGTCTCAGGCAAATTACTTAATTTTAATCTAAACCTGTTTCCTCTTCTGCAAAATACTACTTTATTTTTCAGGATAGTAGGGAGAAAATAAAACACATAAAGCACTTAATACAATGATTAGTACTTGGTGATCCTCAATAAGTGTTAGCTCCTATCATTATCATCATTATGCCTGTACAGTTTTATATAGAGGATCAAGACGATAATGCATACTTAAATAGTAAAATTACTAAACTTAGCTTCCACAATCAATATTCCTTAATGATACTGAAGAATGAATCAAGAAACATCTCACTAGCCCTGGTCTATGGGAGGAAAAAAAACAATGACAACATTTGAAATTTCTCCTTCTTACATGTTAAATAACTCAACAATTTACTTTTAGAATTCATATTCTAAATATGAATTCACTTAAATATTCACTGATAGGCTGCTCAGTTGGCATACATCACATATTTTACTTTAGTACATTAAATAATATTAACAACAATTAACAATGATTTCTCCTAGTCTACAAATAAACTATCTTTAAAAATAAGAAAGGGTGGCTGGCTGCAGAGGCTGACACCTGTAATCCCAGCATTTTGGGAAGCTGGCATGGGCAGATCACTTGAGTTCAGGGGTTCAAGATCAGCCTGGGCAACATGGCGAAACCGTGTCTCTACCAAAAATACAAAAAATTAATTAGCCAGGCACGGTGGTGCATGCCTGTAGTCCCAGCTACTTGGGAGGCTAAGGTGAGAGGATCGTTTGAACCGAGGAGGCAGAGGCTGAAGTGAGCCGAGATCACACTCCATGCTGGGTGACAAAGTGACCTCATCTCAAAAAAAAAAAAAAAAAAAAAAAGAAAGGGCAAACTTGTACAATGCATCACAACCCTGCAGTTGAGTATTTTTTTCAGGAACTAAAAATCACTCAAAATTTGTTATCTCAGCTTAAGTCCCACTGCTCTGAGAGAGACCCAAAGATTAAATCTATCCATTGTTCAAAGATGTAAAGAAATCAACACTAAAGGAGAAATATATACTTCGTGCATTAATCTTCACTAAAGGAAGAAAACACAAAACGGGAACCTTGCAAAGGAACTGTCATTGGACTTAACAGAGAAAAGTGAGCAAAATAAAATATGTTTAATTAAAACAGAAAAAAACTTGCCCTGTAATAAAAATCAACTGATTAAGCCCTTAAAGGTCATCTCCATTAAAAATATAGAAATTAATTCTACTTAATAACATCTTTAATCACTAGTGAGACGGCTGGCCCTGATTAAATAACATGAAACAGGCTGTTCTCCTTATATGCACATTTAGCTTCTCTCACCTAACGTAAAACTCTTCATCCAGAAACAAGATGGTATAATTTAGTGAATTTAGTTGAGACTCCAAGTCTCTTGCTTTTCCTATATGCCATAAATGGGGAAATACATCAGTCATTCTGGTAAGTAACTTTGCATATTATCTCATTTATGTCTTACTACTACTTTGAGCAGAAGTACCAACATGGCAGCTGAGAATAAACACTAAGAAGAGGTTAATTAACACAGCCAAGCTCACATATGTCATACATGGCAGAGGCTGCATGCATGGCCTGGCTCCAGAGCATTGAGATTTTTTGAATAGTAGCTCATTTCTCTTTTAAATAATAGAAAAACAATAATTTTTTTCCATATTTAGACTTTTCTGAAGTAACATTACCAAGATAACTAAGACTTAGAAAATGTTTTAAAAACTTAACACTAAAGTTTAAATATATAGTCCTAAAGCTAAAACAAAGAAAAAAAAGAAAGGTAACATAGTCAATTTTATTTAGGCTGGGAGAAATCTTAAATCAATAAACCAAGAAAGAAAAGCTAATACGATTGATAAAGAAGTATGCAATTGTGAAATCTCAGGTGAGACTGGTTTTTCTTGGGTGTGTGGGTGTAGGGGTGTGTGTGTGTGTTTTGTGCTTGTTAAAAATACCCAAAACAGTGCCTGAGATTTCACAATCGCATACTTCTTTATCAATCGTGTTAGCTTTTCTTTCTCAAGCCAGACTGGTTTTTCTTGGGTGTATGGGTATAGGCGCGCGTGTGTGTGTGTGTGTGGTGTGTGTGTGTGTGTTTTGTGCCTGTTAAAAATGTGTGTGTGTGTGTGTGTGTGGTATGTGTGTGTGTGTTTTGTGCCTGTTAGAAATAACCAAAACAGGTGTTTCAACTACAACTTTGTGAAACTCAAACGAACAAGTATAGGCAAGTACGTAAACAAGCAAAACTTCTCTTAAGTCATACTCAAGAATGACATGGTGGATTTAGAACGTTCTCTGTTTTATCATGGTATTACTGAATTAGCTAATAATACAGATTTATTAATGTATTTCTTTAGTCTACTTAATATTTATTAACAGAAGTCAAAGACTAGCTTAAATTATATGAATGTACCTTATATATTTATATAAAAAAGACTTTCTATAGGTTTATCATTAGATAGCCTCACATTTACAAAGAATAACTGATTTACAAATGTTCGTACTAAGAATTTACCCAAAAAGTTATAACAAAAATCAACATTGAAACTTTTATAAGTTGGGGTTTTATAATCCAATGTTATTTCAAAAATCCTTTTATTTAGATCATTAAAAAGGTATTTATTATGAAGCAAAACCTAAATAAAAAATCGAAATGTGTTTTATGAAAAAGGGTATATTTTTGATGTAGTTAACAATGAAAAATATTTATCTTTTTTTTTTTTGAGATGGAGTCTTGCTCTGTTGCCCAGGCTGGAGTGCAGTAGCCCAATCTTGGCTTACCGCAACCTCTGCCTCCCGGATTCAAGCGGTTCTACTGCCTCAGCCTCCTGAGTAGGTGGGATTACAGGTGCTCACCACTAAGCACGGCTAATTTTTGTATTTTTAGTAGAAAAGGGATTTCACCATGCTGGCCAGGCTGGTATTGCTCCTGACCTCAGCTGATCCACCTGCCTCGGCCTCCCAAAGTGCTGGGAATACAGGCGTGAGCCACCATGCCCAGCCGAGTAATATTTATCATAGCAAATACCCTTAGTACAACTAAAGTGTTAAAAATAAAAATTATTTCAAAAATTTACATATGAACTGCTTTAATCTTTATCATCCAAATAATGTTCAATGTTTCAGTAACTAATGTCACATGTCAACTTTTTTTTTAAGGTATTGTCAACAATCTCTTACCTAGTCCTCCATGGACAGGTAAACATTAGGGATCTTACCTTGTGCTGTTCAATGGCATCTATCCATTGCTGTCTATGATCTGGATCCTGAGCACGAAGATACCAAACACTATCATTTACACTAATATCAAATCGACATTCATCAAAATCGTGAGGCTGTGGAGAAAAAGTAGAAAATGAAAAGCAAAGCTAATTATATCCTTAGAAGTGTTACACCCCAAAGCCAAAACATGAACATACTCATTCTGTGCTGGTGGGAGACTTGTTACTTTTTATTTTTCTGCTCAAATAACTTGTCTGAAGATAAGAATGTACAAAGGCACAGTTACCAAAAGCCAAATTTCACTCACTACTCTTACAAATGAGTTGTCACATATGCTACAAACATCTATTTCTAAAACAGAGCTGATATTTTTCATCAAATGCTTTGAGTTAACTAGTGAGAACACCACCAAAAGGATAACTTTTATTTTTATTTATTTTTGAGGTGAGGGTCTTGCTCTATTGCCCAGGTTGGAGTGCAATGGCATGAACACAGCCTCACTCCAGCCTTGAACTCCTGGGTTCAGGTGATCCTCATGCCTCCCAACTGGGACTACTGGCACATACCACCATGCCCTGCTAATTTTTAAAATTTTTTAAAAATGTAGGCTTGCTGGCTGGGCACGGTGGCTCATGCATGTAATCCCAGCACTTTGGAAGGCCAAGGCAGGTGGGTCACGAGGTCAGGAGTTCAAGACCAGCCTGGCCAAGATGGTGAAATCCTGTCTCTACTAAAAATACAAAAATCAGCTGGGCGTGGTGGTGGGCACCTGTAATCCCAGCTACTTGGGAGGCTGAGGCAGAGAATTGCTTAAACCCGGGAGGCCGAGGTTTCAGTGAGCCGAGATTGCGCCACTGCTCTCCAGCCTGGGTGACAGAGTGAGTCCTCCGTCTCAAAAAAAAAAAAAAAAAAAAAAAAAAAGATGGAGCCTTGCTATGTTGCCCAGGCTGGTCTCGAACTCCTGGCCTTAAACAATCCTCCCACCTTGGCCTCTCATGTTGCTGGGGTTACAGGCACAAGCTATTGTGCCGAGCTAAAAGCATATATATTTTTTAAGGCCAAAATAAGTTTTAGAGTAGACATTTACTACTTTTTTCTTACTCCATTATTCAAAAGTAAATGCCCATTAATAATTTTATTTCATTAAATATTCTTGATATCTCATTTATCAAATCTTATGAAATTTAACAAAGCAAGATAAAAATGTTAACATTTCCCTTTAAGTATCTAAAATTAACTTCTAGGCTTTTACATGTCTTTGATAGTAACAACCAGGAGCACTTCCAGCTAAAGGAAAAAAATAAAATGAATATTACATAAGATCTACATGAGCTATCTAGAGAAAACTCCGCATTAAGGTGTAAACATTTAGTGAAAATGTCAACTTTTTGATTCAGTGCTCTTGACTCAAGAATATAAAAAATGAATGTTTTACATCCTTGTTTTTAATCTCAATAAATGAATTAAAATATGACAGGAATACATCACATTTACCACCTCTTTTTCCACCAGATACAGTAGAGAGAGTCAATCAATATCCTCTCCTAAAAAGATTCTTAACCTTGGAGGGAAAAGAATCCGCTCTGGGCAACACGACAGTGAACTTATTTGCTTAACACAATTTACATCCTGTACTCCTCCCAGGGTTTATTGTTTATTCTCTCCCTCCCTTAACAACATCCACCTTTTATCTCATCAGTTTATTTAGCAAACACAATATAAACTAACTCTACCATTTTCTTTAGGCTATGAAACAACTTAAGATAAGAAATCATGGTTCTGACTGATTAAAGGATTCAAGTTAAATTTCCTGAATCAGTATGTGCTGGACAATAATAAACCTACAAATGAGAAGTAGAGTGTGCTAGAAAGAAGCAAAAGGGAAAAACAATGCATATCCTGCTTCAGTAATTATAAATACAGAAAGACATAAGCGATAACGTCCAACATTCATAAATAATGATCATAAATTTAACTGAATTATAAATATCCAGGCATGTTAAGAATCAAGTCTAATTACTGAGAATAGCTTCTTGGAGGAAATGAAACATATGCTATGTAAAGCAGGAGTCCCCAGACTCTAGGTCACAAACCCGTGCCAGTCCATGGGCTGTTAGTAACTGGGCCGCACAGCAGGCAGTAAGCAGCAGGCAAGCAAGCATTACCACCTGAGCTCTGCCTCCTGTCAGATCAGCAGCGGCATTAGATCCTCATAGGAGCACAAACCCTACAACGAACTGTGTATACAAAGGATCTAGGTTGTTCGCTCCTTATGAGAATCTAATGGTTGATGATCTGAGGTGGAAGAGTTTCATCCCAAAGCCATCCCCCGTCACCCACTACATGGAAAAATTGTCTTTCATGAAACTGGTCCCTGGTGCCAAAAAGATTGGGAAATGCTAATCTAAAGAACCAAATAAAGTAAAGCAGATGATCAGTCTATTGCTGTAAGTAGCCCAGGAGTTTTAAACTTTTACTCCATGATAATTCCCATTATATTTCCAGCCAGTATTTCTTAAAATGTTTTACATTTTGTAATGTGTTAAATATACTTATTAAAGTTTTAGAAAAATAAAAGAACATATAGCTCATAATTCACCATTTTCTCTGGCAAACACCTTCTTATGCAGACAAGGGAGCCATTTCTACCATCTATGATCTGGAGCATAGGTGGCACAGAAGAGAAAAGCATGAATTGTAAGTGGTATAGAAAGTCTGTGAATAACACAAAAGTTTTACATCTCAACAAAGTGAAAAAAAAAAAAAAAACGAGAGAAGATGAGTCTACAGGGCAAAGGAAATGACAGATTTGGTTAAGAGGATGTATTATGCAATAAAGCTCACATCACTATATTACACACACATATGTGCCCCAAACTTCTAACAGATTGTTTCATTCAGTAACAATCAATCCTGTCTTTATTAAAAATTTTGATATTTTGCTCATTATACAGTAATTTAGTCCTTTTAAAAAATATTGCAATAAAATATTTATCTTGATTATTGAGTTTTTTCTTGCTTCCTTAAATTTTGTGATTGAGGTAAGTTCCTCACTGGTCTCATTTTCCTTGTTTTGGTGCTGAGAAGTAATTATTAGAAAGAAACAAATGTAGGATAGAGGCCAAAATTAGATGGAAAACATTGAGAGGTGATAAATATAAGATATGATCTAAGGCAGCAGTCCACAAACTTTTTGGGACCAGGGATCGGTTTCATGGAAGACAGTTTTTCCAAAGACAGGTTGCGGGGAATGGTTCTGGGATGAAACTGTTCCACCTTGATCATCAGGCATTAGATTCTCATAAGGAGCGTGCAACCTAGATCCCTCGCATAAATAGTTCACGATAGGGTTTGCACTCCTATGAGAATCTAATGCTGCTGCTGATCTGACAGGAGGCAGAGCTCAGGAGGTAATGTCGGCTTGCCTGACACTCACCTCCTGGTGTGCGGCCTGGTTCCTAACAGGCCATGGACTGGTACTGGTCTGTGGCCCAGGGTTTGAGGACCCCCGATCTAAAGGAAAAAAAGACTAAAAAGTTTAAAGAAGAATTAAGGTGACAAGTGATGAAAAGAGGGCTGACAGAGTTAAAAAAACAAAAAACAGAGTTAAAAACGTGGGAAACAACAACAAAAAGCCAGGTTTAAAAAGTCATGGATGGCCCACGCCTGTAATCCCAGCACTTTGGGAGGCGAGGTGGGTGGATCACGGGGTCAGGAGATCGAGACCATCTTGTCCAACATGGTGAAACCCCATCTCTACTAAAAATACAAAAATTAGCTGGGTGTGGTGGCGCGCGCCTGTAGTCCCAGCTACTCAGGAGGCTGAGGCAGGAGAATCACTTGAACCCGGGAGGTAGAAGTTGCAGTGAACCAAGATGGCGCTACTGTACTCCAGCCCGGCGACAGAGCAAGACTCCGTCTCAAAAAAAAAAAAAAAAAAAAAAGTCATGGACATGTTAAACAGATTTGAGAAAAGCACAAAATGAAAGAAATATAATAATGTAGAGTATCAAAGGAGATAAAGCAAATACTTTAGCTGGTGTTTTCAAACATGAAAATATAACATACATAACAGAAAGACACACTATGCCCAGGAAAAACAGACACAGAAAGATTAACACGAATATATATTCTGTAAAGTTAATTAATTTCAAGAATAAAGGAAATGCTATAGGACACTGTTTCTCAAGGTTTTTGCATTACCAAACCCTCTACCCCACAATTAAATACTAAGGATAAGATTTTTGTCCATTAGAATTTTTTGGGGCCATAAACCATTGTTTTATCTATGATTTCAACCCTCCCGAAGAACCAAGTATCACCACCACTAAGAATGCATGCTACAGGAAAAAGACATCTATAAAAAAGTGGGTTCCATATTTTCTCATGTCAACACTCACTGTTAAGGACAAAAAAATTTCAAAAGGTGAATAAATCCATGGCACTTATACCTACTCCCTACCAAAATAACCTTATAGGAACAAAAGAGACATAAATGTCCAAAAGAAAAAGAAAAAACTTATCACCAAAATTCACAGTTGGAATGTGGTAAATGACTTAACAGGTGTTACCAAAACACCAGGGGTTTGGTCTAGGTCCTGCTGCTCACAGCACAGCAAGCCAATCACTGAGACAATGATTATTGCCAGGGAAGAAGGCTTTATAGGGTGCTAAAGTTGAGACGGGAGGTCAGTCTCAAATCTATCTCCCCGATTAACTAAAATCAGGGGTCTATAGAGGAGGGAAGAAATATAACCATGTGTGGAAACATAAGACTTAGGGAGGGGTAAGGAAAAGGAGTTGCTCAACAGGAAGCAGGTGGTTGGTTAGGCACTTATGCCAGGTAAGAGTTCTGGCATCTCATTGTCCAGATGCAGTGATCTGGTAAGTTTTCAGTTCTTTGATACTACCTGGGAGGCCTGATGGTTGGCTTCCTGAGAAAGGAATTCAGATAAGACAAATGTAACTTTCTCAAGTTTCAAGACTGGGAGGGTCAAGTGCTAGGTTTATGCAAAAGAAACCATAAACATCAGTTCTATGGGAAAACTGGACCAGTTTCACAGGCTTGAGAAAACTGAAAATTAAAAATCTACCAGGGAAAAGAAGACAAAAGAATCAAGCCAATTTGCACACAACATTGGAGAAGTAAAGGAACTGGAGGCAGCAGGTAGCACTAGAGGTTAAGGCATGGATGGAGCTGAGACCAGAATTGACTGAGTCATTAAAAGGTGCAACTAGACCCCTGAAACCCCACATGCCCATCCCAAGCATTGGTGACTACTCACCTACCGCATAGTAACATTAGAGGCCCTACTCTCCACCCTCTGGACAGACTAAATCAGACATTCTTACAGAGAATAGGGTACAGGGTGCTATGGGGGATGCGGGTGAAGGCAAGCAGATAAAGAAAAGTCTTCATATTTAAGGCCTCTTTCCCCTTCTTGGCACCCAGAAGGCTAGGGCCCAAACTTGCATTGTTGCCCAGGGTGGTCTGGTAAAGACTTGAGCAGTGTTTTTTGTTTGTTTTTTGGACACAGCGTCTCACTTTGTGACCTAGGCTGGAGTGGTGCAATCTTGGCTCACTGCAACCTCTGCCTCCTGGGCTCACATGATCCTCCCACCTCAGCCTCTGGAGTAGCTGAGACCACAGATGCATGCCACTACACCTGGATAATTTTTGTATTTTTTGTAGAAACAAGGTCTTGCCATGTTGCCCAGGCCCTGGTCTCGAGCTCCTGGACTCACACAACCCATCTGCCTTGATCTCCCAAAGTGCTGGGACTAGAGGCATGAGCCACCGCAAGTGGCCCGGAGTTTTATACTCAGAATTTTAGGTTCTCTTTCTCTGGCGCTGTAATTTAGGATTATCTCCTTACTATCTAGGTTCTTTTGCCTGGTTCCTACAGCTAAAATGATGGCAGGTTTTCTTTAATGGAGTTTTAGCTCTCTCACATCTCTGCCATGACGGACATGGTTCAGACTGCTCTCAGTCAGGTGCACACATGCATGGTTCAGGAGTCAACCAGAGACTTGAAGAGTTTATATATACAATTCTGAGATCCCTTCCTCTAGCTCTCTCCTTTTTCAAGTTTTCAACTTGCTTTCTAATAGCCCTGGTTAAAGCAAGTAACTTTCCCAGGTTCTACCAGTCAGAAAAATGGTTGGCTGATTTTTCTGTTAGAGTTACAGACACTTAGCACCACCATCACAATGGAGATTTGACCCTATTCTACCCTGACAGTAGGATATCTGATAATTTCCAAATATCCTGCCAAACACTTGTGAGGCTGAAGACTTAAAATTGTCTAAGTCTAGCATCTCTTTTCTGTTTTTACAAATAAACACAAAATATTAGAATTTCTTTACTCAACAAGACAGCTAAATGAATCCTATTAGGTACAAACAAGATGAATCAATCAGTGCTCTATATTGTAAGCCACAGAAATTGATTCTTGCTCACTTAAGAAGAAAAGGAATTCATTTAGAAGGTATTAGGCAGTTCATATTGCTAAGAAATACAAAGAACTGAGATCAGAAAATGGAAAGGAGCCAGGGTAGACTAGGCAACAAAAACCCCTGCTGGGATTGCACCACAGGTGCCATTTGTATGGACAGGACTGCTTCCACTTCTGGACCCTGTAAAGCCACTACTGGCACTGCTTCTACTGGAAACTGCATTCTCCTGCTGCCAGCACTATCAGAAGAAAAACTTCCTGTCTCTTGATTCTCTGTATTGGTCCTGTTATAGAATCAAAGTAAGGCTGGAGAGGAAAACAAGGAAAAGGGGGGGTAGAGAAGGACAGCGCAACATTCTGATAGTTTAGGCCTAATTCATATGCCCATATGCTAACTAAGGGGAGTTAACAAGATAGGAGATTGTAGGATAGAGGAAGCAATTAAGTATCTGGTCTTTACAGATCATTTGAAGGAGACCTTCCACTCACATAGTGGGGAATTCCTCAAAAGCAAAAAGGATTTTGATGATAAGAATGCCACTTAACAACCTATTATCTCTCTTAAATCCACCCTTCTATATACTGTTTTGTGCTACTGGAACTGGGATGCTGCAAACTATATTTCTCCTCTGCCAGCCCCCTTTTATTGGGTTCTGTCAATGTGGGACATTAGATAAGGATTAGAAGCCAGGAACAAGATAGAAGGAACTTGCACCTTGCTGTCTGCACACTGTTTCCATCAGCATCTGCCCAGCAAAAGTCCTTAGCCCTGGCAGTGGCAGTCAGTTCCACTCAAAAGGTTCTTTTAAAACTCCCTGGACCAGCTTCATCTAGATACCTCAGAGATGCCAGTACCAGCTACGCATGCGCCACTTCTTAGTTGTATGAGGTGTCGCTCCACAACATTTCCTTTACAGATTAGTGGGATATTCGAGTATAAGATACACGAGCTATAATCCCCCTTCTAGATGTCTGAGACCCAGCTGCACAAAGCACTTCCTTTAAGCTTCTGAGATAACAAGAGCAGATAAAGAGCAACCCTCTCCAGCTGAGCCTCAACTCTTCAGAGATCCTTTCTCTGAGTTCCGGAAGTACTCATTAGCTAGGTGGCCCTTTCAGCTCAGAGGTTTATTAAGCCTCATTCCAGGAGGGTCCTAAGGTAATGGTACAAACACCAGCAGGCAGCAACTTTTCTTCTGAGTCCCACCTCTGCAGGACTATCCCTCCATACTTACAGGTTCTGATAACCCAAACCACTTCTCTTTGTTGCTGTAGTCTAAGAATTAGAAGCTGGTCCTTGCAATTATCACTTCTGTATTACCTCAATGTTTTTCTTTTATTCTTTCACTTCTCCCACAACTGTTTGAACAATTTCCTATATTAAACACTTTCTGCTAAAATATCTAATGTGGTTTCTGGTTCCAGGTGATCCTCTTTATTGAATGCTGAACATAAAATTCAGAAAACTAATGTCCACACAAAAACATACAGAAAAATATTCATAAAAGCTTTATTTGTAACAGCCCCAAACTGGAAATAACCCAAATGTCCTTCAATTGGTGAATGCCTAAACTGTGGTACAGAGATGGAATACTACCCAGCAATAAAAAGGAACCAATTATTGATGCATTCAGCAACTTAGTGGATTCTCAAGGAAATTATGCTGAGTGAAATAAGCCAATCTCAAAAAGCTATATACTGTATGATTCCACTTTTATAAAATCCTCAAGATAATAAAATTATGGGACTGCAGAACAGCTTAGTGGTTTCCAGCGGTTAGGGATTAGAGAGTAGAATGAAGGGAGAAAGTTGTAACTATAAAGAGGTAGCATATGAAGCCGGACGTGGTAGCTCACGCCTGTAATCCTAGCACTTTGGGAGGCTGAGGTGGGCAGATAGCTTGAGCTCAGGGTTCAAGACTAGCCTGGTCAACATGGCGAAACCCCATCTCTACCAAAAATACAAAAATTAGCTGGGCATGGTGGTGCATGCCTGTAGTCCCAGCTACTTGGGAGGCTGAGTCCAGAGGATCGCTTGAACCAGAGAGGCAGAGGCTGCAGTGAGCCAAGATTGTGCCATAGCACTCCAGCCTGGGCAACAGAGTGAGACTCTGTCTCCAAAAAAAAGAAAAAAAAAAAAAAAAAGTAGCATAAGAAATCTATGGGGCAATAAAACAGTTCTGTAATTTGACTGTGATGATTGTTACAAGAATCTAAGTGATAAATTTGCATAGAACTACACAGATGCACAGATGAGTATATGTAAAACTGGTAAAATATAAATTAAGGTGAGTTGTACCAATGTTAATTTCCTGTTTTTGATATTTTACTATAGCTATGTAAAATCAGACCATAGATGGAAACTGGATGAATAAATGGAACCCATTTACTCTATTTTTACAAGATTTTAAGAATGTACAATTACTTCTAAATTTTACAAGTTTTTGTAAGTGAAAAACTTAAACATTCAACAAAATGCAAAAAGTGGTTGGCCCTTAGTGTTAGAATTACAAGTGGTTTTCTTCTTTAGAAATTTTTGTATTTGGTAAGAGTTTGATAATGGATAGACATTACTTTTGTAATGAAACAAATTAATGTTATAAGAAGGCAGAGCCAGATGGAGAAAGAGGACTCTCCAGTGATCATCCCCCTGTGGAAACATCATTTTGAATAACTATCCATGCATTAACACATCTTCAAAAGAGCTGAGAAAACCAAGTGAAAGTTCACAATACCTGTTTATGGCATACTAATAAGAAAATACCCATTGAAGAGGGTAGAAAGGATAATTTTACAGTATCTGTGTCAACCCTCCCACAATCCTACTCAGCAGAATGCAGAGATATCTCCTCTGCTTGAGGAAAAAAAGAGAAGTGTAGGACTTTCCCTTGGTTCCTAATACTGGGCCTGCCACAGTAAAAATCCAGTGCCAGGCAGACCCCTCATGGTAACTGAATCCAGGTTGGTATCTGTGAACTGAATCTCCTCACCTATCCCAGTGACAGGTGGTAAACTATAGCCCTCACAAAATGGACTCAATCTCTGGCTCCCATCACTGCTGGATGATGACAGCAGCCTTAGGTTTCAGTCAAACCTCAGTAACAGGTAGGCCTCATGATTTTCAGATGCACCCCAGAGCTGTGCCAGCCGTGGTAACAACAGATTCTAGTCTATTGTTATACTGACCATGGTAATTCTGGGTACAGAAAGCCTAATGCTGTAACAGTTGCAACAGTCATGGGCTTAGAGATCACACCAGATGACCTGCCCAGGATCTAACAACATGCTTACTGATAAAGAGCCAGATAAAGCCAGACTGCAAACATTCCAATAAGTACCTATTTCTTCAACATGCGGATATAGATGCACAACAGGAAGGATCCAGAACAACCAGGGAAACATGACCTTATCAAACAGACAAAATAAACTTCCAATGACAAACCCAAAAGAGATGGAGATGTCTCAAAAGTCTGACAAAGAATTCAAACAGCTATTTTAAGGAAGCTCAATGAACTTCAAGAAAATACACAGAAACATTGAACAAAATGAGGAAAATAGCAAATGACAAGATGAGAAAATTAATGGATTGAAATAATAATTAAAAGAAAATCAAACAGAAATACTGGAGCTGAAAAATACAATGAATAAAATGAAAAATGCAATAAAGAACATCAATAGCAAAATCAAAGAAGCAAAAGATCTGTGAACTTGAAGGCAGGTTATTTGAAAATATATGGTCAGGAAAAAAAGAAGTAAGATTGAAAAGGAATAAAAGAAAGCTTACGGAATTTATGAGATAGCATTAAAAGCAAATTTTTGAGTCATTAGAGTTCAAGAGGGAGTAGAGAAAGGCAAACAGGTAGAAAGGTTATTCAAAGAATAAGAACAGAAAACTTTGCAAACCTGGATTCAAAATTTGGTAAAGAATATGCAATAATGATGTAAATTGTAACATCAAAAATTCAAAACACTGAGGGACAGTGTAGTAAAAAGAGTTTATTTTTAGGTTGTTATCAGTTTAAAATAACTATTTTTTTTTGTAAACCTTATGGTAATCACAAAGCAAAAAACCTGCAATAAATACAAAAAATAAATATAAAGCAAGGAATCAAATGTACTATTAGAGATAATCACTTAGCCACAATGACAGTAAGAATAGAAAACAATTAGGAAACAAGTGGCAGCAGTTAAGCCCTTATCTATCAATACATAAATGCCTTAAATATAAATGGATTAAATTCTCCAATCAAAAGACACAGAGTGACTGGTTGGATTTTTAAAAAGACCCATCTATATATTGCCTATAAGGGACTCATTTCAACATATACATACTGAAAGTAAAGAGATTTAAAAAGATATTCTATGCAACTAGAAACCAAAAGACAGTAGGAATAGCTATACTTCTATCAGATGAAATAGACTTTAAGTCAAAAACTAAAAAAGAGACAAAGGTTATTATATATTGATAATTCAGCAAGAGGATATCACAATTATAAATATAATATGCATCCAACACTGGAACACCTAAATATATAAAGCATATATTAACAGATCTGGAGAGAAAGACTACACACAATAATAGTAGGGAAATTCAACACCTCACTTTCAGCAATGGACAGATCATCTAGAGAGAAAATTAACAAGAAAACATCAGAATTAAACTATACTCTGGACCAAATGGGCCTAACACATATACACAGAACATTTCAGTTGCAGAATATATTATTCTTCTTAACTACACATGGGACGTTCCTCACAATAGATATGTTAGACCACAAAACAAATCTTAACAAATTTAAGAAAACTGAAATCATATAGAGTATCTTTTCTGACCACAATGGTATAAAACTAGAAGTCAATAAAAGGAGGAGCTTTGGAAAATTCACACATACATGGAAATTAAACATCATGATCAAGTGATGCAATGATCCAACAATGGTTCAACACAAACAAATCAATAAATGTGGTACATCACATTAACAGAATTGATGGACAAAAACCCTATGATCAATAGATGCAGAAAAAGCACTGGACAAAATTCAACATCCTTTCATAAAAACACTCAACAAATTAGTTATAGAAGAAATGTACCTCAACACACTAAAGGCCATATGCAACAACTCACAGCTAATACACTGAACAGGGAAAAGTTGAGCTTTTTCTCCAAGATCCTGAACAAGACAAGAATACCGACTCTTGCAACTTCTATTCAGCATAGTACTAGAAGTCCTAGCCAGAACAATTAGGCAAGACAAAAGAAATAAATTAAATTGTCCCTGTCTGCAGATTACATGACCCTTATATATAGAAAACCCTAAAGACTCCACCAAAATACCGTCAGAACTAATAAATGAATTCAGTAAGCTTGCAGGGAACAAAATCAACATAAAAAAATCACTAGTGTTTTTATACACTAACAATGAACTATCTGGGGAAAAAAAAGAAGAAAATAATCCCATTTAGAATAGCTACAAAAAGAAAATAAAATACTTAGGAATAAATTCAACCAAGGAAGTGAAAGATCTCTACACTGAAAACTATAAAACATTCAAGAAAGAAATAGAAGACAAAAATAAATGGAATGAGATCCCATGTTCATGAATTAGAAGAATTTATACAGTCTTGTGTCACTTAGCAATGGGGATGTGTTCTGAGAAATATGCTTTTTGGTGATTTCGTCAGCTATACATATCTAGATGGTATAGCCTACTACTCCTACTACTCACCTAAGCTATACAGTACAGCTTATTGCTTCCAAGCTACAAACCTGGACAGCATGTTACTCTACTGAATACTTTAGACAATTATTATACAAGGGTAACTATTTGTGTATCTAAAAATAGAAATGGTTATGCATTAAGCTGTGGTCTTATGATGGCTACAACATCATTAGGTGATAGATAATCTTCAGCCCCATTATGACCTTATGGGACTACTGGCTTAGAAGTGGTATGCTGGGCAGACGTGGTGGCTCATGCCTGTAATCCCAGCATTTTGGGAGGCTGAGGCAGGCAGATCATGAGGTCAAGAGATTGAGACCATCCTGGCCAACATGGTGAAACCCCATCTCTACTGAAAATAAAAATATTAGCTGGGCATGGTGGCGCATGCCTGTAGTCCCAGCTACTCGGGAGGCTGAGGTAGAATTGCTTGAACCTGGGAGGCAGAGGTTGCAGTGAGCCAAGATTGCGCCACTGCACTCCAGCCTTGTGACAGAGTGAGACTTCATCTCAAAAAAAAAAAAAAAAAAAAAGAAAAGGTGGTAGGCTGATGACTGAAACATCACTGTGTGACACATGACTGTATTGTTAAAATGTCTACACTACCCAAAGCAATCTACAGATTCAATGCAATCCTTCTTAAGATACCAATGACATTTTTCATAAAAACAGAAAAGGTAATCCTAAAACTCATGTGGAACCAGAAAAGACCCCAAAGAGCCAAAGGAATCTTAAGCAAGAAGAACAATGCTGGAGAGGATCACACTACCTGACTTCAAAATATACTACACAAAACTATAGGAATCAAATCAACAGGTAACTAGCATAAAAATAGACACACAGACCATTGTAATAGAATAGAGTCCAGAAATAAATCCATGCATTTACAACCAACTAATTTTTGACAGAGATGTGAAAAACACACAATGGGGAAAGGACAGTCTCTTTAACAAATAGTGTTAGGAAAACTGGATATCCACATGCAGAAGAATGAAATTAAATGCTTACTTCTCACTATTATGCAAAATTCAACTGAAAGTGAATTAAAATCTGAAATATAAGACCTAAAACTATGAAACTAGTAGAAGAAAGCACAGGAGCAATGCTCCATGACATTGGTCTGGCAAGAATTTTTTGAATGAAACCTCAAAAGCATAGGCAACAAAATAAAAAATAGATGAGATTTCAACAAACTAAAAAGCTTCTGCACAGCAAAAGAAGCAATCAACAAAGTGAAGAGAAAACCCACAGAATGGGAGAAAATATCTGCAAACTATATCTCTGATAAGGGATTAATATCCGAAAAATATCAGGAACTCAACTCAATAACAAGAAAATAACCCAATTAAAAAAATGCACAAACACCTGAACAAACATTTCTCAGAAGAAAACATATAAATTGTCAACAGGTATATGAAAAAATGCTCAATGTCATAAATCATCAGGCAAATACAAATGAAAACCATAATGAGATATTATCTCCTGTTGAAATGGCTATTAGCAAAAAGACAAAATAGAGTTAAGTGTTGGCAAGAGTGTGGAGAAAAGGGAATCCTCCTACACTTGTTGGTAATGTGAATTAGTAGAGCCACTAAAGAAAACACCATGGAGGTTCCTCGAAAAATTAAAAAAAAACTACCATATAATTCAGTAATGCCACTCCTTGGTATATATCTAAAGTAAATAAAATCAGTATGTTGAAGAGACATCTGTACTTCCTACTTTTATTATAGCTATTCACAACAGCCAAGATATGGAATCAACCTCAGTGTCCATTAACAGATGAATGGATAAAGAAAATATAGTATATGAACACAATGGAATACTACGCAGCCATTTTTTTGTTGTTTTTTTAAGACACAGGGTCTTGCTCTGTTGCCCAGGCTGGAGAGCAGTGGCATGATCATAGCTCACTGCAACCTTGGACTCTTGGGGTGAAGTGATCCTCCTGCCCCACCCTCCTCAGTAGCTAGGACTGCAGGCACATTCTACCATGCCTAGCTCATTTTTTAAATTTTTTGTAGGGACAGGGTCTTGCTATGCTATGCTGCTCAAGCTGTCTTGAAGTCCTGGCTTCAAGTGATCCTCCAGTCTGGACCTCCCAAAGTGCTGGAATTACAGGCATGAGCCACCAAATCTGACTGATTCAGGAATTTAAAAGAAGAAAATGCTGTCATTTTTGACAATATGAATGAATCTGGAGGGCATTAAATGAAACAAGCCTGGCACAGACAGACAAATAACGCATTATTTCCCTCATATGTAGAATCTTAAAAAAGTTGATCTCATGGAAATAGAGAGTAGAATGGTAGTTACCAGAGTCTGGAGTGTTTAGCAGGTGAGGAGGGTTAGGGAGATGTTGGTTAAAGGACACATACTTATGGTTAGATAGGAGGATTAAGTTTAAGAGATAAATTGTACAACGTGGTGACTATAGTTAATGATTACATACTATGTTCTTGAAAAATGCTGAGAGTGGATGCTCAGTATTCTCACTGCAAAAATGATAACTATGTGAGGTAATATATTTGTTAGCTAGACTTAACCATTTCACAATGTATATATACTTCAAAAAAGCATGTTGTGTACAATAAATACATGTTACATGTCAACTTTTAAAATTAATTTTTTTAAAATGTAAAAAAAAGTTACTTTAAAATAAAAGGGCTGGCTGTCAATCTTAATCATTGTTATGAAGGAAGAGAAAGACCCTCTCATATTATTTTATACTCAGTACCTGTTCTAAGAAAAAACAACAGGGAAGTAAAACCAAAGACAGGCAGCCCGGCACCAGGCCCAAAACTGGACATGGGCCTGCCTGGCCTAAACCCAGTAGTTAAAAATCAACTCATAACTTAAAAACCGATGTTATTCATAGATTCCAGACATTGTATAGAAGAACGCTGTGAAACTCCCTGCCCTGTTCTGTTTCTCTCTGACCACCAGTGCATGCAGCCCCTGTCACGTACCCCCTGCTTGCTCAAATCAATCACGACCCTTTCATGTGAAATCTTTAGTGTTGTGAGCCCTTAAAAGGGACAGAAATTGTGCACTTGAGGAGCTCGGATTTTGAGGCAGTAGCTTGCCAATGCTCCCAGCTGAATAAAGCCCTTCCTTCTACAACTCGGTGTCTGAGAGGTTTTGTCTGCGGCTCGTCCTGCTACAGTTACAGTTTGGTGAAATAAAGTTGTAATGAAAATACCTGACAGTAGAACCCACAGCTTAATCAAGTAGAAGATCTGTTCTCTTAGTATATCACGGAAGTCAGTTAAAAATAAATGATTTTAGGCACTAATCCAATCTGAAGAATAATGAATTTAGCCTTACTAATAATGAATTTAGCCTGCCCAGTGGATGATAGTCTCATGTAGTCTATTAGACTCCCTCTACTAGAGAGACAGTCTCTTTAACAAATCGTGTTAGGAAAACTGGATATCCACATGCAGAACAATGAAATTAAATGCTTACTTCTCACCATATGCAAAATTCAATTGTAAGTGAATTAAAATCTGAAATAAAATATCTAAAACTATGAAACTAGTAGAAGAAAGCTCCTATGCCTTCTTCTACTAGAGGGAGTCTAATAATCTCATGTAGTCTATTAGACTATATGAGTCTAATAATCTCATGTAGTCTATTAGACTATATGAGTCTAATAATCTCATGTAGTCTATTTGAGGGAGTCTAATAGACTACATGAGATTATCATCCACTGGGCAGGCTAATGACACAATGAGGACTGAGGTGTTAAAGGAGGCCAACTAGCTATATCTAGTACCTAACATACATGGTATGATACTGGGAAAATACCCACAGTCCAAGGCATGTAAACAAAGTTCTGCAAATCTAGAAACTACATCTTGTCAGTGCCCCAGACATAGAGAGACTCTCAAGTCTAACCTACGATGCTTCTAAGAGATTTAGGAATGTATCAATGAACATACCATACTGACAATTTAATGATTTATAGCAAGGAACAAATGCCATGATAGCCAGACATTTCAATTTTCTGGTAAATGTGCTCCTTGTAAGAATCCTATTCAGAAAAATCAAATATAAAAGTTTCAGCATGGGATCAAAATAAAGAGAGTGAAAAGACTTTTAGTGACCAGTAGCACCAAATTTAGTGTAATGTTTTCCCAATTTTCGTTTTAAGTGATAGAACCCTGTCTGCTGCTGCCCCACCTTCCCAAATCTTAACTTTAATACCTACATATTTTTAAAATGTATGGGAATGGGGAAGGAAAGAAGAGCCCTACCATTTTCTTTTCCCCTCAAGATCATTGTCACTCTCACCAAATGGCTCCTGAGGCATTTTCGCAAAACACGGTGAATACCACGATTAACATATCCTTTGAAAATTACACTGTTCCTGGGGTCCCTTTTCTTAAAACTTGCCAAAGGTCTGTTCTTTCAGATACTTGTTTTCCTGCTTGGGGGCTTAATATTAGCCTTTTTTTTTTCTTTTTCCAACAATTACCAATTTAGCTTTCCTTGGAATCAGTATATTCATATACAGAACTTGCTTATGTTACTTTCCAGCCTATCAGAGGTCACAGATGGTATATAAACTTTTGTAACCTTAGGCAATTTAAACTCTCTGAAGTTCCAATTCCTTATCTATGAATGTGGGGGTAATAATAAAACTTATTTCACTGGATTTTTGAGAGGACAGAATGTGATAATCCACATTTTGCATGTGCAAATAGTGAAAACATTTTGAGCAATGTTTGGAATAGTAAAAGCACTCAAATGTCAGTTATATGCTTTAAAAAACCTATTTTTTATTCAATAAAAAATCAAGTTTTAAAAAACACTAATTTAGTTTTGAAACAATACAAGCTTCTCTAAAACATCTGTCTCTATCAATTCATAGGGATTATTTATTTAACATAAAAACACAAACAAAGGTGGACAAAAGAAACAAGCTTTAGATAATCTGGCAGCATAAAACATTTTAAGTTGTAGATGAATTAAATGGTAAGTTAAAGAGGTTGTTTTCTTGATTCCAATTTGTAACACTGGGCTTCAGATAACTGTATCCCAACTCTGTTAAGATATAAGAAAAGCATGGAAATTGTGATTTTTTTTTTTGCACCTATCACTATCTATTACCATGTATTTAGTATATATAACGGAATGATTAAAAGGAAAACCAAATCATGTCACTCCTCTGTTCAAAGTCCTTCAGTGCTCTCCACGACAAATTCTATACCCCTGAATTAACCTCAGAGCCGCTCTTTCCTCTTCCTAGAATACTCTCCTCCAAATATATTCATTGTTTAGCTGTTACTTCCTTAAGGTTTTGACTCAAGTGAATCCCTTCCTTTGCCACCTTATCTAAAATTTTAACCTCTAACTCCCACCTATTCACACATGCTTCTCATTCTATTTAAAGGCTTGAAAATAAGAAACTAGAGCAAAGGTAGTTAGGTAATCAAAATGATAACTTGTTGGATATATCAAAACCATCAGAACTGGATAGTAAAATACTTCTGCTGCTATCCTAAACAACACTGGAGACAGTGAAAAATACTTCGGTTTTTCTTTTCCATGCATAATGCCCTTCCTTGGAGGCAAAACTGATGCCTTGTTCTGCGTAACTATGGAAAAGCCTGCACATCACATTCAAAAGTCAAGGGGAAAAGACACTTTGTACTCCGAGATGGGGGAAAAAAAAATCCAGTCATCTCACTTAGTTTTAAAGTCCCCCAAATTCCCAAATTAACAAAACCTTGAGCTGTTCCTTTAACTACTGACTCCCTATGTCCTTGACTTCTGCAAAGGTGTTATCTGAAGATACATGATAACCTTTGCAGATATGATAATCATATGCAAAGTATGAAAAACGGTTGTTTTTCCTACTATGTAGAGACTAGATGGAAACTTTGGAATCTTATTTTCCCCCCTTTAAAACTGACAGCATTTTTATTTGGAGAGTTGGTTCTTCTGAAGTCTGTATTCTCTTGTAAACCATCTTTGTAAGTAAATTTCTAAATGTCTTGGCCTCATTTTGATACTGCTTATTGGCTCTCCCCTTACTTGGCTTTCTCTGATCCATAACATCAAGGGTACAGCTGGGCTGAAGACAGGGCAGGTTGAAAGTCTGTATGTAACACAGTAATAGTCTTTTTTTTTAAGATAAAATACGGTAAAATTGGTTAGGTTTTCTACTCTCTGTTGTGTTTCCATGAAACTACATCCCAGCTCATGAAAGACATGAACTATGATACTACCAAAATCTCCTCTGGCACAGTCTTTAAAACCTCTTAGTGTGATTTCTAAAAATTTCTGGGGTTTTGTAACTGCCTTATTGCTTACCCTCATGTCCCGACCATAATGATATATAGCATATATAAGTTCATAGAAGGTCACTTCAATGAGAGTAAAGGTCTAATAAGTTGTAAAAAAAAAAAAAAAAAAAAAACAACCAAACAACAACAACAAAAAGCCTAATATGATACCTACTCTATAGAATATTATCCAGCTATTTTAATAAGCAAGTTTGTATATATAAAAAAAATCACATCAAGGATTAACAGTAACTACCTCTAAACTATATGAGTAGAGCTAATTGTTTTCATTTACTAATTGTTTTCATTTGCTTACCTGTATTTTCCATAAATGATACATAATACTTTTGTTAAAGGAAAAAAAGTTCATTTAAAAATACATAAGACCTGTGGGTAAATATGGTGGCAGATTGATACATTCATCTTGACTTAACAAACCCCACTTAAAAGATAAAAAAAGGCATTAAACTAGAAATAAGAAGATTAGAAGGAAGAGGCCGGGCACAGTGACTCACGCCTGTAATCCCAGCACTTTGGGAGGCTGAGGCGGGCAGATCACCTGAAGTCAGGAGTTCGAGACTAGCCTGACCAACATGGCAAAACCCAGTCTCTACTAAAAACAGAAAAATTAGCCAGGTGTGGTGGCGCAGCACCTGTAATCCCAGCTACTTGGGAGGCTGAGACAGGAGAATTGCTTGAACCCTTAGGGCGGAGGGTGCAGTGAGCCAAGATCCTGCTGCTGCATTCCAGCCTGGGTGACAGAGCAAGACTCTGCCTCTAAAAAAAAAATAAAAAAAAGAAAAGAAAAGAGGAAAAAACACAACAAAAAAAGAGAATTCAATCAAATTTTAGATATCTGAAAGCAAACGAGCAAATTAAGATGTCACAGGTGACTAGGGAAATCTAAGTGTGCAGTGACGGAGGACAAGATAAGATGCAATCTTATTTGTGTCAAAGAACCACAGAAAGAATAAAAAGAATGAGAATCAGCAACTTCAAACACTAGATTCCTCTGAAGCTATAAACAGAAGAACTGATTAAAAGTAAGAAGCAATTAGTCTGCTTAGACACCATCCCTAAAAATAACCAAATTACCCTTCTAGCAGAAGACTAGAGGTTTTCTATTTGGATATGTTGAATTGAAAGAACCCCTAAAGTAAGCACTATCAAAGAAAGCTGAGGAAAAGGGTTCAAAACAGAAAGATCAAGGCAAAGCCTATATTGAGTAGTGAAACTCTCACCCTCTACCCCCTATCTGATACTATTTCTCCATCCAAAGCAAGCAAGGCTCCTCAGAGAAATGGTCCAGGACTGGGGCAAGGGAGGTGTAAGATAAGATGAATCCGGAAAATCTTGAGCTTGAAAGTAAGTACTAAAAAAAAAAAAAAAAAAAAAAAAAAAAAAGCCACACGCGTTTGTCAAAAGGACCAAGAAATCAGCTCGAAGGTGCTTCTATTAGCCATATCTAGGACAATTTTGATCATCAAAATATATAAGTACAGTAATGGATTATAACACATTCAATATTAAGCAGAAACAGGTAAGTCCCCTATGATATTAAATGGGACAAAAAAAAAGACTGTGTTTTGTTGAGTTTTTAATAATAATATGCTAGCTGATAAACTCTGCAATGCTTGCAGCATTAAAAAACTCACTACTTTGCAAACATTATTAAACTAAGATTCAGTGGGTGAGGCATCATAAATAATTGCTAAATTAGAGAAAAGGATGATGATGGAATAAGATTTTTACAGTCTTTTTTTTTAACTTTTATTTTAGGTTTGGGGGTACATGTGAAGGTTTGTTACATAGGTGAACTCTTACCACAGGGGTTTGCTGTACAGATTGTTTCATCACCCAGGTATTAAACCCAGTACCCAATAGTTATCTATTCTGCTCCTCTTCTTCTTCTCACCCTCTACCCTCAAGTAGACCCCAGAGTCCATTGTTCCCTTCTCTGTGTTAATGAGTTCCCACCATTTAGTTCCCACTTATAAATGAGAACATGTGGTACTCTTCCTGCATTACTATGCTAAGGATAATAGTCTCCAGCTCCATCCACGTTCCTGCAAAAGACGTGATCTCACTCTTTTTTATGTCTGCATAGTATTCCATGGTGTCTATGTACCACATTTTCTTTATCTAATCTGTCACTGATGGACATTTAGGTTGACTCCATGTCTTTTTTTTATTGTGAATAGTGCTGCAATGAACATTCGAGTGCATGTGTCTTTATGGCAGAAGGATTTATATTCCTCTAGGTATATATTCAGTAATGGAATTGCTGGGTTGAATGGTAGTTTTGCTTTTAGCTCTGTGAGGAATCGCCATACTGCTTTCCACAATGGTTGAACTAATTTATGCTCCCACCAACAGTATGTAAGTGTTACCTTTTCTCTGCAACCTTGCCAGCATCTGTTGTTTTTTGACTTTTTAATAATAGCCATTCTGACAGGTGTGAGATGGTATCTTATTGTTTACACAGTCTTAACATATATTCCATGGACCTTACCTTCTAGTTTCAAGGAGATACAGAAACTACAAAGAAGAAAAACTAGACAACCCCTTGGCCCTTTGCTGGATTCTTGAAATTACTGTCAAATGAGGGACCACTATCTATGTCTCTAATGTGATACCCTGAGAAAAACACTACATCATTTACATAATATTCTGAACCTAGGTACTTACAGGAGTTACCTACATTATTCTTGCAACTTTTCTATGTGAAATGATTTCAAAATAAGTTAAAAAACAAAAACGATACTTAAAAATACACCATCGGTCAACTCTATTCTTCCTTCCCTCATGAAAGTCCTTTGTAGAAGCTGGTTGCTTAATCTCTCCTTATATCTCATTGTTAAGGAGAGCCAAAGCTCATCAGACATTTGAAGAAAACCTCTAATAATAAAATCACAGACTAAACACAAGGGGGAAAAATGGAATTCTGAAGCAATCGTCAATGCTGCAAGAATCAAACGATAAACTCACACGCATACATGCCCTACGTAATATACGCATACGTGTGCATGCATACACATAACTCCAACTGGGCCCTCTTCCCTGGTCTCCAGACTTTTTTACTCAGTTGCTCTCTCTATTATCTTCTGATAATGCCTAACAGCCTTCTCAACATAATCCAAAATTGATCATCTGATTTGCCTTCCTCAAGAAGGCTTCCACATTTCTGTAAATGGTAACAATACAGTTGCTTCGACCTGAATAATCTGATTTCTCATTTCTCTCACACTCCATAGGAATTCATTAGCAAATCTGCAAATCTTGTCAGCTTTGCCTTCAAAAGAAATCCAGAATCCAAGTGCTTTTCGTAATCTCCACCACTGTTAACTCTGGTCCCAGCCACCAGCATCTCTCATCTGGATTACCTGCAACAGCCTTTAAAGGCTGCCTGATTCTATTTTCCTGCTTCCATCCCTGCCTCCTACAATCTATTCTTAACACAGCAGCCCAAGTGATCCTGTTGCACGGATCAAATCACTCCTCTGCTCAAACCTCCAGCAACTTCCCATCTCGCTCAGCATTAAAGTCAAAGTCCTTATGGATGATCCACAAGGCTCTCCACAACCAGGCCTCACTACCACTTTGCTTTCCCCGTGTCTACTCTGCTCCAGTCGTATTGGCCTTCTTTAACTAGCTTTGGTTGTCCTTTACAACTGCTGTTCCTTCTCACCTGGTCACCACTTCTTCTAAATGGCATGACTCATTCCTTTCCCACCTTCAGACTGCTTCTCAAATTCCCCATTTCACTCATTATAAAAACTGCCCCAATACACACACAGTTTTACATCCCTGAAATAAGGATATATCCTACAAATGATATAAATTTGAATAGTTACTATAGTATATAATTATACGGTGCACCTTAAATTTAGTGGCATCAAACTAATTAAAATACGGTAATATTTAGCCAGAGAAACCTTCCCAGCCCACCCTACAATAAAAGATGTTAAAATAACAAAAGCTACTTAATAAAAATGTGCTTAACAGCCTAAGAGGAACAGACTCCCAAAGTCAGTCTGAATAACTATATCATCCCCAAATGTAAAATATCTTAAACAATTTGTTTTCTGTTTGTAAATCTTAACTGCAAATTTTTCAGGAAAATATATAGGAAAGCTAATTATAACTATTAATTATTCATTTCCAGTTCTTTCATATAACATATTGACTTGATGTATCTGCTTGATTAGTTTAACTCTTCAATTCTGAGAATCTCTAAATAAAACAAAACCCCGTCTTTAATTTTTGCTCTCGAAGGCACGGACACTGACAATATTACTGTGATTTTTGGCTACAATGATAATAAAAGAAAATGCTAATTTTGTGGTTATATATGATCTCTCCTCTCATATGAATCACAATCTAGTAGGATTAGCATACAAAATAATGGGATGTCAGAGATCCCAAAATATATTTTTACAATGTTACCGGAATGTTACAGGACCTTACCAGAACTTATTTGATTATAATTACTTGATAAAAATATATTTTAATGACCTTAACTTAGCTTCTAAAACTACTTCTTTCCTGGGATAGAGCACCAGATGGGCTCTTGGGGTCCCAAATTCCAGGCCTTGGCTCCTGGATGCCATTTCTAGACCAGCCCTGGGCCAGAAGGGAGCTCGCTACCCTAAAAGGAGAGACCCAGGCCTTGCAGGATTCACCACAAGATGACTAAAGAGCCCTTGGACCTTGAGTGAACATTGGCAGTATCCAGGCAGTACTCATTACAGGCCTGGGGTGGTGGTTAACACACGAAGGCACTCTATCATGAGGAAAGGTAAGAGAAGAGTGGAAGGACTTGTGGCTTGGGTGCTAGTTCAGCCCCAGTAAAATAGAGCACCAAGTAGACACCTAAGGATTCTGACTCCAGGCCCCGGCCCAGGGGGTAGCTTGCCACCCTAAAGGGAAGGACATAGCCTGGCTAAATTTGTCACCTACTGACTGACACCTACTGGAGAGCCTTTAGGCCTTGAGTAAATACCAGCAGTAGTCAGACAGTAGTCACTGTGGGCCTTGGGCAAGACCCAGTGCTGTGGTGGCTGTGGGTCTGACCCAGGATAGTCCCAGTGGTAGTGGCCACAGTGGTGCTTGTGTCACCTTTACCCCAGCTCCAGGCAGCTCAACGCAAAGAAACTCCATTTAGGGGAAAGGGTAGAGGACAAGAGTTTCCGCCTGGTAATCCAGAGAATTCTCTTGGATTATACCCAAGATCAGCAAGGCAGTACTATTTGTGAGTCTGCAAGAGTCACAGCATTACTAGGCTTGGGGTGCCACCTAATGCAGATACCGCTATAGCAACTAGGGACTGATCACAACAGTCAGTTCCCATTGAACACTTGGAAAACCTTCCTAAGAAGAATGGGTACAAAGAAGCCCACACTGCGAAGACTGTAATAAATACCTAACTTTTCAATGACCAGAAATCAATGAACATCCATAGCATTAAGAACATCCAGGAAAACATGACCTCACCAAACAAACTAAGTAAGGCACCAGTGATAAATCCCAGAATGACAGAGAAATGTGCCCTTTAAGATACGGTATTCAAAATAGCTATTTTGAGTTAGCTCAATGAAGCTGAAGATAAACAGAGAAGAAATTCAGACTCCTATCTGAATTTAACAAACTGTACAAATTTAATGAAATCAAGTGGAAATTCTAGAGCTGAAAAATCCAATTGATAAAATGAAATATACATCAGTGTCTCTCAACAGCATAATTAATTATGCAGAAGATACAATGAGTGAGCTTGAAGACAGGCTATTTGAAAATATAGTCAGAGGAGATAAAAAAAGAATAAAGAATGTAGCAAGCCTACAAGATCTACAAAATACCCCCAAAAGGGCAACTCTAAGAGTCACTGGCCTTAAAGTATAAATAGAGAGTGAGGTGAAGGTAGAAAGTTTGATTCAAAGCGATAACAACAGAGAAATTAACAAACACAGAGATCAATATGAACATATAAGAAGGTTATAGAACATCAAGAAGATTTAATCCAAATAAGTCTACATCAAGGCATTAAGATTAAGCATAAAGATCCTAAAAGTAGCAAGAGAAAAGAAACAATATACAATGGAGCTCCAATACATCTAGCAGAAGACTTCTCAGTAGAAACATTATAGAACATGAAATAAAGTGCTGAAAAAAACTTTTATCTTAGAATAGTATATCCAGCAAAAATATCCTTCAAACATGATGGAAAAATAAAGACTTTCACAGAAAAACAAAAGCTGAGGGACTTCAACACTAGACCTGTCTTGTAAGAGCTGCTAAAGGAAGTTCTTCAGTCTGGGGAAAAAAAAAAAGACATTAACGAGCAATAAGAAATCATCTGAAGTTACAAAAATCACTAATAGTATGTACACAATCACAGAATATATAACACCTTAATTGTGGTGTGTAAACTACTCATATCTTGAGTAGTAAGACTAAAAGATGAACCTACAAAAAATGATAACTACATCAACTTTTGAAGACACAGACAGTATAACATATAAAGAGAAACAATAAAAAGTTTAAAAGTGGGGGGTGATAAAATTATAGAGTTTTTATGAATTCTCTCTGTTTCTTAGTTTGTTTCTTTTTGTAACCAGTGCTAAGTTATCATGAGTCTAAAATAATGGCTTGTTATTTGAAAGCCTCATGGTAACATCGAATCTACAACAGACAACAGACAAAACCTGCAACAGACAAAAAGCAAAAAATTAAAACATACCACCAGAGAGAATCACCGGCACACGAACATAAAAAGAAAAAAAAAACAGGAAAGAAAGAAAAAAAAGAAGACCACAAAATAACCAGAAAACAAATAACAAAATGGCAGGAGTAAATCCTTGCTTATTAATAACAGTATGAATGTATATGGACTAAACTCTCCAATCAAAAGACAGAGTGACTGAATGGATTAAAAAAAAAAAAAGCAAGACCCAATGATCTGTTGCCTACAAGAAATACACGTCATCTATAAAGACACAGACTGAAAATAAAAGAATGGAAAAAGATATTCCATGCCAATGGAAAGCAAAAAATAGCAGGCTTAGCTATTCTTAGACAACATTTCAAGACAAAACCAACAAGAAATAAGAAGGTCGTTACATAATGACAAAGGGGTTAATTCAGAAGGATATAATAATAGTAAATATATATGCAACACTAGACCACCCAGATATATAAAGCAAATATTAACAGAACTAAAGAGAGAGACCATTATACAATAGCTGGAGACTTCAACACCCCACTTTCAGCACTGGACAGATCATTTCAGACAGAAAATCAAGAAACATCAGACTTAATCTATACTATAGACCAAATGGACCTAAAAGATATTTACAGATCATGTTATACAACAGTTGTAGAGGACACATTCTCCTCAGCACATGGATCACTCTCAAGGCCAGACCATATGTTAGGCCACAAAATAAATCAAAAAATTCAAAATAACTGAAATCATTATCAAGTACCTTCTCTGACCACAATGCAATAATACTACAATTCAATAACAAGAGAAACTTGGAACTAAACAACACGCTCCAGAATGACCAGTTTGGGCCAATGAAAAAAGAAGAAAATTAAACAATTTTTTTGAAACAAATGAAAGTGGAAATAAAACACACAAAAACATACATGGGAGGTTGGGAGTGGTGTTTCACACCAGTAATCCTAACATTTTGGGAGACCAATGCAGGAGGACTGCTTGAAGGCAAGAGTTCAAGATGAGCCTGAGCAATAAACCAAGACACTGTCTACACAAAAATACAAAAAAAAAAAAAAAAAAAAAAAAAGAACAAAAAGAAAGGAAAGAGAGCCTATGGTATACAGTGAAAGTAGTACTAAGAGGGACATTTATATTAATAAGCACTTAGATAAAAAATGTAGAAAACCTTCAAATAGACAACCTAATGATGCATCTTAAAGAAAGAAAAGAGCAAACCAAACCCCAAATTAGCAGAATAAATAATAAACATCAGAGACAAATGAAATTGAAACAAAAAAATACAAAAGATCAATGAAATGAAAAGTTGGTTTTTTGAAAAGATAAACAAAATTGACAAACCTTTGATCAACAACCTAAGAAAAAGAGAGAAGACCCAAATAGATAAAATCAGAGATGAAAAGGGAGACATTATAACTGATACTGCAGAAATTCAAAAGATTATTAGAGGCTACTATAAGCAACTATATGCCAAGAATTGGAAAACCTAGAAGAAATGAATACATTCCTAGACAGATACAACCTACCAATATTGAACCAGGAAGAAATTTAAAACCTTAAGAGACCAATAACAAGTTGTAAGGTCAAAGCTGTAATAAAAAGTCTCAGCAAAGAAAAGCCTGAGACCCAGTGGCTTCACTGTTGAACGTTACTGAACACCGAAGGAAGAACTAAACCAATCCTACTCAAACTATTCCGAAAAACAGAGCAGGAGATACTTCCAAACTCATTCTATGAGGCTAGTATTACCCAGATACCAAAAACAGACAAAGACACATCAAACAAAGAAAATTGCCGGCCAATATCCCTGGCGAACATTGATACAAAAATCCTCAACAAAATACTATCAAACTGAATTCAACAACACATTAAAAAGATTATTCATCATGACCACATGGAATTTATCCCAGGGATGCAAGGATGGTTCAACATACGCAAATCTACGTGGTACATTATATCCACAGAATGAAGGACAAAAACCATAAAGTCATTTAAATTGATGCTGAGAAAACTGATAAAATTCAACATCCTCTCATGATAAAAACCCTCACAAAACTGGGCATAGAAAAAACATACATCAACATAATAAAAGTCATACACAACAGACCCATGGCCTGTATCATAATAAATGGAACAAAAGTGAAAGCCTTTCCTGTAAGATCTGAAAGACAAAGATGTTCACCTTCACCATTGCTATTCAACATAGGACTGAAAGTCCCAGCTAGAGCAATTGAAAAAGAGAAAGAAATGAAGGGTATATGAATTGGAAAGAAAGAAATCAAATTATGCTTATCTGGAAATGATAATGACCTTATATTTGAAACAACCTAAAAACTCCACCAAAACTATTAGAACTGATACATTCAGTAAAGTTGCAGGATACAAAAATACATACACAAAAATCAACAGCATGTCTATATGCCAATAAAAACCTGAAAAAGAAATCAAGTAATTCCATTTATAATAGCTAGAAATAAAATAAGATACCTAGGAATAAACTTAACCAAAGAAGTGAAAGATCTCTACAATGAAAACTATAAAACAGCGATTCAAGAAACTGAAGAGGACACAAAACAACGGAAAGATATCACATATTCATGGACTGGAAGAATCAATATTGTTAAAATGTCCATACTACCCAAAACAATCTACAGATTTGATGCAATCCCTATCAAAATAACAATGACATCGTTCACCAAACCACAAGAAACAATCCTAAAATGTATACAGAACCACAAAAGACCCAGAATAGCCAAAGATATCCTAAGCAAAAAGAACACAACTGTAGGAATCCCACTACCTGACTTCAAATTATACTACAGAGCTATAGTAACCAAAACAGTTTGGTACTGGCATATAAACAGATATACAGACCAGTGAAACAGAACAGAGCTCAGAAACAAATCCACACACCTACAGTGAACTTATTTTTGAGAAAAGTGCCAAGAACATACATTGGGGAAAGGACAGTCGCTTCAATAAATAGTGCTAGGAAAACTGGATATTCATAAGCAGAAGAATGAAACTAGACCCCTACCTCTTGCTATACATTAAAATCATATCAAATGGATTAAATATTTAAATCTAAGGCCTCAAACTCTGAAATTACTAAAAGAAAACACTGGGGAAACTCCAGAACATTGTACTGGTCAAAGATTTCTTGAGAAATACCACGTATGCACAGGCAACCAGAGCAAAAATGGACAAATGAGATCACATCAAGTTAAAAGGCGTCTCTACAGATAAAGAAATAATCAACAAAGAGACAACCTACAGAATGGGAGAAAATATTTGAAAGCTACCCATCTGACAAGGGATTAATAACCAGAATATACAAGGAGATGAGAGAAGTCTATAAGAAGAAATCTAGTAATCCACTTAAAAAATGGTTGAAAGATCTGAATAGACATTACTCAAAAGACAACATACACTGGGCAAGCACATATGAGAAAAGGTATTCAACAACACTAATGACAGAAATGCAACTGAAAACCACAATGAGATATTATCTCATCCCATTTATAATGGCCATTATAAGTGTCCGACAACAGATGAACGAATAAAGAAAATGTGGTAGATATACACAATGGACTACTATTGAGCCATTAAAAAGGATGCGATCCTGTCATTTCAAATAACATGGATGGAACTGGAGGACATTATGTCAAGTGAAATAAGCCAGGCACAGAAAGACAAACTTTGCATGTTCTTACTAATTTGTGTGAGGTAAAAATAAAAAGAATTGAACTCATGAAAACAGAAAGTACAATGATGGTTACCAGAGGCTGGGAAGATTAGAGGGAGGGAGTGTGGAGGGTTAATAAGTACAAAAATATAGTTAGATAGAATTAATAAGAATCTAGTATTTGATAGCATAACACAGTGACTAGAGTGAACAAAAATTTACTGTACATTTAAAAATAGCTAAAAATAGAATGTTTGTAACACAAAGAAATGATAAAAGCTTGTGGTGGATGCTGCATTTACCACGATGTGATTATTACACACTGTATGCCTGTATCAAAATATCTCATCTACCCCATTAATACCTACTATGTACTCATAATATTTTTTTTAAAAAAATGAATTCTTGCCAATTCAAGTCTTCTAAACAACAAAAATAGTAACTTGAAAATGTTGTTTCTTCCAAAAAAGATTTACTTTTATATAGAACTTGCAAATTTATCACTAAAAAGTGTGAATTTAAAAACTAATAAATTATTTGCAAATATACTTCATATAGTATTGCTAAACTGTAAATTTTAAGTTTTAATTTTTATCAAAGTTGTACATAGCTTATTTTAAAATCACTTTTCAAAAGACTTGATATTTAAAGGACTACTTGGTTGGACATAAAATCCTTGATCCACATTTTTTTTCTAAGTTTAAAAACGCTGCTCCCTGTTGCCTTCTTTCTTAATTTTGTAAAGTGTGGTGCTAATCCAATTATTTTTGCTTTTATGATTTGTTCCTTTTCCTTGAAGAATTTTATATTTGATCTAACAGTTTTACTGTTCACAGTTTATCATTCTGGGTTAATTTTCCCAAGTACCCAGTATCCTTTTCAATGGGTACCTCCAGCCTCTTTCTCTATTCTGAGACATTTTTCCTTGATTATGGTTTTAAATAAAGCCTCATTAAAGAAAATTTTTTTCAGAGCCCATATAGCCAAGACAATCCTAAGCAAAAAGAACAAAGCTGGAGGCATCATGCTACCTGACTTCAAACTATACTACAAGGCTACAGTAACCAAAACAGCATGGTACTGGTACCAAAACAGATATATAGACCAGAACAGAATAGAGGCCTCAGAAATAACACCCACACATCTACAAACATCTGATCTCTGACAAACCTGACAAAAACAAGCAATGAAGAAAGGATTCCATATTTAATAAATGGTGTTGGGAAAACTGGCTAGCCATATGCAGAAAACTGAAACTGGACCCCTCCCTTACACCTTATACAAAAATTAACTTAAGATGGATTCAAGATTTAAATGTAAGACCCAAAACCATAAAAACCCTAGAAGAAAACCTAGGCAATATCATTGAGGACATAGGCATTGGCAAAGGCTTCATGACTAAAACACCAAAAGCAATGGCAACAAAAGCCAAAATTGACAAATGGGATCTAATTAAACTAAAGAGCTTCTGCACAGCAAAAGAAACTATCATCAGAGTGAACAGGCAACCTACAGAATGGGAGAACATTTTTGCAGTCTATCCATTTGACAAATGGCCAATATGCAGAATCTACAAGGAACTTAAACAGATTTATAAGAAAAAAAATCAAAAAATGGACGATGGATATGAACAGACACTTTTCAAGAGAAGACATTTATGTGGCCAACAAACATGAAAAAAAGCTCATTATCACTGGTCATTAGAGAAATGCAAATCAAAACCACAATGAGATACCATCTGACGCCAGTTAGAATGGAGATCATTAAAAAGTCAGGAAACAATAGATGCTGGAGAGGATGTGGAGAAATAGGAACGCTTTTACTCTGTTGGTGGGAGTGTAAATTAGTTCAACCATTGTGGAAGATAGTGTGGCAATTCCTCAAGGATCTAGAAAGCAATGCCATTACTGGGTATATACCCAAAGGATTACAAATCACTCTTCTATAAAGACACATGCATACGTATGTTTACTGCAGCACTATTCACAACAGCAATTGCCCATCAATGTTAGACTGGATAAAGAAAATGTGGCACATATACACCATGGAATACTATGCAGCCATAAAAAAGAATGAGTTCATGTCCTTTGTAGGGACATGGATGAACGTGGAAACCATCATTCTCAGCAAACTAACACAGGAACAGAAAACCAAACACCGTATGTTCTCACTTAGAAGTGGGAGGTAAACAATGAGAACATATGAGCACAGGGATGGGAACATCACACGCCGGGGCCTGTCGGGAGGTTGGGGACAAGGGGAGGCATAGCATTAGCAGAAATACCTAGTGTAGATGACAGGTTGGCAGTTGCAACAAACCACCATGGCACATGTATACCTATGTAACAAACCTGCACATTCTGCACATGTATCCCAGAGCTTAAAGTATAATAAAAAACCTTTTTTTCTTCTTCAGAGACTCTAGTAATATGAAAATTAGTCCTTGTCTGTTTTCCATTTTCAGTAATTTTTCTGATCCTTTTTATCTTACTTTCATTCTCTTCATTGTTGTCTACTCTTTCTTCAACACCTGTACGAAATTTTTATTTATTTATTTTTTTTTGAGACAGAGTCTCGCTGTGTCGCCCAGGCTGGAGTGCAGTGGCGCGATCTCGGCTCACTGCAAGCTCCGCCTCCTGGGTTCATGCCCTTCTCCTGCCTCAGCCTCCCGAGTAGCTGGGACTACAGGCGCCCACCACCACGCCTGGCTAATTTTTTATATCTTTAGTAGAGATGGGATTTCACCATGTTAGCCAGGATGGTCTCGATCTCCTGACCTCATGATCCGCCCACCTCGGCCTCCCAAAGTGCTGGGATTACAGGCGTGAGCCACTGTGCCCAGCCTAAATTTTCATTTGACTCTATTTTCAGTATCTGGTAACTTTTTTTCTTCATTTAAGATAATCTATTGTCATTTTCTTTCATCTCTTTGAGTACAATTCTTTTTGCATTTTTCCCCTGGTTTTCACCCATTTTTGTTCTTGATTTTGAATTTGTGACTCAAGGTGGTTCTTCTTATCTTCAAACCCAAGTGTTGTATATTTTGAGTTCTATTTGGAGTGTATACTAATAGTTTTCTTTTGCTTCTTAAGTAGTTTTACGGGATTAGAGGAATTTTCCTTAGTTGATTTGTATGAATTTTTCCCTAATTTTATAAACTAAAGGAAAGGATTTCACTTTCCTTCTGTTTATTTTTGTGATTTGGGGGCATTTTTTCAATATCCTTCGTTTAATGGCATCTTTTTCTTTCTGTCGTTTGCCAAAGTCTAGATACCTCAGTGGAGTTTTGCTTTAATAGTAGAGAAGAGGGTTGTAGGCCTTCTCATTTTTTGGTTCCTTTTTTTCTTGCAGGTCTTTAAAAATTTTTTCCTTGACCATCCAATTTCCAAAGAACTCTTTTGTTTTCCTTTTCTGTCTTCCAGAAGTTAGACATTCAGAAGTGTGTCTCTTTAAATCACATTTAAATGGCTGTCTAGCCCTTTAAAGTACTTATACTTTGAAATCCTTTTCCTGTAATCCTGCTCTGATCTGTCTGGTTAGTTTTTTGCACTGAAAATACAAAAAAAAAGGGTGGATTTAATCTTTCCGGTGGTTCTTCCAGCTCTCCCTCACTAGTGCTCCTTCTGTCTTCTCAAGGAACATATCTTGGTCTAATTTTCCTTGCCACAGGGTCCCCTTGCGGCAATGGGGTAAAAGCATGTAGGACCACTGCACTTGAGTGTGTTACCTTTTTCTTACATGATTATTTTGCAGTTTTGCCATTATCTATCTACAAGTAATGTTCAAGGTGTTGTTTCATGTCAAAATGATATAGATGTGAAGTTATTTTGTATCTTTTAGGGAGATAACATTTTGGGATGCGGCTTACCACAAGCCTACCACCTACCACTGTCTTCAGCTACTCAGAAGCCCACACAGTTTAAAGAGTTAAATCATTCTGAACTCTTTGAGTCAAGGTTTGATATGAAAAACAGTTGTAGCTCTTCTTACCTTTATTTCTCTCTCCCTAATCATTTTCACCTTTTTCCTGATAATACATAAAATAGCCAGCACAACACATGTCATAGTTGCTCAGTCCTTATTTATATTTTAAAAAATCTGATAGTAATGGCCAGGTGCAGTGTCTCACACTGTAATCCCAGCTGTTCGAGAGGCCAAGGCTGGAGGACTGCTTGAGCTCAGGAGTTTGAAACCAGTCTGGGCAACATAGCGAGACTCAGTCTCTACCAAAAAACAAACAAACAAACAAAAAAACTCCCCAAAAATAGCCAGGTGTGGTGGTGCACCTGTAGTCCCAGCTACTACGGAGGCTGAGGCAGGAGGATCATGAGCCCAGGAGGTCAAGGTGGCAGCAAGCCATGATTGCATCACTGCATTCCAGCCTGGACGGCAGCATTAGGCCCTGTTTAAAATAAATAAATAAAATTTTAAAAATCTGATGGTAGAGACAGAAAGATGAGAATGAGATCTAAAGTGGTTCATTGAAAAGCTGTGGTTTAGTTGAGCCCAGGAGGAAAGACAGGCTTTTGATACCAGAGGAGGAAAAGGCATTCCAGATTAATAAAAATTTCAATTGACAAAGTCAGCAAACAATGTCAAGGTGCCAGTTAGACAAGCAGCCAGGTTGGTATAAGGCATGTTCATATGTTCCCCTCATACCTCTTCCCATTTCTGATACAATCACTATACTCAAGAGTTTCCTTAAATTTGAACTTTTACATCGATTGTTGAGATTGTTAGAACAAATAGCACAATACAGTATTTTTTATGTATAACAACTCAATTGATTTACATGTCAGAGCAACTATCAACGTCCAGAGAGCAAGCAGTTAAGAAAATGAGATGATACAAAACACCAGTCATGTCCATTCTTTACTTGAGCAAAGCTATTTTTCCTGCTTTAGGAAAGTGGTTCTCAAACTTTAGGACGCATCAGAATCATTTGAAGGGTTTGTTAAAGAAAGAATGCTGGACTCCATATCCAGGGTTTCTGATCCATTAGGTCTGGGGCAGGCCTGAGAATCTGCATTTCTAACAAGTTCACAGTTTATACTGATGTTACTGCTCTGGAGATCACACTTTGAGTACAATAACCTCTATCGCATTTTCCTCTTATTTAATTCTTCCTTGTTTTGATGGGGCATATCTTTCAGCAGAAGACAGACGTCTGTGTCTGTGGATGTATTTTACTTTTTATTATGAAAAATTTCACATATATGCAAAAAAACAGAATAATGAACCCTCTTACCATCATTTGCCTTCAACAATTATTAACTCATGGTTATTCTTTTTTAAAATCTACATCCTCATCAATTCATACCCTTCCAAAGGCATTATTCTGAAGCAAATTCTAAACATATCATTTCATCTGTAGACATGTAAGTATGCATCTCTAAAATATTTTTTAAAACAACAAGAGGTAAATTTGTTGAGACCATATTTTAAAATGCTTTTAGTCTGTCCTTATACTCGCTTGGTGATTTGGATGCATATATAATTCATTGTCGAAAATAATTATTCTTCAGAAGAATGTAGGCATCAGCCATTGCATCTTAGTTTCCAGCACTGCTTTTGAGAAGTCCACAGTCATTTTGAATCCTTAACCTTTGTTGTTATGTTTTTTCTCTCTGGAAGCATCCAAGATCTTCTTCCCAGTGGTCTGGCTCAGCACAATGTGTCTTTAACATGAGTCTTTTTAAAAATCTATTATACTGGACCTTGCTTGATGATTTCAATGTAAAACTCTTGTCCTTTATTTCTGTGAATTTTTCTTTTATTATTTCATTGATAATCCCTTTCTGCTCTGTTCTCTCTGCCTGGAGCTCCTACTGTTCAGATGTTAGAACTCCTGGATTATTTCCTTAATTTTACCTATGTCCTATTTACTACCTTTAAAAAAACAAAAATCTTTTTCTTTACTTTCTAGAAATGTCTATAATTCTACCTTCTAACTCTTCTAATTTCTTTCCTCACTGCTACCATATTTATAATTTCCAAGAGCTCTTTTTTAACCTCTTCCTTTTTTATAGTATACTTACTTTTTCATGATTTCAAAAACTCTTCTCTCTTTAAAAATACTGACAAATTTCCTTCTTTTTGTTGGACATCTGAATAATGTGTTTCCTAGTGTTGCACTGATTCTCTTGATCTCTTTCATATTGGAAACTTTCTTCATATGACTGATAGTCCTTTGCTGTCTGCTCATTTTTAACAGTAGGGAATCTTCTGACTCGAAACCCAAAGGCTGTACTTTGAGTTTACCAAAAATGGGCTTCACCACAGGATAATCTAGTTGGGCTACTTTGCTAGGGAAGCTATATTGTTATCTTTAGGTCAAAACTTTTACGCTGGTCAGATTCTTAGAAAAGACCCCAGCAACCTCCTGTCCTGAGGATTAAAGTTTGTTGGCCAGAGTTTGGAAGTTGGGGAATAGTGGTGGGATAGGGTCATGTGAGGCTCAGTAGCTAGTTTGCTTGCTTCCCTAATCCCTCCTCTGTATTCAGTGTGATACTTTGATTTCAATTGTATCTGGTGACTACTCCTCTACCCTCCAAGACCAGACACCCACGATTTTTTTCTCTATAGAGGTCCAGTGTGGGGAGGAAATAGAGAGATTTGATTGTTTCTTAAATTGACATATAACTCATCTTCCTTATACACTCTCCACCCCCAACTCTCCATTCCAGGAGGTATCCAGAACTGCTACAATGTTATATAATTATGATGTAGATCTAGTTTTGAGCTTCCCTAACTGATAGTTTAGGATCTGGGTTTCTCAGATTTACTAACTCACTTAGCACTTGACCATTTGTTTTCCAGTTTCTACAATGCTGTCTTCTGTAGTTTCCTCTCTTGTCCACCCTGTCTTTTGGGATTTCGACAGTTTTTAGCCCCATTTCTTTTCTTCATAAGAAGATAAAGTAGATGTACCTTTACCTGGATGAAATTCCTACCTTGTAAAAAGCCAAGTGAAACTATTTGAAGTCTTTCACAACAGGAGACAACCTTACTTTATGAAACTGGGTTTATATGTAAGTTTTCAGGAATCATTACCCTTTCCTATCTCCCACCCTTGAGACATTATCACTTTACAGACTGCCTTAAAATCTAGATAAGATTCAACTGGTCATGGCTTCTCAGTCTTTTGGTTCCGTATAATTAATTTATAAGTAATCTTTTTCAAGTGATGAATCCTCATTAGAGGGAAAGTATATTTTTAAAATACGTAATTGTTGGATAATATATATTCTCTAAATTGGAAACCAAGAGAATAGCTCAGCTTTCTTTATCAGCCATAATTTTCTTCCTTCAATAAAGACATGACCAGGTGCAGTGGCTCATGCCTGTAATCCCAGAACTTTGGGAGGCTGAGGCAGGCAAATTGCTTGAGTCTAGAAGTTCAAGACTAGCCTGAGCAACATGGTCAAACCCCATCTCTACAAAAACACACAAAAATTAGCCAGGCATGGTGGCGCATGCCTGTAGTCTCAGCTACTCGGGGGGCTGAGGCAGAAGAATTACTTCAGCCCAGGAGGTAGAGGCTTCAGTGTGCCGAGATCACGCCACTGCACTCCAGCCTGGGCAACAGACTGAGACCCTATCTCACTTACAAAAAAAAAAAGACAGAGGCCAAGCCTACACAGCACTCACTCAAAGGAAGCTCAACAGGAATACCAGCTTCCCTGGTGAATGCACTACTTAACGAGTTGTCAGCAAGTTTTAAATTTAAGGCTTTGTCACTTTAAACAACAGAGTGCCACTGCAGATCCAATATAAAAAATAAAAATGTAAAAACAGTGAGAAATGTTGCCTCTATACACAAAACATAGAAAAAAGTAAATAATAATGCTGTTCAGAACTCATGCTAAATGACGAGTTAATGGGTGCAGCACACCAGCATGGCACATGCATACATATGTAACTAACCTGCACATTGTGCACATGTACCCTAAAACTTAAAGTATAATAAAAAAATTAGCTGAAAAAAAAATAAATAAATAAAAAAAAGAACTTAGAGCAAAGTCATCAAAATACACATTCAAATAGGTCTTAACTGTAGATAAATTTTTAGTGTTAGTGATAAAAATCAGTCTCTCAGATTGGGAGAAAATATTTGCCAAACATGTACCTGACAAACGTTACGGTATCCAGAATATATATAAAGAATTCTCATAACTCAACATTAAGACAACAAACACAAGATATTTAAACAAACATCACAAGAGATACAGATAAGCAAATGAAAAGATGTGCAACATCATTAGTCATTAGGGAAATGCAAATGGAAACCACAATGAGCTATCACTACATACCTACCAGAATGGTTAAGATTAAAAAAAAAAAAAAAACCCAAAAAATGTGACAATACCAAATGCTGACAAAAATGCCAAGCAAATGGAATTTTCACATAATGCTGGTGAGATGGTAAACTGGTACCGCCACTTTGGAAAACAGTTTCACAGTTTCTTATAAAGTTAAACATATACTTACCTTACAACCTAGCAATCCCATTCATAGGTATCTACCCAGGAGAAATGAAAATATGCTTATGCAAAGACCTGCATGCAAATGTTTAGAGCAGCCTTATTTATTGTATCTCAAAACTGGAAACAAATATATATCCGTCAACTGGTGAATGCATAAGCAAAATATGGTATATCCCTATAGTGAAACAGTATTCAGCAATAAAAAGCAACAAGTTAAGAATACATGTAACAACATGATGAGTAGTAAAAGCATTATGGTAAGTTAAAAGCCAGACACAAAGAGATGCATACTGCATGATTCCATGTATATAATATGCTGCAACAGTGGTTACCAGAGGTTGGGGACACAGAGGGTAACTGACTACAATGGGGCAGAAGAGAACTATCTGGGAGGATGGAAATATTTTATATACTCATGTGGTAATGACTATATGACTGTATGCATTTGTGAAAACTATAACTGTATACTTTAAAAGGGTGAATTTGACCGTGTGTAAATTATATCTCAATGTGATTTTTTAAAAGGCACAACATATCTTTTTTTTAAAAAAAGACATAGAATAAGGAAAACCAAAAAAAGGTAGGAAACAATAAATAGATCAAAGAAAAAAAGACTATCAAGAATACACAGAAAACATATAAAGAGTTAACTATTTTTTTAGGTTGGTAAATAGAACTATTTGGTGGAAGAAAATTTCTGAACAGAGTTGCATGAGAATCTGTTCAAACATGACACGCTACGTATCCCGGCTCTAGTGAGTCAACTGCATCTTTGTCCCCCTTTGATAAAAGGGTCTGACAACTTCTGTTCTTTAATTTTTTAACTGTAGGCTTTACTCCCAACATAAACATTTCACAAAATAAATTTGAGAGACTACTACTATGTGCCAAGAATTGTACCAAGTACTTTTATATGTTATTTCTTTTAATTACATAATCATTCCATACTTAGACATTATCCCCCTTGTTTAATCAGTTAAGGAAGCTGAAAGCTCAGAGAAATTTAGTAATCTGCCAAAGGTACCTTTGGCTGTAAGCAGTGATATGGTTTGGCTGCATCCCCATCCAAATCTCATTTTGAATTGGAGTTCCCATAATCCCCATGTGCTGTGGAAAGGACCTGGTGGGAGGTAATTGAATCATGGGGGCGATGGTTTTATAAGGGCTTTCCCACCCTTTGCTTGGCTCTCATTCTTTTTCCTGCCGCCCTGTTAAGAGGTGACTTCCGCCATGATTTTAAGTTTCCTGAACCTCCCCAGCCAAGCAGAACTGTGAGTCAATTAAAACTCTTTTCTTTATAAAAAGAAATACCCAGTCTCGGGTATTTCTTCATAGGAGCATGAGAACAGACTAATACAGTAAAGTGGTACCGTAGAGAGTGGGGTGCTGCTATAAGGATACCCGAAAATGTGGAAGCAACTCTGGAATTGGGTAACAGGCAGAGGCTGGAACAGTTTGGAGGTTCAGAAGAAGACAGGAAAATGTGGGAAAGTTTGGAACTTCCTAGAGACTTGTTGAATAGCTTTGACCAAAATGCTGATAATGATATGGACAATGAAGTCCAGGGTGAGGTGGCCTCAGATGGAGATGCAGAACTTGTTGGGAACTGGAGCAAAGGTGACTCTTGTTATGCTTTAGCAAAGAGACTGGCGGCATTTTGCCCCTGCCCTAGAGATCTATGGAACTTTGAACTTGAAAGACATGATTTAAGGTCTTAAATTTCTAGGAAGAAATTTCTAGGTGGCAAAGCATTCAAGATGAAGCAGAGCATAAAAGTTTGGAAAATCTGCAGCCTGTTGATGTGACAGAAAAGAAGAACGTATTTTCTGGGGAGAAATTCAAGCCTACTGCAAAAATTTGCATAAGTAACAAGGAGCTAAATGTTATCACCAAGACAATGGGGAAAATGTCTCCAGGGCATGTCCGAGACCTTCATGGCAGCCCCTCCCATCAAACACCTGGAGGCCTAGGAGGGAAAAATGGGTTTCCTGGGCTGGGCCCAGGGCCTTGCTGCTTTGTGCAGTCTTGGGACCTGGCGCCCTGTGTCTCAGCTGCTTCAGCTCCAGCTGTGGCTAAAAGGGGTCAAGGCCACTCTGAGGACAGTTCAGGCCATTGCTTCAGAGGGTGTCAGCCCCAAGCCTTGGCGGCTTTCCCACGGTGTTGGGCCAGTGGGTGCAAAGAAGTCAAGAACTGAGGTTTGGGAAACTCCGCCTACATTTCAGAGGATGTATGGAAACACCTGGATGTCCAGGCATTAGTTTGCGGCAGGAGGGGAGCCCTCATGGAGAACCTCTGCTAGGGCAGTACAGAAGGGAAATGTGGGGTTGAAGCCCCCCCACCCCCACAATCCTCACTGGGCAGTACCTAGTAGAGCTGTGAGAAGAGGGCCACTGTCCTCCAGATCCCAGAATAGTAGATCCACTCACAGCTTGCACTGTGCACCTGGAAAAGCTGTAGACACTCAATGCTAGCCTGTGAAAGCAGCCAGGAGGGGGGCTTGTACTCTGCAAAGCCACAGGGACGGAGCTGCCCAAGGTGGTGGGAGCCCACCTCTTGCATAAGAGTGACCTGAATGTGAGACATGGAGTCAAAGGAGATCATTTTGGACCTTTAAGATTTGGCTGCCTGCCAATTTCTCCCATTTGGAATAGGTGTATTTACCCACTGCCCATACCCTCAATGTATCTAAGAAGGAACTAACTTGCTTTTGATTTCACAGGTTCACAGGTGGAGGGGACTTGCCTTGTCTCAGATGAGACTTTGGATTTGGACTTTTGGGTTAATACTGGAATGAGCTAAGACTTTGGGGGACTGTTGAAAAGGCATGACTGTGTTTTGAAATGTGAGGACATGAGATTTGGGAGGGGCCAGGGGCAGAATGATACAGTTTGGCTGTGTCCCCACCCAAATCTCATCTTGAATTGTAGTTCCCATAATCCCCATGTGTTGTGGGAGGGACCTGTTATGAGGTAATTGAATCATGGGAGTGATGGTTTTATAAAGAGCTTGTCCCCCTTTGCCTGGTTTGCATTCTCTCTCCTGCCGCCCTGGGAAGAAGTGCCTTCTGCCATGATTGTAAGTTTCCTGAGGCCTCCCCAGCCATGCAGAACTGTGAGTCAATTAAATCTCTTTTCTTTATAAATTACCCAGTCTCAGGTATTTCTTCACAGCAGTATGAGAATGGACTAATACACACAGTTAAGGTCTGAACCCAGATTTGACTTCACGGCCCATGCACAACGTTTTAAGCACTTCGGAATTAAGAGTTGCTTTATAAATATTTAACAGTCATGTTCCTACAACCCCTACACAAAATAAAATGCACCACATATACAATTTTCTTAAGCCCAGTGACGTCATAAAATAACAGATGGCAATCAGACTGGGGCTCTTGGCTTAACAGATACTTTGTGTTACGGGTTGAACTGTGCCCCCCTCAAAATCATATTATATGTTCAAGGCTTATCTCCCAGTACCTCTGAATGTTACCTTGTTTGAAAACAGCAGCATTGTGGATTTAATTAGTTAGAATGAGATAACAGTGGAGTAGGTTGGACCCCTAATCCAGTATGACTGGTGTCCTGATAAATAGGGGAAATCTGGAAAAAGACAAATACATAAAAAGAATGCCATGTGTACATGCAGACAGAGATTGGAGTGATGCATCCACAAGCCATGGAGTACCAAAGATTGCCAGCAAACACCAGATGTAAGGGGAAACTCATGAAACAGCTTCTCCCTCACCGCCAACAGAAGGAACCAACCCTGCCCACACCTTGATCCTATTTCCAGCCTCTGGAACTGTGAAACAATACATTTCTGTTGTTTAAGTCACCCAGTTTGTGGTACTTTCTTATGGCAACCCTAGCAAATGAATACATTGTATAATTATATAATTAAAATTATATAATTTTCTGTAAGTTATTTCCACATTCTGAAACCCAGATTTCAACAGGTGCCCTTTTTCATGTTTTTCTTCTTCCAAGGCCTCTTACCAAATATTTTAAGTACTTTCTACTTCACGCTATTTGAGTTACATTATCTGAATCATGTTATTGAAAGATGGAATATATTCTTTTCTAATGAACTGCTAAACAGATAAATTATGAGTTTCTCAAAGCATAAATCTTAGCAGATCGAAGAGTCTCATTTCTTTAAAAATTCACTGACAAATGCTCCTCCAATGAGAATTAACAACTAGTTTCTTATCTAGTGCTTTTATTTGCTGCATACCTTCCTCTCTTTCCTTTAGTTCTCACTAATACTGTTCAACATAGAAAAACTGCACACTTGAGAAAAGGCCTTCTTCTTGGATTTCTCGCTAATTTGGAGTTCTTATAATGACTATTTATGGCACTAATCATCTTTGATGATACCCAATTTGCTGAAGTTCATTTCCATAATGTAATTTCTCATTTTACAATTCCACATTCAAAAATTTTTTACATCTGACTACTATTTGGCACTTTCAAAATTTATGTTTATTTTTGTGGTTCTCTTCAATTTTGAACACTTCCTTCCCTTGCTTTTATATCTCCATTGTCTGTTTTTTTTGTTTTTTTTTTTTGAGACAGGGTCTCACTCTGTCTCCCAGCCTGGAGGGCAATGGCATCACCTTGGCTCCACCTGCGAGGCTGAAGCAGGTGATCCTCCCACCTCAGCCTCCAAAGAAGCTGAGACTACAGATGTGTACCACCACGCCAAGCTGATTTGTGTATTTTTTTGATGTAGAGATGGGGTTCTATGAAGTTTCTTTAATTTTTCCAAGATCTTTCAACTTCCGCTCTTGCAGCAACCCCCTACCTCACCAACTTGCCTAATCACTATTTGGACTTAATTTGTTTTTTAATCCAACAGTAACATTTTCATTACCTTTCAGTTTTCCTTCCAAAAATATTAAAACATAAAACTGGCAAATTTCCCTAAAACCAACCTATGATAAGAATAATAGGAATTCTACTCATCTGGTGATTTTAAAAGTTCAACAAGATATGAGGTATACAAAGGCAGATGCCTAAGGTGAGACATGAAACTACAGAACTTAGGAAAACTAATTCTATCTGAAGATATTATACCAAAAATCTCTACCTGTTTTAACTTTAGTAACTGCAAATAAATTACTTCTATCTTCACCAATGAATCATTAGCAGTTTAAGGAACTGGTTGATGAAATACCCACAATATAATTTTAAACAGAGGATAAGAAGGACAAGCCAAATGCCCAGAAGAGAGTCCAGAAACAACCTTAAATAAATATGGGACCGTAATATATGATGAAAGTGGTGTTTGAAACCACTTGGAAAAAGGTTAGTTATTTAATTAATGCTACCAGGATACATAATTAGTCATGTGGAAAAAAAACTAAAAACATCAATATCACTCCTTAAACTAAAATAACTTCCACAGGAATCAAAATTCAAGTGTAAATTTTAGATGAAAATATATCTACATTCATATAGAGAGATAGTCTTTGAGAGAGAAACACCTATCTAAACAAGTAAATACAGAAGCCGTAATAAAAGATGTCAATAAGAGTATGTAAAAATCTAAGATTTCTCTAGGGCCTAATATAGACTATAAAACAAGCAAAGAAGAAACAGACAAGTGACAATGTGGGGGAAAATATTTGCAACAAATGTGCCAAATGGTTAATTACCATATGAAGAGTTTCTACAAGCCAAAAAGGAAAGAAAAACCAAAAAAAAAGTGCATAAGCAATTGGAAAAGGAAAAAGAAATAAAAATGGGCTATAAATTATTAAGTTACTCAACCTCATGGATAAAAAGTGCAATTTAAAATAATAAGATACCATTTTAATGTAGCAGTTTGACAAATACTTTAACATTTGCCAAACCCAACTTCCTCAATACTTGCGGGTAAGGAGAAACAGAGGCACTCATTCACTACTGGTAGGAGTGAGGAGTGGTACTCTTGAAGGAGTATTTGACAATAACTAAAAACAAATTTTAAAGTACATATTTGTTTCAATAATGATTGTAATAAAAATTAGGCATGATTTAAATGTGCAAAAACAGGGTCCAGGCAAATAAATATAATATATCCACACGATTCAACAGAATATAACAGTTAATGTGTAAGTTGTATTAAAACAAGGTGCAGAACAATAGGCTTAATATGATACCATTTGTGTAAATATTTATGAAAGATATAAACAAATCCTTGTATAGTCCTACATATTTTCTGAAAGGATGACCAGAAATTTAAGTTTGGTTGTCCCTCAAGTGCAAGACTAAAAAGCAGCATGTACTTCTTAAACTTTTTAATGCCACAAATTATATTTTTTATCATGTGCACTTTATTTTAAAAATAGAATATAAAAAGTAAACAGTGTAAATATTCCATAAACATTTGCTTTTAATTGAAACAATTACAACTAACATATTCAGAATATCTACTATGCGGCAAATTTTGTAGCAGGGGCTGGGTCTTCTAAGTATCAAGCTATAATAACTGAAGAATTCAACTGTCTTTCTACAAACACTTATTCTACATACAAATAGCTCTTTTTACACAAAGTAAGGGAATACTATTTTTCCTCTCACCTACTTACTGTCAATCCTTTCACATTAAGGAATAAATTCTCTCAAGACATACTTTCTTCCTTGAAATTATTTCACCCACTTTATTATCACACAGATAAAGAATATTGTTTTTATAAATTAAGAGTGATTTAATCATTAAACTAAGAATGAACTTAAAATGGATTAGGCTCTATCAAGAAATGTGGGTTCAGATGCTAGGTCCACCAACAAATAATATAGTAATGAATGGTTACAGTAAAGTCACATCAACTCTTCAAGCCCAGATTTCTTTGTACGTGAATATTATCAATTTCATAAGAGTGCCATATAAAGAAATTAAACATTTACATTCTTTGTATTCTGACATGAAGTGACAATAGGCATAGCCCATATTTAAGGAAAAAAAATACCAAGAGATGCCTATTAAAATTTAATGAGGAATATTACTATTACATTTATTTATTTAACTAAAGTACATACTCTAATTTGTAAACTCATCCTGAGTTCACTGAATTCAGTTATATTTTTAATTTCCTTTAAATATGTAACATGGAGTCTGTGAACCCAAAGGGCAAGGAAAGTTCAAGTTCAATAATATAAATGCTTGTGTTTTTTCCTATCATCCATTTCATTGTATCTAAGACTACCACACAGATTTTGTTGCCTAATTCATCTTTTTACTTCTACTTTTATCTCTCCTTCAAAGAATTCAAATTGTTTCTTGTTCCTACGCATGTCTTTTACTATGTACCACAATGAAAGTTATGCATGTACATATAGCTATAACAAAAATCAATTACAATAAAGTAACACTGTTTTCTTCCTGAGAAGATGGATATAAATGTTAAAATTTAAATTTTTTGTTTAATTTAAATTAAACATTTAAATTTTTTGTTTAATTTAAATTAAACATTTAAATTAAATGTTTAATTTAAAATTTTCTTTTCTCCAAATAAGCCAGGCAACATTATTATAGTCCATAATTCAAGACAGAATAACTATATTTAAATCCACAGAAACTAGCATGGTACTCTAGGAATACTACTACTTAGAGAATAATAAAGATAAAATTTAATTCCTCCCCATTTTTACATCAATCATTATACTATTTTCAAAGAGTTAAGCATTGCAACTAATAAACATCCAATAATAATACGCAAAAGAAGGGGAGTGGAGGATCAAGGAAAAACACTTCAAGATCGCAAGGTACATTTCAATCCACTATTCTGTCCATTGATATGAATAATGATCTATCTCGGAAGAAAAACACCCAAAATATTAAACTAGATACAATTTCTAAACACATTACAATGTACCACATACCAGTCAAAATAAATACTGAGCCTTTATGTTAAAGCTATTTCCTAAAAATTGTCTCTAAGAATAGAGAGCGTAGTTTCATTATCAACACTTCCAAATATTTCTTCTGTGTTTCTCTAACTTGATATTCAATTCTAAACTTTTGTTTTCAAACTTTGAATATACAAGGGGGGAAATAATGTATAAAAAATAATGTAAAAATACTGTAAGATTTTCCCTAAATGCATAACAAACATACGCTAAGTAAGGATTAGATATTAACGGAAATCTGAAGTATTATATATATATCTTTCACTTTTATAAGCCAAATAAATTCTATCACAAAATGTGACTTCTCTTTGAGTGAGTTAGTAAACTCTGTATTTTTGTTTTAACGTACCCATTTTCAGATTTTAACTACAACAGCTCCCTTAACTGACCTCTATTTAACTGTCTGGCCTTAGCCAACACTTTTTTTTTTTTTTTTTTGGCCCATGGCATGCTGACCATTCTTAACCAGTATGCTATTTTTTGTATTATCAGGTACTTCTGTTCTCACTAGTTGGGTTACATGCTTAACAAGTCAGTTGGTTGTTCCCAAACCTGTTTATGCCAGTTTACTTGTTATAGTTCTTACATATCTTAAACATTATTCATGTCTAATGACTACGAGTGCAAAAAGGAACAGTTGTTTCTATATACTAAGTTAAATGTAAACTAAGTAGGCCAGGCGCGGTGGCTCATGCCTGTAATCCCAGCACTTTGGGAGGCTGAGGTGGGTGGATCACTTGAGGTCAGGAGTTTGAGACCAGCCTGGCCAACACAGTGAAACCCCATTTCTACTAAAAATACAAAAATTAGCCGGGCGTGATGGCACGTGGCTATAGTCCCAGCTACTTGGGAGGCTGAAGCAGAAGAATTGCTTGAACCTGGGAGGTCGAGGTTGCAGTGAGCTGAGACCACAGAACTGCACTCCAGCCTGGGTGACAGAGCAAGACTGTCTCAAAAACAAAACAAAACAAAACAAAAAAACAAAAAAAGAACAACAAAATGTAAACTAAGTAGAATGACTCAACGAAGGTGAGTTATTCTTTTAAAGGGTGTTGAATTGGAGAAAAGTGATGTAACTGCAAAATATAAGGGGAAATCATAAAAAGTTAGAAGGAGCCTATACTTAGAGTTTTTCAAAAGTTATCTTCAGGCTTTTATTCCACATTAGAGAAATCAAAACTGTAAATAGCAAATCATGTGTGAGGAACATGAGAACAGCTTCTCCCAACTCCACAAAGAGATGGCATTAGCTCAATGTTAAAAAGTTTAAAAATGAATTTACATTTATATTTTTAAGTTAAAATTTTAGAATGTTACTTACAAGATGTATTATTTTTAAATATTCAGTAACCTACAAAGTAACTGTCCCAGCCTCAACAAATAAAAAGGCTTCAAACATTTTTTTTTCCTGAAGCCCTTAAACTGGTTTGATATACCCACCAGATAAAAACTACATGTCTATGCAAAATAACAATATGTAGTAAAAACCACAGTAAAATCACTTTATGGAAAAAAGTATTAGAATGTATATTCTACAAGGACAAGGATCTTTATCTTATCCACGGATGTATCCTGAACACGTAGAACAGTTCCTGGTATGTAGCTGACACTCAATAAATATTTGTTGAATGAAGAAGAAAAGGAACTTACTGTGATGACAGCCTTGCTAAGACAGATGGATCCTCTGCAGCCATACTCTGTTTCATCTTCAGATTTGTAGTAACTCAGAGCATTATTTTTCAAAACTACCCAACGATCCTGCCACCCATGAATGTAGTTTGTCCACTGGGAGTGGGAAGGGGAAGGGAAGAGAGAAGAAAACAAAAAATAGAAGTATTTTAGAAATCCAAACTTTGTGAAACAGCAATCTAATTTTAAAACCAAAACGTGAAAAGTCCAACTTAATTCTAAGCATAAACAGTAAAATGATTACAAAAAGTGAAAAGTTGAGATTTTCTAGATTGCATAATGATTTTCAGTAATTTTTACAATATTATAAATAAATCTGTAAGAAATAAAATATAACATTTTCTTCTAACATTTGAAGAATAAAACGAAAGCCAGATTTTGGTTAAAATTATTGTTTATTCTTCGTATGCTTTCATCCTCTCCTAAGTACCTTCATGATATTTGTTTTGGTCCTTGTCATAATTAACATATTCAACAGAGAAGTATGTTCAGTTATGTATGTAGTCTCTCATTCTGACACCAAAGACTGCATGAAGCCTTCTAAATCAACGGAAGTATAAAGTCAATTATTGCTAAACTCTACTTTTGTTGTTATTCCTATATGAAAATTTATAACAGCTGTAACTATATCAAAATAAAAATAATAATCTTTAGTAAGCTGGCATCAACTTTAACTTTTCCTCTACAGAACTGAATAATATTAAAAATGGCCAATACATTTTCCAAGTTCCTCTGAACATGCATTTTTCAAACTCAAGAGTAATAAAACAAAAATAAAATTGCTTTTCAAAAACATATTGGATTGTCTTCAATACCTTAAGAGTTTCTGTGTTGCTAAAGTCTTGCTGCAAAGTGAAGATCACAATAAACTGGAAAAGGCAGAAATGTAACCTTTACAGGAATACTTATTTTTGCATGTTTTTATCTATGCTCTGGGGTGTTAAGTATAGAAAAATCTCAAAAACTATCTGCCAATTCCAAAAACTAATTAAAAATGGATTGCCAAAATATACTGCATTGGCTCAGGCTCTATATCCACTGAGAAATCTTTTATTTTTCTGTTCTCTAATTAAGCATTTTTGAGATTGATTCACTTCTTAAATTTTCTTTTATTTAGTATTTTCTTGAGACAGGGTCTCGCTCTGTCACCCAGGATGGAGTGCAGTGGCACCATCTCAGTTTACCGCAATCTCCTGGGCTCAATCCTCCCACCTCAGCCTCCCAAGTGATTGAGACTACAGGTGTGCACCCCCACATCTGGCTAATTTTTTGTAGAAATGAGGTTTCGCTATGGTGCCAAGGCTCGTCTCAAACTCCTGGGCTCAAGCGATCTGTCTTCCTTGGTCTCCCAAAGTGCTGGGACTACAGGTGAGCCACCATCCCTAGCCAGTTCTTAATTTTTCTAAGCCCCATCATTACAACCACTCTCTGAGAACTCACCCAAGCCAACATTTAACTCATTCTAGTGGCTCCCAATCACCATTTCCTTATTTCTAACTGCTTGAGATGTACCACCACTTAGACACGGGCTTGAAATAAATGATAGTTACCAATAAAACTGAATTCACCTTCCTATAAAGTATACTTCCTTCCTATTTTCCTACTTCCTTGGGGAGACTGCTACTTCTGCTCAGAGTTAGTGTATTAGATATACAAACAGATTAGTGGATATAGGATAAAATAGGCTCAACTATTTTATAACTCATGTGAAGAGAGTTTTGACAAGTTACTTTTGTAAACTTCAGTTTCTTTGCCTGTTGACTGACGGCCGAATAAAATAATGAAAATGCCTAGCATAGTCACAGAAGATACTCAATACCTAAGTGTTCCTTCTCAATATTTATAGCCCATTACCAAAAGCTGCTCATCTTTCCTTCATAGTAAACCCTTAAATTTGCCTCCTCTTCTCATTTTCAACTATTCCAATCAAATTATCCAGTTCCTGTATTCCTTAGGAGACTTAATAATTTTTTCTCTAGTATCTTCTGTTTTTTTCATAATTTACACAAGCTTATTTACTTACTAAGCATATTTGCCTACTTTTCTTACATTGATCGTATTGAGTCTCTAGCTCCAAAACTTACATGGACAACTTCCCACTGACTGTCATACAAATTGTTTAGGGCATTCAAGACCCTTCATGGATTAATCCTACCTCATTTACAATTACCACACTTCATAAGGCTAAACTTTGTGACAGTGGTCAAGTTACTTATTCTCTTTGTGTTCTTTTTTTCTTTGTCAAATTCTCTTAGAGTTAAGTTTAAACAAGAATAGACTTAGAACAGTGCCTGGACATAGTATTTTCTGAATCTGAGGAAGAGTTATACATAGCTAATGAAGCTTAACCTTCAGCATTTCTCACTAGAATAGAACTCTTTCAATGTTAGAGGAGAAGCCCCAGCAATTATGTATCCATAACTTAATATTAGTTCTTATAAGAGACTGAACAAACTGTATCAGCTTCAGGACCCTTTACTCAGTAAGTATTAGCTGTATCATGACACCTGGAAGACAAGTTTTTTGTCTTTTCTCTGCTCTCATAATGTTCCCTCACTCTTCCCCATTTAACAAATACAGATAAGGCAATATGCTAGACACTGCAGGGGAATCAAATATTACTGTGGCCAACAGGCCAGCAGACACAAACTCAAGAGAAAAAAATATATATTTAGAATAAGAGTCAGAAGCAAGCTACAAACAAAATGCTATGGGAATTCAAGTGAAGGAGGTCTTGAATGATGGCAAAATAAGAAAAGGCTTTATGGAAAGGACAGTATTTGGCTTGGACTCTTAAGGATGGACAGAATTTCAAACAGTTTGGTGTGTGGAAAAACAGAAGGTAAACCATGAAGGATGGAGGAAATTCAGAAATTGAATGAGATTATTTTATCCAGGCTTAGGTGCTCTCAAGTCCTACTAAGGCATGCATCTTTTCCCCACCATGATCCATCACGATACTTGCTATAACTAGATAGAATTATTGTCTATCTAGTATTTTTGGAATCTATACACTTAAGTGATTTATAAGAAATATGCTTCATAGGTATTTCCATGTATTTCAGATTACCATATGGAAAATACCCTTTGAACTGGTATATTTCTAATATAAATTTACCCAAGCCCATTCCAAATCCACCCCATTTTGGGGGAGAAACAAAATGAATTGTACCGGGACTTATTTACATTACTCAATGGAAGGAAAAGAACAAAATCCGAGTTCTGACCTTTGTTTAAATTACCAGGTGAATACAAAGAATTCAAACTATATAATTTACATTTAAAAACATCTACCATACTCAGTATGAGTATATATACTCAATTTAGAATACCCTTGATTAAAAAGCTTCCAGAAAACTGTATATAACCATAAATTGGTAAATCTCAGGAAAATTTCCTTCATAGCTTTGAGCAAGAATACCAAAAGCTTTATTCCTATTCATTCTACATATGCAGCAACAGTCAAAATTTAAGCTATTCACCTTCCATAGAGGTGATCAAATACATTTGTATGCATTTAAATATCGAGATTGGTCTTCCATTTTTTTATCTATAGTATACCTACTCCAGAGCACTGGTTACTTTTTCCCCCGGTCACTCCACTCCCCCAACCCCCAAAAAAGTAATTATCAGTAGGTCAAAAGTACAATTTGTTTCGTAAAATACTTAACACATCACAATACTAATATGGCAGTCAGCTTCCCATCTTATGAGCAGTGATGAAACTACCAAAATCACTGAGAAGCAAGTAACCCACTTCCTATTACCAACTGAAAATGTATACCTACTACACAATGTGTTCAATAGAGATTCCTAAATTACAGGATACATTTAATCTAAAGAAATCCTGAGGAGCTTCTCGTTACTGAAAACCTTGCACTGAAATTTCAAGAATGATCACAGCATCAATATACAACATAATTTTGCTGCTATACAAATAAAAGTCAACACTTGCAATCCTTAGTTCTGACTACTCATGCCTTTCCTGGCCCCCTTCTCATTAGCTTTCTAGACATTATAAAAGCCTAATATGAAACAATTCCACAAATAATGTCCAAGTGATTTGCCAAATATGAATACTGGAAACAGGGTGATTTCTTAATAGCCACTGGCTGCACATGACATAGTATCTTATGACCAGCTTGTTGAGGGACTGGCCCAGCTCCCCCTCTCCAAGTTAACTGCTAGCTCCAGCCATGTCTAAAAAAGTTTAACAGGAAGGGAGAGAGAAGTCAAAAAGGCTACGTGAATCTTCTTACAGCAAAAACTTAAAAAAAAAATCCCCACAACTATGTAATATCAAGAGATCATCCACCTGCAGTCCTATAATGACTGCTTTGCTAAAATTTTGATACAGGGATTTTAAAAAATATATAAAAGATAAAACATCTTTTCCTTACCCTCGACCCCTTACCGCAAAAATATTTTATTATTAAGTAATGCTCTTCCTGGACTAAAGATCAGTCTCCATTCTCACATGTTCCAAGTTACTATGAATATTTCCTGTACCCATCATGTGCCGATTCAATATCTCTATTCTGAACTAAGGTACAGGGTGAGGGAGAAAGTCCTCCACATTCATCTGTCTCACTACATCTAACCTAGCAGAATTCAACACCTCAAATTTCAACACCAAGCTGAGTCGCTCCAGCTTCTGTCGAAAGAGTTGCGTCCGCAGTGCCCCCCAACCTACTCGGCTTGGCATCCTCAGAGAGACCAACCTCTTTTAAGAGGTCCGACTTGAACCGCTCCCATGCCCAGTCGTTCGGACACCGCTGAAGCCCAACCCGGATTCCTTACACCCGGGACAGCTGCCGCCCTAAGTCCCAAGTCACGGCGCGCATCTGGCCTCCCAAACTGGATCTCAGGTTTATACACCCTTTCCCTGGTCCTCGGCTGCCCCCGACGAGCCCCCGGGCAACAAGGACAGTGCCCCTATATCCCCGCCTCATCCCTAGTCGCTGCAGCAACACTCAGCCTCGCACCCCGGCACGTTCCGCGCCTCCCGCCAGCCCCACCCCACCGCCTCAGCGGATTGCCTCGCTGCAGGTGAGTCTGGCCAGGGGTCCCTTGGCACCAGGGGTTGCTCACCTTACTGAGGACCCCGCAGCGCTCCACAGGCGGCCCAGACTCCGTCTCTGGATCCTCCTCCGAGCCCGACGAGTTCCAGCTCTGATTATCCGACATGGAGGCTCGACAACCGAGCAGGAGACCGGCCCCCGCTCCCTCAGCTGCGCCGGAGGAGGCGCCCAGTCCTCGGGGTGAAGGGTCGGGGGATGGCGAAGCGAAGAGTGCCCGCTCCGGTGTGGGGGGGAGCAGGAGGAGGGACGAAGTCCGCCCGCCGCGCCGCCGCCGCGCCTGACACCGAGCGGAGCGAGGAAGGAGGACGAGCGGTGAAGGAAGCCTACCCTTCCAGCCGTCAGCCGCCGCCGCCGTCGCCGTGACCCCTGCGTTGCGCCCGGCGCTGCCACCCGAACTTAGCCCCCTCGATGCCAATTTCAAATAGGGAAGGAAAAGGGAAAAGAAGGGAAGAGAAAATCCGGCCGCTGAGTCCCGCGTCCACTCACACCTCCGCTACCGCCGCCATCTTCCTGCCTGGCCCACTATTTACCCTCCCCTCCCCTGTCCTTTCCCCTCCCCTTCGTCCTCCCATTCTCCCCCACTACTCCCCGCCCCGTCCCCCTCCCGGCGTCTGACGCGACACGCCGAGCCTTCGGGATCCTCCTCCCGAACCCTACCTCCGGCTCTCCCGGGTGACGACGGGTAGAAAAGCAGGAGGAGCGGAGAAAGGAGAGGGCGGGGTAGGGATGCAGCTGTGCTGCATTCTGGGAAGGGCGTTGGTCCGTCGCTCGCGCAGCCTCCTGGGAGTTGTAGTCGCGATCCTGAGGTAACGGGTGAGTATCCCGCGCGGGGATCGCTTGTCCCCTTGGGGCCTTGTCAGTCGGTGGGTGGGCTTCGTTTGACAGTTGCGTGACCAGCCCCTCGGCCTCGCTTCTATCCTTGCCTTGTGTGTTTATGACGAACCCTCCGGGCTTGCGGGCCCAGACGTGAGAGAGCTTTCCGCTGAAGATGACGGGCCTGCTTTCCAGGGCGGCTTGTCGAAAGCCCGGGAGCATCTGGCCGCTTCCGCCTCAACCATGGGCTGGGGTTTTGTGAGCTACTAGTGCCAAGGGTTTTCTTTCCACCAGACCACCGCTGTAAATCTCGAGGGTCTTACTCATTAGAAGTTAGAATTCACATTTGACGTTTAAAGGAAGAATTTCCTTAGTACCTTCTCACAAGCACGCACTTCGCATTTTTAGATTTCTAGAGTTTGCTTTGTAGAAAGTAATTTTGAGGTTGTCAGAGAATAAATGACGTTAGAAAGGTTTTTAAAGTAAAACAAGAATGTGAGATGATAGCCTGGGATTTTCTCTTGGTTGTAAATGAATATCTTACTGAGAACCACGTTAACCATGCCTGCCCCTCAAAGATAGGAAAGGTTGGATATATAGAAACTTTCTCGTATTAGAAATACCGAAGTGCAGTGGTTTTGTGTGTACAAGGGATTAGGCAATAGGAGGCTATTTTTGTTTTAAGACTAGGGTTGAATTAGCAGAAAGACCAATAGAAGATCTAACAACTCTTGTCAGTTGTCAAGGATAACTTTGATTATGAGACTTTGACTTTGTAGCTTCAGTAATTTCCTCTCGTTAGCTATTTTAATATAGTCGATTTCCTTGTAATTGCCAAGAGTAAAATTTGTTATTAAACCTTAGAAAGAGTACTTTCTTACTACAAGGATGGGACGATAGGAGCGAAATTTCGAGTCTAAGGGAAAACGCTGGCCGAGTGTGGTGGCTCACGCCTGTAATCCCAGCACTTCGGGAGGCCGAGGTGGGTGGATCACCTGAGGCCGGGAGTTTGAGACCAGCCTGGGCAACAAGGTAAAACCCCGTCTCTACTAAAAATACAAAGATTAGCCGAGCATGGTGGTAGGTGCCTGTAACTCCAGCTCTTTATATCCTGGTTTCAAATCTAGGCTTGATGACCTTCTCCCATATCCCAGTATCATATTTTTTTCTTCCTGCATGGGGGATTAATTACGATTCTGAATGGTTGGTAGCATGAAGCTAGGTTATCCCTATCGTGGCAATGGATATTTAAGTAGGCATTGCCAATATTTATCTTGCTTTCTTTTACTTTCTTCTTTTTCTGACCATCCACACTCCATTTATATTGATGAGTTCTTTTACTAATATCAATTATTATTATATTATGCTCATACTGCCATGTCTTATTCTGCAGCTTTGATCCTTAAGGTGACTTTGCATATCTGTCTAGGACTCCTTTATCTGTTGATTTTTACCATTTAAGTCTCCAAAGACAGCTGTATTTTTGGAAAAGTGGGAGGGAAGAGGTAGATGGGGATACTCATTGATACCTTAATGCACTTCACAGCTGCTTGAGAATATGTCAGATCTCATAAAAAGTTCTAACATTCGAGAATAAGACAGTGATTTCAGAAATGGAATTTCAAAGGGTGTGTAGGCCACCCTTTTTATCCTGTTTCCTATTGTAGAAATGAGAGCCAGGCTAGGAATGTTTCAAGCAGAAATATTCTTACTATTCAATGAAATTGAAAATGTATTCCCATATCTTTTACTCCTATCTGTTTGGTTTATGGGATAAAAACTTGTTAGAGTAGTTGGTATTTCATAGGCTTCACTATAACATTGGAAAATCTTTTAGTCTAAAAAGCACACAGTACGGTACACCAATGAACAGTATTAGTGCCCACTCTTGGCATGTACACATGTTCTTTCTGTCGTTTTTATTTTGCTTAGCTTTTGAGTCTCTTCCTGTTACTGTGAGAAATTCTTTTATTAATATTTTAAAGGCATACTATATAAAGCAGTGTGGTGGTATATTAGGTATCAGTAGAATCCTCTTGATAGTTATTTAGTAAACGTGTTTTGCTTCCTGTTTTTTTCTAACCTTTTTATTGTTTCACTTCTACTATAATTTCACATCCTTTTCTTCTTAGTCAAATAAGTTGAAAAAATATATTTTTATAGAACATGTTGCTATGGTGATAGTTTATGAAAATATACTTTATCCCTGTTTAAGATCTTTATTAAGATCTTGCTATATGATAATCTGACTGGGGTGCTATAAAAGTAAGATATAAACCACTTCTTCTGTAGATTCATTGTTTTCTAGCATTTTTCTGTCTAGGTATTCTGACAATAATTATGTGTAGAGAGTGAATAAATATTTAAAATTGTGTGTGACATAGGAGGTTTTCAGTAAATAATAACTGATGAATGAAATAAGTTTAACTTGGTTGATGATTGAAGAGAAGTTGTGGGAACTGCAATTAACAAGGCCCAAGAAAAAAATCACTAACATGATTAAAATTGGTCAGACACCAAAGAACCAAATAACATCATAGCCTTTTGTAAGTAGCAATTATCATTTGCCAAAGGCCTACAAAATGTCAAACATTGTTTTAGGTTCATTTGATTTATTCGCTCTTCACAAAAATCCTGCAAGGTAGACATTATTCTTACTTTACATATGAGGAAATTAACATTCAAAGAAGTTAATTGCCCAGATCATCGCTAGTGAATAGTCTAGTCCAGACTTTGGACCTTAGGCGCTTGCAATACATAACTTTTAATACATATAGAATTGATTTTAGATTTTAGAAAAGTCACTCAGGCATAATGGCACATATCTGTAGTCCTAGCTGCTCAGGGTGCTGAGGTGGCAGGCTAGCTTGACCCCAGAGGTTTGAGGCTGTAGTGAGCTGTGATCATGCCAGTGCACTCCAGTGTAGGTGACAAAGTGAGACCCTGTCTCAAAAAAAAAAAAATTCCAAAAAACTATTATCCCAAATTTTTTAAATGATTAAACATTTGAGAATCTGTCAGAGCCAGATAGATTACATTCTAGGTGTGTTACATAGTTTTTCTTTAGTTTAACAGTTTTCTTAAAAGAAAATTCATCCACATGCATTTTTAAGGTGCAGTAACATATAGCCAGTTTACAGCTCTTTTCTTGCTAGTGTACACTAGCAAATATATGTTCCAATTACGCATAAATAATTTAAATGATCTCTGGAGCCTCTTGCAACTATCCCCTTGTCTTGTGTTGCTACTAAAAGGAAAAACGTATTGATTTAACCTTTGGTATTATCAGGAAAAATAGTCATTGTCATTTACTATCATTTTATTTTTTGTATTTTTGGTCATTTTATGAATAGTCCTGAGAAGCAGCAATAAAGGGATAGTGGAAAAACAACTTTATTAGAAATTATAATAAAAATAAAAACATAGCAAACCCAAATTTTTATTCCATATATTCTTGAAATAGGGAGGCCTCAAGCAATCCTCCTGCCTTGGCCTCCCAAAGTGTTGAGATTTGATGTGAGCCAACATGCCAGGCCCAATATTCTTTTTTTATGGCTAAATTCCATTGTGTATATAGACCACATCTTCTTTATCCATTCATCCATTGATGGTTGATTCCATATTTTAGCTATTGTGAATAGTGCTGTAATAAACGTGTGAGTGCAGATATCTCTTCAATGTATTGATTTCCCTTTTGGATATATACGTAGTAGTAGAATTGCTAGATCATACAGTAGTTGTATTTTAAGTTTTCTGAGGAACCTCCATACTGTATTCCATAGTGACTGTACTAATTTACATTCCCACCAACAGTGTAGCAGGGTTCCCCTTTCTCCACATCCTTGCCACCATCCATTATTCTCTATCTTTTTAATAAAAGCCATTTTAGGCCGCCCATGGTGACTGAGGTGAGAGGATCACTTGAGCTGCTCAGGAGTTTAAAACTAGCGTGGGCAACGTAGTGAGACCTCGTCTCTAGTATAATAAAAAAAATTTTTTTTAAGCCATTTTGACTGGGGTAAGATGATAGCTCATTGTGGTTTTGATTTGCATTTCTATGATGATTAGTGATGTTGAACATTTTTTTAATTTACCTGTTGGCCATTAGTATGCCTTATTTTGAGAAATGTCTATTCTTTTGCCCATTTTTAAATAAGATTATTTTTCTTTTATTGAGTTGTTTGAGCTCCTTATATATTCTGGTTACTAATCCCTTGTCAGATGGATAGTTTGCAGACATTTTCTCCTGTTCTGTGGGTTGTCCCTTCACTTTGTTGATTGTTCACTCAGCTGTGAAGAAGCTTTTTAGCTTGATATAATCTAATTTGTCTACGTTTGCTTTGGTTGTCAGTGCTTTTGTGGTCTTACACAGAAAAGTTTTTGGCCAGGCCAAGAGTTGTGCCTCATGCCTATAATCCCAGCACTTTGGGAGGCTGAGGCAGAGGATTGCTTGACCCCAGGAGTTTCAGACCAGTCTGGGCAACATAGGGAGACCCTACTTTTGCAAAAAGAATTTTAAAAGTTTAAAAATTAAAATAAAATTAAAGAAAAAAGTTTAAAACATTAAAAGTTTAAAAATAAAGTTAAATGAATAAATAAAATTAGCTGGATGTGGTAGCACACACCTGTGATCCCAGCTACTCAGGAGCCTGAGGTGGGAGGATTGCTTGAGCTCAGGAGGTCAAGGGTATAGAAAGCTGTGATTACACCACTGCATTCAAAGCCAGGTAACAGAGTGAGACCCTGTCTCCAAAAACAAAAAAACAAAATAAAACAACTTTTGGCCAGGCCAATGTCCTGGAGTATTTCCCAAATACATTTTTCTAGTAGTTTCATAATTTCAGATCTTACATTTAAGTTTCTAATCCATTTTGATTTGATTTTTGTATCAAAAATCAAAGAGATAAGGAAGAAATATCTGAGAGATAGTCTTATTCTTCTGCATGTGGTTATCCAGTTTTCCCAGCACCATTTATTGAAGAGACTATCCTTTTACCATGATGTGTTCTTGATTGCTTTGTCAAAAATTACTTGGTTGTAAATGTGTGGATTTATATCTGGGTTCTCTATTCTGTTCCATTTGTCCATGTGTCTATTTTCTTGCCAGTATTATGGTCATTTGGTTACTATAGCTTTGTAGTATATTTTGAAGTCAGATAGTGTGATGCCCCAAGCTTTGTTCTTTTCCCCTAGGACTGCTTTGGCTATTCAGAGTCTTTTTGTGGTTCTATATACGTTTTAGGATTCTTTTTCTATTTCTGTGAAGAATGTCACTGGTATTTTGATAGAGATTGCATTGAATCTGAAAATTGTTTTGGGTAGTATTGTCGTTTTAACAATATTCTTCTAATTCCACAAGCTTAGAATATCTTTCCTTTTATTTGTGTCTTCAATTTTCTTCATCAGTGTTTTATAGTTTTCTTTTACAGATCTTTCACTTAAGATAATTGCTTCGTATTTTATATTATTTGTAACTATTGTAAATGTTATGCTCTAACAGCAAACAACATGAAAAATAAATCAAGAAAGCAATCTAAATAAAAAAAAGTCTGTACTGACTTTTGTATGTTAATTTTGTATCCTGACACTTTACTGAATTTGTTTATCAGTTCTTAACAGCTTTTGGTGGAGTCTTTAGGGGTTTTGTAAATATAAGATTATGTTGCCTACAAAGATAACTTGACTCCTTCCTTTGCAATTTAGATGCCCTTTATTTCTTTCTCTTGTCTGATTGCTGTGACCAGGGCTTTCAGTATTATATTAGATAACAGTGGTGAAGGTGGGCATCCTTGTCTTGTTCCAGATCTTAGAGGAAAGGCTTTCAATATTTCACCATTCAGTGTGATGTTAGCTGTGGTTTTATCACATGTGGCCTTTATTATTTGGGAACATGTTCCTGCTGTATCCAGTTTGCTGAGGGTTTTTATCATAAAGAGATGTTGAATTTGTCAAATACTTTTTCAGCATCTATTGAAATGGTCATATGTTTTTGGTTCTTGATTCTGTTAATGTGATGTATCATGTTTATTGATTTGAATATGTTGAACTATCCTTGCGTCCCTTGGATGAATCCCACTTGATCATGATGAAGGATCTTATTAATGTGATTTGCTAGTATTTTGTTGAGAATTTTTGCATCTGTATTCATCAGTAATATTGGCCTGTAGTTTTCTTTTTTGTTGTGTCCTTATTTGGTTTTGATATCAAGGTAATGCTGGCCTTGTAGAATGAGTTTGGAAGTATTCCCTCTTTAATTTTTTGTTTTGTTTTGTTTTGGAAGAGTTTGAGTAGAAGTGAGAATTAGTTATTCTTGAAATGTTGGGTAGAATTCAGCAGTGAAGCCATCAGGTTCCAGGCTTTTCTTTGATGAAAGACTTTTTATTGCAGCTTCCATCTTATTACTTACTGGTCTGTTCAGGTTTTCAGTTTATTCATGTTTCAATCTTGGTAGGTTGTAAGTGTCCAGGAATTTATTAATTTCTTCTAGCTATTCCAATTTGTTGGCGTATAGTTGCTCATAATAGTATATAATGATTCTTTGTATTTCTGTGGTCTCAGTTGGTATGTCTACTTTTTCATTTCTGTTTTTATTTATTTGAATTTTCTTTCTTTTATTTGTCTAAAGTTTTGTCAATTTCATCTATCTTTTTGAAAAAACAACTTTTGTTGACCTGTATTTTTTTAGTCTCAATTTTATTTACTGCTGTTCTTATCTTCATTATTTATTTTCTTCTACTAATGTTGGGTTTGGATTGTTCCTGCTTTTCTAGTTTTTGAGATGCATTGTTAGGTTATTTATTTGAAATCTTTCTCCTTTTTTGATGTAGACAATTATTATTGTAAACTTCTCTCTTGGTACTGCTACTTTTGCTTTATCCCATAGATTTTGGTATTTTGTGTTTCCATTGTCATTTGATTCAGAATATTTTTAAATTCCCTTCTTAAATAGAGACAGCGTCTCACTTTGTCACCTAGGTTGGAGTGCAGTGGTGTGATCATGACCCACTGCATCCTCAATCTCCTTGGTTCAGGTGATGCTCCTGCCTCAGCCTCCTGAGTAGCTAGGACAATAGGCATAACACCACCAAGCCCAGCCAGCCCAGGTATTGTTGTGCTGCCCAGGCTGGCCTCAAACTCTTGGCTTCAAACAGTCCTTCCACCTTGACCTCTCAAAGTGCTGGGATGATAGGCATGAGCCACCATGCCCTGCCAGGAACAAGTCATTTGATTTGAACTTACTCCAAATTAAATCAAACAATTAATTAATTTTTTGTATTGTTTCCCAGGTTCCTCTTGTTAATGATTTCAAGTTTTATTCCATTGTGGTTACAAAAGATATGTGATATGATTTCTACTTAATTGACTTTTTGAGACTTGTTTTGTGGCCTAAGATGTGGTCTGTTCTGGAGAATGTTTCATATGCTGATGAAAAGATTGTCTGTTCTGCAGCAGTTGGGTGAAATATTCTATAATGTCAATTAGGCCTATTTGGTCTAGTTTAACTCCCCTGTTTCTTTGTTGATTTTCTGTCTGTATGATTTGTCCTTTCCTGAGAGTAGGGTGTTGAAGTCTCCTACTATTATTATATTGCACTCTATCTCTCCCTTTATGTCTATCAATATTTGCTTTATAGACTTGGGTATTCTGGTATTGGATGCTTAGATATTAATTGTTATATCCTTTTGCTGAATTGACCTGTTTATCATAATATAGTGACCTTCTTGCTCACTTTTTGGAGTCTTTGACTTATAGTCGTATTTTATCTGATATGTTAGCTACTCCTGCTCTTTTCTGGTTTCCCCTTGCATGGAATACCTTTTTCCAGCCCTTCACTTAGAGTGTTATGTGTGTCTGTGTAGGTGAAGTGGATTTCTTGTGGGAATTGTATGGTTTGGTCTTGTTTCTTTATCCAGTCATCTACTCTGTGTCTTCTAATTGGAGACTTGAGTTCATTTACATTCAGTGTTATTATTGGTAAGTAAGAACTTATTATTGCCATTTTATTGCATGTTTTGTGGTTGTTTTGTACTCCTCTCTTTTCCTTTCTGTGTTCTTTTGTGGTTAAGTGATTTTCTCTGATAGTATGTTTTAATTAATTGCTGTTTATTTTTAGTGTATCTATTATAGGTTTTTGCACTGTGGTTACCGTGAGGTTTATTAAAAAGTTTTAGAGCTATGACAAGTTATTTTAAAACAATGACAACTTATCTTAGATAGCAAAGAAAAAAATAGAAACTAACAAAGAAATTTAAAAACTTCTACACTTTAACTCTATCACCCCTAAAATTTTGACTTTTTATTGTCTCAACTTACATATTTTTATATTGCCTGTCTCTTAACAGGTTGCTGTAGCTACGATTGTTTTTAACAAGTTTGTCTTTTAGACTTCATACTAGAATTATGGGAGGACCAAAAACAATTATAGTATTAGAGCATCCTGGGTTTATCTATGTACTTACCTTTACCAGAGGATTTTATTTATTTTATTTTTGTTTTCAGAGACAGGGTCTTGCCTTGTCACCGAGGTTGGAGTGCAGTGGCATAATCATAGCTCACTGTAGTCTCGAACTCCTGGGCTCAAATGATTCTCCCACCTTAGCCTCCCAAGTATCTGGGACTACAGGCATTTGCCACCATGCTCAGGTAATTAGAAAAAAAATTTTTTTTAGAGATAAGGTCTTATGATGTTGCCCAGGATAGTCTTAAACTCCTGGCCTCAGGCAGTCCTCCTGACTTAGCTTTCCAAGTAGCTAGTATTACAGGCATGAACCACAGTGCCTGTAATAGACTAGCAATGAGTTTTATACCTTTAAATGTTTTCTTTTTGCACATTTTTTTTCTCTGAGATTGAAGAACTCCCTTTAGTGTTTCTTGTAAAATGAGTCTGGTGATGGTGAATTTTCTCAGTGCTTGTTTGTCTGGGAAAGACTTTATCTTTCCTTTTTTGTAGTTGAAGGATGGGTTTGCTGAATATAATATTCTTCAATGGCAGTTGTTTCTTTCAGCACTTTGAAAATGTCATCCCACTCTCTCCTGGCTTATTTGGTTCCCATTGTGGAGTCTGTTGCCAAACAAATTGAAGCTCCTTTATATGTTATTTGCTTTTTTTTAACTTGCTACTGTTAAGAGCCTCTCTTTGTCCTTGACATTTGAGAGTTTGATTATTATATGCCTTGGGGTAGTTTTATTTAGGTCAAATCTGTTCGTGTTCTCTGGCCTGAATATTGATATTTTTCTTAGATTTTGGGAAGCTTTATTTTTTTGAATAAACTTTCTACTCCTGCTCTTGCTCAGCTCCTTGAATACCAGTAATTCTTAGATTTAGTCTTTTGAGGTGATTTTCTATATCTTCTAGGCAATCTTCATTCCTTTTTATTATTTTTTTTCCTCATCTATGTGTTTTAAAATAGCCTGCCTTCTAGCTTACTGATTGTTTTTTTCTGCTTGATCCACTATGTTGTTGAGAGCCTCTAATGAATTTTTTAGTTCAGCAAACGTATTTCTCAGTTCCACCAAGATTTGTTTGATTTTTTATTGTTTCAAACTCTGTTAATTTTCTCTGATACATTTCTAGATTGATTTTTTGTGTTATTTGGGATGTCACTGAGTTTCCATAAAATCACTATTTTGTATTCATGGTCCAAGAGCTCACATATCACTCTCTCGTTAGGGTTAGTCACTGGTTCCTTGCTTTGTCCATTTGAGGAGATAATGGTTTGCTGTTGTTTCTTTTGGATGTACATCTATGTCTTTGCATTGAAACATTATTTATTTATTTTAGTCTTCTCTGACTAGTTTGGTTTTTATTGGACATGTTTGCTTAGAGATTCTTTGTAACTTACCTGTTGAATTTCTTTTTTTTTTTCTGCTAGGTCACTCTGCCTCTTTTTTGGCACTAGATGGAGGCTTAATTCCAGCTTTGCCTCTGCCCTAGTAAAGGATCAGAGTGTTGCCTGTTAGGAATTGGGGAGGTCCCAAAGGTGATATCTCAGCAGTGTAGAAAGGCTGGCTAGGGGTTTGTGCCCAGGGGACCTGTGGAACGTACCTCCTACCTAGTGGTCCTGCCGAACAAGTACTCTGATTTGGTGTCTCCTTTGACTAAGTTAAAGAGCAGAGTTTCCAAGACTGGGAATGGTAGTCCTGCCTTCCCCATCTGTCTCTGAGTGTCCTCAGGGCTGTTTCTCCCTTTGTGTACTCATGATGCTTCCCATGGATTGGGTCAGGGACAGGTCTTCTGTCAGGACCCCAAGATGGTGGGGGAAACTGGTTGTCTACTTCAGTCTCACTTTTTCCAGTTTAGACACTGTGAGTCAGGGAAATTTTCCACATACTTGGTGTCAGGCAGGTTGTGGGGAGGGGTGTCATAGATATTGAATTCTGATTCTTTTTCTGTCTGCTTGGAGTCTTTTTCACTTTTTTGTGTCCCTTGGAACCATTTGATCTACATATTTGAGTTCTGGGCTATTACTAGCAATAATCTCAGCACCATATATTTGTTTTTGGTTTTCTCTAGTGAGGGAATGAAGCCAGCTTACTTCTACTTACTATTTTGGAACCCAAAACCGGTTTCAGAACTCTTAATGGTGTTAATAAAAGCCACTAAAAAGAAGACTGCAAAAATGAGGTTTCTATGCTTTTCTGCTTTCAAAGATGTTATACTGCGGAAAACATTTTGAAAGCTGAAGTATGATATAAAAATGATTTCTTTTCCTACTGGATCATCTTTTTAGGTGATTCCATTTTATTTTTAAATTATTTTATTTTTAGCATATCTCCTAAGAAATAATTCATGAGTAATGATTAAATAAACCCTAGGATGATGCAATACTAAAATACAGAGCATAGGAAAAACAGGATCCCTAAGATTCTATTATGCATCTTAAATTTATAAAGAGGATGAATACATTCATATAGTAATTGTAGGATAGAATCAGTTTTATTCTGTTAAAAAAAAAGAATCCTTTTTTCTTTGGAAGACTTCTAAGAAAATAAGATATAAAATATTAATGTTTACAAATAAATTTGCTCAAAGAAGAAACTCAAAGATAAAAGACACTGGTGGTATATAATGACTAATGTAACTACGTTCTTCAATTTTATTTTACAACCAAAGCTGAGCTGATTTATATTTCCTTCCCCTGTCTCAGGGTTAGCTGTTGTAATTCATTACAAAATAAGAATAATTTGCCTAAATAAGATACTCTTTATCTTAAAGGTCAAAGCACATCATAATATACTGCTAGTTGATTTATCTTTGTCCAATCTAGTAAAATTTTTTGCATTTAAAAATAGAAAATATTATATATGATGTATTTAGTAAACACCTATCCATTGGGATATCTGAATGTCATTTTAGTTAGAAATACCTAAAGTATTAAAATCATTTTTCAGGTTTCCACATAAGAAAGGTATGTCTGTCATGTAGATCGCACTGTAGAAATCAGTTCATAGTAGAACCATACTGTGTAAATTGCAATCTAAGAGAATTATCAAGGACCAAAGTAAAGTCAAGGGGATCAATGACTAATATGCAGTAATATTTACCTTAGCCCTCAGGCAGATATGTGAAAAGATGTGTAAAGTTAAGAAATACCTGTAAACTCCAGATACAAAGGCTTTCTGCAAACAAAGACCTTTGCTTCTTTCTAGGAATTTTTGCTGGTTTTACTGTGGAATGAGAACCCAAACTGTTTTGTGATTAAGTTAAACAGGTACATGATTCAAGCAGTAGGTTTTGTAGGTTATATTCTTGAAAGAAGGCCTGGGAATTTTTGAAGCCTTGGAAAGCCTTGGGTTTTTTTGTTGGTTTGTTTTTCACTTGAGAGTGTTTTTAAACTAGAAAACAATTTAAATATATGCGTGATGAGGATTCTGGGGAGGTGAGGAAGGCATCTTTGTTGCATGTCAGAGACAGATAAAACTTTCACATTGTAGGCTGGGCACCATGGCTTACACCTGTAATCCCAGCACTTTGCGGGGCCGAGGCAGGCAGATCACCTGAGGTCAGGAGTTCAAGACCAGCCTGGCCAACATGGTGAAACCTCGTCTCTACTAAAAATGCAAAAATTAGCCAGATGTGCTGGCGGGCACCTGTAATCCCAGCTACTCAGGAGGCTGAGGCAGGAGAATCACTTGAAACCGGGAGGCAGAGGTTGCAGTGAGCTGAGATTGCGCCACTGCACTCCAGCCTGGGTGACGAGTGAGACTCCGTCTCAAAAAAAAAAAACAACAAAAAAAAACTTTCAGATTGTAAAAAGGGCAGATAAGAGGAAGCAGGAGTAGGAGGATGTGCTCATAGAGAATATGAGAACCTGTTTCATCTCTGTACTTTGAAGGTAGGGGTGGACAGTTCACAGAATAGGTTTAAATCTAGGAACTGAGTCAGTCCCAGGTGCCTTCCTTAAATACTTGTGGGTTGAATGACTGTCTTAACCCATCTGAAACCAATCTAGGATTAAAATTTTAGAAGACAGTGGAGTTTAATTGGCTGCTCTCCTCTCTTAGGCTCTTGGAGAAGTCAGTGCTGTCAGCAAACATCTGTTTAAACATGTGGAATAGCTGTACTTTGGAGAGCAAAAGTTATTTTAGTACTTTAGGAATATGAAGTAAATTACGTATAAGTTTATTTGCTTTTAAATTTTTGAGAAACTTCTACTTCCAGTATGGAGAAGTAAGCTCTTGCACATGACTGAAAACCTAGAAAAAAAAAACAAAAAAATCAATTACTTGTGGGGTCTGGAACAAAAAACAGATAGATTTTGGAGGGTATCAAACTTTGACAAAGCAACCCTTACAGAGTGAGATTCTCATTCTTTGCAGCTTTGCCTTGAGGGCAGGCACAGTAAGGCATAACTAATGTTCCAGTACAAAACCCCCCATTATTCTGTCCAAAAGAACCAGGGGAAGGGGGCCAGTGCTACCAAAGAGTAGGGAAGGCACCCAAGAAAAGAGAGAGCCAGATAATGGAAATTCTAAATGCTGTATAATAGCTTCACCTGACTCTCTGACTTGCATAGTCTACATGCATGCCCACGGCAAATTGAGAGCAATCTGAACTGAGATCTGAGTCTCTCTCCTTACCAGACATAGAGAGTTTTCAGTTAGAATTTATTTGCCTGCTAAAACAAAAATATTAACACTCTTCAGAAAGATAAAACAGAATCTAGAGTTCTTACAACATAGCATTTACAGTATCGAGGATATAATCTAAAATTACTTGATATATGAGCCAGGGAAATGTGAACTATTTTCAAAGAAAAGACAAGTCAACAGATGGTAACCCCAAGATGATCCAGATGTTGAACTATCTGACAAAGACTTTAACACAACTATTAAAACTGTGCTTAACGAAGTAAAGAAATATGTTTGTATCATTATAAAGAAAGGAAATCTCAGCAAAAAAGGAAAATATAAAAAATCAAATGGAAACTGTAGAACTAAGAAATACAATATCTGAAATCAAAATGATGTTACTAGATGGACTTAATAGCAAAATGGAAATGACAGAGGAATTGGTCTGTCAGTTCGAAGATAGAGCAATACAAAATAACCAATATGAAGAAGAGTAAGGGAAAAAATTAAAAACAACAACAACAACAGAAAAGGAAAGTCAGGTACCTGTGGAACAACAGCAAAGGAGTAATAACAGGAGTAACAGGTAATTGAACCTCCAAAGGGAGATGAGAGAGATTATAGGAAGAGGAAGAAACAATAGTAATAGCCACAACTTTCTCAAAATAGGAAAACATACATAGAGGAACAACAATTTGAGTGATCATGGCCTTAGCAGAAATAATGGAGTCTAGAAAACAATGGAGCAACATCTTTAAAGTACTGAAAGAAAAAAGCTGTCAATTCAATTCTATATCTGATGAAGATATCTTTTGAGAATGAAGATAAAATAAAACTGGCATCTTAGGTGTAGTTGTGTATTTGGCATACTGATTAAGAATGCGGGCTCCGGAGACAGAATCTAGATTTGAGTTTCAGCCTGAGTACCTCTTGTGATCATGGGTGAATTATATAAATTCTCTAACCTCAATTTCCTTATGTGTTAAAGACACTTAAATGAAATATCTAAACTAATGAGTAGCAATGAGAGGATGCTTCTTAAGCACTTAGTATCTGCTTGGCATATGGTAAATTGTTGGAAAACATTAGTTACCATTTATATATGCATGTTTTTAGCTTTCATAGTAAATATAACCAACCTTTATAGAATTTCGTATTTTATATTTTTATCTGTTTCATTTTTGTTCAACTGTAGAGAGGTTGGCTGTATCTTGAAAAGGGAAGAGTGAGACTCCGTCTCTTAAAAAAAAGAAAAAAGAAAAGGGAAGAAACCACTGACAGTATTGTAAAAGAGAAATCACTTTTACTACTGCTTTGACTTCAGCAAAAACAAGATTTAGGAAGCTCTTATTTTCAGAAAAGGAAATGAGAGGGGAAATTTTTCTCTCTTAGAAAATAAAAAACCTCAGCACCTAATTAATAAGATTTTTACTATGTAAATTAAACTTTATCCAATCATTCTTTGTCCCATTTGGTACCCTTTTGTTTGTTTTGTTTGTCTCCTTATTTCTTTTTCAATATTTTTCATGGTATTTTAAGAGGATGATTTAAACAGAGATAAACTTCTGATTTAATGGGTTTTTTTTTTGTTTTTTTTTTTTTCTTTTTTTTTTGGAGACAGAGTCTCGCTCCGTCGCCCAGGCTGGAGTGCAGTGGCTCAATCTTGGCTCACTGCAACCTCCACCTACCAGGTTCAATTGATTCTCGTGCCTTAGCCTCCTGAGTAGCTGGGATTACAGACGTGCACCACCACAACCGGCTAATTTTTGTATTTTTAGTAGAGACGTATTTTGCCATGTTGGCCAGGCTGGTCTCGAACTCCTGGCCTCAAGTAATCCACCTGCCTCAGCCTACCAAAGTGTTGGGGATATGGGCATGAGCCACTGCACCTGGCCTAATGTGAATATTTTAAAACCTAAAACCATTTATTTTCTTTTGAAGTAAAAGGTAGAGGTATCTAAAGTAGATAAAGAGAGTCAGCTAGGTATGTGGAGTTTATCTCTCAGTCTGATTTGAGTTTTAATGTTCATAAGCATAAACCATAAGATACCCCTTTTGACTTTGTTTCTGCATTTGATATGAATGGTAGTGAAAGATATTGTGTATTAAATTTGGCTTTTTATATATAAGTCATTACATAAAAAAGTCTCCAAGGAGAATATGCTTTGTTCTATTCTCCTCTAAAAAGAATTATATAATCAAACTTTTTTTTTATTCTAGTTGTTGGAAATCTTAAGATGTAGTTTTGGCAAGGTGCAGTGGTTCACACCCCTAATCTCAGCACTGTGGGAGGCCAAGGCAGGAGGATTGCTTCAGCCCAGGAGTTCTAGAGCAGCCTGGGCAACATAGACCCTGTCTCTGCAAAAATAAATAAATAAAACAAAATTAGCTGGTTTTGGTGGTGCACGCCTGTGGTCCCAGCTACTTGAGAGGCTGCAGTGGAAGGATTGAATGACTGTACTCCAGCCTGGGTGACAGAGTGAGACCCTGTCTCAAAAAAAAAAAAAATTTATATATACACACACACACACACACACACACACACACACACACACAAGTACGTGTGTGTATATATGTATATATACATGTGTATGTGTGTGTGTATATATATAGTTTTATTCTTAGATCAACTGTTTGGACTTTACTGTTGACATACCTGCTTTTCTTCTCCGAACCTGGTAGTTTTGCTTTCACTTAAATTTTTAATTCTTTTTATAAGGTATCTCAAAATCTTTTTGGAAAGAAATAGATAACCAGGCAGGCTGATAGGTAAGAAGGTAAGAAGACCACTTGTTAAAGAATTCCATGTGTTGCTTTTAAAATGTCTGTCTTATTAAGACCAGTGCCTAAAAATTTATAGGCATAGATATTCATCACAGCATTTTTTATAATAGAGAAAATTTAGAAACAACCTAACTGCTGTCACTAGGGAGCTGTTATATGAAATATCGTTCAACCATACAGTGTAACACTGCACAGCCATTAAAAATGATATTAGAATATTGGTACTCTCAGACAAAGATTTTGAAGCAAGAAGTTAAAAGTTCAGCCATCCCCAAGTGGCCGAACTAAATTCAGATGCCCAGACACATCATGATGGCATGGAAAATTTCCCTTCATACAGTTTTAAATAAAGAAAACAGACTAGAAAACAATATGTAGGATGAAATCTACTATGTCTAAAATATATAGATGATACATTTATACTCCATGTAAGTAAAAAAATACGGAAGAAAAAATGATTATATAGTTCCATAATTATTTAAATAAAAATAATTCCATGATTAAGAGGGGAAGAAAAGGTTACAAAGCAGTATGAATAGTGTGATGTCATTTTTGTATAAAATATATGAAGAAATAGACATAGAAGAAAGTAATGAAGTATCCCAAAATATTATATTAATGATCATTCTCTCTGGATTTGTTGCATGATATATTTATTATCTTTGTTTCCCTTTTATGCATTCTGATATAAAATTTTTTGTAGCAAGCATGAACTTTTATCATTGGAATAAACATTGATGCTATATTAAAATTAGAGTGTGGTGGAGCATGGTGGCTCATGTCTATAATTCCAGCGCTTTGAAAGGCCTAGGCAGGAGGACCACATGAGGCCAGGAGTTTGAGACCAGTTTGGGCAACATAGCAAGAACTCCACTCTACCAAAAAAAAAAAAAAATTTGGGCAAGGTGGCACATACGTGTAGTCCTACCTGCTCTGGAGGCTGAGTCAGAAGGATCACTTAAGCCTAGAAGTTCGAGGTTACAGTGAGCTATGATTGTGCTGCCGCACTCCAACCTGGGTGACAAAGCAAGATCCTGTCTCTTAAACAAAAATAGAGAGAATTTAATGAAATAGATGTTATAAAATGTAAAGTTTTGTATTTTCATGACATTAAGTGAATACAATTATCCCTTGGTATCCATGGGGGATTGGCTCCCAGACCTCCCACAGACACCAAAATCCACGATTGCTCAAGTCCCTGATATAAAATGGCATAGCATTTACATATAACCTTTATATAGTATTCCATAGACTTTAAATCATCTGTAGATTCCTTAGAATACCTAATTGTGTTAGTCCATTTGCATTGCTTTAAAGGAATATCTGAGACTGGGTAATTTATAAAGAAAAGAGATTTATTTTGACTCATGGTTCTGCAGGCTATATAGGAAGCATGGTGCCAGCATCTGCTCCTGGTGAGGGCCTCAGGAAGCTTCCAATCATGGTAGAAGGCAAAGGGGAGGCAAGCACATTACATGGAGAGAGCAGGAGCAAAAGAGAGAGGGGGGAGGTGCCACACTCTTTTTAACAACCAGATCTCTTGTGAACTCAGAGCAAGAACTCACATATTACCACAAGGAGGGCACTAAGCCATTCATGAGGGTCATAGGTCATGACCTACCCCCATGACCCAAACACCTCCCACTAGGCCCCACTCCAACATTGGGGATCACATTTCAACATGAGATTTGGAGAGGAACACACACATAAAAACCATGGATGCATGGTTTGGATGCTGTATAAGTAATTGTTATACTGTTACATAGTATATGCTATACAAATAGTTGTAAATGCTGTATAAATAGTTGTTATACTATTGTTTAGAGAATAATGAGAAGGAAAATTGTCTGTACATGTTCAGTACAGATTTTTTAAAAAAATTTTTTATATAGAGTGTGTTGAATACACAGATGTGGAACCCATGGATATGAAAGGCCAAGTACACAGATTATAATCTTGTAATATATATATAAACATATCAAAATGTATACTGGAGTATATAGAGATCTTTTAGATTGAAATAGTATAAAAAATACTTAATACATTTCACTTGTATAAGTACATACATATAATTGAATATAAACATGTACATATAGATGAAATTGTACCCTTCATATCCAGTCTTACATTCCAGGAGATACAATAGAACTATCAGCACAAATTTTGCAGTAAATCTTAGTTGACTCAAATTCACATGAAATGGCTAACAACAACAAAAACTTTCCTTTTTTGAATAATGCTTTCCCTTTACTTTCCCTTTTCCTTTAAGTAGAAATATAGGGCCCTTTTTACTTGATAGTTGATTTTTCAGTTTTTAGGTTAGGTAATGTCTGGTGAAAAGCTGTTTTAGATGCTATGATTATTGAAGGAATTACCCTTTGGATTACTGGGAAGATCTCCAGTTGATCCAAAATGTATTTTTCTTTATGTTTCTCACATTTCAGGGTATTCAAAAAGCTGAATCTATTTGTATTTCTTTTTTTTTTTTTTTTTTTTTTGAGATGGAATCTTGCTTTGTCACCCAGGCTGGAGTGCATTGGCACGATCTAGGCTCACTGCAACCTCCACCTCCCAGGTTCAAGCAATTCTCCTGCCTCAGCCTCTTTGTATTTTTTTTTCCCTTTTTCTTTTTTTTTTTTTTTTTTTTTTTTTTGAGTTGGAATCTCACTTTGTCATCCAGGCTGGAGTGCATTGGCATGATCTAGGCTCACTGTAACCTCCACCTCCCAGGTTCAAGCGACTCTGTCAGCCTCAGCCTTGGATAATTGTATTACCTTATCCAAGGTACCTACTAAATACATACCTCAGTTTCCTCATCTCTGATGAATATTATATCATGCATGTAAAATACTATAAGAGCCAAATGTTAACTTTTACAATTATTGTGTTTGTAAAAACTTAACTGATATATTGTTATTAATTTTATTTTTATCTGTATATTAGTCTGTTCATTCATTAAACACACATTTAATAATTAACAGGTCTAATGGCCTAGCACTGTAGCAGTTTTTGCCCTCTTGAAATTTTTTTCTTTTCTTTTCTTTTTTTTTTTTTTTGAGTTGGAGTCTCGCTCTGTTGCCCATGCTGGAGTGCCGTGGCGCGATGTCCGCTTGCTGCAAGCTGCCTCCCAGGTTCATGCCGTTCTCCTGCCTTAGCCTTGCGAGTAGCTGGGACTACAGGTGCCTGCCACCATGCCCGGCTAATTTTTTGTATTTTTTTAGTAGAGACGGAGTTTCACCGTGTTAGCCAGGATGGTCTCGATCTCCTGACCTCGTGATCCTCCTGCCTCGGCCTCCCAAAGTGCTGGGATTACAGGCGTGAGCCACTGCACCCAAACCCCTCTTGAAATTTATATTTTAGTTGAAATATAACTAAAATGAAAATGTTTTTTTTCCTCGAACAGGTTCTACGGGAAAAAGTTTTTTGGCATCAATTATTCTGTTGATCAGTTCATTACTGTGCTTTAAATTCTTACCATCATTCAAATGAAAACAATATATATAGTATATTGTTTATATACTATGTATAAACAATATACTATATATATTTAGTATATAGTATATAGCTATTTACACCAGTATATAGTATATAGCTATATAGTATATAGCTACCAGTATATAGCTATTTACACCAGTATATAATATATAGCTATTTACACCAGTATATAGCTATTTACACCAGTGCTACCCAAAATGTGGGCTGTGGACCAGTGCTTATCCATATGAGATAATTATAAAACTTGAGGCTGGGTGTGGTGGCTCACGCCTGTAATCCCAGAAGTTTGGGAGTCCAAGGCAGGTGGATCACGAGGTCAGGAGTTCAAGACCAGCCTGGCCAAGATGGTGAAACCCCGTCTCTACTAAAAATACAAAAATTAGCCAGGCGTGGTGGTGGGCACCTGTAATCCCAGCTACTTGGGAGGCCGAGGCAAAGAATAGCTTGAACCTGGGAGGTGGAGGTTGTAGTGAGCTGAGACTGTGTCACTACACTCCAGCCTGGGTGACAGAGCAAGACTCTGTCTCAAAAAAAAAAATAAGAAAGTAAGCTGTAAACTTATCTCATACTTTCTGAGGGTCAAGGATATGAGCACAGCGTAGTTAAATGTCTCTGGCTCATGAAGGTCCAGTCAAGTTATTATCTAGGGCAGTATTCTTATTTGAAGATTTGACTAGAGGAGGATCCACTTCTATGGTCACTCACATGACCTCCTCACAGGGCTGTCTCACATGGCACCTGGCTTCCCCAGAGTTAGTAATCCAAGAGAGAATAAGAACATCTAAGATGGAAGTCCCATTCCATTATAAACCATTTTTGATTTTTTGTTTTTTAACTTTTATTTTAGGTTCAGGGGTACATGTACACATTTATTATATAGGTAAATTGCATGCCATGGGGTATGGTGTACAGATTGTCACCCAGGTAATAAGCATAGTACCTGATATGTAGTTTTTCAATCCTCTCCCTCCTCCCACCCTCCACCCTCAAGTAGGCTCCAGTGTCTGTTGTTCCCTTCTTTGTGTACTCAAAGTTTAACTGCCACTTATAAATGAGAACATGCAGTGTTTGGTTTTCTGTTTCTATGTTAGTTTGCTTAGTATGATGACCTCCAGCTCCATCCATTTTGCCTCAAAGGAGATGATCTCATCCTTTATTATGGCTATATAGTATTCCTTTGTGTATATGTACCACTTTTTTTTTTTTAAATCCAGTCTACCATTAATGGACATTTAGGTTGATTCCATGCCTTTGCTATTGTGAATAGCGCTGCAATGAACAAGCACATGCATGTGTCTTTTATGGTAGAACGATGTATATTCCTTTGGATATATACCTAGTAATGGCATTGCCAGGTTGAATGGTAATTCTGTTTTAAGTTCTTTGAGAAATTGCCAAACTGCTTTCCACAATGCCTGAACTAATTTACATTCCCACCAGTAGTGTATGAGTGTTTCCTTTTCACTACAACTTTGCCAGCATCTGTTATTTTTTGATTTTTTAAAAATCACAATTCTGACTGGTGGGAGGTGATATCATTGTGATTTTGATTTGCAGTTCTCTAATGATAAGTAATGTTGAGCATTTTTTCATATGTTTGTTAGCCACGTGTATGTCTTCTTTTGAAAAGTATTTGTTCATGTTTTTGCCCACTTTATAATGGGGTTATTCTTTTTTTGCTTTAAAATTTTGTTTCAGTTCCTTACAGATGCTGGATATTAGACCTTTCTTGGATCCGTAGTTTGCAGAAATTTTCTCCCGTTCTGTAGGTTCTTTTTATTCTGTTGACAGTTTCTTTTGCTGTGCAGAACCTCTTTAGTTTAATTAGGTCCCACTTGTCAGTTTTTGTTTTTGTTGTAATTGCTTTTGGCATATTCATCATGAAATCTTAGCCAAAGCCTATGTCCAGAATGTTATTTCCTAGGTTATCTTCCAGGGTTTTTATGGTTTTAGGTTTTACATTTAAGTCTTGAATCCATCTTGAGTTGATTTTTGTGTATAATGTAATAAAAGGATCTAGTTTCAGTCTTATGGATGTGGCTAACCAGTTATCTCAGCACCATTTATTGAATAGGGAGTTCTTTCTCCATTGCGTGTTTTTGTTGATTTTGTCAAATATCAAATGATTGTAGGCATGTGGTTGTACTTCTCAGTTCTCTATTCTGTTCCATTTGTCTGTGTGTCTGTTTTGTACTGCTACCGTGCTGTTTTGGTTACCATATCCTTGTAATATAGTTTGAAGTCTGGTAATGTGATGCCTCCAGCTTTGTTCTTTTTGCTTAGGGTTACCTTGGCTATTCGAGCTCTTTTTTGGTTTCATAGGAAATTTAAAATAGTTTTTTCTAGTTCTAGGTTTGTGAAGAGTGTCCTTTGTAGTTTGATGGAAATAGCGCTGAATCTGTAATTTGCTTTGGGAGCATGACTATTTTAACAATGTTGATTCATTCTATCCATGAGCATGGAATATTTTTCCATTTGTTTGTGTTATCTCTGATTTCTTTGAGCAGTGTTTTTTAATTCTCATTGTAGAGCTATTTCACCTCCCTTTCAATACCTAGTTAGATATTTTATTCTTTTTGTGGCTATTGGGAATGGGATTGCATTCCTGATTTGGCTGTCAGCTTGGAGGTTGCTGGTGTACAGGAATGCTACAGATTTTTGTACAATGATTTTGTATCCTGAAGCTTTGCTGAGGTTTATCACATCAAGGAGCTTTTGGAGCTGGGCGTGGTGGCTCATGCCTATAATCCCAGCACTTTGGGAGGCCAAGGCAGATGGATCACTTGAGGTCAGGAATTCAAGACCAGCCTTGCCAACATGATGAAACCCCATCTCTACTAAAAATACAAAAATTAGCTGGGCATGGTGGTGCATGCCTGTAGTCCCAGCTACTCAGGAGGCTGAGGCAGGAGAATCACTTGAACCTAGAAGGCAGAGGTTGCAGTGAGCTGAGATTGTGTCACTGCATTGCAGCTTGGATGACAGAGCGAGACCCTGTCTTAAAAAAAAAAAAAAAAAGCTTTTGGGCTGAGACCATGAGGTTTTCTAGGTACAGAATTATATTGTCTGCAAACAGGGATAGACTGACTTGGATTGGGTTTCGACTGTCTCCTGTATGTCGATGATCTTTGTTCCTATCCATATTCAGGGATGATGAGTTTGGTTCTTTCATATAATGGCATTTGGTCTATTACCTCCTGTACTGTTTTATTGTAATCCTTAGATTTCTTGGATTGGGTTCTGTCCAAATATGTTTGTTAGTTTGTTGCCTCAATGATATGTCTAATATTATCAGTGGGGTGTTACAATCTCCCACCATTATTGTGTGGTTATCTAAGTTTCTTCATAGGTCTCTAAGAACTTGATTTATGAATCTTGATTTATGCACTCCTATGTTGAGTGCATATATATTTAGAAAAGTTAGGTCCTTTTGTTGAATTGAGCCCTTAACCATTATGTAATGTCCCTCTTTGTCTTTTTTGATCTTTGTTTATTTAAAGTCTGTTTTGTCTGAAATTACAATAGCAATCCATGCTTTTTTCTGTATTCTGTTTGCTTTGTAGATTTTTCTTCATCCCTTTACTTTGAGTCTGTGGATGTCATTGCATGTGATATGGGTCTCCTGAAGACAGCATACCATTGGATTTTGCTTCTTTATCCAAGTTATCATTCTGTCTTTTAATTGGGGTGTGCATTCAAGGTTAGTATTGATGTGTGCGGATTTGATGCTGTCATGTTGTTAGTCGGTTATTATGAAGACTTGTTTGTGTTGCTGTTTTGTAGTGTCACTGGTCTGTGTAGTTAAATGTGCTTTTGTAGTGGCCAGTAACAGTCTTTCCTTTCCATAGCTAGCACTTCCTTCAGGACCTCAGTAAGGCAGGTATAGTGGTAACTAATTCAATTACCACTTACTTGTCTGAAAAGGATCTTATTTCTCCTTCATTTGTGAAGCTTGGTTTGGCTGGATATGGAATTCTTGGTTGAAAATTTTTTTTTAAAGAATGCTGAATATAGGTCCCCAATCTCTTCTGGCTAATAAGGTTTCTGCTGACAAGTCTGCTTGTTAGCCTAATGGGGCTCCCTTTGTAGGTGCCCTCCCTCTTCTTTCTAGCTGCCTTTACATTTTTTCTTTCAGACCGTGGAGACTCTGATGACTATGTGCCTTTGGGATGATCTTGTGCAGTATTTCACAGGGGTTCTCTGCATTTCCTGAATTTGAATGTTGGCCTCTCTAGCAAAGTTCATGACAATTTCATGGACAATATCCTGAAATATGTTTTCCAAGTTGCTTACTTTCTCTCTCTCTCTTTTAGGGATGCAAATGAGTCATAGATTTGGTCTCTTTACATAATCACATTATTTCTTGGAGGTTTTGTTCAGTCTTCTTTATTGTTTTTTCTTTATTTTTGTGTGACTGGGTTATTTCAGAGAGCTACTCTTCAAGCTCTGAGATTCTTTCCTTACCTTGGTGGATTCTGCTGTTAATACTTGGGATTGCATTTTGAAACTCTTCTGATGTGTTTTTCATCTCTATCAGATGAGTTTGGTTCTTTCATATAATGGCCATTTGGTCTATTACCTCCTGTACTGTTTTATTGTAATCCTTAGATTTCTTGAATTGGGTTTTGACTGTCTCCTATATGTCAGTGATCTTTGTTCCTATCCATATTCTGGATTCTGTCTCTGACATTTCAGCCTAGTTAAGAACCATTGCCTGGGAACTAGTGTGGTCGTTTGGAGGTAAGAGGACACTCTGGCTTTTTGAGTTGCTAGAGTTCTTGTGCTGGTTCTTTCTCATTTGTGTGGGCTCATATTCCTTCAGTTTTTGATGTTGCTGTCCTTTGGATGGATTTTTTTGCTTTTCTCTTCTTTGATGCCCTTGGGGATTTGATTATGGTATAAGGTGGATTCAGTTGATGAACTTTGATTCTAGTCTGTTCCTGGGTCTTGGAGGAGCGCTCTCTGATTACTTTCTCTGTGCCTACATTTTTTGGGGGGTGTTCTGGTCCACAGGGCTTCCTCAGTCAGGTTCCTCAGTTGGCAGAGAGGCTGCATTCTTGCAACATCAGCCCTAATCTGCTATCTGTGTGCTTCCTGGGGAAACATGAGGTTGTGCCTGCCTGCAGAGTTCAGGTGGAAGTGGGAACCCTGGATTGGAAGTTCTCGTAGATGTGGCCCATCTGGCTACAAGAGGCAGGGTGGGTTGAATTGCCTGCTCTGCCATCTGGGTGTTTCCATGGCAACAGGAGGCTGTACCCCCGGCAAATTCAGGCAGAAGCAGGACCACTGGGCCAGAAGCTCTAGCAGGCATGGCTCACCTGGCTACCAGTGGTGGGGGTGGGTGGAGGCACCCACCCTGCCCCCTGGGTGTTTGCTGGGACAATAGTAGGCTGTGCCTACCAGCTGAGTTGCCATAGAAGCAGGACCCCTGGGCCGGAAGCTCTAGCATGTGTTGCCCCCCAGCTACCAGAGGCAGGGATGGGCAGGGTGACATGCTGTCTTGTCTGGGTGTTTACTGGGACAACAGGAAGCTGAGCCCTCCTGCTGAGTTCACACAGATGTGGAGCTGCTGGGCTGGAAGCTCTCACAAGCATTGCTTGCCTGGCTACCAGTGACGGGGGCGGGTAGGGTCATGTAGTTTGCTGTCCCAGCATTTCTTGGGATGACAGAAAGCTGCATCCTTCAGCTGAGTTCACACAGAAGCAGGACTGCTGGGCTAGAAGCTCTAGCAAGCATTGTCTGCCTGGCTACCTGTGGCAAGGGTAGATGGAGTGGCCAGCCAAATTCTGGCTGAAGCAGGACCACTGGGCTGGAGGCTGTTGCTGAGCCCCATCCAGCAAGGAGTAGTGGAGAAATCTTACTGCTTTCAGGCACTGCAGTGGCGGCCTCTATTGAGGCTATAACACTGGTGCTGATCTGCTCCGGGGCGCAAAGCTTGTAGAGGTGCCCTTGGGCTTCAGAATTGCCTCCACCAAACATCTCAGTGGCTCTGCCTCAGTCTAGAAGCATGGGGGTGGGGGGCACAGGGTGGTCAGGGGGAATCTCCCATTCCCAGTCTTGCACAGGTTTCTGTGGAAAGTGTGAATCCCCCTGGGGGCTCTCACTCACCGTTTGCGGTGTTGGTTAGGTTCTCCTGGCTCTGTGCTCAGCCCAGACAAGCTGGTGCCCACCTTCATTCCTCCGTGCTCTCTGTGTTTCCCTGCTGCCTTGATAGATCTCAACGTTGTTTCTCAGATGATCAGCTTGCAGGGTCAGTGTTCAGTAGCCCTTTTGCTTATTCTCTGTGAGAGCAATGCGCATGAGCTGCTTCTAGTCTGCCATCTTGGCCCCCCTAACCTAACCCATTTTTAGATGTTACATTCCATCACTTCTACTTCTGCTATAATCTATTTGTTAGAAGCAGGTCACTTAATTACACATTATGGCATTAGTTTGTTGTGCCTTTTGTGCTTTTCCTAGCATCTGTGAAGTATTATTGAAAGTATTTTAGTAGTGTTAGGAAATGTGTATTTTATAATAATTATTTTAGTAGTGTTAGAAAATGTATATTTTATTTGCAGTTCAAATTTTGTTTTTTTTATTTTTTTATTTTTATTTATTTATTTTTTTTGAGACGGAGTCTTGCTCTGTCGCCCAGGTTGGAGTGCACTGGCGCAATCTCGGCTCACTGCAAGCTCTGCCTCCCGGGTTCATGCCATTCTCCTGCCTCAGCCGCCCGAGTAGCTGGGACTACAGGCACCTGCCACCACACCTGGCTAATTTTTTGTAGTTTTAGTAGAGACGGGGTTTCACCATGTTAGCCAGGATGGTCTCGATCTCCTGACCTTGTGATCCACCCGCCTCGGCCTCCCAAAGTGCTGAGATTACAGGCTTGAGCCACCAGGCCCAGCCTCAAATTTTATTTTTTAGTGTACTTTGTAGTATAGAAATAAGTACTTCATATGCTGGAGGTAGCTGTTAACATTTTATGAATTTTCATAATGCTATACCATGTGCACATTTTTTAAAGTCTTCTTAAAATAAACAGCATATTTGGATCTCATTAATTTAAAAAAGTTACCAGTAAGTCTGGACTGCTTTTTCTTTTATGAAAAAAATTAAGCTAACTTAAACCACATATTAAGCTAACATAAACCACATATTGTGATAGTTTGATGAACTAATCTAGCTCGGTGTTTTGCAATGTTTTTTAACTCATGCTTTCTTTCATAAACCTTCCATTAGTGTTTTTTGAAACTTCAAAAAAAATAAATGTTACTAAATACAAACCAAGTTATAGTATCTCAGAGGAGAGAGAGATATCATCTCATCAATTTTTTTTGGCAGGGGTGGTGGGAGCTTTCTGGTGAAGACCGGAAAACCTGTTAGACAAATTCTGAAAAACTGTAACATTCATCTCATCAATTGAGAATAATTATTTTTACTAATTTAGTGTAAATCCTAGATGCCGTTGTTTATTATCAGATGCTTTTTATATAATATGTGTTTAAGTGGTTTTATTTTTTTTTTATTTATTTATTTTTGAGATGGAGTTTTGCTCTTGTTGCCTAGGCTGGAATGTAGCGGCGCGACATCAGCTCACTGCAACCTCCACTTTCCAAGTTCAAGCAATTCTCCTGCCTCAGCCTCCTGAGTAGCTGGGATTACAGGCATGTGCCACCATGCCCAGCCAATTTTTTGTATTTTTAGTAGAGATGAGATTTCATCATGTTGGCCAGGCTGGTCTCAAACTTCTGACCTCAGGTGATCCACCCGCCTCAGCTTCCCAAAGTGCAGGGATTACAGGCATGAGCCACCGTGCCCGGCCGTTTAAGTGTATTTTTATAGCACAGGGTTAATAATAGTTTCCAAATGGACTGTCAGTATTTTAAAAGTAAGGCTCTTTTTAACATTGTGCTCTTAAAAGAATAAAAGATTATTAAGGAAGGTATGTGATTATGTTTCTAAATCATTTTGGCTTAATCACTCCAAGACCACAACTTCTTGCTGCTTTTTTTTTTTTATCATGTTTTGGCAAGTCCCGAAGCAGTATTTTTGGGATGTTTAATTTTTTTGTTTCTGGTATTTAGGCATGTATGATATGACTAGGAAGAAAATAGAATAATGATTTTCAGAGCTGATTTGCTATGGAAACCATCTTTTAAAATTCATCAATATTAAACAACTGTTATTGCGGTCTTTGAGTTGGTAACAATCGCAATGTATGTTAGTGTTCACACAAATATTTCTTTTTCTTTCTTTTCTTTTTTTTGAAACAGGGTGTCTCTGTCACCCAGACTGGAATGCAGTGGCACTATCATGGTTTACTGCAGCCTAGACCTACTAGGCTTCAGAGATACTCCCACTTCAGCCTCCCACGTTTAATTTTTTTTTTATAGAGACAGGCGTCTTACTCTCTTGCCCAGGCTGGTCTCAAACCCCTGGGCTCAAGCAATCCTCCTGCCTTGGCTCCCCAAAGGGCTGGGATTATAGGCATAAGCCACCACACCCTACTTGCATAAATATTTCTAAGGAATTTGGAGAGTCAAATAAATGAAGTTTACTATGAGCTTTCCCCTTTTTGTAGGTTACCCATTTATTCTTTTAAATTAGTGATAGAATACATATGAAGAAATTATAGAAGAGCTGTAAAGTAGCATCAGTAGAACAGAGATCTAAGGAAATATTTGAGATTTTTATCTAAAATTTCATTTGAACAGGGTTATGTTGCTAAGGAGTTTTAAACCCCTGCCATACACTATTAGAGCTGTAAGAAAACTAAAAAGTCAGGAGCAGTGGATCAAGAAACAATATCAAGGTTAGAACTCAGAAGAAACTTAGGAGCAGTTTGGCAAAGGGGACAATTGAAAGGATCATTTTTCCAGGACAGGAAAATAATAATAGCTTATACAACTCTTTTTGATTTTATTAGATATTTTGCTTCCAATAGTGTGGAGCGTAGTGTGAAGATAAATAGCACAGTATCTCAATTTCTTATTTGTAGTGTAGCCCTATCCTATTATCCTGGCTTCTGTTGTAATTTTTTTTTTTTTTTAAAGACACAGGCTTCATCACCCTGTCTCTTAAAAACTCTTCTCTGTTGTCCAGGCTGGAGTGCAGTGGCATAACCGTGGCTGACTGCGGCTTCGAACTCCTGGGCTTAAGCAATCCTCCTGCCTCAGCCTCCCGAGTAGCTGGGACTACAGGCACATGTCAACACACCTGGCTATTTTTTTGTGTAGACAGGGTCTCACTATGTTGCCCAGGCTGGTCTTGAGTTCCTAACCTGAAATGATCCTTCCATCTTGGCCTCCCAAAGTGCTGTAATCACAACCCTGAGCCACTGCCCCTGGCCTAATTTTATATTAAAATTGTAATATTCTAGATTGTAGAGCTTAAAAAATACAGTACCAAAAAAGGTACTACAGGAGAAATGTTTTCTCGTTTTCTAAGGACATTAGTATGAACTGTCCCTTAAGACCTGTGCATTTTACTGAAACAAAATTAGTCTGTTTAGCATCACTTTTATATAGATAGGTATTTTTGCCGACATCTAGTGCCCAAAGAAACTCCCAGCCTATCTCCTTCATGTTGATTCAGCATTCCAAGAAACAATCAACTCCTATAAGATAAAAACTTAGATTTTCACACTTTTGAGTATGTTTATTTCTGAGTTAAAGTTTTCATTGTTAAAGAACCTGGAAGGCTTTTTATAAAATATGCAACTCATCATCCAAATAGAAACTTAAAAACTTGGAGGCTCGGCGCAGTGGCTCATGCCTATAATCCCAGCACTTTAGGAGACAGAGGCGGGCAGATTACCTGAGGTCAGGAGTTTGAGATCAGCCTGAACAACATGGAGAAACCCCGTCTCTACAAAAAATACAAAATTAGCCAGGCGTGGTGGTGCATGCCTGTAATCCCAGCTGCCCAGCTACTCGGGAGGCTGAGGCAGGAGAATCGCTTGAACCTGGGAGGCGGAGGTTGCCGTGAGCCGATATCGCACCATTGCACTCCAGCCTGGGCAACAAGACTGAAACTCTGTCTTCTGTCTCAAAAAAAAACCAAAAAACAAAAACAAAAACTTGGGGCTTGGGGAATTGACCTTTGAATTGACACTGTAGGTAATATGTTTATATCAGAATATTATTCATCCTGTCGAAAGAAGATAATTTCCACTTATTGTTCTATAAGAATGAATTTAATGTCTTTAGGATGAAGTAGAGTATAGATTTTTAAATTTCCCTCTGTCCCATTCTTCTTCACTAGAACCAATTAAATGAATAAAAAAAGGAGAAAGGCAGTAGAAGAGAATACATGCATGGTTCTCACAAGGCAGGCCTTCTGTCTCTGGTAAAAAACTTGAGTTTTAGTGTATATACTCTTGGTTTAGGATCTGTGGAATTTCATTATTTCTGTTCTTTCTCTCAGTGACACATGTAAATGAGAAAATCATTCAAATCCAGTCTAAAATAATTTTTAAAGTTTTTTCCTCTTGTTTTGCAAAAATATTAAAAGCTAAAGCTAAAAATTCAAAGTTGCACCTATACTTTCATTTTTGTCATACAAAAATTGTGGCCATATGGTTTCAGTGTATGTTTTCATGTATCTGTATGTAAAATAATTGAAGAACATGGAAAAATAATCTGTTAAAGTCTTGAATTGTGATTTTTTATTTTCTTGAAATTTCAAAAAGTATTTTTGCAATAAATGAAAATGAAAAAGGAAATTTTAAAGTAGATCATATAAGATGTATTGGTTTGAAAATTACTACTTTAAATGTAGAGTAATATCCCTAATTCAATTCATTGTATTTAAATTTATAGAGAATAACGAGCATTTAATCACATTCTGAAATTTTGTGCTGGGTGCTAAATCTGTTCAAAGTATTAAATATTTGAATATTTGGGAGATTCAAAATAGTATTTGTCCTTAAAGTATATAAAGGTTTTCTGAGGAAATTATTGCATTTGGTTATTTATAGTATATTAGAAATAGGAAACAAGCTCCACCTAGGAACTTACTGTAGTTTAGCCTTTCGTATTCATACTTCTCTCTCTCTTCCCGCCACCTCTCTCTCCCTCACTCTCCCTTTCCCCCATCCCCTGTCTCCTCCCCTTCTCTCTTATTACTTTTGGTATATTTTGCATATTTTCTGGTAGATTAATTCCAGGTGACTTTGATCACAGTGTGGTTTTTTATATAGCTTTGTTTACCTCTTATAGGTGGGAGGAGGCCTACCACACTAAAACTTTTTCCTTAGAATTCTTTCTTAAAAATTCTAAGTTTCCATCTTTATTACCACCAAAAACAAAAGTTTGCCTTATATGTGTGGGTATATATATGTGTGTGTGTGTATATACACATATACACATATATATACACATATATACACATATACATATATACACATATATATATACACATATATACATATATATACATATATGTATATATATGTATTTTTTTTTTGAGGCGGAGTCTTACTCTGTCGCCCAGGCTGCAGTGCAGTGGCGTGATCTCGGCTCACTGCAACCTGGCTCACTGCAACCGCCACCTCCCAGTTTCAAGCAATTCTCCTGCCTCAGCCTCCTGAGTAGCTGGGATTACAGGCATCTGCCACCGCGCCCAGCTAATTTTTATATTTTTAGTAGAGATGGGGTTTCACCATATTGGCCAGGCTGGTCTCGAACCCCTGACCTCGTGATCCACCCACCTCGGCCTCCCAAAGTGCTGGGATTACAGGTGTGAGCCACCGCGCCCAGCCTTATTTATTTATTTATTTATTTATTTATTTATTTATTTATTTATTTTTGAGACGGAGTCCCATTCTGTCTGGCCCAGGCTGGAGTGCAGTGGTGTAGTCTTGGCCCACTGAAGCCTCTGCCTCCCAGGTTCAAGCGTTTCTCCTGTCTCAGCCTCCTGAGTAGCTGGGACTATAGGCATGTGCCACCACACCCAGCTAATTTTGTATTTTAAGTAGAGAGGGTTTCACCATTTTGGCCAGGTTGGTCTCAAACTCCTGATTTCAGGTGATCCACCCACCTCGGCCTCCCAAAGTGCTGGGATTGTAGGCATGAGTCACTGCTCCCAGCTGTGCCTTATATTTTTAACTAGTAACCTGAATAAATTCGGGGTGATTTTGAAAGCAGAGCTCACAGGATTTCCTGATAGTTTGGATGTGGGTGTATGAGAAAGAGAGGGGTCAACGATGACTCCTGGGTTATTTGCATGAGCAACTGGAATAGATTAGAGTTGCCCTCAATGGATACCAGGAAGGCCGTAAATGGAGCTGGTTGGAGGGGATGGAGGCAGATGAAAAGATTACTTTTGGACATGTTAAACTTGAAATGGCAAACAGGTATTTTGACTGGTGCTATAAACCTGTAAGTCATTGGCATGTAGATGATAGTCAACATATGCCTATGAAACTGGACAAAAGTTTCATGGTAATTAGGTATCAATAAGCAGGAAGGTAGCAAAAAACTAACTTTACCTATCTCACAATTTTGCCTTGTCCCAGGATTGCCCATAGCCCAATTCTTTTGATTCAAGCACCAAAACCAACTCTTAGAGTTTTTTGTTTGTTTGTTTGGTTTGGTTTTTTTGAGACAGGTTCTTGCTCTCTTGCCCAGGCTGGAGTGCAGTGGCATGACCATGGCCTACTGTAGCCTTGACCTCCCAGGCTCAAGTGAAACTCCCAACTCAGACTTCCAAGTAGCTTGGACTACAGGTGCGCATCACTACACCTGGCTAATTTTTTACTTTTATTTTTGTAGACATGAGTCTCACTGTGTTACCAGGGCTGGTGTTGAACTCCTGGGCTTAACCAATCCTCCTGCCTTGGCCTCACAAAGTGCTAAGATTACAGCCATGAGATGCTGCACCCGGCCTCTTCTCAAGAGTTTTTTGGCTAAGCAATTAATATATGTGAAGAGTAGGCATTCAATAATATGTCTTTTCCTTTTATACATTTCATCTTTTAAAGGGCAAGGCAGCCAGGAGTTGTGGCATGTGCCTTCAGTCTCAGCTATTTCGGAGGCTGAGGTGGGAGGATCACTCGAGCCCAGGAATTCAAGTCCAGCCTGGGCAACCCACCCCTGTCTCTAAAAAACAACAAGAGCCAGGTGTGGTGGCTCAGGCCTGTAATCTCAGCTCTTTGGGAGGCTGGGACAGATGGATCACTTGAGTAGTTTGAGACCAGCCTGGCTAACATGACGAAACCCCATCTTTACTAAAAATACAAAAATTAACCAGGCATGGTGGTGTGCACCTGTAGTTCAAGCTACTTGGGAGGCTGAGGCAGGAGAATCGCTTGAACCCAGGAGGCGGAGGTAGCAGTAAGCCGAGATCACACCACTGCACTCCAGCCTGGGTGACAGAGTGAGACTTTGTCTCTGAATGAATGAATGAATGAATGAATGAATATGAATAACAACAATGACAAACCCAGAAATATATGGGCAAGACAGCTTAAATGTAGGATGTTTGCATTTAGCCACTTCACTCTTTAGTAGTGAAGGTATGGTGAAATTATGACTGAATTACATTCACCTGCTTTACTAGACAATGACAGGTAATTGGATTAATGAAGCGTAAGGCAAAATATAGAGTAATTTTAGCTCAGTGTGATAGTCGAAGGGAAAAAAATTCAAATGATAACAAAAAACCAACCTATATTCCCCTGGGCACTACGAAATAACATCTATACCAGTGGTTCTTGTACTTTGGGACACATTGGAATTACCTGGGCATCTCTTTAAAATACTCCTATCTGGCTTCTACTCCCAGACCTTCTGATTTATTTGGTATGGGAGGAGCTTTGGCGTCACAGCTCTCCAGGTGGGCCTAATGTGCAGCAAAGTTTGAGAACTACCATGATGTATACTTTTTTTCCTAGTGAAACTACCACTAATAGTCACAGTATTCAGAGTCCCTTCCAAAATTCTTTTTATTCTTTGCTGGTGCCAAAAACAGAAGCAACATTGTTAAGGGAAGATCCTCAAGGCAGAGTGGAGTAAATGAGTGCCCTCTCTAAATCATACAAATAAGTCACAATCGTAATTTATTTTAGATTCATGACAGCTGTTCATCTGGCCACTTATTTATAGCATACATGATCCCCAAATTGGAGGCAACCGTAATGTCATGGAGTGCATCAGAGTTGAAGTAAAAAGGCTTGCATTCAAATCCCAATTCTTCCACTTACTAACAGTTATGATGGGCAATTCATTCAATCTTGCTGAAGTTCTCATTTTTTTCTCCCTAATATGAAAATAACCAGATCTGTTTTGCATGGTTGTAAATATCTTTAAAAGCTAATGTATGTGAAGATAAACTATAAAGTATATAAAGATATTAAATAATTATTATCTGAAAGGATTTTTCTTAACCTTAGAGATGACGTAACTTTCTAGGTTTTTTTTTCTGTATTTTTTCATTGCCTTAAGAAGGAGATCTGCATACAGTAGATAATAAATGCATTTGAACTTAACGTGTATAGTAGAGGAAGTATTATTTTGTATTTCTATACCATGTTTTAATCTGGGTAGAAACGTAAGTTTTCTACTCATGCCTGGGTTCCAACACATGTGTTGCCACTTGTTAGCAAATTTGTGTCAGTAGACATGTTCTAAGAGTCAGGTTTGTTATCTTTTTGTATGGCGAATAATATCTATCTTTCAGGGCTGTTATGGCCCTCACATGTAGTGCCGTAAGCATAGTAGCTAGAATGGAGCATGCAGAAAATGCTAATTCCTTTCTTCTCTCCAAGAATATCATAATCTTGTGATAGTACAGATGACCTTTGAACACCACAGGGGCTAGGGACCCTGCCCACACACAATCAAAAATTCACATATAATTTTTGACTCCTGAAGAACGTAACTACTAATAGCCTATTGTAAACTGGAAGCCTTACTAATAAGGTATACAGTTGATTAATATGTATTTTGTATGTTATATTTGTTCTGTACTGTATTTTTACAATAAAGAAAGCCAGAGAAAGGAAAATGTTATTAAGAAAATCATAAAGGAGACAAAATATATTTATTATTCATTAAGTGGAAGTAGATCATAAAGATCTTCATCTTGTCTTCATGTTGAATAAACTAAGGAGGAGAAAGCAGTGGGGTTGGTCTTTCTGTCTTGAGGGTGGCAGAAACGGAAGAAATTCAAATATAAGTGGATCCTCTCAGTTCAAACCCGTGTTGTCTAAGAGTCACCTGTAATTTTTAAAATCTGAGTAATAATTTTTAGTAGCTAAAAATTCTTAACTGTCATTTAAAAATTTTGTTTTGCTGATTTCTATATCATTTAACGTTTTAAAACTTTTTTATTGATGCATAACGGATGTACATGGTCCTCCTGCCCCACCCCACCCCCCACCCCCACAACATGTTTTTTGGAGTTTTTTCTGGTTTTTGTTTGTTTGTGTTTTGGAGACAAAGTCTCGCTCTGTCCCCCAGGCTGGAGTGCGGTAGCGCAATCTCGGCTCACTGCAACCTCTGCCTCCCGGGTTCAAGCAATTCTCCTGCCTCAGCCTCCCTAGTAGCTGGGACTACAGGCGCATGCCGTCATGCCTGGCTAATTTTTTTGTATTTTAGTAGAGACAGGGTTTCACCATGTTGCCCAGGCTGGTGTCGAACCCCTGAGCTCAGTCAATCTGCCCGCCTCGGCCTCCCAAAGTGCTAGGATTACGGGCATGAGCCACCACGCCTGGCCACAGATGGTTTTAAAAGCAGTGTTTATCTTTATGCTTTTTCAGATAAGTTTATACCATGGATAGCACAAAGGAGAAGTGTGACAGTTACAAAGATGATCTTCTGCTTAGGATGGGACTTAATGATAATAAAGCAGGAATGGAAGGATTAGATAAAGAGAAAATTAACAAAATTATAATGGAAGCCACGAAGGTATGTTTCTTGTTTCTTTTGATGTGTGTAATTTAATGACCTTTTAACTTTCTGTTTCAAAGAAAATCATTTGAATATCATTTGTATTTAATATTTCAATATTTTAATATATATTATTTTTAAACTACAAAAGGGTATGGAATAATCTCCCTTCTATTCTGTTGCTCCTACCATCCAGGTTTCTATTTCACATGCATATAATAGGCATTTAAAACCAAAATAATGTATATGTTCCTGTTCACCTTTTTTTTTAACCCCAGTGGGAGAAATTGTTTAGGTATTTGGATTTTTTTTTTTCAGTTAATATAACTTGGAGCTCTTTCTGTATAGGTAAATAAAGATCTTCATTCTTTGTATGCCTGTGTGTGTGGATATAATGTAATTTATTGAACCATCCAAAAAGTTTATGGATAAATATATGTCATTTGTAGTCTTTTATTTTTACAAACATTACTAGTGAAGTAGGGAATAACGTATTTTATAACTTTCTATATGTGCAAGTATAACTGTGGAAGAGATTCCTACAATGGAATTGTTTCACCAACTACACATAGCACAAAAGAATATATGCATGTGTGATTTTTATGAATTGCCAAATTACCCTCCATGGTGTTTCTATCAATTCACACTTCCACTACAAATATCTGAGAGTATGTATTACCATACTGAAACTGTGCCAACACAGTGTATTACTAAACTTTTGTATTTGGCAATCTGAGGTAATATAGTATAGCATTAATTTGTATTCCACTTATGAAAAATTAGTTTCATATCTTTTCTTTTTTTTGAGACAAGGTCTCACTCTGTCACCCAGGCCGGAGTCCAGTAGCACAATAATAGCTCGTTACAGCCTCACCCTGGTCTCAAGTGTTCCTCCCACCTCAGACTTTGAAGAGCTAGGACAATAGGCACATGCCACCAAGCCTGGCTAACTTTTTATTTTTTGTAGAGAGGCGGTCTCACTGTGTTGCCCAGGCTAGTCTTGATCTGCTGGCCTCAAGCAATCCCTCTACCTTAGCCTCCCAAAGTGCTGGGATTATAGGCATGAGCTACTGTGCCTGGAGCTCTTTTGATATTTTAAAAATTATTTGTATTTCATTTTTTATGAACTTTGATTATATATTCTGTATACATATGCACATTCAATAATTAGTTATCTTTTGACTTTGCTTATGGTAGTTTCTCCTGTTCAGAAATTTTTTGTTTGCTCCATTTTATGTAGTTGAATGTCAACTACATATGGCTTTCTTCAAGGTTATAAAAGAATTCTTTAATTTTTTTACCACTTTTTTGTTTCATTTATATATTATAGAATATATATGTATTAATGTGTTATGTGTATTAATGTATATCAATATTAATATACATTATATATACATGATATATAATGTATATTAGTATGTTGTATTATATGTTATGTATATTAATAAACACAATACATGTATTAATATACATGTAGAAAGATGTAAACTTTAAGAGAATATCCTTGTTCTTAGGAAATGCGTGGTGATGTCCACAGCAACTTACTTTAAAATGGTTTAGCCAAAAGGAGGGGAAAGTGTGTGTGTGTGTATGTATGTGTGTGTGTATACACTCATACTTCCCCAACATATATACATAGAAGTTGGGGAAGAAATCAAATGTAGCAGGATATTAATTGATGAATCTAGGTAAGGGTATATAGGTGTTCGTTGTACTATTTTTTCAGCTTTTGCAGATTTGAAAATTCCACGATAAAAAGTTAAGGAATTATTGTTAATTTCATTAGCTATGAAAATGTTACTGTGATGAAGTGGGAAAATGGCCTTATTTTTAAATGCATACCGAAATCTTCTGTGGAATGGCTAAATATCTTGATATTTATAATTTAAAATGTTTCACTTGTAATGAAGCATATACAGTAAAATGTTAACAGCTGTTAAATCTGAGTGATAGTTTTATATGTGTTTATTGTATTCATGTTTTTCCTGCGTTTTCCTGAGACTTTTTTGATATTTTCATCATAAAAATGTTCAAAAAGAATAAAACAAATAAAACCTATGAATCTAGTTCTTAGGTTAAGAAATAGAATATGTAGGTTACCCTAGATGTCCCTATCTATCTGATCCTCCCTCTCTATTCTCTGTGACCCAGTACAATTTATTAAATAGTCCATTCTTTTCCTACTGATCTGGTGTGCTTTCTCTTCTGTTCCACTGGATCATTTGCCTGTTTGTATGTAAACAACATGTTTTTTTATTATCATACTTTATAATAAGCCTTGATATCTGCTAGCACAATTTCTTTTTTTTTACACTTTGTTCTTTTTCAAGAATATCTTGAGTATTCTTGAAGCTTTGCTTTCATATAAATTTTATGTGATATATATCAAAAATATATAGGTGCATATATAATTGGCACATATCACATGATTGGTATATAAAAATACATAGAATAATATATATTCCTCTAGTGCATGAGGTGAGTTTATCATAAATGGTACCTTGTTTAAATTGGAATTTTCTAATTGTTACTATTCCATAGCAATACAATTTACTTTTTACTTTTTTAAAACTCTTATCAGAAAATTTAAAATATATAGAAAATTACAGAGAATAGTAAAGTAAATCCCCATATAATCATCACCCAGCATCAACAATTACCAACATTTTTGCAAATATAGTTATCTATCTTACCCTTCCCCTACTGATTTTTGGAGGGAGGAGTATTTTAAAACAAATTCCAATAAATTGGACACATTTCTAGAAGTTTACAATTTTTCAAAATGGACTCAAGAAGATACAGAGAATCTAAATAGACCTATATAATAAGGAAATAAATTAGTAATTAAAAATCTCCCCATCAAAGAAAAAAGACCAGGCCATTTGGCTTCTCTGGTGAGTTTTATCAAATATTTAAAGAAGAAATGATACCAATATTCCACAAGCTCTTCTAGAAAATAGAGAAGGATGGAACACTTCCCAACTCCTATGAGGCCAGTATCACCCTGATACCAAAGCCAAACACAAGGTTATACATCATTATGAATGCAAAAGTCCTCAACAAAATATTAGAGGACTGATTTAAACAATATAGCAAAGAGATTATGCACCATAACCAAATGGGATTTATCTTAGGAAAGCAAGGTTGGTTTAAGATCTAAAAATCGGCCAAGCTCATGCCTATGACCCCAGCACTTTGGGAGGCTGAGGTGGGTGGATCACCGGAGGTCAGGAGTTCAAGACCAGCCTGACCAATATGGTGAAACCCCGTCTCTACTAAAAATACAAAAATAAGCCAGGCGTGGTGGCATATGCCTGTAGTCCCAGCTACTCAGGAGGCTGAGACAGGAGAATTGCTTGAATCCTGGAGGTGGAGGTTGCAGTGAGCCAAGATTGCACCACTGCACTCCAGTCTGGGCAACAGAGCAAGACTCCTTCTCAGAAAAAGATAAAAAAAAGAGAGAGATCTGAAAATCAATTAATGTAATACATCATATTAAAATAAAGGGCAAAAAAACCACACGATCATCTTAGTAGACTCAGAAAAAGCATATTTGATAAAATCCCACCACTATTCATGCTAAAAGCTCTTAACAGACTTGAAATAGAAGGGTACTTCCTCAATCTAGTAAAGGGCATCTATAAAAAAGCCTACAGTGTACATCATACTTTATGGTGGAAGGCTGAACACTTTCTACCTAAAATGAGGAACAAGGCAAGAATGTCCACTCTCACCTTTTCTACTCAACATAGTCCTAACAGTTCTAACCAGTGCAGTCAGGCAATAAAAATAAATAAAAGGGCCAGGTACAGTGGCTCACACCTGTAATCCCAGCACTTTGGTAGGCTGAGATAGGAGGATCACTTGAGCCCAGGAGTTTGAGACCAGCCTGGGCAACATAGTGAGACCCTGTCTCTTAAAAACAAAACAAAACCCTTACGCCGTACACAAAATTAACTCAAAATAGACTTAAAGAGCCAAAACAATACAACTTTTAGAAGAAAATTTGAGAAAGCCTCTGAGACCTTCTGTTAGGCAGAAATTTCTTAGATGTGATACTAGAAGAACAATCAATAAAAGAAAGTTGATTAATTGGTCCTCATCAAAATTTAAAATGTTTACACTTCAGAAGACAGCAATAAAAATAAAAAGATAGGTCAGGTGAGCTGGCTCACACCTGTGATCCTAACACTTTGGAAGGCTGAGGTAGGAGGATCAGGAGTTTGAGACCAGCCTGGGCAACATAATGAGACCCCACCCCCCAACCTCTTAAAAAAAAAAGAAAAAGATAGCAATGTGCCTTGGGTAAAATATTTGTAAAACACATATGTGATAAAAGACTTATATCCAGAATATACAGAAAATGTCTACAACTCAATAAGACAAGCAACCGAATCAAAAAATGGTCAAAAGATGTGAATAGACATTTCAGTAAAGAAGATATACAAATGACTCTAGGCACATGAAAAGATGCTCAATATTATTAGTCATCAGGGAAATAAAAATTTAAAAACCACAAAGAGATGCCATTCATGCTACTATTGCTTAGAATAGCTATAATAAATAAGACACAGTAACAAATGTTGGCAAGAACGTGGAGAAATTGGAACCCTCCTACGTTGCTGATGGGATTTAAAATGGTTCAACCACTTTGGAAAACAGACTGGCATTTCCTCAAAAGGTTGAGTATAGAGGTACCATATGTCAAAGAAACCCTACTCCTAGTTACCTACCTGAGAGAAATGACAACATATGTCCACATGAAAACTTGTCCACAAATGTTTATGATAGCATTCTTCACTGTAGCCAAAAAGTGAAAATAAGCTAAATGTCTATCAACCAGATAAATGGATAGACACTATGTTCAGTGATGAAATGATGGGCAGTTTTTTGAATTATTTTCTACATTTTCTTTAATGACTTAACATTAAATATTTGAAAATACCTTGTAAGGAGTATTTTTTTAATGCAATAGATAACTGATGATCCAACCCACTAAGGCCTTTGATACCCACTGTGGATCCTACCTAGGACATACTGTTCTTTTCTGAATGCAAACCTGTATTCATCTCAGAGAGCTTGTGCTGTGCTAAGTACTGCTCACAACAATCCTGTGATTTAGTTAACTACTAATAAATTCATCTTACAAATAAAGAAACTGAGATGTAGAAAGATTAAATAATTTTAGGGTCACCTAGCTAGTAAGTAGTAGAGCTAAGTTTTAAATTTAATCTTCTGTTTCCTGAGTATGTGCTCTTAGCCACCAGGTTATACTACAGTGATGCTTTCCTTCAGACATTTTTCTTATGCTTTGTTTTGTTTTCCTCCATAGGGGTCCAGATTTTATGGAAATGAGCTCAAGAAAGAAAAGCAAGTCAACCAACGAATTGAAAATATGATGCAACAAAAAGCTCAAATCACCAGCCAACAGCTAAGAAAAGCACAATTACAGGTATTAATTAAATTGTTAAATAAAGTGGAAGCTGGTAGAATAGTAATTGACAGTTAAAATGTATTGTCAAGTCATAACTGAAAACAAGATGAAATGTAAATGTTCATTATATTGTAAAGCATACATATTCAGCAAATGAACATACTTTACTTTGCTAAGTGTTGCTCTGCTCATTTACATAAAGACTCCACACATAGACATTGTCACCTCTATTATACAGAAGAGTAAATGAAGTCTTAATTAAGTTGAGTAACTTGCCCAGCTTGATAGGACAGGTAGTTAGCAGAACTAGGATTTAATCCAAAGCCTATGTTCTTTTTATTGTATACATCGCAGCTAGAAAAGGCCACGGGATAAATGTGGAATGTTTTCTGCAATGCTGATTTTGCAAAAAAAATTTGAGGAATATGTTAACTAATTAAATTGGAGAGTAACTTAAAACATAATCATGTTATAGTAAAATAAAAAGTCACACTATAGATTAGAATGCCAAATGTACATGAACTTTTAAGACAAAACACAAGACTTCTAAAACCTTGGAAGGTTTTTGCCTTCTCCAGGATCTTTGGGAAGTAAATACTCCAAGTTTCCTCTTCTATTAAAAGTTATTTCAGGAGAAAAGTTTGGAAATATCCAAGTTGCAGGGCACTGTGTGGTAGACTGACAACTCAAAGCAGTCAAATTTCTGATAGTAAAACAAGTCATGGCAAGAGGAATTTGCTCTTTATCAAAATCTGATCCAATGTTAACAGAGCTCTATAGTCTATAAGGTAACAATAAAATTAGATTAATCTAATATGCTACAAAATCCTTCTCTTGTGACAGAGTTCAAAGATCATAAATTTTATGTTTTCTTTATCAAACTATACAATGTGTGATTTTTTGATACATATGCCTTCTCAGAGCACAAGATAATTTTTAAGTGGTCTTCTATTATGATGAAAGATGATTTATTTGTCATATCATCATTTTTAATGCTTCACAGCATTCCACTGTGTGGAGGTACCATAATTTATTTACCATATCCCACCTTGGTTTCAGTTTTTTATTTCATACGCAACCCTGTGATTATCATTCTTATCTTTGTACTCTAGTGCTGTTATTTTGACCAAAGATGGTATCATTTTACATTTTCAACATGAAAGTATTGATTTTCTCACATAGTTGTAAACCATTAATATTTCCTTATTATGAGAATTTCCTCTTTTATTCTGTTTGCGAGTATATACACTAAGTTGCTAGCACAAGAGACCAAAAATGTAATATTTTAAATAAGAGCTGCTTTCTTTCTCACATAATAAGTGAGTAGTTCTAGCTGGTGAGTGGCTGATTATCATTTAGAGACCCAGGTTCTTTAAATCATATTGTTCCATCATCCCCTGGTGTTATCCTTACCTGAATTAACAAAAGTGAATTATTTTCCATCCATATTCCATCTCCTGGTTAAGGAAGAAAGGGAAAATATTGAAGGCAAGTACAGTAATTTGCTATTAAACAAGTGAAAAAGAAGTTGCACACATTACTTCAGCTGACATTCTTTGGCAAGAATTTAAGTTACATGGCCACACCTAACTGCAGGAGAAGCTATAACTTTAGCTGGGTGCCATGTGCCCAGCTGAAAATCCATTACCATGGAAGGAAGGAAGAATAGATTTTGGGGTTCAAGCAGCAGCCTAAAGCAATGTTTTTTGCCCACATGTCTGGGGGAGTTTATATCTATTTATCTTGATTTATAAGGTCTTAATATATTAGAGATTTTTTCTTGCCATTTGTTATGAATACTTTTCCAATATATTGTCTTTTAATTTTGTAGTTTTTCCCATATAATTTTTAATGTTTATGTAATCAAATCCAGTGACTTTTTTAAAAAAAGATTATATATATATATATCTTCCTTTCCCTTCAAAATTTATTTTTTTTAACTTTTAAGTTCAGGGGTACATGTGTAGGTTTGTTATATAAATAAACTGGTGTCGTGGGGGTTTGTTGTACAGATTATTTTGTCACCCAGGCATTAAGCGTAGTACCACTCATTAGTTATTCTTCCTGATCCTCTCCCTCCTCCCATCCTCCACCCTCCAGTAGGCCCCAGTGTATGTTGTTCCCTTGTATGTGTCCATGTGGTTTCATGATTTAGCTCCCACTTATAAGTGAGAACATGCGGTATGTGGTTTCTGTTCCTTTGTTAGTTACTAGGGATAATGGCCTCCATCTCCATCCATGTCCCTGCAAAAGACATGATCTCATTCTTTTTTATTGCCACACAGTATTCCATGGTGTATATGTACACAATTTTCTTTATCCAGTCTATCATTGGTGAGCATATAGATTGATTCCATGTCTTTGCTGTTGTGAATAGTGCTGCAGTGAACAAACACAAGCCTGTATAAAAAGACCTTATTTTTCAAAGCAGTTTTAGGTTCACAGCAAAATTGAATAAAAGGTACAAAGATTTTCCATATACTCCTGTCTCCCCACAGGCATAGCCTCCCCTGCTATCACATCCCCCACCAGAGGGGTACATTTGTTACAGTTTATGAATCTACGTTGACACAACATTATCATCCAAAGTTGATAGTTTATATTAGGGTTCAATATTGGTGGTGTACATTCTGTGGGTTTAGACAAATGTACAGTGAGGTGCATCCACCATTATAGTATCAGACAGAGTAGTTTCCCTGCCCTAAAAAAATACTCTGTGCTCCATCTATTCATCCCTCCCTCCCCCACTAACCCCTGGCAATCACTGACCTTTTTACTATCTCCATAGTTTTCCCTTTTCCAGAATGTCATATATTAGAATCATACAGGATGTAGCCTTTTCAGACTGATTGTTTTTACTTATGCAGTGTAATGTAAATGTATGCATTTACATTTCCTTCATGTCTTTTCATGGCTTAATAGTTCATTTATTTTATGTACTGAATATTATTCAATTGTCTGGGTGTACCACAGACAATTTTTTTTTTTTTTGAGATGGAGTCTCTCTCACTTCGTTGCCCAGGCTGGAGTGCAGTGGTGCAATTTTGGCTCACTGCAACCTCCACCTCCCGGGTTCAAGCTATTCTCCCTCGGCCTCCCGAGTAGCTGGGATAACCAGTGCCCACCACCATGCCCAGCTAATTTTTGCATTTTTTAGTAGAGACGGGGTTTCACCATGTTGGCCAATCTGGTCTGAAACTCCTGGCCTCATGTCATCCGCCTGCCTCAGCCTTCCAAAGTTCTGGGATTACAGGCGTGAGCCATACCACAGACAATTGAATAATATTCAGCACATAAAATAATTGAGCTATCAAGCTATTTGTCCATTTACCTACTAAAGTTTACTTTGGTTGCTTCTAAGTTTTGGGAATTATGAATAAAGCTGCTGTAAATATCCATGGCCAGGCTTATGTGTAGACATAAGTTTTCAACTCCTTTAGGTAAATACTAAGGAGCGCAATTGCTGGATAATATGGTAAAATAAAAATATGTTTAGCTTTATAAGAAACTGCCAAACTGTCTTCCAAAGCGACCATACCATTTTGTCTTCCCACCAACAATGAATGAGGATTCCTGTTGCTAAATATCATTGCCCTCATTTGGTGTTGTCAGTATTGTGAATTTTGGCTATTCTAATATGTGTATAGTGGTATCTCATTGTTGTTTTAATTTGCATTTCCCTGATGACATATGATGTGGAGCATCTTTTCATGTGCTTATTTGCCATCTGTATATGTTCTTTGTTGAGGTGTCTGTTAAGGTCCTTGACCATTTATAATCAAGCTGTTTGCTTTCTTATTTTTGGTTTTTAAGAGTTCTTCGTGTATTTTGGGCAACAGACCTGTATCAGATATGTCTTTTGCAAATATTGTTTCCCAACCTGTGGCTTTTCTTTTTATTCTATTGACAGTATCTTTCACAGAGCAGAAATTTTTAATTTTAATGAAGTCTAGTTTATCAATTCTTTCTTTCATGGATTGTGCCTTTGGTATTGTATCTAAATAGTCATCATCAAATCCAAGTCCATCTAGATTTTCTCTTATGTTATCTTCTAGGAATTTTATAGTTTTGCATTTTACAGTTAGGTCTGTGATTCATTTGAGTTCATTTTTGTGGAGGAAATAACTTCATCTTTTTTTCTTTTTTTTTTTTTTAACATGAGGATATCCAATTGTTCCAGCACAATTTGTTAAAAAACTCTTTTCTTGCTAGGTGTGGCGGCTCACGCCTGTAATCCCAGCACTTTGGGAGACCAAGGTGGGAAGATCGCTTGAGCCCAGGGGTTCAGGACCAGCCTAGGCAACATAGCGAGACCCTGCTTCTACAAAAAATAGAAAAAATTAACTCGGGGTGGTGGCACAGGCCCATGGTCCTAGCTATTTGGGAGGCTGAGGTGGGAAGATTGTTTGGGCCTGGGAGGTGGAGGTGGCAGTGAGCTGTGATTGCACCACTGCACTCCAGCCTGGGCAACAGAATGAGACTCTGTCTCAAGAAAAGAAAAAAAAGAAAGAAACTCTTCTCCATTTTATTGAGTCATTGCTCCTTTGTCAAAGACCAATTGTCTGTATTTATGTGAGTCTATTTCTGGGCTCTGTATTCTGTTTCATTGATCTATTTGTCTATTCTTTTGCCAATACCACACTCTCTTAATTACTGTAACTTTATAGTAAGTCTTGAAGTCAAGTAGTTTCAGTCCTTCAGTTTTGTTCTTCTTCTACAATATTTTGTTGGCTAATTGGATCTTTTGCCTCTCCATATAAATTTTAGACTCAGTTTGTTGACATCCACAAAATAGCTTGCTGGGATTTTGACTAGGATTGCATTGAGTGTATAGATGAAGTTGGGAAGAACTGGCATTTGATAATAGAGTCTTCCTGTTCATGAACATGGAATATCTCTCCATTTAAAGATGCTCCTTGGTTTACAATGGAGTTACATTTGGATAAACCCATTATACAGTTGAAAAATTGTAAGTCAAACCATCATAAGTCCAGATATTCCCTGACTTAATGGTGGGATTATGTCCAGATAAACCCCTCATAAAGTTGAAAAATCTTAAGTTGAACCATCATAGGCCAGAGACCGTATTTAGTTCTTCTTTGCTTTCTTTCTTCAGACTTTGTAGTTTTCCTCATGTTGATCTTGTACATATTTTGTTACACTTGTTCCTAAGTATTTCATTTTTGGAGGTTTTAATATAAATTGTAATGTGTTTTATGTTTTGTTTTGTTTTTGAGACAGAGTCTCCCTCTGTCACCCAGGCTGCTGCGTAGTGGGATGACCTCAGCTCACTGCATCTTCCTCTTCCTGGGTTCAAGCAATTCTCCTGCCTCCACTTCCTGGTAGCTGGGATTAGAGATGCTCACTGCCATGCCTGGCTAGTTTTTGTATTTTTAGTTGAGACAGGGTTTCACCATGTTGGCCAGGCTGGTCTTGAACTCCTGAGCTCAAGTGATCCACCTGCCTCGGCCTCCAAAAGTGCTGGGATTACAGATGTGAGCCAACATGTTGGGCCTGTAATGTGTTTTAAATTTTAAATTTTACTTGTTCATTGATGGCATACAGGAAAGTGATTGACTTTTGTATATTAACCTTATATCTTGTAACTGATTATTATCACTTACTAGTTCCAGGAACAATATTCTTATAATTTTTGTTGTTGTTTTTTTTTTTTGGTCTGGGTATTGTACTTGGAAAATTATTCCTCATAACCATGCCTATGTCTTCTTTTAGTATTTTTATAGCTCTTGGCATACTCATATCTTTAGTCAATTTGGAATTTGTTTTGATGTAAAGTGTGAAGTATGTTTTTCTTAAATGGTGTTATGTTTTCCCTGCATAGTATTATTTTCCCTAAGTGGTGATTCACTTGTCCCAACTCCATTTATTGAATCATGAATCCTTTCTTCACTGAGTTGAAATGAAGTACTTCCAAATTAAAAAATTCTCAATTGTTCTTTGATTTATTTCTGGACTCTCTCTTCTAATCAATTCAGTCTTTTCCTGTATCAGTACCATACAGTTTTAGTTATTGAACGGTAGGAATATAGTTTAATATTCTCGCTTGTAACTCTTCTTTAAAATTTTTTTTGTATTTCTCATGCATGTTTCTTTCAAATAAACTTAGGCATCATTTTATCAAGGTTTTAAAAAAATCAGTTCTATCCACAGTAATATTATTTTAAAATTGATATTAATCCTTAAGCAACGTACTTTCTGGACATTTTCATTTTATTGATCTATAATCTACAAATATATTTAACAGTTTTAATGATACAGTATATAAGTGATGCTAACAACTGTTAGCTATTCATACTATTTTTAAAGCTCATATCCTTAAATATACTAATAATCTGAAGGAATAGAAAGTATCTTTCATTGTATAGCAGAATTTAAGATTTTGTTCCAGTTTTGGTTGACTATTTCATCAGAGGCTCTCTGGCATCTTTTGCAACAGGAATGGCAGGAAACGTGTTTTATGTTGATTGTTCAATTGTTTCATTTGTTGAGCTTCCTCCAAAAGAATTTGTATAAATGGGAGGAGATTGAGGAAGTTTAAGGAGTCAAGAAGGCCTGAGAGAACAGAGTTGTTTTCGTAGGAAATGTGTTTCTATTTTAGAGTCTTAAAATTTCCAAGTACTCGATTTTATTATGTGTGATATGATAGTATGAACTATTGCTAGTCGAGCTGAGGTAAGCAACTTTTACAGGCATGAACCTCTAGGGTGTTCAGAACCTCTCTAAGTATACTCCACCCTTTCCCAATCTCAGTGGACTTCTTAAAGCACAGTCATTTTTGTAACTGACAAATTGTTGTATAAGAACATGGGTTCATAAATCAAGTAGACAGATGTTTATGTTACATTGCATGACAGCTATACAGCAAATCAGTGCATTTTGACCATTTTGGCAATTTATTGATTTGGGGTTTGTTTTTTTGTTTTGTTTTGTTTTTTTTTTTTTTTTTTTTTTTTTTTAGAGACAGGGTCTCTCTCTGTCACCCAGGCTGGAGTGCAGTGGTGGTACCATCATGGCTCACTACAACCTCCAACTACTGGGCTCAAACAGTCCTCCCGCCTCAGCCTCCCAAGTAGTGGGGGGACTATAGGTGTACACTTTCACACTCAGTTAATTTTTAAAATTTTTCGTAGAGACAGGATCTCACTATATTGCCCAGGCCAGTCTCAAACTCCTGGCCTCAAGCTACCCTTCCACTTAAGCCTCCCAAAGGGGTTAAAGGCATGAGCCACTAGGGCTGGCCAACAATTGATTTTATTAACTCAAATTTATTCAACAGTCTTGGGGAAATACTAATTTAAGAAAACAAAACCAAAAAAACACATTATTTCTGAAATAGTCTCCTCAATGTAATAGAAATGGGATATTTATAAAGAAAATAAGACATAATATGGATGGAAAATATACCATTACAGTTTGATTTGAGTGTATTTCAACATTACAGACTTTAAAAAATCTATTATAGGGAAGCATCATAACATAATCAAAAACAGACTTCAGAGTAACCTGGTTTCAGTGTTTAGTGCTAACATTTACTAGCTCTATGACTTAGGGCAAATTACTTACTCTTACTGAGCTTTAGTTTCATCTATAAAATGGGAACAATAATTATGATCTCAGAATTATGACCAGTAAATGAGTTAACATAGGAAGCACTTAGCATATTATATGACACATATACCCAATAAATGTAACTTCTACTTTATAATTATAGATAATTAAGCCCTTATTGTATCCCTAGATAGGTGCATTACATGGGTGTCTCTTTTAATTCTTTCAATAACCTATTGAGGTTGGTTTAGTACCACTTTACAAATAAGGAAAGTAAGCATGAAAGGGGTTAAATTGCTCCCTGTCCTGTAACTAATGAGTTGCAGTGCTAGGACCCGAACCAAAGCCGTTATTCTATTTTTTGTTTCTTTAAAAAAATTTGTTTTTTTATTATACTTTAAGTTCTGGGATACATGTGCAGAATGTGCAGGTTTGTTACATAGGTATACATGTGCCACGGTGGTCTGCTGCACCTATCAACCCATCATCTACATTAGGTATTTCTACTAATGCTATCCCTTCCCTTGCCCACCACCCCTCAACAGGCCCCAGTGTGTGATATTCCCCTCCCTGTGCCCATATGGTCTCATTGTTCAACTCCCATTTATGAGTGAGAACATGCAGTGTTTGGTTTTCTGTTTCTGTGTTAGTTTGCTGAGAATGATGGTTTCCAGCTTCATCCATGTCCCTGCAAAGGACATGAATTCATTTTTTATGGCTGCGTAGTATTCCATGATGTATATGTGCCACATTTTCTTTATCCAGTCTATCATTGATGGGCATTTGGGTTGGTTCCAAGTCTGATATTGTGAATAGTGCTGCAGTAAACATACATGTACATGTGTCTTTATAGTAGAATGATTTATAATCTTTTGGGTATATAACTGGTAATGGGATTGCTGGGTCAAATGGTATTTCTGGTTCTAGATCCTTGAGGAATCGCCACACTGTCTTCCACAATGGTTGAACTAATTTACACTCCCACCAACAGTGTAAAAGCATTCCTATTTCTCCACATCCTCTCCAGCATCTGTTGTTTCCTGACTTTTTAATGATTGCCATTCTAACTGGTGTGAGATGGTATCTCATTGTGGTTTTGATTTGCGTTTCTCTAATGACCATTGATGATGTGCTTTTTTGTTTGTTGGCTGCATAAAGGTCTTCTTTTGAAGTGTCTCTTCATATCCTTTGCCTGCTTTTTGATGGGGTTGTTTGGTTTTTTCTTGTAGATTTGTGTAAGTTCCTTGTAGATTCTGGATATTAGCTGTTTGTCAGATGGATAGATAGCAAAAATTCTCTCCCATTCAGTAGGTTGCCTGTTCACTCTGCTGATAGTTTATTCTGCTGTGCAGAAGCTCTTTAGTTTAATTAGATCCCATTTGTCAATTTTGGCTTTTGTTGCAATTGCTTTCAGTGTTTTAGTCATGAAGTCTTTGCCCATGCCTGTGTCCTGAATGGTATTGCCTAGGTTTTCCTCTAGGGTTTTTATGGTTTTAGGTCTTATATTTAAGTCTTTAATCCATCTTGAGTTAATTGTTGTATAAGGTGTAAGGAAGGGGTCCAGTTTCAGTTTTCTGAATATGGCTAGCAAGTTTTCCCAACACCATTTATTAAATAGGGAATCCTTTCCCCATTGCTTGTTTTTGTCAGGTTTGTCAAAGATCAGATGGTTGTAGATATGTGGTGTTATTTCTGAGGCCTCTGTTCTATTCTATTGGTCTATATATCTGCTTTGTTACCAGTACCATGCTGTTTTGGCTACTATAGCCTTGTGGTATAGTTTGAAGCCAGGTAGCATGATGCCTCCAGCTTTGTTCTTTTTGCTTAGGATTGTCTTGGCTATACAAGCTCTTTTTTTGGTTCTATATGAAATTTAAAGTAGTTTTTTCTAATTCTGTAAAGAAAGTCAGTGGTACCTTGATGGGAATAGCATTGAATCTATAAATTACTTTGGGCAGTATGGCCATTTTTACCATATTGATTCTTCCCATCCATGAGTATGGAATGTTTTTCCATTTGTTTGTGTCCTCCTTTATTTGCATGAGCAGTGGTTTGTAGCTCTCCTTGAAGAGGTCCTTCACATCCCTTGTAATTTGTATTCCTAGGTATTTTATTTATTCTCTTTGTAGCAATTGTGAGTGAGAGTTCACTCATGATTTGGCTCTCTGTTTGTCTATTGGTGTATAGGAAAGTTTGTGATTTTTGCATATTGATTTGGTATCCTGAGACATTGCTGAAGTTGCTTATCAGCTTAAGGAGTTTTTGGGCTGAGACAATGGGGTTTTCTAAATATACAATCATGTCACCTGCAAACAGAGGTAATTTGACTCCCTCTCTTCCTAATTGAATACCCTTTATTTCTTTCTCTTGCCTGATTGCCCTGACCAGAACTTCCAATACTATGTTGAATAGGAGTGGTGAGAGAGGACATCCTTGTCTAGTGCTGGTTTTCAAAGGGAATGCTTCCAGCTTTTGTCCATTCAGTATGATATTGGCTGTGGGTTTGTAATAAATAGCTCTTATTATTTTGAGATACGTTCCATCAATACCTAGTTTATTGAGAGTTTTTAGCATGAAGGGGTGTTGAATTTTATCCAAGGTCTTTTCTGCATCCATTGAGATAATCATGTAGTTTTTGTCATTGGTTCTGTTTATGTGATGGATTACGTTTATTGAATTGCATATGTTGAACCAGCCTTACATCCCAGGGATGAAGCTGACTTGATTGCGTTGGATAAGCTTTTTAATGTACTGCTGGATTTGGTTTGCCAGTATTTTATTGAGGATTTTCGCATTGATGTTCATCAGGGATATTGGCCTGAAATTTTTTTGTTGTTGTTGTGTCTCTCTCAGGTTTTGGTATCAGGATGATGCTGGCCTCATAAAATGAGTTAGCGGGGAGTCCCTCTTTTTCTGTTGTTTGGAATAGTTTTAGAAGGAATGGTACCAGCTCCTCTTTGTACCTCTGGTAGAATTCAGCTGTGAATTGTTGTGTTTTTAGTAGAGGTGGGGTTTCTCCATGTTGGTCAGGCTGGTCTTGAACTCCCAACCGCAGGTGATCTGCCCGCTTCAGCCTCCCAAAGTGCTGGGATTACAGACGTGAGCCACTGTATCTGGCTGTGAATCTGTCTGGTCCTGGACTTTTTTTTGGTTGGTAGTCTGGCTAGCAGTCTGCTTATTTTGTTAATCTTTTCAAAAAAACCAGCTCCTGAACTCATTGATTTTTTTAAGGGATTTTCGTGTCTCTATCTCCTTCAGTTTTGCTCTGATCTCAGTTATTTCTTGTCTTCTGCTAGCTGTTGAATTTGTTTGCTCTTGCTTTTCTAATTATTTTAATTGTGATGTTAGGGTGTTGATTTTAGATCGTTCCTGCTTTCTCCTATGGGCATTTAGTGCTATAAATTTACCTCTAAACACTGCTTTAGCTGTGTCCCAGAGATTCTGGTACATTGTGTCTTTGTTCTCTTATTGATTTCAAAGAACTTACTTATTTCTGCCTTAATTTCATATTTATCCAGGAGTCATTCATGAGCAGGTTGTTCAGTTTCCACGTAGTTGTGCAATTTTGAGTGAGTTTCTTAATCCTGAGTTCTAATTTGATTGCGCTGTGGTCTGAGAGACTGTTATGATTTCTGTTCTTTTGCATTTGCTGAGGAGTGTTTTACTTCCAATTATGTGGTCAATTTTAGAATAATTGCGATGTGTTGCTGAGAAGAATGTATATCCTGTTGATTTGGGGTGGAAAGTTCTGTAGATGTCTATTAGGTCTGCTTGGTCCAGAGCTGAGTTCAAGTCCTGAATATCCATGTTAATTTTCTGTCTCGTTGATCTGTCTAATGTTGACAGTGGGGTGTTAAAGTCTCCCACTGTTATTGTGTGGGAGTCTAAGTCTCTTTGTAGGTCTCTAAGAACTTGCTTTATGAATCTGGGTGCTACTGCATTGGGTGCATATATGTTTAGGATAGTTAGCTCTTCTTGTTACATTGATCCCTTTACCATTATGTAATGCCCTTCTTTGTCTCTTTTCATCTTTGTTGGTTTAAAATCTGTTTTATCGGAGACTGGGATTGCAACCCCTGCTTTTTTTTCTTCTTTCTTTCTTTCTTTCTTTTCTTTCTTTCCTTTCTTTTTTGTTTGGTAAATCTTCCTCCATGTCTTTATTTTGAGCCGTTGTGTGTCTTTGCACATGGGATGGGTCTCCTGAATAGAGCACACTGATGGGTCTTGACTCTTTATCCAATTTGCCAGTCTGTGTCTTTTAATTGGGGCATTTATTTTGATCCTGTCATAATGATGCTAGCTGGTTATTTTGCCCATTAGTTGATACAGGTTCTTCAAGTGTCAGTGGTCTTTACATTTTGGTATGCTTTTGCAGTGCCTGGTACCGGTTTTTCCTTTCCATATTCAGTGCTTCCTTCAGGAGCTCTTGTAAGGCAGGCCTGGTGGTGACAGAATTCCTCAGCATTTGCTTGTCTGTAAAGGATTTTATTTCTCCTTCACTTATGAAGCTTAATTTAGCTGGATATGAAATTCTGGGTTGAAAATTCTTTAAGAATGTTGAATGTTGGCCCCCACTCTGTTCTGGCTTGTAGGGTTTCTGCAGAGAGATCTGCCGTTATTCTGATGGACTTCCCTTTGTAACCTGACCTTTCTCTCTGGCTGCCCTTAACATTTTTTCCTTCATTTCAACCTTGGTGAATCTGATGATTATGTGTCTTGGGGTTGCTCTTCTCGAGGAGTATCTTGTGTTTTTCTTTGTATTTCCTGAATTTGAGTGTTGGCGTTTCTTGCTAGGTTGGGGAAGTTCTCCTGGATAATATCCTGAAGAGTGTTTTCCAACTTGGTTCCATTCTTCTTGTCAGTTTTAGTTTCACCAATCAAATGTAGGTTTGGTCTTTTCACATAGTCCCATATTTCTAAGAGGCTTTGTTTGTTCCTTTTATTCTTTTTTCTCTAACCTTGTCTTCATGTTTTATTTCATTAAGTTGATCTTCAGTCTCTGATATCCTTTCTTCCGCTTGATCAATTCAGCTATTGATACTTGTGTATGCTTCCCGAAGTTCTTGTGCTGTGTTTTTCAGCTCCATCAGGTCATTTATGTTCTTCTCTAAACTGGTTATTCTAGTTAGCAGTTCCTGTAACCTTTTATCAAGGTTCTTAGCTTCCTTGTGTTGGGTTAGAATATGCTCCTTTAGCTCGGAGGACTTTGTTATTACCCACCTTCTGAAGCCTACTTCTGTCAATTTGTCAAACTCATTCTCCATCCAGTTTTGTTCCCTTGCTGGCATGAAGTTGGGATTCTTTGGAGGAACAGAGGTGTTCTGTTATTTGGAATTTTCAGCCTTTTTGCACTGTTTTTTCCTCATCTTTGTGGATTTATCTACCTTTAGTGTTTGATTTTGGTAACCTTTGAATGGCGTTTTTGCGTGGTTATCCTCTTTGTTGATGTTGATGCTGTTGCTTTCTGTTTGTTATTTTTCCTTCTAGCAGGACCCTCTTCTGAAGTTCTGCTGGAGTTTGCTGGAGGTCTACTCCAGACCCTGTTTGCCTGGGTATCACCAGTGGAGGCTGCAGAACAGCAAAGATTGCTGCCTGTTCCTTCCTCTGGAAGCTTCATCCCAGAGGGGCACCATCAGATGCCAGCTGGAGCTCTCCTGTATGAGGTGTCTGTCAACCCCTGCCATCAGGAGGCATTGGGGTCAGGCACCCACTTGAGGAGGCAGTCTGTTCCTTAGCAGAGCTTGAGCGCTGTGCTGGGCGATCCGCTGCTCTCTTCAGAGCCAGCAGGCAGGAATGTTTAAGTCTGCTGAAGCTGTGCCCACAACTGCCCCTTTCCCCTGGTGCTCTGTCCTAGGGAGATGGGAGTTTTATCAATAAGCCCCTGACTGGGGTTGTGGCCTTTCTTTCAGAGATGCCCTGCCCAGAGAGGAGGAATCTAGGAAGGCAGTCTGGCTACAGTGGCCTTGCCAAGCTGTGGTGGGTTCCACCCAGTTCGAACTTCCCACTGGGTTTGTTTACACTGTGAGGGGAAAACCACCTACTCAGGCCTCAGTAATGGATGACGCACCTCCCTTCACCAAGCTGGAGTGTCCCAGGTCAACTTCAGACTGCTCTGCCAGCAGCGAGAATTTCAAGCCAGTGGATCTTAGCTTGCTGGGCTCCGTGGGCGTGGGATCCGCTGAGCCAGACCACTCAGCTCCCTGGCTTCAGCCCCGTTTCCCAGGGAATGAACGGTTCTGTCTCTCTGGCGTTCAGGCACCACTGGGGTATGAAAAAAAACTCCTGCAGCTAGCTCAGTGTCTGCCCAAATGGCCGCCCAGTTTTGTGCTTGAAACCCAGGGCCCTGGTTGTGTAGGCACCCCGTGAAATCTCCTGGTCTCCAGGTTGTGAAGACAGTGGGAAAAGCGTAATATCTAGGCTGGATAGCACCATCCCTCACCAACGGCACAGTCCCTCACGGCTTCCCTTGGCTAGGGGAGGGAGTTCCCAGACCCCTTGTGCTTCCCAGGTGAGGTGACACCCCACCCTGCTTCTCCTAGCCTTTCGTGGCCTGCACCCACTTTCTAATCAGTCCCAGTGAGGTGAGCCGGGTACCTCAGTTGGAAATGCAGAAATCACCTGCCTTCTGCCTTGGTCTCACTGGGAGCTGCAGCCATCTTACCCGGGAATCCCCGAAGCCGTTATTCTTAACGAGTGTGACACACACCAGTTTTGAGCAGTAGCAAAAGGAACAACGTGCATGTTGGAGACTCAGATCAGAACTTGAAAGTCATTGGAAAATGGAAGAAAGGACAATATGAATGGGGATTTCAGTTGAAGAAACTTTTAAAAGCAGTAGTGGCATGCATCTGGTTGATGTAGAAAGAAAAGAGTTCAGACAAGGGTGACTAATGAGAGATAGTAAAGGAAAGTGGAATGTATGAGTCATGCAGTGGAGAGGTTTCCTTTTGGCAACTACACTTGCTTTAAGCACAAAAAAAGAGAATAGCTTGCTGAAGACATTATTATAGCATTAATATATGAGTCTGAGGAGAATTTTTTCCCATTTGACTTGCTTTCTATTTATTATCTTTTTCTTTTCTAGATGATTCCATGTCCAAGTATTTCAGATGCCACTTTCTTATTCTCATTTGACTGTTATTTCTTAGGTATATTTTCTGGATTAAAATAGAGTAGTTTTTAGTTTACATTTGTTTTTGTTAATCTCCATAATTTGTTTATATGTGGTCATGGTGCTATTCTCTGGTTCAGAATTGAGGTACTAAAAGAAGTAGGTTTTAATTAGCATGTTAAATTTTGGTAATATTGAAAGGTTCCATTTATTAGGTATGGGATTTTACTGTAAGAAGTTAGCCTTCTTCAAGATTTTTCTACTAGTACTCCTTTCACTTTTTAAACCAACTTTAATATACTGCTATAAATTCATTATTTTTCTCCTTCTAGTCTCCCCTCCCCGTCTCTCTTGTGAGAAAATAATTTGAAATCAGATAAGGTCTTTCTCCTGAAGGAACTGACAATTTAGTATCTAATACAGTAAGTGCCATGCAAGAGCAGGAAAGCAAGGAACATTAAATTCTGTGGCACAGAGGACAGACATTCCATTAAGATACGAAGAGATATTTCAGCTGATCCTTGAAGGCTTGTGACAGAGCTTGGAAAGGCACTCTAGACAGAGGAACAGCCTGAGGAAGGCATAGAGCAACCCAGGTCATTCAGTGAGCTGTAGCCTAAACAAGGGGAAGCCTCCTACAGATTTCACTGTACCTCCTGTAGACAAACATGAGTCAGGGTGATTGCTTCTAAAAGAGGAGTTATAGTTTTAACCTGCGACTAGTGGGCAGCTAGTGTCACAGTAAGACTAAGAAGGAAGGACATAAAAAAAATTCTGCAGAGTGGAGGCAAAGCTGGAGTACAACATGAGGGAAAAAGCCACATATACACCTATAGCTCTCCACCTTTGAGAAAACTTGCTAGAGGGAACTCCACGTTCCATAGATGACCCCACTTGCTCATTGCTGGCTGTTTTTCTCTCAGTTTTTAATGTTTTATTATGCAGCTATCCATTGATCCTTTTAGTAATAGATGTATTTATTGAACTTGTGCCATGTACCAGGTACTGTTCTATGTTCTGTATATTTTCCAGCTTATTTAATAGCTTTCTTATGATTTTTACTTTAATGGTCTTGGTAACTTCCCTATGTTGCATAGATCACAACTATTACACAGCCACCTCCAGCTGCAGGGTAAGCTGGGAAAGTGAGTATTTAGCCTTTCTTGCCTTGATAGTGGAGGCCGGCCACAAAAATGGAAGTTAGAAATGAGTATGTCTGCTGCAAAATCACTTTTCTTACTTGCTTCCTTTGTTTATTTCTACCCCCTTTCATTTCTTTCTCGTTGTAAAACTAAGTTGTTAGTTTTCTCTGAAGAAACTAAAATTCTTTAAAGATTAAGAATCTTCACTATTGTATTTGACATATATATTAAAGTTCATGAAGAATAAATTACAGCTTGGGTTTTAAATTTTACTTGTATAGATTAACATCAAATTTTAACATTATAAAAGCAATTCTACAGAGGAACATTTACATTATGCTACAGTATCTTCAGTTGTACCTTCCTGTTCAGCATAAACATCATATGCCAAAGAGGTACTATATTTTGTTGTATATTTCCTTTGTTGCTTTTTTAAGACATTATTATTATGAATCAAATGTCAGTTGTTTATTTTACTTACATTGAAGCTTTTAGTTATAGTGAGTTGGACTCCAAATTTATAAAGCAGTAGAATCATTTGATAAAAGCAGTTGGATTAGATCATTCATTCATTAAATATTAAGTTCCTGTTATGTGCCTAAGGGTATGGAGAGATGAAAGGGTTAGTAGGGAATTATATTTGAGGATAGGCTGTCTCTATGAAAATAAAAGCAATTACCAATTTTAATTTAAAAAACAATACAATATACATAGATAAACACTTATAAACAATAATAAAATATAAACCCATAAACACCCATGAACAACAAAATACACACCCATAAGTAAGTGGATGGGTGGATGGATGAATGGATGGATGGATGGATGAATGGGTGTGTGGACAGAGACTGATAGACACTTAATAAATTAAGATTAATGTTGTGGTTAATGGTGTTTCAATATTATGTTGTCTAAAAGTATGTTAACTTTTTTAAAAAATTAAGGTTGACAGATTTGCAATGGAATTAGAACAAAGCCGAAATTTGAGCAATACCATAGTGCACATTGACATGGATGCTTTCTATGCAGCTGTAGAAATGAGGGACAATCCAGAATTGAAGGATAAACCCATTGCTGTAGGATCAATGAGTATGCTGGTAAGTAAAGATCAAATACAAAAAGGAAATTTTATAACGTACTCAAGTAAGCTTTACTGTTTCATGAAGGGGGAATTCTTTATTGAGGTCTACCAGTTTGCTGAGTATTTTTCTGGGTGCCTTATATATGACTCAATTACTGAATCCTTTCAACATACTTTAAGGCAGGGGACCCCAACCCCCAGTTCACAGATTGGTATTGGTCCATGGTCTGTTAGGAACTGGGCCTCACAACAGGAGGTGAGCGTCAGGCAAGCAAACGAAGCTTCGTCTGTATTTACAACCACTTCCCATCACTTGCAGTATGCCCGAGCTCTGTCAGATCAGTTGTGGCATTAGATTCTCATAGGAGTGCAAACTCTATTGTGAACTGCACATGTGAGGGATCCAGGTTACATACTCATTATGAGAATCAAATGCCTGATGATCTATCACTGTCTCCCATCACCCCCAGATGGGATTCTCTAATTGCAGGAAAACAAGCTTAGGGCTCCCATTGATTCTACATTATGGTGAGTTGTGTAATTATTTCATTATATATTACAATGTAATTATAATAGGAATAAAGTGCACAATAAATGTGACGTGCTTGAATCATCTCAAAACTATCACCCCACCAGTCCGTGGAAAAATTGTCTTCCACGAAACCAGTCTCTGGTGCCAAAAAGGTTAGGAACTGCTGCTTTAAGGTACTAGTTTTTATTTCCATTTGGCAAAAAAGAAAACTCAGAGAGATGTTTAATAACTTGCCCAAAGTTACAAACCTAATAATTTCCATGGCAAATTAAATTTTTCCATAAGTAACCGTTCTAGTTAAAGAGAGTTGAAGAAGAAAGAAAAGGAAATGTTATTCTAAAGTATTAATAGAGATTTTCAAACTGATCTGCAGGCCAAATCCAGCTTTTTATTGGAACAAAGTCACACCCATTTATTTATTACTATTGTTGCACTAAAAGAGCAGAGTTCAATAATTAAGTGATCTGCAAAGCCTAAAATGATTACTATCTGGACTTCCACAGAAAAGAAAAGGTTTGCCAACCCTAGTTCTGGAATAACATACTTCGTTAATAGAGTACATTTAGAATGCAGTTAAATTGTTTTTCCCATGACTTAGAACTTTTGCTTTTCTGATTACTGAGTTGCTCTTCCTTTTTACCACTCTAACCTTAGAAGAACCAGGATAGCTATGTGTGGCTGAAAGTGTGTTGGAAATTAAAAGTAGCAACTAAAATAGATGAGATAATATTTAAAAAGTATTAGAAAAACAAGAAGAGTTCTTCCCTGTTCCTAACTCCTTCCCATGCCTTAGATAGCTACAAAACTAATTCTTACTGAGTGATTATTTTATTATAAAACTATAATCTGTTTGTTTTTTTATCTCTGCCTCTGTGAGTATGCAGGCAGCTGATAAGTCTGATTCCAAAACACTGTTTTTTGAAAGGAAACTCCCCTTTCCTACAAATCATCAATAAATATTTCAAAAAATATATTTAATTTTATTAAGATATAACACCATAAATTTATGTATGTTTATGTATGTGTATACATACAAACTTGCTGTAGCCATGTTAAAGCTAAACCAACTGCTTTTGAAATCTACAAAATATTTTCTTTCCTACAATTTCTGTCCTCCTAAAAATCAGTTATTGTTTCTAAATTCAAAATTATTGTTATATTTAAACAAAGATTACCCCTTTTGTATGTTGAACAAATAGTTTTCCCTTCTACTAAGCATAACTTTTTGTCCTATTAAACATATGAAAGTATATCTACAAATTAATGGGAGTGATTGTTTGATTATTCCCACTGATAAAATTCTTTTTTGGCGAATTTGATGGATTTTTGAAATGTTCTAACTTGGCACTGAGAGTTGCAACTGAGATCCTACAGCAGTTACCTATTGCTGCATAACAGCCTCCCCCAGTATTTAGTGGACAGCCAAAATTTATTTGCTCATGATTCTGTAATTTGAGCAGAGTGCGATGGCGATGGCTCAACCTTGCTCTACCTGGAGTTGGCTAGGGCAATTTAACTGAGGCTAAAAAATCCAAGGTGGCTTCATTCATAGGTCTGGCACTTCGACTGAGGAGATTGGAATGGATTCCAGCTTCAGAACTTTCTCCTCTCCATTGTTGCTTCAACATTTAGTAATCTACCCCAAAATATTTACAATGGTTGCTGGATTACAAAAAGCAAAAGCCTAGGTTTCAGAACTCAGTGTCACTTCCTTCACATTATTTTTATCAAGGCAAGTCACGTGGCATGAGGAACTAGAACCCACTTTTGATAAGAGTAACTTGTAAAGTATTGTGGCTGTGATCTACAATATACCACAAATCTAAAAGTTAGAGAAATTCTTATTTAAAAGTTTGTTTGTCCTCTGCTATAGATCTAGCTTTTATGTCAATTATATTAAACTTATTTACTAAACCATTGGTTTTGTTTCTAGTGCTATCCACATTTTCTGTTCCAGAACACTGACCAAGGATTAGTATAGTTCTGAGTACTATCAAGATGTTTTAAGTGCCATTTGAAAATCATTAGACGAAAATTCATATTATTCTGAAATAATCCCTTCATTTGTTTCTGTTTTGCATTTCTTTGAAATTTCACTTGAGATTCTAAATAAGGATTTAATTTGTGATAAAATTTGTTTTATAAATAGTACTGTGGTCTACCACGTTCACATAGACTTTCATCAGATATCATCACCAACAGGATTTAATAAGCAATATTCTCCTTTTTACTCTCATACTTTTGTAGTTCCATCTCCTAGTCAAAATGTTTTCAGCAAAAAAGATAATTAAGCCTTAAGAAAAACCTTAATTTCTAAACTTATTTTAAGCTTTAATCACTTCATTTTGGAGACTTAATTTGGCTGACCACATAGACCTTTTATTTTTGTTCTAGATGAAAAGTTTCCAAAATCCCAAATAGACCAAATTCGAAAAGTTTACTATTATACTATACTATTACTTTATATAATGTAACATCTATACTAATTGTACTATACTATTATTTTATGACTATTCTATACAACTTACCATACTATTACTTTCATGTAACATAACTCACTATCATCCAAATTTTGATATTCATTCTATAATAAGTATGCCTTAAAACCAATGAAGTTTAGTTGGTAGAAATATAAGAAAATCTTTTTATTAGCACAGTCTTGCTTATACCTGGTATCACATTATAAATATAGGGATAGTAATGGGAGAGGGTCATGGTATCAAAATACCGTGACAGAATAAGTCAAAACTTGGATTAAAACAGTGGCCTATAATCAGAGAAATGCAAATCAAAACCACAATGAGATACCATCTCACACCAGTTAGAATGGCGATCATTAAAAAGTCAGGAAACAACAGGTGCTGGAGAGGATGTGGAGAAATAGGAACACTTTTACACTGTTGGTAGGACTGTAAACTAGTTCAACCATTGTGGAAGTTAGTGTGGCGATTCCTCAGGGATCTAGAACTAGAAACACCATTTGACCCAGCCATCCCATTACTGGGTATATACCCAAAGGATTATAAATCATGCTGCTGTAAAGACACATGCACACATATGTTTATTGCGGCACTATTCACAATAGCAAAGACTTGGAACCAACCCAAATGTCCAACAATGATAGACTGGATTAAGAAAATGTGGCACATATACACCATGGAATACTATGCAGCCATAAAAAATGATGAGTTCATGTCCTTTTTAGGGACATGGATGAAGCTGGAAACCATCGTTCTCAGCAAACTATTGCAAGGACAAAAAACCAAACACCACATGTTCTCACTCATAGATGAGAATTGAACAACGAGAACACGTGGACACAGGAAGGGGAATATCACACTCTGGGGATTGTTGTGTGGTGGGGGGAAGGGGGAGGGATAGCATTAGGAGATATACCTAATATTAAATGACGAGTTAATGGGTGCAGCACACCAACATGGCACATGTATACATATGTAACTAACTTGCACGTTGTGCACATGTACCTTAAAACTTAAAGTATAATTAAAAAAATATATGATAGAATGATGACCTTGAGTCATTAATAAAAAACAATGCTTAATACATTCTATTTTTGGAAAACAACAAAAACAAAAACAAAAAACTGGCCTATAAATGAAATGTCCTTGAATTGAAAATGCACATATTAATGTGTTTCTTATGAATGCATTGATCAATATGTCCATTTAGGTTTGTGTATTTTTTTCCATGTGGTCAATTTTCTTTCAGTCTACTTCAAATTACCATGCAAGGAGATTTGGTGTTCGTGCAGCCATGCCAGGATTTATTGCTAAGAGGCTGTGCCCACAACTTATAATAGTGCCCCCCAACTTTGACAAATACCGAGCTGTGAGTAAAGAGGTAAGTTAATGTCTCACCCCTACTTTAGGCTTTCACTGAGTTCCTGTCACCTACAGAATCTCAAGTCCAAGTGCCTTAGCACGTAGGATTTGGTCTTAGCTTATCCTTTCAGTTGAGCCTCCTATCACTTCTTCAGCTTGTATATTGAATACTGAGCTGCATATAGCATCCAGAATACATCATTCTTTTTCCCAATTCTTTGCCTTTCCATGCAGTTTTCATTTGCTTAGAAAACTTCCCATTTCCTCAAACTTTGAACTGCCTTAATGATAATATAAAATTAAATTTAGCTATTTTTTCTTAATGTACAATATACATTTTTTCTAGAACCACATTTTATTTATAACTTACAGAATCTACTCATCATTAATTTCAACCTATTGTCTGAATAATTACTTATTAATGTTGTTAAACAGTGACAAAATTCATGTATTTTGATTAGCCTACTTTACTTGCCCCATAATCATTTGCTGTCTAAGAGACTGATAATTGAAAAGGGAGTAATCCATTGCTTCAAAAAGGATCTTTGAAGTAGATTTGATTATTTACTAAAATTGCCAAACTGTCATATGTGAAAACCGCCATTTTTTCTATTTTTTATGACAACTGGTCTATCATGCAGTGCTGGAATTTAATTTTTGAATTAAAATTTTAGACTACTACATCAAATACTTTTAGACTGCTATAGTAAAATGTGTTTAAGACTGCTGCCTGAATGGAAACACTTAAAAAAACTGTGACCTAATACTTATTACTCTTTAGTTATACCAGGGGTCTTTAAATTCACCCCTCTTATTTGTATTCCACCTCATTTTCCCTAGAAGTGACACTATTCCAAGTTTAAACACAGGTTTGTTTGTTTTTTTTCTGTCCAAGGCAGTCTGTGACAGCAAGTGCTTTTTGCATACCTCTGAAAAGGTGGTGGAGGAGAGGGGAGCACACTTACATTTGGTTACTGCTTATCTCTTTCATTGTATTCCTAATTAAAAAGAGATAAAATACTAATCATAAATATAGCCTTTTAAGAAGTTTTAAAAATCCTACAAAAGTTTAGTAAGAAAAGGTATTTTTTAAAGTCGTACTTTAACTCAGCAAAACTTCTGGCAGTATGCCAGTGAAAACCAAAGTGTTTTTAGTTATTTTAGTCTGGTTATTTATGTAAGTCAGAGAACTCTTCAAATTTGAGCCGGATCTAGCTAGTTTATATGCAGATAACAAATGAGTTCTTCTGTGTAAATGAACTGTAGAACAAATTCATCACTGCCTATGGATACATAAATATTCATGACTTGGTTAGAAAATTTAAGAAAAAGCCCTCCCGTTTTTTTTGACACAGGGTCTCACCCCATAGCCCAGGCTGGAGTGCCGTGACTCGATCATACCTCACTATAACCTTAAACTCTTGAGTTAAGCAATCCTCTGGCCTCAGCCTCCTGAGTAGCTAGATTGACAGGCATGCATCACCACACCCACCTAATTTTAAAATTTTTTTGCAGAGATAGGGTTTTCCTATGTTGCTCAGGCTAGGCTTAAACTCCTGGCCTCAAAAAATTATCCTGCCCAGGCCTCCCAAAGTGCTGGGATTACAGGCATGAGCCATCATGCCCAGTTAGCCATTTTTGTTTTATCCAAAATATTGGAGCTTTAAGTGCTTGATTTTTACTGGAACGTCTCTTTTAATTCTTACAGCAATATCCTATGTAAAGGAAGTTAATAAATACTCAACAGTGTCTCTAGGGAGTACTTCTCATTCAGAATCTTAGTTGGCTGCCAGTTACAGACTTCACAGAGTTTCATTTTCATTGGAAAGATTCTATTTGAGCACATTATAACAAGAACAAAGCTAATTAAGGCACTCTCTGAGTAAAACTTGGCCAAGTTTATATCACCATTTTCTAAAATTCCCTTTGACTCAGCTGTTCATAATTATATTAAGCTAAAAACCTTTGTTTTTATAAAAGAAGAAACAGTTTTCTCATGATACAGTAGACAGTTTTAAAAGCTAAATGGAAGCTTAACGTAATTCAGCAAATATGTTTTCTAATATAAATTTTTTTTGAGGCAGGGTCTCACTCTGTCACCCAAGCTGGAAAATATGCATATTATTTTGACAACCATTGCCTCTAATTATAGCTAATACTTAAGTGGTTAGAAAAAAAAGTCATAGTTTTATGTAGTAACACTATGTTATATAAAAGGCATTTCTGAATTAAAAGCCACTATAATTCTAATCTTTATATGTATTTCTTTTATCCTAAGATGTTACTCCAGACTTTTCCCCATCATTTAAGGTAATCATGGAGTACACTATAGATTGTCATTTTTTTCCATTCCAGATCTTAATAAGTAATAGGAAATAGAAAACATTCCTTTTCCTGTATGGATTAATGCATTAATTAATGTTAAGTGGACTTTTATGTGCATGTTATAATTAATTGGAATATTTTCTAAAGCAACATAGTACCTTTATATAAGATTATTCCTTTTTAAAATGAACCAAAAACAATAAATCACAAAAGGCAGGAGGGAATAGAATCCTATCATTCCCACTTCAGCTTCTGACGAGCTACCTAAAACCTTAACCATTTTTTTGTATGGGCCTACCAGATAATGTTTTCTGAGATTTATTTGAATTGCTTATTATAACTAGATATAGGTAGCTAAATAGAGATTGTATCAAATGAAGCTATTTTATGGTCTTCTGCCTTCATGGTCTATTTTAATACAAAAGGAAATTTTGAAAATATTCCCTGGTAGTGGATTATTTATTCCTTAAATCCATGAACTATTGACTGCAGGATTGTTACTGTAGTTGCAAACTAAGAATATTAACATTTCTTATCAGCTACATATGACAGAAGAAGTTTGCTATCACAGCAAAATTTAAACTTTTTTTTGTTTCCTTTGAAGGTTAAGGAAATACTTGCTGATTATGATCCCAATTTTATGGCCATGAGTCTTGATGAAGCCTACTTGAATATAACAAAGCACTTAGAAGAAAGACAAAATTGGCCTGAGGATAAAAGAAGGTATTTCATCAAAATGGGAAGCTCTGTAGAAAATGGTAAGCAACTTATTAAGACTATCAAACCAAGAAGCAGTGAAAAAAAAAAACCCACAACTCTTTGAATTAATCCAATTAATTTATTAGCCTGCATAGGTAGAAGGGATAGATATGTACCTTTATAAAAATGTAAAATCAGAAAATTTTAAAAATACCAGTGGGTTTTCTGAGTTAAACATGTGGAATATCACATATAAACAAAATGTGATTGTTAAATCTCTGAGCTTAAGAGTCTGCAGAGTCCCTGAACAAAGTAATTTTATAGCAGTTATTTTCCTAAGGTCTAACTAACAAAGAGTTTGGATGGCATTGAAGCTGAGGAAGTTGTCTGTTTAAAGCGGCCTTTTCTTGTTGTTAGAAAAGACTAGCCTCAAACATATCAAAACATTGGATGATTCTATTTTTCTTCATTTTCCTAATTTTCTATAATCTAATTATTATAGCAATTATGACTGTTTTTAGCTCTGCCAAAATTAATGACTTCCCACTCCCTTCTTTGCCTTAGACTTTATAATTTCAAGACTCCAGGGTTTTTTTAAAAAAATAATCCCTTTATGACCTATCCAAAAGCAATGCCAAGAAACATGCAGATATTACACATACTGCTTTCAACATTTTGTCAAAGGTATGATTATGTCTGAGATGTCCTGGACCCCTGAACAAAGTTCACCTGGATGAAAAAGTGACACAGAAGGGTTTGCTCACAACCCACAGGAACATTTCATGTGCACCACTCATTGCTTCAGACGGGCCAGGCAGTGCTGGGGAGACCTGTTTGTAACTTTCCCTGAAGCAAAAATGGTAGATCCACAATGACATTAATCTAACTCTCTCACATTATTTGTGACTCACATCATTTGATGCAAGTTTAATATGGGCATCAAATACAACTTCATTACCTTATTTAAAGTGCTAAGGGATAGCTCTCTCTTTTTTTTTATAGGAGCATTAAACAATAATCATCATTTCTCGACACAGGCACAGAGCAAAAGGTTTTCCTTATTTGGTGTAACTTTATTGTTTGAGGATGTGGAACATAAAGCCTGATGTCACTTTGTATAAAATCTTACTTTATTAATTCCTTACTTTCACAAGAGAATGGGGGAAAATCATTAAATAATTATGTCAAAGCATCCCCTGAGGGCCTCCCATAACAATTACTTGCATGATGTGTTTTAAAAGCTTTACATTGGGATTAAAGTAAATGTTTTCATTTTCTACTAATTTTTTTCTTTTTTTTGAGATAGGGTCTCACTGTGTTGCCCAGGCTGGAGTGCAGTGGTGCAGTCTCAGCTCACTGCAACCTCCGCCTCCTGGGTTCAAGCAGTTCTCCTGCCTTAGACTCCCAAGTATCTGGGATTAGAGGCGCGTGCCACCACACCCGACTAATTTTTTGTATTTTTAGTAGAGGTGGGGTTTCACCATGTTGGCCAGGCTGGTCTCAAACTCCTGACCTCAGGTGATCTGCCCGCCTCGGCCTTCCAAAGTGCTGGGATTACAGGCATGAGCCACCACGCCCAGCCTACTAATGTTCTTTTCATTTATTATAATGTCCAAACTCACTATGAATATGTGAATTTTTAATATCTATTGCTTTTAACATATTTACTTGTATATTGCCCTCTTCGTGTATTTTCATATTCTTAAACAATTGGAATAGTTAAACTTTTCTTCTCATGTGTAAATACCTGTGGGCTGGACTTTCAGGCGTGTCTCACCTCACATCATGCCATGGGAAATTGTCAATAGTGCATTGGAACTGTGGAAGGCAATTGATATATCTTCCTCTAAAGTCCAAGACATTGTTTTGCTGTTTCCCCATTTTCTAAAAGGTGTTTGTCTTTGGAAATATATTGCTAACTACCATCTCTACATACAAATAAAATAATAATTTTTTAAATGTTTACTCTCCCATGTAAATCTGGATGGTGAGTGCCAGATAATATAAGAAACTGAAATACCATACACTTTTTAGCACTTGTCTTCCAAATGAAATGCTTTAATCCTAGTGTTACATTCTGATTACCTTAGTTATGGGGATTATAAAGATGTTTCTGTCACAAAGCAAATAAGAAACTACTTCAGCTCTTAGTTACACAGCCAGGCCTCACAAAAAAGTAGAAAGTAGTTCAGATTGAAAAGGTACCTGAACATTCTGCAGCAGCTCTGATAATGTGTGAGAAGGCAGCATTCTTCACTTCCTGCTGTATAGTTCTGCTCTCACAGTGGCTCACCTGAGGGCAGGGTGGTAGAGGCATGAGGTACAAAACATGGCATAAAAAACTCTGCAGAACGGGTTTATGAATGTGGCAGATAACTTACTTGGTTTGCAGTTTTTCTGTAGCTTTCTTTACCGTGACTTCTACCCATCCAGATGGGGAAAAGGGCTCCAGGTAGATACCATTTCAATTGTTTCACAGTCTTTATTTTTTTTTTATTTTTTTTTATTTTTTTGAGATGGAGTCTCACTCTGTCACCAAGGCTGGAGTACAGTGGCACAATCTCAGCTCACTGCAACCTCTGCCTCCTGGGTTGAAGTAATTCTCCTGCCCCAGCCTCCGGAGTAGCTGTGCGCCACCATTCCTGGCTCATTTTTGTATTTTTAGTAGAGATGGGGTTTCACCATGTTAGCCAGGCTGGTCTCGAACTCCTGACCTCAGGTGATCCTCCCACCTCAGCTTCCCAAAGTGCTGGGATTACAGACGTGAGCCACCTTGCCTGGCCTGTTTCCCCTCTGAATTGTTCTACATTTTAAAACCAGCATATTAAAAAATGACAGGAACTGAAGCACATAAATATCAGCTAATGTAAGTTTGAAAATAAGGCTTATTGGCGAGGCAAGGTGGTTCACATTTATAATCCTAGCACTTTAGGAGGCTGAGGTGGGAGGATCAGTTGAGGCCAGGAGTTTGAGACCACCCTGGGCAAGATTGTGAAACCCTATATTTACCAAAAAATTATAAAATTAGCTAAGCGTGATGGCTCGCGCCTGTAGTCCTAGCTATACTCCAGCCTGGGCAAGAGGGAGACCCTGTCTTAAAAAAAAAAAAAAAAAAAGAGAGAAAGAAAATAAGCTTATTGTGTATGTGCCCTGGGAATTCAGATTTGGAAAACATCTGACTGAATTAACATCTATGACTTACTTCACACTACATATTTTAAATTTTTAAATTAATCAGATGTCTGTCATATTTATTTTATATTATCTTTAAAATTTTTTCCTAAACAGCCAAATACATTTTTCAAGTAATATACATTCGTATGCATCTTAAAACTAGAAATTTAATTTTTTCTTCTGTATTGACCTTAATTTGGAAAATATTTATATGTAATAAAATTACGAGATGGGATCAGAAAGCTTTGTTGCTAACCTTGGTTGTTATAAATACATTTAAATTGTATTTCTTCTACATTAAGCCAAGAAAACAGGCTTTAATAGATTTGTTCATGGAGACATTTTTAGTATCAGTATAGATTTAAGAATATTTTACAGTCCATTTATGAAAAATATAAATATAAAGAGGCAATAACCAGACTGGTATTTTTACTTTACTTTGTAATAATAGTTTATAGCCTATTAATAATAACGTCTCTTTTTCTTAAACTTGGATTATCCAATCAGACCTTCAGAATTTGTATATTCAAAGAAGCATAACTTTCACAGGTAATTTCTATTTATTACAAATGTGCCCTTAGTCAAAGTGATACTTTATAAACAAGCAAATCAAAATTAAAATCAGCATTTGAAAGAAGAAAATTCAGATTATTTTAACATCTAAAAGGTTTCTTCCATAAATGAAGAAAAGTTAAGTGTTTTTCCTTCTAAAAACAAAACTTATTTTCAGTATAATTATTATATATTGTTTATTATATTCTAAATTCTAATTTTCGAAGATTCTTTTTCTTCCTAAAGAAGAATAAAGAAAAGATTTCCTTTTTTTTTTTTTAAGAAAAAGGTAATGTGAACTGAAACCTAATTCTGAATTTCAATTAATTTAGGTACGAACATTAGTGAGTTTTACATAAGATATTTCCTTTTAATATTTATACTGTGGAAATGGATAATAGTCTTTTTAAGAAAAATTCATAATCAGTGTTCTCTTTAATGGTTATAAAACATTAAATGATAAATGATGGCATTTCTGATCTTGGATCCTAGAAACTAAACTAAACTAGATTTTTGTTTTTGTCTTCAGAAATAATGTAGGGAAACCTAACTTATGAAGTATATACTTCTTAAAATAAAGGTGAGTTATTTTCCTGTTTATGACTTAGATAATCCAGGAAAGGAAGTTAATAAACTGAGTGAGCATGAACGATCCATCTCTCCACTACTTTTTGAAGAGAGTCCTTCTGATGTGCAGCCCCCAGGAGATCCTTTCCAAGTGAACTTTGAAGAACAAAACAATCCTCAAATACTCCAAAACTCAGTTGTTTTTGGAACATCAGCCCAGGAAGTGGTAAAGGAAATTCGTTTCAGAATTGAGCAGAAAACAACACTGACAGCCAGTGCAGGTATTTAAAAGAGTATTGATGGCCACTGTAGTTATAATTTTCAGACTGGCTAATTTAAGTGTAATATTAGTAGTTTCTCATTATAAAGTATATAGTAACATTTTACTTACTTAGTCTTTCATTCAACTTCTAACAACTTTACCTATTCAGAATAGCTGTGAACCTAGTAAGTAAATTGGAATTAAGCAGACTATGAGCCTGAAGGAAAAAAAAGATTATACGTTTCTTTCTTTTTTTTTTTTTTTGAGATGGAGTCTTGCTCTGTTGCCCAGGTTGGAGTGCAGTGGGGCGATCTCATTCAGCTTACTGCAACCTCTGCCTCCTGGGTTCAAGCGATTCTCCTGCCTCAGCCTCCCAAGTAGGTGGGACTACAGGCGCATGCCACCATGCCCAGCTAATTTTTTGTATTTTCAGTAGTGACGGTGTTTCACCATGTTAGCCAGGATGGTCTCCATATCCTGACCTCATGATCCGCCCACCTTGGCCTCCCAAAGTGCTGGGATTACAGGCCTGAGCCACCGCGCCCGACTCATAAATTTCATATAGCTATCTTTTTCTAGCACAAAATATATTTTTATTGGTTTTGCATGTAATAACTTGAGTATTAGTTTTTCCTTGGGAGACTTCAATCCTGTCCAAGATTACATTGCAGGAGAGAACCCAGACGGCCACAAGGTAAGAGACAAAAGAAATACTAACTAGCAACATAGCAATCCAGAACAATCTGGTAAAAGGAAAAACAAATTTACATATGTTGATAACCCATGAGGCCATCACTGTCTCTTAACATAATAACTGTTATTCATCATGAGGACCCTGAACTATCTTGTAAAAGCCATATTGTGATTAGGTAAATCTTTTCTTTCTACACCAAAGCATGAGAATGAATAATGCATTTTAGGAAGATCTATATAACAATTAAAATGAACTGTTTAATGAATATATTTGAATATAGCTATTTCAAATTATCTTAATTAGGACTCCTAGAAATTGTGAAACATCTTTTTGAAAAATAGTAATTTGTTTTGTGAATAACATAAAAAGGATACACCATCTAATTATCATTATTTTAAATATACTGTAACCAGAATCTTTGATTTTTTGCTTTATGTGGATAATCTACGCAAAAGACATTTTCAAAGAGTAAACATCCACCCTAAATTATATTCTGTATCTTTTCTTAGAGATAGATATAGAACCACTATAAAAACAATCTGGGCTGGGCATGATGGCTCACGCCTGTAATCCCAGCACTTTGGGAGGCCGAAGCTCGTGGACTACCTGAGGTCAGGAGTTCGAGACCAGCCTGACCAATATGGTGAAACCCCCATCTCTACTAAAAATACAAAAATTAGCCAGGCATGGTGTTGCGTGCCTCTAATCCCAGCTACTCGGGAGGCTGAGACAGGAGAATCGCTTGAACCCAGGAGGCGGAGGTTGCAGTGAGCCAAGATCACGCCATTGCACTCCAGCCTGGGCGACAGAGCAAGACTCCATCTGAAAAAAAAAAAAAAAAATCTGTATTCCTACTAAAGGTAGTAAGTAAGCTAATAGTAACACTTAATATTGCTTAGCTCAGAAATTACTCTTACATTTTAAAATGTCATGGAGAATTAAATATTTCTCATTTTTGCTGCCACAATGACTGTAACTAGTACAATTTATTTTCCTAAAACCATAGCAAACCCTGGGGAGATAGATGGTAATCAAATGTTATTTTTAAAGTAGCATTATATATCATTTGAGATTTTTTGCAATTAACTTTTTTTTTCTGTTTTGTTATTGCATATTTAAAAGTCATACATATCAACTTCTTTGAGTCATCAGAGTATTCTTCTTTTAAGGCATTGCCCCAAATACAATGTTAGCAAAAGTATGCAGTGATAAGAATAAACCAAATGGACAATACCAAATTCTTCCCAATAGACAAGCTGTGATGGACTTCATCAAGGATTTACCCATTAGAAAGGTAAGATTTTTACATAAAGTTTATTTATATATGTACTCTGAATTCTGAAGAGATACTGTGTAGGCCAATAGTTAATCATTCTTTGCTTAAAAGTTTTAAAATAATAGATAAAAGCAAGAACTATAATGGATGATTGAATTTGGACTTGAAGAAACCTTTCTATGAAACCATAAAAGTGAGATTTAGCTTATTTGCTATAAACTTTTAAGAAAGTAATAATCAGATTTTTAAGTGAACTACTGCCAAGGAGAAGGGAAATTAAAAGAATATTTCTAACAGTCCTTTCATCTGTAACTTAGTGCTATCTTAGTTCTAAAGTCCAGATTGCTACTAGATTAATGGGCATGATGCTTCAAAGAGATTTAGAATTTTAATTGTTTTTGACAGAGAATAAACCAAAATATTTTGCCATTTTTAAAATGGTAAAATTATCCCTCAGGGGTTCCAGAAAGTGTATACTTTATTATTTTTTAGAGCTTCTAGATTTTTCTGCATATATACACTATTTTTTCAGTAATTGCACTATGCACTACTGTATATGATGTTCTAGGACTTGCTTTTCTCATTCAACATAATGTACATGAATGAATTTAAATATTTTTCAATGCTCAGTATGTAATATGTAATGATTACTGACTAGTATATGTGAGGAGTAGCTGCAAAGCAGTGTTTTCCAATATGTTTTTCAAGTATGGATAGATATTCCCTTTAAAAAGGTTCTGGGGTCAGATACCTTTGGAATGTACCATTGATGTGTCACTATGCATATTAATATATTAAAAATTCATAAATCTTGGAATAAAAAGTTTCACTTAAATTTGTCAATCCCACCATTCCCCAAGTTTATATGACAACAGCACTCCTTTTTTAATGCCTTTTGAAATTCCATGAAACGCTAGTTTAGTAAATGTGGTCAAAAAGTAATTAAAGCAGTTTTCTTGCATGACTTGTGAAGATAGTCACATTATTCATACCTTTTATCGATGATAAAAGATATAATGAGCACTTTGGGAGGCCAGGGTGGGCGGATCACCTAAGGTCAGGAGTTCAAGACCAGCCTGACCAATAAGAAGAAACCCCATCTCTACTAAAAATACAAAATTAGCCGGGTATGGTGGCGCATGTCTGTAATCCCAGCTGCTCAGGAGGCTAAGGCAGGAGAATCGCTTGAACAACCCAGGAGGTGGAGGTTGTGGGGAGCCAACTTGGCACCACTGTACTCCAGCTTGGGCAACAAGAGCGAGACTCCATCTCAAAAAAAAAAAAAGTGTAATGAGGTTGTAATCTCAATTTTTAGCTTCACTTTAAAATCTATTAATAATAAATATTGATTCTTTTCTAGGTTTCTGGAATAGGAAAAGTTACAGAGAAAATGTTAAAGGCCCTTGGAATTATTACATGTACAGAACTTTACCAACAGAGGGCATTGCTTTCTCTCCTTTTCTCTGAAACATCTTGGCATTATTTCCTTCATATCTCCTTGGGTCTAGGTTCAACACACCTGACGAGGTATCTATATGTATTGTCATTCTGCTTTTTCTTCAGCATTTGCTGCAATATCAGTTTTAACCATTGAGATGAGGCTATATGGATAACATGTTTTAAAATTCTTTCAGGCTAGTTTAATTCAAAATATAATGTTTGAATTAGAGTCAACAGATTGGATGTAGGAGGAAAGAAAAGAAGAATAAAGAATCACTCCTAGGTTGTGGTGTCAGCAGTTGTGTAGAGAGACAAGAGGAATGATAGTTTCTTTTTTATCCCTACCTTGTTCTTTGTTCAGAACCTAAGAGAAATGCCAGTAGTCAGGTTGTTGTGGAAAGAAAGATGGCCGTATTCCATAATTCACCCTTTAAGGAAGGAGATGTAATGATTCTTCGAAAGCCTTAAACTACATTTCTTTTCTTTTCCGGATTCATTCATTCAGTACTGACTACTTTACTTTGTGTTAGGCACTATTCTAGGCACTGTAGATAACAGCAGCGAATAGGACAAATTCCTGCCCTCATGGAGTTTACAGACTAGTGTGAGAGATAGAAAATAACCAAATAAACAAATGAAGAAAGTAAAGCAGAGTGAGGGTATAGAAAATGACTGGGGGGTAAGTGTGAGGGTTAGCAACCATCATCCAAAGGCGGAGAGACCTGAGGGAGCCAGCCATGCAAAGGCTGGAAGAGGGAACAGGTGGAGGAAATACCCTGGGTTTTCTTCCCTGCCACTCTTTCATCTAGGTCTTAAAAAGAGGAACCCTAGAGGTAGAAGGTAAATTGTTGTGGGATAGTAGGTGAAAAGAAGGAAATTTTAAAAGACTGGGAATCGTGGAAGTCAACTCTGGGCACTATTTTTACAATTTTGTCATCACCTTGTCAGCCTGTCCTCAAAATGACTCCTTTATATTCTTGTATTTAAACTAAAGGACAACAATAGAAATCAATGAGGATGCATATAAAATTGATGGACTAATTAAGCCTACTAAATTTTACAGAGATTGCAAGGCTTGTTGTGTTGCTTTTCTCATCTCTTCCTGCTCTTCAATCTTTTGAGTCCACAGTTAGCTGACTTTGATCTTCAGTGGGCATAATGAAAGATGAAGATATCACAGCACTATAAATAATTATATTTGAAGATAGCAGGAAATAAAACTTTATTTTTAATCCAAAAATTTTTTTATTTCCATAGTGCTTGAAAACAATATAGTTCTGATGTAACATAACATATATTAACTTGTGGTATTTAGAGATCCAGGTAAGGCTTTTACATGCAATTCATAGGTAATTTATAATAACAAATACCAAACCTGCCTTTCCCTCTGTCCATATTCTCTATTCCCCTATTCTGCTTTGCTTTTTAATCTGAGTACTTCTCCCATTCTAATCCATTCCATATTTACTACTATATTTGTTATCTGTCTTTCTCCAATATATAAGTTTTCTGAGGGCAAGTACTTGGTCTATTTCCTTCATTACTATATCCTCAAGTTCTAGAACAGTGCTTGAATCATAATAGGTTCACTAAATATTTGGAAAATGAGTACTCTACATGTCATTTCAACTTTTTGGTTTTAACTAATCCTGTCAGAGCAGCTAGAATACAGCCAAACTAGGTGATTCAGATTCCCAATCTTCATCCTATAGCTGTGTACCAAATTCTGACTGAGGTTCTATTATAGAGTGGTATAAATGAATAATGAATAGGCTATGGGAGAAAGAAGTTAATATACTAAACCAAAAACTAGATAACTGATTTTAAATTATTTAACATTTAATTATATTTTGTAACTGGAAGATATTACGCTATCACTTCCTATTTGTTTTTATAAGTTGTGGTTTTTGATAGTCAGGTTTTTAATAGAAGCAATTTCTAATATCTACCTATTTTCAAGTTTGTTCTCTTCAATAGATATAGACTTGATTCATAATCATATTAGCATCTTACCTACCTATGTTCTTTGGTGATTTGTTTTTAGATAAAAAACTGTTTTTCATGATGTATAAATTTTAATAAAAAATTTGAGAGCTCTAAAAGGTAATTGATAATGTTAAATCCTCTTGGTTAACTAAAAAAAACTCAGTCTTTGAAAAATAAAGACCTTTTTTTTTCATTTCAAGGGATGGAGAGAGGAAAAGTATGAGCGTTGAGAGGTAATGTTTTATTATTTATTGTTAATTGTGCATAATTCATGTTATTTTAAACTAATATTGAATTAATTTTTAGTAAATATCACTGAAATAAGAAATCTATTTGCAAATTACTATAACAGTTTTTAGTAGTTTACACTCCCTGCAATAAATGCCTTAGTATAAGACTATTATTTTCAGTTGCTATAATCTCAAAAATTAACTTCAGCTATTTTTTAATGTTGGTTTTAATCCTACCTAGTGAAAACCAAGCATTTTAGAATTTCATATCTTAATTTCTAGCTTGTTTATAAGGACAATTGAGTATTTACTTCGGAAATTTAAGAAGTAACAATGGGAATTCTTCCTAAAATTCTTTCAACATTGGTGATTAAGCAGAAGCTTAATCAAACAGTAAAATATTACTGATAAAAGAGAGCTTAAAGATGATCTAGTTTAGTGGTTTACAATCCTGTTTGAAAACCAAATGAAATAATGATGGAAACTTACCGTTTGGGGAAATAAGTCATTGTTTGAAACATCCCTCAATTATCTCCTCAAAGCAGCAAGTTTCCACTGAGACATTTAAGAAACACTGACCTAGGGCCCGGCAAGGTGGCTCACCCCTGTAATCCCAGCATTTTGGGAGGCTGAGGTGGGCAGATCACTTGAGGCCAGGAGTTCGAGACCAGCCTGGCCAACATGGCAAAACCCTGACTCTACTAAAAATACAAAAATCAGCCCGGTGTGGTCGCTTAAACTTTAATCCCAGCTACTTGGGTGGCTGAGGCACAAGAATTGAACCCAGGAGGTGGAGTTTGCAGTAAGCTGAGATGGCACCACTCACTCCACTCCAGCCTAGGTGACAGAGTGAGACTCTGTCTCAAAATCAAAACAAGACAAAACAAAACACTGACCTAGTACAAGATTGTGTTCATATTTCACATATATTATTTGTGGTCAGAAAAGCTGATTAACTTTTACAATACAACATAATAAATGGCTTTGATAAAAATTGCTATTTTAGGTTTTGGTCCATATGAAAGCAATCAAAGAGAGAGAGAAAAAAAAAATCCAAAAGCAAAATAGTATTGCCATATTTGATAAATTTCTCTGCCATTTTCTCTGCTATTGGGAAAACTATTTTATGTACAGGAATGTGTTCTCCACTTTTTTTTTCTGGAAACTTTCTCCCCTTGGCTTTCTAAAATGGGCAATATAACATCAAATTTGGTATGAAGTTGGGGGAAAGGAGGTTGCAATTTATATCACAAACTAACTAACTTCTCTAATATAGAAAGAACTCATAATCAATAAAAAGGAACAGTAAGCCAACAGAAGAAATGAACAAAGTTCTAAATAATTAACAGAAAAGGAAATACAAATGGCTCTTAAAACAAGTGAAATTACTACCATTTTCATTTATAATTAAAGAAATACAGATTGAAAGTTCTCTCAGATACCTTTCTTTCACTAGTCAGGTTGGCAAAGATTCTAACATACTCTATTGGCAAGACTGTAGGAGTGAAAAATGTGTAAACTTTAGAGGGAGTACATTAGGTTTTTTTATTGCTATTAAAACAAATTTCTACAAATTTAGTGGCTCAAAACAAAACAAATTTATTCTCTATCATTCTGAAAGTCAGCGGTTCTAAAGTTAATGTGTTGGTAGAGTTCCATTTCTTCTAGAAGCTCTGGGAGAGAGTCCATTTCTTTATGAAAAGCTTCTAGAGGCCACAGAATCTTTGGCTCATAGCCTCAGCAACTTCTTTCTCTGACTCTAACCCTCCTGCCTCCTTCTTATAAGGACCCTTGGGATTACGTTGGGCACAGCTGGACATTCCAGAGTAATCTCTGTCCGTCAGAATTTAATCACCTCTGCTAAATCCCTTTTGTCATGTAAGATACTAGGTTCACAGATTCCAGGGATTAGGATGTGGACATCTTTAGGGACCATTATCTAGCCTACCACAGGGGGTAAGAAATTTCATAATATGTATCAAAATCACAGATACACATGTACTTTGATGCCATAATTCTTTTACTAAGAATTAATTCCACAGATTTAGTCACATGTCATTTTACATATATACAGGGTTACTCACTGCATTTTTTATGATAGAAAAAAACTGTAATATCCATGAATAGAGAATTGGTTAAATTACCTTACATCATTAAATTAGAATATTATGCTGCTGTATAAAAATGAGGAAATCATTTACTCATGGGGAACTCTCACCATGATAAATTGAGAAAAGCAGGGTACTAAACAATGTATCTAAAATTCTACTGTTTATATAAAAAATGAGAGGAAAATGTCTTCTTGTTTGCTTATTTTATATATATACACACATACACACACACACACACACACACACACACACACACACACACACACACACACGTGGAATATTTCTTTTTTTTGTTTGTTTTTGAGAGGGAGTCTCGCTCTGTCGCCCAGGCTGGAGTGCAGTGGTGCGATCTCGGTTCACTGCAAGCTCCGCCTCCTGGGTTCTCGCCATTCTCCTGCCTCAGCTTCCCGAGTAGCTGGGACTACAGGCGCCCGTATACGTGGAATATTTCTAAGGAATTCATAAGAATAAGAAGCTGACACATTGGTTGCCACTAGGGAAGAGAACTGAGTAGCTGAGGATAAGGTTAGAAGTAGAAAGGGGACTCTTTACTGAAGAGTCACTTGCTCAGGGTCCATACTCATCATTCTGGTCTCTTTGTATTATCCTCTTTTAAGTTAATATCACTTGTCAACTTCTTTCAACACTTTTTTGCAGATGAATTCAAAATACCTACATTTAATCTTATCAGCCTTCTATTTTCAGCTGTCTATTAAACAACTCTGCGTAGGTTCCATGAGCCAACCCCTTAAATCTACTTAAAGATGTTTCTCATCCATAAAATCCATGTGCAGTAATTGGAATGATGTTCTCATTTGGACTTTCTTAAGATAATCTTCTGTAATAAAGTCTATATATACATATACCCTAATCTGTTTTAAGTTCTGGAGGCATTACCATTATCTGTTGGTAATTTTAATTATCTTTTTTGTGATATAATAGAGCAAGAGCATAAAATTGTTTCTTTGCTAATCAAGCTTTCCTGTTTAGGTGGGTTTCCATTATTTATATAGATCTTAGATGTTTTTACTTAATTAAATTTTAGTTCATCTGAAAACTTTATTTTGTAATACAGAAAAATATAACTTAATGCTAGCCATATAAACATGCATACCATTTCCAAATTATCCTGGATTATAGTTTACTTTGTGCGCCAAAATTATTCTTGTCTTTCTAGGACATTCAGTGAGATAAATAAAGCGGAAGAGCAATACAGCCTATGTCAAGAACTTTGCAGTGAGCTTGCTCAGGATCTACAGAAAGAAAGACTTAAGGTGCTTTATTTTGATATGGTGTCCTTAGTTTTTAAGTTTTTTAATAGTAAAATGCTACCTTAAAAGCTAGAGTTAGATTACACATTTCTTAAAGATGAATACAAATTAATAAACGTCAGAATAGTGTATTCCTATCCCCAACAGTCAGATACAAATCCAATTCTGACCCATATCTGGAGTCTGTGATGAGGTGATTCTATGAAGAAGCACCTTATGAGAATAGAGTGGTTCAGTATAATTCAGAGGACTTTACTTCTGTACCTCAGGAGTACATTTGAATAAGTTAAAACCAAAGTTACACTGGCATTAGAGAATAAGGCAAAAGAAAGGATTTCCAGAGAATTGTATTCACATATTACAAATGTCTTTCCAATCATCCTTTAATGTTTTTCTTACTTAGACAATGACCTTCTAAAATAGGCATTTTGTTTCAAGGTTGTAGTCCAGGTTGCTTAACACAGGACAACAAAACCTATAAGGCTTTGAACTTGCTATTTTATAATCTTCACTCACAACAATTTATATTTAGTGTATTCCCAACACTCTCAAACCAGAGGTAGAGTCAGTACAAAGCGTAATAAAAAGGTATTTTAAAATTGCTACACAGGTACAAATATCTGGTTTGATAGAAGAAATAAGACCTAGTGTTCAATAGATCAGTAAGGTGACTATAGTGTACAGTAATCTGTGTTACATACCAGAATAGCTAGAAGAGAATAATTTGAATGTTTCTCGCATAAAGAAAATACAAATATTTAAGGTGATAGATATCCGAAGTACACTTATTTGATCTTTACAAAGATCAAAACTATGAGGTACATGTGATAATTTACTATGTTCATATAATGCATCAGTAAAACTATTATGCTAATCAGTAAAAAATTTGTTTTAAAAAAATTACTACAAAGAGTGGAATATCTGATGAGTATCTTTCTCTATCATACCTTGAATTTAAAGAATTTTCTTTTTAAAAAATATTTAAATAAACATTTAATTTTATGATCATTTTAGATTTCCAGAAAAGTCACAAAAATAATAGAATTTCAGCATACTCCTCACCTGGTTTCCTCCATTATTAACATATTACCAGAGTACATTTGTCAAAAATAAGAAACTGACATTTAATACATTGTCAATTATTAACCCCAGACTTTATTTGGAGTTTACTTATTTTTCCATTAATGTCGTCTCTGCCTTCCAGAATTCAGTCCAGGGGACTACATTGCATTTAGCTGTCATGTCTCTCCAGTTTCCTGGTCTGTGATAGTTTCTTAGTTTTTCCTTCTTTTTCATGACCTTGACAGTGTTGGGTAGTACTATACAGGTATTCTGCAGAATGTCGCCCAATTTGGGTTTGTCTGATGATTTTCTCATGATTAGATCAGGGTTATGGATTTTTAGAAAGAGTATCACAAAGAGGAAGTGTCCTTCTCATAACATCCTATCATGGGGTGTATAATAGCCACATGATGTCATGGTTGATATTAACCTTCATCACTTGGTTAGTGTTTGCTAGGCTTCTCCACTGTGAAGTTAGTGTTTTTCCCTTTGGAAGTAAGTCAGTAAATCTAACTACCCTCAGATGAGAGAGAGCAGGAATTAACTTCCTCCTCCAGGGGATACTAAAATATACATAACATAAAATTTACATTTTAACCATTTTTAAGTGTACAGTTCATATTGTTTTATAACCATCACCACCACCCATCTCTAGAACTGTTTCATTGTCTCCACTGAAACCCTGCACTCATAAAACACTAAGTGTAAAGGGAATTCTTACATTAAATTGTTTGGCATAGCATCTGGCAATGCAGAAGGCACACAATAAGTGTGAACTATTCATAAGTCGTTTTCAGTGAGACACTTTTAGAAAGATTTTTTTCCTTCCTTTGTAGGTAATTAATCAACCTCCAAAAGAGATTCAGTAAAAATAAAAGTGATCATTTAACCTTTCCCTCTTGTAATGGTCTTTTATAAAAATTCAGTTGGGGGGCCAGGCACGGTGGCTCATTCCTGTAATCCCAGCTCTTTGGGAGGCCAAGGCAGGGGGATCACCTGAGGTCAGGAGTTTGAGACCAGCCTGGCCAACATGGTGAAACCCCATCACTACTAAAAATGGTGGCGGGCACCTGTAATCCCAGCTACTCTGGAGGCTGAGGCTGGAGAATCACTTGAACCTGGGAGGCAGAGGCTGCAGTGAGCCAAGATCCCGCCACTGCACTCCAGCCTGGGCATCAGAGTGAGACTCTGTCTAAAACAACAAAAAAAAAAACAAACAAAAAAATTCAGTTGGGAAGGGGAATAAAAATTACTGGCTAAAATGGGATTTTAGGTCAGGCATAGTGGCTCATGCCTGTAATCCCAGCACATTGGGAAGCTGAGGCCAGAGGATTGCTTGAGCCCAGGAGTTCAAGACCAGCCTGGACAACATAGCAAAATCACGTCTCTACAAAGAAAATGTAAAAATTAGCTGGGCATGGTGGCACGAGTGTGTAGTCCCAGCTACTTGGGAGGCTGAGGTAGGAGGATAGCATGAGCCTGGGAGGTCAAAGCTGCAGTGAGCCACGATCATGCCACTGTACTCCAGCCTGGGCAATAGAATGGGACCCCCATCTCAAAAACAAAATAAAATGGGATTTTAGCTTATGTTTGGAAAGGGAAGTAAACGTTTTTGGCTAAAATGGTATTTTAATTATTCTTTTTTTTTCTGAGACAGAGTCTTGCCCTGTCACACAGGCTGGAGTGCAATGGTGTGATCTCGGCTCAATGCAACCTCCATCTCCTGGCTTCAATCTATTCTCCTGCCTCAGCCTCCCCAGCCGCTGGGATTACAGGTGCCTGCCATCACGCTCAGCTAATTTTTGTATTTTTATTAGAGACAGGGTTTCACCATGTTGGCCAGGCTGGTCTTGAACTCCTGACCTCGTGATCCGCCCGCCCAAAATGCTGGGATTACAGGCGTGAGCCACTGCAGCCGGCCTCTTATTCTTTATGATATGTTTATCACCATGTTTTATAAATAATTGGTTATAATTCCATATTCTTATGTCCGTAAACCTTTCTGAATTTTTCTAACATGTAAATGACTTTTTTCTAGAAGTTAGGAAGTCATACAGAATAATGTATTCTGGTTGGGTGCAGTAGCTCATGCCTATAATCCCAACACTTTGGGAGGCCAGGATCGCTTGTGGCCAGGAATTTGAGACTAGCCTGGGTAACATAGTGAGACTCTGATTCTACAAAAAAATAAAAAATTAGCTGGTGTACTGGCACGCACTTGTAATCTTAGCTACTCAGGAGGCTGAGGCAAGAGGATTGCTTGAACCCAGAAGTTGAAGGCTGCAGTGAGCTACAGCTGTGCCAGCGCACTCCAGCATGGACAACAGAGAGAGACCCTGTCTCATAAATAAATAAATAACATATTGTATATGTTATAGGGTAGAACTGTTACCATTAAGTTGAAGAATGTGAATTTTGAAGTAAAAACTCGTGCATCTACAGTTTCATCTGTTGTTTCTACTGCAGAAGAAATATTTGCCATTGCTAAGGAATTGCTAAAAACAGAAATTGATGCTGATTTTCCACATCCCTTGAGATTAAGGCTTATGGGTATGACTTTTTCATTTTTTTGTTTTTCCTTAAATCTGCTAGATTTTCCCAAATAATCAACTTTGGGAATACAGGGGGCCCCCAACTTAACAATGGTTCAACTTAATGATTTTTCAACTTTGCGACAGTGGGAAAGCTGTATGCTTTCAGTACACTCTTGACTTACAAGGTGGTTACATCCCGATAAACCCATCATAAATTGAAAGTATTGTAAATTGACTTATTATGTTTTCAATTTACAGCGGGTTTATCTGGATACAATCCTACTGTAACTCAATGAGCACCTGTATTCTCGCCTTCATTTTATTTCTTAAACCTGTTTACGAAGTTCTTCCTTTGCTGCTGCCATTTGTCTTAGTTATTAGACCCTGATGTGTGAAGCCATGATCATTAGTTTAATTCCAGTAAGGGTCAATTAAAGTTGTTATTTTCCTTATAACTTAATGAAATTCTTGTGGCCAGGTGTGTTTCAAAATTCAAAACTTTTCAGATTTTAGAAAGCAAATTCAGTGCATGTAGAGTATATTACGTTGTAATACTTCTTTGTGGATCTGGGGCAACACCCCCTGTTCAAACACATTAATATTTCTGTAGCAAAACAAAATATTCAGAGACTGTAAAGACTGATGACATTAATTTAGTCATCAGGTATCACTTGTTGCTTACAATTTTCAGAACTTTTTGGATTTTGGAATTACAGATAAAGGATTGTGACATTGTGAAATCACATCTCCAGCCACTACATGGTAAAAAGTAACAAGCCATGTTTCCAAAGTGTACTGGTTGAAAGTATATATGTGGATCACCACTCCAAATGCACATTTTACTAGTAAGGAGTGGGTCACTAGCCATAATTTTATTTATGAAAGATATAGCACACACTGAAATCAACTGAATAAAGTGTTAATTGAAAGAGCCAGGCTGGGCGCGGTGGCTCACGCCTGTAATCTCAACACTTTGGGAGGCCAAGGCAGGTGGATTGCCTGAGGTCAGGAGTTCAAGACCAGCCTGGCCAACATAGTGAAACTGCATCTCTACAAAAACTACAAAAAATTAGCTGGACATGGTGGCGGGCACCTGTAATCCCAGCTACTTGAGAGGCTGAGGCAGGAGAATCGCTTGAACCCGGGAAGTTGCAGTGAGCTGAGATCACGCTGTTGCACTCCAGCCTGGGCAACAAGAGTGAAACTCCACCTCAGAAAAAAAAAAAAAAAAAAAAAAAAAGCCCAAGAGCAGATATCTATAGAAGCTTAATTCATAATTGCCAAAACTTTGAAGCAAGCACGATGTCCTTCGGTACGTGAATGGATAAATAAACTGTGGTACATACAGACAGTGGAATAATATTCAGCACAGAAAATAAATGAATTATCAATTCATGAAAAGACACGAATGAAACTTAACTGCATAATGTTAAGTAAAAGAAGCCAGTCTGAAAAAGCTAAATACTGTGTGATTCCAACCATATGAGATTCTGGAAAAGGCAAATATGAGTACCATAAAAAATAATTGATTGTCAGGAGTTAAGAGGGGCAGGAGGTATAAATAGGCAAAACACAGGAATTTTAGGGCAATGAAATGATTCCGTATGATTCTATAATGACACGTCATTATAAATTTGTCCAGCGCCCAGGATGTATTCCAAGGGTGAACCCTATGTAAGCTATGGACTTTGAGTGACAATGTTGTGGCAGTGTAGGTTTATAGATTGTAACAAATGTACCACTCTAGTGCCACATGTTGATAGTTGGGGTGGTGGAGGGGTGTGCATGTGTAGGGAAAGGGGATCTTTGGGAACTCATTGTACCTTCTGCTCAATTTTGCTGTGAACCTAAAATTCCTCTAAAAAATAAAGTCTATTAGAAAAAAAAGAGCTAAAGAGTCTGTATAGTTGACTCCAGTTAGTTACTGGTATTAATTTAATGGTATTATGTGTCACATATGAATTAAAATCCTACATCATTATACTAACTCCAAATAGTTAATATTTAATGATATTCTTTTATAAAGGAAGGTAAATCTGTACTTATAATACCAGCTTTGAAATGTTACTTATAGTTTCTCTCTAGCCAACCTTTTGTATATGTCATAGCACTAGACAAAATGTTTTTATGCATTGTGAGTGAATTGGCTTTGTTCAATTTGAAATTGATTGTGATTGGTTTAATTTAGGTGTTCGGATATCTAGTTTTCCCAATGAAGAGGACAGGAAACACCAACAAAGGAGCATTATTGGCTTTTTACAGGCTGGAAACCAAGCCCTGTCAGCCACTGAGTGTACATTAGAGAAAACTGACAAAGATAAGTTTGTAAAACCTCTAGAAATGTCTCATAAGAAGAGTTTCTTTGATAAAAAACGATCAGAAAGGAAATGGAGTCACCAAGATACATTTAAATGTGAAGCCGTGAATAAACAAAGTTTCCAGACATCACAACCATTCCAAGTTTTAAAGAAGAAGATGAATGAGAATTTGGAAATATCAGAGAATTCAGATGACTGTCAGATACTTACCTGTCCTGTTTGCTTTAGGGCTCAAGGGTGCATCAGTCTGGAAGCCTTGAATAAACATGTAGATGAATGTCTTGATGGACCTTCAATCAGTGAAAACTTTAAAATGTTCTCGTGTTCACATGTTTCTGCTACCAAAGTTAACAAGAAAGAAAATGTTCCTGCTTCTTCACTTTGTGAGAAGCAAGATTATGAAGCCCATCCAAAAATTAAAGAAATATCTTCAGTAGATTGTATAGCTTTAGTAGATACTATAGATAACTCATCTAAAGCAGAAAGCATAGATGCTTTAAGTAATAAGCATAGCAAGGAAGAATGTTCTAGTCTCCCAAGCAAGTCTTTTAATATTGAACACTGTCATCAGAATTCTTCTTCTACTGTTTCATTGGAAAACGAAGATGTTGGATCATTTAGACAAGAATACCGCCAGCCTTACTTATGTGAAGTGAAAACAGGCCAAGCTCTAGTTTGTCCTGTTTGTAACGTAGAACAAAAGACTTCAGATCTAACCCTGTTCAATGTGCATGTGGATGTTTGCTTAAATAAAAGTTTTATCCAAGAATTAAGAAAGGATAAATTTAACCCAGTTAATCAACCCAAAGAAAGCTCCAGAAGTACTGGTAAGTGTGTAATTGTTTTAAACTGCATGATTTTCTAGGAATATGTATTATTAAAATTAATGAGATTGTTGTTAAATCTGAAACATATACTATTAAATGGGTAGTTTGTGTATGCCGCCATTTAGGGAAATGTTGGTTACATTGCCATAGGTTAGAATTAACTCAAGCCTGTAGATTGTGAATTTGGGGAAAACTTTGGTTTGATCTTGATTTAGCACAGAATGAACTCAAAGGTTTAAGGAGCTGAGTGATCTAATCAAACAAATTCCTTCAGAGAACATCTGTGAAGGCACAGTGGTAAATTAACTATAACTGCATAACTAGAAAGCCTCTTTAACTTATTTTTTGGTAGTGCTGACTCTACCCAAATTTCACCAATAAAATTAAGTGTAATGCTAATAAAATTAGTAAATTACAAAGAAATTATAGTTTTTGGTGTGTTTACATATGAACTATATAGTACTAAGGAAGTTTAATCAATAAGTTTTAACTTTTTAAATTTGTATACAACTTTTTAATTATTTCATATTATTCATTATGGAATTTCTTGACTTTCTTTCCTCTAAAGGTAGCTCAAGTGGAGTACAGAAGGCTGTAACAAGAACAAAAAGGTATGGCTAATTTGAGCTTTAATAAAGCTGGCTACAATATGAAAATTCAATTATTTTATAAATTATTAAGTAATCAATATTAAAAATGAATTATTTTCTAGAATCTCTTCCTGCATTTTAATTGTGTGTTCCTTTTCATTCTAGGCCAGGATTGATGACAAAGTACTCAACATCAAAGAAAATAAAACCAAACAATCCCAAACATACCCTTGATATATTTTTTAAGTAAACATTGAACATTTTATCATTAATTTTTAATTGAAACTAGTTATTTTATAATCAATGAATTTGTTCTTTCTGATTTTAAGTTTGCAGATTTATTTAGTGAAGGCAAGTGCAATAATCCTTCCTCAGATGATGTTTGCTTTTCTAAGATACATATACTGATTCTGTGTATCTTTTTTATAACCATGAGAATTTTACTTCCATTATACATCAATTGGAAATCAATCCTGTTAAGAGATAATTCTTAAAAGGGAAATTAGGAATGGGATAAGAAGGTGATTTTTTTATTATTTTTATACTGAATATAAAAACATTTGTAAGGGCTCTCAAAGATTCACACATGCCTATATTATCATAAGAATTTTTCAGCACTTAACTACTTTGTTGGCATTGATCCTAGTGTCTTTAAATACTTCATGAGCATTCATAATTAAAATTTATCTTAAGTTCTATGAAGAGTATTAATGTAACTAGCATAAGTGGTTTTCTTCAGGAAAATAAATATCACAGTATTATCTGTGTTAAAATGGTTTTTGCCTAAAATATAATTTTTAATTTGGCTTTTCTTATTTAAAATTCCATTATCTTATGAATAAGCACTTGAATCAGTTTTTAAAATATTTAGTCTAAGATGATTCAAAGTAGTTTTATTTTAATACAGGACTTTTAAATGGCAGTATTTCATTTCTTGTCAATTATGTTGGTACTTTCCACAAATCTATAAAGAAGGATAAATTGTACCATCATTTTATTATAATCCTCAAGAGAAAATGTGTAATTCAAAAGATTAATGTGTATTAAAACACATTATGTATCTTAGTTACATTTCTATCAGTACTTTTATTAATATTTGTGAAAGAAGACAGCTTAATAGTAGTTAGCTTAAGTAGTTTCTCCAAGTACTTTTGTGCTATCAATGAGTTCTTCTCAAAAAATAATTAGTTAGGCCAGGCACAATGGCTCACACCTGTAATGCCAGCCCTTTGGGAGGCCGAATGGGCAGATCACTTGAGGTCAGGAGTTTGAGACCAGCCTCGCCAACATGGTGAGACCCTGTCTCTACTAAAACGATAAAAAAAAAAAAAAAATTAGCCAGGCTTGGTGGCACACGCCTGTAATCCCAGCTACTCAGATGGCTGAGGCAGGAGAACTACTTGAACCTGGGAGGTCAAAGCTGCAGTCAGCCAAGATCTTGCCACTGTACTCCAGCCTGAAGAGCGAGACTCTGTCTCAATAATATAATAATAGTTATTATTTAATTGCAACATGAAGTTGGAAGCCATTTTCTGTTACTTCTTTAAGGAGCTAAATCTTTTATATTTTTGTTTTCTCTCCCCTTGCGTTTCATATTTTAGCTTATGATCTAAATATATATTTTGTATATTATAATATTTTAGGAATAGCTTAATTAAGAACTCACAGACTTTGACAAAGTGGTAACTAGACTTTTAATTACTAGATTCTTCAAATTAGGCTTAATGCCTGCTAGCATGCCAATCCAATCCCATGACTGATGTTATTATACACTATGGCAAATACAAAGTTGTAGTATTATGGTTCTTGATGGTGTGATTTACTTATGTAAATTATGTACAAATTTAAGTTCAATGAAACACTGATTTAATGTACTGAAAGGTAAATAGTACCATAGTGAATTATTTTCTGTCTTGCCTTAGGTTTATTTTTATTATCTTCAATATTAGAATAAATGCTAAATTATTTTCATTTAAGGATTTATGTAGTTGAATATTATCATTTAGTAATATTTAATCATTTGAAATAAAATTTAAAGCTTTAATTGATCTAATAGAGATGGTTTTCTACTTTTCCACTCTTCCTCCCTCTTATGCCTTCACTTTTGTTTTCTGTGCCCAGAATTTTCTTCACATTCTTTACTACCTGTTTTGTCTATTATATCCAACCCATTTTCTTTTTATTATAATTTTGATTTGGGGCATTTGAAGAAAATACAGCAAAACTACAAGAACTGGTAATAAGCATGCATAATCTCACCTACTTAGTGAACCTAATATAAACCTAATATAAAGAACCACCGTATTTGCAATATATATAACTGGTGAAAAACTAGTGTCCAGAATATATAAATGATCCCTATGAATCAGTAAGAAAAAGACAGTCAATAGAAATTTGGACAAAAGACTTTATATGGCATTTCAAGTGAAAGGAAATCCAGATGACCAAGAAACATGAAAATATTCCCAGCCATATTAATATTTGAGAAGTAAAAAATAAAACTACAAGGAGGTATTACATCTTTACCTTATTTGCAAAAATGAAATGATCTAATGATACTAAGTTTTGGTGATGATGTCAGCTCTTACATTGAAAACAATCACTGTGGAAAAATTTGTCCCTCAGTAAATTTAAAGATAAACATGCTCAAAACCTAGCAATTGCACTCTGAAGTATACATCTTTGCAGGTTATCTTTCATTACAGTTATTTTTTTCCCTGTCAGGACCCTAACTAATACAATGCCTTGGGAAAACTAATGAACATGTATCCTAGGAAGCATGTACAAGAAAGTTCTTCCCAGTCAGGAAGGTGGCCAAGAAAAAAATTTTTTAATGTTCATAGCAGCACTGCAATATCCAAAAGTTAGAAATGAACCAAATATTCAGCAATGGTAGAATGGTTAAATTGTACCATGGCATTTATATTGAAACAGTAGAATTCTACACAGTGGTGAAAATGAAGGAAATAGCTAACCACAACATAGATGAATATCACAGACATAGCATAGAGCAAAAGAAGCAAATCACAGAAGGATGCCATCAACATGATTCCATTTGTATAAAGTTTAAAACAGTATAAACTGAACAACTATATTGTTTTAAGGGTATATAGTTATATATATGAGATACAACTGTAAAGAAAAGCAAGTGTTTTGCTGTCCCCAGAACCAGAATAATGATTTCCTCTGTGGAGAAGTACAGCAGTGTGATTGGGGAGTGGCACCTGGTGCTTCTGGGATGCTGGCAATGTTCTATTTCTTGTCTTGGGTGGTGATTGCATGGATGTTCACTTTTAAAATACTCTTTATACATATATATTTTATATATTCTTGTTCATATATAACCTTTATAATAAAGAGAAAAAAATGGCAAAAACTGCTTTCGTTAACAAGATGATATTTTCCTCCAACTCTGCAGGCTAGCTAATTTCAATCGAGAAAAAAATACATTTTTTTCTTCTAGAACCTTGCTGAACACAGCAAGAAAGAGCCATCCCATGCAAAATTTTTAGTTTTTCTCCTAGCATTTCCCCTAAGGCTACAGCCTCAATCAGTATTTGGTCTTCTTTCCAAAGACAGCTGTTGACAGTTAGACCAAATATTTTTTTGCCGTTTGTGATGGTTAATATTGAGTGTCAACTTGATTGGATTAAATGATGCAAAATATTGTTCCTGGGTGTGTCTGTGAGGGTATTGCCAAAGAAGATTAACATTTGAGTCAGTGGGCTCAAGAAGCAGATCCACCCTCAATCTGGTTGTGCACCATCTAATCAACTGCCAGCATAGCTAGGATAAAAGCAGGCAGAGGAAGGTGGAAGGACTACACTGGCTAAGTCTTCTGGCCTCCGTCTTTCTCCTGTGCTGCATGTCTTCTGCCCTTGAACATCAGACTCCAAGTTCTTCAGCTTTTGGACTCTTGGACTTCCACCAGTGATTTGCCAGGGACTATCAGGCCTTCAGCCACAGACTGAAGGGCTGCACCATCTGCTTGTCTGCTTTTGAGGTTTTGGGACTCAGACTGGCTTCCTGGCTTCTCAGCTTGCAGACTGTGGGACTTCACCTTGTGATTGTGTGAGTCAATTTTCCTAAGAAACTCCCCTTCATATATACATCTATTAGTTCTGTCCCTCTAGAGGACCCTAATACACCACCAAACAAGTCACCAGTTTTCCAGTCTGTGGTATTTGTGTCCCCACTCCCTAAATTCTTCTCTCCAACCCTAAGTCAATTTGTTATATTAGGCTTTGTTATTTGCAGTACCCTATTTCTGTATCAGTTCAGTCACAAGCTTCCTGGTGCCTCTTCCTTGTTGAGTCACATGGGGACATGCTTAATTCTCCCAGAAATGTGTGACAGCATGTGCAAAATATTGCCAACCAAGGAAGCTCAACCAATCCTTGGTGTCCAAGGTGTTTACTGGAAGTCAGTCACATAGGCATGCATCACCCATGTGACTGACCTTACCCGTTGAGTCTCAAGACCCCAGGGGTGTAGTGATACCTCATGGCCCAGGGCTTCAGCCATTCAAAAACAGACATTCGCCATGATTCATACTGTTAGCATAAACTATCTCGTCAAACTAACAAAATGCAGCCCAAGGCCTCAGGCATACTAGAACACTATTATCAAACTGGAAATTCCACGAGCTCAGGTCATTTCCCAGGAGCTAGTCAAGGAAGGGCCAGTACGTGAAGACACCTCTCTTTGAAAAGTGCAGGGCTGGAGTAACCTGAGGCTGCTAGGTTAACCCTTTACTGCATTAATGTCAAATTATTAGAATTGTATTCAAATAAAATATAAAAAAGAAAGATCACTTAGAGTAACTTTTTCCTGCCTCACTTGAATAATGCAGAGACACTTCAAATTCGTAACATGTTTAGGGGGTCTCAAGGAGGATGGGCTATGCGTTTTGAATATATGCATATAAAACAACAAATGACATAGGCCTAATAATTTCTTTGCATGTGTATAATCCTCTCTTCAATGTAATTCAAAGGTCTCTTTTTTAATATCAGTCTTTACATTGTCCCTGTAATATAGAGCTATACACCTTTCCTCAATCTTTTGTGATAGTAGGAAAAGTAGCATTATAAGAAGTATTTATAAATTTAATTCACTCCACCAGAAATGTTTTATTTTAAAGTTAGCATGGGACTTGTGGTATCCGCAAGGTCAGTGTCCCCACTGAAGAAGTGGCCTTCTAGAGTAAGAAGTTTCAGCATCAACATGGGTAATGGAAGCCATATAACAGAACTTAAGAAGGAACTTTGTGCTAAGAAAATGTAGACAGTGGTTATAGGCATATATGTAAGAAGGCTGTAAGTTAAAGGCAAGAGAGATGTAGCAATTAATAGGAGATATTTTTTCTGCCATCATTAACAAATGTATTTGTTTACTACTCCTTACTTTTTAACTCATCCACCTTGTATCCACTGCTACCTCTGCCAACCCTGTATCTGTTACTGAATTCTGTCTACTCTTGTAGGGCCTCTTGAAAATGAAAATATCCATTTGTTTCCATCTCTTTTGTCAAGCCCTTATCAGTTGTCTAAACTCTTGACTTTCCAACTGATTTGTCAGTTTTCCCTGCTCTAAACCATCTTATGCATTTTTTACAGATTAGCTATAAACAGCATTCCCATAATAGCACTCTCATGTCAAAAAAAAAAAAAAAGCAGTTTTCAAAAGCTCTCAACTGTCTCCAAGATTTAGCAGTGGAATGAGTAGGAAAAGGGAGTGATTTTTAGTGTATGATTATTTATGTGGTGTAAATGCTCCCACCATGACAGATTTCAAGTTATGTGATGTCAGCCAGTTCACAAAATTCCTGAAACTTTAACAGCTCTTGCAAGCCAATACAAGCTAGCTCCTATATATCACTGTCCATGATGCACTCTAAACACTGGCTTGGCATTCAGGGTTTCCTGAACAGACCAAGCTGTTTCTCCTTTCTGGCATCTGTGCTCCATTGTTCCCTCTGCCCAGAATATGCTTCCTGAATGCCCCTTTTCTCTCTCCCACCTACATAATTACTCATCTTTCAACTCAGCTCAAGGGCCACCTTCAGAAAAGTGTTCCTTGCCCTCTGGAAAAATTGATCAGTCACTATTTTTTGCTCCTGTTTCCCTACAAAGACCCTGAAACATTCTTTGCATGGCCCCCGATGTTGGTTTCTCCCTACCAGATTGTAGGCCCCAAGAGATCCTGGGCTATCTTTCACTTATCTCTGAATTCCAAGTATGAAGTGTATGGCCTGGCACACAGTAGATACGGAGAGTCATTTGTTGACATGTAAATGAATAAATAGTATGTGTCCAAAAGTGTTTACTACTATCTTATTGTTTTTATCTGGGAAGACAGAATGGTGGCTAAGGGCTGCTGTCACACTGGGTCCTAAAGAGTGGACATTCCAGAAAGAGACAATTGCATTTATTTCCCTTTATTAGATAATGGCTTGCTTTATACATGTTTTATTATTATACTGTGTCGTTTTGGAGTGGCTTGGGAGTATTTGGAAGAAGGCTTAAAATATGACTATTAACCTGGGGCTAAAAAAAACTGTTTTTGAGGAAATATTTCATTTAAAAAAATCATACCTGGTGTACCTGGTGCTGAACTGTTGTTTTTAGAGACAAGGTCTCACCGTCACCCAGGCTGAAATACATTGTCATGATCATAACTCACTGCAGCCTGGAACTCTTGGGATCAAGATCCTCTCATCGCAGCTTCCCAAGTAGCTGGGACTACAGGCTGGTGCCATGATGCCCAGCTAAGTTTTTGTATTTTTTTGTTGAGATAGGATCTTGCTATGTGGCCTAGATTGGTCTTGAACTCCTGGCTTCAAGCATTCCTCCTTCCTCAGTCTCCCAAAGCTCTGGGATTAACAGGCATCAGCCACCATGCCTGGCCCTGGTACTGAATTTTCTTTGAAGTAAGGTTCCATTTTGAAAAGCAGTGATATATTTGAACACACTTTGTGTTGGTAGGATTTTAGTAAACCTCACAGAGAGGTGATGCTTATTTCCCTGGAGAAAAAACTGTTCTTTAATTGTATAATTAAGGACTAATCGCTTTTGCTTTGTAATACATAACTGAATTAAGTTGTTCAAGAAAAACTCAAATGACATCATGGTGACTATTGGCAACATGATTCCATTTATTAAGCAAACCATAATATTGAACTGTTCCCCTTACCAGTACGAGGTAATTGTGATAGTCTTACTTTGTAACTGCTGCTGTCTACAGAATGCTCAGGGAGATTAAAGATAATTCAGAGGCAAATGGTACTAACCCTTCTAACCTCAGCCTGTAAAGTGTAGTATGATTTCAAACTCTTTCCTGTATACACATACACACACACACACACACACACACACACACACACACACACTACCTCTGCCAACCACATACCTATCATTGAGTTCTGTCTACTCTTGTAGGGCCTCTTGAAAACACTTCTTTCCATTTCTTTTATCAGGTTCTTATCAGTTGTCTAATATCTGGCCTTCTAACTCATTGCTTAGCTTTCACCAGTTTCTTTCCCTGCTTTAGATCATCTTGTGCATTTTTGTAGACAATACTTTCCTAATATCACTCATGGTCTTGGGTGTCTATGGAGAGAGTGAGAGAGAGAGAGATTCCCTAAATTGGAGACAAAAAGGAAAAAAAAGTTGGGTCACTTCTAGGATCAAATCTAGTTCTCTTTTATGAAGGCTCAAAAGTTTTTTCCCTCTCAGAATATGCTAAACTTCAAATGTGATCTCTGAAACCATCCGCAAGTCTGAGATACGCCATGGTTTTTTGGGTTTTGCTAGCAATTCTGGGCAGAGATCCTGGTTGTCCTTCAACATTCTACTTTTCTGCCATATTATTAGAATTTTAGCTTGGCACATGATCACCCAGAATAGACTAATGTATTTCATCAATTCTTTATAAACCACTAAGAAATAATACCTAAGATAGGGAGTCTAACAGGTTACCACTGCATAAATATGGGACACCAAGGTTTATACCTTCAGAGCAAGGATAAAGGAGAAATCTTCCATGAAGAAAGAGGGAGCAAAGTGTAGGGGTGGGTTGCCCCTACACACCTGTGGGTGTTTCTCGTAAGGTGGGACGAGAGATTTGGAAAAGAAAAAGACACAGAGACAAAGTATAGAGAAAGAAATAAGGGGAACCGGGGAACCAGCGTTCAGCATATGGAGGATCCCGCCAGCCTCTGAGTTCCCTTAGTATTTATTGATCATCTGTGGGTGTTTCTCAAAGAGGGGGATGTGTCAGGGTCACAAGACAATTGTGGGGAGAGGGTCAGCAGACAAACACGTGAACAAAGGTCTTGGCATCATAGACAATGTAAAGGATTAAGTGCTGTGCTTTTAGATATGCATACACATAAACATCTCAGTGCTTTACAAAGCAGTATTGCTGCCCGCAGGTCCCACCTCCAGCCCTAAGGCGGTTTTTCCCTATCTCAGTAGATGGAGCATACAATCGGGTTTTATACCGAGACATTCCATTGCCCAGGGACAGGCAGGAGACAGATGCCTTCCTCTTGTCTCAACTGCAAGAGGCATTCCTTCCTCTTTTACTAATCCTCCTCAGCACAGACCCTTTACGGGTGTCGGGCTGGGGGACGGTCAGGTCTTTCCCTTCCCACGAGGCCATATTTCAGACTATCACATGGGGAGAAACCTTGGACAATACCTGGCTTTCCTAGGCAGAGGTCCCTGCGGCCTTCCGCAGTTTTTGTGTCCCTGGGTACTTGAGATTAGGGAGTGGTGATGACTCTTAAGGAGCATGCTGCCTTCAAGCATCTGTTTAACAAAGCACATCCTGCACCGCCCTTAATCCATTCAACTCTGAGTTGACACAGCACATGTTTCAGAGAGCACGGGGTTGGGGGTAAGGTCACAGAATCTCAAGGCAGAAGAATTTTTCTTAGTACATAACAAAATGGAGTCTCCTATGTCTACTTCTTTCTACACAGACACAGTAACAATCTGATCTCTCTTGCTTTTCCCCACAGCAAAGCAATTTGCATGCTCAGCCTTGGCACTGGTTGGAAGGAGGGACTGCCAGTGAGAATTTGAACCATAAACCAGTACACATGTAGGCTTGTAATCTGAATTCACACAAATGGTATCATCCTAAAGAGCTCAAGCAGAAAATGTAATTAAAGTGAGGTTAGTATTGCCCCTAGTGACTGGCAGAAGCATATGCAAATCCTCTATGGAAGAACTCAACTTCAATTCAGGCAGACAACTTAGTATCTCAATTAAAAAGATGTGATAATGTGAAAAATAGGTGTTACAGAATTGATGACTACAATGTATCTCCCATCCTTGAAGCTCACACCCTCCCAGCTAGGGGTAGCCATGTGACTGAGTTTTGACTAATGGGATATAAAAGGAAGTACTGGCCGGGTGCGGTGTCTCACGCCTGTAATCTCAGCACTTTGGGAGGCCAAGGCGGGTGGATCACCTGAGGTCAGGAGTTCGAGACCAGCCTGGCCAAGATGGTGAAACCCCGTCTCTACTCAAAATACAAAAAAGTAGCTGGGCGTGGTGGCACACACTTGTGATCCCAGCTACTCAGGAGGCTGAGGCAAGAGAATCGCTTGAACCCGGGAGACGGAGGTTGCAGTGAGCTGAGATTGCACCACTGCACTCCAACCTGGGTGACAAAGCGAGACCTTGTCTCAAAAAAAAAAAAAAAAAAAGGAAGTACTGTGTGTGGTTGCTTCTGGGAACCTTCCTTTCTTGCAGCTGTAGCATTCTGTTTGCCTCTTCTTTCTATTTCTCTGTTCCATCCTGCTGCCTGGAAGCAGATGCTGCCGTTTACACCTGAACATAAGGGTTGCACAGGGGGATGGTAGAGTAGTGGGCTGCAGGGGCTGATTCTTGGGGCTTTGTAAAACAGAGACATATCAGCACTGGCCTGCACACTTTGAGACTTTCACAAGAAACAAATTAAAAAATTGTTTAAGCCATAGTTACTTGGGTTTTCCTATTAATTATAGCTGAATCCTAGCTGATAAAGGACATAAAGATTATTAAGACATGTTTGTCCTCAAAAAATGGAGAGCCACCCCAGGGACAGTTTCTATTCAATGTAGGGAGGGCTATAATAGATGAATATACAAAGTGGGAGTCTAGGGAGAAATCGTCTGGTAGAGGAGGGCAAAGAGAAATCTAGGAAGATGTTTTTAAAAATATGGAATCCTTGAACAGGACCTGGTTTTAAAGGTTTACTTCAGAATTGAACATATTTTTTTAGTCTAGACCTTTAGGGGAAAAACTTAAAGCTTTCAGGACTCAAAGACAAGTTACTGTTCCCATGGCTAAATTGCATTCCATATTTATTTGACAAATACTTATTGCAGGTCGGGTACTGTTTTAGCCACTGGAGATGCAGTAAGAAACTTAATTAATTTTTTTTTTTTTTGAGACAGAGTCTTGCTCTGTCACCCAGGTTGGAATGCAGTGACATGATAACAGCTTGCTGCAGCCTTGACCTCCGTGGCTCAGGCCATACTCCCATCTCAGCTTCCCAAGTAGCTAAGACTACAGGTCTGCCCCACCACCACCAGCTAATTTTTAAATTTTTTGTGGAGACTGGAGTCTCACTAAGTTGCCCAGGTTGGCCTCAAACTCCTGGCCTCAAGCCATCCTCCCACTTCGGCCTCTCAAATTGCTGGGATTATAGGCATGAGACACCACGCCTGGCCCAACAAAGTTTTAAAAATCACTGTATTTATGAAGTTTACATTCTAGTTGTGGAAACCGACACTAAACAAATAGACATTTCAGTGGTAAGTGTTACAAAGGAAAGAGACAACAGCATAAGGGAATGGAACATGAAGGTAGGGGACACTTTTAGAATAAGATGATCCGAGAAGGCTCCTCTGAGGAAGTGACATTTAACCTGAAACCTTAATGATACGAAGGATCAAAACTATTTTAAAAATTCGGAAGTGGAGGTGGGGGAGAGAAGTTCTAGGCAAAGGGAGGAAATAGAAGCTGATGGCTCTCCACCAGGAAACAGTGGATGAAGAATGGAGAAGAATTGTAGGGCCCAAGATCAGAGAGATGAGTAGGGCCAGATCATGTGGGCAAGCTTTTATGTATTAGCACGCTTAGAATTAATATTCTGCTTGAGAACTAACCTGATATTTGAAACAGAGTGAAAAAGAAAATACCTCCCACAGTATACTTCATAGCTTCTTATTTAGCCCAAGCTGTCAGGGAAATAAAGTCCAGCTATGGCTAAGTTTCACATAATGCACTGCTTTGGAGTTTTTGTCTCATCTGTTAGAGTAAGATAAGTACCACATACTATTATAAGGCTATATAGCATAAAATGATGATGCATTTTCTCCTGTCATTGATAAGAGGATTTTTTTAAAAGTAAATTTCTTGGTTTAGAATTTGAAAGCAGTTTCAAACTTGGATAACACAATTCAGATCTTTTTTTAAAATTATTTTTTATTTATATTAAAAAAAAATTTTTTTTTTGAGATAGGGTCTGGCTCTATCACGCAGACTGGCACACAGTGGCACAATCTTGGCTCATTGCAACCTCTGCCTCCCAGGCTGAAGCCATCCTCCCACCTCAGCCTCCCAAGTAGCTGGGACTACAGGCATGCACCACCATGCCTGGCTAATTTTTGTAGAGAGGGGGTCTCACTTTGTTACCCAGACTGGGAGATTTTTCTGTACTTGGCTGTATGCTTTCCATTGATCTGCTGCTGTTTTCACTATTATTCCTTCTTTTGTGTGGGTATTTTCTTTTGATTTTTAGAATTTTACTTGTAAACATGCTACATATACATATAATTTGGTGCCCTGTTTTTCCATTTACATATTATACTTTCCATATTAGTACATTGTCTGATATTTCTGCATAATACTCAATTCAACTTACCTGCTATTGTTTTTATCATATCTCTATTACAAACATTAGGCCCATTTCCCTTTTTTAAAAGAGGAAAGTTTGAGGTTATGGGCGGTGTTCTGATAAAATAAATAATATTTTGTCATGTTTGTTTTTTCATTGATTAGGAAACATTGTTTTGAATTTAATGCCTCAAATTTGGTGCACAATAATTTGAAGGGAAAAACTGACAAGTTTGAAATGAACATTGATATTACATAATTTACATTAAAATGATACATCTTTTGTAAATTTGTAAGAAGAATAAATAAATGAAAACCTGATTACCTTTCTTATTTGAAGTTTATTTGGGGGGTCAGAATTTGACTTGCTTCTGTATTATTTCACTTTTCAAAAGAATCCGCCAGGAAAGATTAAAATTCATGGTCTTCAAATGAGAAATCAAGTCTTACTTTATTCAAAAGAAAATGTTGGAAGCCCATTTAGAAATGATTTAATATTGAAGTTCCTATAGTGTTAGTTATAAATTCAACCTTGACATTTCTCAAAATTATACAAAGAAGTGGTAGAGTAGAGCTGGGAGTTCATTGGGGCTTGTAGATTTTGCAGGAATTTTTTTTTTTAATGTGTTAAAACAAATTTTATTTACAATAACAGGCAGCAGCGGGATTTGGCCTGGGGATGGAGCAAAGTGACCCCCTGCTGTAGAGCAAGGTGAGTGAGTCACGCCCTTGACAACACATTCTTAGAAGTCATGCTCGTTAGGGGCAAGTTCTGTTTCTTCCACCAACGTCTTCAAGCCTCAGAATCCTTTTCTATCAAACGGGGCTAATAATAGAATACACCATACCTCAGAATTAAGTGAGGCTGTGCAAAAGGTGCTTAATTCTGTGCCTGAAATGTAGCAACAGACAATAAATCCATCTAACAACAAATTCTTATGAAGAAGGTATTACAATAAATTCTTATGAAGAAGTTATTACAATAAATTCAGTGACAAGCAATGATGGCAATGGAAATAAAAATGGAGAAGCAGATGTAATTAAGAGATTTGAGAAGTAAAATTGGCAGTTCCTGGTGACTAAAGCATGTGTTAATGATAGTGATAGTGATATCCTTGGACCATTAGTTGTTCAGCTTTGAATACCCTCCCCAATTTCTCTGCTTATTCTTTTTTTTTTTTTTTTTAGTATTTATTGATCATTCTTGGGTGTTTCTCGGAGAGGGGGATGTGGCAGGGTCATAGGATAATAGTGGAGAGAAGATCAGCAGATAAACACGTGAACAAAGGTCTCTGGTTTTCCTAGGCAGAGGTCCCTGCGGCCTTCCGCAGTGTTTGTGTCCCTGGGTACTTGAGATTAGGGAGTGGTGATGACTTAACGAGCATGCTGCCTTCAAGCATCTGTTTAACAAAGCACATCTTGCAGCGCCCTTAATCCACTTAACCCTGAGTTGACACAGCACATGTTGCAGAGAGAACGGGGTTGGGGGTAAGGTTATAGATTAACAGCATCCCAAGGCGGAAGAATTTTTCTTAGTACAGAACAATATGGAGTCTCCTATTTCTACTTCTTTCTACACAGACACGGTAACAATCTGATCTCTCTCTCTTTTCCCCACATTTCCCCCTTTTCTATTCGACAAAACCGCCATTGTCATCATGGCCCGTTCTCGATGGTCGCTGGATGTTTTATTTTCCAGAGAACCAAACCTTAGCACTGTGCACGCCACACCTGAGGGCGGATTATCCCAGGCCAGCCCAAGTCAGGGCAGGGCTGGAAACTAGGGGCTTGTTGCCCAGCGAACCGCCACAACAGAGAGCGGACTCGATCCTGCGCTCCGGCCGGGCTGACCTGCCTGCGTCCAGCCCCCGCGCCCTGGGCCTGCCTGGGTCTGGATCTGTGTCCGAGTCTGGGTCTGGATCTGGGTCCGAGTCTGGGTCTGGCCCTGCGCTCAGGGCCCGCGGAGGAGACTATGGACCCCGCCGGGCGCGCCCGGGGCCAAGGGGCCACGGCAGGGGGGCTGCTGCTCCGGGCTGCTGCGGCCGCCAAGGGTCTCAGGGAAGACCTGTGGGGCGCGGCCGCCCTGCCTTGGAGGAGCCTGTCCCGGATCCCGAAGCGGGAGGGTCTTGGAGAGGAGGACACAGCAGTTGCCGGACACGAGCTCCGTGAGTCCCGGGACGAGGTCTCAGAAAATCAGGCTGCGGGGCGGGCTGGGTCGAAGGGACTTGAGAAGGTACCCAGAGCAGCACCTCCGGACGCTGCAGGAGGGAAACTGGCGAGGCGACTCAGCCCTGGGACCCCGAGTCCCAGCCTGCACCGCTGCACTCCCTGTTGGCTGGTTTTCAGCTTTGGAATCCACCCCCACCATGTACTGTGGGTGGAAGGACAGTATTATTCTTCCGAATTAAGGAGGAGGCTTTTAAAAATAATGATTAAGTCCTTTTGCAAATAAGAGTTTCATGTGCTCTTATCTCCTATATCGTGACTCATGCTCCGATTTATTGTCTGACTTTAAATAAGTCAGTCACTTAATCTTTCTGCACTTAAGTTTTTAAAGCATGGAGTGGATCATCTATGCCTTGGGAATAATGTGTAGCATAAACTGAGGCAGCTGTTAAGCAGTTCGAAAGCTGAAAGCGATTTAAGTCTGCCCCCGCCCCCCCCCGCCCTCCGCCCCGCCCCCGCCCTCCGCCCCGCGTGTAGGGTCTTGTTGCTCTGTTGCACAGGCTGGAAGGCAGTAGTGCAATCACAGACCTCCTCAGGCTCAGGTGATCCTCCCACCTCAGCCTTCCCAGTACTCAAGCCTCTTAACGGGGCACACCATCCAAGCCTACTGGCTGGGACGGCCTTATTTCCTAAACCAGGCTTGGAAGCTATACACCAATTCATCAATATAGTGTTCATTCAGTCATTCTAGAACTATTTTCAAGGGCTTAACTATTTGCTAGGCATGTTCTAGATGTAGGGTTGGAGAGAACAAGACAACCCCTGTTCTGGTGGAACATTCTGTTGTGGTGGAGGGGTGATAGACAATAAAATAAGTACGCAAATAAATGAATAAGATAATTTAAGGTAAGTGCAGTGAAGGCCATGAGACAGGGTAATGTGGTTGGAGTCAGGCTGCCTGGGACAATTCTATAACTTACAAAGCATGAGCAAGTGGTATAACTTTTGAAGATCTCAGTTTCCTCATCTGTAAAATGGAGGAATCATGCCTACATCAACAGATTATTTGTTTTATATAAACCCTAGGGCATTCTAATAGTTGGAGATCAAGCAAAGGAAAAAGAGCCAGTAGAAAAGACTAGAAAGCGAAAGTTGGTTTACCAGACCTCTAGAGAAGAACATGTTACATGGAGTGTGTGTTCCTCTGTGTCAAAGTTGCCAAGAGCTCAATGCACATGACGGAGGTATGATGACTGGGTTTTGGCAAGGCGGAGTGACCTCAACAAGAGCAGTTTCAGTAGAGGGGTGGGAAAGATGTCTGATTAGCATGGGTTGAGACAAGACTGTGAGATGAAGAAATGGAGACAGCAATTATAGAATACTTAAGTTTGGGGTAATGGAAAGTTGAAAAATGCAGCAGCAGTTGGAAAGGAAGCTGGGGTCAAGGGAGGGTTTTTTATGCATAGGGTATTATGGCATCTCAGTATTTTTTGAGGGGAGTGATCCACTGGAGAGAGATTAAGTGATCTAGAGGAAAGAAGAGATAATTTCCAGGAGATTGACATATGAAACACTTGAAAAGATAAAAGGGGATGGGATCCAGAGCCCAAGTGTAGAGGTTGGCCTTTCCTAGGTACAGGGATGCTTCATCCTGCATATATAAATGAAGGTAGGTTGGTAGACTCACCTAGGTGGGAAGATGTGGGAATTCGTGTCCTATTACTTCTGTTTTCACTATGAGGCAACGGTATTAACTGAGAATTAGGTGATGGTAGTGGGAGGAAGTAAATTACGTAGATTAGTAAATTCAGATATTTGAGGAGAAAGGAAAGGATATGACATGTTGAAGAAGGGAAGACTAGGGAAATGTAGAGGCTAGCTAGTCGTGCTGAGATTAGTGGGGAAGAATTTAAGAGACCTGTTAGCATGTGTATCAGTCAGGACAAAGTAAGCTTTTCCTGCAGCAATAAATGACTCCTACATCTGAGTGACTGGACTTAAAAACGATCTATTTCTGACTGGGTGTGGTGGCTCACACCTATAATCCCAGCATTTTGGGAGGCCAGGTGAGAGGATCACTTGAGACCAGGAATTCAAGACCAGCCTGGACCACGTAACGAGACCCTGTCTTTACATTTAAAAGAAAGATATATTTCTTGTTCGTGTAGCATGTCCAAAATAAGTTGGCGAGGGTCTCTCATCTTCTTAGTCTCTCAGGAACCCAGGTGTCAAGGATCATAAAGGGGTTGAGATTTTACCCTACTTGTAATCTCACAAGTTAGCTTGCTAGGTGATAGAGATGCTGGCAGAAGACACTTCTGGATCAGAGTTGATGAATTTCATTACTCATAGCAGTAGCAGTAGCCAGAGTGTTAGCATTTGTGTCAGTTCTCCAAGCCCCAATTCCCACAGGGAGATATAAAGATGCCAAATGACACCTGCACACACAGTGGGTTGTGTTACAGAAAAATCCTGCGCTTAGGGAACCCAAATCTTTTGTAATAGTCAGTAAGCATGCCTTACCATTGCTTTCTTCCAAGGCTGCAAGCAAACCTGCCCTTTGCTCCAGAGGAAGATATTATCTCTGTCTGTCAAGGCTTTTCACTATACAAACATCCTTGAAAAGGTAGTAAAGAGCAAAGCCAGTCAGTGCTTTTGCTTGTAAGATGTGCAGAAATGTGAGAGACCCAGGGAGAATTGTGTCCCAATACCAAGTTGATGGAGGTACCACCATCTTGTAACCCCTTCATTTAAACACATGGCTTCCAGTGTTGATAAGGCAGGGAAAAGAGACCTAGAGGGTGACACAGGCTTTTCACTGACTCAGCCCCAAAGTGACATGCCATCACTTGTGCTTTCAGTCCATTGGATACACCTCAACTATCCAGGCTGGGTTATGGGCTTACACATGTGACCAGGTAGAAGAGAAGAAGCAGATATTGATGAACACTAGCAATGTCTACTACAGTATGGCTGTGTGTTTTTCTCCAGTACCATTTAGCTGTTCAGGTACAGAAACAAAGCAAGTAGCAGTTGGATTTAATCTCAGAATTAGGATTCTGACCAACTAGTCTAATGGAGGAAAAGAATGGTGAGGGAGGTAAGTGTTTGCATAGAAGTGATTTCATAGGTGGACCATGTGCTATGGTCTGAATGTGCAAAATAAATTTCTGTTTTTTTAAAATTACTTAGTGTCAGGTATTTTGTTATGGCAGCAAAAACAGACTGGCACCATGGAATCTAAACATGGTAAGGAGGGAAGTAAGGACATAGAGATGAAGAATATGAAAAAGGGCTAGAACTGTGGACTGGAGGACTTCATAAGGTTGCAGAATTTCTGGACTTGGAGAACTAGAGCAGCTGAGCTGAATGGATGAGAAGTTGTGGTCAAAGAATAGGATTCTGGAAGTCAAGATTTCAGAGGTAGTGCAGTTTGAGGGATGATTAGTTCAGGAATGTGTCTCTGAAATTTGATGGCTAAGGTCAGATCTGGGGAAGATTATTAGAGGTGACAGAGTCAGGGAACTAAGAGGCCAAGGTGTTGGATTAATCATCTGTGAGGAGGTTGAAGTCACCTAGAATGGTGACAAGAGTAGGGGTAGGAACGAAGAGAAGGATCCAGGTAATAGAAAGAATGAACATGTGAATCTGCATGAGTCTACTCAGGCTGCCACGACAAAGTACAGCAGACTGGATGGCTCAAACCACAGACAATTATTTTCTCACAGTTCTGGAGGCTACAAGTCCAACATCAAGATGTTGGAAAAGTTCAATTCTTCTTAGGCCTCTCTCCTTGGCTTATAGATGGCCACCTTCTCCCTGCCTTCACCTGGTCTTCCCTGTGTGTGTGTGTGTGTGTGTGTGTGTGTGTGTGTCCTAATCTCTCTTCTTATAGGGACACCAATCATTATCAGATTGGAGCCCATTTATATGACCTCATTTTACCTTAATTACCTCTTTAAAGGCCCTATCTCCAAATATAGTCAACATTCTGAGGTACTTGGGGTTAGGACTTCAACATAGGAATTTTGGAGGGACACAATTCAGCCCATAACAATATTTCCCAAGAAGATACTCCTTGGTTGGTCCTTGATTGGACTTGGCAGTATCCTGAAAGGTCTTTGCTTCGGCAAAAACTTGGGGAACATTGAATGTTATGATGGTACCATTTAAAAAACAAGGAAACCCTTAGGAAACTAATCCACAACACATCTACAGAAACCTCTCTTACGGTCCTTTCTGTTTGGAGATGGTATGTTATTGACTCCTACTTAACCTCAATTCTGGTCTTACCCCTTATGTTGGGCTGTCCTCTGAGAGCCCTCTACTCCCCTACATAACAAAAAACTCAATAAACCCTGGAATCTTCTCTGTGATAGTTAATAAAGCCTACCATATGAATGTGTATATGTGTGTGAAATGTGATGTTTATAGTAGATGTCAATCTACTTCTATGTGTTTTTATATAAATGAGAATAAAACATTTTAATCCCCTTTAACTTTGTGTCTGTATGTATGATGGGCTGCATTTTGAAATCTTCATGCAGGCCTGGCCTCGGTATAGAGTTCTGAAGACAACAGTTTTATCTCTGTAAGCTGTAGGAGCATTTGGACTCCTCCCTGCCTAATCTTGTACAAGGTTTTTTACAAACAATGCCCCCTGGGAAGTCTATGGCCGCCTTCTGACCTTCTAAGCCAGATACCAGGTTACTGACTTCAGGGTGGTCCTCATGAATAATGTTTTGTTTGGGGCCAGGAACATTTTTAAGGATGTGAAAGCGCTTGCAGCATGAGGAGAAAATGAAATCTTGATACTACAGTTTTGTAAGATATTGAAGCGAAGTTCCCATGTCTTAAATAAAACAGCAAAATGTGAAAGACTCAAAGCTGTTGTTACAAGGTTTGCCCTATGAAATATGCTTTCTCTTTGGCCTCCTTAAATTCCCTCAGTCATGCTTGCTTTGCTTTCTTTCAGTACTCCCAAATGAGAGAAGCTTTCAGAATGCTGCTAAAAGCAATAATTTGGATCTTATGGAGAAGCTGTTTGAAAAGAAGGTTAACATTAATGTTGTGAACAATGTGAGTAGAAGTCATAAATATGACAAGTGACTTCTCCAGTAATGGCTTGGATTTACACAGGACATCTGAAATAATAATAAAAATAAAAATCATGGTGCTGGCTGAGATAAGGGAGAGCTGCTTTGTTGGTAATCCCGGGGTGTTTAAGCTAAAAGGTGGAGTCAAACAGTGGAAGAGGCTCTGGGTGTTTTAATTCCTCTTCCAAGAAGGGGAGTGCACAGAATCTTCATGCCTATCTGTTCAAAGTCTGTGGGTGGGCAGTAAAGCCAGCTGTCAGGGTTGCAGGCCCGGACTTGGTCCTGGATTGTCGCCTGTGGATCAGTTTGGCCTCACACATTCTGGAAAGGCAGAACATTTTTTTGCTATACAATCTGGGTTGTTTTCTTGCCAATGATGTCCTTTGTGGTTCTGTTTTTCCAAATTTAAAAATCTAAAGAGGCGTGTGGATTTTCATTATACTGGTTTTGAAATGTAGTGCGTCTCCCTCTTGGGCAATGAGGCCTTATCTAAAACCTGGCTCTTACTTGTTCTTTAAGTGCCGGGTTTTAGCGGAGGGAAAGTCCACTGCCATAAATTTGGATTCTTTACTGCTTGCTTTTGTGAGGATTTCCTGATAGTCCTTTGAGGCCAGGTTTATCAAAGTGAAGGTTGGAGGCTGTGTCAATTGCTTAGGACAATTTGTGGAGTGGTTCAAGGTGGGTGTGGCAGAGGTGGATTTAATGGTATACGAAGCATAAGCTTCAGGGCCCTTGCTTGTACAGGCCCCTTGTAAGGCACTGAGAGGGCTCTAGTAATATGTTCCTATGACTATATGATTTTGTAAAATCTGAAAAAATGTAAGGCATTTTAACTGCAATTATTTAAGCTTTCTGACTCTGGCTTTAAGGAAGACTCCCTAAATAGTCTAAACTCAGGTTTCACAAAACCTGTGTCTGTCGCAGGCAGTAAGGTCCTAGAAACTGAAGCTGCAGAATCTGAAATCATGTCCCACGTGCAGTGGAAGAATGTTGTGCATGTGGCGGCAGTAGGGGGGTGGTGTGGCTTTGTGCTTATGTGTGGGGATGAGTGTGGGGATTGGTATGTCTGTGTATAATGTGTGTGTGTGATGTGTTATGGGTGTATATATAGTGCTCATGTTCCATAGATATCCTAGAATAGGAAAGCAGCAACATTTTGTAGCGTAACAATTTTAGGGACAAAAAGAAAAAAAAAGAAAGGAATCAAGAAAGGAAGGAAAGGCAGAAAGGAGAAAGGATGGAAAAGAGGAAAAAGAAAAGAAATAAGCAAGTCTCTTTGAAGGGAATATTTGTATAGTTTCAAAAATATTTGTGGATAGATATCTTTGAAGATTATTATGACCGTGGAAGGTTAACTGTGGGAGTAAGTGAAGCAATAATCACTTTTCCAAGTAGCAGGAAATAGATTCTCTAGTATACTATTCAAAACATTTAACATTTTTCCATATACAACTTTCTGTTATTTTAAACTTTTTCTTAATATTAAAGTACTTGGGAGAGATACTACAATCTGATATACTTTAACTTGCAGTGTGGCAAGTTATTATAAACTCCTAATGAATTGTATTATACTTTCTAATGACATCTGTTTACTGTTTACAGCAAATTGTTGACATGGTTACTTGTAGAGTTCCTTAAAACCAGTGATGATGGAGATTTTAAAAATATAAGTAATTTTATTGAATTATCTTGGGTGCAATTTTGGCTTACATCCTTATTCACAAGTAAAATTAATAGTGGAGCTTATAAGCCCATATTTGACATAGTAGAGCAAAGCTCCAGATTTCAGACAAAGTCATAATAACTGATGGGTTTTTTTGTTTTGTTTTGTTTTGTTTTGAGATGGAGTCTTGTGCTGTCACCGAGGCTGGAGTGCAGTGGTGCAATCTCAGCTCACTGCAACCTCCACCTCCTGGGTTCAAGCAATTCTCCTGCCTCAGCCTCCCTAGTAGCTGGGATTACAGACGCACGCCACCACACCCGGCTAATTTTTGTATTTTTAGTAGTTACAGGGTTTCACCATGTTGGCCAGGCTGGTCTCAAACTCCTGACCTCAGGTGATCCACCCGCCTTGGCCTCCCAAAGTGCTGGGACTACAGGCATGAGCCACCATGCCCAGCCATAACTCATGTTTTGTTGAACTTATTTTATCACTGGTTTAGCTATTGTGAAAGTTTTCAGAATCAAAATGGAGTCACCGATATTAAGAAAACCTTGACAAATAGAGCTGGGGAAGGCCATGAATACAGGGTTCTCATGCTTGTATACCTGATAACAAAAACTACCACAAAAGACTGCAAAACCCACAACCTTGCACAAACGCCATCACAACCTTACACAGAAAATATTCTGCAAGGACATCTGTGCAGCAACTGCCTAAGACTGGCGTCAGCTTGTTGTTGAACTTTGTAGCAAAGGATAATTATTTCAAAACAATTATATAATCCTCATTTTTTCCTTTAAAAACCTTTGTCTTCTTTTACTTCCCTAAATACACACATAGTTTTACTATGACATGCATATTCCCGTTGCAATGCTTTATTCCCAAATAAATATATTTTCTTTTGAGAGTATCTCTTATTATTTAGGTTGATGCTACCAAGAAAATCAAATATTTAAATGGTTCTCATTTTTTTATTATTTATGTATAACAAAGAATAGTAAAGCCATGCCCAGACATCTTATTTGGGAGCAAAAGCAGTGTCTAGAATATGGGGAATATGACACATATCACTTCCGAGCATAACTTCCATTATCTGAAATGTATTAGACTGTCTCTGGGTATCCCAGGAGCATCATGTTGACTTTCCTTTGGAGCAAGATAGTCATAGCTTTCTTTCTCTGCCTTCTGTCTTTCTTTCCTTCCTCCTTTCTTCACTCCTTTTATCCCTTCCTCCCTTCCTTCTTCCTTTCAGAAGGAATTTATTTGCTTCAGTAAAATTTACAGTCCAAAAACTTAGAGAAGAACGAACACGAGTGGATTGAATATCTAGGAAAATTTCCGCTATGCATTATTAGTATATTCTAAGCAGAAAAATTTACCATTATTAATGATTGCATAAGGGGGGAATCCAACTTTTACTTTCTAAACAAAACCCATTATATTGCTACAACATAATGCTACAATACAGTACAATATAAGCTGAAACAAGAATTTCATCTTGCGGCGTGTCCTTCAGTGGACTGCCAAATTCTCTGATGTTATCTCATAATGAAGGCAGAATTCGGCTGGACACAATTCTCATAACTTTCAAAGGTAAAGGCAAAGAGTGGAGCCAAACAATCAAAATAGAAACACTTGATAGAAAAGTGTGGCCATTCAAGAAACAGGAAACCTAAAATCACTGAATAATGATCAGATGACTAAAAACATAAATTATGCTTCCTCAGATGAACCGCACAGCCCTGCATTTTGCAGTGGGGAGAAATCATTTATCTGCAGTGGATTTCTTGCTTAAACACAAGGCCAGGGTGGATGTTGCTGATAAGGTAAGCTCATCTTGAGTAGAACAAGTTGGAGCATAACCAATGTACAGGGAGAATCTGATCATTCCAGTTAGACATCTTTTCTTCACATACACACAAAATATTTTAATTGGCAGTGTTCGTTTTGGAAAGGTCTCTTCATAGAGAATATACATATATGTGCTCTTTGAATTTGGGGACTAAATTGTTTCCCCTTTACCTATGGGACCTGGGTTTTTGCTTATTTTCTCATATTGACTTTATGGCCAATAGCATGCATTTGTAAAAGCAAGATCATTGTCCAGAGTATAATCTGGAATGTGGAAGACAGAAGCTAACTGGCCCCAGAGACATCAAATATTGACTTTGCTCTATGAACTCTGATAATAAATAGGTGTATTAAACAGCTCAGGGGTAAGCCCAGGAGCACACACACAACTTTATGCCATCACTTTCTCAGGCTCCATCGTCTCCATGATCAGCTCCCCTACATTTTCTAGCTCCTCACCCTCTTTTCCTGGTCCTCTGTCTGGAAAGCCAAGGCTGTGGTCTCCCCGCTCTGCTGTGTACTTCCCACAAATAGGTCTGCCTCCAGGACCAAGTAGGGGAGGGTAACAAGAGAACATTTGGATTCTCCCTCCACGCTGCTTTATGACCGCAGTTCCTCTGGTCAGAGAGAAAGATTCCCCTATGTCAGAGTTTAGGGTGCTTGCCCAGCCACTGCTGCTACCCCTACCACTGTCAAGTTGTAGCTTTGGGAGTGGGGCTTGGCTTGGGGGAGGGGGCAGGGCCAGTAGAGAAAAATGAAGCAGAGAATTTCCCCTACCTTCTCTGTTCTATAGGAGCTCCCTTCTCCTCTTTAGACCAGAATGAGAGAGCTTCTCTTGGAAATCTTTCTGACTGTGCCCAGGGCACAGTTCCATGATTTGCACTGCCTTGAGTCCAAGTTGGAAGGTATGGAAGGAAAAGAAAAATCAGGAAAGTCACTGCAGGATTGTCCTTACTTTGAGTTCTGATTTTTTCCCCAATCCACCTGATACCATTTACAGAGTCCTCAGCTGTTCCATGCATTCTTTTTTTTTTTAATTTTAATTTAAAATTTGTGTGGGTATATAGTAAGTGTACGTTCCATGCATTCTTTCCAGAGATTTTATTTGTTTTGGTGGCAGAGACAGAGTGGACTGTGCTTACTTCGTTTTAACAAAAACCATAACCCCAAATCTCTAACATACCAAAGTAGCGGGAATCATACAGCAAACACCTATGTATCCATTGCCCATATTAGATTGCATCTTTTCTTTTAAACAGAATATCTGAGGATTGCCATGTTTCTAATATGTTAAATACAGGACTGGTTTGTGTCAGAGTGCAAATCAATTATTCCTGAAATGATGGAGAGATATTTCACCAACTTGTTCTCCTTGAGGTTTTTCTAAACATCTATTTGTATTACCTTGTCTCTGAAGCATGACTATTTCTCTTAACTTTGCCTGAAGATTGAAATAATGTCAGGTGGGAAATATAGTAATTCCTGGTGTGTCTCTTTTTCCTGCTTTGAAGGTTTCACTAAGTTAAATATATTTATAACTAATTAAATCATCTACAGTGGCATTACTCTGTAACTAGTAAAATGTTTTTCATAATTCAACCAAGGTCATGTTTGACCCAATCTGGCAGCTTCTTTATCTGAATGGTGAGCCTTGAGTTTGACTTCTTCTAAGTTCTAACACCATTTGCAAAGAGCCAACAGTTGATCCCCTTCACCATCAATATTTATTCAGTGGCTGTTGTGCATATGTCTCAGTGTCAACTACTGAGGATTCAATTAGACAGAAGTCATTGCTATTTAAAGTGTAGTCCCAGGACTTGAAGCATGCACATCACCTGCAAGCTTGTTAGAAATGCAGGATCTCAGGCCCCACCCCAGGCCTTAATCAGAATCTGCATTTTTAAAAAATTCCTAGGTGATTGTTTTTGGGAAGCACTGGTATGAAATAGAGTCATGGCTTTGCAGGGCCTACAGTCTATCTGGGGAGCAAGGACAGAGACTGTACCAGCTGAGTACCATTCAAGGCACTGCATGCTAGGGACCAAAGTGAGCAGCAACCCCGAGTCCTGGGAAGAGGCAGACTGGATAAATGGAGGCTCTTACTCCAGACAGGTGTAAAGAATCCCAGGTGGGTGCAAGTGGTGCTCAGAGGATAAAAACATCTGCTGACAAAGCTTCTTACCTCTGGGAAGCTCCTAACATGGAAGTGTTCCCCAGAGGAAATTATTGGCCTCACCTATGACGAGACTGGCAATGAGGACAGGTTATCAGTGACTATTGAGCAATGTACACTTTACAGAGCTTCGTGAGCCAACTGTGAGTGTAATTTGTGACACATGGTCTTAAGTAGTCTCAGGCATGCCAGTTTTATATCAGAAGAATTTCTTTTATGGAGGTTCTTCTCGGGGAGTTTACACCTGTGAGCGGTGATTCATTGCCTCTGAGGAACAATGGCTCCACTCTGAGTTTGTGGTTTTAGAGACTCAAGTTGATTGCAGCTTGAATTCCCAGCTTTTAGATTTTATGATCGGAGCTTCGAATTTTAAAATGTAGGCTGCTTTGAAATTAGGAATTACCTTTTAGGGAAAAATAGATCTCCTATCAAAGAGTGATTTGTCACCTGTCTCAAATATTTCTGGTGGTTTTTTTTTCTTTTTGAGGTGGAGTTTCACTCTTGTTGCTCAGGCTAGAGTACAACGGCGCAATCTTGGCTTGCCGCAACCTCCTCTTCCCAGGTTCAAGCGATCCTTCCAAGTAGCTGGGATTACAGGCATGCGCCACCATGCCTGGCTAATTTTGTATTTTTAGTAGAGATAGGGTTTCTCCATGTTGGTCAGGTTGGTCTCGAACTCCTGACCACAGGTGATCCGCCCACCTTGGCCTCCCAAAGTGCTGGGATTACAGGCAGGAGCCACCGTGCCTGGCCTTCTGGTCTCTATTTGAAAGCAGATTTAGTATTACTAAATATAGAGCGCTGACTTGTAGGGAACTCCAAATTAAGAGGTGGAATTGTGTTTAGGGAACATGTTTTGAAGAACCTCAAGTAGTCAGTCATTGTTCATCATTTCTCTTTGGAACAAAGAGTCCAGAAATGAAGAGTCTTCTTCATGCTGGAATTGTAAACCTACAAATGGACTAACTCACCGTCTAGAGTGATAGCTGAAATATAAATTTGATAGGATATGCACATTAAGAGTGGGGTTTCTCAACAGTGGTGCTATTGACATTTTGGGCCTGATAATTCTTTGTCGTTGGGGCTGCCCTGTGTATTGTAGGATGTTTAGCAGTGTCCCTGGCCTCTATCCACTAGGTGCCAATATTAACCTCCCCCCACCCACGGCATGACAGTAAAAAATATCTCCATACATTTTTCCAAATGTTTCCTGGGGGCAAAATCACCCCCAGTTGAGAATCACCAGTTTAGAGTTATGCCTCAATAATTTGGGACTTGCTGTTTTACTCTCCCAACATGAATTCTACTGAGAATAAGAGAATACATTAATGCAACTTGGGGGCAGCCAAAATAAATGCCAAAAGGCTTATGTACTTTACAAATAGAAGTGTACTGCAGGCCCTCATTCCTTAGTCATTTACTCATACTGTGTACATCTAACAAACAGTTTCCAGATCACAAACACAACTGATTAGAAAAGGCAAATAAAATGTAGTGTGAGAGCTTCCTTTGGGTAGGCACTTGTACTGAGGAAATGGATTACTTTTTCATGGAGCTAAAGGAAACAGAAAAACAGACACTTGAGTTTGCAGATAAGGAAGCTGAAGCTGAGAGTTAGAACTAAGTTCACCAAGATCCCCGTACTTGAAAGTGATAGAAAGTGACCAGAATTTGAGATTAGTTCTGCTTGATCCTGAAGATCAGGCTCATAGTGTCTGCCCTATCCTGCTTCTGTAACTTAGGGCCCGGGGTGCAGATGCATTTTTTTGCTTATTTCCCTCGAATCTCACCTCCCTAAAATAACCAGTGTTAACTGCTGGCTATGCTTCCTTCCACACTTTTCTCCTTATTTGGTAGACAAGTCAGCATACAACTGCCCACAGCATCCCTACAGGTCACTAAGTCCTGGTCTCTTTCAGTCTCACAACTTTATGCACATGTGTTTGCACACAGACAAATCTAAATAATTTTGTGTAAATAAAATATTTTAAGTAGCATCTATATAAATGAGATCCTCTTTATAACTTGTGTTTTTTTCACCTGTGTGTACCCTCTCCTCCTCTGGTAACCATACTTAACAATCTGAGATATGTGTGTTTATTTCTGTACTTTTCTCCTGCTCACATAGTCATATCTATATTGATCAATCGACCTACCTACCCACCAACCCACCTATAGATAGATATAGATATATACATATACATGTATGGGGTTTTGTTAATCACTCCTTTTTAACAAATGGGATTATATCATATTTATTGTCTATCTTATTTTCCATATTTAGCAAAGCTCATGGAAATGTTTCCAAGTCAATTGTTGTAGCACCAATTCATTATTTTTAATGCTTGCATTATATAGTCTGACTATTCCATAACTTATTTAGCATTCCTATGTTGATAGGCTTTTATCTTGCACTCAGTTTTTAGTGTTACAATTACTATCCTTATATATATAGAATTAGGTACTGACATTTTTATTTTCATGGGATAGATTCCCAGGAGTGGGATTGCTGGTTGTATTTTTAATTCTGATAGATATTGCCAGATACTTAAACAATAATCATTTCCATTTCCTTTCTTTGTCCATTTTTCTGAGTTTGTCTTTTTCTCCTCCATATGTAAGTGTGCTTCATGCATTAGAGAATAACCATTTATCTTTATTAAAGATACATTTTTAAAAATCTGTCATTTTTAATTGACTTTATTATCTATCTGTTCTAACTCTGGATTAAGAGACTATACATTATAGTCTGGATTTTATTCTAATATATTTATTGTTTGTGTGCTATTTTGTGAGTATGGTATGATATAGCTTTTCATTTTATTTTCTTCCAGATGGAGAACCACTTGCCTGTACCACTTATTAAGTATAACCATTTTTCCCCATAGGACCGAAATATCACTTTTGCTGCATATTAAATTCTCTATTTCTTAGTTTTCAACAATCTAGTATTAATTTGGCCTTTGTTGATGAGGCAGTATATGGCTGCAGCTTGTCAGAGTGATAGATTCTCTTTTTCTGTCTTCTTGGGGAAGCACGGCTTGACAGTAATTCACCTTGCAGCCTGGTCTGGGAGCCTTGAGGTCATGCTCATGCTGGTTAAAGCTGGAGCAGACCAGAGAGCCAAGAATCAGGTAGGTATGTGGGTCACACCTGGACAAAAGCTCTTACCTCACCATTGCAGGAGAGAGGAAGTTCTGAGGTCACTGTCTATCTCCCCCACCCCTGGTTCTCTTCAGGATGGAATGAGCGCCCTCCACTTTGCCACTCAGAGCAATCATGTGCGCATCGTGGAGTATCTTATTCAAGATCTGCACCTCAAGGACCTGAACCAGCCTGATGAGGTGTGTTCACTTTGGTTGTGTAGGTCTTGCATACACCCCTATCAAATTTCACTTTCTTCCTGCCTCTGGTACAGCTGTGAAAGCAGCCAGCACAGACAGACCCGGCCCTGTAGCCGGCTCCTCCATCACCATGGCAGACCACAGAACCAAAGAGGAGTGTTGGTATTAGTGGTGGTCCTGGCCCCTGCTTGTAGGGAGAACAGGAAATGTTGAGGAAGCAGCCAGATTCCTTCTTCCCATTCTACTCCCTCATCCTGGCCAGAGTGTGGATAGTATCCTATCCCCTCTAGTAATCAGAATGTGTACCTAAATTTTATTTTATTATACTTGGCCTTTTGGGAATATATTTGACCCAAAGCTATACAGTAATGAGCCTTGAAATACAATGCAGTTTTACTGCATTTGTCAATATTCCTTTTCTTTACATAAGGAGATATATAACAATACCAGCTACTACTTAACGAGTATCTATTAATGTAGGTACAGAGGAAAGCTATTTACATACATTATTTCAGTAAGAGGTCTTGGGCCTGGCACCTACCAATGCTCAACAAATCATTGCTGAATGAATGAATGATCTCATTAACCCCTACAATAATCCTATAAGGTAGAAAATATTTTGCTCATTTGTAGAGGAGAGGAAGTTGAGATTCAGAGACCAAACACCTGATCAAAAGTCTCACAACTAAAAAGTGAGAGCCAGGACTTGAAGCCAGGTCTGGCTGAATCCAGCCTTCATGCTGTGCTGTCTCCCTTCTCAGACTAACAGTGGGTATTGGTCATGTCAGGGACTGTCCTTCCCCCGGAATATCTCCCTCTAGGCCTTGTTTTTTTTTTTTGTTTGTTTGTTTTGTTTTCTTCATACAGGAGTAGCTTTTGTGCACTTGGCATTTTGATTTCTCAGCAGTAGAATATACTTCATGAATGGGATTTCCTTTTCTCTGTGCCACCAGAATACTACACCATAAAAGTTTCTTTAGAAGCTGGTCAGTAATAGTCACTTCATTTCACCTGTTTTTAAAAATTTTGACATTTGTTTTCTGACCTTAATCTTAAAAACAACAATATTAATGATAAGAAGTATTTCTTCAAATTAGGTCTATAAACTTCTTTGACTTCCTCTACATATGATTAAACAACTATACATTTACAGCTTAGAGGAAGACAGACTTGGGCTGTGGTCTGGTTAGTACCACCATGCACTAGCTGTGTGGTTTTAAGCAAGCTCTTCAATTTCTGAAACCCCCAGTTTCTCCATCTATACAATGGAAACAATAAAATCTACTTTATGGTAACAACAAGGGTTGATAGGAGAAGTCTTGTCCCACATATAATTTTTTTTTAAATCAGCAAACCTCCATTCTTTGATATATAATGATTGACATTTCCTCAATCTTATGTAAAAGTACCTATGCAAATGCGCTTCGTGGTAAGCCATTCCATAACCCCCTTTCGTTTATGCCATTCCTATGTAGCAATATTGTAATAGCCACTGCTGAGATGCTTAAATGAGCTAATGACTATAAAGCACTTAGCAACAGGCCAGGCACATTGTAAGTGTTCACTGTTGTAACAATTGTTATAGGATAAAATATCCTATCTGATTTTCTCAAAGTGACAATCATAGTCAAATGCTATTTAGTATCAGAATAAGGAAGTTGAATCTTCCTAATTTTATCCATGCCAAATAGAGGTGTGGCCAATGAATGAATTCCATTCAGTTCAGTTCAGCAGATATTTGTTGACGGCCTGTTATGCATAAGACACACAGTTATTTTCCCCTTCAATGTGCCCTGATTGCTTCCATGAAAGATGGTAGTGTGTGGGAAGGATCAGGCAGGCTGATGGGGTTCAGAAACCAAAGCAGGTTTGCGGGGAGCCTTCCCCACTTCTTGAGTTTCTGCTGGCCAGCAGCCTTCCTGTCCAAAACTCTTTTCAACTGATTCTGGGCATGTCCTCTTCTCTCACCTTCTTCCTCCTCTATCTGTTGGGAAAAAGGGTTGGCAGCAAACTGCAGAGAGTAATGTCCAGCTGCAAGATCTTAAACTGAGTTCAGAGACATACAAGGAATGAGCAAATAATGAGTCCACTGGGTCATCTAGGGAAAGAAGACTCTTTGAGTCTGAGCCCAACTTTAGTCTCTTAAGAAAACTAAATTGATGAATAGAAAACACAGAAAAAATCTACTTTTTTTCTAAGATCTGTGAGTGGGTCATACCTGTTGACAAAAGTCAGTTGGAATGGTAGTTGCCAGGAGCTAGGAGGAAGGGAAAGTGGGAATTATTGTTTAATGAGGACAGAATTCCAGTTTTGCAAGATGAAAAGCGTTATGGAGATGGATGGTAGTGATGGCTAGACAACCATGAGTATACTTAATGCCACTGAGCTATACACTTAATAATGGTTAAGATGATAAATTTAGTTATGTGTACTTTACCATAATAAAAAAAATTGTGGGGGGAAATGCCAGTTGCAACTGGGATCAGAAGCTCAGGGTCTATTGATTTACTGCTGGGTTTCCCATTTGCATCTGCTTAAAGGTATTGTGGAGTTTGTGAAATATATTTGATATTTAAGGCATCTTCACCTTCACAGTGTTACTCTCTTGCCTAGTTTCTTATCAACAGAAAGTGATTGAGAGCTTGTGTACCTGCCAGGTTTGGTAAAATCCATCTCTTTGGCCTGGAGGGAACTCCAAAAGCTAACAAGGAAAGCTTTCCTGGAAGGAGGCCCTTAAAACAAAATGGATTTAACTAGGCCAGGGGGAATTTGGGTGGGGAGAGATGGAGGTTGCTGGGAAACCTTCTGAGATTTCCCCCAACTCCACAGCCATAAAAATCATTGAGGCCTTTCCAGGGGAGAGAGATTAGAGCAGCCAGGAGTTATGAATAAAGTATAGATATTTTGAATCTACATGTAAATGTCCATCTGGTGATCAAAAATAAATACTCAGACTAACATGTTTGGGGAGGGAGAGAAATAGAAAGGCCTCACACGCCATTCATATATTTGTTGAATATTTACAAGAATTTGGTGGTACAATGTTGGGTTGGTTTCAGCTACGAATATGGTAGACTTCCATTGGTTTAAAGTCTCTGGAAGTCAAAATACAAAGAAGCTTCTTTTTCTGGGAGGGAAGGGGATAGTGAGTAGAAGGGGACTTGAGAAGACACCTGTTTTCTTATATAGACCCAAGGCAACATTTAACAACTTTAGATTTCATCAAATCTATTGTTTCCCATCTGTGAGGGGAGAACTAACCCAGTGTCTCCCACCCCACCAGTGCCACTTTTTCATATTTAACACACTGCTTTTTTTTTTTAACCTCATGACACATATTTTTTTACCTCTGAAATTTCTAGTTATTCAGGGTTTCCCCTGCCTCAAGTGCCTGATCCCGGGGTGATGGGAAATGTTGTAGGCAGGAACATGCACTGGAGGCCCACCAGCGCCTCTCCTCAGGGGCTCCTAAGAGCGACACATCTCAGGGATCCCTGTGGTAAAGGAAGGTCAGGTTGAACTTTGGATACCCACTTAATGGCTATTTATGAAATTTTTGCTGAATTTGATAACATCAAATTTGATTACTTCATCTTCTCAATAAACTTAAAAATAATTTATAATAAACAATCCCAATCCCTCAGACTTAACATGCAAAAAAAAAAATTAAATGCATTGAGTTAAAACATATCAGGTTAGCCAGGCACAGTGGCTCACACCTGTAATCCCAGCACTTTGGGAGACAGAGGTGGGAGGATCTCTTGAGCTCAGGAGTTTGAGAACTAGCCTGGGAAGCATGGTGAAAACCTGCCTTTACAAAAAATACAAAACATTAGCTGGCGTATGGTGGTGCGCACCTGTGGCCCCAGCTACTCGGGAGGCTGAGGTGGGAGGATCACTGGATCCCAGGAGGTGGAAGCTGCAGTGAGCTGAGATCATGCCACTGCATTTCAGCCTGGGTGACAGAGTAAGACCCTGTTATAATTAGGTTAAATAGACATCGAGTTAATAGAGGAAAAAAAGAACAGGAATCCTGGACCCTTCTTCTTTTAGTACTTAAACGGGCAGGATCCTGAGCCAGGGAGTCTTTGCGATTTGCCCAAGGCCTGGAGCCCAGGGCTCTGACACCAAGCTCCACCATCCTCCTGGCTGGAAAAGCTTCCTGCCTTCCAAGTAAGGGAGGTCCTATGAGACTGCCCTGGATAGAGGCCTATTTGAATGTGATGAAAAAGGATTGGGTAGTTAAAAAAAATAAAGGACATGATAAGAAACTATATTGTTTAAAAACCACATATATCTTTGAAATTCCTGTTATTTTGTCTAATAATATGTACTCAATGAGAGAAAAGATTTATATCTCATTATGCTATAATCTCATCTTTATGCTACCTTTTCATATATTTATTACAGATTATTTTAAATGTCTTTACTTTGTGTAATTTTGCTTTTACATCTTTTTCCTGGACGATAACTGTTTTAAAGGGCTTCCAAAGTTCAAACTAATAGTGTTTCCATGGAAAGGAAAGATGTTTCATCTGTGGTAACTGTAGTCTTTTCTCAGAACCTCCCATCTCTTAGCAGGTGAAGCTTTCTTTCACTCTGTTATCTATGCAGTAATGCAAAGCTTTGTAGCAACCACGGGTAAAAGAAAAGTGCCATTTTAAAGTTGAACAGATTAGTATTGTTACCAAACTGATAAATATGTATTAGTTAGAATTCTTTCTGTTGTAAAGACAAAAATCCATCTTGATCGAGATTAAGCAAAGAAGGTAATTTATTAACTTCGAACTAAAGAGTTTGAGGGTGTATCTTGCCAGCTTCAGGCATGGCTGGACCCAGCTCTTTCTTTCTTCATTTCTTAGCTGTCTGCCTGTCAGCATTATTCATAGGTATACTTTTCATATAGTAGGAAAGATAGCTGTTAGCAGCCTCAGGTTTAATATCCTTATGGATTTCAATCCATAAGAAATAAAAATAATCTGTCATTAAATGTTTATATATAAATCTCAGGAACAACTCTGGCCCTACCTGAATCATATGCCCAATCTCGAACCAATCACTGTGACGACAGGGTTATGTAATCACTTCATGTGGCAGAAGGCAGGCAGGTAAGGCCTGGAAATGGACAGCACAAAATGGGCTAAATGACAGGGTGTGTGTATGTATGTGTGGTTGTTCTGCAAAGTAAAATGAAAGTGCTGTTACTAGAAGAAAGGTAAATATAAAGGCAAAGCAACAAATGCCACACTAGGGCACAAGACCTTCATGTATTATTTGTGGTCTCTGTGCATAAAGAGCTAACAAAAGCACTTACCTTCTGCATGATAATTTAAATTTTGATTAACTTTTTGCCTCTGTGTCCTTGCAAACTAAATAAAGATAGATTATTAACTATGTTACTAAGCAGCATAGATTGTGATAAAATTACCTCTAATTGGTAAATTCCATCTAGACTGGGAAGAACTACAGATGAATTATAAATTCCAGAAGGGGAAACCATCTTTTGGGCTTCTCTGAGTGCAGTGACTCTTGGAACTAGGCATCTCTCTCATGGGGACCCTGAAAGCTGTGCCTAAGGAGTTATTCAGGAGATATTTATTCTTGTGGGGCATGAGCCTTCTAAGCCAGGATGGCTCCGACCCATCCAATGTGGATCTTGTCACTTTGCAACTAAGCGCTCATCTGGGGGTCCAAAGACAATACCTCCTGGACAGCTATGTGGACCGTGTCATGAAGAGAAAACAGCTGATAGATACTGACAAGCTGTAATTTGTGCCCACATCTTCTGAGAAGACTGGTGCCAGATGTTGCCTGTGATAACTTTATGAGTCTGAAATGTTTAGTTGAACCTTAAAAGACTCACTGGTGGGCTAGGCGCGGTGGCTCACACCTGTAATCCCAGTACTTTGGGAGGCCGAGGCAGGTGGATAACTTGAGGTCTGGAGTTTGAGACTAGCTTGGCCAACATAGTGAAATCCCGTCTCTACTAAAAATACAAAAAATTAGCTGGGCATTGTGGTGCGCGCCTGTAATCCCAGTTACTTAGGAGGCTGACGCAGGAGACTTCCTTGAACCCAGAAGGCAGAGGTTGCAATGAGCCAAGATTGTATCACTGCACTGCAGCCTGGGCAACAGAGCAAAACTCTGTCTCAAAAAAAAAAAAAAAAAGAAGAAAAAGAAAAAAAGACTCATTGGTGGACATTGAAGTTGCTCATAATTCTCTGACATAGGCAGTTGATTTAAGGAAGCCATCTAGTCAAAGGTGACAGAAACTCAACCCAAACCATACTAAGGAAAGGAATTTATTGGCTCATTCAATTAAAAATCTAGCCATGGATTCAGGTATGTCTGAATGCAGGAGATCAAATGATGTCAGCAGGGCTCTTTATCTCTTCCTAGTTTTCAACTCTGCTTTTCACTGTGCTGACTTCATTCTTAGGCAGGGTCTTCTTATCAGGTGGCAAAGAGGACTACTAACAGCTAGCTGATGGCTCTAGAATAAAAATAGGATAAGCCAAAAAAATATCTCATGGTTGGCTCTCATAGGCCTAGCATGTGACCATCCCTGAACCAAGCACTGTGGCCAAGGGATAGGTGGTAGAAGAGGCAGGAGCCTATAATTAACAGCTCCACAAAATGAGCCAGGGGTCATTCTCCAGTGTAAAAGATAGCAGGCAGGAATCAGGTAACAAGTGCTCTTTTCTTCTGTTCCAGTGCATTACCAACCTTTAAAGGCCTTCTTCCACCATTTCTCACCACCCGCCTTTCCAGCCACAAACACACTCATGCTGAGTTATGTACCCCCATATATAAGCAGCACTCGGTTACTACATTACATTATAATTACTTGCTTATGTGTCCATCTCTCCTTTTGGACTCTGAGCTTGAGGATGGGCAATATATTTCTCATCTTGGTCACTCTATTGCTTAGCACATTATCTGGCATATTCATAGGCGCTCAACAATTGTTGAACAAATGAATGAATTATTTATGAGGATATGTGACCAGATGTTTTCATCTGGTATATAATCACTGTCTCTTGTTCCCTCTTTTTGATTTGTTTACATGAAACTTTACCTGTAGTCACTATTTGCAGATATTGATATATCAAACACAATGATTTTTGGTCTGTCATTTCCAAAGAGTTGCTCATGACTCAAGATTAAATTTTACCCTTCAATTAGTGCCTACCTTGAAAGCAGAAAACTGTGGTTCCAAGCAGTCTCTGTTTCTTTCCTTTGCCATTTCTTAGTGATTTCCTGAGAATGAAATCACTAAACCCTTTGAAGGGCTGGGGATGTAGATCTCATTGGTGACATATGTGGCCCAAGAATGATGAATTAGGTGAACTTTTTGGTGCAAATTTGTTTCTCCAGCTTCCATACATGCATAAATACAGACCTCTGTAGGACTGATCTTTATAGATTTGTTTTTGTCTTCGCTTTTTGCCATTTATTATTTCAGCATTTTTTCTTCCTTTTTTTCTCCAGTTATTGGGGGCTCCTATGTTGTTATCTCAGGTTAACAGTGGCCGTGATCTTTTCATTACCCTATTTTATCAAGTGTTAGATGAGGCTCATATCTATTTTTTAACATTAAGACACCTTGCTAAGCTTTCAGTTAGTAACACACTAAGCCAATCTGTGAGTGTTTTCTTCTCTTTAATTGAAGAAAATACTTCTGCTACCGTATTGCCACCACAACTTCCTTTTCCTTATTTTAATTATCTCAAGTTACAACATTACATTTTCTGTGGATCTGTTATAGTTTGGCTATGCTTTGTCCTCACCAGAATGCATGTTGAAATTGGATCCCCAATCTGGTGGTGGTAGGAGGTGGGACCTATTGGGAGATGTTTGTGTCATGAGGGTGGATCTTTCATGAATGGCTTGGTGACATTCTTCAGGTACTGAGTTCTCACTCTGGTGGGACTAGATTCATTCTCATAGGAATAAATTAGTTCCCACAAAGGTGGGAGCTAGGATGCTCTTGGGTTTTGTCCCTTCACACATGCTTGCATCCCTTTGACTTTCTCTGTCATGTTATGACACAGTGTGAAAGCCCTCACCAGAAGCCAAGACCATGCCCTTGAACTTCCAGCCTGCAGAACTGTGAGCTAAATAAACCTCTTTTCTTTATAAATTACCCAGCCTGAGGTATTCTGTTATAGCAACACAAAGCAGACTAAGACAGGTCTTTCACTTTTCTTGATGACATTTTGGCTATGGAAAATATAGTCTCCATTGGCAACATGAAAAGTAGGAGGAATTCCATAATCAGAAAATTCTATATTTGAGCTTATCTTCTAAAAAAATCAAACCTAAACATTTCTCTTCATCTGTATTCTCTGGGTAATGCCTCATTTCTTGATTCCATTTTGTATTGACCTATTCTCAAGAGTTTTCCTATTGATTCTTAGTAGATGTTGTAGATAAATCTATGAAGAAGAAAGGAAGGCCTAAGGAGAAGCAGTTAATCAAATGTCATGTCTGAATGAGCCACATAAATAATAAGCCCCAGAGTAAGGGAAGGCTTAGTATAATGTGCAGGTGCCTGAGACAGGGTCTGACACATAGTAGCTTCTCAGTAAATGGTGAAATAACTATGGAATAAATAAAGTTCATAATATTGCTATATTTAAAAGGGAATCTTGTCATCTGACTGTGATGTTGCACCTCTCCTGATGCTTGAGAGGACCTTTTCTGAACAGTATTTGTGTGCCACCATGAAACAGATTTCATGCTGATGTGGAGTCTCCCACAGTTTTGAGTGAAAACCCAGAACCTGATCTGATTTGGAGTCAGAGATAGCATCATCTTCCTCCCTGAAGAAGGGCCATCTTGGACTCCCCATCATCCTTGAAATGTCGCTAGCTTTGTCCATTGTCTTGCTTGTTCACTAAGACTGTAATAAATGCTTGAGGTTTGTGATTGATTTTTAGAAAGGAAGAAAACCATTTCTTTTGGCAGCTGAGAGGGGCCATGTTGAAATGATAGAAAAACTTACCTTCCTAAACCTGCATACTTCAGAAAAGGACAAGGTGAGTTGGACTTTTATTTCTTTGCTGAGAACAAGAGAAAGGGGAGTAACAATTGATGTAGAGGGGTAACAATTGGCATGTAGATTTGGTGAGGGCGTTTTAGTCAGCAGGAGAGTTAAATTGCTACTGTACTCAGAGAGAATCATGAACTATCCAGGCAAAATCCTTCCACTGTTGCTCTGGGTTGTCCAGATTGGCAGTTTTTGCTTCATAAATGTTTGTGAAGTCGATAGACCACATGGATTTTTCCATGATCAACTCCACCCCTCTTCTCTCCTCCCATGAGGTCTCCTGGAGGCTCAGCCTTATATGAAAGGGGAGGGGAAAACCCTGGGGTAGACGTCCATATCTATATGTACACCTTTGATGACTTTCTTAGGAGAAATTCCTAGATATGGAATTGTGGGTCAAAGGCTTCTGCACATTTTAAAATCTTTGAGTATACAATATTGCTAAAATGATCTCCCAGAAATCTTTCACCATTTTACCCTCACAGAGGTCAAATGGAATTGCTTTTGTTGCTCCATGTTTTGCTAGCAATTGGTAGCAAAGTTAGAACAAGGAGCATGGATGATTTTTTTCCTACTGGTTCAAAAAACTATACCTTTTTATTTAAAACTTAAAAATGTATAAATTTCACTTAAAACTGCAGATACAGTGGTCCACACTCTGGACCGCAGCTTTAACCAAAATGAAAACTTCCAGAAACTCCATTGCAGCCCTTACTATTGAAGGAGCATGCTCTCCTGGCACAGGGGTTTCTACGTCGAGTGTGTCTCTGTTGCAGGGGGGAAACACTGCCTTGCACCTCGCTGCGAAGCATGGTCACAGTCCTGCAGTGCAGGTGCTGCTAGCCCAGTGGCAAGACATAAATGAGATGAATGAGGTATGTGGAAGTGCTCGTTATTGCCATAGGACTTAAATGTGGAAGGGTTGGAGGAATGGCTTTCAAGAAAAGAGTGGGAGGAAAACAAAGGTGTTAGTGCCATGGAGTGTAAAATGTGATGCTGAAAGATTCTTACTTTATTCTTCAAAGTATCCCACAGCACTTCATTTGTTAATCCATTCATTTATTCGTGCATTCATTCAAATAACGTTGTTTAATATGTACTGTATGCCAGATGAAGTATGTATTCTTATTCTAGAAGCCTACAGGGCAAGAAAGGCATGCAAAACAAATAATGTATTGGGCTACATGCAATAATAGAAGTCTACAGAGAATGCCATGAGAACACAGAGAAAGATGTTTTTCAGAAATTACAGTTTTCACAGAAGAGGTGATATATTATCTGGGTCTTGACATTGTAATGAACGTTGGCAGGAGGGATTTTGAGGATGGCATGAGTATAAAGTATTTCAGAGGGAAAAGTCCAAGTAAAAGAACCAAGGCAAGAGTATGGTGTGTTCCGGGCTGACAAGCTCAGGGTGGCAGAAATTGAGGATAGGAGTGCTGGGAAAGCTGGAAGCTTAGTGGGCCAAGGCAGACAGACGATGAAAGGCCATGCTTTACAAGAGGGAGGGTTTGGCTTTGCTGTGGTTGCCAGCAGATACCTTGAAGGGTTTTAAGCAGTGAAAAGGGATGGGATTCATCTTAGGTGTGGGCAGGTAACTGTCACAGCTGTTTGAAAGGTAGACTGGTGCCAGGAGAGCCCAGAAGTGGGGAGGACCAGTCAGGTGACTGCCAAAATGGGGGAAACAAGACCTATGGAAGGCTTCTCACTGAGACACTCATGAGCAACAAACAGGATGAAGTGGTAGGAGGAGGTAGAGTCCACAGGACTTGTGACCAGGACTTGGGGAGAGGGAGGACTTTCTGCCCCCAGCTGTCTGGCTTGGGCTGTTGTTGGGGAGTACAGTGGGGGAGCAGGTGAGTGAGGTAGGTAATGAGGGCTTGAATGGGTTTGTTTGAGGCACTTGGGAGGTGGGTACATTCAGGTGGAGTGTTAGCGAGCTGGAAACTGGTTCTGGAGCCGGGTGCGCTGGCTCACACCTATAATGCCAGCAGTTTGGGCGGCCGAGGTAGGCGGATCATCTGAGGTCAGGAGTTTGAGACCAGCCTGGCCAACATGTGAAACTCCGTCTCTACTAAAAATACAAAATTAGCCGGGTGTACTGACGGGTGCCTGTGATCCCTGCTACTCGGGAGGCTGAGGCAGGAGAGTCGCTTGAACCCGGGAGGCAGAGGTTGCAGTGAGCCCAGATCGTACCACTGCACCTGAGCCTGGGCGACAGAGACTCTGTCTCAAAAAAAAAAAAAAAAAAAAAAAAAAAAAAAAAGAAAGAAAAAAGAAACTGGTTCTGGATTTGGTGCAGGGGATGTGGCTGTGGCTATGCAGGCGGGTTTGTGAGTCATTTGCCCTGGATGGTCACTTCTCAACCTATGGTCCAGTAACTTTTTGTCTGGCTGTTTGGAAACTCAGGTCAGTGGGGTCCTCTTGGATTTCACAGTTTAATGTTCTGATCATTTCTAAACTTGATGCCTCTCCTGAGAGCTACGGAAAGAACTAGTATCATAATCATTTACCTTAAGATACCATTGATTGTAAGGCACACCATTATTTTATGTAACACTCAGAAAAAATAATGCTGCCATTTAACTATGACAAAAAACTTTATTATCACTTAAAATATTTATTTTATGCTGCCTATTTGAAGATGTGTTTAGACTTTTAGTTTTTTACATGCATATATAAAGGAAAAAATAAGCAAGATAACTCAGTTAATTGTTTCTAAATTTCATGCTGAATTAGATTCTTCTAAATCACTTTCTTATTCAGTCTTGACAATTTCTTTCTTTCTTTTTCTTACTTTCTTTTTTTTCTTATAGCGTCAGGGTCTTGCTTTGTCACCCAGGCTGGAGTACAGCGGCATGGGAGATGCAGCATTTCTTAAAGAATGCCCCACTGTTGTTTCTAAGATTTTCTTCTAAGCCACTGATACCCATTCCAATGTAATGCATGTGCTCAAACAACGACAATTATACCCACCTGGTTGACTGAGCTAGCACTCATGACCTAATCACCTTGTAAAGGCCACCTCTTAATCTTATTGCATTGGGGATTTAAGTTTCAACATGAATTTTTGGAGGGACACAAATATTCAAACCAGAACAGAGATCAAGTCCTGTAGTCACAGGATTTATAGTCTTAGTTATTTATAGTCTTAGCTATGCTTTCCCTGTTCTATTAAAACATGTTTAAACCACTGGAATATGTGCATGCATGTGGATTTCATCTTCCTTTTAGCAACTTTGGAGTCAGGGCACATTGGGGAAAACTCATAAAGCCCAGGAAACTTTAATTTCAGATTATAATAGGTTTCATTTGCACAAAATTAAGGGCACAGTGATAATAATATTATCTTTTTGGATATCATTCATAATGTTTGTCCATTTGTGGGCTGCCTCTGTTTCCTGATACAAGCTGTTGCCAGATCAGTTAGAGTGACCCATGTGAATGCTCTAGAGCCGTGGCTTCTAGACATTCTTGGTAGCAAACCCATATCAGTAAAGAAAGTTTGATCATGTGGCTATCACATATACATTTATAATTCAATTAATTCATTATAAAGCATATGCTAGAAATATAAATTTTTAAAATTCAAGATAAAAAATAAATAGCAGTTTTGTATTTTCTCTAAACTCAAAGAATTATTATTATTTATTATTATTAGAAATAGGGTCTCATTATGTTGGTCAGGCTGGTCTCAAACTCCTGGCTTCAAGTGATCTTCCCATCTCAGCCTCCCATGCAACTGAGATTACAGGTGTGAGCTACCATGCACAGCTCAAAGGATGATCTTAGACACATCTGATGGATTTTACTACCAGTTTCCTTTTTGTTCCTCTGCATATATGTACAATATATTTTTCATAGCTGCCCCAAATTCACTTAACTATTCTGTAGCTCTTGGATATTTAGTTTCAATTTTTGTTTATTATAGGTAGTGCTGTCACAGACCTCTTTGTATATAAACCTTAGTCTGAATTCCTCACAATTGCCTTTGGGTATATCCTTAGAAGTAGATTGTAGGGTCCAAGATATGAAACCTTATCAGGCTCTGGGTATATTAAAGACATGAATTGTTTCCTTTACACTTTATTTTAATAAATGTTTTTCCCACTGGGACTTGTCTTTTTGCATCTATTTTCCTGGAAAAATGAGAAGAAAGATTATGGGGAGAAATGCCTTTTCTGTTTGTTTGTTTGTTGGTTTTTTGAGACGAAGCTTCACTCTTGTTGCCCAGGCGGGAGTACAATGGTGTGATCTCGGCTCACTGCAAACTCTGCCTCCCAGGTTCAAGTGACTTTCCTGCCTCAGCCTCCTGAGTAGCTGGGATTACAGGCGCATGCCACCACGCCAGGCTAATTTTTGTATATTTGGTAGAGACAGGGTTTCACCATGTTGACTAGGCTGGTCTTGAACTTCTGACCTGAGGTGATCCACCCACCTCGGTCTCCCAAAGTGCTGGGATTACAGGCATGAGCCACTGCACCCGGCGGAGAAATGCCTTTATAAGCAGATGGCTGTCCCAGGCACCCAGGTAAAGCAGCCTGGAATATAATTTTCCCACCTTGTTGGAATGGGAACACTGGTTTCTACACTCTTGTGTTCCTGTTAACATGATTGTTTATACCTAATTAGCTATGAGTAAAGCCTTCTGAATTTATCTAAGGCAGTTGTTAAGCAGAATAATGTCCAAGGAGGGAAATCATTAGGGAATGGGGAAGGAATTCTGCATTTCTTCCAAATATTTTTAGGAAATTCTACATGAGGAAAGGGAAATAGCCAAGTAGCTATTGTGTGGGACCAGCTCCTTCTTTTTCCTCTATGTTTTGGCCTGAATTAAACTCTTACTTTGTCCTTCTAGTATTTGTCTTGAGTTTCAGGAAACTGAAGTACTGAGATTTTTTTAATTAATGTTATTTTTTAAAATGTCATGTAACATTTAATCAGTTGTAAAGATTAAAGTTATACTTGGTACAAACGTACTTCTAATTTTGTATGTTTCATACTGTACTATAATTCCTTATTTCTGAGATTATCTTTCTTTTTTTTTTTGTTTTGAGATGAGGTCTCACTCTGTTGTCTAGGCTGGAGTGTGGTGATGCAATCCTATCTCACTGTAGCCACAACATCCTGGGCTCAGGTGATCCTCTCACCTCAGCCTCCTGAGTAGCTGGGACTATAGGCATCCACCACCATACTCGGTTAATTTTTTAAACTTTTTGTAGAGATGGGGCTTTGCCACGTTGCCCAGGCTGGTCTTGAACTCCTGAGCTCAAGTATTCTGCCTGCCTCAGCCTCCCAAAGTGCTGGGATTACAGGCCGAGCCACTGAACCCAGCCACTTTGACACTTTTCAGCTGAGGTTTAGTTTTCTTATCTGTAACATGTGGATAATATTAACCCTGCCCTTATAGCATTGTGTGATTTAACTGTGCCAAAGCATATAGTCTTGGCAGTACAAGTTGACACATAGTTGTTCAATAAATGCCATCCATTATTAAGAGTAATGCACAAAAGGCATAGAGAAAGCATGTTGTTTGTCAAGTAATTTCATTCCATGACAAAGGGCAATTAAATTTAACTTATTTTTCCTTTTGTTGGAATGGAGAAACACCATTCTTTCTGAGTGTTGAAGGAGGTCATGAAGAGTGCAGCAAAGTGCTGCTGACAGCAGGAAGTGACACCAACATTCCAAATAAAGTATGTGTTCCAGACCATGTTCACTCATGCAGTGGGAAGGAGACTTAAAATGTTCTTTGGAAACACTGGTCCTACATTGATCCACTCACTGGTACTTTAGAATTAATATTTATAATATGCTTTGTTTTTGGTAAGAATTAATGATTTACCTCTAATATTCCCCAGTTACTGTGTCCTCAAAAGCAATGCCATTCTTTCTATTCTTTTGGGGAAGGAATAATTGAAAATGGGGCAAAATGAGCAAGTACTTGTCACTTCTTAGAAACAGACACTCTATTCTACTTTGTTTTTTCATAGCAACTAGTGCACGCTTGGCTTATACAGAGAAGACGCTGAAAAAAAAGTTTATTGTGTGAAAGCTCAAGTGGTCAGCCTGGTGCAGGAAGAAGGAAGGATGGTGCCTTCCTCTAAATGCAGAATACTTTTGTATGTAGTCATTGTGCTAAGAACCTTTGAAACTTTTGAGACTGTGTTATTATTTTTATTTTTTTAGATCACAAAAATAGAATTTGGAAAAGTTAAGGAAATCATTCAGAATCATACAACTAGTCAATAGCAGTGCAAGGATTCAAACTAATGTCTGACACCAGTGCCTCAGCTTTTAACCCCTGCAATGGCTTTGTCTTCAGATGGTTTAGTTTCTTTTTCTGTTTTTCTAATTAATTGTAATGAAAACTCATGACAAAAAATTTGAATAGCACCAAAGGGTATATGATAAAAAAGTGTCTTACTCCAACCCCACATCGCAATTTTACTCCCCAGAACTAACATCCTTAATAGTTTATTTAGTCTTCCAGGAATTTTCCATGAATCCACATGGAAAATGTAATTAAATCCATACACATATATATACCAACACTGTATAAACAGTAGCACAGTATATAATATATGCTGCTCTGCACCTTGGTTTCTTTTGATTGCCAATATATTTTAGAGATCTTTATATCCACACAATATATAAACAATTTCTTTTCAACAAGTACAAATTTAAACACGCAAGAATAAATTCCCAATCAAGAATAAAGTCCCAAACTGGCATGTTTGATACCCTGTATTCTGCTGGTGGGAGTCTATATTTGTATAATCTTTCGAAAAGCAATTTGTCACTTTCCTTTTAACCACACATGGAAAATTATGTTAAGGAAATAATTTAAAAGGCAGAAAGCTAGCTGCATGCATTCAGATAGATGATAAAGTTAGCTCCAATAGCCAAGAACTAGATACAACATATACGTGGAATGAAAGGTAGGAGAAGGCTGAAAGAAGGTTTGGTGCATCTACTTGGAAAATTATGTAGCTGTTAAAAATTATAGTGATAAATACTAAAAATATGTTGCAATATTGAACATGTTAATCATAGAACACTAATTGAAAAAATATAGTATAGTAAATATTAATATAATATTGGATTTATATATACATGCACAGGGATTGTGAGAGAGGAAAATCAAAGTAGTGTGAGTTGATTCCCACTGAAGTTGCAAGGTTATTGATGCAATAAATAAACACAAAGTTAAGAATTCATGGGAGGTGGGAGGAGCCAAGATGGCCGAATAGGAACAGCTCCGGTCTACAGCTCCCAGCGTGAGCGACGCAGAAGACAGGTGATTTCTGCATTTCCATCTGAGGTACCGGGTTCATCTCACTAGGGAGTGCCAGACAGTGGGCGCAGGCCAGTGTGTGCGCGCACCGTGCGCGAGCCGAAGCAGGGCGAGGCATTGCCTCACCTGGGAAGCGCAAGGGGTCAGGGAGTTCCCTTTCCGAGTCAAAGAAAGGGGTGACGGACGCACCTGGAAAATCGGGTCACTCCCACCCGAATATTGCGCTTTTCAGACCGGCTTAAAAAACGGCGCACCACGAGACTATATCCCACACCTGGCTCAGAGGGTCCTACACCCACGGAATCTCGCTGATTGCTAGCACAGCAGTCTGAGATCAAACTGCAAGGCGGCAGCGAGGCTGGGGGAGGGGCGCCCGCCATTGCCCAGGCTTGCTTAGGTAAACAAAGCAGCCGGGAAGCTCGAACTGGGTGGAGCCCACCATAGCTCAAGGAGGCCTGCCTGCCTCTGTAGGCTCCACCTCTGGGGGCAGGGCACAGACAAACAAAAAGACAGCAGTAACCTCTGCAGACTTAAGTGTCCCTGTCTGACAGCTTTGAAGAGAGCAGTGGTTCTCCCAGCACGCAGCTGGAGATCTGAGAACGGGCAGACTGCCTCCTCAAGTGGGTCCCTGACCCCTGACCCCCGAGCAGCCTAACTGGGAGGCACCCCCCAGCAGGGGCACACTGACACCTCACACGGCAGGGTATTCCAACAGACCTGCAGCTGAGGGTCCTGTCTGTTAGAAGGAAAACTAACAACCAGAAAGGACATCTACACCGAAAACCCATCTGTACATCACCATCATCAAAGACCAAAAGTAGATAAAACCACAAAGATGGGGAAAAAACAGAACAGAAAAACTGGAAACTCTAAAACGCAGAGCGCCTCTCCTCCTCCAAAGGAATGCAGTTCCTCACCAGCAACGGAACAAAGCTGGATGGAGAATGATTTTGACGAGCTGAGAGAAGAAGGCTTCAGACGATCAAATTACTCTGAGCTACGGGAGGACATTCAAACCAAAGGCAAAGAAGTTGAAAACTTTGAAAAAAATTTAGAAGAATGTATAACTAGAATAACCAATACAGAGAAGTGCTTAAAGGAGCTGATGGAGCTGAAAACCAAGGCTCAAGAACTATGTGAAGAATGCAGAAGCCTCAGGAGCTGATGCGATCAACTGGAAGAAAGGGTATCAGCAATGGAAGATGAAATGAATGAAATGAAGCGAGAAGGGAAGTTTAGAGAAAAAAGAATAAAAAGAAATGAGCAAAGCCTCCAAGAAATATGGGACTATGTGAAAAGACCAAATCTACGTCGGATTGGTGTACCTGAAAGTGATGTGGAGAATGGAACCAAGTTGGAAAACACTCTGCAGGATATTATCCAGGAGAACTTCCCCAATCTAGCAAGGCAGGCCAACGTTCAGATTCAGGAAATACAGATAACACCACAAAGATACTCCTCGAGAAGAGCAACTCCAAGACACATAATTGTCAGATTCACCAAAGTTGAAATGAAGGAAAAAATGTTAAGGGCAGCCAGAGAGAAAGGTCGGGTTACCCTCAAAGGAAAGCCCATCAGACTAACAGCGGATCTCTCGGCAGAAACCCTACAAGCCAGAAGAGAGTGGGGGCCAATATTCAACATTCTTAAAGAAAAGAATTTTCAACCCAGAATTTCATATCCAGCCAAACTAAGCTTCATAAGTGAAGGAGAAATAAAATACTGTATAGACAAGCAAATGCTGAGAGATTTTGTCACCACCAGGCCTGCCCTAAAAGAGCTCCTGAAGGAAGCGCTAAACATGGAAAGGAACAACTGGTACCAGCCGCTGCAAAATCATGCCAAAATGTAAAGACCATCGAGACTAGGAAGAAACTGCATCAACTAACGAGCAAAATCACCAGCTAACATCATAATGACAGGATCAAATTCACACATAACAATATTAACTTTAAATATAAATGGACTAAATTCTGCAATTAAAAGACACAGACTGGCAAGTTGGATAAAGAGTCAAGACCCATCAGTGTGCTGTATTCAGGAAACCCATCTCATGTGCAGAGACACACATAGGCTCAAAATATAAGGATGGAGGAAGATCTACCAAGCCAATGGAAAACAAAAAAAGGCAGGGGTTGCAATCCTAGTCTCTGATAAAACAGACTTTAAACCAACAAAGATCAAAAGAGACAAAGAAGGCCATTACATAATGGTAAAGGGATCAATTCAACAAGAGGAGCTAACTATCCTAAATATTTATGCACCCAATACAGGAGCACCCAGATTCATAAAGCAAGTCCTGAGTGACCTACAAAGAGACTTAGACTCCCACACATTAATAATGGGAGACTTTAACACCCCACTGTCAACATTAGACAGATCAACGAGACAGAAAGTCAACAAGGATACCCAGGAATTGAACTCAGCTCTGCACCAAGCGGACCTAATAGACATCTACAGAACTCTCCACCCCAAATCAACAGAATATACATTTTTTTCAGCACCACACCACAGCTATTCCAAAATTGACCACATAGTTGGAAGTAAAGCTCTCCTCAGCAAATGTAAAAGAACAGAAATTATAACAAACTATCTCTCAGACCACAGTGCAATCAAACTAGAACTCAGGATTAAGAATCTCACTCAAAGCCGCTCAACTACATGGAAACTGAACAACCTGCTCCTGAATGACTATTGGGTACATAATGAAATGAAGGCAGAAATAAAGATGTTCTTTGAAACCAACAAGAACAAAGACACCACATACCAGAATCTCTGGGACGCATTCAAAGCAGTGTGTAGAGGGAAATTTATAGCACTAAATGCCTACAAGAGAAAGCAGGAAAGATCCAAAATTGACACCCTAACATCACAATTAAAAGAACTAGAAAAGCAAGAGCAAACACATTCAAAAGCTAGCAGAAGGCAAGAAATAACTAAAATCAGAGCAGAACTGAAGGAAATAGAGACACAGAAAACCCTTCAAAAAATCAATGAATCCAGGAGCTGGTTTTTTGAAAGGATCAACAAAATTGATAGACCGCTAGCAAGACTAATAAAGAAAAAAAGAGAGAAGAATCAAATAGACACAATAAAAAATGATAAAGGGGATATCACCACCAATCCCACAGAAATACAAACTACCATCAGAGAATACTACAAACACCTCTATGCAAATAAACTAGAAAATCTAGAAGAAATGGATACATTCCTCGACACATACACTCTCCCAAGACTAAACCAGGAAGAAGTTGAATCTCTGAATAGACCAATAACAGGCTCTGAAATTGTGGCAATAATCAATAGTTTACCAACCAAAAAGAGTCCAGGACCAGATGGATTCACAGCCGAATTCTACCAGAGGTACAATGAGGAACTGGTACCATTCCTTCTGAAACTATTCCAATCAATAGAAAAAGAGGGAATCCTCCCTAACTCATTTTATGAGGCCAGCATAATTCTGATACCAAAGCCGGGCAGAGACACAACCAAAAAAGAGAATTTTAGACCAATATCCTTGATGAACATTGATGCAAAAATCCTCAATAAAATACTGGCAAACCGAATCCAGCAGCACATCAAAAAGCTTATCCACCATGATCAAGTGGGCTTCATCCCTGGGATGCAAGGCTGGTTCAATATACGCAAATCAATAAATGTAATCCAGCATATAAACAGAGCCAAAGACAAAAACCACATGATTATCTCAATAGATGCAGAAAAAGCCTTTGACAAAATTCAACAACCCTTCATGCTAAAAACTCTCAATAAATTAGGTATTGATGGGACGTATTTCAAAATAATAAGAGCTATCTATGACAAACCCACAGCCAATATCATACTGAATGGGCAAAAACTGGAAGCATTCCCTTTGAAAACTGGCACAAGACAGGGATGCCCTCTCTCACCGCTCCTATTCAACATAGTGTTGGAAGTTCTGGCCAGGGCAATCAGGCAGGAGAAGGAAATAAAGGGTATTCAATTAGGAAAAGAGGAAGTCAAATTGTCCCTGTTTGCAGACGACATGATTGTTTATCTAGAAAACCCCATCGTCTCAGCCCAAAATCTCCTTAAGCTGATAAGCAACTTCAGCAAAGTCTCAGGATACAAAATCAATGTACAAAAATCACAAGCATTCTTATACACCAACAACAGACAAACAGAGAGCCAAATCATGAGTGAACTCCCATTCACAATTGCTTCAAAGAGAATAAAATACCTAAGAATCCAACTTACAAGGGATGTGAAGGACCTCTTCAAGGAGAACTACAAACCACTGCTCAAGGAAATAAAAGAGGACACAAACAAATGGAAGAACATTCCATGCTCATGGGTAGGAAGAATCAATATCGTGAAAATGGCCATACTGCCCAAGGTAATTTACAGATTCAATGCCATCCCCATCAAGCTACCAATGACTTTCTTCACAGAATTGGAAAAAACTACTTTAAAGTTCATATGGAACCAAAAAACAGTCCGCATCGCCAAGTCAATCCTAAGCCAAAAGAACAAAGCTGGAGGCATCACACTACCTGACTTCAAACTATACTGCAAGGCTACAGTAACCAAAACAGCATGGTACTGGTACCAAAACAGAGATATAGATCAATGGAACAGAACAGAGCCCTCAAAAATAATGCCGCATATCTACAACTATCTGATCTTTGACAAACCTGAGAAAAACAAGCAATGGGGAAAGGATTCCCTATTTAATAAATGGTGCTGGGAAAACTGGCTAGCCATATGTAGAAAGCTGAAACTGGATCCCTTCCTTACACCTTATACAAAAATCAATTCAAGATGGATTAAAGATTTAAACGTTAGACCTAAAACCATAAAAACCCTAGAAGAAAACCTAGGCATTACCATTCAGGACATAGGCGTGGGCAAGGACTTCATGTCCAAAACACCAAAAGCAATGGCAGCAAAAGCCAAAATTGACAAATGGGATCTAATTAAACTAAAGAGCTTCTGCACAGCAAAAGAAACTACCATCAGAGTGAACAGGCAACCTACAACATGGGAGAAAATTTTCACAACCTACTCATCTGACAAAGGGCTAATATCCAGAATCTACAATGAATTCAAACAAATTTACAAGAAAAAAACAAACAACCCCATCAAAAAGTGGGCAAAGGACATGAACAGACACTTCTCAAAAGAAGACATTTATGCAGCCAAAAAACACATGAAAAAATGCTCATCATCACTGGCCATCAGAGAAATGCAAATCAAAACCACAATGAGATACCATCTCACACCAGTTAGAATGGCAATCATTAAAAAGTCAGGAAACAACAGGTGCTGGAGAGGATGTGGAGAAATAGGAACACTTTTACACTGTTGGTGGGACTGTAAACTAGTTCAACCATTGTGGAAGTCAGTGTGGCGATTCCTCAGGGATCTAGAACTAGAAATACCATTTGACCCAGCCATCCCAATACTGGGTATATACCCAAATGACTATAAATCATGCTGGTATAAAGACACATGCACACGTATGTTTATTGCGGCATTATTCACAATAGCAAAGACTTGGAACCAACCCAAATGTCCAACAATGATAGACTGGATTAAGAAAATGTGGCACATGTACACCATGGAATACTATGCAGCCATAAAAAATGATGAGTTCATGTCCTTTGTAGGGACATGGATGAAATTGGAAACCATCATTCTCAGTAAACTATCACAAGAACAAAAAACCAAACACCGCATATTCTCACTCATAGGTGGGAATTGAACAATGAAATCACATGGACACAGGAAGGGGAATATCACACTCTGGGGACTGTGGTGGGGTGGGGGGAGGGGGGAGGGATAGCATTGGGAGATATACCTAATGCTAGATGACATGTTAGTGGGTGCGGCGCACCAGCATGGCACATGTATACATATGTAACTAACCTGCACAATGTGCACATGTACCCTAAAACTTAAAGTATAATTAAAAAAAAAAAATTAAAAAAAAAAAAAAAAGAATTCATGGGAGCCATGAAATATTCAGAATGTGGAGAATGTGGAGAGCTGTGCCTCTACAGTCATTACACAGGTGCCTCCTTGTCCCCAGTCGGTATCCCCCTTCAAGTTCCTGGGAAGGCTTCCCAGGTTAGCAAGACTCTGTCAGGCTTACTCCATTATTTTGTACACTGCCTTACCCTTGTCCTTAATTATTTTGCCCTTAAGTATTTTGCTTTGTAGTGATTTTCATATGCACACGTTCTCCCCATCCGACTGAGACTTCAGGCTCCATATTGCCCCTGTCCTTACAGCCAGTGGTCTCAGCTGCTCTAGGCAGCCTGGAAATGATCGTGAATCCATTTTTTAGCTTTTACTTTTAGAATTTTTCCCGAGTTCATCAGCACACTTCTCAATCAACAACCTCAGCCCCCACTAGCTATCCACACCTATCTGTCCAACCCAGTGAAAACCCTGGGGAGAAAAGCAGTGTGAAGCAAGAAGCCAACAGCAAGAACACACACGAGCCCGGGATGGGTTGGACTTTGGTTTGCTTTCACATTTGTAGGTGATTGCTGTGTTTGATCTTGGACACACTTCACCTGCTGACACTGAGTCTTGGTTTCCAGGAGATTGCTTTTGTGCTCCCTCCCACCTCCCCATCATCAAGGGGAGTGGGTAAAGGGTTGAGTCATTTCTAAGGAGGATGTTGGAGTGAGATTATGAATGTAGTTGACACCTGGCTTCCTCCATTTGTGTTGGGTGGAGGGGCTGCCCAGAATTAGGGCAACAGGCTCTCTTTAGGGCCCTATTAACTGCCCTGGGTCCAATAAAGGCTTTTGTAGGTCCTAAAAACTCATTCCTGGAGGTCCTACCTCACATTTTATCATACATATTTAAGTGCTCCCACATTCCTCTTTACTTTTTTTTTTTTTTTTTGCTGGTAATTGCTCTAAAAGGCTTTTTTGTTTTTGCTTTTTGCAATTATTTGGCTATGACAGACTCACCTAATTTATGATTGACTCTGATTTCTTAGAACTCTGTGTGCATAATTGGGAATTTGAGGGAGGTGAAAAAATGCAACCTACAAATTGTTTATAAATATGAATATTTTATGAATATTACATTTAACAATCAATGAAGTATGAATGTCAATTAAATATTTATTCACTTCAATTTTGTGGTTTTCTTTTGGTATCGTGGAACCAATAATTTTTTTATGTTTTACATTTTAACGGTTTCTTTGGCACATAAAAAGTCTGTAGGCCCTACACACGGAGCCCATGATGCCTAGAGGTAAATGCTGTGGACTCCTACTACAGGGTTCCTGCTTTGAGTTTCTTGTAAATTTGTTTCTGCTTTAGGTGGCTTCTGATCTTCCCAGGGAGGGCACTTCTGACCATTCTGATCTCAGTTTAAATGTCACCTTATCCAAGAAGGCTTTGTTGATCAGCCATTAGAAAGTAGCCAACAAGTCATGCTATTTTATGTCTTGCTGTAGAACTTACAACTAGCTGATGTTATTCTTCTAACAACATCTAGAATCTAAAAAGCAGATTTAATTTAAGTCCACTGATCTGCTGATCTACAAGTCTACCAATCTATGGATCAATTGATTGTCCACCACCACTGAAATGTAATGTCTGAGATCTCGTCAGTGTTGTTTACCAACATATCCCTCCACTATCTAAAATAGTGCCTGGCACAAAATAAGTGCTCAATATATTTTTTGTGGAATGGATAAAATAATAGTTACGGTTACCATACACATTTACTGGCTCACGTATCCTCCCAGTAGTATTGTGATTTCAGAGAAAGAAGGGGGTGATGTGGTAGGCAGGGTCAGGTTCCCCACCCCAGAGATGTTCACATCGCAATTCCCGGAACCTGTGAATATGTTATGTTACATGGCAAAGGAGAATTTAAATTGCAGATGGAATTAAGGTTGCTAATTGGCTGATCTTAAAATGAGATTCTCCTGGATTACCAGGTGGGCCCAATGTAATCATAAGGATCCTTTAAAGAGGAAGAGGGAGGCAGACGAAGATGTCAGTGATGCAATGTGAGAAGGCCTCAGCTAACTGTTGCTGGTTTTGACAATGGAGCAAGGGGGTGTGAGCCAAAGAACATAGGAGGCTTCTAAGACCTGTAAGAGACAAGGAAGTGGATTCTCCTGAGAGCCTCCAGAAGGGAACATAGGTCTGCGAACTTCTTTTTTTAGCCCAGTGGGATCCATTTCGGACTTCTGACCTCCAGAACTATAAAATAAAACATTTTTATTAAGCCACTAATTTTATGGCAATGTCTTATAACAACAATAGAAAACTAATATAGGGGCCATTTTTACAGGCAAAGACAAAGAGGCCCGTACTTGACAGGCCACATATCCAAGGTCATATAGGCATTTAGCATCATGCAAGCTAGATTTCAGTTGGTCAGAGATATACAGGTCATTGCTGTTGGCATCTGTTCCATTATCTATTGCTTCCTAACAATCCAACCCAAAGCTCAGTGGCTTAAAACAACAATGTATTATTATTTTCATGGCTCTGTGGGTTGACTGGGCTCAGCTGAGAGGATTCTTAGTTTGAGTTTATTATGTGATTACAGTTGGAAGTCAGCCAGGATTTTGAAGGCTTACCTGAGCCCAATACCCAAGAGAGTACACTCACATGCCTGGCAGTTAATGCTGGCTGTCAGGTGGGAGCTCACCTGGGCCTCACCATGTGCCTCAGCCTACAGCCTGGGAACTGGCCTCTAAGAGGAACGATTACAAGAGCAGGCATTACAAAAGGCAGAGAGCAGCAGCTGCCAGGCTAGTTAGGGGCCATGCCTGGAACTGGCACGCTGGAATTTCTGCCATATTCTATTGGTCAAAGCAGTTACAGGGTCGACCCAGATTCAAGGAGGTGGAGAAATAAACCCCACCTCTTGATGAAGGGAGTGGCAAAGACATATTGCAGAGGAGCCTGTGGGACAGGAGATACTGATGCAGCCATTTTGGGAAAGCAATCTCCAACAGCATCCTTATTTGGAAGATGTGAAAATACTTTGTAGCAATCTTACAATTAATCAGTCAACAACCAATTCATTGACTTTGTATTATTGCAAGGCACCATGCTGGGCCATTTGGAGGATGGCAGGAGTGCCAGGAGCAGACCATCCCCTCAAGCAGTGTGCCCGACTCCTTGGGCACTAAGCAAAGACAGCTGAGCACAGGGAAGGAGAGGCGCTGAAAGGGCCGAGTAGGAAGATGATGAGGGAAGCTGCAAGTAGAAATTATGCTGAGCATTGAATGTCTGCCTAGCACAGGGGAGACTGGCAGTAAACAGGGCTGCAGGAAACAGTCCTTTCTTGGGGCTAATACCAAGTCACCTATTTGGTTCAAAGAGGGGTTTTGCTGAGGTGTATGGAGAGAAGACCTGGTTCTAGTCCACTTCCTACTTCCTGGGAGAAGGGAAATGAGGCTTTAACTCATATTTGCCCTAGGCATAGTGTCTTAGTCAGCTCAGGCTGCTATAAAAAATACCATAAAATTGGGTGACTTAACAAACATTTATTTCTCATAGTTGTGGAGGTTGGAAGTCTGAGATCAGGGTGCTAGCAGATCAGGTTCTGATGAGGCCCTCTTCCTGGTTTACGGACAACTGTCTTGCTGTATCCTCACATGGCAGAAAGAGAACTAGCCAGCTCTCTGGCCTCTTTTTGCAAGGGCATGGGTCTCATTCATAAGGGTTCCACCCAGGGTTCATCTGGATTCAAAGGAGTGAAGAAAATAACCCTGCCTCTTGATGAGGGGAGTGGCAAGGTTATACTGCAGAGACTGTGGGAAAGGAGATACTGATGCAGCAATTGCGGGAAAGCAATTTCCAGCAGCATCCTTAATTGAAAGACCTGCAAATACTTTGTAGCAGTCTTACAATTAATCAGTCAACAACGAATTACCTAATAACCTCCGAAAGTCCCCACCTCCTATCATCATCACATTGACATTAGAGTTTCAACATATGAATTTTGGGAGGGACGCAAACATTCAGTCTGTTGCACACGTGTTCCCTAGGGCTCTGACACTTTTATGGGAGACACTTAGAAAAAAACAATTAGGAAAAAACCACAATTGCTTTTGTACCATCCTAATAATAGCTCCCCTTCACCCCGGTAATTAAAAACACAATGGATTTTCTATTTATTTATTTAGAAACTGGGTCTCACTCTGTTGCCCAGGCTGGAGTGCAGTGGCATGATCTCGGCTCACTGCAATCTTTGCCTCCCAGGCTCAAACCATCCTCCCACCTCAGTCTCAGCCTCCCAAGTACCTGGGACCACAGGGACACACCACCAAGCCCAGCTAATTTTTGTAGAGACAAGGTTTCACCATGTTGCCAGGGCTGATCTCAAACTCCTGGGCTCAAGTGATCTACTGGCCTTGGCCTTCCAAAGTGCTAGAATTGCAGGCATGAGCCACTGTGCCCAGCCAGATTTTCTTTTTTAAATACAGCCATGCATCTCTGAATGACAGGGATATGTTATGAGGAATGCCTGATTTCATTGTGTGAACATAAATAGAGTGTACTTACCCAAACCTAGATGGTACAGCCTACAACACACTATATGGTATATCTATTGCTCCTAGGCTACAAACCTGTACAGCATAGTAACATAGTAACATAGTTAAGTACTTGTGCCATAGGAATTTTTCAGTTCCATTGTAATCTTATGGGACCACTTCAAGTCTGTCATTGACCAAATCACTGTTAAGTGATGCACGACTGTAGTTGTACTATTTCATTGTATTAACTGATTACCATGTCATAAACACCAGAAAACATGCTGAATTATAATGAGAGTTCCTCCTTGCCCTCTCTATTGTCTCTTGCAGCTCAATATCAGTAGTTTGCAGATAGCAACCAGGAACGGCCATGCATCCCTTGTCAACTTTCTTCTCAGTGAGAACGTTGATCTGCACCAGAAAGTGGAAGTGAGTTTATTCCAATGACACGGGCTTTGGTCCTGGCGCCGTGAGGTTGGCTGTGTCAGGGAGATGCCCCTTGCAGATACGTGTAGGAGATGAGATGTTTCACAAGGGAGGAATTCTTTCTGGGAAGGCTGGCTGACTTCTTTTGGAGGCTGAGTCTTAATCTTGAGAAATAAAATCCGAGGGATGAATTTTAGAAAGTCATTGAAGTTCCTGAACAAAATGAAATCTTTGTGTTTTAAATATTTGTATTTGCCGCAAAAAAGCTTTCTCATACGTCTAGAGATGCCATTACTCTTGTATTAATTTTATTAGTCTGGGAAAATAATGAAGCAGCTGTACATATCAAGAAGAGTGATAATTTTTCTCCCTTCACTGAATGTTCTTGTTTTTCTTTTGAAAGTCAATTCTTCATACTGATTTAGGTTTTCTGACGTTTGAATTGGCTTTGGCAGAATTAACAAAGGTCCTCTGTGCTGGAATTAAACAAGAAACATGCCTCTATTTTTCCACTCTATTTTCATTTCTCCGTTGAGAATATGATTTCCTCTGATCTTGCTGAGCCATTACTATTTATTGTATTAACTCAAGAGGAGGGATGTGGTTTAAATCATGTCAGATAGTTTTTGGAGCATGGTGTTGGGGGAATTGACTCTGAACTTACCTGGTTCAGTCCAAGGACACTTCCTGTTTCTCAGGAGGAGCTGGGCCCCTGCAAGGTGGGTGGCCCCGGCAAGAAGGCCAATGCCCACTTCTTTGCAATGTGGGATGCTTTCTCGTTTTTCATGCTTAGTGCTTCAAGGAGGTTATTCCTGAGCAGAAGAGACCTACACAGAAATTCTTCCTTTCATGCTGCTCCCATAGCCCTGCTCACATCATCTGTCTGCTCTGACCCTTGCTGGCCTCCGACAGTCTCTGACTTACTCAGCTGTGGTCTTCTACCTGTCCCCTCGTCTCCCCTCCCTCCATCTGCTGGTGACACTCTTGCCAACTCACTGTGGTCTCTCTTCCATCCATCTACCCCCATCTCCTGAGACAGAGCCTGGTGCAGATGGTAGAGTCAGAAAGGTCTGGGTTCAAGTCCTGTCTCTGCCACTTCCTTGCTGCATGGCCTTGTGGAAGTTACTGATCCTCTTTGTGTCTCATGTATGAAGTGGGGAATATGAGATCAAATGTCTAGGGTTATTGACGTGATTTTTGAAAAACTGTCAGCCTGGTGTTTAAAACAGAGTATAAACTGTTAGGGCAGCCTGGGCAACATGGCAAGACCCCATCTCTACAAAAATTTAAAAATTAGCCAAGCACAGTGGTGCATGCCTGTAGCCTCAGCTACTTGGGAGGCTGAGGTGGGAGGTTCGCTTGAACCCAGGAGTTTCAGGTTACAGTGAATGACGATGACTCCATTGCCCTCTAGCCTGGGCAACAGAGTGAAACCCCATCTCTGAAAAAAATAAATAAAAGAAACAGTTGGGGAAGTGAATGTGTAATAAGCACCACGATGAGAATGTGCTGAGTGTGTCTGATGCGTATCATTAATATCAGCTATTCCACTTGAGCGACGCTGCCCTTGTCCTAATCACTCACCCTCGTAGGCGCCTGTTCCCTCTCGCCACTCGCTTCACACTCAGCTCGGCTCCGGATCTGCACAGTGTCACTGGATCTTCAGCCCTTGCTGTCACACCCCTGTCCACCTTCCCCTGGTGCCCCGCCTCCCTCCCTTATCATGCTGGATGCCCCTCACCTCCCTCTCTCTCATGCCTTAATCGCTTCTGCCCTCACTTCCCTTCGTTGTTTCTTCCCTCCCTTTTCGCCCCGCTCAGCTGCCGTCTCTACTCCTGGAGGCATGTCTCCTCTCATGTCTCCACAGGCCAGTGGCAGCTGGGTGGGACTGTAGCAGCACAGGAGCCTGGAGGCAAAGTGTCGGGGGTAGATACAGGCCCTGTGGCCTAGCAGGGCTGGGTAAGAAGCCAGTGGTTGGGATAAGTGAGAGGGGCCGGGGGCTCCATGAAGGGCTGTGGCTGGGAAGACAGGTGGTTTAGCCACAAAGGAGAACGGGAGAGCAGGCTGCAGAGGGCTTGGTGACCACCTTGTGGCTAGACTCCGTGCGGGGAGAGCTGAGCATGAGGATGGTGCCCCTGAGTAAGGGGGACACGAGTCCTACAGGGCACACTGAGGAGTCGGGGCTCCAGAGCAAATCAATTCAGGAAATTCCAAATGTGCAATGATTTTGCCCTTGTGGCTACTCTTATTGCCCTTTAGCTTTTTGAAGTCTCTGAGAAGTCCTGTGGTTCAGCCTATTTAACACTTACTTATCCTTCATATTTGAGTTTAAATGTCAGTTCTTCAGAATAGTCTTTTCTGACCTCCTGAAAGGTCAGCCTTCCCCCTATCCCCACACTGGCTCTTCTACTTCCAAAGCACTTAATTGTATACTGTATTTGTGTGACTTAAAAAAATTAATATTTGCTTACCTGACTAGATTGGAAGATTCCTGAGAATGAGTTTGTTCACACTAAATCCCTAGCAACCTGAAAAGAGCTTGGCCCATAGTAGGTGCTTAGTATGTTGTTCCAGAAAGAACAAAGGGGGTGGGCCGATTGCTGGGGAACGAGTTTGTTTCAAAGCCTTGGGATGACAATAAATGCTGAACACTTACTAAGGGTCACCACTGGGATGGGCAGTTTCGGTACTTGGGAGATCATCAGGAAATAGCTGCTGAAATGAGTTGCTTTTTGATTTGAATGTTGAAGCCAGAACCTTCTGGATTTGAAATTTTTATTTCTCTCTGCAGCCTAAGGAGTCCCCTCTTCATTTAGTTGTTATCAACAACCACATCACGGTTGTAAACAGTTTATTAAGTGCACAGCATGATATTGACATCTTAAATCAGGTAAGCCAGGCAAATCAGAGCCTGGAGGGTCTCTTTTCTTAGTTTCAACACAGTGTGTGTTTATGGGGAGTTTTGATTAAGTTCAAGGTACCTAAAAATTCCTGGGAGGAACATGAGCATCCTTTTTATCCTTTTCCTTCTGTAACTCTCACTCCATCTCCATGACCACACACATACTTTCGTCTTTCTCAGCCACACAACTGGAGTTCAGCCATTGCGTGATTAAATCCTTCATGTTTAACAGGCCCAGCATTTTTGATAGAAAAACAGTAGCTCAGAGCTAAATGGCCAGAGGCTCTTTAAATCAAAAGCCACTCCCCCAGAGTGAAATATTGTAATTGGCAGGGAGCCTTTCCCCCACAAGAAGGAAGCTTTGTTTCTATATTAAAGACAGTAAATGTATCTTCTCTTTACCTAAAGGCAAAAGAGGCCTCTTGGAATAAAAGAAAAATCACTCCAATTTCAGTCAACTGGAGCAGAATCAAATGACTCGTTAAAGTAATCCATCACTGGCTGGAAATGGGAATGCCGCAACGGAATGATGAAGGGAATGGGGGTGGGCACTGAATGAGCCTGCTCTCTGGGGCTCTTCTGGGGCTGGCCTGCCCTCTTCCAGGATATGTAGGGGAGTGGGAAGAGGAGCCTTTCCAGGGTCCCGAGGCCAGATGAGACCTTCTGGCTGCCTCTTCCCAGAGAAGGCTCTGCGGTGCCCTTCCGGCTAGGGAGGAGCCATGGTGCAGTGGGCATGCCTGCCTGTCCTAATACACTGTGAAACCAGAGCGTTGACTCAGATCTCTGCAGTCTCCTCCAATTCCCACCTATGAGCTCAATTTTGCTCTGAGCTGAATGAAGATTTACCTGTACTTCGGTCCCTTCTCTCCTCCAGGGAACCTAGCCTCCTCCCCTGCCTTTACCTATCCCAAAAGTTTTTCTGGGGAAAAAAACCAATCTCCTTTTGTTATTAAATATACTTATGTATTCAACTACGTTAATATCTAAAATCTTTCCCAATGGGCAAAATCTTTGCTGAACACAGAGGCAGAGCTTCGTGCTCACATGTGATATTGGTTTTGACAGAACTGGCTAGATGTACTCTAGGGAAGGAGTGTTTGTTAGGTTTGCTATCCTTTTTCAGAACCAGACTTCATCACTTTAATTTTTTTATTAGACCAAGAATACACATAAAAAATAGGAAATTTTATATTTTAAATATAAAATATGTATGTAAAATTAAAAATATAAGCTAAAAAAACTTAATGTGTTTGAAGTCCCCAGCAAAGAAAGATAACTCTTCTTAATGTTTTAGTGCATTTCCTGCCTTCTAGACTTGTAGCAGTATTGTTAAAATGGGTTTTGTTGCATTTGATACATTCCATTTTCATCTGTTCCATGTTGGTACAGATCTTTGATAGGTTTGTCAGTATAAGTGTAATGTCTTGAATGACAAACACCTAGACACACTGCCATTTGAAGGTGAGTCTTTAAGAAATGCTTTTTGGGGCCGGGCGTGGTGGCTCATGCCTGTAATCCCAACACTTTGGGAGGCTGAGGCGGGCGGATCATGAGGTCAGGAGTTTGAGACAAGCCTGGCCAATATAGTGAAACCCTGTCTCTACTAAAAATGCAAAAAATTAGCTGGGCGCCTGTAATCCCAGCTACTTGGGAGACTGAGGCAGAAGAATTGCTTGAACCCAGGAGGTGGAGGTTGTAGTGAGCTGAGATCGCCACCACTGCACTCCAGCCTGGGCAACAGAGTGAGACTCCATCTCAAGAAAAAAAAAAAAAAAGAAATACTTTTTGGAAGCCAGGTGTTTTGGGTCACACCTGTAATCCCAACACTTTGGGTGGCCAAGATAGGAGGATTGCCTGAGGCCAGGAGTTTGAAACCAGCCTGGGCAACATAGTGAGGCCTCATCGCTAAAAAAAAAAAAAAATTAGTAGAGCCTGTAGTCTCAGCTACTCAGGAAACTGAGAAGGGAGGATTGCTTGAGCCCAGGAGTTCGAGGTTACAGTGAGCTACTATCATGCTACTGCATTCCAGTCTGAGTGACAGAGTAAGAAACTGTCTCTAAGAAAAAAATTAAAATATAAATAAATATATAAATGTTTTTTGGTAATATCCCCAGCATATTGGCCCTGTGCTCTGGTAGGAAGAGTAGTGGGCCACATGCCATTGCCCAGCTCTGTGAGTCTGGGGTAGTTGCTTCCCTTTCTGGTTAAGGAGTTGGGCTAGATCACATCAAAGGATCCTCTCTGCCCTAATATTTTAGAAATCTCTTCACATCTGCATTCCTTTTGGTGAGAGGTTAAGACGGGTGATTTTCTTGTGATTTCAGATATTTCTTTTGAAACTCTTATCCTCTTGATAGGAAAATGATTACTCCAGAAGGAAATTTGAAGTCTTGGACTCCTTTATACATTATAACGTAGAAAATTTAGAGAACAGAAATGCATTGAGAAGGCAATAAAAATAAACTCTAATCCCTTCATCTAGACCTTATCATTAGCATTTTTCTGTACTGTATTTTTGTCTCTTTCTCTATGTGTATTTTTCATTAAATCAAGCTCAACTAGATAGTATCATTTCCTAAAGTTTCAAATGTTATATCAAAAGCGTCTTTTATTTTTAAAAAATCTTCGAAATAATTTTTATTGTAGTAAAATACACATAAAATCCACCATTTTAACCATCTTAAGTGTACAGTTCAGCAGCATTAATTACATTCATTTGGTATAATATCACCACCATCCATCTTCAGAACATTTTTCATCTTCCCAAACTGAAATTTTATATCTATTAAACGGTAACTTCCCATTCCCTCCTCCAGCTCCTGGGAACCACCATTCTACTTTCTGTCTCTATATATTTGACTACTTTAGGTACCTAATATTGAAATCATTTTTAAAAAAATAATTTTTAATGGTTGCCTGTTATTCCAATATATAGATTATCATAATTTATCTAGTGAGTCTCCTTGTTAAACATGTAATTTCCTTTCAGTTTTTCACTATTGCAAATAATAATGCAATGAATGCCCCAGTATCCATTAAAAAATATATGACCTGTGTTTTCCCTTGAACCTAAATAGGATGGCTATACTTTCCATTTGTCTTTTCACCGTCCAAGTTTGTTCCCCTCCTTAATTTCATGGCAGAAGCAGCAAACCCCTCTGCATGTAGCTGCTGATCGTGGAAATGTGGAACTGGTGGAAACCCTGCTGAAGGCAGGCTGTGACTTGAAGGCTGTTGACAAGGTAAGTGCATGGACTTTACTCCATTCAGCTGAGATGGTTGCTAAGACCTTCCTGTTGGATGTCAGCCTTGAGCAGCGTTATTGGAATATCCTTTGTGAAATGGGCACAAACTGGAGAAACCATGCATCTTCATAGTCAGTAAAATACCCCAATTTTGGTTGAGCTATGTCAGTAAAAATTTTTACTCTGAAGAAAAAATATGTGTTTTTAAATTCAAATTCTGAAAAGATTATAGATTCGTATGGTCCAGAAATAAAAGAATATAATTAGTAAGGGTTTAACAGTAAAAATTTCCCACCCACCCCTGTTCCTACTTGTCTGGTTACCATACTACCCCGCTTATATATATCCATTATTATAAATTATTTCTGTTCCTTCCAGAGTTTTTTATGCATATGCAAGCAAACATAAACACATTTTACTCTTATTCCCTTCCTCCTTCCTTTTTAGACACTGATGGCATACCTATAACTAGTATACTGTTCTGCATTTAGCTTTTTTAGCATTATTAAGTGGAGATATTACTACATGGAGAGTTTCTTCATTCTTTTTTTTTTTAGAGCTGCATAGTATAGCGTGGCACAGACATATCACAACTTGTTCAGCTAGTCCTCACTTGATTGACATTTAAGTTGTTCCTAAGGTTTTGCTCTTATAAACATAGCTGCAATGAATGACTTTACATATGTCTAAACTTGTTTTTTTAAATTAAAAAATTTGTGGTAAAATACACACACATAAACACTGTCTTAACCATTTTTATGTATATAGTTCAGTATGGTTAAGCATATTCACATTGTTATGCAATTGGTCTCCAAAACTTTCATCTTGCAAAAGTGAAACTTTACACTTATTCAATAACTTGCCATTTCTTCCTTCTCCCAGCCCCTGGGAACCACCATTCTACTTTCTGTTTCTATGAATTTGACCACTCTAAGTACCTCATATAAGTGGAATCACATAGTATTTGCCTTTTTGTGACTGGCTTAGTTCACTTAGCGTAACGTCTTCAAGGTTTATCTATGTTGTAGCATGTGTCAGAATTTCATTTCTTTTCAAAGCTAAATAACATTTCATTGTATGTCTATACCACATTTTGTTCATTCATTCATCCATCGATGGACATTTGGGTTGCGTCCACCTTTTGGCTATTGTGTAAACCTGTTTTTAAAGAAGGACAATTTTGTTTCTTTCAAGTGGTGCAGTAATGCAGGCTAAGCCTCCGGAGGGTTGTCAGAGAGCTGTGTTAGGTTCCAGCTTTACTGAATGTTATATAGGAGGTCCCTGGGTACAGTCCTGTCAGGTGCTCACGCAGGCCATATTACTTCAATCCTCACATTTCAGTGAGGTGGACAAAATCACTCCAGTTTTCAAGAGCAGATTGGAGAGATTCTGATGACATTGGGTCACACGCATAGTAAGAGGCAGAGCTGGCTTCAAATCCAAGTAGTGGCTGCTTTGTCATCTGGTGCTTTGCTACAACTGTCAGCAAAGATGACTGCTTCCGAAACTTGCAGTTTTCCCTTCCTTATTTTTACCCAACAGTTCAATAGCCAGCACTTCCCTAAGTCACAGTGCAAGCCTGAGTCCACCCTACTCTAGTTCAGAATCATCCATTTTACATGTGTAGGATCTAAAGTAGTTATATGTTATTTTACTTTTCTCTGTGTGTCAGTTTCTAAAATTAGGTTTTTTTGTTTTTTTTTTTCTGATCATAAAAAAAGTAACACAGACTGGCTGGGCGCGGTGGCTCACACCTGTAATCTCAGCACTTTGGGAGGCTGAGGCAGGCAGATCATGAGGTCAGGAGTTTGAGACCGGCCTGACCAACATGGTGAAACCCTGTCTCTACTAAAAATACACAAATCAGCCGGGCATGGTGATGCGCAACTGTAATCCCAGCTACAGCGGGGGCTGAGGCAGAAGAATCACTTGAAACCGGAAGGCGGAGGTTGCAGTGAGCCGAGACCGTGCCAGTGCACTCCAGTCTGGGTGAAAGAGCGAAACTCCGTCTGAAAAAAAAAAAAAAAAAAAAAAAAAAAAAGTAACACAGGCCCACTGTGGACGATTTAGAACACAGAAAAGCTTAAGGAGGAAAACACAACACAGAATGTTATCACTTGTGTGGAATTCCACCACTTTCACCAGTTGTGCCTGGTTAATTTGGTTTAACATTTAGCCTTAGTATTTTTTAATGCTGTTGTTTTGTATTTTATTCTACTTTTTCATGAATACTTAATACCCCCAAAGCCATTCTGTGGGTACGAAATCTATAGCATTGGGCAGGGATTTATGTTGGGGTCCCTGCTGCTTAGTGGACTAGATATTCCAGTAAATACAGTCAATGCTACCATTTGACTTTGTTTTCAAAACAAGAGCTCACAGTTTACTGGGCCTCATGATTTGACTTTCCCAGATTTCCCTTCTTCTCCTTTCTTTTCAAGGTCTGGCACATAGTTGGCACCCAATACATAGTTAATAAATGAATAAAAAATATCTTTTCTATTGGCTCCCACAATTTTTTTTTTTTTTTTTTTTTTTTTGCCAAAGAAAAGTGTTTCTAGGACCATGTTAGGGTCTGGTTAGGAAATAAGGAATCAAAGTTTGGTATAAATTTGACTTTCCCAGCAGCTTGTTCTCTGCTTGTCCTCTTGGCCTGAGGTGTCAAAAAGCTCTCAGAGAACCTTCTATCCACGCTACCTCCCAACCCCTAAGGGTAGAAGTGTTTGGATTTTCACTCCAGCATATATTCCTTAGGAAGATTTTCCTTTGAACTTGGAAACTCTGGCTCTCAGAATGCTGCCTTCTCAAAGCAGGCTAATTATAGTGATTCAAATGGCTCTGCAAGACAGAATGTAGACAGCATACAATTAGAGGCTTGCTAAATGCCTGCAAAATGCAGTTCTTCCTAATTTCATTACTGTCTCTTTTGATTACAGGCTGATTACTTTCAGCCCTAATTTTCCTGCTCCCCTGGGTCTTAGTGCCTAGACTAAGAACCAAATCATTTATATTGGTGGGAATCGCACTTGTTGCAAATATCTAACCATGTAAGATAATACTTGGGATATATTTCTGGATCCATAAGGGTTCCTAAGATTGGAACTCTTCTTCTTGGGTCATTTCTGACCATTAATTTTAATTGTTTTCTGAGCAAATTCTTCATGGGTCATTTGAAAAGCAAATGAGAACCACCATCCTTTGCTCAGGGAAAAATATTTAGATGTTGAAGTGGTGCACTCTATGAAATCCAGAGGATTCTGCTTGCAAAGCTCTATGCCCTGGCTTTGAGCTCTGTCCATCTTGAGAAAAGTGTACCTTTTTGTAATTCGTCTAAGTTACCATGTGGGCTCCAGGCAGTTCATTCCCAAAATTATGTCCAGAACAGCCCTTGTTGATCATTCCATTTGTTTAAGATTAAAACCTCTCACCCTTGGTGAGAGGCAGTATGGTATAATAGAAAAAATTTCTAGTTAGGGGTCCAGTGACCTATGAATTACCAGGGTTGCCATTATTGATATTATTCTTAATAAGATCCAGCCCTTTTCTGTCTTATTACTCAGTGCTCCTCAAAACATGGCTTCTACTTCCTGGTCTAAAGTGGCTGTTCAGGCTCCTGCCATCATGTCAGCATTCCACTCAGGAGGGAGAAGAAAAGAAGGAAAATGCCATTCATCTCTCTTCTGTTTAAAGATACTTCCCAGAAGTTGCATGTCCCACTTCTATTTACAGACCATTGGCCAGAACTTAGGTCACATAACTAACTGCAAAAGAGGCTAGGAAATATTCAGGGTGGCACAGGTTCTAAAGGCTTTATATGCATTATCACATTTACCCCTGACCACTCCACTATGGGGTAGTTATAAAGACCCAAAGAAGCAAAGGACTGGCCTAAGTTTACCCAGCATGGGCTGGTAGAATCAAGATTTGAACCGAGGCCCCCTTGTTCCAAAACTAGAGCTCCTAATCACTAGGCCATATCACCTGAATTTTTTTTCTTTTTTAATTTTAGCAAGGAAAGACTGCCCTGGCTGTGGCCTCCAGGAGCAACCATAGCCTTGTCGTGGGCATGCTCATTAAAGCAGAGAGATACTACGCCTGGAGAGAGGTAAGGAAGGACGATCCCAGCACAGCAGGGGCTTTCCTGGCAACACCCATCTTCTTGCAGGGGCAATGGGGGGGTCTGTGCCATTCTTTGCTCTAATGAGCAGAGCTCTGGTCAGTACAATTATAACTGTCCCTTCTGTCTTGTGCTGCCCCCATTCGTGGAATGAACAGCTGCCTCTTCCTTTGTGGACATCAGACGTCAGAACTGAGAGCGCGTAGAGTTCACTAGGGCCAAGCGGCATTGACCAGGCCAGCTATAATGGGCCTAGCGTGTGAGCCCCTGATGGGTGACGCCTGGTTGTTCCCTCTGTCCACAGTCTGGCCATGAGCTATTCCCAGTAGCACGAATGAGTGGTTAAAAAACTCCTTTGTGTGGCTCGGCAGTTTTCAACACACCGCTGTGCAGGCTTTCAGGCACTCAAGTATTCTGTGAGAGTCACGAAAACCTTATTCATCTAAGAACACAAAAAAACTTGTCTGTAAGTCATTCTTTTTGCTGTTCTTTTATTTTTATTTCCTCTGATATCTGCTACCCATGCAGCTTCTCAATAGACTGCCCTCCCCTGCAAGATTCAACTCCATGCCCTCAGGCAAGAATGGCACTGCCAGGCACCATTCTTGATTTATAGTGATGTGTTGTTTCCATTCTAGGCTGCGTGGCTACCCCTGGCCCAATGTGTTAGCTCCAGAATTCAGGCCCTAATCACTTGGAGCCCACCCTGAGTTTCTACAAACCTGGATTGCTGTCCACCTGGCCAGTCTTGGGAAATTTCCCTTAAATCCTTAAAGCAAAAAGCATTTACTCATCTCCTTCTCTCTCACAATCCTGTTTAATTAGCTTGGTAGTCTTGATATATATGGATTCTTTTAAAGGTCACACCATCCTCCTTGCAACTTTTCTTGCCTGTAAAACAAAACAAAAAAAGTGCTTTGCTTGTAAAACTTTTTATTTTAACAATTGGAACTCTGTTTCTTCTCTCCCATTCCTCATATTTCTATGTTCTTCCATCTCCTCCCTTTACCTCTTCCTCTTTTCCTATCCTCAGGCTCAATTTCTTAAATTATCATTGTATTTTATTGAAGACAACTTTGCCAAGTTCCATCTTTTCTCTTTCTCTTTAACTTGCTTTCACATTTTCTTTGGAAATAGAAATATTCATTGGTTCTATTTTTAATTCCTGATAGCTCTTTAAAAATTATTTTGGGTAGATAAGAATAAATTACTTTCCCACCAAATGAATATGCCCTCTTTCCTAATGAATCTTTAAGACATAAGAGTTAGGTATACTTTGAAAACCATATATAAAACATGAATATAGCTAAAGGAGACCCCCAGAAATGGTAAGAGTTGTTAACTCCGGTGACAATTGGGGTCCTGGGGTCTGGAGTGGGAGAAATACTTGTTTTTTAAGATACATCTTTAAATATTTTTTTAACCAAATGCATTTATTATTTTAAATTCTCTTTGTTCATTGAACAAGTTTATATCCTCGCCTAATATAAAATGGTTCCTAGTAAAAGGATTAAAGATATGATTTAAATTTCCTCTCTCATATCCATTTATCCATTAACCTAACCACCCAATCATCCATTATTAAATTCAGTGGTTCAGAGGCAAATGGGAGCTTCCTAAAACCTGGCTTATGTTATTTTAATTTCCACCAGTTCTGGCTCATGTTATTCCTGCAAATAGTTCAGTGTTTTGGCAGGCAAGCTATTTAATGCTTCACTGGCTGCTGAAAAAGACCTAGGCTTTCCAAATCTCCTGCCCTTTTCAATGGAAGCCTAAGGGACCACCCAATCCAATCCTGAAAGGCACAAACCATGTAAGTTTCTTGAAGAGCTAAAAATGTTATCGCACAAAGATAGATGCAGAAGCATTTTGTGTTCTTCCCTTTCCCTTGTGACATTTAGGCTCTTGATCTTGTTGGATTCATCATTGTTTCAGGAGATGGAATGAGGAGAGAAGGACAAAGTGAAGTGGCCCACAGCTCCCAAGTTTGCTGGAGCTCCCCATCCTCAATCTTACTTCTTTTAGAATTCCTGGGAGCTAGGCACTGTGGAAGTAAAGCTGAGGCTGGGTTGGAGAAGACCCTGCTTTTTACAGTCTCTAAAACAATTATGGGTAATTCACACCTCCCATTCCTATTTCAACTTCTGTACACAAAGTTCAGATACTAGAGGAAGGTTTTGCCCTTCTTGGCCAAGCTTCCCGGGAGGAGCTTATTGCATTTCCCTTGTCGAGCTTCCTGGAGGAGGTTTCTGATGCTGTGAAGGATCCATGGTGGGGGCCCATCAAGTTCTTCTCATCAGTTTTTAAACCCAGGGTCCTAGACAGTTTTGGTTCATTTCCTGCCCCAGCCTGGATTCCCATCTTGTTGTCAAGAATATTTTCATTAAGATACACCTCTATTTAAGTGAAAGACAAAAATAGAAGTCACTATACATGAGAAAGGAAGTCCCAGACTTCTTGGTGGGCCACTTGTCCTGCATGTCCTTAACTGATCTGCAAACTTCTGCAGGAGGATTACCTGGAGGCCTAGTGGCATAAGCACAGCATGCAGTTCTAGGAAGCAGTGATGCCTGCTTTCACTCAGTGATTTTCTCCGGTGTTTGTGGTTTGATTCTGCAGGACTCTGGTGGATTCTGCAGAAGGGACAAAAGGAACCTTTCAACAGTCAGAAAACAAGATGCCAATCTAGGCATAGTGCTGTTGGTCTGAGCCTGGCTATAGTGACTTTAAATGATGTCCACTCCTGTCCTCTCCACTCCCTTAGTCACCTCTTCCCCAAGCCCCAGCCTGAGCTAGGCTCCTAGTTTACTCTCCTTATGCTCACCAGAGAGCAGGATGAATGAGGGACCAGCTGTGGGGTCTTATTAAGGATACAGCCAATCTGGGCTCACCGAAGCTTCAATATGAGAACATCAAATACCCAAAAGAAGAAATGGGGGTATGGGTTCAAACAAAGGCCATTAAAGATGGTTTTGTTGTTGTGACACATCCTTTGCCAAGACAGCCTCTCTGTTCTCATTCTCTGTTCTAAGCAGCATGGGACACAATAGGCAAAATCCCTCACATTTCCTGTGTCAGACAGACGGTACCCAAGCTTTTAATTTCAAGCATTTATTTCCATTTTGGATGGCAAAAAAAAAAAATATATATATGATCCAGTGACAGGAGGCATTGAAAACATAGTCTCGGTTACCACCTTACTAGTTATGTTTGAAAAACATATATACTCTGAAATAAGGTAATAAGTAGAACATGTCTGAAATCTTCTGATACAATTATTTTCACTTTAGGAGCATCATGAGAGCATCAGGGACCCGTCAACAGGCTTTACTCTGACATTCAAGCAAGATCACAGTCTGGAGACCAGACACATTCGCACGCTTCTCTGGGACCTGGCTTACCATCAGCTGAAGGCCAATGAGTGGCAGAGGCTGGCCCGTTCGTGGAACTTTACAGATGACCAGATTAGAGCCATTGAGGAGCAGTGGTCGGGTGAGTACAGACTAGATGATGTGGGCAGGAGGAATTCACTGTTAGGAACAGCAGTGCCTCCTGGTGTGAGGTCTTCCAAGGAAGTGTGTGGCACTCACAATAAGCTGCAGTCTTCAAGGGGCCCAGGAATAGGGGCAGTTAGCTTAGGTCCACACCAGTGATTTGGGCATTAAGATTTGCAGAAAGTGAACACTCATGGTCTGCAGTAAACCGAAGTTTGTAAAGGATGATTATGTGTATTGACCCATATCAGACATGTGCATTTAGCCTAGAGAGACAGTAAGATTCCCAACTGGACGGTCACTAAGGAAGCAAGCAAGGATTTAACAGTTGGTGTGTCAGTGGGAAGCCAATCTGATTTCTATGTTCCTTGAGACTGTCCTGGGGTGAATGGGTTCATTCTGTAATCAATAGGCTCGCTGTTTAAGTCTGCGCTCCAGAAAGAGGAATTCCTTAAAGCAGGTGGGTGTAGGAGAAAGGGTTGTTGTAGGACACTGCCTTAGGGGAGACTTGGCTGTGCCATGAGCGACACGGCAAATACAGACTCAGAGGGCTTTCTTGGCTAGATGATTCCAAGCAATGGAATCATTTCAGCTGGACTCAAACTGTCATAATTAGTGAAGTCAGGTCAGCTAGATTCCTTAATTTTGTTTTTTGTGGTTAGACGAAAACCTAGGAAACATAGAAAGTTTACTTGGCATTAATCAACTAATTAGCTTTGAAAACAATGAAGCAAACATGTTTCTTGGCAAAGTTTTCTATTCAGAGCACTGCCCTCTCATGGACATCCTAAGACGAGAAGGTGTCCTTGCTCAGGGGTCTATTTGTATTAGGGATTGCTGGGAACTGGGGATGGCAGAAGCACAGTCCATGAGCACACACTATTTATACCACATACAAGTAAATTATGAGACTTTGTATTGCACATTCTTAGGATACATTTTCATGTGAAAAATAGAAGATAATGTATTGAAAACATTGAATACTAACTAGTTTCTAACTAGAAAAATTTTTTTATTGTTAAGATTTCTTTTTTGTCATTAATTAGGCTTATAGTGTTCTGTGAAGTCTTTAGGAAAATTGAGTTGCCTCCTGGAACTCTAACTTGACCTAAAGAGATGACTTGAAAATATAGTGTATCTTCAGAGTACTTGCCAGCAGGATAAGGGGGATTTTAAAGTGTTTCGATGGAACCTTTATGGAGGGCCTGGAGTGTTTATTTCTGCTGGATGAGGGATAGATACATCAGCTCTCTAAGCCATGCATGTTTGATGGAGTTTATAATCTAGTTGGCACAATAACAATGACACTTGCAATTCAATTATATTGTGATCCAGGGTAAGGTTACTGGCACTGGGGAGTTTGTGGGCTTTTGATCAAAGGAGTGACAGACTCATGATGGTATTTAAGAAAAATTAGTTTGTCAAGAGCAAGATTAGGAAAGGAACAGAGGACTTGTCCAGGAGTACATTCTGTAAGTATGCAGTTCCCTCTCCCTGAAATGCCCGCTTCTCCATATCAGTCTGTCCAGTGAACTTCTCCCTCACCCCTGCAGAGCTCAGGCCCTTCCCTTGCACAGCATGTCTGCTCCTGCACACTCTCTCTCAGAGCAAGGAGCCTGTAGTGAAGTCCTGTTGGGAACCACAGAGGCTTTGTGGCTCCCTATCCCGGTACTTCCCCCAACACCTCTCTAGGCTGAGATATGCAGTGAGTATTTATCAAATGAATAATCCTGGCCCAGGGATGCAAACTTCCCTCAGAGTAGCTTCCTTGAGACTGGAGTGGCAGAATGAATGGTGCATGCTTGCTGCTCAGAGTGGGGAATATGGAGCAGCAGTGGCAGCAGCACCCGGGAGTTTGTTAGATGCATGGATTCTTACCCCAGACCTACTGAATCCAAACTTGCATTTTAGTAAGATACCCAGGTGAAATAAGCACTGTGAGTTTGAAGAGCACTGGTCTATGAGAAGTTGCATATTTCATTAAAATTGTTCCCCCTGGGCAGGCACCACAGCTGTCCTCTCTCTTGTACACTCCTTTGGGTGTGTGCCAAGCATAGCAGGTGCATAGCACAGGCTGGAGGGAAAGCAAATGCTGGTCATCATAAAGCAGCACAGCGAGGGCAACTGGAAGGGCTTTTTTCGAAGAGGAACAGGCAAGCAAACAGTCATTCAGAAAGTTTAGTTGGAACTGAGATCACAATGGAAAGAGATAGCAGCTCGTGGTGTTTTACCTCGGACCTCTTGTGCTTGGCACAGGAAATGAAAGCTTCCGTGAACATGGCCACAGGGCTCTGCTTATCTGGCTACACGGGACCCTGATGACTCAGGGTGACCCGGCCAAGCAACTGTATGAAGAGCTGGTACACGCAGGTTTCCCAAAACTAGCTGGTAAGTGACAGTTTCAACAACAGAAATTCTTTCTCCCTTAAAATTTCAGGAAGCAGTCTACAGAAATATCATCCTGACCAGCTACAGCCCCAGCGTGGTGTTAGCTGTGGCTCACACGGAGTATGGAACTATGGAAGGGGCTTGTAAGCTGTCAGCAGCTTCTCCTTTGGGGAATGACCCAGTCAATACTGGTTACTCATTAGCCTGGCAGTTCTGTGTCATCCCCCTACTCAGCATTTGAAAAAGTGTGGGAGTGTTTTTGTTTATGTGTATGTGTGGTGGGGGCAGGTGGGGTGGGGCAGAAGTGCTAAACTATCCCATACAGTTATAGGATTGTTCTCCACGACTAAGAGTTGTCTTGCTCAAAATGCCATTTTACCCCTGTTGATAAACTGCAGGTTAGTGTATTTGAAAATGTTATCTCTAGGTAGAACAAAAAGAGCAGACAGGCTATTACTTTGCCACCTGAGGTTATTGCTAAAAATCAGTCTGCCAAAATCACTGACCATATTGTCAGGAAAGATCCTTTAAAAACTTATCAATAAATTAGGCGGTGTTGTAGCTCTCATGTAATAACAAGCATTCAAGCAAAATACAGGAACATCTGCCATTATTTTCACTGAAGCAGTTTTACCTGGAGCAAGAAGATAAATGAGTGAACACCGACTGATCCAATAGTTTCCAGCAGTAGTAGGTACAAGGAACAATGTGTGGATACTTACCTTCCATCACATGATCTCATAATATTGGAGTTTTTCCCTCAACTTTTACCCTGTTCCCATTGGCCCCGAGAATACTCACCAGTGGTGCTTGCAGCATTTACCCTGAAAAAACTTTGCCATGAATTATCTTGTTTTTATTATTATTTTTGGATCACTCTAGTATATTGACTTTGGAAACAAAAGATATCATTCTACTTATAGCATTCTGGTTTTACTAGTGGTATTTCCATTTACAAAATATGGAAATTCTTGATCATTGAAAATGTCAAGTCCTAGAAAATGTAGCATTCCTATATGTGATGTTAACATCGTTCTCAAACAATTGTTGGCCAAAGATTCATTCCATGAATCCAATTTTTCAGAAATTGATGATTCGGATGATTCAGACTATTCTGATGTTAGTTCTGTTTAGAAATAACTCCAAGAAGTTTGTATATTTGTTTTTCACAATGAAAATCAGATTTGCTTCAGCCTCAAAGAGCGTATTTATGTAAAATTGAAGAAGTGCTGGCAGTGAGCTGCACTTTTTTTTCTAAATGGGAAAAGGGTTAAATGTATTCTTCCTATGAAAGAGGTTCCATAAGAACTCTTAGAGAAGATGAAGATGCAGTCCACTGAACTGGCTAAGGGTATGTGTTCTGACGCAAGGCTGTGTGAGCTCACTCTTGAACTCCAAAGCTGACTGACTGGTTGTAAACCTCGAGCAAGTTCTATGACCTTCCTGTGACAACCTTCTCATTTATTAACTAGGAAAGAAAATAAAAATGTTTACTTCAAAGGGCTGTTGTGGGATTTAATGAATAATAGTGCCTGGTAGACAATCAGTGCTTTAAAAATTTTAGGTATTCATAAATGTTATCTTATTTTTTCCAGAAAAGACTCGTCATTTCAAAAGCAAAACTGACTCAAACTCCAAGAAATGTGTAGTTTCATAAATGCCTAAAGAAATTGTATTTACATGATTTTCCACTCAGCATTCAGTTCTTTTAATGCCATAAATTTCTTCTAGCAGTAGCACTGATTTTCAACTATGATGATGGTGGTGACAGGGAACTCTAACAGATGAAAGAAGAGTAATACCATGATACTTTTCAACCACTAAAAAGTCAAATATAGTTTTTTTTGCTGAGGGCAAGTTGTATGTGATTTTCCCATTTCTATCAATCATTTGATGTAATCCATGTAATAAGATAATCTAGGACGGTTTTGTATGTCATGTTTTTTTAAAAAACTCATGGGAGCAGCATCATGGTACAGTAAAAAAACAAGGGTTTTTATAATAGACAAATATGGTTTTGAACTTGGTTTTGCCACTTATTAGATGTGAACCTTTGGGCATGTTAATGTTGTTTACGTTCTTAGATCTTCAGTTTCCTTCTCTATAAACTGGGAGAGATGTCTATTTAATCCATAGGGTTGGAATGAAGATGAAGGGAAAATGCCTGTGTAGCCTCACGCCCATAGTACGGAAATCAACTGCTATTTCTCTTTCAGTAAGAGAAACTGGGTTTGGAATTTATAGTCATTGTTGACTTTAAATCACACATTTTGTGTAATATATTACTTAGGAAAGACCAGAAGTATGTACACCATTTTTTTTTTTTTTTAAATCTCTTGGTGATGTAATTACAGATGATTATTTTCTTTGTACTTTTGGGTACATTCCATTCTTTTTTTCACAAAGAACATGCATTATTTTTGTAATCTAAGAGTTATGAAATAAATGTAAAATTGAGTGTCAGTTTATGTGCACCTATTCATTGGAATTTAAGACTCTCCATTCTCAGATTCTGACTCTAAATTTACAAGGCACATACTAAAACCATAAGCAATTTCAATCCAGTTATTCTATCATGAATTTATAGTTTTATGTCTTTGTCTCATACTGATTATAAATGGCCCACTTAATCTTATGAATGTTTAAAACAGGTAATAGATTCACATGATTCCAAAACGTTTTTCAAAAACATATTGAGAAGAAGTATTGTCCCATCTGTTCTTCAGTATGGCCAGTTTCCACTGACCTCTCTTTCTCTATTACTGCTCCCCACCAGATTGGGGTAACCTCTTTATGCAAAAATAAACAAATATGAATATATACTATAACTGTGTCAAGTGTTAAACTGTTGAATTTACATTAACTTAGGCCAACACTAATTGCTTGGTGCTTTAGACAACATACATTTCTAGAGCTTAAAGCTTAAAAATATGTTTATAATATTCTTAATCACAACATTCATAATATTCACTTCAGTTTGTCCATATTGTTTTGGCTTGGATACTGAAAACCATTCCTAGTTGTAGTCTAGATTCCTCAAAAAGTAGAGCTTGTCTAAGACCGAAGTTTGTGTGCAACAACTTTTTCAGAAGTGTACATCCGGGGAAGGAGCGGAGGAGAAAGGGGAGTTGTCTAGGGAGGAGGGAGAGCAAGAACAAAGCGAATTACCTAAGTGGCCATCACTTGGTACAAGCATAACTGATTATTTAATCTTGGGCTACTCTATTCTGAGAGACATGATATACTAATGCATCTCAGGACAATTCATACAGGGAGAAGGAAGGAAGAATTGGTCTGTTTACCATAATGCCAAGTATTAATTCTGGGTTGCATGAGTGGGCTCCCCAGTGGAGCCTGCACTATCCTGACTCAACTGGGAGTGAACGGGGAAGCCCGGGAAGAGCACACACATGGAAAGGGCACGAGATGAGGTGCTTGTGGTTTGTGTTCATGAAAAGCTTGCTGAAGACCATGAGGGGTGGAGCTGTTTGTTTACCACAATGGTAGCTGGGCCAGAATCCAGAACAAGTGTTGTGTAAATATCTAATACCCTTTAAGAAACAGCCTAGTAATTCAGAAAGGCCTTAGGATTCTATTTGCCTATATCACATTTATTCTCTGATGTCCTGTGAACAATGTGAGGCAGCAAGAAAACCTATTTCCTATAATAAAAATTAGTGCAGAGAACTTATATTCAAATTAGAAGAGGCTTCAGATGATTAACTCCATCCACTCTGTTAAAAGAGATGGAAATTGAGGTCCTGGACAAACTCTTTAGAACCTGTTCATTTTTATGTATAAGTACTGTGAAATAGTAGGTAGATTTTATTCTTATTTCACAGATGAGGATCCAGAGATTCATTTAATTGTCTGGCCCACACAATCAGTCAGCAATGAAACCATTAGAAGCCAAGTCTTGTTCACCTAAATCAGTTCTGCCCAGATGGTTTCTTTGTATTGGCCAGCCATTGAAAAATTTCTGCCCAGGCCTAGGTTTGCTGAGTTGCTCAGGGCTACGCCACCACAGAACAGTGTTTAGATGTTCGGGGAGAACAAGGTAGGTTCAGTGCTGCAGAGTTTCAAATAATAAGGCGAGAAAGAACACCAGAAACAGGCTCATTCTAACAGGAAATTTCTGATACTTCTGTAACTCTAGTGCTAGTATTACAAATGTTTTCCCTTTTGGCATTAAAAAATGATTCATAGGTGTTGCCGTTTCCGTCTATTTTCAACTGTTGTTAGAGTCCTGGAAAAATGAAGACTAACATGTTAAAGCCACAAAAAACGGGGCCGCGCGTGGTGGCTCATGCCTGTAATCCCAGCACTTTGGGAGGCTCAGGCGGGCGGATCACTTGAGGTCAGGAATTCGGGACCAGCCTGGCCAACATGATGAAACCTTGTCTCTACTAAAAAAAGATACAAAAATTAGCCGGGCATGGTGGCTGGCACTTGTAATCCCAGATACTCGGGAGGCTGGGGCAGGAGAATTGCTTGAACATGGGAGGAGGAGGCAGTGAGCCGAGGTCACACCATTGCATTCCAACCTGGGTGACAGAGCGAGACTCTGTCTCAAAAAAAAAAAAAAAAAAAATCATTATTACACTTGGTCTTTTTTAAATTAAAAATAAAAATATCCTAGTTTCCACTAGTTCTAATACTTTGTTTTTAGTAAGGTTCCCTCTCAACACTTTGAGTGAATTACAGCTGTGTAATATTGGAAATGATTTAGTGTTTTATAAATAGTGAAAATAAATTTATATATTTTGATGCTGTAATCAGCAACAGGCTAAACATATTAAAGAAATAAAGTCCAGTTTCTTTTTTAATTTAAAAAAGTTTTACTTAATTGCTTAAATAAAAAATAACATTAAAATAATTTCTACATATAGTTACAAAGCATGGTAGAGCTTGAAAAAGCCTCTTGTAATTTTGAACAGATGAACATGATGTCTCCATGATGTTCTAACAATATGGAAAAGTTAAAACCAAAAGACTTCTAACCCTTGGTAAGACCAGAGGGATTAAAAGACCCCACTATGGACATATTCACTTTAGTCAACCACTTTTATGGAATGAACACTTGTGAGAGACTGGGTGTGAGCTGATCTGGTTCCAAGTGATCTGGAAGCTGAGGTACTACTTTCAGGATGAATGGTCCGGGGATATTTTGCTGCAGTTGCTTGAGGAATGGTTTGCTGAAAAGACAAAATTCTGCTTTAATAATATCCCAAGATTATGTATACTATGTATCATTTCATCATCTATCATCTATAATTTAACCCAATAAACATTTGTTAAGATCCAGTAGAAAGAAGCAATGAGTGGAGTGAAGCAGCTGTTAATTAGATGAGGCCTTTGTCTGTAAGGAACCCCTACCCAGTCTGACTGACATGTTCAACACCCACAGTGTAATATCAGAGCTATATCCACAAGGCTCATTAAGAAAGCCACGGCAGCCATTCCTCCAACAGGGCCAAGTGGAATCTTGTAATGTGTACAGAGGCTTTGTATACAGAGAGAAACTCTGTGGTGTCTGGAAGAGGGGTCAGCCCTGAGTCCTCCCCTCATTCCATCCAACTTCCTTCTCTCTACTTGACTGTTAGTATGTGGATGTGATTATCTCACAATCCCAGGGGCACACGGAAGCCCTCAGGATGCAGTCTGGTCCTTGCTTTAAACCAGAGCCCTCATATTTAACCTGGTTCACCTGGGAGCAGACTAAAACTTTTATGCACATCACCTCAGAGCTCAAAGGAACACCTCAGACATGAGCACTGAGTCATTAAAGTCAGGACACACGTGACTTACTTGACACACATAATATGCATGTAATGCATGTAAGTACACACTATGTATACAAGTACACATTTACATGTAAACATGAACAATATGTATCAGTACAAGGCTTTTCCCTATTAAACCCGATAAAGCTTCTTAGTAGCCAGCAGTGGGATTTGTTATCAAGTTCTCAGTCCATATCACTGACTAGGACATGTCAATTTCTATTAGGGTCTTCCACTTAGAAAAGTCATTGTTAAAATAGTTTAAGTAAAATTACATGTATTTGGTCAAAACATTCACTATGTATTTAAAAAACTCCAAGCTGTAGTTTTTGCTTAAAAAAAGAATGAAACTTCTTAAAAACAAAAGATCCTGTCAGATTCCATTTTAAAAAGAACAGAACTCCTTTTTAAAGAAAAATAACTTCTTTTCTTAAAGTATCTTATAAAAACGTTTATTTGTACATAAACAACTGGATAACCATTATAAATAGGAGATACTCTTGCAACAGATAAGAAATTTTAGTTGCCAGTCACCTAATTAGTTGCCAGCCACTAACCTGAGCCTGCCAAAAAGGCTTTCTCCTTGAGGAGGATGGGCAAGAGGAACTGTAGAAATAAAGTAGCCACTGAAATTATGATACACAAAATATGACAGAGAATGAAGTGGCCCTAGAAGCATGCAGTTACCCAGCAGATGAGGCTACAGTGTCACAAATCGCATCCTTGGTTTTTTAGTAATAACTATTTCTGGTAGATTTAGATCTTGATTCCCAGGGTGAAAAGAAATACAGTACAAATGACTGCCACTGTGTCTGTCACATAATCCAGGCAGCTGATGGCTATCTGGTTCATACACAGTTAGTGGGTAAGAAATGCACATACTGAATAAAGGGAGGGCAGCATGGGAGATAAGTATCAGAAACAAGGGTTCTAAATGTTTAGTACTTTGATTTTTCTTCTGTAAAATATGAATTCCCATCATTACTACAAAACAAAAGCTTGTCTAATAAAAAATAAACACACATGTGCTCTCTTTACACCTTCTTTACCTCACAAATGGACAGTCTCTCACCATCTCTATACATTTTCTACATCTGAAAAAACAGAAGTGGGTTTATTTCTTCTCATTTTTGATAACTTGTCTTCCATATTCAAAAATATATAGAAAAGTCTTCTACGAACTTTCAGAGTCTGTCCAACTTATGAAACATGAAACCTAAGATAATTCTAAAATAAATCCTCTGTCATCTCCATGTCTCTATCTGGACTTGGTGCTTCTATCTCCAGCCTTCCACCTCGCTAAGGTCCCACTTCACCTGAAGTTCAGTTCAAATCAATCCAGCTTGTCTTCATTTAATCATCTAGTGCCCAGCTAGTACTCGGGAAAAAAGGATTTAAAATCATTCCATATACTTTTTTTTTGCTAATACTTAGAAAGTACACAGGAACGTTGTCCGATGCTGAGAATTTATAGAGGGCATTCTCTTTTAAAATCAGTCCCTGAAATCAGCTGGGGGTGGTGGCGGGTGCCTGTAATCCCAGCTACTCGGGAGGCTGAGGCAGGAGAATTGTTTGAACCCAGGGGGCGGAGATTGCAGTGCGCCAACATTGCGCCATTGCACTCTATCTAGCCTGGGAGACAAGAGAGAAACTCTGTCTCAAAAAAAAAAATAAATAAAAAATAAATAAATAAATAAATAAATAAATCCTTGTTTTTCTTTAGGGATGTTCTTATCACTCTTATTATACTTTTTGAGATAATTGTTGATTCGTACACATTTGTAGGAAATAATTCAGAGATATCTCATGTATCTTTTTCTAGTAACTTTCAGTAAGTTAAATTTGCTTATGGTTTTATAGTTTATAAAATGCCTTAATACATCTCGTTTAATTTTCACATTATCTCATTTAATCTTGAATCCTAACAATAACCCAAGGAGCTAACTATTTTTATTAACCCCATTTTACAGAAGAGAAAGTGGAGGCTCAAATATTTTACTTGATTTGTATATATCACAAAGCCAACAAGTAGCAAAGCTGAAGCACTAACTCGGGTTTTAAAATTTTTGCTTCAAATTCAATGCACCTTCTTTATATCACATGCATTTACTGCAAGTTGAATTTTGTTAAACTAAAAACATGCTGACAATTGTACTGAAAAAAGGGGAAGACTTTTTTTAAAAAAGGACCAAAAATTAAAAACTATAAATGTAGGGGAGTTTTCTTGTAATCAAATATCTGCTACATGAGCAGCTAGTGAGTGAACAATTTTTGTCTCTTTTTAAACTGATAATAAAGCATTTACATATTTTACTCTTTTGACCACAAACACACTGGATTACTTTTAGTATTTTATAATTTTTACAGTTTGGAAGAAACGATGTTTCTGAAATTAATTTCCCAACAGCAGAAACGTAGATTTATAGCAGGTTTGAGAAAAACAAGTATATATATTAAAAAAAAAAAAAAAACTGTAACAGGAAAAGGCAGAACAAGTACCAGTCATCATAAATTTTTATCTTCTCAACATGTTATGTAAGTGTTTACTAGTCTATGAACTCTCAGGAAAAAGACTTTTTGACAAAAGGTCATCAAATGTGGACTCACCACTGTGACTGGATGATGTTTTTCCACAACAACTGAGCTCATGGGAGGAGAAACTCCCATTATAGCTAAACTGCTGCTAATTCTATTTTTTGAAGCAAAATCACATCTTCCTGTGATCCGGGCTGTAATAGTTCTTCCTGCTTTCTGTTGTGCAGAGGTTACAACTCTTGGCACATACTAAGAAGAAAAAAAAATAAAAGAAGTAACAAGGTGGCAGAAAATCCACAGCAAAATCTATTGATTCCATAAATTATGAAGAATACACAGGCACTTAAAATAACTGTATGTTCAACCAACTTTAACATGGAAAAAACAAAATCACAAGACGAAAAGCAAAACAAAACTGAACACCCCAAAATATCCCTTTAACCTGAGTATGCCAACGATTTTATAAGATTTTAGAAACTTAAAAAACCAACTTTTTTTTTTTAAATGATAGATTTATAGAAAGACACAGAGATCATATTGAAAAGTACTGTGTGCTCTTCACCCAGTTTCCTGCCATGGTTACATCTGACATAATTAGAATATAACAAAGTCAAAACCAGGAAGCTCACCATGAGATAATGCCTGTGTATAGATCTCTGTCATTTTATCACCTAAGTTCCTGTTAACTATCACTCAATCAAGATACAGAATACTCATCACCACGAAGATCTCCCTCGTGCCACCCTTGACAGTCATATCCATCTCTCTGTTCCTTCCCCAACCATCCTTAACCTCTGGAAACCATTAATCTGTTTTATGGACTCTTTGATCCTTAAGCATAATTAATATTATCATTACACATATGCTTCTGTGTTCTGCCTTTTTTCCTTCTCATTTTATTAATATACTTTTTTTTACGAGGTAATACAGAGACCTGCTATAGTTCTTAATGAGATGGTTTTTATACCAACATACTACTTTGTCTTTCTTTTTCTATTACATTTAGCACATTTTGCAAAAGAAAAATCCTCTTTTGAGAGTTACTTCTGTATAATAAAAATATATTGCAAACAATGGAACGATCATATCAAAAAGTATTATCAGCTTTTATAGCTTTTGCTGCTTATCGCTGGATAATACTCCAGAAAAATATTTACAGCAGGAATAACACGTAAGTGGACTATTTTTCCACTGTCAATCAATTACACAGCCGCCTGTTTAAGTCTGAGGTGAAATCTACTATTCAAGTTGTGGTTCTTTATTAATGTTTCATATTTGTATTCCATTTTGTCAACTATTCATCTTATTTGCTAAGAATTGAAAGGATATTAATATTTAAATTTAATAGTTCCTGACGAGTACTAAACTCATTTAATAATTATAGATACTTATCTCAGAGTGTAAACGATTTCCCCATTTCATGTATTTGTCTTAATTTTCAATGCACATCCATTTTTTTAAGTTGTGGTTAATCCTGTCATTAATTTCCTCTTGCTTCCATGATGAAACCAAAACCAGCTTTGGACAGCTGAGGTAGTTATATTCTTATAACATTTACTTATTTTGGCTTAGCTTATTAAAACATTTGAAATTCCAGTGTGAAGTATTAATCTAAATTCATTTTTTCTCTAAACAGTTTTTCCAAAGGCATTTATTAAGTATCAATCTTTTCCCGATTATTATAGTTCATCTGTGATTCTCCATATAGCTGCATCTAGCTACACACAGTCACAGCTGTATACTGAAATGGGAAGAGAGTGGGCTTCAGGAGAGATGTCTCTGGGAAAATTAAAATGACAGAGTATTGATGTTTTTGGAAGACCCTATGGAAAACAGCATTCAGTGGGGTTTTGTAATCCTTGGAGAGTTTGGAAATAATTCACTATAGTTGGATAGAAAACCGAAGATAAAAATGAAGCAATTAATTCTAAGAACAAAACATTATACCAGAAAGGAAATGTAGTCATAGTACACATTCATGGCTTAGCTATATTAGTAATCATAAATGATTTAATCTGAAATGGGAATATCTATAACATACAGGGAGGATAAGGAAAGTGAAGAGAGAGAGAAGGAATAAGGTGGCATCAGGAGGCCAAGTCCTCTTATCTGTAATAAGTTAACAGATAATGTTTGAAATTAATAAATGTAGAAATAATGATATAAACATACTATTTAGGAAAAAATGGAAACAGAAGAAACAGCTAACAGAGTTAGGGAGAGGAATTTAGAAGACTGTTTCTCACTATAGTCCTTGTAAAAATGATTTGGCTTTTTAAACCATAAACTTCTATGGATCTTATGAAATTGAAAAACTAAATCTCAGATTTAAAAATATTTACAAATATGTTTTTGTGGACTAAATTCATGCTTCTGGCCTGAGGGAAACTTTGTCCTATTACTTATTACAATAAGGGACAAAAAAGATTTTACAAACTCCTGAAGATGCTTAAATGCTATTTCAAAATAGAAAACTAATTGCTGGCAGGAATATTCTTTGCCAAAATGTGGAAATAAGTACAATTGAGTTTGTAACTTTCCTCCTGCCCAATCACGCTTGAGGGGTGTCCTCTCAGTAGCCATGATTCTCACCTGGAGCTTCAGGTGTGAATGAAAAACTAGAGAAGTCTGGACTGAAGAAAATTAGAGTAGCAGGAAAAATGCTCATAGATGATAAGCTTCATTCAACCCAGCTCAGAATTGCTTTAGAATGCCTTCAATAATTTGAAAATATATACTCCTGTAAATAAAATGACTTCTAAAAGACTTCTAAAAGAAATCTCTATACGCTCATTGAATTAAATAGAAGTTGTCTTAAATGGCTCGCATGTTTACTGTCGGCTGCTTGTTTTCAGATGGTTTGTCACTTGTACTTGTTAATGTTTATTTAATGTATTAAAAATTGTATAAATTGATGAAAAAGTTGAAAATGCATAAGGACAATTTAGAAATAATTCATAAAGATAAATTATTAGAAAAAAGTTGCTACTAATCAGGGGGAGGAAAGAAAAACCTAGAAGGATTCTCTAATCAGATTGTTTGGAAAGTTTTGTTAGGTTCATGCTTTACAGAAACTGAAATTGGAGATCATAGAAAATATATTGGGTGTGGTTTATATTAAAAAGATGACAATTACAATCTTTGACCCCACATTCAGTTTGGCTCCACATTTAAAACCAGCAAATTAATACATATTTATGTTTTAGGATAAAATAATGCATTAGGTATGTATCATTCTCTGCAAATTAAATGACCACTTACTGGTACCAATCATGTTGGAGTTCATTAAATTTATCAGCTTAGCTGACTTTAAAAAATGCTATAAAAATAAAAATTCTAGCATTTTAAGCCACATCAACATAAGCAACAAAATTGAAAGGAGTAAGAAAAAAAATGAAATGACATTAAAAACAGTATTTGTAGCTTAATATTTGACAGAGAGACAGTACAGATCATTGGTTAAGAGTAAGAGGTCTAAATCAGATTTTCAAAGTCTGAATTCCAAATCAGTTACTAATCGTGTCCTTAGGCAAGTTGCATACTCTCTAAGCCTCAATTTCTTCATTTATAAAATGGAGAACGCAGTACCAACTCCCTAATGATACCCTTTCACTTTCTATTCAAATGAAGAGGAAAATTAGAAGAGAAACTTTACTAAAGGTCTTTACCAAATAGCTTTAAAATTCAGTGAAAAATATTTCCCCTCAATTATTCCAATTGAAGTTAGAAAAAGAATAAAATGCCATCTACTGTTCAACTTTATGAACTGCAATATGCTTGCTTGTATAACTGTCCAGCCTTTTTTGAAAAATGGTTTCCACCATGAAATTCTGATATTGTCTTTAACATACTGAGGATGTCTGCATTAAAGAAAATCATTTTAATATTATTATTTTTTAAATAATTTTATTTAAATTTAAATAATTTTTTAAAATAATAATATTTTAAAATAAGATATTATTTTATTAGCATGGTAATCTTCCATTCTCCAGTTATTTGTTTGCTAATTCTCTGTACTTTCTGGACCTATCTCCTTTTAGCTACTGGAAATACCAAGAAAAACTGAAAAAAATTTTTGAATGTTCATAGGAAGCCTCTGTGATTAAAATGACAAGAAAGATAACCAAGCCAGGATTGCAAATCTCTCTCTTCTTTTCCTATTCCCAACAATGATGGTTTCACAGTAAGTTAGCCAACTACTGGATTTATTCCTACTTTTGTTATCAAGTTTCTTTTAAAAACAAAAACACATATTTGAGGTAAATCTGAGTATTTCAACTATATAAGGAAGGAAGAAAACTAAGATTATACTTAGAGATAGATTTAATTGTGATTCTCTTTTCTCCCTGGCCCTAAAGGCCACTTACTTATGTGACTGAAATGGAGTGTGTATCTGTTTTTGAAGAAGTGGATATAGTGGGATAGGGCAGACAGGGAAGGGCTGTCTACAGAATATTATGGTTTTCAGGTTTCAAAGACTTCAACACTATCTCCGATGACCAGATTATTCAAAAAGTTAGCAATAAAAAGGGTGCTAAGCAAACTCATTCATTCAGTTCTTCCCATACATATTCAGGTTTACATATAAATGCAGATGTACCCATGAAGTTACATTTTAGGAAGAGAATTTTGAAAAATCTAGCTCCGCGTGTGTTAACTGCATATGCAAGATGAATGAGAAACCAGAACATAAACACAGTGAGTGAATGTTTAAATGAGGTCATCTGTGCAGGATCACACTTCAAAATGTGTAATCATGGAAAACAAACACAGCTGAAAATATGTCAGAGTTGAATTTTAGTGTTTTATTTCTTTCTTTTTTTTTTTTTTTTGAGACAGAGTCTCACTCTGTCACCCAGGCTGCAGTGCAATGGCATGATCTTGGCTCACCGCAATCTCTGCCTCCCGGGTTCAAGTGATTCTTCCACCTCGGCCTCCTGAGTAGCTGGGATTACAGGCGCATGCCACCACGCCCGGCTAATTTTTTTGTATTTTTGTAGAGACAGGGTTTCACCACATTGGCCAGCGTGGTCTCAATCTCCTGACCTTGTGATCCACCTGCCTCGGCCTCCCAGAGTGCTGGGATTACAGGCGTGAGCCACTGTGCTCGGCCAATGTCTTATTTCTAAGTCACAGCTCCCCCACATAAATTTCTCTTAGCCATGTGCTAGATATTTTTCAAACTCTTTGTGTCAATAATTGGTAAATAACTGATCTCAATGTATTTTCTCCCAAAGTTAGTAGCTCTCGAAAGGTAAAAATTCAAACCTGTTAGAATACTAAAGGTGACCACTTGTCTGTCTCAATACCTCCTTTAGCTACAGACAGCCGTCCAGAGCAATGGCACCTTCTGATGGCCTGCCAAGGGAATTTTAAGACCTAAAACTTATTCTGCCTCTTCTTTCCTCTTATGTAAGTGGTTAGGAGTTGGGGAGAAGAGGAAGACAAGCAAATCAGAATCATCTCAGGAGCTTTATAAAACTATACATGCCTTTATACCAGATCCACACCACAGCAGGAAAGAAGTTAACAGTGTTGTTTTTTTTTTTTTTTGAGACAGTCTCGCTGTGTCGCCCAGGCTGAAGTGCAGTGGCGTGATCTCAGCTCACTGCAACCTCTGCCTCCCTGGTTCAAGCAATTCTATGCCTCAGCCTCCCAAGTAGCTGGGATTACAGGTGCCCACCACCATGCCCGGCTAATTTTTTATATTTTTAGTAGAGACAGGATTTCACCATCTTGGCCAGGCTGGTCTTGAACTCCTGACCTCGTGATCCACCCTCCTCAGCCTCCCAAAGTGTTGGGATTACAGGCATGAGCCGCCGCGCATGGCTTTTTTTAAACTGACTAACTAATCACTGCTAGCTCTGCACAGGTGAGTCTGATAAGCTTGGCTTGCATCTGTACTCCACCCTTACTTGAGAAACATGGTTTGCAGAATACAAGTTTAACAACAGGAGGCTAAGGAGTTAGAGCCACGATGTGCTTCATCTGAAACTCTAGTTAAAAAAAAAAAAAAAATTAGAGACAGGGTCTTGCTCGTTGCCCAGGCTGGAGTGCAGTGGTGCAGTCATAACTCATAGTAACCTTGAACTCTTGGGCTCAAGCGATCCTCCTGCCTCAGCCTCCTGAGTAGCTGGGAGTACAAGTGCACAGCACCATGCCTGACTAATTTTCTACTTTTTTGTAAAGATGAGGTCTCGCTATATTGCCCAGCCTGGTCTCAAACTTCTGGCCTCAAGCAAACCTTTCACCTCAGCCTCTCAAAGTACTGGGATTACAGGTGTGAGCCAATATGCCCGGCCTCTTACCATATTAACAGCTTGATCAATTTCATTTCAGGCAAGTTCTCACACAAACCTTCCATCCCCATTTAACACTATCCTCTTGGCACTTCTCTAATAGCAGCTCACTGATTCTAGGAAAAACTATTCCTCTCCATTCCAATTACAAATTACAAATTAAAACTCGATCAAGATGGAGTTACTACAGAGCAGTGTTAGTGATATATCTGCATTTAGGAAAAAGGAAAGGTGTTAGCTGAATAGAAAATATAAAATTAAATATACATTAACCTCCCACACCTTTGAAAACACCCAATAGTGTTCTTCAAACATAGTCTGTCCTTCACTCTTTCTCAAATTAAATCTACTTTTCCTACATAATTTTTTTTTTTTTTTTTTTGCGACGGAGTTTCACTCTTGTTGCCCAGGCTGGAGTGCAATGGCATCATCTTGGCTCACTGCAACTTCGCCTCCGGGGTTCAAGCAATTCTCCTGCCTCAGCCTCCCGAGTAGATGGGATTACAGGCACACACCACCACGCTCGGCTAATTTTTTGTATTTTTAGTAGAGGCGGGGTTTCACCATGGCCAGGCTGGTCTTGAACTTCTGACCTCAGGTGATCCGCCCACCTCGGCCTCCCAGAGTGCTGGGATTACAGGCGTGAGCCACCGCGCCCGGCTCCTACATAATTTTTGAAAAATATAAAAAAGTTCTTTGTCTTAATTATCACTACTATGACAGCACTTTCAGGTATTTTCATTACAATTTAATGCTCTAGTCACTTTGTGTATTAAATATTTTCAGTGACTTTGCCTAAATACCACAGATTTTTTTTTTCTCCATAGGAAAATATTTTATGAGTTCAAAATATTAAATTTACAAACAAGCTTTTTTTTTTTTTTTGAGATGGAGTCTCGCTCTGTTGCCCAGGCTGGAGTGCAGTGGCGCGATCTCGGCTCACTGCAAGCTCTGTCTACAGGGTTCACGCCATTCTCCTGCCTTGGCCTCCTGAGTAGCTGGGACTACAGGCGGCTGCCACCACACCCGGCTAATTTTTCGTATTTTTAGTAGAGACGGGGTTTCACCGTGTTAGCCAGGATGGTCTCGATCTCCTGACCTCGTGATCCACCTGCCTCGGCCTCCCAAAGTGCTGGGATTACAGGTGTGAGCCACTGGGCCTGGCCGCCCTTTTCATAAGGTGGGACCTGTATAAACTGTACTAACCATTTCTTCTGATGCAGCAGTAGCTGCAGATCCTGCACCAAGAGCAGAAACAGGAACGTGAACAGAAGATGCGGAAGCAGCCCTGGTAGAAGTCATCGAAGCAGCTGAGGGAACGGCAGTCGCGCTGGCTCCTCCGACGGCGGCTGGTGGGGATGGCAGCAGTGGTGATGTAACTGGTAAGGGCATCGGAGGAGCTGAAGGATCCAAATGAGCAGAATGTTCTTTTCCTTGAACACCAGGACCATACTCTTCCTTTTTATTATTTGTGGAGTCTATCCCTATAAATCACAAATTAATTCCATTCAAATTCTTCCAGGTTAGGACTACTATTATCTTCCAAACAATGAAAACACATACTGGCTAAAGTTTGGTCCTAACAAAAATTTAGATGTTTACAGTATATTAGATACAATGTTCAGTTAATACAGTTTGTCAGTATTAACTGGTTAATGTCAGCATTAACCACTAAAAACTTCAGACTACTTCCTTCCACATGTGAAAGCTAATGGATCATTTGTTCTTAAATAAAAGATGAAAATAAATTATGTACTCAGCTGGGACCTTAGCTAAGTAGAGTATATTGCCATCACAACTGTCACAAAAAATATGATCACAGTGAGCCTGGAGATCTAGGTTCCTTTGTATTAGTTCATACAAATATCCTGATAGATGGCCAAAATGACCTGCAATCAATCTTTAGAACCACTTTCTGATATCACTATACTCCCTCATTTTCATGTATTGCGCCTATCCTAACAATTTATTTTTGTTCTTGAGTCGTCAGAAAACAAAAATAAATCAATAAAACTAAAATCTTCACTTTTTACACTGTAAAAGAAATGGGTTCTTGCAGATAAATTATATAAATCATAAGAGCATATTTGTGCACCTAACTGATTTGTAGTGACACCCCAATCACTAACCTTCCCTCAAAACTGAACCTTAATCTTGATCTAAGGAGCCAATAATGTCAAATTCCAGGGCTAGTACAAAGGGTTTCTTCCAATTTTAGATGTTTTCGCTCCAGTATTATAATTTGGTTAGTTTCTGCTTAAGACTGTATCTGTGTGGTATCAAACAGTGTGGTGAGGGTTTAGAAATTCAGTCAATGAGCTGTTTCAGAACATCTGAACAGAGGGCATTATGTAAGTTGTATGTTTAAATGGTTTTCTATGTAGTTCTCTTTCCCTCCAGAAATTTGGGCCTCTGCATAAGTCCTTTCCTTAGACTATCTGTATAGAAAATTTGCAGAGTATTAGTTAGTTAGCTTATTTAAGAAGTTTAACAATGATTACAGTGCCTACCTAGATCCTTTGAACTCCTCTGATGAAAGGGACTAATTCAATATAAAATACTTTTAATTTGAAAACAAAACACACACTGAGTTTTAACTTGTTTTGGTAGAGATTCTGAGTGTCTATCTTTAGATGGTGGCAGACATTAGGAGATGTAGAAACAGTATGAAGGTCAGGGAAGAGAGGCAGGTGATCAACTCTTGCTAATATAGGCTGATATCAGATAACTCTTAAGTTTAATAATTAATCTCATTTTAGCTGGAATAAATTTTTCACTTGTCAAGTATTTTTTTTTACTGTGCCTAATTGGCACAGTAAAATTGGCAGATATAATTTTAAGGACTTTTTGTCATGTTCTAACTTCTTCATAAAAACCTCTAATTTGTAAGATTTAAGATACTGCACAACATGAGAGGTACTGCAAATTACAGACAGCAAAGAATCGGTACAAATAAAAAACCAAATATTTATTTTGCTCTAACAAGACAGATGCATTAGGAACTTTACATTATTAAAAACTGCATTATAAAAAACAATTTTTTTTTTTGTGAGATAGTCTCGCTCTGTCGCCCAGGCTGAAGTGCAGTGGCATGATCTCAGCTCACTGCAACCTCTGCCTCCTGGGTTCACGCCATTCTTCTGCCTCAGCCTCCTGAGTAGCTGGGACTACAGGTGCCTGCCACCACGCCCGGCTAATTTTTTGTATTTTTAGTAGAGACGGGATTTCACCATGTTAGCCAGGATCGTCTCGATCTCCTGACCTCGTGATCCACTCACCTCGGCCTCCCAAAGTGCTGGGATTACAGGTGTGAGCGACCGCGCCTGGCCTATAAAAAACAGTTGTTTTAATAGAAGGGGGCCAAAAGTAATTTTTTTTTCTTATGAGAACTAAAAAAAATAGGTGTCATTAAAATGTCATAAAACCTAAATATCACAAAGCAGATCCACTGAATTATACTGAACTTTTTTGCCTTTGGTAGCTCTACCAACATTATTGCTAATGCATGCTTTACCATTCTTGTCATCTTTCTCATCGATTGTTTCAAAAGTAACAGGAGCAAAAGAAATCATGTTGTGTAATTAGCAGAAGACATTTTCTTCAAATCCTCTTATGGATATTGGCCTTTAGGAGACACAGTTGCATTTCAATTTACATTTTAAGATGGTAAATGTATTAAGGTGGGAAATACTCCTAAGTCAATTCAAAATCTTTTTAAGTAGGTTATAAGAAACAGGTTTCTTGTAATTTAATGTAAGAAGTTCTAATAGGAATTTGTCACTTTACTTGTGAAACTCATATTTCTCCCAAGTAAACAATTAAATTTCTCAATTTGTGACACACAACTTGCTGATACTTAGAACTGAAACAGACTATTCTATCATTGAAGGTGGTGAGTTTGTTTTCAACCCTGATACTCAAATAAAAGACCATTTATTGGAAAAATCAAGTACTCACCTAGGTATTACCAAAATAAACTATTCAGCCTTGAGATTCCATGATTCTCAGTTTCTAAATTAAATATGGCCCACAAACCACAACCACTTCAGATAGAAAGCAATTTGCCTAAACTTACTCCTATCCACAATATGCATGCTTTAAATAATAAATGTTTGTTGATGTTTTAAAATAAGGGCATCACAAGCACAGAGAAGTTATTCATTGGATTGAAATCATGTTAATCATTTACAAAATCTTGAGACGTTGACTTGAATTAAAACTATTAATAATTACATCATGACTATCATCTTACACGTTAAAGTGCATTTTGTCTTTTAAAGTGTTTTCAGATATGTTTTACTGCATCCCACAAGAAGCCCCTAGGAAGCAGGTAAGGAAGGTTTATATTATCTCCTTCGCTCAGAGAAGAAATCTAAGGCCGAATGAGGAAAACAGGCCCCTGGGTAAATTGGTGGCAAAGGATTCTAGTTATGGGCTTTTCTACGCCATGCTGACAAAACTACTACACAAACCACTCTTATGTCAGACAATATGTGGATTTTTAAAAAAAATAAAATTACTTCTATAGATAGGTCTATATTTATGTTTGCTGCAATGAGCTTAGTTGAGGCCTTTCATAAACAGGAAGATTAGGAATTTCTAAAATGAGAAACCATGACTAGATAACAAATACTTACCAAAATAGTCCAAAATATTTGGCTACTTAAGAAAAGACAAAATTAGAAGTTTTGTACTTAAAAAGGCATTAAAATTCTTAGTTAAAAGAGATTTAAAATAATGCTATACATTAAAATATTATTTTCAACATTTAGCTTAAATACTTAGGAGTGACAGTGTACTTGATCAGATCTAAGATACCATAAGTAACCATGACTGAGCTCATTTTCATGGCAGATTTAAGTCTGGATATGACACCATAGAATTAAGAATAGCAGCACCTGGATGAAACATACCTACTGCAGATTATTTGTACTGTAGACCATACCAATCACCAAAATCTCCTCAAATCTTTTTTTGAAATTAGGCAGAGAAACTTTAATGAAATACTAACCTGCATCATTTCTGTTTTGAAATATAGTCATGGCTTCAAGATTTAATGCACATACACCCCTCATGAAAGCTTTTTTCATGGAATCTTCAAAGTGCTCTTTTTCATGTTGCATTCTTTGAATCTCAGCTTTTGCATTTTCCAAAGCTCCAGATAACTAAAATAAGAATGTTTAAAAAGCAAAACAATTTGAGATACAAAGAAGAATACTGTCAAAAAAATAGATATATACTTTGAGATTATTCTCATGTGAAATATTAAAAAGTTTGTCACTTACCTCTTCTGCTATGTGCAATTTATTTTAAAAGGTACCTCTTACCTCTATTATCTCCATCAACAAAATGCTTTCATTCCTAACCTTAAAATCAAGGTTCAAACAAGGGGAATTTTATCCAGTCCCATTGAATATTGCTGATGTATTTTCATTTCACAAAAAGATACACCATTTTTTACTGTAAAACTTTTATGTAGGATGTTAAACAAAATACATTAAGAGCCACAGACAGCCCTTTCAGAAAAAAATAAAATAAACTACATGCCTGCAATATTAACAGAATTTTTATAATGTAAATGTTACCTTCAGTATTTGAAGTGCAGAGTGACCCTAGGTACAACACACTTTCCCATAGGCCAAACCTCAGGGGACTGCATTTTTTGCATGTCGTAGTGAACTGCAGAAAATTATTTGTATTATGGATTTATTTTTAATCTTAACAATTTAATGCTGTAATGAGTTATTTTTTCATTTTAATATTTAACTTCAAGAGGCCTATTGCATTCTTTAGAATGGATTTTATTTCATTTCAATTCCAAATGTTTTCCCATGAAAACAATGTTAATTTTATTATTAAAAGTCAATGGGAAAAAATAATTTCAATTTCTTTTTTTCTTTTTTGAGATGGATTTCTGCTCTTGTTGCCTAGGTTGGAGTGCAACAGTGTGATATAGCTCACTGCAACTTCTGCCTCCCAGGTTCAAAAGATTATCCTGCCTCAGCCTCCCGAGTAGCGGGTATTATAGGCATGTGCCACCATACCCAGCTAATTTTTTTAGTAGAGACGGGGTTTCACCATGTTGACCAGGCTGGTCTCAAACTCCTGACTCAGGTGATCTGCCCGCCTCGGCCTCCCAAAGTGCTGGGTCTACAGGAGTGAGGCACCGCGCCCAACTAATAATTTCAATTTCTATACAACTCCTTATATCAACCATGTAAGAATATACAATAAACATTAAATTAACACAAGAATAAACGTTTTCATTTTTTTGTCTGCATTCTTGATTAAAGACCAAAAGAAGAAGTCTATTAATTAATAGTGAGTCTATCTATCTTTTTATTGTATTAGAAGAAAGTGAAAACCAGAAAAAGATGCTTACCATAGCAACTTTGGCTTCATAATCATTGGAAATCTGGATACAAACTTCTTCAGCTCTTGCTTGACAAGCTCTTTCTACCACATCTTTCCACTGCTTTTGCACTACGGAACGCCAGACTTTCCAGACTTTCTTCAGTAAAGTTCTCTGGTAGTACTGGTCAGCTAGTTTACCTTCATAAACCTAAATAAAAGTAAAATATAACTTCAAAAACACAGTTGATTGATAAATATATTGGTAGTAATAATAAACATAACATGGTGGTAAGTGTACATATACACATTATTTAATTCTATGTAATCATATTATTCTCATCTTGCATATAGGAGAACAGGCTTAGAGAGGTTAAGCAAGCTACGTAGTTCACATAAGTAGATGAGTAAAGCCAGACTTGCCTGACTCCAGAGACTGAGCTCTTATCCATTACATCATTGCTTTATGCAACTAATCAAGTTAGAGAAAAAGAATACAACCAAATGAAAGAAAATGAGCAAATCACCACTTGCCATCTTAGTTATGAATTTAGCAGGACCAGGAGAATAACAGAGTGGCTAGAAGGCAGGAAATGGTGGTGGCTGTGGCTTCAGATGACACTGCTTTCTCTTCAGTTTGATGGCCACCACAAGCAAGATTTAATTTATAAACCCTGCCATCATATATGGTGCCAATCCAAATAAAAACTTATGCTATTTTTCTTTTATCAATGAATTTAAATTCTTTTGAAGAAGTAGTTCCAATTCTCAATTTCTTCAGTTTGAAAAACTATCCAAAAGTGACAGTAGCCTCAACTATTCTGGCTAACATTTAAAAATAAATATGTATTCTCATTATTTCACTTGACAAGTTTCAAAGTAGAGTATAAATATTCATTTTAACCAGCTTACTTAATGTGGATTTAATCTACTGGGATTAATTAAAAAAATGAAAAATCCAGAAAGTATTCTTAAAGGAGAAATCTTATTCCAGGATAAAGTAGGTTGAGCATCTCTAATCCAAAAATCTGAAACTTTTTGAGTGTCAGCATGACACCACAAGTGAAAAATTCCACACAGAAGTACTTAACACAAACTTTGTTTCATGCATAAAATTATTAAAAATATTGTATACAATTACCTTAGGCTATATGTATAAGGTGAAATATGAAACATAAATGAATTTTGTGCATAAGGTGTGATATGAAACATAATCTAAAATCCAAAATTCTCCTGGTGCCAAACATTTTGGATAAGGGATACTCAACCTGTACTAGCTTTTTCCTTAAATACTAATCTCTTGGAAACTAAATACACAGAGATTATTCCATAGCTCACATGAATATACATGGAAAGCATATATATATATATTCATCTCCTATATTCATGTGTCTCTAAACTATGTCTTGTTGTGGGATATACTCATACTTTTCCACTTTTGATACAACAATTTAGTATTCTCTTTCAGTTCACTATTTACTGATATACCAACTCAGCTCTTACTTAAAATAAAAGATGTTCAAGTTTAAATGATATACTACAAGCTAAGGATAACTTTTAAAAAGCTGTACAGGTATGGCTTTCTCTGACTCTCACTCTAAGGCAAGTCTACATAACAAACATTTATACTGTGATTTAATGTATAAATATAGTAAAGCCTCTTTATGAATAAGTTGTATTCAGGCATTTTAAAAGTAGAAACAATATAGGAAGCATTTGATATGTTAAACATAACTTCTTTCTCCAATAACCACATCTGAGGGGGTTCTATTACCAGGGCCTTTACAATTTAGGAACAATCCTTATTAACCTACTATGAAGCAGGAAATGATGTATCTATTGTAATATATATATATTATATGTCAATAAGATCTAAACTGTATTTTTTCCAAACTACATCAAAATCAAATTCCTTTGAAATAAGAGGAACATTAAATCACAAATTCATTTTGACTTATTAGAAAACAACTATAATAAGTGATCCTGAGCACTTCTGAATTCAGAAGTCTAACATCCATCAGCTGTCTTCTGCTTTGACACTTACATCCTGTCTGGCTCTGACATGGCCGATTCGCCAGTGGAAGAATGTTCTCATCAACTCTATCTTTTCCTTTTGCTTGCCTATGGCATGAGACAAGCTAGAAATCACCTGTAAACAGCAATTAACCCAATTATTGTGATATTAAAATAACAGCAATTGGTAAAGTGATTTTCTCATATATCAAAAAATGCTAGAGAGGATAGGTATGGATCACTACTATATTCATTCAGTTAACCTCATTATTATCTTTAAAAAGATGGTAAAACTTTCTCACATGAATATACTAGATATCAACTAATGAAAGGGAACAAAAGAAGAAGGAAGTCTTCATTATGTGTATATGGTAATCACCAATAAAAAGTTTATGTATATGCAAATTAGCTACTGACATTCAATTCAGGTAAAACAATTATACATTTGAAAGTTCTCCTATATACACCATGTCTTTATTCACTAGATTTGAGGGCAGGGGCCAGAATATTTAGATATTTAAATATCTTTCTGGTCCCTACTACTATCTTGGATATAGAAGTTCCTCAACGACTGTCCAATGATTTTCTGGATTAAACAAACCTATAAAAGCAAATAATAGTTATATATGTAACTATTAATATGTTATAGTTATATATATAACTATATATTATATATGTTATATATACCTATTAATAACATGTTATACATATAACTATTAATAACATATATAACATATGTCATACATAAAATGTTATATATATAAGTAAATATATATAATTAATGTTATACATATAACATATTAATAACATTATATATAACTAATGTTATTAATGTTATATGTTGATGTACTTCTTCAGTGATATTATTACTCTTGTTCTTAAAAAAAAATTCAGAAGGCTTTAAAATCCTAAGATAATATTCTCTCTTATAAAAGAACTGAATAACTGAAATAAATTTCTAAAAATAGTCACATTAGAAAGAGATTTTGTAAATTGGGCACATTTACCAAGAGATATTTATAACTGCTCTTTAAATAATTTCCAGAGAGGAAAAGGGCATACATTCTAAGCTACTGGAAATATTCTATGTGTTAAGCTGAATCGTAGTACCTGTCTATCCACTTTACTCATTCTCATAAACTGAACATATGATATCTATATTCTTTGTGATACTTCAAAATAAAAAAATTAAACTTAAAAACCATGGGACAGAATTTTGAGTATAACAAAGAAAATGACTGACATTAAAATCCATTGTTTCAAAAAAAATTCTATAAAATGTTCAATTTTATACGAAATCAAGGTATGTTTAAAAAAATTATAATCTTTAATTCATGAAAACACTTAAGTGCTACTTCTGCAGACAAGCAGCTGAGGTGTCTGCCCAAGTCCTCCTCTTCTGAACAACACCACTCTCCTATCCATAAGTGGATGCCCCTCCGGACATCCATTTATAGCCGGGCACAGATTTGTTGCCCATCTGCTTTGCTCCAGGTACTGTGTCAGGAGGCAAAAAATTAGCACAGACTTGAATCTTACCCTCGAATTCTTAAGAAGCTAAAGGAAAGTGAAATAAAAGATGTTTTCTGTGTTTATCAATAAAATGAAGAAAGCCTTCATTAATGAAAACACATCCATCACAGATAGAATTTGAGATGCTTAAACCCAAGCATGGTGGTATGCACTTGCAGTCCCTGGCAGGGGCTGAGGCAGGAGGTTCACTTGAGCCCCGGAGTTTGAGATTGTAGTGAGCTATGATTATGCCTATGAATAGCCACTGCTCTCCACTCTGGGCAACATAGCAAGACCCTGTTTCAAAAAGAGAGAGATTAAAAAAAGAATGTGAGATCCTTAAAATGACCCCTAAAAGGATGGTTTAAAATGTAGATAATGCTCGTTCCTTCACGTTCGCTTAAGGTTAGGAAGAAAGGATTAGAAAGAAAAAAACTAGTGTACTTACATTTAGCACATACTCTTTTTAAAAAAAAATTTTTTTTAAATTGACAAATCATAATAGTTTTATACATTTATGGGTTACAAGGTGATGTTTTAATGTAGTTTACAAAGCAAACACTCTTAAAACATCAAGAACACAGAAGTCAATGGTGAGGGTAAAATGACATTATGCTGATATGTTTAATAGGAAGAATAAATCCAATGGCTATGAATTTTTCTGTCAGTTTCTGATAGAACCTGTATCTTGTATGAGGTAAATAATCATTTCTTAGAATTTATTATCTAGCAAGACATTTACTGAATCTCAGTTAAAAAGAAATATAAAAAAGAAGACCTCATCTTTTCTCCCAATGGAGATTTCAAAGGTTTTTTGCAGCTCCTTCAATTCATTGATCTGATTACACAGTTGTTTTAAATGTGCTGCATGTTTTTCTTTCTCTTTTCTCATTTCCATTCGGTGCCAGTCAATAAAATTAAGTCTCCATTTACTTAGTTCAGATATGATGTTTGTCTGAAAAATTAATATAGTGACAATTAAGTAGTTTGTTCGTTAATATCACTTCTTAAAACTACACTGAAATAAAGAAACATTAAAAAAATCAGAACAAGCATCAACACAAAAGTCATTAAAACAATTGGAACACATTAATGAAAAACATATGTAAGTTCAACAGTCACAGGTCTGTGCAGTTCACATTCATCATACTAGGGAAGCTAATTTTTTCCTATTTTAACTAATTTTGTATGAAATCTTGTTGTCACTTAAAAAAATTTCAGGTCTCATTCACTATGTTCCTTTGTTTATTCAAGGATTAAATGTCCATATGAAGATGGATCAGGAATAAAGGGAAACACATAACTATGGCATAGGCTAAGCCATACTGACTGGGAAGTTATTTAGAAATGGGTGATAGTGGAAAGAAACCATGAGAGTTGATACTTGTTTTCCCAAGCCATTTATCACAGATTATTATCTGTTATAATGGACTGCTATGTTCTGTCACCCTACTGACTGGCACAAATAAAAAGACCAAATAATAATTTGTTATTAAAAAAAAACTGGACAACATATTAACTAAACACAATTTAAATGGTTGGTGGTATAACACTCCAATTGACTTACACTATTCTAAGTATGAAACCTGTTCCAAGGGGGGAAAATGGTAAAACCATGCTGAAGAATTATTTCTAGAATTTAAGGTTCCAAATGAGGGAAAAATATAAATGCCACAGAACTCACATGGGCCATAATTTCTCTATATATGTGAATATGCAACTTAGTTTTCTCAAATTATATGTTTCAGAAAAACTGTCATTTTCTCCAGTTTTTTAATAATAGCAAAAAAAACAAAAAACAAAAAAACAAACAAAAAAAAGTGGGGGAGGAGCCAAGATGGCCGAATAGGAACAGCTCCAGTCTACAGCTCCCAGCGTGAGCAATGCAGAAGACGGGTGATTTCTGCATTTCCATCTGAGGTACCGGGTTCATCTCACTAGGGAGTGCCAGACAGTGGGCGCAGGACAGTGGGTGCATGCACCGTGCGCGAGGTGAAGCAGGGCGAGGCATTGCCTTACTCAGGAAGTGCAAGGGGTCAGGGAGTACCCTTTCCTAGTCAAAGAAAGGGGTGACAGATGGCACCTGGAAAATCGGGTCACTCCCACCCGAATACTGCGCTTTTCCGAGGGGCTTAAAAAACGGCGCAACAGAAGATTATATCCCTCACCTGGCTCAGAGGGTCCTACGCCCACGAAGTCTCACTGATTACTAGCACAGTAGTCTGAGATCAAACTGCAAGGCGGCAGCGAGGCTGGGGGAGGGGCACCCGCCATTGCCCAGGCTTGCTTAGGTAAACAAAGCAGCCCGGAAGCTCGAACTGGGTGGAGCCCACCACAGCTGAAGGAGACCTGCCTGCCTCTGTAGGCTCCACCTCTGGGGGCAGGGCACAGACAAACAAAAAGACAGCAGTAACCTCTGCAGACTTAAATGTCCCTGTCTGACAGCTTTGAAGAGAGCAGTGGTTCTCCCAGCACGCAGCTGGAGATCTGAGAACGGGCAGCCTGCCTCAAGTGGGTCCCTGACCCCTGACCTCCGAGCAGCCTAACTGGGAGGCACCCCCCAGCAGAGGCAGACTGACACCTCACACGGCCGGGTACTCCAACAGACCTGCAGCTGAGGGTCCTGTCTGTTAGAAGGAAAACTAACAAACAGAAAGGACATCCACACCAAAAACCCATCTGTACATCACCATCATCAAAGACCAAAAGTAGATAAAACCACAAAGATGGGGAAAAAACAGAGCAGAAAAACTGGAAACTCTAAAAAGCAGAGCGACTCTCCTCCTCCAAAGGATCGCAGTTCCTCACCAGCAACGGAACAAAGCTGGATGGAGAATGACTTTGACGAGCTGAGAAGGCTTCAGACGATCAAATTACTCCGAGCTACGGGAGGACATTCAAACCAAAGGCAAAGAAGTTGAAAACTTTGAAAAAAATTTAGAAGAATGTATAACTAGAATAACCAATACAGAGAAGTGCTTAAAGGAGCTGATGGAGCTGAAAACCAAGGCTCGAGAACTACGTGAAGAATGCAGAAGCCTCAGGAGCTGATGCGATCAACTGGAAGAAAGGGTATCAGCAATGGAAGATGAAATGAATGAAATGAAGCAAGAAGGGAAGTTTAGAGAAAAAAGAATAAAAAGAAACGAGCAAAGCCTCCAAGAAATATGGGACTACGTGAAAAGACCAAATCTACGTCTCATTGGTGTACCTGAAAGTGATGGGGAGAATGGAACCAAGTTGGAAAACACTCTGCAGGATATTAATCCAGGAGAACTTCCCTAATCTAGCAAGGCAGGCCAACGCTCAGATTCAGGAAATACAGAGAACGCCACAAAGATACTCCTCGAGAAGAGCAACACCAAGACACATAATTGTCAGATTCGCCAAAGTTGAAATGAAGGAAAAAATGTTAAGGGCAGCCAGAGAGAAAGGTCGGGTTACCCTCAAAGGGAAGCCCATCAGACTAACAGCTGATCTCTCAGCAGAAACTCTACAAGCCAGAAGAGAGTGGGGGCCAATATTCAACATTCTTAAAGAAAAGAATTTTCAACCCAGAATTTCATATCCAGCCAAACTAAGCTTCATAAGTGAAGGAGAAATAAAATACTTTACAGACAAGCAAAGCTGAGAGATTTTGTCACCACCAGGCCTGCCCTAAAAGAGCTCCTGAAGGAAGTGCTAAACATGGAAAGGAACAACCGGTAACACCCACTGCAAAAACATGCCAAAATGTAAAGACCATCGAGACTAGGAAGAAACTGCATCAACTAACGAGCAAAATAATCAGCTAACATCATAATGTCATTGATCCTGTCAGGATCAAATTCACACATAACAATATTAACTTTAAATGTAAATGGGCTAAATGCTCCAATTAAAAGACACAGACTGGCAAATTGGATAAAGAGTCAAGATCCATCAGTGTGCTGTATTCAGGAAACCCATCTCACGGGCAGAGACACACATAGGCTCAAAATAAAAGGATGGAGGAAGATCTACCAAGCCAATGGAAAACAAAAAAAGGCAGGGGTTGCAATCCTAGTCTCTGATAAAACAGACTTTAAACCAACAAAGATCAAAAGAGACAAAGAAGGCCATTACATAATGGTAAAGGGATCAATTCAACAAGAAGAGCTAACTATCCTAAATATATATGCACCCAATACAAGAGCACCCAGATTCATAAAGCAAGTCCTGAGTGACCTACAAAGAGACTTAGACTCCCACATATTAATAATGGGAGACTTTAACACCCCACTGTCAACATTAGACAGATCAACGAGACAGAAAGTCAACAAGGATACCCAGGAATTGAACTCAGCTCTGCACCAAGCAGACCTAATAGATATCTACAGAACTCTCCACCCCAAATCAACAGAATATACATTTTTTTCAGCACCACACCACACCTATTCCAAAATTGACCACATACTTGGAAGTAAAGCTCTCCTCAGCAAATGTAAAAGAACAGAAATTATAACAAACTATCTCTCAGACCACATGCAATCAAAATAGAACTCAGGATTAAGAATCTCACTCAAAACCGCTCAACTGCATGGAAACTGAACAACCTGCTCCTGAATGACTACTGGGTACATAATGAAATGAAGGCAGAAATAAAGATGTTCTTTGAAACCACCGAGAACAAAGACACATCATACCAGGATCTCTGGGACACATTCAATGCAGTGTGTAGAGGGAAATTTATAGCACTAAATGCCCACAAGAGAAAGGAGGAAAGATCCAAAATTGACACCCTAACTTCACAATTAAAAGAACTAGAAAAGCAAGAGCAAACACATTCAAAAGCTAGCAGAAGGCAAGAAATAACTAAAATCAGAGCAGAACTGAAGGAAATAGAGACACAAAAAACCCTTCAAAAAATTAATGAATCCAGGAGCTGGTTTTTTGAAAGGATGAACAAAATTGATAGACTGCTAGCAAGACTAATAAAGAAGAAAAGCGAGAAGAATCAAATAGATGCAATAAAAAATGATAAAGGGGATATCACCACCAATCCCACAGAAATACAAAGTACCATCAGAGAATACTACAAACACCTCTATGCAAATAAACTAGAAAATCTAGAAGAAATGGATAAATTCCTCGACACATACACTCTCCCAAGACTAAACCAGGAAGAAGTTGAATCTCTGAATAGACCAATAACAGGAGCTGATATTGTGGCAATAATCAATAGCTTACCAATGAAAAAGAGTCCAGGACCAGATGGATTCACAGCTGAATTCTACCAGAGGTACAAGGAAGAACTGGTACCATTCCTTCTGAAACTATTCCAATCAATAGAAAAAGAGGGAATCCTCCCTAACTCATTTTATGAGGCCAACATCATCCTGATACCAAAGCCGGGCAGAGACACAACCAAAAAAGAGAATTTTAGACCAATATCCTTGATGAACATTGATGCAAAAATCCTCAACAAAATACTGGCAAACCGAATCCAGCAGCACATCAAAAAGCTTATCCACCATGATCAAGTGGGCTTCATCCCTGGGATGCAAGGCTGGTTCAATATACACAAATCAATAATGTAATCCAGCATATAAACAGAACCAAAGACAAAAACCACATGATTATCTCAATAGATGCAGAAAAGGCCTTTGACAAAATTCAACAACCCTTCATGCTAAAATCTCTCAATAAATTAGGTATTGATGGGATGTATCTCAAAATAATAAGAGCTATCTATGACAAACCCACAGCCAATATCATACTGAATGGGCAAAAACTGGAAGCATTCCCTTTGAAAACTGGTACAAGACAGGGATGCCCTCTCTCACCACTCCTATTCAACATAGTGTTGGAAGTTCTGGCCAGGGCAATCAGGCAGGAGAAGGAAATAAAGGGTATTCAATTAGGAAAAGAGGAAGTCAAATTCTCCCTGTTTGCAGACGACATGATTGTATATCTAGAAAACCCCATTGTCTCAGCCCAAAATCTCCTTAAGCTGATAAGCAACTTCAGCAAAGTCTCAGGATACAAAATCAATGTACAAAAATCACAAGCATTCTTATACATCAACAACAGACAAACAGAGAGCCAAATCATGAGTGAACTCCCATTCATAATTGCTTCAAAGAGAATAAAATACCTAGGAATCCAACTTACAAGGGATGGGAAGGACCTCTTCAAGGAGAACTACAGACCACTGCTCAAGGAAATAAAAGAGGATACAAACAAATGGAAGAACATTCCATGCTCATGGGTAGGAAGAGTCAGTATCGTGAAAATGGCCATACTGCCCAAGGTAATTTACAGATTCAATGCCATCCCCATCAAGCTACCAATGACTTTCTTCACAGAATTGGAAAAAACTACTTTAAAGTTCATATGGAACCAAAAAAGAGCCCGCATCACCAAGTCAATCCTGAGCCAAAAGAACAAAGCTGGAGGCATCACACTACCTGACTTCAAACTATACTACAAGGCTACAGTAACCAAAACAGCATGGTACTGGTACCAAAACAGAGATATAGATCAATGGAACAGAACAGAGCCCTCAGAAATAATGCCGCTTATCTACAACTATCTGATCTTTGACAAACCTGAGAAAAACAAGCAATGAGGAAAGGATTCCCTATTTAATAAATGGTGCTGGGAAAACTGGCTAGCCATATGTAGAAAGCTGAAACTGGATCCCTTCCTTACACCTTATACAAAAATCAATTCAAGATGGATTAAAGACTTAAATGTTAGACCTAAAACCATAAAAACCCTAGAAGAAAACCTAGGCATTACCATTCAGGACACAGGCATGGGCAAGGACTTCATGTCTAAAACACCAAAAGCAATGGCAACAAAAGCCAAAATTGACAAATGGGATCTAATTAAACTAAAGAGCTTCTGCACAGCAAAACAAACTACCATCAGAGTGAACAGGCAACCTACAAAACGGGAGAAAATTTTCACAACCTACTTATCTGACAAAGGGCTAATATCCAGAATCTACAATGAACTCAAACAAATTTACAAGAAAAAAGCAAACAACCCCATCAAAAAGTGGGCAAAGGACATGAACAGACACTTCTCAAAAGAAGACATTTATGCAGCCAAAAAACACATGAAAAAATGCTCACCATCACTGGCCATCAGAGAAATGCAAATCAAAACCACAATGAGATACCATCTCACACCAGTTAGAATGGCAATCATTAAAAAGTCAGGAAACAACAGGTGCTGGAGAGGATGTGGAGAAATAGGAACACTTTTACACTGTTGGTGGGACTGTAAACTAGTTCAACCATTGTGGAAGTCAGTGTGGCGATTCCTCAGGGATCTAGAACTACAAATACCATTTGACCCAGCCATCCCATTACGGGGTATATACCCAAAGGACTATAAATCATGCGGCTATAAAGACACATGCACACGTATGTTTATTGCGGCATTATTCACAATAGCAAAGACTTGGAACCAACCCAAATGTCCAACAATGATAGACTGGATTAAGAAAATGTGGCACATATACACCATGGAATACTATGCAGCCATAAAAAATGATGAGTTCATGTCCTTTGTAGGGACATGGATGAAACTGGAAATCATCATTCTCAGTAAACTATCGCAAGAACAAAAAACCCAACACCGCATATTCTCACTGATAGGTGGGAATTGAACAAGGAGAACACATGGACACAGGAAGGGGAACATCACACTCTGGGGACTGTTGTTGGGTGGGGGGAGGGGGGAGGGATAGCATTGGGAGATATACCTAATGCTAGATGATGAGTTAGTGGGTGCAGCGCACCAGCATGGCACATGTATACATATGTAACTAACCTGCACATTGTGTACATGTACCCTAAAACTTAAAGTATAATAATAATAAAAATAAATAAATAAATAAATAAATAAAACCCACTTACTATTTCTGCAATACTTTGTTTTACTTAAAGGCCAGTAGTATCAAAATAAAAATCAACTTTTATAGTTTTATCACTTACACATCATAGTTGCTATAGGAGTGGCTATAAAATGAATATCCATTGCTAAAATTGGATCTTTCGTTATTGCATAAAAGGAGACATTTCTATTAGTCACAACTACGATATGGTAAAGGCACAGTATGTCTCAGTTACACACAGGCTGAGCCATTCAAAGTATCTGTGAAATTCAATGGAGCATGTAGAACCGTTCCAGCAACCACTTAAAACCTGGCAACTCAAAGTACAGTTTCTGAACCAGTAGCAACACCTGGGAGCTTGACAGAAATGAGAACACATGGACACATGGAGGGGAACATCACACACCGGGGCCTGTCAGGGGGTGGAGGGTAAGGGGAGGGAGAGCATTAGGACACATACCTAATGCATGTGGGGCTTGAAACCTAGATGACAGGTTGATAGGTGCAGCAAACCACCATGGCACATGTATACCTATGTAACAAACCTGCATGTTCACCACATGTATCCCAGAACTTAAAGTAAAATCAAACAAACAAACAAGAGTCAAAAAAAGAAAAAAAGAAGCACGATCTTAGGCCCTGCTGAAGACCTACTGCATATGAAGCTGTAGTTTAACAGGCTCCCGCTATGATTCGTAAGTACATTAAAGATTGAGAAGCAAGACTTAAGACACTAAACTGATCTCAGGAAACAAAAGATTTTTAGAAAGTTTAACTCAAAAAAACAAAACAGTATAAATGAGAGTAAAACTATTACATTACATACTAAACAACTGTAATTGAAGAACTGCTGTACCGTACCTTAAGACCTGAACTCCAAAGATCAAGCACATTTTCCATCTTCTGAAGGTTTTCATCAGAAACAAGAAAATCGCTCACAAGTATTTCATGGGCATCTGTATGACTAGAATTTGTTGCTGGTGAGGAAGAGTCAGCTAAAAGATGTGAACTGAAAAAATCCATGACTGGGTGAGAAGGCTTCCTTGGCGATAACACTGGTGATGACTCTGAATAAAAGAAAAGTTGTAGCTGTCAAGCCAAATTGAAAATAACTCAAGTTGGTAAGGAACCATACTGGAAGGCTAAAAGACGTCTGCTACTTATGGAGGCTGAGAAAAAATGCAGAGAAACTACCTTTCAGGTGTACCTTAATCTATTTTTAATTTCAGTATTGTCAGTGATTTAGCACAGACTGGCATGAGATACCTCCTATACTCCCAATCCCTTCTCTCCCAGCAAATGACCTCTATCCCAGATAAGGATCCTTCATATATCCAGGTCCAGCCTGAGGTGAAACTATCATCATCTGTATCATATCACCATTAATGAAGTGCTTTCTGTTTCTGTAATAAAAACATTATAAAGATTAGTTCTCATAACACATGCTACCCTAAAAAATAGGTATTATTATCTCCATTTTACTGATGAGAAACTGAGGTTCAGAAAAAGTTAAGTAATTGACCAAGGTCAGTGTGGTTGTATATAGGTCAATATTACTCTGTAAGTTTAACACTGGGATTGGTTTTAATACTATTAAAATTCGGCCGGGCGCGGTGGCTCATGCCTGTAATCCTAGCACTTTGGGAGGCCGAGGCGGGTGAATCATGAGGTCCAGAGATTGAGACCATCCTGGCCAACAAGGTGAAACCCCATCTCTACTAAAAATACAAAAATTAGCTGGGTGTGGTGGCACGCACCTATAGTCCCAGCTACTCGGGAAGCTGAGGCAGGAGAATTGCTTGAACCAGGGAGGCAGAGGTTGCAGTGAGCCGAGATCGTGCCACTGCACTCCAGCCTGTGACAGAATGAGACTCTGTCTCCAAAAACAAAAACAAACAAAAAACCTATTAAAATTAAACAATTTAAGTAGAAAGAGACTCATAATTTAGTTTTGCAGATACTCTGTTGTTAAGTACACTGTTAGGCTTCAATGTAGAGGTGAGAAATGTACACATCTCTATATGTATGTGCATATATATAAAACGCTCATCCCCTGCCCATATCCAGGGAGGTGGGGGAGAGTCAGGGCCCTAAAGAGAACAGGTATCTATTTCTAAAAAAGCACTGAAAGGCTGGGCACGGTGGCTCATGCCTGTAATCCCCGCACTTTGGGAGGCTGAAGTGGGCGAATCATGAGGTCAGGAGTTCAAGACCAGCCTGGCCAACATGGTAAAACCCTATCTCTACTAAAAATACAAAAAATTAGCCAGGCATGGTGGCACGTGCCTATAGTCCCAGCTACTTGGGAGGCTGAGGCAGGAGAATTGCTTGAACCCGGGAAGCAGAGGTTTCAGTGAGCCGAGATCGTGCCACCCACTCTAGCCTGGGTGATAGAGCGAGACTCTGTCTCAAAAAAAAAAAAAAAAAGCACTGAGAAAGAAAAGTTAATATTTTCTCACATATTTATGCTGGAATTAGAGACTATCTGTCATCACTTGTCACATATCTCACATTTGCTACGAGCATCCTAATAACAAAGATGGAAGAGCTTTCTTCCTACTGAAGGAAAGATGAATCTATGATAGAGAACTTGTTACTTAAATCTTTCAAGAATTCTTTTTTAAAATTTGTAAGATTTTAGTTTTTTTGCAAACATATTCTGCTTATGTAAAGACTTCTTTGCAAAAGGGAAAATAATTCCCTAACATGTGTGTTTGGTATAAAAAACATAACACAAGGTCTGGGCTAGTCATACTATGAAATGCTATCTGCATGTTCTGAGGATGGTTAAGAAACCCAAAGAACAGGTGGAATGACAATGTACATGAATATTCTCTTTTACTTGATTTTGCCAACTAGATCTGTACTCACAAAGAAAGCGATAGACTCTGCTTTTCAATTTAAAAAATATCTCAACACTTACCTTTTAAGAAATCAAATCATGTAACTTCAGAACTTGTAAGGGCTGTCAGAGATTATGATGCCTAAGACTTCTACTTACAAGTGAGGAAACTAAGGGTTAGAGGCATTACTTACGTGGTGACAAAAATGGTTACCACATTAAATAACATTAAATAGAAAAATATTCCACAATATTACATTTTAATTAATTATTCTGACTAGTCAAGAAAAAAGTCTCAGTCCAGTTCTAGTATGCTTTTAAAAGTTCTTTAAAGCCAGGCATGGTGGCTCATGCCTGTAATCCCAGCACTTTGGGAGGCCAGGGCAAGTGGATCACTTGATCTTAGGAGTTTGAGACCAGCCTGGGCAACATAGTGAGATCCCACCTCTACAGAAAAGTTAAAAATTAGCTAGGTGTGGTGGCATGTGCCTGTAGTCCCAGCTACTGGGGGAGGGGGCGCTGAGGCAGGAGGATCACTTGAGCCAAGGAGGTTGAGGCTGCAGGGAGCCCTGCACTCTAGCCTGGGTGACAGAGTGAGATCCTGTCTCAAAAACCAAACAAAATTAAAAAAATACAAAAAACAATCCCCCCAAAAAGCCTCTTTAAGATTTGCTAATCTTCCCTTTTAACAAAGACAAAGCAGACTTTTAAAGAAAAACACTAAATGATGGCGTAACAGGTGGCATAAAGATAGGATGAAAATCCTTACACTGGTACGCAAATGCCTGAAAGTTGGGAAACAGTGCATTGGTTTACATAAAAACTTGAATTGGCCAAACTATCTAATATCCCATTAAATCTTTTAAAAGACTTGCCCTCTAACTTAGCAATTTTAAGAAAGGATACTACACACTATAATGCATTGACCTGTCTTAATTGTACTATTTTGGTATCTTATCAAATTATTTTAAATATTATCACTTAAATTAGCAATAATAGCATTTTAAAATCCTGCTAATAAATAATATGCTGAAATTATTCCTCTTACTACATAGATAATATTCATCAAACCACAAAATGTTGTATATTAATACAAATAAGCTAAAGAAAAATCATACCATCTGTCTTTGAATGACTTGAAATATGGAAATCACATCCTTTTCCAACTTCTATTGCAGTTTCTCTTACTTCAGAGTTATTTCCTGCCAAAAAGAAAGCTTTTTAAAATTAAACTGAACCACTCTTAAATAAAATGTCTAATCACACATAATTTAAGAAGGTAGCAGTACATAATATTTTAGAACAAACAAAATACAACATGCTGGGGATATAGGAACACTAAAACAAAGGACAAGAACAGATAAAAATCTGAGACTAGAAAAAGACTTACTATATCATTGATAAGCTCCAACTTATGCACCAAATATAGATGAGAGATAATGTAGTCTACTATAGCATTCAATTCACACTAAGAGAATAAGTGGGTGAATGACATTAGAACTTAGAAAAGGATCTGCTCTCTTATGACACTGGGTATTTCCAGAGGCCCGCTGCTTTTCACTAGCCACAATCAAACTCAAGTGGCACTGGCTCCCCCAAAACATTTGCTTCCACTTCAGGAACCTGTAGTCAACAGATGGCAAAAAGGAAACTGGGAAAAACCTCTCAAGAATGACTGTTAGAGGCTTACACATACTTTGCCAATTTCCACATACCATGCCTTCTATCAAGCAACTGAGATACCAAGAATAAAGAGAATGTGGGATGATGAATTTACATAGAAGACTTTAACAAAGTCTACTTGTGAATCAAGATGACTAAAGGATATCTAAACTTACTATATAACGTATGTTTTAATCTCAAATCCTTTTTGGAAATGGCAGAGAATAAATAAATGCTATCTTACATAAGAGAAAAGAACAATGGTCTTAAATCCCAGATGATTACCTTGAACTGTTGACTACAGCATCTCGAAAGTTTTTTCTTTTTTTTTTTTTAAACAGAGTCTTGCTCTGTTGCCTAGGCTGAAGTGCAGTGGCATAATCATGGCACACTGCAGCCTTGAACTCCTGAGCTCATGCAATCCTCCCACCCCAGCCTCCCAAGGTGCTGGGACTATAGGCTGCTCTGCCCGGCTAATTTTTTTGTAGAGCTAGGGTTTTGCTATGTTGCCTAGGCTTGTCTCAACCTCCTGGGCTCAAGCAATCCTCCTGCCTCAGCCTCTGAAAGTACTGGCATTACAAGCATGAGCCACTGCCTGGCCTGTATTTTAAGGCTCTCATCCTGTGGTCCTGTTTGTTGTTCCACTGCAACAGGCCAAAGACAGAGGAACAGTGAAAAATCCACGTCTACAGAGAATGAGAGACAACAGACACTAGAGCTATGACTTAGCAGAAGCCCAGGAGCCTTTGGCCTCTGAGTAGGCTATGTCATGCGCCTTCAAGGACAGGGATCCTTGGAGTTACGCCTATAGTGTGATAACTGGTCCTTATCAGGACTGTTTTAGGAAGGCTTTCTGTGCCCTTTGAAAGAACATTTATTTAGAGTTTGGGATGTTGTCTTCACCTGAATAAGGAATGGAGGTAAAAGGAGCTTTATCCTCTTTTCTCCACTTTTCACTCATCTATCAACACACATCCTGGTTTATAGTAGCTTTCAGTTCTGTTGCTGACATGGTCCACAGATGGGTTCACCTTGTGATAATTATTCAAACAGTCCTCCATGCCCATATAAATACTGCTGATAAAGCACTAGCATGAGGTTTGTAAAGTAATTTAAGAGACTCTCAGGGTTACCATCTTTAATTTTAGTCTTGGGCATTTAGTTTTCAGGTTAATCCTGGCATAAAACTGTTGGAACAAGTACTGAGATACAACATACCAAAAAGCCATGCAGTTGCCATAGCATTGCTTCAACTTTATTATTCTTCATAAAAGTAAGAGTCAAATGAAGTTCAAAGAAAAATCAAGCTGTCACACGAGAGTCAGGAATAATATATTAAAATGTAAAAAGCTCCCCTAGATGATACTAATACACATAAATGGTTGAGAAGAATCACTGATCTGGACAGGCATTTTCACAATCCTGTCAGTATCATTAATAAACTCAGTAATATTTTAAATTAAGAGATATCTTGAAAAATATATATAACCTTGACTATGAAGAATATCATGAATTGTAGAAATTCTGACATCTGGCACCAATTCTCCCTTAGGATGAGATGACTGTGAAGCACAGGGTTCAATATTTGGAGTCACTATAGCATAATGAAGCAGTTCTTCATATTCTTCCTAAGAGAGGCCAATAATCAATAATGTAGTGTAACAGTTACAATGTTATAATATATTCAACTGAATTTGTTTTAAAGAAATTTAATTACCATAATAGAGTCCCATGCTTATTATATTACAAAGTTTTACCACTTATTCCAAGCTTGAGTTCCTCGAGTGCTTCTTGTGTGATTTTTATATTTATGATTAACAGTTTGAAGAGGGCTGGGTGCAGTGACTCATGCCTGTAAACTCAGCACTTTGAGAGGCTGAGGCAGGAGGATGGCTTGAAGCCTGAGCAACAAAGTGAGACCTCATCTCTACAATAAATTTTTTACAAAAATTTGCTAGGTGTGGTGGTGTGTGCCTGTAGTTGTAGCTACTCAGGAGGCTGAGGCAGGAGGACCACTTAAGCCTAGGAACTGGAAGCTGCAGTAAGACAAGATGGCACCACTGCACCCCAGCCTGGGTGACAGAGCAAGATCCTGTCTCTGGGGAAACAACAACAAAGTATGAAGAGGTGATAAGGTTCTGTGAGTGACTCAACACTGAATCAAAAATTTTCTATCACTTAATTTTATATGTCAGATTGGTTTAATTGAAGATGAGACATGCTATTAAAAAGATACCATTTTTGGAACTGAAAAAAAATTATGTAACCTAAACAAAATATAGAAGCAAACTGGATACTTAAGTTTATAAAACTGCAATGGCCTTCTATTACCCCCCAATTTCAAATGTACATTTATCAAGGCAGCTTAACTGTTTTTATTAACTGATTGCATTTGAATTTACAAAATAAATCTATACTACTGTAGTTTTGTTTTCATCTGCTTTTTTATATCGGAATTTTAAGTAAAATTGTTTTTTAAAAAAGCTTATGCTTTTATATATTTGAAAACTGCTAGCTTTTATGGCAATTACATGTACAAGAGTGACCTGGTTTGCGCTTCAACCTTGATTTCTTGATTTACAATTTTTTTCTTCTTTTTTTTTGAGATGGAGTCTTGCTCTGTAGCCCAGGCTGGAGTGCAGTGGCATGGTCTTGGCTCACCGCAACCTCTGCCTCCCAGGTTCAAGCGATTCTCCTGCCTCAGCCTCCTGAGTATCTGGAATTACAGGTTTGTACCACCACGCCCACCTAATTTTTGTACTTTTAGTAGAGATGGGGTTTCACCATGTTGGTCAGGCTGGTCTTGAACTCCTGACCTCTTGATCCACAGCCCTGGACCCCCAAAGTGCTAGGATTACAGGCGTGAGCCACTGCACCCGGCCTGATTCACATATTTAACATAGATACTTACACGCAGTAAACATTAGGTATAGCAAATACTGATTTTTATATATTTTAAGGCTAACGACAGAAGAGGAAGAGAGAGATATTTCAAAGAGAAAATCTTTAGAAAATTCAACCAGAATCTCCTTCATATTGCTATAATCAACCATTTTTGTTAGTGATGTCACCTTCATGAGAATAAACATCTGTCTGAGTTTTAAACTTACATTTCCTAGTAGCAAATAAAAATCAGTATTTTACATAATGGTTATCACTGAGACAGAAGGCTCTTATTAGGAAACAAATCATTTAGGATATCACAATACAACTTTTTTTATATTATAAAACTTAAAAAAATTATTAAAAAATTATAGAACATTTCACAAATTTGCATGTCCTCCTTGCACAGGGTCCATGCTAATTTTCTGTGTGGCTCCAGTTTTAGTATATGTGCTGCTGAAGCGAGCACCAACATTTAATTTTTACATTGACAAAAGTAACTATGATTATTTAAATAGATTTAAATATCCTTAGGTTAAAAAAAATACACTTCCCAAAGCATATTGGTTTTCTAATTATCAAAAAGAAATTCCCAAAGAGCTTAATAAATTGGGGCCATGCACAAGATATTTACTAGTTCCTATAAACCTGAATGTGTGTGTTGGTCCTAATAAACTAATACATAAAATTTCAAGTGCATAGAGACTGTAACTAATCCAGCAGCATCCATTTCTTTTTAATTTCTTTAACTTAATAAAGCCCCAGGGTTTGATTTGGGCAAATGGCCACCCAGCTACATTTCCCAGCCTCCTCTGCAGCTAGGTGTGGCCAAGAGACCTGGTCTATGGGATTCAACTGGAAATGATGTGTACAACTTTAGGTGAAGTCCTTAAAAACGAAGCTGCTTCCTGCTGGTCCCCTCTTCCCATGGGCTAGTGGTAGTACACTGTCAGTGCACCAGTACCTGACAATGCAAACACGGTCAACAGCTCATGGTACAGCAAAAAGAGAGAAGGGATTGGGTCCTCAGATGATCTCAGGACTACGTATCAGCTCAGAATTTATGAGAGACAGAATGAAACTGTAAGGAACCCACTTAAACCACCCTTACTTGGTTTCTGTTAAAGCACTATTATACTTCCCAAACACCCAAAATATACTTTTGATTTTGGCTAAGAATATATAAAAGTGTGGCTGTTATGGAGTTACGGAGTCTGAATGTTTGTGTCCCCTCAAAATTCATATGCTGAAGCCCTAACACCCAGTGTGGCTGTATTTGGAGATGAGGCCTTCAAGAAAGTAATTAAGGTTAAATAAGGTCATTGGTTGGGGCCCTGAGAGCATTAATGTACTCATCAGAAGAGACACCAGGAACCTTGTGCATGCTCTCCTCCCACCTGCACATACTGTACTGAGGAAAGGCCATGCAAAGATACAGCAAGAAGGCACCTGTCTGCAATCCACAAAGAGAGCCCTCACCAGAAACTGACCCTTTTGGGCTGTGATCTGGGACTTCTAGCCTCCAGAACTGTGAGAAGATAAATGTCTGTTGTTTAAGCCTATGAATTTATGGTACTTTGTTATGGTAGCCTGAGCAGATTAATATGATGGTGATCTTATATTGTGAGGTTCATAAACTTTTTATAGTGTTCCTGCTGTGGTGTCAGTTGCAACTAGATTTAGCCAAGTCAGCTCTACTCAGAGTTAGCCTATCACCACCTCTAGCATGTAGGAACGGAGGGAGAAGTGGAAGTCAGTGGCTTTCACTTGTGGCTTCCCTAGTCTGACTTCTGCTCTGGATAAGAGAAGGAAAAAAAAGATCCAAACACATATTTCAAATCATATACTTCATACATATTCATATATTTCATATATTTTACCACAATTGCTATGGCTTAAAGGGGAAATAAATAAGTATATGTCAATAGTATTCCATGACCATATATTCCAACTTATTTCAAGAAAACATTTAGAAAAAATCAGTTATTTAAATGACTATTTTAGAGTTTCATATATGTAGACACAAGCCAAATAAGTTATTTAAAAATAAAATTTAAAATTAAGAATCAAAATAAACAATATTGGCTTTCTTAATTGCCAAACATAACCTCTGTTAACATTCAAAACTTGTAATTTTGCCCCCCTCCCCAACCCCCAAGAGCTGAATTGATATGACCCTGAAATATAGCTCCACCCATGCCTCAACCATTAGAGTCAGAGCAACTTGGCTGATAGGAGCTGTGGTTAGAGGAAATTTTCAGTGTATAAGCACTATGGATGCTGCCCATCCCTCAGCATTTACCACCTTCTGGCTTATGAAGCATTCGCATAAAAAGAGAGTAACAAAAAAGTTCCTTAAGAGGAATATTTATTTATGAGGGGCTTTTGTATTAAATGTTTGGATTTACATATTTACTACATATGTAAAAATGTGTATTTTATGTTATTTTTAAGATTTTTTTTTGTATTTATATTTTGAAGTGCTTCCAGTAGTGAAACCCAAAGTAATAACACTGTATGTACAGGGAATATGGAGAGGCTTTCAACTTCAGTCCAAGAACCAGTAGGAACATTAGTTGACAGTAATAGACTCTCAGTTGAGCTTACATTATAGGTGGGTAAACAATAACACAAAATAATTTCTGGCAGGTTCTTCTTCCGTCTCTCTAAAATTCCACTCTAGAGAGTTATTCTTTTGATTTAAAGCTTTATCTCTTCACGAAATGAAATTTGAGAGCTCACAAGGTGTTTACATTTTAGTATAAATGAGTTAATCAGTTCTATCTTCAAGTTTCAATCAGACAGCGATGAAGGGTGGAGGAAGTACTGTCACCTGAAGAGAGGACTACATGGGACAGGTACCATCAAAAGGGAAGGCTAGGGTGCAAAAGCTCTGCCACAACTCCAGACTAGTTTTATCCTGTAAATATTCAGATATTTTCCCAATACCTTCCCCATTTTGAAATCCATAATTTCGATTAAAGGAACAAATTTGTTTCATAAAATATTTTCCTAAAGCTTTTCTCATATCGTACAGAATCAATAACAATTTCATATGCTTAGGCATAAACAGCCTTTCCCCTTGAGTAATACAACTGTAAAATTTAAGATATACCATGTCATTATTCTCATATTTAAAATCTACTCCAGAAATCTAAATCCATATTTTTGATGATGAAATATTTAGAAATAAGAGAAATTTAAAACATTTCATGTAAATACCACACCCTCTGTAGTTAACTGACCCACTTCATTTTATCTGTCAATGTCCAGGTCCTGGGCAGCAGATTGTACTGAATGTTGTGACAACAGAGACCAAACCTCAGCAAGTAGAACACAAGGGAATCTTGAGCTCTAGAACTTTGGATGGTTTGATATTGTATTAATTTGCATTAAAAGTGAAAGTAGCATTCATGAGAGGTAGCTAAAATGAAAAAAATTTAAACAAAAAAATGTTTCTTGAACATTTGTTTCACCTCTTACTGTGTTGGTTGAAGCCTTTGTACAGAGTGTATGAAGAGTTCATCAATATTTTCTGAAAAGTTAAAACAATGTAAAGTCACTCCTAAAATGTGTACAGTAATTCCTGAAGTTTGATATTATTATAAATTGAAAAACTCCCTTGTAAATGGATGAAAAAATTATTAAAAAATCCTAGTTTTCCCTTACATTCATTTGTTTAAAATAAAAAAAGTCATGGTAAATTTAGAAATTTTTTCCTACCTGAAGATTCGAAGAGACAGAACTGCCTCGACTGGAGTCATTTTGCACAACTGGAAGTGAGTATTTCTCCTCATCTGATGACATTCTGCACAAATGCTCTAAAACAGTAGAAGCTAACTTTAGCTTTTTTCCTTGATATTTAAGATAAAATCCTTTCCAGATATATATAAGTGCAACAGTATCCAAATCTGCAATCTTCCTGTGATATGCTAAAATCATTCATTCAACATATTGAGTACCTACAGGCAAAAAATCACTGGGCAAAAAACAGTTGAAGACCCAGTCCCAATATTAGTGAGTTTATAACGTAGTCAGGTCTTCAGAAAAATCCCCAGCGGGGCCTGTTGAGCATAATAGATTGTGATCACTGTTCTTGAGCAATGTGTGACAACCTGGGTGCTGTGTACTTTCCTCTAAGACACAGAACCAAGAGAGAACAAACAATTTGTGCAAATTCCCTTCTTGGGAAACTTACCTTTGGAAATATTATTTTAAGAAAAGTGAGCTTATACAGAACAACAGAATCAAATATATGCATAGAGAATTTGTTGAAAGTCCTAATCAAAAAATCATTAAAAGTACTTTTAGTAACAAGTAACCGAATTATTCAAAGAACAAATAGTGACTATTCGAACTATCTGAATACCAGTAATATGTAAGACATTGGTGAGGAATGTAAAATGAAGTCCTCATTCTTAAGGAGTTTACAATCTGTAGAGAGGGCCAGGCATGTATATTATATAAGTGACCGACTGATGAATAAACTGCTGATAGGCCCTAAAATAACAGATACAAAGTAGAGAGATAGGAGTAGCTATTTTTCATGGGGTAAGATTGCATGACTGTAAATAAGCAGGAAAGGAGGCACAGAAAGTTTTTAGAGAAGATGACCCAGGTGTTGAGATCTGAAAGATGAGTAGGTCTCATCCTGAAAGATGGATAAAAGGTATAAACACAGGTGTAGATATTCTAGGCAGTAGAGCAATATAAGCAAAGACAGAGCCATGGACATGTATGCCACGAACAGCAAGCAGTTTGGTAAGGACAAAGCAATGGGTGCAAAGGATTGGCTAAGGATGAAACAAAAAGTAAGGAGCAGCCAGATCATGGAAGGTCAAAACTTGTCATATTAAAAATCTGGGTGTTTATTCTAGACAAGTTATTGAAATATTTTTTAAAAGTTACATGATCAGAAAGATCATTCCAGCAGCGTTGAGGATGAATTTGGATATTAAGAGAGATCAGGCTGGGTGCAGTGAATCATGCCTGTAATCCTAGCACTTTGGGAGGCTGAGGTAGGTGGATCACCTGAGGTCAGGAGTTTGAGACCAGCCTGGCCAACATGGCGAAACCCTGTCTCTATTAAAAATACAAAACAATTAGCCGAGCCTGGTGGCAGGTGCCTGTAATCCCAGCTACTTGGGAGGCTGAGGCAGGAGAATAGCTAGAACCCTGGGGGTGGAGGCTGCAGTGAGCCAAGATCGCACCACTGCACTCCAGCCTGGGTGACAGAGACTCCGTCTCAAAAAAAAAAGAGAGAGAGATCAATTGAGAGCTGACTGCAGTAGTCTAAGAGATAAATGTTCTCTTTGATAGTAATTAAGAAGATAAATGATGACCTAAGTCTAGGAAGTAGCAATGGGAAGGGGATGGAGGGTATGACTACAAGACAGTTGTGTTATGGTGATGGAAAGAGAAAATGATCAATAATAGATCAAGGGGTTAAAAAGAACTGTTGGTGGCTTCCAGATCTCCGGTTTGGGTAACTAGATGGATAGTGCCACTCACCAAGGCAAGGAAGGTAGGAAGATGAGCAGGTTGGGAGGAAGGACAATGAGTGCCATATCAGATGAGCTGGGTGTGAGGATGCCTCTGAGGCACTAGGGTAAAGCTGCAAGTATGCAGTCTGTGGTCACACTGGCTACGTAGTGCGCTACTCCAAGAACTGCCATTCACAATGGCTACACTGTGAATGGTGTTTCCTGGAGTTAAGCATTGTGGGAGCGCCGCACTGGAGGTATAAGTTGGAGATCCAGTTTGAGGAATCACTGGCATAATGGGAACTGCTGAAAAAAGGGAATGGATGAGACCACCTATAAAAAAGGAATGTGAGAAAAAGTTCTTATCCTGAGGTCCTGTATTAGTACGTTTTTCAAACTGCTATAAAGAACTGCCCAGGCCGGGCACGGTGGCTCATGCCTGCAATCCCAGCACTTTGGGAGGCTGAGGTGGGAGGATTACGAGGTCAGGAGATCAAGACCATACTAGCTAACACGGTGAAACCCCGTCTCCACTAAATACAAAAAATTAGCCTGGCGTGGTGGTGGGCGCCTGTAGTCCCAGCTACTTGGGAGGCTGAGGCAGGAGAATGGCGTGAACCCGGGAGGCGGAGCTCATAGTGAGCCAAGATCGCGCCGCTGCACTCCAGCCTGGGCGACAGAGTGAGACTCCGTCTCAAAAAAAAAAAAAAAAAAAAAGAACTGCCCAAAACTGGGTAATTTATAAATAAAAGAATTTTTATTGACTCACAGTTCCGCATGTCTGGGGAGGCCTCAGGAAACTTAAAATCATGGTAGAAGGGGAAGCAGGCACATCTTAGATGGCGGCAGGTGAGACAGTATGTGAGAGAGTGCAGGAAAAACTACCATTTATAAAACCATCAGATCTCGTGAGAATTCACTATCATGAGAACAGCACGGGGGAAATCGCCCTTATAATCCAATCACTTCCCTTCCCCTACATGTGGAGATTACAATTGAAGATGGGATTTGAGTGGGGACACAAGACCTAACCATATCAGGTCCCTATACCCGACTCGTATGCAATATTTTTATCATAAATGTGAATGTGTATTTTTCTAGAAAGAAGATCTTTCGCTTTAAATATGCGTTCAGAGGGGACCATAGCCCTAATAGAGTTAAGGACTACGACTGTGAATGAGAAGAGGGTTAAAGCCAGAACCACTAACATCTAAAGGGCAAGAGAAGAACAGTCAGCAAAGAAGAGGAGTCAGCAAAGGAAGTCAGAACATTAGAACTATGGAAGCAATATCACAACTTTGAGAAGAAAATAGAATTAGATGCCAAAGAACCATGAGGATTGGATAGAATTTGGAGATTAGGAGGTTGCTGAGACGTTTGCTTGAACAATTTCACTGGAAAGTAAAACAATTACAGGTCTTAGTCACAGTGGGCTGAAAAATAAATGAGAGATGAGGAAATTGAAATAGAAAAGGAAGATACAGGGAAAAGTGCAAAAATAGAATGGAAACACAGGCTGGAACTAAATTGTGGAAAGGAAAGTTCAACTTTTTCCAGTGAGTATCACTGTGCATACACATGTTAAGTAAACTAAATCTCAGCATGACTGTCTTTAGTTAAGCCAATTAGGGAGGATAAAATAAGTGCATGTATCTGCAGCAAGGAATGGCTGCTTCACTGACTTCAAATCTACCACTGTGATAACTTGGTCCATTTATATTTTTATTCACTTCTTCCTTCAGGATTTGAGACCAGGCAGGTAACAGGGGTGGGGGGGGGGGGGTGCTGATTATTTAAAAATGAGCTAGTAAGTATGGTCAGATCTCAAAAATTGTTTCTTAATATGGACACACTGCAGACACAAAAAAACCCACCGCACTCTTGGAAAATATGCTATCTTCCATCTGCCCTGCTTTATGTCAACAAGGTATGAGTTATTTGAAACTCTAGAACAGTAGCATTTTCCTTACTGTTTCTAGGTTCAGAAACAAAGGAGAAAAATGAAAACTGCTTTAATGGGTGGCGGACGCACATTAGTTCACTACATTTTCAGTAGTCTCTAATCCAAGGTATCAGAAAACAAGATCAAAACTTTTGTGTGCTTCTCTGTTGCCAGAAACATAAAATAACATCTTGGTAATTATCTGGCTGACAGCAAAACAGGGGTCTGGGAATTCAAATGGAACCCCCAAGAGGCAAAGGAAGAGCGAATTAACATGCAAACTAGCAGCAGGGTGATGTCGCCTGTGCCTTTCACCAGGCCTAGCTGCACTCAAGGAAAGGGGCGCGCCAGCCCCTCCCCAAAGCAGGGACTAGAAGCAGAGGAGAAAAGCCATTGCAGTAAGCAAAAGGCCATAAGTTTTCTTCCATCACCTTCCGACCCAGCCTGTTTTAAGAAAAATCTTACTTAAGCACAACAGAGCTTTATACATGGTTATTTTTTCTCAACGTTTTAAGTGACCGGAACCTCTGATGACAGTAATCGCTCAGCATCCCTCACTCCTGCTCACTTCCTCTTCCTGCACGCCTCGGAGGGGAAACTTTGGGACCTTCCGGCACAACAGCTGAATCACTCGCGGTCTGGGGAAGAGCCCAGGGGGAGGAAACACGCGCCAAGGAACTTTAAATCTCCCTCCACTACTTTCGCCAGGGATGCAGGGACGCAGGATCTGCCCGGAGCGCTGCTACCCACCGTCGCCGCTCGCGACCAAATCCCGACTCCTCGCTCTGCGCCTCTTAGCCGCGTCGCAGCTGCAGTGTCAGCAAGTGCAGCCTCAGCAAGCACAACCGCTACCTAGACGGCAACCTGACAGTTTCAAACTGCAGGGAGGAATTAAGGACCGCCCTGGGCATTGGTCCTTTGTTTCAGCAATCTGCCGTTTGATTGGTCCGAGAGCTGGGGGCGGGGATTTGGGCCGCTGCCGGGAGAAGCCGGAATTACTTTGGAGAGCCCCGCCCCCTGGCTCCGCAGGTTGGTAGGGGGCGGGGTCCTAGGGAGCCCCACCCAGCGCCCGTGGGGATTAAATATTGCGCGTGCTCAGTTCTGTTCAGCGGCTGCAGGCTGCTAAGCGGCTCCGGGAGCTGATTTGGATAGAGGCTGTTGAGCAGGGCTGAAGTTGGCTAATGCCGTGTGCTGTTGGCTTTCAACAATTCCGGTAACCTAGATATGAGTCCTAATGCTTTCGTCTGCATAAGAACAATCCGAAATTCTGGGCCAGGTGTGGTGGTTCATGCCAGTAATCCCGGCACTTTGGGAGGCCGAAGTGGGAGGATCGCTTGAGCCCGGGAGTTCGAGACTAGTCTGGGGAACATAGGGAGACCCTTTCTCTATAAAAAATTAAAAACAAAAAAAAAATCTGCATCATCCACAGATCCCCTGCAACAGAATCACTTGGAGGTGCTTTTTTTTTTTTTGAGATGGAGTCTTGCTCTGCCGTCCAGGCTGGTGTGCAGTGGCACTATCTCGGCTCACTGCAACCTCCGCCTCCCAGGTTCAAGGGATTCTCCTGCCTCAGCCTCCCGAGTAGCTGGGATTACAGACGACCGCCACCACGCCTGGCTAATTTTTGTATTTTTAGTAGAGATGGAGTTTCACCATGTTGGCCAGGCTGGTCTCGAACTCCTGACCTCAGGTGTTCCGCCCACCTCGGCCTCCCAAAGTGCTGGGATTACAGGCGTGAGCCACCACGCCCGGCCGAAGGTGTTGATTCCTTCGGTCATGGACACCGTCAGGAAATCTGAATTTTTAACACACACTGCCAGTGATTCTGATGCAGGAGTCTGCAGACCACCCTTTGAGAAATTGCTAGTCTAGGCTGGGCGCGTTGGCTCACGCCTGTAATCCCAACACTTTGGGAGGACGAGGCAGGCGGATCACCTGCGGTCAGGAGTTCGAGACCAGGCTGGCCAACATGGTGAAACCCCATCTCTACTAAAAATACAAAAATTAGCCGGGTGTGGTGGCTTACGCCTGTAGTCCCAGCTACTCCGAAGGCTGAGGCAGGAGAATCCCTTAAACCCAGGAGGCAGAGGTTGCAGTGAGCCAAGATATCGCCACTGCACTCCTGCCTGGGTGATAGTGAGACTCTGTCTCAAAAAACAAAGAAAAAACCAAAATTGGTAGTCTAGTTTTAACTAATCTCAAACGTGTCAGACTTCAAGATAGAGCCTTCTGGTGAAGTATTGGCCTTAGAATCAGATCATAATTATAATCTAGCTTTACCATCTACTCGCTGTCACCTTGGATAATACTACTCACATACTAAGGTGGTAGGAGATTAAAGGAATTAATATATCTAAAACACCGAACACACAAACATATAGTCTTTCAACTTACATTGGCAACAGATAGGCTAGAGGTATGAGGACCCAGATGGCAAAGGTACCTAAGTAGCCCAGACTGGGGTTCTGCAATCTGAAGAACAGATACTGAGATCTGGGTGAGTTTTCAGGCTCCCTTCTGTTACCTCCAGTATAAGGTTTCTTTTTCTGTAGATAGAAATGACATAACCTGGGTCTCACTTACTTTTATGTTGGCAGAACCAGACTTCTACTTACACAAACAAGTAAGAAGAGCACCAGAAGTTTCTTTGGCATAAATTATGTTTGTTCTCCCCCTTTTTTTTCATGCTTATTATAGAGGACAAGTTCCTATTAATAGCTGCAAATTCATACTTGGTTCTAGTATTTGTTTTTTAATTGAATTGCCTTTTGGTGACCCCATACACTATAATTGATACTGAATCACTCTTCTGGTGCCCTCCTGCCACTAGGCTCCAAGTTTCTCTTTTCTGTCTTCCTTTTTGGGGAGGAGAGATTTTTATCGCAAACCATTTAGTAAACAATCCCATTCTCCTGTAAAACTATAGAGAGAAAGAGACAGAACCTTGTCTGGATGTTATGAATTTAGAACTGATATCTTTTCCCAAGGTTCCTAGAGAGGGAGGGAAAGAGAGAGAGAGAGAATTTAAAGCCCCCACAAACCCATAATAACTTGGTTGCCAGCTTGAACCCTTCATAATTATTTATTCATTCAACACAAATATTTAACATCTGTCACAGGCAAAGCAAATTTTTGTTGGTGCTGGGGATAGAGTGGTGAGCAAAACACAGTTTGCCCTCATGGAACTAAGAGTCTAATGGGAAAAACCGATATCAAACCAACAAATCCACCACACATATGAATACATAACAGCTGTGTGAACCTGGGCAAGCTGCATAACCTCTCTGTACTTCGGTTTCTGTATCTGAAAAATGAGGGTAGGAATTCGCTCACTGAGAATTAAATTAACGTAGGTGCTATTCTTATCCTCATTTTTCAGATAGAGAAACTGAAGCACAGAGAGGTTATGCAGCTTTCCCAGGTTCATGTAGCTGGTAAGAACAGAGTCCATGTTCTTATCACTCAAGATGTTCTGTTGGGGACGGCATGCCATGGTCTTAAGGTAAGAAAGGGCTAAGTGAGTGAAGAGAAAGTGGCACAGGATGAGGCTGCAGATAGAGATGGAGGCCCAACTATGCAGGACTTGTTAAGGATTTGAGATTTTAAGTTCAATGGGATGTATTTTAGATATTCAGGAGAGAGATGAGGACAACTTGAACTAGACGAGTGGCAAAGGAGATGGAGAGAAGACAGAAATGAGATACAGTCATCACTTGCTATTCCTAGGGATTGGTTCCAGGACCACTCCTGATGTCTTCCCCTCCCCCTCCGCCAAAGTAAATACCAAAATTGAGGATGCTCAATTCGCTTATATAAAATGGTATAGTATTTGCATATAACCTACAGACATCCTCCCATGTACTTTAAATAATCTCTAGATTACTTATAATACCTAACATAATGTAAATATATGTATGTAAATGGTTGTTATATTTTATTGTTTTTTATTTGTATTATTTTTTACTTTTAAAATTTACTTTTTTGAATATTTTTGATCCACGGTTGGCTAAATCTGCTGATGTGGGACCTGAGGATATAGGGGGCCAACTGTATGTTTTGGAGGTATAATTGGTGGGACTTGATGATAGGATTTGGACTGTATCTGAGGTGAAGGAGAGAAAAGTGTGAAGGACTCCAGGTTTCAGGTTTCTCGCTTGAGCAACTGAGTGGATGACAGCATCAGATATTGAGGAGAACACTGGAAGAGGAGCAGGTTTTGAAAGTGGAAGATCAAAATTGAATTTTAAACATTCTTTAAACATGAAATATCTGGAGATACCCAAATGGAGTATCCATCAGACCACTGAACTTACATGTCTAGGGCTCAGAAAAGAGGTCACTGCCTAGATATATAAACTGGGTGGCTTTTGCATATAGATTTTGTGGAGGATTGCAAAAATGGCTCCAATTCTACATCTCTCCAGGTATTGATGTCCTGTGCCATGCAATTTCACTTGGAGTGCTTCTCTACTAATGACCAACGGAATGTTAACAAATATGATGCAAGCGGAAGTTTCAAAATACTTACGTGCTTGGCTTAGCTTGCTCTTGCCCTCTGTTACAACGATGAAATACGCCTGGGCTAGCCTGCTGGAAGATGAAAGACACATGTAGTAGAGCCAAGTTGCCCCAGTCATCCTAGCCAAGGCCATCCTAGGTCAGCCTATAGCCATTTGACTCCCCAACAGGTGTGTGAATCTAAGAACCACCCAGACAACCTACAGAGTCATGAACTCAATTATTATTGACTGTTTAAAGTCACTGTGTTTAGGGTGGTTTGTTATGTAAGCTTATTATGACAATAGATAACTGATACAGATGCACTTTAAAGCCAAAGAACTAGATGAGACAATCTAGTGGGGGAGAGCAAAATGAGTAGAGAAGAGGATTTGGAACTGAACCCTGATGTCCTCTAATGTTTAGAGGTTGGGTAGCAATGGAGGAGCCAGCAAAGGAGACTGAGAAGGAGGTGCTGGAGAAGTGGGAGGAAAACCAGCAGAGGCTTCAGTAAAATGCTAGTGAAGTGACTATTGTGTTTGACAATATGGAGTTCCCCCATGTCTTGGCCCTTCCATGGGCCCCAAGTTCTGAACCTCCTCTAGTACCTGTCTTCTTTCCATCTCTCATGTTTTTGGTTAAGCCACTGCTGAATTTGGCTTGGACTGTTTCTTGATTGTATGCCTTCATTTCTTCTTTCTACAATTCACTCTTCACACTGCTGATAAACTATCTTCTTAGAATATCACTGGATTGCATCACCTATCCAAAAGCCTTCCACGGTATTGCATGGCATCCAAAGCTCTCCTAAACCAAGCCCCACAAAACACCAAAAGGACTATGCTGGAGTCCCCAAATGTACCACTTATCAGGTAGGAAACTTTGGGGCAGGTGTACATTCTTTATATGCTTGAGTTTCATCTCTTTAAAATTGAGAAAGTATTAGAACATATAAAATCTAACTCTACATCTAAACCAGGACCTGAACGTAAATCTATTGTCTCTCTCTCTCTCTTTTTCTGTCTCTCAATATCAGTTCCCTCCTGCTCTAGTAAACTAATTGAAGCTGAGCATATAGCTGCATAGCAGGACTACCTTTTCCACCTACCTATCAATTAAGTGAGGCCAGAAGCCATAGAATGTGAGTGGAAATGCAGTGTATCACTTCCTGTGAACTGGGATTTAAGACATTAGGTGTCTTTCTCCAAGTCTTCTTCTCTTTTCCCACTATGGTGGGCTGCATGACCATGTGGAATATAACTCTCCTGCTAGTTCTGTAGTATGAGAAAACATCTTTTTAAAAAAGTTTTTATATTTGAGGGTCAATTTTTCATGGCTTTTAACTAACACCACATCTACACCTCTACAGATGGGTATATAAAGTTGTTGAGAAGTAATGTATATGAAAGCACTTTGCAAAATTTTAAAGTAAGGCAGCCAAGTGAGGTAGAAAGAACATAGAATTTGGATTCTTAAGATCTGGGATCCAGCCTTTCCTAAGATATAGGCCTAAAGTTAAGATGACTTTAGGCACCTGTTGGAAAGCATCTATTAATTTCCACTAATATGATTATTAGTTGAAATTATTATTATAATATTAATAATATTAGTGGAGAGAGTTGATACCTATGTTATTTTTGCTGGACATTGTGTTAGGGCACTGATTTGAAACCTGTTTCTTTTTAAGGTCATCCATGACTCACTTAAAAATCCTTCACCCTATTATCTCTTCACCCTATTATTTGTTTAGCTGGGACTTTAAGAGAACATTCCTCATTCTAGGGATCTTTAACACTGATGACTCTTGTCCAGGGTAGCAACCACAGTCTAGTCTATTACTTTCATTTTATGAAGGAGGAATTTAGACCAAGAGGGATCTATGTTTGCTATCTTTGAGCTGGAAATCTAGTGAGAGAGAGAGAGAGAGATCGGAAGTGGGAGTGGAGATGGGTGCAGATTTTAGGAACAGGGCTGTTACTAGTGCCTACATCTAGGTAGAGGCTGCCATGATGTTCCTTAAAAATTTGATTTAAAAAAATATAATTTCAACTTTAATTTTAGATTCAGGAGGTACATGTGCAGGTTTGTTACATGAGTATATTGCATGATGCTGGGGTTTGGGATATGAATGATCCCATAATGCAAGTAGTGAGCATAGTACCCAATGGTCTTTCAGCCCTTTCTCCCCACCCTGCCAGTAGTCCACCAGTGTCTATTGTTGCATCTTTACACCCATTAACACCCAATGTTTAGCTCCCACTTATAAGTAAGAACACACAGTATTTGGTTTTCTGTTCCTCTGTTAATTTGCTTAGGATAATGGCTTCCAACTCCATCCATGTTGCTGCAAAGGACAAGTTTTAATTTTTTTTTTTTTAAGAGGTGGAGTCTTGTTATGTTGGCCAGCCTGGTCTTGAACTCCTGGCCTCAAGTGATACTCCCATCTCGGCCTCCCAAAATCCTGGGATTACAGGCATGAGCCCACCATGCTGACATGGTTTTATTCTTTTTTATGGCTGTGTAGTATTCCATGGTGTAGATGTACCACATTTTCTTTATCCAACCCAACATTGAAGGACACCTAGATTGATTCCATATTTTTGCTATTGGGAATAGTGCTTTGACAAACATATGAGTACAGGTGTCTTTTTGGAAGAACAATTTATTTTCTTTTGGATATATACCCAGCTATATATCCAAAAGAAAAAATCTATATATCAAGTAGGAAGGTGTGCAAAGATCATGGTAAATTAATTTTGACCAAGTGGCTCACAATACAGGTCCCAAGTAGAACTCCTGTAGTTAGACTACACAGTCTTTTTACAACCTCTTCACACTCTGAGAGCCATTTAACTGAGGCGGAGCAGAAGGAAAAAGACCCTATCAATAAGGCAAAAACGCAGAGTAAATGATGGTTATTATGGACACAGTGGTCTACATATGAGGCAGTTCACCACTTTTCTGTGGATTAAGGGCTTATTCAGAGTATTTTGATTCTCTGGATTCTACAGGCCTGGCTCTGTTATTGCAGAAGGGAGTTCATTTCTTGGCCCTCATCACCAACCTTCTGCTTTTCCTAATTATAAACACTCATTCTTGAACCTCTCTAATAGCATCTTCTAGCCATATAAAAACTTCCTTACCCTTAGCATTCTTTCTCCTGATAAAACAATCTAGCATGAGGTGTGAGAGGCAGGATTAATTAGCTTTTCAGAGAACAATATTACTGAGTTTGAGTACTATACAGATGCTGTATTCTTGGATCTTTAGGGCTTCTGAGGGTGAGTTTGTAGATCAGGGTCATTCAGCTCAGTAATAAGAATTTACGCATTCTAAATTATGACCCTTCTTTCCTTTCTCCATTCTTCCCTTTCATTTTTTTTTTTTAATGGAGGGAAGGGAAGAGAGGCTAGATCTAGTATTTTAAAGCAGATTTGAAATGTTGTGGAAGAATTTGTTTCCTGTCTTTGAAAGCACCATTCTAATTGCTTTTTTGTAGTTGCCTTTTGTGTGTGAGGGGTCATGCCAATCAATCCACCTCACATCTATAAACATGTCCCAAAGCTTAATTGCAGATCTATTGTTTGTAACTTGAAATGCATTTTCCTACAGAAAAATGAAAGTATTATAATTCCAAGGTCAGCTCAATTATGAGTCCATAATAGGGCTGAAACATTGTTTGCAAGCATTGTTTGCAGTATGGTAGAAAACTATACTGTTGCAAGGCTAGCAGATTTAATGAACAGGAGGAAGAATGCTAAATGAGAAAAAAGCTTACTGTATTTTTATCTTGAATGCCGATGAAAAAGAAAAATGGCAATATGGTAGGAGTGGTGATATGCTTATTTACTTAGAGGAGGCTACAAAAAGTGTATTGAATTTAGGGAATTGATGGGGAGGTGGCAGGAGAGGAGTAGACATGATGAGCTTAGTAGGAAACAGAAAGTGTTTTCTGCTCTGAGACGTATCCTGTGTCTACCACGCTCCCAGCCCCTTTGGAGCATCTGTACCTCCCAATCTCACACAAGTTACTGTGTGAGTTAAAATATTAGTCTCCCTATACACAGCCTGCATGTGTCTTAATGTGTCTCTCATTTCACAGTCTGTGGGAGGATAGGTAAAAGGAGATTGGGGATCCCAGGTCATAGTCTCCATCTTGTAGCTCACCAGTTGGGGTCTATTTTAAGTCTGATTAATGGAGATACTAATCTTCATTAGCAAGGTCTTCAAGTGACTTGTCTTAGTGGAATAAGTGTGGCAATAAGAAACAGAAAACTCAATTTAAATGGCCCTGAATCCGTCCATTAGCACTCAATATAAGAAACTGGTAAAAGGATGAATTAGTATCGCCAAAGTAAATGACCATCTTTGCCCAGTGCATTTGGCAAGTCAGTATGCTGAGACACTGGGTTGCAGAAGAGAAAGAGATTTGATTGTAGGGCAGACAAATGAGGAGATGGGAGGAAATCTCAAATCCATCTGCCCAGGAGTTTGGGGCTAGGGTTTTTAAAGGTCTTGGAGTGGGCCAAAGTGTGGAGATCGTTGATTGCTTGAAGAGTGCAAGGTGAAGTCATGGGATAGGGAGATGAAGAAACTGTATTCTCATGCTGATTCCTCTGTGAGGGTCTTTGAACTGTTTCCCTGGAACTCAGGATCTGAAAAACTTCTTAAGCAATCCTTAAACAGAAGCTTTATGATTCTAATGTCAGCAATTCTATCAATAGGAACAGTGGGGATACAAATGGTCAGTATCTAGTGACTTTCAGTTACAAGGAAGTGGGCCAAAGTGCAGCCTGATTAATATAATTATATTTCTGTCTAGAATTCTTGTTAACCCTGTGGGAGGATGGCTTATTGACTTTTCTTTAAAAATTTTTTTTAAAATTTTTAATTTTTATGGGTACATAGTAGGTATATATATTTATGGGGTGCTTGAGATGTTTTGATACAGGCATGCAATGTGAAATAATCACATCATGGAGAATAGGGTATCCATCCCATTAAGCATTTATCTTTTGTGTTACAAACAATCCAATTACACTCTAGTTATTTTTAAATGTACAATTAAGTTATTGTTGACCACAGTCACCCTGTTATGCTATCAAATAGTAGGTCTTATTCATTCTTTCTATTTTTTTGTACCCATTAACTGTCCCCATCTCCCTTGCCAGCTCCTCAATACCCTTCCCAGCCTCTGCTAATCATCCTTCTATTCTCTATGCCCATGAGTTCAATTGTTTTGATTTTTAGATCCCACAGATAATTGAGAACATGCAATGTTTGTCTTTCTGTGCCTGGCTTATTTCACTTAGCATAATGATCTCCAGTTCCATCCATTTTGTTCAAATGATAGGATCTCATTCCTTTTCATGGCTGAATAGTACTTCATTGTGTATATGTACCACATTTCCCTTATCCATTCATCTGTTGATGGACATTTAGATTGCTTCCAAATCTCAGCTATTGTAAGCAGTGCTGCAACAAACATGGGAGTGCAGATATATCTTTGATATACTGATTTCCTTTATTTGGGGTATATACCCAGCAGTGGGATTGCTGGATCATATGGTAGCTCTAGTTTTAGTTTTTTTGAAGAACTTCCAAACTCTTCTCCATAGTAGTTGTACTAATATACATTCCCACTAATAGTGTACAAGGCTTCCTTTTCTCCACATCCTCACCAGCATTTGTTATTGTCTATCTTCTGGATATAAGCCATTTTAACTGGAGTGAGATGATATCTTTGTGGTTTTGATTTGCATTTCTCTGATGATGAGTGATGTTGAGCACCTTTTCATATACCCGTTTGCTATCTGCATGTCTTCTTTTGAGAGATGTCTATTAAAATATTTTGCCTATTTTTGATTAGATTATTAGATTTTTTTCCCATAGAGTTGTTTGAGCTCCTTATATATTCTGGTTATTAATCCCTTGTCAGAGGGGTAATTTGCAAATATTTCCTACCATTCTGTGGGTTGTCTCTTCACTTTGTTGATTATTTCCTTTGCTGTGCAGAAGCTTTTTAACTTGATGTGATCCATTTGTCCATTTTTATTTGTAAACCTTTATGGTGAACTCTGATGAAGAAATGTGCTATTTTATATAAATGTTTATGTTTAACTTTGATGAAGAAATGTACTATTTTATGTTGCAGAAGCACAGCCTTCTGTTGAATGATCTTTTAGAAGGAAGTCCCTTTCCTGTCTTGAGTCTTCATAGAATTAGCTTGCTTTCTTCTAAAAATATCTGCCCATCACTCTTATTTAGAATTCTTCGTTTTCTGAGACTGTTCATATATTAGGATGTTCTTTCCCCAGACTCCCTGTTTTTTCGTTTGCTCCTAATAAAGAATAGACTGTCTCTTCATTGAAAGATTTTTTAAAAAACATAAATAAATTATGATAAATAGATTGGAGTATAAAAACCAATCCGTTTGTATAAGTTACAAAAGTTCCTGAAGTGTCAAAAACCCTCATAGTAATTATTAATCATTTTCAATTTCCTGAGTTCTCTTCTGAGGTGGTAGATACTGACTCCAGTTTTTAGTTTGCGAATCAGCTTATATGTCTGGTGTATGTGCCAAACTAGTCTTACTGTAGCCTGGAGTTGATACAAGTTAGTTTTATGGATAGGTCTGAGAGATGGTCCCTTTGAGAATGTCCTTTCAGTTTCTACCTTGCAGGAATGGGTTATTCTTACCCCCATATGTTTCATTCCATTTTCCTCCCCTATGTAAACTTCCCCTCACCCAACATTGCTTGGGTCTCCTGTGTTCCCTAGTGTGCATCAAACTAACCTGTGTTGACCTAAAAGGAAGAAGCTTAAGCAAAATTAATATAAGTAGAGAGTTAATTTGGGCCAAGTTTGAGGATTGCAACCTGGAAGCATAGATTCAAGTTGTCCTGAATATACATTCCAGATAATAGCAGTTACAAGTAGATTTTTAAAGGCAGAAAGAGGGGGCAGGGAGTGGGCTGATACAAAGTCATCTGTCAGGAATTCTCATTGGTTTACAGAAATAACATTGACTGGTGATTGGCTAGACGTTGTTAAACTATAGGGTGTTGTTTATAGTGTCCGGTGTGGCATTAGGTTAATTTATAGCAACTTGTGGCAGTAGCAAGCAGTTTCAAGAGTTGAATACATAGCTCAAAGAAGGGAGTAGGGTGTGATTGCTGTCTCATTTCAATGCCTCTCTGGGCCTAATAATTTGAAAAGGCTTACATTCCTCAGATCAACCTTTTTTTTTCTTTCCTCACCTTGACAGTTTACTAGGACATGGGTTGCTGGGCTTCACTTTGGGAGTTTCTGATTAAGCAGGTTTGAAGTTGGGCCCAAGAATGTGCATTTCAAACAAGTTCCCGTGTGATATTGATGCTTCTGGCCACAGGGCCGCTTTGCCCTAGGTCAATTAGGGTCCTAGCTTCTAGCAAGAGCAGTATTCTCTGTGGCTCTAAGCTTCAGCATTGTTCACCCTATCACAATCAGGCCTCTCTGTAACTTTGCTCTAGACACTCCAAGCTTCATAGCTGGTTCCCTGGAGGTTGAAGTCAATTTCCTACTTAAACCCCAAAGACACTTTTCCAGACTTCTGATTGTAGAGTCCAGTTCTGACAGCTGTGCACGTTGGAAGTCTCCAGGGTTCTGGGCTTTTCAAGTCTCAACCTCTCTTCATTCCGGTTCCCTCTATTCGTTTCAGTTGCCAGCAAATACACCCCACTGAAGCTTAGCTTTTCACCTCCTCTTCTAAGTAGCACCTAATCCTAATTCATTCATGATGGGTGTGTGATCCTGAGAGCCATTTAGTATTTCATCTTTTCCCTCCATAGCTTAGCTTAGTCCATTTTGTGTCGCTGCAACAGAATACCACAGCCTGGATATTTTATAAAGAAAGTGATTTTATTTATTACAGTTCTGGAGGCTGGGAAGTCCAAGATTGAGGGGCGGGCATTTGGTGAAAGCCTTGCTGCATTAGCCCATGGTGGAAAGTGAAAGGGCAAGAGAGTGAAGGAGAGTAAGAGGGGGCCAAACTCGCCTTTATAACAAGGCTACTCTCTTGATAACTAACCTACACCAGCAATAACAACATCAATCCATTCCTGAGAGCAAATCCCTCATGACCTAATCACTTCCTATTAGGCCCCACCTGCAACACTGCTGCGTCGGGGGGATTAAGTTTTCAACACTTGAACTTCAGGGACACATTCAAACCAGAGCATAGCTTTTAGCAGATATTCATTGCCTGCCTCAAAGCTGCTGTAATTGAAGGTGGGGACTGGGTTCCAGGGCTTACTGTGGCTCCTAGATCTGTAAGTTAAGGTACGTCCCATGTGCTATTCCATTACTCAAGACATTGATCTTTCTCCCAGGGAAATGGTTTTGCGGAAATGCAGTTTCAGGCTGATAGCAGCTTTGGAGTAAAGCCAAGGTCTCAGTAATATTTCTTTTATTTGTTTCCCAACAGTCTGACAACAAAGCCTTTGTTCTCTAGAGAAACAGATTTTGTGTGTGTGTGTGTGTGTGTGCGTGTGTGTTTATTATAAGGAATTGGCTCATTGGCTCATGCAATTATGGAGGCTGAGAAACTTTACAGTCTGCCATCTGCAAGCTGGAGACCCAAGAGATCCTGTGGTGTCCAGTCCAAGTGCAGGAGAAGACTGATGTTCCAGCTTGAAAACAGTCAGGCAGAGAGAATGAATTCTCCCTTTTGTTCTATTCAGGTCTCTAAAGGATCAGATGAGGCCCACCCACATTGGGAAGGGCAAGCTGAGACTAAGTCAGCTGACTCAAATGTTAACTCTTCCAGAAACCCTCAGAAACTCACCCAGAATAATGTTTAACCAAATATCTGGGCACTCCATGTCCCAGTCAAGTTGATACATAAAATGAATGATCACAGCCTTACTCCTAACTAATTCCTGTTAATCATAGGGGTTCATATAAATGAATAGTCACACAGAGCATCTTCTCAGGTACCATGATAAGCTTGCCATATTTTCCCTTTCCTTCAGGATCGCCCCCTTCTCAGATGATCTGCTGCTCACCTCAGATACCTACAGAGACTCTGCTGGTGCCTGTCAAAGGTGCTGTCACCTCCCACTCCCACAAAAAGTGCCGCTGCTCTCTCTCATCTGCTGAAGGTAGCACTGCTGGAAGTCTTGTATGGAAGTGGAAGATCTGATGTCTTTGCTGAATGTATTAGCACCTCTGGTTGGCAAGGTTGCTAGTGTTCCACTCTGCTGATGCAGGCACTGGTGGTGGCATTGATGTGATAAAGACTTCAAAGCACCAATAGGTTCTCTACTGAAGTGGAAAGGATCTTTTTATGTCTTTTGTCTTATATTTCTACCTGGGCTCCAAAGTCATGCTTCCTGGTGTTGCCAGTGAGCAGGGAGAATTTAGTGAAGAAGCTTTTTGCAGAGATGACTAGCTGTCTGCTAAAATTCCATTATGTAGAATAAGTGCCAAGAAGTAGCCACACACACATTAAAAAAAAATTCTGAGCCCCTGTACCCCACCTTTGCATTTAGTGGAGTCATAGGACTAGCTCACACCCATGTGAACAGAGCTGATGTGTCTCATTTCTGGGCCAAGGAGTTTAAGAAGTGGGGTTTGTCTCCTTTACATTCTCTTTTTCCTCTTCTGCCAGCTCTAATACCTCAAGGAATGTCAGAATATGGGACAGAAGGAGCCAGGACATCCACCTTGCACTGTTCTGGGAGGAAGAAATACATTTTCTGGCCTGCGCAGGGTGGCTCACGCCTGTAATCCCAGGACTTTGGGAGGCTGAGGTGGGCAGATTGCCTGAGCTCAGGAGTTTGTGACCAGCCTTGGCAACACAAGGAAACCCCATCTCTACTAAAATACAAAAAATTAGCCAAGTGTGGCAGCGCGAGCCTGTAATCCCAGCTACTTGGGAGGCTGAGGCAGGAGAATTGCTTGAACCCAGGAGGCAGAGGTTGCAGTGAGCTGAGATCATGCCACTGCACTTCAGCCTGGGCGACAGAGTAAGAATCTGTCTCAAAAAAAAAAAAAGAAGAAATACATTTTCTGTATACTTAAAAATAATTAAAATGAGGAGATCGAGACCATCCCGGCTAAAACGGTGAAACCCCGTCTCTACTAAAAATACAAAAAATTAGCCGGGCGTAGTGGCGGGCGCCTGTAGTCCCAGCTACTTGGGAGGCTGAGGCAGGAGAATGGCGTGAACCCGGGAGGCGGAGCTTGCAGTGAGCCGAGATCCCGCCACTGCACTCCAGCCTGGGCGACAGAGCGAGACTCCGTCTCAAAAATAAAAAAAAAAAAAAAATAATTAAAATGATAAATTGTATCATTGTATTATGTGTATATTACCACAATTTTAAAAATTACATTTCTACTGTGACAAGTTGCTGAATATTTGAGGTCTGTTTGTTATAGCAGCTAACTAATGTTACCTTAACCGATTCTCAGTTGCTTACATTTGTTCTCATTTAGGGATTCATTTATGGAATCTTGGCACAAGCCACACACAGAGTGCACTAAGAGCAATACTCAAAATTTCCTTTCTTTTTTCATGTTGGCCCTTTGCCCTTGATAAGTCTTTTAGTGCCTGCACTGCCTTAACACTCCTTTAAATATCTTTCTAGAAAAAGACTCTTGAGTCTTGAGATATGTAGAGGTCATGTACCTGCTAGAGTGCACATAACTGCTTCACAACTTTTTTTTTTGAGACGGAGTTTCGCTCTGTCATCCAGGCTGGAGTGCAGTGGCAGGATCTCGGCTCACTGCAACCTCCACCTCCCAGGTTCAAGCAATTCTGCCTCAGCCTCCCAGGTAGCTGGGATTGCAGGCACCCATCACCACGCCTAGCTAATTTTTGTATTTTTAGTAGAGATGGATTTGTCCATATTGGCCAGGCTGGTTACAAACTGCTGACCTCAGGTGATCTGCCCGCCTTGGCCTCCCAAAGTGCTGGGATTACAGGCGTGAGTCTCCCTCTGTCGCCCAGGCTGGAGCACAATGGCTCAATCTTGGCTCACTGCAACCTCTGCAAGTGATTCTCCTGCCTCAGCCTCCTGAGTAGCTGGAATTACAGGCGAGTACCACCACGCCCAGATAATTTTTTTGTATTTTTAGTAGAGACGGAGTTTCGCCATGTTGGCCAGGCTGGTCTCCATCTCCTGACCTCAAGTGATCCGCCCACCTCGGCCTCCCAAAGCACTGGGATTATAGGTGTGAGCCACCACACCCAGCCTGCTTCACAAGTTTTAACTCTGTTACTGTTGATGATGTACCTCACAGACCCGCCAGTCATGCCACATGTGAATCTTGAGTGAGCAATTTAAGTTTGAGTTTCTTCCTAGAAAATAATAAAATGCTATAGGAAAAACAGATGTAATTTCCAGAGAAAGGGCAGAGGACTTTCTTACATTTTTTTGGGTACTCAGTCCAAAAAGTACTTGGGTGGTTGCTATCCATCAAGCAATGTGCTAGCCCATTTCACATATATTTTGCTACTATAATAGTTGATACAAAGTTCTGCATAGTTAAACCATAGGACCAGAAGGTTATACTAATAATAAAAATTTGGTTTGAAAATACTTGGAGAGGCCGGGTGTGGTGGCTCACACCTGTAATCCCAGCACTTTGGGAGGCCGAGGCGGGCAGATCACAAGGTCAGGAGATTGAGACCATCCTGGCTAACACAGTGAAACCCCATCTCTGCTAAAAATACAAAAATTAGCCAGGCGTGGCTGCGTGTGCCTGTAGTCACAGCTGCTAGGGAGGCTGAGGCAGGAGAATGGCGTGAACCCAGGAGGCGGAGCTTGCAGTGAGCCGAGATTGCGCCACTGCACTCCAGCCTGGGCGACAGAGTGAGACTCTGTCTCAAAAAAAAAAAAAAGAAAATACTTGGAGATCTGTGATGCAATATTAACTGTTATTTTATATTACAATACTATATTGTGCATGTATCTCTAAATTATAAGTATTACTTTATACAGTGTTGTTTGCCCTTTAGAATTTTTACTAATAAGAAAAAAAACAAATACATAAAACCAGATCAAATAAAGGTTATTCATATTCTAGAAATGCACCAAAAGAGAAATGACATTTAAAAATGAGATTTTGCATTCCTCCTCATGTCATTTTTATTCATCAGGATACAAAGATAAAGAATCTTAACACTTGTGTAAAACAAGCTCGATCATGTCCGTTTAACAATTAAATAGATTTTGTTAATATAAAAAAAGAAAACATTTTTTAAAGTTATGGGTTGAGTGGGGTGCAGTGGCTCCACCTGTAATTCCAGCACTTTGGGAAGCCAGGGTGGACAGATAGCTTGAGCCAAGGAGTTTGAGACCAGCCTGGGCAACACGGTGAAACCCCATCTCTACAAAAAAAAAAAAAAAAAAAAAAAAAAATACAAAAAGTAACCGGGCCTTGTGATGCATGCCTGTAGTCCCTGTTACTTGGGTAGCTGAGGCAGGAGGATCCCTTGAGCCTGTGAGGTTGAGGCTGTAGTGAGCCGTGATGGCATCACTGCACTCCAGCCTGGGTGACAGAGTGAGACCTGTCTCAAAAATAAATAAATAAATAAAGTTATGGGTTGATAGAGTTTTATATTTAAAAAGCATTTTGCATAGGTAATTATTCAACTTACATAAATCATTATTTTTGCAAGATGAATGTGTATGTGTTTTAGTCCATTCAGGCTGCTATAACCAAATATAAACTGAATGGCTTATAAACAACAGAAATTTTTTACTCCTAGTTCTGGAGGCTGGGAAGTCCAAGGCACTGCTGGATTCAGTGTCTTGTAAGGGCTTTCTGGTTCACAGATTGTGCCTTTCAGCTGTGTCTTCACATGGTGAAAAGAGCAGCCAAGCTCCCTCAGGTCTTTTTGATAGGGCACTAATCCCATTCTTGAGGGCTCCATCCTTATGACCTTATCACCTTCCAAAGACCCCAACCTGCTAATACCATCACCTTGGGTGTTAAGATTTCAAAATATGTATTTTGGGGAGACATTCAGACCACAGCAGTATATATTCAAAGACTATTCTAATAAAAATTCAAAGGTTATTGCTTTATTTCTTGTTACATTGAACATTTATAAAATTTACGTATATACCCTGAATCCGAAGAAAAACATGCCAGTAACATATTTGATAAAGGCAAAATTTAAATTCAAGGGTGCATGATAGCCCTGTCTAGACTAAAATTCAAATAATTGAAATCACCATTGAAGATGTTGATAAAAAAAGTACAATATCAAAGCATTAATTTTACCGTAAGAATAAAAAAGAGGATGATGTTGATTTGCTGAATTTCTAAGAATCAGCGGTCACATAGATTATCTGAACATCTTTTTAAAAAAGCTTGAAAAGTGAACAACTATTCTTTTATGTCTGGTGAATATGTAATATATATTTATGTAATATGTGTTATGTGATAATGATAATATGAATATTTAATAGAACTTATTTAAAGTTATACATCATCCTATCTTAATAAAATTTTGGAAAATTTATTTGGGTGAGTTTTTTGTCTTTTGTTTTTTTGAGGCAAAAATGATTTGAAGAAAACTTAGTAGCAGAAATGCTACCAAACTTTATCATTCATGATTCACTTTTTAAGGAAAGAAAAATGTAATTGTTTTAGTATTGCAAATTAAATATATTTCACCTTTCTAATAATCAAATCCTAATCACAAATGACTGTGAAAATTATAAGTTTTCTCTTGTATATTTTGCTGATAAAATAAGAGAAAAGTAAAATAAGACTCATTTTTAAACTAGAGGCTTTAATTTATTATTATTGGTATATATTTTTCCCCATCCTCCTCAATTCCCTTATCTCTGCCTGCAAAGTTCCAAACTTCTTTTAAGGTTATCCCAAATGCCACTCCCACTAAGAGGTCTATTTTTGGGTTTTGTTTGTTTGTTTGCTTTTATGTTATTTTTCGTGATCTCTTCCCCTCTAAAGCATATTGCATGCTTACCTCGTGTTATATTCTGCCTTTAATTACTGGATACTCTAGGGCAGGGATTGTCCCGTCCTCATTCTTGTGTCACTGATGGCACAAAGTACAGACCTTAAGTTCGGTGAGCCCTAAGTAAACATTTGCTGAATTAAAATGCTAAAGACTTATGATTTCCCCTTCCTCTATAAAATAATTTGTGTTTGCTGTTGATCCAAACCTCTCTCCTCATTTTATGTAGATCCACAGATTCTTCAAGAACAAAAGTCAGCCTGTGGCATGACAGTAATGCCGGGTCAGTGTGTCGACTCTGCTCTGGTAGCTTCCAGAGAGCTGAAGAAAGTTTGTCCCAGCCACACCAGGTGGCAGTGTGAACCATGTCTGCATGGCCACCAAAGCTGGAGTATGAGCAAAACAATGCAGACATTCTACCAAAAAAGGCATTTAAAAACAGTTTAACACAAAAGGGATAAATAAAGTCAATTTTCTATATTTTAGTGGGAGATTCAAAGACTCACATGATTTATACAACTGCTGTTGACACAGAAAAGTGAAGAAAATAAGTTTTATTATTTGCACTGTCAACAGGTACAGACAGAAATAGGTATGTATCCTAGCAGACAACAGTAAATCTTGGCATTTATATAAAGGAATGGAAGTGATCATATTGAAAGTTAATATTATTATGCTATTTTGTAAATATGAGAATAGCTATAAAAGCCACAATTATTCCTTGAAACTCAAGTGATCAGACTGTTTCACTTATTAAAAGGTCAAGAGATTAATCTAATTTTAAGATATAACTGATTTTGGCATTATGGTTGAATTTTGGTACAGGTAAATGATTTGTGCAAAATGTTTTTCATGTATATGAGTACCTTTATTGTCTTAAAGTTGGGATTCCAGGTTAGGTCCTACTGAATTTGGGATATGGAGAAATAAGAAACAACTGCATTATTCTGGTATCAGTAACATATTCCTCCATGAAGTGGCACACTCTGCAGTGCTTGATAGGTATCAGCACTTCCACCTTTCAGTTGATCTTCTGAGTATTTTTTGCAACTATAAGATAGGGGAAGCACTAACAGAGAGAAATCTCTCCTTTAAGGGCTTATTGTGGACACTTGTTATTGTGGATATTCTTGATTGCCCAGCACCCCTTGAATGCTCTTTTAATGCTTGGAAAATTTCCTATCGTAGGAGTCCCACTTCCCCAGGTTGCAGCAGGAATCTCTCTTTCCCAGCTTCCCTTGGGGTCATAGGTGTGTATCCTGGATTCTACCAATCCGATGCACTTGCATGTGGGTTTCATTCAGAAGTGAACAAAAGGAGAAAGGAGGCATGTAGAATTTGTCCTTCGGCAAGGTTGGCAACAAAGATGTTGGGGCTCTTCAGAATCATCGGTGCCGGAGTTTCTGGCATCCGATCCTGAGAATTCCCACGTGAGCTGAGCAGCATTTGTGCAAGTCATGGTACGGATGCTGACCATGCAGCAGGGGTGTTTTGGTTGTAGTGGCTCCTGCAGAGTAATTGGACATTGTTCCTGACTGCCCAGCATCCAAGCCTTGTTCTCAAGCTCTCTCAGAGCGTCTGTGAGCTACCTGCCAGCCTTTAATTCCTTTTTCATTTAAGCCACTTAAAACCCTGACTGAAACAGGAAGAAGAGGATATACTCTTTTTTTCTAGACACAGCTTTTGGGATAACTTGTAAGATTTTTGTTTGTTATAAAGCTAGGGAAATTTTCATATGGAATTCCTGGCCTCAAGAAAGGAAGAAAGAATGAATACAATATAATGGCTATAATCTGGAATTGATTAAAGATCCAGTAAATGTGTTAAAGCAATCTCAGCTGAGTAAAGGTAAAGTCATTTCGATATTTATAAGTAGATGCTTTCTATAAAAAAGGGAGAAATAATTTTAATGTTTAAAACTAGAGCAATACTAAGAAACACCTAAATTTGATATCAAAGAATAATTTAGCAAAGTAACACTTTAAAAACAAGCAGAGTAGAAGACTATTGCTTTTGTCTAGCTAGTACACTATTTCCCTTCTATTTTTGGAATCCTTCTTTATCATGGGGAACCCTTAGCATGGGACTAGCACCAGGTTCTTCCACTCTGTTTCCCCATTGCCCCAAGGAAGGCAGGTGACCCAGCCCTGGGCAATCAGAATACTCCCCTTCCTGTCCCGCGTTCACATATGGGCACGTGATCCAAGCAGGGCACATCAGAGTCTTTGCTGGGATTTGATATGTGGACTCTGAGAGATTCTCTAGTCCACAGGGATTGCAAGCTCTAAGGACAATGTAACTATTCTCCCTAGCTATTTGGAAGAAGTTGCTTATTGTAGGAGGAAAGGAGGCAACAAACAAAGAGAATGGGCACAGAGGAGAGATGGAGGGCCTAAGACCCTTAATAACATTTTTTGAGCCTCTAGTCCAGCTGTGCCTGGGCGATTTCAATTAAGCTTATTTGACTGGGTTTCTGACACTTGGTAATCCAGAGTCCTGGTTATATGATGAAATCTGTTATTCTCTATTTCTTTTTAATTTCTTTTTTATCTTTTCTTTTTTTGTAGAGATGGGCTCTTACTATGTTGACTAGGATGGTTTTGAACTCCTGGCCTCAAGCGATTCTCCCACCTTGACCTCCCAAAGTGCTGAGATCACAGGTGTGAGCCACCGCACCTGGACTTATTCTTTATTTTTTTATTTGCTCTTTTCTTACCATTATGCATAGTGGGAACAAAACTAAAGAGAAAAAATGCTTCTAGCAGTTTTTTTTCTGATTATAAAAGTAATAAATGCCTTTTATAGAGAAACTGAAAGACATTAAGAAGTGCATGGGCATAAACACTCAGAGAAAAGCTAAACAAGTCAACCCATAAGCCCACTGCCCAGAGAAAAAGCACTTTTATTTATGTCATCCCACGTATCTATGTATATGAGCCACTGGGAGCATACTGTACTTTTGTAATCTGCTCTTTTCATTTAATAATACATTGTGAACATTTTCTTGCATCATTAACTTTTTTCTCCTGCAAAATTAAATTGCAAAATCATTCTGTAGAGCCATGGTAAAAACTGTCACCTGACAAGCACCAGGATAGTGAGTGTGGGGTAGACAAGTTTTCCAGCACGATGTGAGAATAGACTTATTAAATCTGTCTCCCATCACCCATCAGTCTTGTCCTAAAAACTCTCACTCATTAAACACATTTTAGGGCTTCAGAGAGTAGAGCAGACATGTTGTTGAGCCTCCCACTGACCTGACTACAGGGCATTAAACAGACAAGATGGCCTCCTGTGGCAGAATGGAGATGATGGAATGGGGTTTGGGGAGAGAGAGGAGCCTGTGGAAAGACAGTTTAAGTGCTAGTGGGCCTACTAGTGGGGCTTCTGTGTTGCCTTAATGAGAAGACAATAAGCCTTCCATGTAATGTTCCAGTACTAGCTCAGAAGGCATAGAGGCTGCACTGACTAAGGAGGATTTGATTGCATTTCCTACTTAGGACCTATCCAAGGTAAGGCTGGATGCCCCATTCACTGGTGTCGGTAAGTACCAGAGAAGCTATCAAAAATAAATTTAAGGAATATAAATGTGTATGTGTGTGCATGCATAGTGTTTGTGTGTATGTGTATGTTTATACAGTCATGTGTGACTTAATGATTGGGATGCATCCTGTGAAATGTGTCATTAGGTGATTTTGTTGTTGCGTGATCATCATACAGTGTACTAGATAGTACTAGACTATACTACATAGTATAGTCTAGTATAGTCTACACACCTAGGTTATATGGTAAACCATTGCTCCTAGGCCACAAACACATGTACAGCACATGATTGTGCTGAGTACTGCAGACAATTGTAACATAATGGTAAAACATATCTGAACATAGAAAAAGTACAGTAAAAATATGGTATTACAATCTTACAGGACAACTATCATATATGCTGTCCATCATTGGCCAATATAGTATAATACAGTGCATGACTGTATGTATATGTATGAGTGTGTATATCTATATATGAGATTCTTGCAGGTATAGAAGGTATAGACTGATGATAACCTCCTCACACTAGATCTTGTTAGTACTAAGTTGGATGCTCTAGGGTAGCTCTGGTTTGCTACAATGGTAGACCATAATTTCAGGGCTTGTTATTAGTAGGGGTTGCACAGCAGAGATGCAGATGCTCTGATCTATTCAAGCACTCCCCAAGTCACTGAAAACATAAGCGCAGAGGCTTTGGAAAAAGGGTTATATTCCCTGAAGGGCAGGATATAGTTCATAGACCTTGATTCTCCCAGTGGCTATGGTGAGTAGAGTCATTAATCCAGAGGAGGATAGAGGATTGGTTTGATTTAGACTTCATGGGAAGATTTCCCTTGCCATTGTGGGAAGGGGAAAAAAAATTTTTCCCTGCGGGAATGGTGCAAAGTTTCTCCAAAGATATGTGAGTTCTGATCAAGAATTGGAAAAATTTCACTCAAATTCAACAAATATTTATCGAGTAGCTGTTATGAGCCAAGTACTGTCTTGGTGACAGGAATTTCAGCTGCGAATAAAACTAAGTCCCTGCTCTTACGCAGTTTACATTTTAGTTAGTGGAGACAGACAATACACTAACCATCACATAAACATTTTATTTGTGGCTAGTGGAAAGTGATACAAAGGATAAAGCAAAGAAAGGGGATGGTGATGGAGGCAGACTGCTATTTTCTATGGGGTGATAAGGTGGTGCCTGAGCATAAACCTGAAGGAAGTGAGAGAGCACATCACATGGGCCCCGTGAAGGGAAGAGCATTCCAGGCAGAAGACTCTGCAGATGCAAAGGCTCTGAGGTTAAAGAGTCTTGGAATGTTTGAAAAACAGCAAGAAAGTGAATGTGGCTTAAGTAGATTGGGCAAGAGGGGATTAGCAGAAGATGAATTCACAAAGGTAACAGGAGCAACAGATCATTCAGGTCCTTTTAAAACAATGTAAGGGGCCAGATGCGGTGGCTCATGCCTGTAATCCCAGCACTTTGGGAGGCCGAGGTGGGTGGATAACCTGAGATCAGGGGTTCAAGACCAGCCTGGTCAACATGGGGAAATCCTGTCTGTACTAAAAATACAAAAATCAGCTGGGTGCTGCGGTGTGTACCTGTGATCCCAGCGACTGGGGAGGCTGAGGCAGGAGAATCGCTTGAACCCAGGAGGTGGAGGTTGCATTGAGCTGAGATTGTGCCACTGCACTCCAGCCTGGGCAACAGAGCAAGACTCTGTCTCGGAAAAAAAAAAAAAAAAAAAGAAAAAAAAGTGGGAACTTTGGCTTTTACTCTGACTGGGATGGGAAGCCATAGGAGCATTTTGGGCCAAGGAGTGACATAATAGAATTAGATATTATTTTGATTGCTTTGTTAAGAATAAATAGTGGGTGAAAAACAATGAAGCAGGGAGACCAGTTAGGAGGTGAAAATGCAGTAGTAATCCAGGTGAGAGTTTATGGTAGCTCAGACCAGGATGTGGTGGTGAGGACGATTGAATGATGGGTGTATTTTGAAGGTAGAGTCTAGATTATTAACCGATAGGATGCGAGGTACCCGGGAAAAAGAGGAGCTAAAGATAATATGGCAGATACTTCTAGATGCGTCTTCTTTTTTCCCCTTACTGGTAGAATCCTGAATTTGTTGGGGGTGGCAAGTTAAAAATTACATCTCCCAACTGAATATGGAAGCCATGTTGTAACCATGAGGAGAAAGCCAAAATAATTACACAGTCTTTAGTCTTAATGTTCTTGAGCCACTAAAAAAGATTCCAGGAACTGTCTACTTACAGACTGCTTGAGAAAAGCAATATGATTGTTCAAGTGATTTGGGTTTTCTGATCTCAACTGAAATCAATTCCTACCTGAGATAACATCAAGGTTTCTGGCTTGAGAAGCTGGTATAATGGAATCATCCTTTCCTAATATGGGGAAAACTGGGAGAGAGGTGAGTTTGGGTGGGAACTTAAAGTTCTGATTGTAGACATGTTAGCTTGTGCGGATGTCCATTAGGCAGTTGACTCTACAGTCTGGTGTTCAGGGGCTGGAGAGAAACATGAAAGTAAACAGTGTCCACATGGAATAGAAAGCCATGGGGTGGGAGGGGATCTTCCAGTGAATTAATAAAGAGAAAATAGGTCCCATGGTTGAGCCCAGGAACACTCCCAAGTTTAGAAGTTGAGAAATTTTTAAAAGAGTAGAAAAGGAAACTGGAAAAGAGTGGCTATAGAAGTAGGAGAAGAGCCGAGAGAGAGATTCAGGCGGCCAAAGAAAGAAAGTGATCAGTTGTGACTTTGAAGTTGAGAAAAAGCCATAGAGTTGGCTACGTGGAGGGCACTGTGACCTTGACAAGAGCAATTTTAGTGTACTGATGAAAAAGAGCCCTCACTGGTGTGGGTCAAGAGAGAAAAGGAGGTGAGAAATTAGACATGGCAATTACAGAAAATTTTTTTGAGGAGTATTTCTTTTTTTTTTGAGACAGGGTCTCGCTGTGTCGCCCAGGCTGGAGTGCAGTGGCGCAATCTCGGCTCACTGCAAGCTCCGCCTCCCGGGTTCACGCCATTCTCCTGCCTCAGCCTCCCGAGTAGCTGGGACTACAGGCGCCCGCCACCACGCCGTGCTAATTTTTTTTTTTTTGTATTTTTAGTAGAGACGGGTTTCACCGTGGTCTCGATCTCCTGACCTCATGATCTGCCCGCCTCGGCCTCCCAAAGTGGATGAGTATTTCTTTTTTTGTTTGTTTGTTTTTGAGATGGAGTCTCGCTCTGTTGCCCAGGCTGGAGTGCAGTGGTGCGATCTCGTCTCCTTCCGCCTCCCGGGTTCAAGTGATTCTCCTGCCTCAGTCTCCCAAGTAGCTGGGACTACAGGTACATGCCACCATGCCCAGCTAATTTTGGTATTTTTAGTAGAGCCAGAGTTTCACCATGTTGGCCAGGATGGTCTAGATCTCTTGAACTCATGATCCGCCTGCCTTGGCCTCCCAAAGTGCTGGGATTACAAGCGTGAGCCACCGTGCTGGGCCCAGGAGTGTTTCTATGAAGGGGAACCGGGAAATGCAATGGGATCTGAAGTCAAGGGAAGGTGTTTTTCTTAATGATGGAAGATATTGAAGTGTGTTTATATGCAATTGGAGATATTTAGAAGAGGTGAAAAGTCTGATGTTGAAGGATAGAGGACAATTGCTGGAGTGATGTCTTTGGCAGGTCCACAAGCAAAGGGGTGGGCATTAAGTAGGTGCACAATCAGTTGCGTGTAGCAAGTGTATGAAGGCAGAGATGCAGGTAGAGATTTCATGTTGGGTGTGTGCTTAGAAGTTCTCCTCTGATCTCTTCTATTTTCTTAAGCAAAAAGTAGGAAACTTTCGTTCAAAGTGAAGAAGTAGAAAGAGATTTGAGTTTTGGATATCCAAAAAGAGATGACGTTGTTGAGAAAAGCAGGGCAGAGCGTTAAATGTAGCAACGTCGGCAGCAGTGGGGACCTCCCAGGGTTGGTGATCGTGCATTTAGAATGTGTCCTTTCAGCCTGGTTGTGTGGTTTTCTTCAACCACATTCAGCTGATCAGCTTCAGGTGGAGTAGGTAGAGTGATTTAATCTGGGAAGTGGTCTATCCAATTGAAGTGCAGAGCAAGGACGGTGAGGGATGCAAAGGAGTGATTTACAGACCATGAAATTTAAGTGGGATAAGGGATAAAAGGAGGTAGGTCAGGGAGAGTGAAAAGCTGGAGAGCTCACTGGGGACAAAGAGTTGTTGCACTGGTAATGTAAGGAGTGAGTAGGAAAGAAGGAAGGTGGTGGTCAGAGAGTGGAATCATGGAAATTGAAACAAAAAACCTTTCTGTAAAAAGATATTGCCTATTCATCCCTTTTCAATAATATTCTTTCTTTAAATAAGCTTCTTAAGGCATAATCTATGGTAAAATTCTCATATTTGAAGTATATAGGTTATGACTTTTGACAAAACTATACGCCAATGTCATTGCCGTAAAAATTAAGATATAGAAGAGTGCCCTCTCTCCAAAATTCACTTTTGCCACTTTGCAGTCTCCCTCACCCCACACATCACTGAAACACTGTTTTTCTGTTTTTTTTTTTTTTTTTTTTTTTTTTTGAGACGGAGTTTTGCTCTGTCGTCCAGGATGGAGTGCAGTGGCGTGATCTCCACTCACTGCAACCTCTGCCTCCCAGGTTCATGGGATCCTTCTTCCTCAGCCTCCTAAGTAGCTGGGACTACAGGGGTATGCCACCACACCTGGTTAATTTTTGTATTTTTGCAGAGACAGGGTTTCGCCATGTTGGCCAGGCTGGTCTCAAACTCCCGACCTAGGGTGATCTGCCCGCCTCGGCCTCCCAAAGTGCTGGGATTATAGGTGTGAGCCACTGTGCCTGGCCAACACTGGTTTAGAAAAAAAAAATCACCATAGATGTGTTTTAACTATTCTAGAATTTCACATAAGTGGAATCATACAGTATGCACTTTTTTAATGCCAGGCCACTTTTGCCCAGAAAAATGTCTGTGAAATTTATCCATGTTTATTTTGTGTATCTGTACTTTGTTCCTTCTTATTGCTGAGTGGTATTCCATTGTATAAATGATACAACTTCAGTATCCATTTGCCTGTGGATAGACATTTGGGCTGTTTCCACTTTGGGCTGTTATAATATTAATATTAATGTTCATATAAAAGTCTTTTTATGAGCATATGTTTTCATTCTCTTAGGTAGAGACCTAAGACTATAATTGCTGCTGTGTATTATCTGTTTTTGCATATTTTTGGATTTGACTCGCTAACATTTTGTTTAGGATTTTCAGGTCTATATTCATAGAACTGAGAAGTCACCACAACAATTAGTCGAAGAGGGAAACATTTAGTCCTTTGTTCGGAGATGGAGGCAAAACTAACCCTTTGGCTCTTCCTTTACTTGTGTTGGAGTCATCATAGCAACAGTCTCTTGATCCTATAAATAATGGTAAACTGAACCAGAATGCATGTAAACCAGATGAATTCATCTGCCACAAAACAAAAGGCATAAAAATGCATGATAGGGTCATGGCAATGAGGGATCATCAGAATTTCAGAAGCCACAACAGCCCATCCTTGTAACTAGGTAACTTTGTCCTATACTCTTTCCAATCTCTGTTTTTTGGGGGTCTCTTTAGGTATGTTCTTAGACAACCAGTCCTTAAGTTTATCACCTTCTGATGGAAACATAGTCAGAGAATCCCCACGGGGACACTGTGTTTTAGGGGAACTGATGGTATAATTTTAAATGTTGTTATGTGGCAGATCGTTTTCAGCTGTGTTGCAGCACTGTGACTTCTAAACCACCACACCTAAAGGTATGTCCAGAGAGAAGCACAGGTGTCCTGGATCCTTGGCGTTATAGCTATTGACACTTGGATGAAATATCCTCTTCCTTAAGTGTGAAGTGTCTCTGGAGTATCACAGCTTTGAAGACTGTCAAGTTCCCAAAAAATAAAAATTACTTATTTCATAGTAAATAATTCAATTTGCAGGTTAAGATTTACAACGAATTTACTAGAACTACACTTTCCTACATACTCCGTAAATACCCCACAGAACCTCTGGCAGGTATTGAAGCAATCAGTAGATTTTTAAGAAAGAAATATTCCAAAATGTCTCATCACAAAATTAGAAATTATGTAAAGATAATTGAAGTAAAAGAAAAATAACACATTGTTCTCTTGACTCATTTCGGTTCTTCCCTGACAATGAATTTTCATGAGCTGCTTGGACTGTTAAGGTAAATTGATATTTTAAAGTCTGTGATTATGTGTGACAGGAGTACAATATTTGTAAGCTTTTATTTGTATATTTATATTTATACCAAATATCTATGAGCAATTGTGAGTAAAATACCTTCTGTCTTTAAATTGCTCACTTAGTAGCATACTTGCCAAACATCATGTAAATGAATACTTCTTATATGTGAAACACAAGGGCTTTATAACTTGCTTTTAGAATATATAGTTAAGAAATGGAAGGGTGGGCTGGGCACGATGGCTCACACCTATAATCTCAGCACTTTGGGAGGCCGAGGCAGGCGGATTACCTTAGGTTGCGAGTTTGAAACCAGCCCGGCCAACATGGTGAAATCGTGTCTCTACTGAAAACACAAAAATCAGCTGGGTTTGATGGCGCACACCTGTAATTCCAGCTACTCTGGAGGCTGAGGCAGGAGAATTGTTTAAACCCAGGAGGTGGAGGTTGCAGTGAGCCAAGATTGTGCAACTGCCCTCCAGCCTGGGCAGCAGAGTGAGACTCTGAAAAAAAAAAAAAAAAAAAGAAATGGAAAGGAAAGTATCTTAGAGCACAATATTTTATATGCCAATAGGTTATATGACTCTGGGGGAAGGATCTGTTAGAATAAGTTTTCTGAACACCTAGAGCTTACACTTTCAAAAGTTTTTTTTCTTTTAACCAGTTAAGTAACATTTTTTTAAAAAAAGTATTGTTGGGATTCCTGCCATCTCAATCAGACCATATAGAATATAATCTATGAATTCTGTAGGTGATGATTATGTGTGTCAGCTCCCCAAGGGTGCACACCTTGAGGTTGATTAAAGTGCATAGACACAAAGGAGGAAATCGGGAAACGAAGCAGTGTAGTAGTTTGAGGCCACGTATTAAATGTGTCTGCCTCCTCTCTCCTTCCATTCCCCTCCCTCCCACACTCATTTGCTTCCAATCATCTACTCATTTAAACTCAGAAAGATGGAGGGTGGACACAAGAGGTCAGTCGACCTTGGTTATTCCATCACTAACTTCATTTTATGTTGTTTTACATTTTGGTTTTGGAGGCAGTCCCAAGGCTGACTAAATACATCCATGTGGGACTCAAGTGCATATGTTCACAGGCCCTTTTCTCTCATTTTTGTGCACCTAGGTCCTCTAGTTTCTTAAAGTTAGCAAAAGAATGATTTCTGGTTACATGGGACCTTGCTGGAATAAGCTCTGTACTTCAAAGTGCAGGAAAAGCATGAATGGCTTGCTCAATACACGCCTTTTCAATTCTTTTTTCTCTCTTGTCTTAAAAGCAGATCCTGAGATAAAGATTCAAATAAAAGCAGGTTGTTTGGCAGGTGAAGGAAACACCAACAGGTGAGTGAGATGTGAGAGAAGATGAAGGCAGCTGGTAAAGAGTCTGTTACAAGCCAGCCTCCACCATGGGCAGCTGGAGCTGAAGCCTACTCCGGAAAACAGTGTTCCACTCACCCCCCAGAGTCACCACGACCAACTCCTGTAAGTCAATAGTTGAACATTGATGAGCTGTTAATATTTTCACACTTTTGGCCTGACTGCATGGGTGGACAAAGTGTGCTTAGGTGGCTGAAGAAAGTGGAAGTCAGGCACCATGAGCTGACATGGTAATGGTGAGGAGATATGAGCGGGGCACCTACAGTGCAGCTGGAGTTGGTGACGTGAGAATGGCCCCCATTCTCAGCCCATTGATTTGGAGACTTGCATTTCGAGAATGAATTAAGAGACAGCTATGACTCTCCTTTAGCTATACTAATCTAGAAATGCTGGTTTCCAATGTTATTGGAAGAAAAATATAATTGCTACTAAGTAGGACCACATTCTACCTATCTATGCAGCGTTTTCTTGTTTATATCCTGAATACATTATCCCATGAATTGCCTAACTCAACCTTATTTTACTTTTATAATAATTTGACTACTGACAATTTGAATTTCTTTCTTCTCTCTTGAATAGTCAGATAGGGGTTCGTAAGAGGTGATTTCCTAGCGTCAGTTTACTCCACTCGCTCAACCCAGACATTTCTTGAAATTATAGAGTAGTGATTTTGAAAAATATAAGTCAAGCATTGCTTATTTCTAAAAACTTTCTGTTATCCTTATAAGTTTCTTAGCTGTGGGAGTAGGGTGTACAAATATACAGGGATTCTGTCTCATGTTGTAGTGGTACGTTGTTTTTTTCTGCCAGCATCTTTTTCTTGTGGATCCGTTTTTCCTCAAATCCATTTGGCTGTGTGTATATGTGTGTGTGTGTGTATGCATAATGGGTCTCATAAATATACATCCCACTTCCAGGGTTGGCATGGGACTGGACCCATCTTACTGTAGCATTGGCTGGACACACAGAGGTGGAAACATGATCCAATCATGGCCAGAGTATACAGTGTGTGTAAGAGAGAGAAAGAGAGAGGAACTGGGGGGACTGAAGCTCTCCTTTTTCCTTGTTTGCTCATCCGGGATAACATAAAGCTGGGGATGACTGTGGTCACTTTCGTGACTCCTCTAGGTGGAGAGGCATAGATAGCATGCCGAGTGTAGCCAAGTGGAGACAAATAATAGAGACGAAAAGTCCTGGAGGTTTAGGCCCTGGATCTGGCTTGATTGAGCTTGACCTCAGGGCCTTCTGAACCAGTTTTTCTGTGAGCTAATAATTCTTCTTCTTCTTGTTTTTTTTGTTTTTTTTTGCTTAAGCTAATTTAAATTAGGGTTTTGCACCTGCAATAGAAAGGCTTCTGACTAAAACATATACTCAGAGCTGGCAAGAAACTGAAGGTGAAAAAGAAAATGTGTCAGAAAAAAGTTTAGAGATACCTAGCTTAATAATGAAAAATCTTAGACACAATAAAATGCATTCAATATCAACTAATGAGATTTTATATGAAATAGAGTATGTATAAAATTATGACACAATGGCTGGGCACGGTGGCTCATGTCTGTAATCTCAGCACTTTGGGAGACCGAGGTGGACGGATCCCTTGAGGCCAGGAGTTCAAGACCAGCCTGGCCAACATGGCAAAACCCTGTCTCTTCTAAAAATACAAAAATTAGCTGGGCATGGTGGTGCACCCCTGTAATCCCAGCTACTCACAAGACTGAGGCAGGAGAATCGCTTGAACCCGGGAGGTGGAGGCTGCAGTGAGCCGAGATCACACCATTGCACTCCAGCCTTTGTGACAATACAGAAACTCTATCTCAAAAAAAAAAAAAATTATGACACAACTGGCAACAAACACTGTCTGTTATTTTCCTTCAAGTGACTGGAATACAAAGTGAAATGTCCACCAGTACCCATATCTGGATAACCATACTTTGCCAGTCAGTGTTTTTTCAAGAAAATATGGTATTGCATGAAAAAAGTGTCTAATTCAGTGTGCAACTCCAATACTCACACAAATTGTTTTCCTCAAGTCAATCAGTACTTTAGCATGCAACAAAAGTGCTTTACGAGGACTCTCCATTTTATAACACTGTATTAAAAAACAGTACACTCAAAGGTTGACAACTAACATTTTTTAGTGCTTTATCAAGGACATTCCTAAGTGAAACTCTTTTTCCTTAAACTTTTTTTTCTATAACCTCATATTAGAAATCATCTTCTTTTCCTTTTAAGTCATGAGTGCCATGGCAGTGAAGAATATGACTATTTGGCTGGGTACGGTGGCTCATGCCTGTAATCTCAGCACTTTGGGAAGCCGAGGTGCGTGGATCACTTGAGGTCAGGAGTTCGAGACCATCCTGGCCAACATGGTGAAACTCCGTCTGTACTACAAACACAAAAATTAGACCGGTGTGGTGGCATGCGCCTGTAGTCCCAGCTACTAAGGAGGCTAAAGCAGGAGAATCACTTGAACCCGGGAGGCAGAGGTTACAGTGAGCCAAGATTGCACCACTGCACTTCAGCCTGGGCAACAGAGTGAGAATCCATCTGAAAAAGAAAAAAAAAAAAAGAATATGATTATTACAATAGTTTGGTGCCACTGCCTTGATGGGTGTGAGGATTCCAGCAGTTTTACCCACTGGTGCTTTTGCACCTTCAATGAAAATGTCAACCCAGAGAGTGATATAGTTTGGATATTTGTCCTCACCCAAATCTCATGTTGAAACGTAATCCCCAGTGCTGGAGGTGGGGCCTGGTGGGAGGTGTTTGGGTCATCAGGGTGGATCCCTCATGGCTTGGTGCTGTCTTTGCACTAATGAGTGACTTCTTGTGAGATCTGGTTGTTGTAAAGTATGGCACCTTCCCCCCATTCTCTCTCTTGCTCCTGCTTTGGCCACATGATGTGCCTGCTCCTGCTTCAACTTCTGCCACTAGTAAAAGTTTCCTGAGGCCTGCCCAGAAGAAGATGCTGATGCCATGCTTCCTGTACAGCTTACAGAACCGTGAGCCAATTAAACCTCTTATCAATTACCCAGTCTTAGATATTTCTTTATAGCAATGCAAGAAATGCCTAATACAGAGAGCAAGACATATCCATCTCAATATTATTATGAAAATAGTTTTGATCTGGCAGATTCCTTGAAAGAATTTGGGGAACCCACAGGAGTGGGTGGGCCATACTTTGCAAATCACTAATTTAAAATGTGCTATTATTCTATCATTGAAAAAAAGACTTATCGCGTCCTTGTGATTGCCAGGCACTTTTGAGAGCAAGGGATATGTCAGTGAACAAAACAAGGAATTCTGCCTTCATGGGGGCCATTTTCTAGCAGGGTAGCAATAGACAATAAGAGCAAATATAATATGTAGGCAAATTAGGAAATGCATTAGGAGATGATAAGTGCTATGGACAAAATAAAAAGCAGAGCAAGGTAAGAGTGACTGGGAGTGCTGGTGGGTGACAGGTAGCAGGTTGAAAGTTTAGAGTGGTCAGGATAGGCCTCATTGCAAAGGTGATAATTTTGAGCAAAGTCTTAAAAAAGATGAAGGAGTTAGCCATGTGGCTTTCTGGTGGAAGAGCATTTCAGTTAAAGAAACTGCCAGTGCAAAAGCTACAAAGTTAGGGGTATGCCTGGTATGGTTAAAAAACACGGGGACACCAGTGGGGAGGGAGTGGAGAGATTGAATGTAAAGTACTAGAAAATGTGGTCAGAGAAGTAAGGGAGGGAGCACATCATGTAGAGAAATGGGAGACACTGGAGGGCAGAAGAGTGACCCAATTTCTCTTATGCCTTAAAAATGGTCAATTTTGGCCCAGCATGGTGGCACATGCCTGTAATCCCAGCATTTCGGGAGGCTGAGGCAGGAAGATCGCTTGAGCCCAGGAGTCTGAGGCTGCAGTGAGCAATGGTCACAGCACCGCACTCCAGCCTGGGTGACAGAGTAAGACTTTGTCTCTGAAAAGAAGGAAGGAAGGGAGGGAGGAAGGAAGAAAGGAAGGAAAGAAAGTCAGTCAGTCAGTTTTGTAGCGGTGTTGAGGATAGAGAACAAGGATAGAAAATGGATGAGTGATAATAATGGGCCAGGCCAGAGTGGTAGATGTGGAGCTGGTGAGAAGGTAGACTCAGTAGAAATTCCTAATGGTTTTGATGTGGGGTATAAGAGTAAGAGAGAATTCAAAGATAACTTCAAAGCTATTGACCTGAGTAACTGAGAAGATGGTGAATCTCTTATACAAAAATAATTCAAAATTTGCCATAAATCAAAGTAAAGTGTAAAATTATAAAACTTTAAAAAGAAAATACTGAAGATCTTCATGACCTATAGATAAGCAAAGAATTCTTAAACATGACACCAAAAGCATGATCCATAAAAGAAAACAAACAATGTGTTGGACTCATCAAAATTAAACATTTTTGCTCTGTTTAAATATTCTGTTAAGAAAATAAAAATAAAGTCATAGCCTCGGAAAAATTATTTGCAAATCACATATCCCACAAAGGCTTTGTATCCAGTATCTATCTGTCTGTCTATCTATCTATCCATCCATCTATCTATCTATCTATCTACACACACATACTATTTAAACTCAACAACAAGAAAATAAACAATCCCATTTGAAAATGGGAAAAAAGATCTGAACAAATACATATCCAAAGGATAGCAGAGAAGCACATGAAAAGATGTTTAACATTATTAACCCTTGGGGAAATGCAATTAAAGTCACCATGATATACTCCAGCATACCTATCAGAGTGCCTAAAGTAAAAAATACAATACCAAGTGCTGACAAGGATGAGGAACAACTGGGTCTCAGATATTGTTGGCAGAAATGTAAAGTGGTATGGCTAGTCAGGAATACAATTTGGAATTTCTTATAAAGTTAAACATATACTTCCCATATGATCCAGCAATGCTACTCCTGGATATTTATCCTAGAGAAGCGAAAACTTATGTTAAACAAAACCCAGTACACAAATTATTCATAGCAGCTTTATTTCTAATAGGCAAAAAGTAGAAACAACACAAACGTCCTTCAACAAGTGAATGAATAAACAAACAAACTGTGGTATATCTATATACGCAAATACTGCTCAGACAAAAAATAAAAAGAATGCATGTAACAACTTGAATGGATGTCAAAGGTATCAGGCTGAGAGAAAAAAAAAGTCAATTTCAAAAAGCTACCTACCATATGATTCAATTTATATGACATTCTCAATATGACACAATTATAGAGATGTGGAATGGATCAGTGGTTGCCAGGGGTTGGGGTTGGAGGGGAGAGGGCATGAGGGAGCTTGTTTGGGGTAAAGGAATAATTCTATATACTGATTGTATCTACTGCTGGTTACAAATATCTCAACATGTAACAACATTTCTTAAAACATTTCATACATCAAGAAAAAAAGTGCATATAAAAACTGGTGAAATCGAAAAAGGTCCATAGTTTAGTCAACAGTATTGTACCAATGCCAATTTCCTGATTTTTATACTCGTACTGTAGTTATGTAAGATGTTATTTTGGGGGGAATCAGGGTGAAGGATTCTGTACTATTTTTGCAACTTATCCATGAGCCTAAAATTAACTCAAAATAAAAGGAAAAAGCTAGGGTTTCCATTAACCAGGATTAAAAAGACTGCACATAGAGTAAGTTTTACAGGAGGAGATGAGGGGTTCAATTTTTGATGTTCTAAATTTCAGATGTCCAGTACAAATGCTTATGTACAAGCCTGGCATTTGGGAAGGGAATCTGAATGAAATATGCATTTGGGAGATTATATTTAAAACCATGAGACTGGATAAGCTCATCCAGGACAGGAATGTAGATCAAAAAGAAAAGAGGAGCAAGGACTGGCCTTGGGGTGTTCCACTACCAGACAACAGGAGAGAACAGAGTGAACTCTTGGGAGGTAATAGTTCCACGTTTACGATTTTCCTTTTTGTGAAAACTTTTTAGGGTGAGTGTGACACTGTGTGTGTGTGTGTGTGTGTGTGTGTGTGTGTTGACAGAGCTCTGTTCCAATCTATCAGATTTACTGGTAGATTTGAACCTCTTTCAGTTACTGTGGATTTCTTTCTCTTTCTTTGTATCTTAGATATTTTTATTTGTTCATATTTGTTACTTATCAGGAATGACTGAAATAAAAAATGTAATTGAGTCCCATAATCATAATCATCATTACCACCATCATCATGATGGAAATGGCTTTAAGTGAGAACTGGTCATACGAATATTATTGCTCCTGATTTTCAACAGTAAATAGTTGCCATTAATGAATGCACAACCCAGAGTCTACCAACAAGGCTCAAGATATTTTAAATAATATAACATGCCTGTTCACAGGGGAAAAAACCCAGGAAATAACTTATGTGTACTTCTTTATTTTATCATATAAGAAAAGCATAGAAACACCACCCATGCCTCTGAGAATGCTGGATCATGCACCTTTGAGAAAAGCTTTGTCTCCTTCATCATGAGCAATTTTCCTCCAGCAGTCAGGGATGCCTGTGTGCAGAATATCAGTTCCTTTGAACCCTGACCCTGTCATCTTGTGGTGGCAAACAGTATCAAATGGATAGGAATGACTTTTTATCCCAGCAATGCCAGTGACAGATTGTGCGATCATCAGCTGATGAAGATGTTAGCATTCTTGGGATCTGGAAAAATGCCTTTTGCAGTGTCACGGATACCAAAGTAGGGAGCTTGGTAGATGATAATACCCCACACTGACACGTTAAAGCCTTGGTTCAGTCTCTTAATTCCATCGGATTTGTAGATCTTAACCAGGCAGTTACTGAGGCTTCTAGATTCCCTTTCAGCTCTAGCTTTACCCACATTAGCTGCTAGACAGGTACAAAGTCAAGTAGCTGCGAAAATCAAGAGGGTACACCATACACAAGGATGTGGCCCAGTGGCATCACTGGGGGCCAGATTGCCTGCAATGTAGCACCACAACTGGGGCCTCTCGTCCACCCCACCTCAGAAGATCTGCTTCTGTTTACCTTGGGCAAAGTTGACAGCCTAGGTGGGTAAGTATCTGATGACACTGGCCAGGTTACCGTGGCAGAAGGACAGGACTCCCTGCTCCTTGGGGGTATGAACCACAGAGTCTGTCTAGTCCTTGCATAGCTTATCTGCGGTGATCTGCTTGCTGGCATGCTGCACTTGCAGCAGCAGCTTGACCCACTTGATGGGCACTGCTGTGTTCTTGGATATGGCCGCAGCCACGCCACCTGCCAGAAAGTCCTTGGAGAAGGTCACAGTGGCATCTGTCATATTGAAAGGAAAGAGGAGGCTGGCAACTGTGAGATGGGACTGGGCTGGGAACCAGCTTTGATTCTGGGACTCAGGGCAGAATTCTTTCTCTTTTCCTCTGTATTTCATCAATTCTGATAAAAATTTACAGGATATCAGTAGGAATGCCCCTCACTTCCCCTCATCTATTGAACTCGGCTCAATGATTTTACAAACTGTTATTTTTTTCAATCCCCGCTACCTCTAGGGATCATGTGTGGTAATATCAATGCTTTGGGAAAAATGAACATTGGTTCCATTAAAGAGGATGGAACATCCGTTGTGAGACTACTTTCCCTAAGGGAAAGATAAACACAAAATCTGATTCACATTTAGGAAAAATTTTTTTACTTTCCTGAAATCATTGTTCATTTATGATCAGTATCTACTCTTACCATTTTATTTTTAAACAAAAGTTCTATCTCCTTTGCCACCATTTTCCCATTATCATTGCTGTTAAAAAATTAATCCACCTAATTAACTAACTTTCACTTAATGAGTAGGCAAATCACGATAATTGCTTTATAGGTTTAGGAATGCAGCCTTGCTCAGAGGGAAGCTTATAATAACTAATGCATATGTTAAGAAACAAGAAGGGGTAAAAATCAATGATCTTAGCATCCATCTCAAGAAGTTAGAAAAAGAACAGCAAATTAAAACCAAACAAAGGGGGAGAAAAGGAATAATAAAAATGAAAGCAGAAAATAATGAGATATAGAGCAAACACATAATACATAGAAAAGTTTAACCCAAACAAAAGTTATCTCTGTGCAAGAAAGTTTGACAAAGACAAAAAAGAAAAGCTATAATTGCCAACATCAGGAATTAAGAATGGAACATCACTTTAGATCCTATAAGTATTAAATTATGTATGAGGATACTATAAAAATTTATTCCAGTGAATTTAAAAAATGACACAACTTAATTACTAGTAAAAAACAATTTACCAAACTGACACCTATTTCTGACATGAGTAGAAATAGAACATATGAGCAATCATTTTGTAAGTTGACTATTCATATTCTCAGTCCATATTCAACTGGGATGTTTGTTTTTTAAAAAATTGATTCATGGAACTTCTTTATATATTAATATATTAACTCTTCGTCATATACCTTGTAAATGTTTCCCTCAGTGTTTTTACCTTAACATTTTATTCATAGGATATAGAAATTTGAAATTTTATTATATAGTTAAGTTTGTTGAACTTTTCCTTTCTAAATTTTTTTGCTATTATTCTCAGTCTATCCTTATATGTTTTCTTCCAGTTTATGATGATGACGATGATGATATGTTTTTAAAATTAATTCTTTAAAACTTCTGGAACTTAATTTGATGTGTGATATGAAGCAAAGGATCAGTTGTTTCCCCCCAGCCCCCATAGCCAATTTTCTCAACATCATTTAAAATATAATCAATATTTTTTTCCATTGGTTTCTGATGCTCCCTTGATCAAATACTTAAAGTTTGTGTATACTAGTGTCTGTTTCTCTTTTTACTTCTTTGTTAATTCTTCTGTAAAATTGCTCTTTAAACTTTTTTTCGTGCCTTTCACACCTTTTAGAAGAACATTAATTTTACCGTGTTAAAAAAAAATCCCATGGAAGTTATTCAGTTGTTTTTTTAAAACTATATGGTTTGGAGGTGAAAATCCAGACATTTTAACAAAGTTAATGTGTCAAACTTAATAAAAGATCAGAGTTTGTGCTCTGACATGCATTATCTGTAAAATGTCAATAGTAATATTTGATAGATTTGTTGGAAAGATACAATAAAATGTAAAATATATAAAATACCTTGAACAATCCTTGGTATAGCTGGGTAATAATAACTCCCAATATTCATTGCCTTCAGTGAATGCTGACTATTGGCTCACACTTCCATTGATAAAATAAAAAATAAAATAAAATTTGCCTTTTATTAGTATTAGAGGTATTTGATCTTTACATCCTTTTATGCAGCATCTCTCTTCTTTTATATAAGTATTTTATTCCCTTAGCAAAATTCAATTGTTTTCTTCATATTAATCATACACTTTTTGGTTAGGTTTATTCACAAATATTTTATGCTTTATATTGTTGTTTTGTATAAACTTGGTTTTCTCTCATTGTCTCTTTGGTCATTAATGCTATTAGGCAAGACTGAAGATGTATCTTTATCTTGTATCAGATTACTTTGCTGAAGTCTAAAAAATTAATCTGAGACATTTTCAATTCTCATATAGGCTATGTAAGATGATCTTGTGTCCTTATTTCTAATAAAGTGTTTATTTTTTGTTTCTATTCCTTAATTTTTGAAATTGAATTCAAAAGGAGAATAAGATGATGTATTCTCTTGTTTTGATCCTTAATTTTAATAGAAGCGCCTCTATCCTTTTACTCTAAGTTACTGTGTTGGCTTTTGGTTTAAAGTAGGTATTTGTTACCATGTCGACAAAGTGCCAGCTATGACTCTCAGGCTGCACAGTCAGGTGTGCAAGGAAAGTGACTGAAGCAAATTTGTATTTTGAGCCTTATTCTGCCAGATGGTAAGACCTTAATCTCAGTTAATTAAGGGTTTTCCCTCTCTTTTTTCCAGGGAACTTACATTGTTCCAGGGCATGGGGAGAGAGTGGGGAACTGATTCTGTGCAATCTCCTCCTCCTTTCACATATCCCTGTATCTCTCTCCTCCCAGTTCTTGCTAAATCAGTCAGCAAAGGTGGGAGAGGCTGGGTAGGGAGGAGCAGCAGAGGTTGGGGTATTCTTTCTTGTCTCTTTCTCTCACAGATTGCATTGGGGTATGGTAGAAAGGAACATTCAGAGAAGTTTTCCTTGCCCTGATTCCTCTTCTCTTTCCTTGACAGCTCGTCCTATGCTATAAATTTCACAACTCACTGGCTGTGGGGTGAAGTCAAAGGTGGAGCATGGAATGTGGAATGGTGGAAACGAGAAGGTTGGGGAGGATCTGGGCAACTGTGGGAGGAGAGGGGAGGATAGAAGAAAGGACAATTCCAGTAGCAAGTAGAAAGAGGGAGTAGGTCTAGGTCAGCATAGCCTGGCTGCTCTTCTGTTGATAAAATTAGAAAAATAAAATAAATTTTGTCCTTTATTAGCATTTCACATAAGGAAGTTTGCTGGCTATTCCTAGTGAGAGACATCTTTGATTTCAATCACAAATTATAAAAAAGGAAAAAGTAGGTGTAACTTAAATAACTTTCCCTTTTTAATATTTCATATATATGTAAATATAGATCCCATATACATATAAATACATATATATGTTAATGTAGATTTCATGAATTTTATATATATGTTCTGTAAATATTCTGAAAAAATATATAAATTTGTATTTTGAGCCCTTATTCTGTATGAGCCTTCATATATATGTGTGAAATTTTCACATAAAGGGCAGCTTTGACATATGCCATTGATTTTGATACAACATGTTGCTTGGAAGAACAGAGGTAAATTATTTATTTTGTGAAAATGTGTTTAAACAACAGAGTGTTTTGATTTCCTTTGGAAGAAAAGCCTGCTTTCCATTCTACTTGTCCCTTGGAGAATGCAGCAGTCAGGATGGCTGCACTGGGGGACCACACTCAGCAATGCAGTCTCCTTTCTCCAGATAGCACATTGTCATTTATTTTTGAAGCTGCAGTTTTGTGCTGTTATTTTTTCTTCTCCATCTGATTCATTCTGAGTCATGGGAAGCACATTCTCATTGCTATGGGGTACACTGCAGAGAGGGCTCACTTGCTTGTTCTGCACCATTAAATTCTTGCTTGTGTCTTTCTATCAGAAATGGTTTGAGGAGTCACAGCACAGAAAAAAAAGGGAATATGAGCATTGTGCTTGGGAAGATTCAGACTAGGAGAAATAAGATTAATAAAGTGTTCTTTTTTTTTTGTGAACTAATGTGCTTGATGGACAACTAAATCTCTCTGTCTTTCATTGTTCTCAAGCAAACAAGGAACCACTCAACAATGGCATTCTCTCCTGATAAAGGATTTCATTTGAGCATGCCAGTTTCCCAGGCAAGGGGTGAGGGGTGTGTGGGATCACCTTAGTGTCAGAACAGCATTATCAAATGTCAGATGTCCTTGGTCATCATCTTCCCCAAATGTATTAGCTTATAATCTGTCAGCAAGGAATTGAAAGCTATTATTCCAGTCATACTGACGGGACATGATTTTCCAAAATATAGGAGGTTTCTGTTCATTAAGAATCCACTGGTGCTGAGCATAGTTTGAAAATTTTAATTTGAACAAAAGTGGTCCTGTACTCTATGAGAGTTACTGCCAAGGTGATAGAACAAGGGCAATATACTTTGAAGATATTAAAAGCTGGACTAGAATGAAAGTATGGTGCAGTTCTCTCCTTTTCTCCTTTTATTCTGTGCTTAATACAATTATTTTAAACATAAATATGGTGCATTTTAGAACATGGAGACAATGAATCAAAAACTCATTCTTTGACCTCTCTTTTGCCTCAAAACATTTAAATCTAATTGATTTGCTATAGTAGTAATAATTCCATTCACAAGAGACAAAAGCCATAACATCAATAAAATGATAAATGCAATTTGTTATATTAGTGGCAAGCAATTGGAACAAAATATATTAGTAATTTAGAAACCATTCTGTATTTATGTGCATGCTTCCTATTAAAAAGAAATGCACAGAATGGACGGACATAGGGGATAACATATTTTCCCATTGAGATGAGTCGTTTTATTTGAGATTTATTCTATTGTAAGTTATAAAAAAGCGTATTTGCCCCTGTAACTGCAGCTTGCAGTAGAATCCATTTTCAGCACTTTTGAATTCAGCTCACATAGCCTTCTTGTAGGCTACAAGGAGGTTCAAGCTGTTCTAAAATAGTCATCACGATCCATTACACTCTGTTCCCTGTAGCTTTTGTTCCCAGTTGCGTGTGATACTGTAATTGTGAAAGAAAATTTAAAATACATGCTGACTTTACACATGGAAGGGTTATAGTTTCATTTGTTCAAAGCATTCTTGCATATATTATCCAAAATCTTGTATGAATAATCCAGGACAAAGGTAACATTTCAAAACAGGACATATCAAATTAATATTTCTTTATGTTAAAAGAAACACCTTAGGAGAAAAATGCCAAGTTTACATGTGGCATTTTGACTTGGTTTACATGTGGGAAATAGAAAATTCAAGCCAATAATTTAAACCCTAAAGATTTACTACAAATATCTGTATCACCAAAGTAAAAGCATTTTGCCTAAGAACACATTAAAAATTTCTTTAAAAATTGTATTCTTGGCCAGGCGCGGTGGCTCAAGCCTGTAATCCCAGCACTTTGGGAGGCTGAAGCTGGCGGGTCACTTGAGGTCAGGAGTTAGAGACTAGCCTGGCCAGCATGGTGAAACTCCGTCTCTACTAAAAACACAAAAAGTAGGTGGGCATGCTGGCATGTCCCTGTAATCCCAGCTACTCTGGAGCCTGAGGCAGGAGAATCGCTTGAACCTGGAAGGCGGAGGTTACAGTGAGCTGAGATCACGCCATTGCACTCCAGCCTGGGTGACAGAGCGAGACTTCGTCTCAAAAAAATAAAAAAAAAAACAAACAAAACAAAAAATAATAATAATTGTATTCTGGGAGATTGTATTTATTCCATTTCTAAATAATAATGAAAGACATGATATTTTAGATTATGTTTGCAATAATCTAAACATAGATTATTTTTGGATGTTGTAGCTTATAGTGAAAGACTTTGAGAGTATTAGAAAAACAACGAAGAGAAAACACTTCCATTCTAGTTCCTGACTTCACACACATTTTAGGGAAAGCTCAACCTTTTCTCCCAGGAACTGTCTCCTATTCCTTATGCTCATTTTTGCTTCATGTCTTCCAGTCATCCAATCTTCCTTGATATCCTTCACATTTCCCTTCTCTATCCAATCAGTTATCAAGTCCTATTGCATCTTCTCTTGCAAAACTGCTCTCCTTTAGAGAATCTCAGAATTTTATGCCTTTGAAGGAGACTCCTACAGTCCAGTTTTTCTCAAAACTTTTTAAGTAGCAGAAACTTTTCTCCAAATGTTACACAGAAGTCCCCAAATTGATAGTAACGATAAAAATAAAACAGATAAAAGAAAATTTGGTTTGGTTGAAGCAAGACTTGGGGGGCACAGACTCTTACCTATTTGGTCCATTCATGCTGCCTTGCTATTGTCTCCAAAGATGCTTTCCCTAACCCCAAGGGATCCTTGGAATGGAGAAAATGAAGGTCCAAAGAGATTAAGTGACTTGTCCAGGATCATGAAGCCAGTTAGCAGAGCTGGTCCCAGAAGTCAAGCTAAAGTTTAGTGCTCTTTTGGCTACATCAGGCAAACTCACTATCAACACCACCCACCACCTGACAGAGCTTACTGTAGTCTCTAGTCTCTCCTGTTAAACTTCTCCGTTTACAAAACATAAGGTATTTTCCATCCTTTGTATCTGTCCCCTGTGCAATAGGCTCCCAGGGCTCTCCACTGCCTCTGAGATCAAGTGCAAGTCTTTACGGGTTCATTTCAGGCTCTTTATAATTTGCACATTTTCTTTCTTTTTTAAAAATTATTATTATACTTTAAGTTCTAGGGTACATGTGTACAACATGCAGGTTTGTTACATAGGTATACATGTGCCATGTTGGTTTGCTGCACCATCCACTCGTCATTTACATTAGGTATTTCTCCTAATGCTATCCCTCCCCTAGCCCCCCATCCCTCGACAGGCCCCGGTGTGGGATGTTCCCTGCCCTGTGTCCAAGCGTTCTCATTGTTCAATTCCCACCTATTAGTGAGAATATGCGGTGTTTGGTTTTCTGTCCTTGTGATAGTTTGCTGAGAATGATGCTTTCCAGCTTCATCCATGTCCCTGCAAAGGACAGGAACTCATCCTTTTTTAGGGCTGCATAGTATTCCATAGTGTATATGTGCCACATTTTCTTAATCCAGTCTATCACTGATGGACATTTGGGTTGTTTCCACGTCTTTACTATTGTGAATAGTGCTGCAATAAACATACGTGTGCATGTGTCTTTATAGTAGCATGATTTATAATCCTTTGGGTATATACCCAGTAATGGGATGGCTGGGTCAAATGGTATTTCTAGTTCTAGATGCTTGAGGAATTGCCATACTGTCTTCCACAGTGGTTGAACTAATTTACACTCCCATCAACAATGTAAAAGTATTCCTATTTCTCCACATCCTCTCTAGCATCTGTTGTTTCCTGACTTTTTAATGATCGTCATTCTAACTGGCATAAGATGGTATCTCATTGTGGTTTTGATTTGCATTTCTCTAATGACCAGTGATGATGAGCATTTTTTCACCTGTCTGTTGGCTGCATAAATGTCTTCTTTTGAGAAGTGTCTGTTCATATCCTTTGCCTAATTTTTGATGGGCTGTTTGTTTTTTTCTTGTAAATTTGTTTAAGTTCTTTGTAGATTCTGGATATTAGCCCTTTGTCAGATGGGTAGATTGCAAAAATTTTCCCCCATTCTATAGGTTGCCTGTTCACTCTGATGGTAGTTTCTTTCGCCGAATTTGCACATTTTCTTACATTGCTCTCCAATTCAAAGCCACTGTGCCAGCGTGGTTGATTTCTTCACTGACACTGGAAGCACTTCTAAGGCTTTCTTACACTGTTCTCTCTGGCTGCAATGCTATCTTTCTGTCTAAGGTGCCCTTCAAGGCTCCGATCAAGATTTTTGGAGCCTGTTCTGAGTATACCAGTTAAGTTACCCCTTTTGTCTTTGGACAAACTAATTCTGTACCTTTTTTTGCTTTTAAATTTCCCATAGGTAAGAATATGTAAAAACATAAGTTCTTCCAGGACTGTGGCTTATTTTGTACATACTGCTGGCATGCTGCTTTGTGAATACCAGCTGTGTTTTGTGGGTTAATTACAGTGGACTGCGTGATGAAAAATGATACCTTTTTCTTGGTCACCGCACAAGAATCCACTGCAGTCTTTTTCATGTAGCTGATAGTTACTGGAGTTTACTATTGTCCATTTTTCTTTCCCACCATAGAAAATAGGGTCTAAACAGGCTTTCTATTTGATCTTACTCTGTAACTATACCATCAGCCTAATTATTAAATAATTCTAATTGAATATTAATAAATGTCACTAATAATAATTTAAGTGTTCTATGCAATTACCTATTTCTATAAGTTTTCAATAAATATTTAAAGTTTTACAGTAGAGTGATTATAATTGCTTTTCAGGATATAAAGATCACACCAAAAGCCATATTTGTTCCTGAATCAGAGGCTATTCATAATTCATTCTTATCTAGATGACAAACTCAGGCAGGACTCCATTCCCTATTACCTCTGTAACTACAGTTAGAACTAGACTGGAGTTGCTGTCACAGAGTTAATTGAAATAAAAAATGAAGTCAGAATTCTGATTGGTTATTTAGTTTGACAATGATGAATAGCTTTACTAATTAGATTTCTATAATGGGTATTTTTAATATACATTAATACATTTAATAAAACTTCAAGCTACAGATTTAACTAAATTTATTACAAGCATGTTAATAATATTCAATATACTTAACAATATTTTAGTTTTCCCAACCTTTTCTGAGTATATTAGGTTAAACAGGATGTCTCTCAATGAGAGACTGAGAGGTGTAATTAATAGTCTTTTGATCCATCTTGGAAGAGTCTTTTTGATATATTTCCCAGAAATTGTGAAATTGATGTCTCTAAAGATGGGTAACAAATCTCTTCACAATTCAGGATGATTTCCATTTCTTTGCTTTCAACAAAATTGAGGAAGACCTAATTGAGTTGTCAGCTGATGGATCACAAAAATAATATTTGAAGATGTGCCACTGTGTAGTTTTGGCATGTAAAGTGGAAGACGTTCAAAGAGTTGAATGACATTTCTATAGAAAATTTTGCCCCAATTACATCTATTTTTAATTGTGAACAAAGATTCTCAGAGCTTACAAAAAAACACATTAGAACTGATACTAAACCCAGTCTCATTATAGCAATAAATAATATTCATCCACCAAAACATAAGTGAAATTAAAAATCTTCACCTGTCCCATGAAGACAAATAATTTCTAATTTTTTCTTTTTATGTTTAAAATTTAAAATACATTTATATTGTAGCTATATGTAATAATAAGTATCATAATAATACTGAATAATTTTTTTTTAAATTTTATTTTATTTTAAGTTCTGGGACAATGTGCAGGACATGCAGGTTTGTTAACACGTAAACATGTGCCACGGTGATTTGCTGCACCTGTCAACCCATAACCTAGGTATTAAGTCCTGCATGCATTAGCTATTTATCCTGATGATTTCCCTCCTCCTGCCCCACTGACAGGCCCCAGTGTGTGTTGTTCCCCTCCCTGTGTCCATGTGCTCTCATTGTTCAGCTTGTTTTTTTTTTTTTTTTTTTTTTTTTTTGCTTTTAAATTTCACATGGGTAAGAATATGTAAAAACATAAGTGGGAACATGTAGTGTTTGGTTTTCTGTTCCTGTGTTAGTTTGCTGAGGATAATGGCTTCCAGCTCCATCTATGCCCCTGCAAAGGACATGATCTCATTCCTTTTTATGGCTGCATAGTGTTCCATGGTGTATATGTACCACACTTTCTTTATCCAGTCTATCATCGATGGACATTTGGGTTGATTCCATGTCTTTGCTATTGTGAATAGTGCTGCAATGAACATACACATGCATGCGTCTTTATAATAGAATAATTTATATTCTTTTGGGTATATAGCCAGTAATGGGATTGCTGAGTCAAATGGTATTTCTAGTTCTCGGTCTTTGAGGAATCACCACACTGTCTTCCACAATGATTGAACAAATTTATATTCTCACCAATAGTGTAAAAGCGTTCCTATTTCTCCAAAGCCTCACCAGCATCTGTTGTTTCTTGACTTTTTAATAATCGCCATTCTGACTGGTGTGAGATGGTATCTCATTGTGGTTTTGATTTGCATTTCTCTAATGATCAGTGATGTTGAGCTTTTTTTTCATATGTTTGTTGGCCCCATAAATGTCTTTTGAGAAGTGTCTGTTCATGTCCTTTGCCCACTTTAAATTTGTTTGAGTTTCTTGTAGATTCTGGATATTAGATCTTTGTCAGATGGATGGATTGCAAAAGTTTTCTCTGATAGCTTCTTTTGCTGTGCAGAAGCTCTTTAGTTTAATCAGATCCCATTTGTCAATTTTTGCTGTTGTTGCAATTGCTGTTGATGTTTCTGTCATGAAATCTTTGCCTGTGCCTACGTCTTGAATGGTATTGCCTATATTGTCTTCTAGGGTTTCTATAGTTTTGGGTTTTACATTTAAGTCTTTAATCCATCTTTAGTTAATTTTTGTGCAATGTATAAGGAAGGGGTCCAGTTTCAATTTTCTGCATATGGCTAGCTAGTTTTCCCAGCACATTTATTAAATAGAAAATTATTTCCCCATTGCTTGTTTTTGTCAGGTTTGTCAAAGATCAGATGTTTGTAGATGTATGATCTTATTTCTGAGATCTCTATTCTGTTCCATTGGTTTATGTGTTTATTTTTATACCAGCACCATGCTGTTTTGGTTACTGTAGCCTCGTAGTATAGTTTGAAGTTAGATAGCATGATGCCTCTCAAGGAAAAATTTTCGCCCTCAAAAGCCTTACAAGTTATTTAATTTACATATTAATACATATATTTGGTTGCAGAGGAAGATGAAAGGTGATCAATAAAGTATTTTCAAGTATGAGATATTTTACATGAAGATATTCTGTGGGGAAAGTGGAATAAAATACAAATTCAAGGAAAAAATGATGTAAAATTTATGAGCATTAAAGAAGAGCTTTTTATAATATACTTTTTCTTTAATATTTTATTATTTTTATTATTACTATTATTTTTATTTGAATAGGTTTTTGGGGAACAGGTGGTGTTTGGTTACATGATTAAGTTCTTTAGGGGTAATTTCTGAGATTTTGTTGCTCCCATCACCTGAGCAGTGTTGTGTACCCAATGTGTAGTCCTTTATCCCTCACCCCCCACCCCACCCTTTCCCCTGAGTCCCAAAAGTCCATTGTATCATTCTCATGCATTTTTGTCCTCATAGCTTAGCTCTCACTTACAAGTGAGAACATATAATGTTTGTTTTTTCAGTCCTGACTTACTTCACTTAGAATAATGGTCTCCACCTCCATCCAGGTGGCTGCAAATGCCACTGTTTTTTTTATGGCTGAGTAGTATTCCATGGTATATACATACCACATTTTCTTTATCCACTTCTTCATTGATGGGCATTTGAGCTGGTTCCATATTTTTGCAATTGTGAATTGTGCTGCTATAAACATGCATTTGCAAGTATCTTTTTTGTATAATGACTTCTTTTCCTATGGGTAGATACCCTGTCTTGGGACTACTGGATCAAATGGTAGCTCTACTTTTAGTTCTTTAAGGAAACTCCACACTGTTTGCCATAATGGTTGTACTAGTTTACATTCCCACCAGCAGTGTAAAAGTGTTCCCCTTTCACCACATCCATGCTAACATCTATTATTTTTTTATTAAGCCTATTCTCGTAGAGTAAGGTGATATCTCATTGTGGTTTTGATTTGAATTTCCGTGATAATTAGTGATGTTGAGCATTTTTTCATGTTTGTTGGCCATTTGTATATCTGCTTTTGAGAATTGTCTCTTCATGTCATTAGCCCACTTTTTGATGGCACTGTTTGTTTTTTTTTCTTGCTAATTTGTTTGATATTTTCAAACTATGCAAATTCACTTCTATCCAACAAAGGACATAGTTTAATATTTTCAAACTATGCAAATTCAATGCATAGTTTGAAAATATTAAACTATGTCCTTTGTTGGATAGATACTTTGCAAATATTTTCTCCCATTCTGTGGGTTGTCTGTTTACTCTGCTGACTATTTCTTTTGCTGTTCCAAAGCTCTTTAGTTTAATTAATTCCTATCTATTTATCCTTGTTTTTATTGCGTTTGCTTTTGGGTTCTTGGTCATAAAGTCTTTGCCTAAGCCAATGTCTAGAAGGGTTTTTCTGGTGTTATCTTCTAGAATTTTTATGGTTTCATGTCTTAGATTTAAGTCTTTGATCCATCTTGAGTTGATTTTTGTGTAAGGTGAGAGATGAGAATCCAGTTTCATTCTTCTATATTGGCTTGCCAATTATACCAGCACATTTTGTTGAATAGGGTGTCCTTTCCACACTTTACGTTTTCATTTGTTTTGTCAAAAAACAGTTGGCTGTAAGTATTTGGCTTTATTTCTGGGTTCTTTATTCTTTTTCCTTGCTCTATGTACCAATTTTTATATCAGCATCATGCTGTTTTGGTGCCTATAGCCTTAATAGTATACTTTGAAGTCCAGTAATATGATGCCTCCAGATTTGTTCTTTTGCTTAGTGTTGCTTTGGCTATATGAGCTCTTTTTGGTTCCATGTGAATTTTAGGATTTTTTTTCTAGTTCTCTGAAGAATGATGGTGGTATTTTGATATGGTTTGGCTGTGTCCCCACCCAAACCTCATCTTGAATTATATCTCCCATAATTTCCAGTGTTGTGGGAGGGACCTGGTGGGAGATAATGGAATTATGGTAGTGGTTTCCCGTACTCTTCTCATGGTAGTGAATGAGTCTCATGAGATCTGACGGTTTTATACGGGGAAACCCCTTTCACTTGGCTTTCATTCTCTCTCTTGCCTGCCACCATGTAAGACATGTCTTTCACTTTCCCACCATGATTGTTCTGCCTCCCCAGCCACATGAAACTGTGGGTCCATTAAACCTTTTTTTCTTTATAAATTACCCAATCTCAGGTATGTCCTTATCAGCAGCATGAAAATGGACTAATACATATTTTAATGGGAATTGCATTGAATTTTTAGATTGCTTTTGGCAGTATGGTCATTTTCATAATATTGATTCTACCCATCCATGAGCATAGGATATGTTTCCATTTGTCTATGTCATCTGTGATTTCTTTCAGCAGTGTTTTGTAGTTTTCCTTGTAGAAATCTTTCACCTCCTTGGTTAGGTATATTCCTAAGTATTTTATTTCATTTTTTTTTTGGCTCTTGTAAAAGGGCTTGAGCTCTTGATTTGATTCTCAGCCTTGTTGCTGTTGGTGTACAGCAGTGCTACTGCTTTCTGTACATTAATTTTGTATCCTGAAACTTTACTGAATTCACTTATCAGTTCCAGGAGCTTTTTGGATGAGTCTTTAGGGTTTTATAGGTATACAGTCATATCATCTGTGAACAGCAACAGTTCAGTTTTACTTCCTCTTTACTGATTTGGATGCCCTTGATTTTTTTCTCTTGTCTGATTGCTCTGGCTAGGAATTTCAGTACTAGTACTATGTTGAATAAAAGTGGTGAAAGTGGGCACTCTTTTCTTGTTCCAGTTTTCTAAAGGAATGTTTTCAACTTTTCCCCATTCAGTATTATGTTGGCTGTGGGTTTGTCATAGATGGCTTTTTATTACCTTAAGGTATGTCCCTTCTATGCTGATTTTGATGAGAGTTTTAATAATAAAGGAATGCTAGATTTTGTCAAATGCTTTTTCTGCTTCTATTGAGATGATCATGCAATTTTTGTTTTTAATTCTGTTTATGTGGTGTATCACAGTTATTGACTTGCTTATGTTAAACCATCCCTGCATTCCTGGTATAAAACTCGCTTGATCATGGTGGATTATCTTTTCAATATGCTATTGTATTTGGTTAGGTAGTATTTTATTAAGTATTTTAGCATCTATGTTCATCAGGGATATTAGTCTGTGGTTTTTTTTTTTTTTTGGTTATATTCTTTCCTGGTTTTTGTATTAGGGTGATATTGGCTTCATAGAATGATTTAGAAAGGAGTCCCTCTTTCTCTGTCTTGTGGAATAGGGTCAGTAGGATTGATACCAATTCTTCTTTGAATATCTCACAGAATTCAGTTGTGAATCAATCTGGTCCTGGGCTTTTTTGTTGGCAATTTTAAAAATTCCATTTCAATCTCACTGCTTGTTATTTGTTCAGAGTTTCTGTTTCTCCCTGGTTTAATCTAAGAGGGTTGTATCTTTCCAGGAATTTATCCCTCTCCTCCACGTTTTCTAGTTTGTGTGCAAAACGGTGTTCATGATAGCCTGGAATGATCTTTTGTATTTCTGTGGTACCAGTTGTAATATCTCCTGTTTCATTTCTAATTGAAGTTGTTTGGATCGTCTCTCTTCTTTTCTTGGCTAATCTCACTAATGGTGTATCAATTTTGTTTATCTTTTCAAATAGCCACCTTTTTGTTTCATTTACCCTTTTTTTTGTTTCAGTTTCCTTTAATTCTGCTCTGATCTTGGTTTTTTTTTGTTTTTTTTTTTTCCTGCGGAGTTTGGGTTTGGTTTGTTCTTATTTCTCTAGCTCCTTGAGGTGTGACCTCAGATTGTCTATTAGTGTTCTTTCAGACTTTCTGATGTAGGCGTTTAATGCTACATACTTCCCTCTTAGCACGACTTATGCCATATCTCAGAGATTTTGATAGGTTGTGTCACTATTATTGTTCAGTTCAAAAAAATTTTAATTTTCATCTTGTTTCTATTGTCCAAATGATCATTCAGGAGCAGGTTGTTTAATTTCCATATATTCGCGTGGTTTTGAAGGTTCCTTTTGGAGTTGATTTCCAGTTTTATTCCACTATGGTCTGAGAGAGTACTTGATACAATTTCGATTTTCTTAAATTTATTGAGACTTGTTTTGTGGCCTATCATATGGTCTATCTTGGAGAACGTTTCATGTGCTGATGAGTAAAATGTATATTCTGCACTTGTTGGGTAAAATGTATTGTAAGTATCTGTTAAGTTCATTTGTTCTAGGGTGTGGTTTAAGTCCATTGTTTCTTTGTTGACTTTCTCTCTTGATGACCTGTATAATGTTGTCAGTGGAGTATTGAATTCCCCCATTATTATTATGTTGCTGTCTATCTCATTTACTAGGTCTAAAGTAGTAATTGTTTTATAAATTTGGGACCTCCAGGTTAGGTGCATATATATTTAGAAATGTGATGTTTCCTTGTTGGACTAGTCATTTTATCATTATAAAATGTCCTTCTTTGTCTTTTTTAACTGTTGTTGCTTTAAAATCTGTTTTGTCTGATGTAAGAACAGCTACTCCTGTTCACTTTTGGTGTCCATTTGCATGGAATATCTTTTTTGACCCCTTTACCTTAAGTTTACATGAGTCCTTATGTGTTAGATGAATCTCTTGAAGACAGCAGATACTTGGTTGGTGAATTCTTATTCATTCTGCCATTCTGTGTCTTTTCAGTGGAGCATTTAGGCCATTTACATTCACGTTAGTATTGAGATATGAGGTACTATTCTATTCGTTGTGCTAGTTGTTGCCTGAATGCCTTGTTTTTTTATTCATTGTGGTATTGTATACTAGTCCTATGAGATTTATGCTTTAAGGAGGTTCTATTTTGGTGTATTTTGAGGATTTGTTTCAAGACTTAGAGCTCCTTTTAGCAGTTCTTATAGTACTGTTTTGGTAGTGATGAATTCTCTCTGTATTTGTTTGTCTGTAAAAGACTGTATCTTTCTTTCATTTATGAAGCCTAGTTTTGCTGGATACAAAATTCTTGGTAATTGTTTTTTTTAAGGAGGCTAAAAACAGGCCCCCAATCTCTTCTAGCTTTTAGGGTTTCTGCTGAGAAATCTGCTGTTAATCTGATAGGTTTTCCTTTATAGGTTAGCTGATGTTTTTGCTTCACAGCTCTTAAGATTTTTTCCTTCATCTTGACTTTAGATAACCTGATGACAAGGTGCCTAGGCAATGATCTTTTTGCAATAAATTTCCTGGATGTTCTTTGAGCTTCTTGTATTTGGGTGTCTCGATCTCTAGCAAGGCTGGGGAAGTTTTGCTTGATTATTCCCTCAAATATGTTTTCCAAACTTTTAGATTTCTCTTCTTCCTCAGGGACACCAATTATTCTTAGGTTTGGTCATTTAACATAATCCCAAACTTTTTGGAGGCTTTGTTCTTTTTTATTTATTTATTTATTTATTTATTTATTTATTTATTATTATTTTACTTTAAGTTTTAGGGTACATGTGCACAATGTGCAAGTTAGTTACATATGTATACATGTGCCATGCTGGTGCGCTGCACCCACTAACTCGTCATCTAGCATTAGGTATATCTCCCAATGCTATCCCTCCCCCCTCCCCCCACCCCACAACAGTCCCCAGAGTCTGATGTTCCCCTTCCTGTGTCCATGTGTTCTCATTGTTCAGTTCCCACCTATGAGTGAGAATATGCAGTGTTTGTTTTTTTGTTCTTGCAATAGTTTACTGAGAATGATGATTTCCAATTTCATCCATGTCCCTACAAAGGACATGAACTCATCCTTTTTTATGGCTGCATAGTATTCCATGGTGTATATGTGCCACATTTTCTTAATCCAGTCTATCGTTGCTGGACATTTGGGTTGGTTCCAAGTCTTTGCTATTGTGAATAATGCCGCAATAAACATATGTGTGCATGTGTCTTTATAGCAGCATGATTTATAGTCCTTTGGGTGTATACCCAGTAATGGGATGGCTGGGTCAAATGGTGTTTCTAGTTCTAGATCCCTGAAAATCGCCACACTGACTTCCACAATGGTTGAACTAGTTTACAGTCCCACCAACAGTGTAAAAGTGCTCCTATTTCTCCACATCCTCTCCAGCACCTGTTGTTTCCTGACTTTTTAATGATTGCCATTCTAACTGGTGTGAGATGGTATCTCATTGTGGTTTTGATTTGCATTTCTCTGATGGCCAGTGATGGTGAGCATTTTTTCATGTGTTTTTTGGCTGCATAAATGTTTTCTTTTGAGAAGTGTCTGTTCATGTCCTTTGTCCACTTTTTGATGGGGTTGTTTTTTTCTTGTAAATTTGTTTGAGTTCATTGTAGATTCTGGATATTAGCCCCTTGTCAGACGAGTAGGTTGCAAAAATTTTCTCCCATTTTGTAGGTTGCCTGTTCACTCTGATGGTAGTTTCTTTTGCTGTGCAGAAGCTCTTTAGTTTAATGAGATCCCATTTGTCAATTTTGTCTTTTGTTGCCATTGCTTCTGGTGTTTTAGACATGAAGTCCTTGCCCATGCCTATGTCCTGAATGGTAATGCCTAGGTTTTCTTCTAGGGTTTTTATGGTTTTAGGTCTAACGTTTAAGTCTTTAATCCATCTTGAATTGATTTTTGTATAAGATGTAAGGAAGGGATCCAGTTTCAGCTTTCTACATATGGCTAGCCAGTTTTCCCAGCACCATTTATTAAATAGGGAATCCTTTCCCCATTGCTTGTTTTTGTCAGGTTTGTCAAAGATCAGATAGTTGTAGATATGCAGCATTATTTCTGAGGGCTCTGTTCTGTTCCATTGATCTATATCTCTGTTTTGGTGCCAGTACCATGCTGTTTTGGTTACTGTAGCCTTGTAGTATAGTTTGAAGTCAGGTAGCATGATGCCTCCAGCTTTGTTCTTTTGGCTTAGGATTGACTTGGCGATGCGGACTGTTTTTTGGTTCCATATGAACTTTCAAGTAGTTTTTTCCAATTCTGTGAAGAAAGTCATTGGTAGCTTGATGGGGATGGCATTGAATCTGTAAATTACCTTGGGCAGTATGGCCATTTTCATGATATGGGTTCTTCCTACCCATGAGCATGGAATGTTCTTCCATTTGTTTGTATCCTCTTTTATTTCCTTGAGCAGTGGTTTGTAGTTCTCCTTGAAGAGGTCCTTCACATCCCTTGTAAGTTGGATTCCTAGGTATGTTATTCTCTTTGAAGCAATTGTGAATGGGAGTTCACTCATGATTTGGCTCTCTGTTTGTCTGTTGTTGGTGTATAAGAATGCTTGTGATTTTTGTACATTGATTTTGTATCCTGAGACTTTGCTGAAGTTGCTTATCAGCTTAAGAAAATCTTAGGCTGAGACAATGGGGTTTTCTAGATATACAATCATGTTGTCTGCAAACAGGGAGAATTTGACTCCCTCTTTTCCCAATTGAATACCCTTTATTTCCTTCTCCTGCCTAATTGCCCTGGCCAGAACTTCCAACACTATGTTGAATAGCAGTGGTGAGAGAGGGCATCCCTGTCTTGTGCCAGTTTTCAAAGGGAATGCTTCCAGTTTTTGCCCATTCAGTAAGATATTGGCTGTGAGTTTGTCATAGACAGCTCTTATTATTTTGAAATACGTCCCATCGATATCTAATTTATTGAGAGTTTTTAGCATGAAGGGTTGTTGAATTTTATCAAAGGCCTTTTCTGCATCTATTGAGATAATCATGTGGTTTTTGTCTTTGGTTCTGTTCATATGCTGGATTACATTTATTGATTTGCGTATATTGAACCAGCCTTGCTTCCCAGGGATGAAGCCCACTTGATCATGGTGGATAAGCTTTTTGATGTGCTGCTGAATTCGGTTTGCCAGTATTTTATTGAGGATTTTTGCATCAATGTTCATCAAGGATATTGGTCTAAAATTCTCTTTTTTGGTTGTGTCTCTGCCTGGCTTTGGTATCAGGATGATGCTGGCCTCATCAAATGAGTTAGGGAGGATTCCCTCTTTTTCTATTGATTGGAATAGTTTCAGAAGGAATGGTACCAGTTCCTCCTTGTACCTCTGGTAGAATTCGGCTGTGAATCCATCTGGTCCTGGACTCTTTTTGGTTGGTAAGCTATTGATTATTGCCACAATTTCAGCTCCTGTTATTGGTCAATTCAGAGATTCAAGTTCTTCCTGGTTTAGTCTTGGGAGAGTGTATGTGTTGAGGAATTTATCCATTTCTTCTAGATTTTCTAGTTGATTTGCGTAGAGGTGTTTGTAGTATTCTCTGATGGTAGTTTGTATTTCTGTGGGATTGGTGGTGATATCCCCTTTATCATTTTTTATTGCATCTATTTGATTCTTCTCTGTTTTTTTCTTTATTAGTCTTGCTAGCGGTCTATCAATTTTGTTGATCCTTTCAAAAAACCAGCTCCTGGATTCGTTAATTTTTTGAAGGGTTTTTAATGTCTCTATTTCCTTCAGTTCTGCTCTGATTTTAGTTATTTCTTGCCTTCTGCTAGCTTTTGAATGTGTTTGCTCTTGCTTTTCTAGTTCTTTTAATTGTGATGTTAGGGTGTCAATTTTGGATCTTTCCTCCTTTCTCTTGTGGGCATTTAGTGCTATAAATTTCCCTCTACACACTGCTTTGAATGTGTCCCAGAGATTCTGGTATGTTGTGTCTTTGTTCTCATTGGTTTCAAAGAACATCTTTATGTCTGCCTTCATTTCGTTATGTACCCAGTAGTCAGTCAGGAGCAGGTTGTTCAGTTTCCATGTAGTTGAGCGGTTTTGAGTGAGATTCTTAATCCTGAGTTCTAGTTTGATTGCACTGTGGTCTGAGAGATAGTTTGTTATAATTTCTGTTCTTTTACGTTTCCTAAGGAGAGCTTTACTTCCAAGTATGTGGTCAATTTTGGAATAGGTGTGGTGTGTTGCTGAAAAAAAATGTATATTCTGTTGATTTGGGGTGGAGAGTTCTATAGATGTCTATTAGGTCTGCTTGGTGCAGAGCTGAGTTCAATTCCTGGGTATCCTTTTTGAGTTTCTGTCTCGTTGATCTGTCTAATGTTGACAGTGGGATGTTAAAGTCTCCCATTATTAATGTGTGGGAGACTAAGTCTCTTTGTAGGTCATTCAGGACTTGCTTTATGAATCTGGGTGCTCTTGTATTGGGTGCATATATATTTAGGATAGTTAGCTCTTCTTGTTGAGTTGATCCCTTTACCATTAAGTAATGGCCTTCTTTTTCTCTTTTGATCTTTGTTGGTTTAAAGTCTGTTTTATCAGAGACTAGGATTGCAATCCCTGCCTTTTTTTGTTTTCCATTTTCTTGGTAGATCTTCCTCCATCCTTTTATTTTGAGCCTATGTGTGTCTCTGCATGTGAGATGGGTTTCCTAAATACAGCACACCGATGGGTCTTGCCTCTTTATCCAGTTTACCAGTCTGTGTCTTTTAATTGGAGCATTAACCCATTTACATTTAAAGTTAATATTGTTATGTGTGAATTTGATCCTGTCATTATGATGTTAGCTGGTTATTTTGCTCATTAGTTGATGCAGTTTCTTCCTAGTCTCGATGGTCTTTACATTTTGGCATGATTTTGCAGTGGCTGGTACCAGTTGTTCCTTTCCATGTTTAGCGCTTCCTTCAGGAGCTCTTTTAGGGCAGGCCTGGTGGTAACAAAATCTCTCAGCATTTGCTTGTCTGTAAAGGATTTTATTTCTCCTTCACTTATGAAGCTTAGTTTGGCTGGATATGAAATTCTGGGTTGAAAATTCTTTTCTTTAAGAATGTTGAATATTGGCCCCCACTGTCTTCTGGCTTGTAGAGTTTCTGCCGAGAGATCAGCTGTTAGTCTGCTGGGCTTCCCTTTGAGGGTAACCTGACCTTTCTCTCTGGCTGTCCTTAACATTTTTTCCTTCATTTCAACTTTGTTGAATCTGACAGTGATGTGTCTTGGAGTTGCTCTTCTTGAGGAGTATCTTTGTGGCATTCTCTGTATTTCCTGAATCTGAATGTTGGCCTGCTTTGCTAGATTGGGGAAGTTCTCCTGGATAATATCCTGCAGAGTGTTTTCCAACTTGGTTCCATTCTCCCCATCACTTTCAGGTACACCAATCAGATGTAGATTTGGTCTTTTCACATAGTCCCATATTTCTTGGAGGCTTTGTTCATTTCTTTTTATTCTTTTTTCTCTAAACTTCCCTTCTCGCTTCATTTCATTCATTTCATCTTCCTTCGCTGATACCCTTTCTTCCAGTTGATTGCATCGGCTCCTGAGGCTTCTGCATTCTTCACATAGTTCTTGAGCCTTGGTTTTCAGCTCCATCAGCTCCTTTAAGCACTTCTCTATATTGGTTATTCTGGTTATACATTCTTCTAAATTTTTTTCAAAGTTTTCAACTTCTTTGCCTTTGGTTTGAATTTCCTCCCATAGCTCGGAGTAATTTGATCGTCTGAAACCTTCTTCTCTCAACTCGTCAAAGTCATTCTCCATCCAGCTTTGTTCCATTGCTGGTGAGGAACTGCGTTCCTTTGGAGGAGGTGAGGCGCTCTGCTTTTTAGAGTTTGCAGTTTTTCTGCTCTGTTTTTTCCCCATCTTTGTGGTTTTATCTGCTTTTGGTCTGTGATGATGGTGATGTACAGATGGGTTTTTGGTGTGGATGTCCTTTCTGTTTGTTAGTTTTCCTTCTAACAGACAGGACCCTCAGCTGCATGTCTGTTGGAGTTTGCTGGAGGTCCACTCCAGACCATGTTTGCCTGGGTATCAGCAGCGGTGGCGGCAGAACAGTGGATATTGGTGTGAGGTGTCAGTCTGCCCCTGCTGGGGGGTGCCTCCCAATTAGGCTGCTTGGGGGTCAGGGGTCAGGGACCCACTTGTGGAGGCAGTCTGCACGCTCTCAGATCTCCAGCTGCGTGTGAGGAGAACCACTGCTCTCTTCAAAGCTGTCAGACAGGGACATTTAAGTCTGCAGAGGTTACTGCTGTCTTTTTGTTTGTCTGTGCCCTTCCCCCAGAGGTGGAGCCTACAGAGGCAGGCAGGCCTCCTTGAGCTGTGGTGGGCTCCACCCAGTTCGAGCTTCCAGGCTGCTTTGTGTACCTAAGCAAGCCTGGGCAATGGCGGGCGCCCCTCCCCCAGACTCGCTGCCAACTTGCAGTTTGATCTCAGACTGCTGTGCTAGCAATCAGCGAGACTCCGTGGGTGTAGGACTCTCCGAGCCAGGCGTGGGATATAATCTCCTGGTGCGCCATTTTTTAAGCCTGTCAGAAAAGTATTGATATTATTTTAAAATATCAATACTTATTTGTTACTTATTTGTAATATAAACCATTATTTGATGGTTTATATTAACATCAACTTCACTAAGAGTCTGTTTCCTTTTTTTTTTTAAATTAGGAAGAAGTGATGAGTTTTATAAAAAGTTTACTTTCCTCTTTAAATTTTTCTGGAATATAATTCTGTTCCTTCTTTTAGGAAAATCTTCAGGATTTATTAGTAGTAGTTTTCAGAAAGTGGTAGTTCCTTTATTTTTTGTCCTCTGCTTTGTGACATCAGACCACATGTTGGCTGTTCTTTGTTTGTCCCTCTTATTTATTATTGTCATAAGGTCGCTTTTGTCTCTGTCTTTTATGTCCTCCCTTGTGTGATTTTTCCCAAAGCTGTCTTATAAATCACTGACTTGGATTTCTGTCATGTTGATTATGTTCCTTTATGCATTTAGCTTATTGCTTGGTCCTTAATCATGTTGTTTTTACTTTTGATATTTTTTCCCCTTAATTCTGCAATCTCACTTAAAAAAAAATTAAATTCTACCATCTATCATCTGATTGTGATCTTTAAAACACAGATTTAATGTTTTCTTAAATGTGGAGAATTTAAGGGCAGGAAAGATTTGTGTTCCTGAATTTTGTTCTGTTTCTTGGAGTATGTCTTCTCCCTGAGTGTATTGTATGCCTATTTTTTTTATGCTATGTTCAATTCCATCCTCCGTTCTCTCTTCTACTCCCCTGCCTTGTTTTATTAATTGCTTCATGTACTTTCTTTTCAGCTCACTGAAATTTGTTGGGGGCAGCCATCATTAGGCCTTCATTTCACCGAACTAACATATGGGTGAATTCTTTTTAATTCACTTCCCACTTATGGTAGAGAATATGTTGTTCCTCAATATCCATTTCTCCTTCTCCCTCAGTAATAGAAACCCTGAATTTGAGTTGAACATGTGGGTGACTTCTTTCTAGAATGACTGACAAATAGAATGCCTGCTCCCTTTAGGGGGAAGCCCAAACTACATAAATGTGGCCAGATTCCATGACCCTATAAAGCATTGTTTCTCATGGGGGTGTTACAATGTAACTTAGGCACAACTTTATTAGTCTTATTGCAAGAGGAATACATGTTCACTCAGCTAACATCTATTCCTGTGAAATTTTAAATAATATAAAGAAATCTATTAAAGTCATCATAGTCTCACCATTCATTAAAGTCATCATAATCTTACCACTCGTAATCTCAGCATTCACTCACTCATCATAATCTCACCATTCACTCACTCATCATAATCTCACCACTCATAATCTCACGACTCATGGATAACCCCTGTTAATATCTTATTGGATATGATTTCAGTATTCTTGCTAAATATACATATGGCTTTTCCAAGATAAAAATGCGATAATACCATTTTACAGCTTCATTTTTTTATTTAATAATACAAGTAAATTTGTTTTTCATGTATTAAAACTTCTATAAAATTATTTTAAATAACAATAGCTGATATTTATTGAACACTTACCTGATGCCGTGTACTGCTCTAGGTATTTACAAATAGTAGCTCATTTAATCCTTACAATAACCTCATAAGGTAGTACTATCAATATCTCCACTTAATTAACCAGGACTGAGGTACTGAGAAGTTAAGTAACTTCATTTCCAAAAACTTTGAACAGCGCCTGGCACACAGTGTGTGCTCAATTTGAATTAGTTGAATGAAAAAGTAAACTGAATCAGGGTAGCACAGCTTGGATTCTAATCTAGTTAGTCTGGCTCCAGACCCACCAGTCTTTACTATTAGCTTTACTGTAGCTCCTTATCCATCTTCACCTTTCCTCCTCTCCCCCTTTTCTTCCCTCCTTCTCTCTAAATATCGTAGCTTATCTTAGCTTTTTAAATTTACTTATTTATTTATTTGAGATGGAGTCTCACTCTGCCACCCAAGCTGGAGTGCAGTGGCATGATCTTGGCTCACTGCAACCTCCGCCTCCGGGGTTCAAGCAATTCTCCTGCCTCAGCCTCCTGAGTAGCTGGGATTACAGGTGCCCACCACCACATCCAGCTAATTTTTGTATTTTCAGTAGAGATGGGGTTTCACCATGTTGGCCAGGCGGGTGTCAAACTCCTGACCTCAAGTGATCCACCTGCCTCAGCCTCCCGAAGTGCTGGGATTACAGGCGTGAGCCACCACGCCCGGCCAATATCTTAGCTTTTTAGGAATAATAGGTATTCAGAAACAAAGTAAGGAAAATAAAAATAGAGATCTCAGTTACTCCTTGTATCAGGTAGAAATTTGTTTACAATTGTGTATGACATAACTGGACTACAGTTGGCTTAAACAAACAAGGATTTACATTAAACCTAACAAGAAGCCTAGAGGTAGGCAGCCCAGGGAAGGTAAGTAATGCACCACCATGCCTTCCTAGCTGCAGGTTGTGCAACTTGTAAACGTCGTTTTTCATTGCCTTCGAATTGTAAAATGTTTGTCTCTCCTGTGGCATCACCTCTGAATTCCAGGTGGAAATAAGGAGAGGGCAAAGGCTTGCTAGCTGAGTCTTCCATCTTTATAGAGCGTTCCTGGGAGCTCCACCCGGTGACTTGTGCTTTCATCTCGTTGGTCAGAACTTAGTTACACAGACACTGCTAGCTTCAAGCAAGGCTGGGAAATGTAGCTTATCAGCTGGGCACATTCAAAATTAGAATTCTGTTGGTAAGGAAGAAGAACGAATATTGACAGACACCCAGCAGTTTCTGCCACATTCCTGTTCTTAGCCGTTTTCTGTTTGTAATGATGAGATCAGAAACATCTGATTTTCTTATTCAGAGTAATATTAAGGTACATTCACACTCTTCAATTCAATGCCATCCTTTTTGATAGGAACCAGTTTATATGCAAATGTGTGAGCTGAAACATATGATCCCAATAAGAATTATATCTATTGTCTTTTCATCTGAACAATCATTGGGAAACACTAAGCTTTTTCTGCTTTGTTCACATTTTACCCAGTGACATTCGTGGCATATGTCTATATTCTACTTACTGAACATGAATTGAAGATTGTAAATTTGAAAGAAATAGGAAAGTGGCAAAGAAAATGGGAACAATAAGGGAAGTTTCTCAAGGCTGTATATCCACACTTAATCATTAAATAGCACTGGTAAGAACTTTACTGCACAATGCTTTGACTATAAAATATGGTTGAAAGAATAAAACAAATGTATAAATGATGTTAAATTAGAAATGTTAATAATTTGTCTAGTGAGTATTGTGCTACTGGTACAGTCTGCAGCAGCATGCACTAATATTCAGGAGAATGCTGTGTTATTTTCCTCCATGGACATCCCCTGGGGACATATGATTTTCTCACTGTAAGGATTTCTGTCTTGAAAGACCCTCTAGCTATTATGGACCTCTAATACAGTAATAATAGTTTATACATCTTTTTTCAAAGTGTGGCTCTCATGGGTGGATCTAGATTTTGTAGTGCCTGAAGATTAGTAAAATGTTTAGTCCATCTTTCAGAAGATAATGCATAATCAGATACAAATGTCATAATTTATTTAGAATAAGAGAAGATACCAAAAACTGACAAATACACAAGGGTGACAAAAATCTAGAAAAGTAACATAATTTAATTAATTAACTGTTTGAAATACCTCTATAGCACTTTTCTCGCCTATGTTTTTTTGGCTGCATAATTTTTTATCATATTTTTATATGAAAATAAGTTTGTAATATTATTTTCTCTAGAGAGAATAGAAAGATTATTTAATATTTCTTCTATTATGGTTGATTAAAATATATTTTATAATAGCTTAGTAAAGATTTGTTCCATTTCATTACTCATTGTTGATAATGTCATGTACTATTTAGGATTGTTGCTAAATTTTGGGACATCTGGCAATTTTCTTTTATATATGAACTATAAGATTTTAGGGCATTTCAAATTTTCTTGTGTAGTAACTAATCTTAAATATTCTTTGAATTGATGACACTCATTTGCCAATTTATCATCAGTTGTCTTCATTGTCCTGGCATATTATGAGTTTTATGTTATCTGACAGAAGAGAAATTCCATTTTGACTAGGCATTGATGAGAATCATATCTTTTACTTGTTATTTTCTATGTCTGATGCTGAAAAGATTTTCCACAGACGCTTCTGGCTCCTTACCTATCAACCTTCCCCAACACAACCCACAAAATTCCAGTGCCGAACACCATAGAACACATTCACATCTCCAGTGACATCTGCCCTTGCACCACTGTGTCGTGACACCATTCCCACAATAGAATAGCTATCCATAACTTGCCTATATGGGAAGTGCCTGTGATAAAGGTATCCCACCAACCCAGATAAAATATATCCCTTACTCATCTTATACTTAACGGAATCTCCAAATGTCCATAGCTTCTCTAGCACCACACAACATGATGAGAAGTGTGAAGGAGCAGATGTTGAGATAGAAAGAGACAGCGATATTAACCCAATACAGTTAAAATAACTTACTTTTGTCAATTTTGCACATTTGCTGAATGAGTAGGTATAAGATGAGCGGCCCAGGTTGGCTCTCCTGGGAAGTGTACTCTGAGAAAAAATGCAGTGTGTTTATTAGCAAGTGCTCTTGGGGTTCTCAAAGCATGAAATTTCAACAAATTTAGTTTAAAGATCGAATTTTCTTGATATACTTGCTTACTAATAAAAATTATGTATATCTATCATCTAAGTAACATTGTTTTGCAATTGGGGAATGGCTAAATTGAGCTAATTAACACATGCATTACCGCATGTACTTATTTTTTTTTTTTTGGCGTGGTGAGAGCACTTAAAATTTATTCTCTTAGCAACATGTATAAACACAATGCATTGTTACTAACTATAGTCACCATGTTGTATGATGTATCTCTTGAACTTCTTTCTTTTTTTTCTTTTCTTTTTTTTTTTTTTTTTTTTTTTTTTTTTGAGATGGAGTCTTACTTTGTCACCCAGGCTGGAGTGCAGCGGTTTGATCTCGGCTCACTGCAACCTCTGCTGCCCTGGTTCAAGCAATTCTCCTGCCTCAGCCTCCCGAGTAGCTGGGATTACAGGCTCCTGCCACCGTGCCTGGCTAATTTTTGCATTTTTAGTAGAGATGGGGCTTCACCATCGTGGCCAGGCTGGTCTTGATTTCCAGACCTTGTGATCCACCCACCTCAGCCTCCCAAAGTGCTGGGATTACAGGCGTGAGCCACCGTGCCCGGCCAAACTTATTTCTTTTATCTAACTGATAATTGGCTTTTATAAGTTTGCAATTTGTGAGTTGGGCAGCATCTCATCAGAAAATTTGGAAAGAGTGCTCTATTAGGCATGGCTACTTTTTATAAGGTATCTTGAACAGGAACAAAGAAACGGCATAATACAAAAAGTAGTTTGGTTAACATCAGGTTACTTCGGGTTACTTTTTTGCCTTGTAAGGGTTAAAGCAAAGGGGATTTCCTTCTCATGCCACTTTGAAAAACTGGCCTATTGGTGATTTGACTATTATCTCTCTCTCTCTCCTGATTTCTCAGAAGGTGAGGTAAACAGCTTAGTTTTGCAGTCTTTTTTTCCTTCTTTCCTTCCTGTTTTCTTTTTTGTGAAAGTGATGTTCTCTACTGGTATGTTTAAATTTTTTGCGTATCTGTGGTATTTCTTTTTATTTGAGGTTACCATGAGGCTTGCAAATAATATCTTATAACCCATTATTTTAAACTGATAACAATGACAAATTAACACTGATTGCATAAATGAAATAACACATAAGCAAAAAGACTAATAAAAACTCCATACTTTAACTTAATTCTTCTCACTTTTTGACTTTCTGTTGTTTCTCTTCATATCTTATTATACTACACAAATAAACTAGAAAATCTAGAAGAAATGGATAAGTTTCTGGACACATACACCCTTCCAAGACTAAACTAGGAAGAAATTGAATCCCTAAATAGACCAATAACAAGTTCTGAAATTGAGGCAGTAATTAATAGCCTACCAACCAAGAAACGCCCAGGACCAGCTGGATTTACAGCCGAATTCTACCAGAGATGCAAAGAGGAGCTGGTACCATTTTTTTCTGAAACTATTCCAATCAATAGAAAAAGAGGGCATCCTTCCTAACTCATTTTATGAGGCCAGCGTCATCCTAATACCAAAACCTGGCAGAGACACAACAAAAAAGAAAATTTCAGGCCAATATCCTTGATGAACATTTATGTGAAAATCCTCAATAAAATACTGTCAAACTGAATCCAGCAGCACATCAAAAAGTTTATCCACCATGAGCAAGTCAGTTTCATCCCATGAATGCAAGGGTGGTTCAACATATGGAAATCAATAAATGTAATCCATCACATAAACAGAACCAATGGCAAAAACCACATGTTTATCTCAATAGGTGCAGAAAAGGCCTTCGACAAAGTTCAGCAGTGCTTCATGCTAAAAACTCTCGATAAACTAGGTATTGATAGAACATATCTCAACATAGCAAGAGCTATTTATGAGAAACCCACAGCCAATATCTCACTGAATGGGCAAAAACTGTTAGTGTTCCCTTTGAAAACTGACACAACACAAGGGTGCCCTCTCTCACCACTGCTTTTTAACATTGTATTGGAAGTTCTGGCCAGGGCAATCAGGCAAGAGAAAGAAATAAAGGGTAATCAATTAGGAAAAGCAGGAGTAAAATTGTCTCTCTTTGCAGATGACATGATTGTATATTTAGGAAACCCCATCATCTCAGCCCCAAATCTCCTTAAGCTCATAAGCAACTTCAGCAAAGTCTCAGGATACAAAATTAATGTGCAAAAATCATAAGCATCACTATACACCAATAATAGCCAAATCATGAGTGAACTCCCATTCACAATTGCTGCAGAGAATAAAGCACCTAGGAATATAACTTACAAAAGATGTGAAGGACCTCTTCAGGGAGAACTACAAACCACTGCTCAAAGAAATAAGAGAGGACACAAATGGAAAAACATTCCACGCTTATGGATAGGAAGAATCAATATCGTGAAAATGGCCATACTGCCTAAAGTAATATATAGATTCAATGCTATCCCCATGAAGCTACCATTGACTTTCTTCATAGAATTGGCAAAAACTACTTTAAATTTCATATGGAACCAAAAAAGAGCCCACATAGCCGAGACAATCCTAAGCAAAAAGAACAAAGCTGGAGGCATCATGCTACCTGACTTCAAACTATAATACAAGGCTACAGTAACCAAAACAGCCTGGTACTGGTACCAAAACAGATATATAGACCAATGGAACAGAACAGAGGCCTCAGAAATCATGCCACACATCTACAACCACCTGATCTTTGGCAAACCTGACAAAAACAAGCAGTGGGGAAAGGATTCTCTATTTAATAAATGGTGTTGGGAAAACTGGCTAGCCATATGCAGAAAACTGAAACTGGATCCCTTCCTTACACCTTGTACAACAATTAACTCAAGAAGGATTAAAGAGTTAAATGTAAGACCTAAAACCATAAAGACCTAAAACCACAAAAACCTTAGATGAAAACCTAGGCAATACCATTCAGGACATAGGCATGGGCAAAGACTTCATGACTAAAACGCCAAAAGCAATGGCAATGAAAGCCAAAATAGACAAATGGGATCTAATTAAACTAAAGAGCTTCTGCACAGTAAAAGAAACTATCATCAGAGTGAACAGGCAACCTAAAGAATGGGAAAAAATTTTTATAATCTATCTATCTATCAAAGGGCTAATATCCAGAATCTACGAAGAACTTAAACAAATTTACAACAAACAACCCCATCAAAAATTGGGCAAAGGATATGATCAGACACTTCTCTAAACAAGACATTTATGCAGCCAACAAACATGAAAAAAAGCTCATCATCACTGATCATTAGAGAAATGCAAGGCAAAACCACAATGAGATACCATCTCATGCCAATTAGAATGATGATCATTAAAAAGTCAGGAAACAACAGATGCTGGAGAAGAAGTGGAGAAATAGGAGCTCTTTTACACTGTTGGTGGGAGTGTAAATTAGTTCAACCACTGTGGAAGACAGTGTGACGATTTCTCAAGGATCTAGAACTAGAAATACCATTTGATTCAGCAATCCCATTACTGGGTATGTACCCAAAAGATTATAAATTTTTCTACTATAAAGACACATGCACATGTATGTTTATTGTGGCACTGTTCACAATAGCAAAGACTTGGAACCAACTAAAATGCCCATCAATGATAGACTGGGTAAAGGAAATGTGGCACATATACACCATAGAATACTATGCATCCATAAAAAAGGGTGAATTCATGTCCTTTGCAGGGACATGGATGAAGCTGGAAACCATCATTCTCAGCAAACTAACACAAGAATAGAAAACCAAACAGTGCATTTTCTCACTCATAAGTGGGAGTTGAACAATGAGAACACACGGACACAAGGAGAGGAACATCGCACACTGGGGCCTGTCTGGAGGTTGGGGGCCTAGGGGAGGGATAGCATTAGGAGAAATACCTAATGTAGATGATGGGTTGATGGGTGCAGCAAACCACCACGGCAAGTGTATACCTATGACACAAACCTGCACGTTCTGCACATGTACCCCAGAACTTAAAGTATAATAAAAAAAAGAAAATGCAATATATATACACCATGGAATAGTAGTCAGCCATAAAAAGGAGCAAAATAATGGATTCACAGCCACCTGGATGGAGTTGGAGACCATTGTTCTAAGTGAAGTAATTTAGGAATGAAGAAACAAATATTGTATGTTCTCACTTGTAAGTGGGAGCTAAGCTATGAGGATGCAATTACATAAGAATTATACAATGGTATTTGAGAATTCAGGGAAAAGGGCGGGAGGGGTGTGAGGGATAAAAGAGTACATATTGGGTAGAGTGTACACTACTAAGGTGATGGGTGCATCATAATCTCAGAAATCACCACTAAAGAACTTATCCATGTAACCAGAAACCACCTGTACCCCCAAACTATTGAAATTAAAAAACCAAGGCTCAATAATCTGTTGCCCAAGGGAAACACATTTCACCTATAAAAATATACAAAGACTGTAAAGAAATGGATGGAAAATGATATACCTTGGAGGAGAAAAGCAAAAAAAGACAGGTGTTTTGGAAGTAGAAAGCAAAAATAAAACAGTTACACTTATGTCAGACAAAATAGATATCAAGACAAAAACTATAAAAAGAGGCAAAGATTATTATATAATGATAAAAGGATCAATTCAGCAAAATGATATAACAGTTGTAAATGTACCCAACATTGGAGTACCCAGATACCTAAAGCAAATATTCTTACAGCTAAAGAGAGAAATAAACCCCAACACGATAGTAGCTGGAGATTTTAGCATCCCACTTTCAGCATTGGACATATCATCCAGACAGAAAATTAACAATGGAAAATCAGACTTATCTGCTCTGTAGAGCAAAAAGGCCTAATAGATATTTACAGAACATTTCATCCAACAGCTGCAGAATATGCATTCTTCTCTTCAGCACATGGATCATTCTCAAGGATAGACATGTTAGGGCACAAAACAAGTCTTTAAAAATTCAAAAAAATTGACATTATATCAAGTATCCTCTCTGACCACAATGGAATGAAAGTAGAAATCAATAACGAGGAATTTTGGAAACTATACAAACACATGGCAATTAAACAATATGCTCCTGAATAACCAGTGGTTCAATGAGGAAATCAAGAAGAAAATTTTAAAAGTGATTGAAACAAATGTTAATGGAAACACAACATACAAAAACCATTGGACACAGTGAAAGCAGTACTAAGAGGAAGTTTATAACTATAATTAAGTACGCCAAAAAAGTAGGAAAACTTCAAATAAATAACCTAATGATGCATCTTAAACAATTAGAAAAGTAGGCACAGACTTAACCCAGAATAAGTAGAGGAAAAGAAATAGTGAAGATTAGCATAGAAATAAACATAATTGAAACAAATTAAATATACAAAAGATCAATGAAACAAAAAGTTGATTTTTTGAAAGTTTGAAACTGATAAAGCCTTAGCCAGATAAAGAAAAAAAGAGAGAATACCCAGATAAATACACCCAGAGATGAAAAAGGAGATACTGCAAATTGATATCACAGAAATTCAAAGAATCATTAGAGTCTACTATAAGCAACTTTATGCCGATAAATTTGAAAATCAAGAAGAAATGAACAAATTCCTAGACACATACAACTTACCAATATTGATTCAAGAAGAAATTTAAAACCTGAGCAGTCCAATAACAAGTAAGATCAAAGTCATAATAAAAAGTCTCTCAGCAAAGAAAAGCCCAGGACCTAATGGCTTCACTGCTGATTTTTAACCAAACATTTAAAGAAGAAGTATTACAAACCCTACTCAAACCATTTCAAAAATTAGATGTGGAGAAAATACTTTCAAACTCATTCTATGAGGCGAGTATTACACTGATACCAAAACCAGAACAAGACATCCCATAAAAGACAATTACAGGCTGATATCCCTGATGAACATGGATGCAAAGATCCTCAACAGAATACTAGCAAACCAAATTCAACAACACATTAAAAAGATCATCATTGTGACCAAGCGTGGTTTATCCCAGGGATGCAAGCATGGTTCAACATACACAAATCAACAAATGTATTATATCATATCAACAGAATGAAGGACAAAAATCATATGATCATTTCAATTGATGCTGACCAAGCATTTGATAAAATGCAACATCCCTTCATGATGAAAACCCTCAAAAAACTAGGGATAGAAGGAACATATCCCAACACAATAATAGTCATGTATGACAGACCCACAGCTAGTATAATGCTTAATGGGGAAAAACTAAAAGGCTTTCCTCTAACTTCTGGAAGAAGACAAGGATGCCCACATTCACTACTGTTATTCAACATAACATTGGAAGTCCTAGGTAGAGTAATCAGAGAAGAGGAATAAATAAAGAGCATTAAAATTAGAAAGGAAGAAGTAAAATTATCCTTGTTTGCAGATGGTATAATTTTATATTTTGAAAAACTTGAAGACTCCATAAAAAGTTTATGAGCAATCATGAAGAAGTTTAGTAAAGTTGCAGCATACAAAATCAGTGTACAAAAATCAGGCCGGGCGCGGTGGCTCACGCCTGTAATCCCAGCACTTTGGGAGGCCGAGGCGGGCGGATCACGAGGTCAGGAGATCGAGACCATCCCGGCTAAAACGGTGAAACCCCGTCTCTACTAAAAATACAAAAAATTAGCCGGGCGTAGTGGCGGGCGCCTGTAGTCCCAGCTCCTTGGGAGGCTGAGGCAGGAGAATGGCGTGAACCCGGGAGGCGGAGCTTGCAGTGAGCCGAGATCCCGCCACTGCACTCCAGCCTGGGCGACAGAGCGAGACTCCGTCTCAAAAAAAAAAAAAAAAAAAAAAAAATCAGTAATATTTCCATATGCCAACAGCAAACAATCTGAAAAAGAAACCAAAACTTAATCCCATTTCCAATAATTACAAATGCAATAAAATACCTAAGAATTAGCTTAGGCAAAGAAGTAAAGCTTCTCTACAATTAAAACTAAAAACATTGATGCAAGAAATTGAAGAGGACACAAAAGATGGAAAGATATTCCATGTTCATGGATTGGAAGAATCAATATTATTAAAATGTTCATACTATGCAAAGCAATCTACAGACTCAATACAATCACTATAAAAATACCAATGACATTCTTCACAAAAATAGAAAAACCAGTATTAAAATTGATCTTGAGTCAAAAAAGACACAGAATAACAAAAGCTATCCTGAGCAAAAAGAACAAATCTGGAGGAATCCCATTACCTGACTTCAAATTATACTACAGAGCTATAGTAACAAAAACAGCATGGTACTAGCACAAAAACAGACACATAGACTAATGGAACAGAGAATCCAGAAATAAATCTACATACCTACAGTGAACTTATTCTTGACAAAGCTGCCAATAACATACATTGGGGAAAAGACAGTCTCTTCAATAAATGGTGCGGGGAAAACTGAATATCTATGCAGAAGAACGAAACTTAATTCTCTCACTTTATACAAAAATCAAATCAAAATGGACCACAGACTTAAATCTAAGATCTCAAACTATGAAACTACTGTAAGAAAACATTGGGGAAACTCCAAGGACATTGGTCTGGGCAAGAAGTTCTTGAGTAATATTCCATATGCACAGGCAATCACAGCAAAAATGGACAAATGGGATCACATCAAGTTAAAAAGTTTCTGCACAGTAAAGGAAACAATCAACAAAGTGAAGTGACAACCCACAGAAAGGGAGAAAATATTTGCAAACTATCCATTTGACAAGGGGTTAATAACCAGAATATGTAAGGAGCTCAAATAACTCTATAGGAAAATATCTAATAATTTGATTAAAAAATGGGCAAAGGGTTTGAACAGATATTTCTCCAAAGAAGTCATAAAAATGGCAAACAGGCATATGAAAAGGTACTCAACATCATTAATCATCAGAGAAGTGCAAATCAAAATTACAATGAGATATCACCTCACCCCAATTGAAATGGCTGATTAGACAGGCAACACGAATGCTGGTGAAGATGTGGAGAAAAGGGAGCCCTCATACACTATTGGTGGCTATGTAAATTAGTATAAGCACTATGGAAAACAGTTTGGAGGTTCCCCAAAAACTAAGAATAGAGCTACTGTAGGATCTAGAAATCTCACTACTAGGTATATACCCAAAAGAAAGGAGATTAGTATACAGAAGGGATATCTGCACTCCCATGTTTATTGTAGCACTATTCACAATAGTGAAAATTTGGAAGCAGCTGAAGTGTTCATCAACAGACAAATGGATAAAGAAAATATGGTATATATACACAATGGGGTAGTATTCAGTCATAAAAAAGAATGAGATGCTGTCATTTGCAGCAAGATGGATGGAACTGGAGGTTATTATGTTAAGTGAAATAAGACAGGAAAAGAAAGACAAACTTCATATATTCTCACTTATTTGTGGGAGGTAAAAACTAAAACAATTGAACTCATGGAGATTGACATGGTTTGGCTCTGTGTCTCCACCCAAATCTCTTCTCCAATTGTAATCCCCATAATCCCCATGTGTCAGAGGAGGGACCAGGTGGGAAGTGATTGGATCATGGGGGCAGTTTTCCCCATGGTGTTCTCAGGATAGTGAGTGAGTTCTCATGAGATCTGATAGTTTTATAAGGCAGTTTCCCTGCTCTTGCTCACTTCCTCTCTTTTGCCTGCCACCATGTAAGATGTGCCTGCTTCCTCTTCCTCCATGATTGTGAGTTTTCTGAGGCCTCCCCAGCCATTCAGAACTGTGAGTCAACTAAACCTCTTTTCTTTATAAATTATCCAGTCTTAGTTATTTCTTTATAGCAGTGTGAAAACAAACTAATACAGTAAAATGGTACCAGAAGTGGGCATTGCTATAAAGATACTCAAAAATGTGGAAGTGACTTTGGAACTGGGTAATAGGCAGAGGTTGAAACAGTTTGGAGGGCTCAGAAGAAGACAGGAAAATGAGGGAAAGTTTGGAACTTCCTAGAGACTTTTAAAGTGGTTGTGACCAAAATGCTGATAGTGATGTGGACAGTGAATTCCAGGCTGAGGAGGTCTCAAATGAAAATGAGGAACCTCTTGGGAACTGGAATGAAGGTCACTCTTGCTGTGCTTTAGCAAAGAGGCTGGTGGCATTGTGCTCCTGCTCTAAGGATCTGTGGAGCTTTGAACTTGAGAGAGATGATTTAGGGTATCTGGCAGAGAAATTTCTAAGCAGCAAAGCACTCAAGAGGTGACCTGGGTGCTCTTAAAAGTTATATACTCTCACAAAGAGATGGTTAGAAATTGGAACTTATGTTTAAAAGGGAAGCAGAGCATGCAAGTTTGGAAAATTTGCGACCTGGCAATGCAATAGAAAAGAAAAACCCATCTTCTGGGCAGAAATTCAAGCTGGCTGCAGAAATTTGCATAAGCAATGAGAAGCCAAACATTAATCACCAAGACAATGGGGAAAATGTCTGCAAGCCATGTCAAAGGTCTTCATGGCAGCGCCTCCTGTCACAGGCCCAGAGGCCTAGGAGGAAAAAAATGGTTTTGTGGGCTGGGCCTAGGACCTTGCTGCTTTGTGTGAAAATGAACTAATACAGAGATGGTAGCACAATGGTTATTAGAGGCTGGGAATGGCAGTGGGGTGGGGAAAGTGGTGATGTTTAATGAGTGCAAAAATATAGTCAGATAGAATGAATCAGATCTAGAATTTGATAGCACAACAGGGTGACTACAGTCAACAAAAATTTATTGTACATTTAAAAATAACTAAAAGTATAATTGGATTGTTTGTAACACAAAGAAAGGAGAAATGCTTGAAGTGATGAATACCTCATTTACCCTGATGTGATTGTTATGCAGTGTATGCCTGTATCAATATGTTTCATATACCCCATAAATATATACATCTACTATGTAGTCACAAAAGTTTAAAGTTAAAAAAGGGAATTTTCTATATTTTCAGAAAATAAAATATAAATAAATACAAGTGTCTACAACATTAAATACCTGCACTTTAAGTCTGTAGTTTGGCATTAATATTTCAAAAATTCCGGTTTCCTGTGTCTGGAGTGCTCTACAAGATAATGTACTTCTCCTCCCATCAGCATTATCACCAGCCCTTCAAAGGACATGCTCTCATTCTTTTTTATGGATGCATAGTACTCCAGGGTGTATATGTACCACATTTTCCTTATTCAGTCTATGATTGGTGGGAATTCAGTTTAATTCCATGTCTTTGCCATTGTGAATAGAGCTGCAATGAATATATGTGTGCATGTGTCTTTGTAATAGAATGATTTCTATTCCCTTGGGTATATACCCAGTAATAGGATTGCTGAGTCTAATGGTATTTCTGTCTTCAGGTCTTTGAGGAATCACTACAGTGTCTTCCACAGTGGCTGGACTAATTTACACTCCAACCAACAGTGTATAAGCATTCCTTCTTCTCCACAACCTTGCCAGCCTCTGTTAGTTTTTGACTTTTTAATAAAAGCCATTTTGACTGGTGTAAGATGGTATTTCATTGTGGTTTTGATTTGCATTTCTCTAATGATCAGTTATGTTGAGCTTTTTTTCATATGATTCGTGGCTGCATGAATGTCTTCTTCTGGAAAGTGTCTATTCATGTTCATTGCCCACTTTTTAAAGGGGTTCTTTGTAAATTTGTTTAAGTTCCTTATAGATGCTGGATATTAGATTTTTGTTAAATGCGTAGTTTGCAAAAATGTTCTCCCATTCTGTATGTCGTCTGTTTCCTCTGTTGATAGTTTCTTTTGCTGTGCAGAAGGTCTTTAGTTTAATTAGAGCCCATTTGTCATTTTTTGCTTTTGTTGCAATTGCTTTTGGCTTCTTCCTCATGAAAGCTTTTTGCCTGTGCCTATGTCCTGAATGGTATTGCCTAGGTTGTCTTCCAGGGTTGTTATAGTTTTGGGTTGTACATATAAGTCTTTAATCCATCTTGAGTTAATTTTTGTATATGGTGTAAGGAAGGGGTCCAGTTTCAATCTTCTGCATATGGATAGCCTGTTATCCCAGCACTATTTATTGAACAGGAAATCTTTTCCCCATTGCTTGTTTTTGTCAGGTTTTTTGAAGATCAGATAGTTGTAGGTGTGTAGTTTTATTTATGGATCCTCTATTCTGTTCCATTGGTTCATGTGTCAGTTTTTGTACCAGTACCATGCTGTTTTTATTACTGTGGCCCTGTAGTATAGTTTGAAGTCAGGTAACATGATGCCTCAAGCTTTGTTCTTTTTGCTCAGGATTGCCTTGGCCATCTGGGCTCCTTTTTGGTTCCATATGAATTTTAAAATAATTTTTCCTAGTTCTGTGAAGAATGTGAATGGTAGTTTAACAGGCATGGCATTGAATCTATAAATTGCTGTGGGCAGTAGAGCCATTTTAAGGATATTGATTCTTCCTACCCATGAGCATGGAATGTTTTTCCATTTGTTTGTGTAATGTCTGATTTCTTTGAGCAGTGTTTGTAGTTCTTCTTGTAGAGATCTTTTACCTCCCTAGTTAGCTGTATTCCTAGATGTTTTATTCTTTTTATGGCAGTTGTGAATGGGAGTTCATTCCTGATTTGGCTCTGGGCCTGACTGTTTTTGGTGTCCTGGGATTTTGCTGAACCTAAACTGTTGTTTGTATCCTGAGACTTTGCTGAAGTTGTTTATCAGCTCATAAAGATTTTGGGCTGAGACTATGGGGTTTTCTAGATATAGGATCATGTTGTCTACAAATAGGGATAGTTTGACTTCCTCTCTTCTTATTTGGATACGTTTATTTCTTTCTCTTGCCTGATTACTCCAGCCAGGACTTCCAATAGTATGTTGAATAGAAGTGGTGAGAGAGAGCATCCTTGATTTGTGCCAGTTTTCAAGGGGAATGCTTCCAGCTTTTTCCCATTCAGTATGATGTTGGCTGTGGGTTTGTCATAAATGGCTCTTATTATTTTTGAGGTATGTTCCTTCAATACCTAGTTTATTGGGAGTTTTTAACATGAATGGATGTTGGATTTTGTATTAGCCAGGGTTCCCTAGAGGGACAGAACTAATAGAATATATATATATATCATATATATATGTATATATATGTGTGTATATATATATGTATATATATAATGTATATATATGTATATATAATGTATATATATATACACACACACACAAATATATATGTATATGAGAGTTTATTAAGTATTAACTTACATGATCATAAGGTCCCACAATAGGCTGTCTGTGAGCTTGAGGAGCAAGAAGAGCCAGTCCGACTCTCAAAACTGAGGAACTTGGAGTCCGATGCTTGACGGCAGGAAGCATCCAACATGGGAGAAAGATGTAGGCTGGGAGACTAGGCCAGTCTTGCTTTTCACATTTTTCTGCCTGCTTTATATTCACAGGCAGCTGATTGGATTACACCCACCAGATTAAGCGTGAATCTGCCTCTAGAAAATGGTAGTTGGGTTAGCCATACACACACACACACACACACACACACACACACACACACACACACACATTTCTCAGATTCTATGGAAACCAAATATGGCCATTTGACAGCATTCTGGCCAAAAATATGTGAGTAGAGGTCTGATGGTGCAAATTCTTTCCTTTCTGCCTTCTTCCTGCCTGGACTGTGAACATGACCTAGAAGTATAAGCAGCCACTTTTCTTTTTTTTATTTTTATTTATTTATTTACGTATTATTTTACTTTAAGTTCTTGGGTACATGTGCACAACGTGCAGGTTTGTTACATATGTATACATGTGCCATGTTGGTGTGCTGCACCCATTAACTCGTCATTTACATTAGGTATATCTGCTAATGCTTTCCCTCCCCTCTTCCCCCACCCCACAACAGGCCCCAGTGTGTGATGTTCCCCTTCCTGTGTCCAGGTGTTGTCAATGTTCAATTCCCACCTATGAGTGAGAACCTGTGGTGTTTGGTTTTTTGTCCTTGCAATAGTTTGCTGAGAATTATGGTTTCCAGCTTCATCCATGTCCCTACAAAAGACATTAACTCATTTTTTATGGCTGCATAGTATTCCATGGTGTATATGTGCCACATTTTCTTAATCCAGTCTATCATTGTTGGACATTTGGTTTGGTTCCAAGTCTTTGCTATTGTGAATAATGCCGCAATAAACATACGTGTGCATGTGTCTTTATAGCAGCATGATTTATAGTCCTTTGGGTATATACCCAGTAATGGGATGCTGGGTCAAATTGTATTTCCAGTTCTAGATCCCTGAGGAATCGCCACACTGACTTCCACAATGGTTGAACTAGTTTACAGTCCCACCAACAGTGTAAAAGTGTTCCTATTTCTCCATATCCTCTCCAGCACCTGTTGTTTCCTGACTTTTTAATGATTGCCATTCTAACTGGCGTGAGATGGTATCTCATTGTGGTTTTGATTTGCATTTCTTTGATGGCCAGTGATGATGAGCATTTTCTCACGTGTTTTTTGGCTGCATAAATGTCTTCTTTTGAGAAGTGTCTGTTCATGTCCTTTGCCCACTTTTTGATGGGGTTGTTTGTTTTTTTCTTGTAAATTTGTTTGAGTTCATTGTAGATTCTGGATATTAGCCCTTTGTCAGATGAGTAGGTTGCGAAAATTTTCTCCCATGTTGTAGGTTGCCTGTTCACTCTGATGGTAGTTTCTTTTGCTGTGCAGAAGCTCTTTAGTTTAATGAGATCCCATTTGTCAATTTTGTCTTTTGTTGCCATTGCTTTTGGTGTTTTAGACATGAAGTCCTTGCCCATGCCTATGTCCTGAATGGTATTGCCTAGGTTTTCTTCTAGGGATTTTATGGTTTTAGGTCTAACATTTAAGTCTTTAATCCATCTTGAATTAATTTTTGTATAAAGTGTAAGGAAGGGATCCAGTTTCAGCTTTCTACATATGGCTAGCCAGTTTTCCCAGCACCATTTATTAAATAGGGAATCCTTTCCCCATTGCTTGTTTTTGTCAGGTTTCTCAAAGATCAGATGGTTATAGATGTGTGGTATTATTTCTGAGGGCTCTGTTCTGTTCCATTGGTCTATATCTCTGTTTTGGTATCAGTACCATGCTGTTTTGGTTACTGTAGCCTTGTAGTATAGTTTGAAGTCAGGTAGTGTGATGCCTCCAGCTTTCCTCTTTTGGCTTAGGATTGACTTGGAAATGTGGGCTCTTTTTTGGTTCCATATGAGCTTTAAAGTAATTTTTTCCAATTCTGCAAAGAAAGTCACTGGTAGCTTGATGGGGATGGCATTGAATCTACAAATTACCTTGGGCAGTATGGCCATTTTCACGATATTAATTCTTCCTATCCATGAGCATGGAATGTTCTTCCATTTGTTTGTATCCTCTTTTACTTCGTTGAGCAGTGGTTTGTAGTTCTCTGTCAAGAGGTCCTTCACATCCCTTGTAAGTTGGATTCCTAGGTATTTTATTCTCTTTGAAGCAATTGTGAATGGGAGTTCACTCATGATTTGGCTCTCTGTTTGTCTGTTATTGGTGTATACGAATGCTTGTGATTTTTGCACATTGATTTTGTATCCTGAGACTTTGCTGAAGTTTCCTATCAGCTTAAGTAGATTTTGGGCTGAGACAATGGGGTTTTCTAGATATACAATCATGTCATCTGCAAACAGGGACAATTTGACTTCCTGTTTTCCTAATTGAATACTCTTTATTTCTATCTCCTTCCTGATTGCCCTGGTCAGAACTTCCAACACTATGTTGAATAGGAGTGGTGAGAGAGGGCATCCCTGTCTTGTGCCAGTTTTCAAAGGGAATGCTTCCAGTTTTTGCCCATTCAGTATGATATTGGCTGTGGGTTTGTCATAAATAGCTCTTATTATTTTGAGATATGTCCCATCAATATCTATTTTATTGAGATCTTTTAGCATGAAGGGTTGTTGAATTTTGTCAAAGGCCTTTTCTGCATCTATTAAGATAATCATGTGGTTTTTGTCATTGGTTCTGTTTATAGGCTAGATTACATTTGTTGATTTGTGTATGTTGAACCAGCCTTGCATCCCAGGGATGAAGCCCACTTGATCATGGTGGATAAGCTTTTTGATGTGCTGCTGGATTCGGTTTGCCAGTATTTTATTGAGGATTTTTGCATCGATGTTCATTAGGGATATTGGTCTAAAATTCTCTCTTATTTTTGTGTGTCCCTGCCAGGCTTTGGTATCAGGATGATGCTGGCCTCATAAAATGAGTTAGGGAGGATTCCCTAATTTTCTATTGATTGGAGTAGTTTCAGAAGGAATGGTACCAGCTCGTCCTTGTACCTCTGGTAGAATTCGGCTGTGAATCTGTCTGGTCCTGGACTTTTTCGTTGGTAGTCTATTAATTATTGCCTTAATTTCAGAGCCTATAATTTGTCTATTCAGGAATTCAAGTTCTTCCTGGTTTAGTCTTGGGAGGGTGTATGTGTTGAGGAATTTATCCATTTCTTCTACATTTTCTAGTTTATTTGTGTATAGATGTTTATAGTATTCTCTGATGGTAGTTTGTATTTCTGTGGGATCAGTGGTGATAGCCTCTTTGTCATTTTTTATTGAATCTCTTTTATTCTTCTCTCTTTTCTTCTTTATTAGTCTTGCTAGCGGTCTATCAATTTTGTTGATCTTTTCAAAAAAACCAGCTCCTGGAATCATTGATTTTTTTGAAGGGTTTTTTTGTGTCTCTATTTCCTTCAGTTCTGCTCTGATCTTAGTTATTTCTTGCCTTCTGCTAGCTAGTTTTTGAATGTGTTTGCTCTTGCTTCTCTAGTTCTTTTAATTGTGATGTTAGGGTGTCAATTTTAGATCTTTCCTGCTTTCTCTTGTGAGCATTTAGTGCTATAAATTTCCCTCTACACACTGCTTTGAATGTGTCCCGGAGATTCTGGTATGTTGTGTCTTTGTTCTCATTGGTTTCAAAGAACATCTTTATTTCTGCCTTCATTTCATTATGTACCCAGTAGTCATTCAGGAGCAGGTTGTTCAGTTTCCGTGTAGTTGAGTGGTTTTGAGTGAGTTTCTTAATCTTGAGTTCTAGTCTGATTGTACTGTGGTCTGAGAGACAGTTTGTTATAATTTCTCTTCTTTTATATTTGCTGAGGAGTGCTTTACTTCCAACTATGTGGTCAATTTTGGAATAGGTGTGATGTGTTGCTGAAAAGAATGTATATTCTGTTGATTTGGGGTGGAGAGTTCTATAGATGTCTATTAGGTCTGCTTGGTGCAGAGCTGAGTTCAATTCCTGGATATCCTTGTTGACTTTCTGTCTCGTTGATCTGTCCAGTGTTGACAGTGGGGTGTTAAAGTCTCCCATTATTATTGAGTGGGAGTCTAAGTCTCTTTGTAGGTCACTCAGGACTTGCTTTATGAATCTGGGTGCTCCTGTATTGGGTGCATATATATTTAGGATAGTTAGCTCTTCTTGTTGAATTGATCCCTTTACCGTGATGTAATTGCCTTCTTTGTCTCTTTTGATCTTTGTTGGTTTAAAGTCTGTTTTATCCAAGACTAGGATTGCAACCCCTGCCTTTTTTGGTTTTCCATTTTCTTGGTAGATCTTCCTCCATCCCTTTATTTTGAGCCTATGTGTGTCTCTGCCCGTGAGATGGGTTTCCTGAATACAGCACACTGATGGGTCTTGACTCTTTATCCAATTTGCCAGTCTGTGCCTTTTAATTGGAGCATTTAGCCCATTTACATTTAAGGTTAATATTGTTATGTGTGAATTTGATCATGTCATTATGATGTTAGCTGGTTATTTTGCTTGTTAGTTGATGCAGTTTCTTCCTAGTCTCGATGGTCTTTACAATTTGGCATGTTTTTGCAGTGGCTGGTACCGGTTGTTCCTTTTCATATTCAGTACTTCCTTCAGGAGCTCTTTTAGGGCAGGCCTGGTGGTGACAAAATATCTCAGCATTTGCTTGTCTGTAAAAGATTTTATTTCTCCTTCACTTATGAAGCTTAATTTGGCTGGATATGAAATTCTGGGTTGAAAATTCTTTTCTTTAAGAATGTTGAATATTGGCCCCCACTGTCTTCTGGCTTGTAGAGTTTCTGCCAAGAGATCAGCTGTTAGTCTGACGGGCTTCTCTTTGTGGGTAACCTGACCTTTTTCTGTGGCTGCCCTTAATATTTTTTCCTTCATTTCAACTTTGGTGAATCTGACAATGATGTGTCTTGGAGTTGCTCTTCTCGAGGAGTATCTTTGTGGCGTTCTCTGTATTTCCTGAATCTGAATGTTGGCCTCCCTTGCTAGATTGGGGAAGTCCTCCTGGATAATATCCTGCAGAGTGTTTTCCAACTTGGTTCCATTCTCCCCGTCATTTTCAGGTACACCAATCAGACATGGATTTGGTCTTTTCACATAGTCCCATATTTCTTGGAGGCTTTGTTCATTTCTTTTTATTCTTTTTTCTCTAAACTTCTCTTCTCACTTCATTTCATTCATTTCGTTTTCCATCGCTGATACCGTTTCTTCCAGTTGATTGCATCAGCTACTGAGGCTTGTGCATTCGTCGTGTAGTTCTCGTGCCATGGTTTTCAGCTCCATCAGCTCCTTTAAGGACTTCTCTGCATTGGTTATTCTAGTTAGCCATTTGTCTAATTTTTTTTGAAGGTTTTTAACTTATTTGCCATTGGTTCGAACTTCTTCCTTTAGCTCGGAGTAGTTTGATCTTCTGAAGCCTTCTTCTCTCAACTCGTCAAAGTCATTCTCCATCCAACTTTGTTCCGTTGCTGGTGAGGAGCTGCGTTCCTTTAGAGGAGGAGAGGCACTCTGATTTTTAGAGTTTCCGGTTTTTCTGCTCTGTTTTTTCCCCATCTTTGTGGTTTTATCTACCTTTGATCTTTGATGATGGTGACGTACAGATGGGTTTTTGGTTTGGATGTCCTTCCTGTTTGTTAGTTTTCCTTCTAACAGTCAGGACCCTCAGCTGCAGGTCTGTTGGAGTTTGCTGGAGGTACACTCCAGACCCTGTTTGCCTGGGTATCAGCAGTGGTGGCTGCAGAACAGCGGATATTGGTGAACTGCAAATGTTGCTGCCTGATCGTTCCTCTGGAAGTTTTGTCTCAGAGGAGTACCCGGCCGTGTGAGGTGTCAGTCCGCCCCTACTGGGGGATGCCTCCCAGTTAGGCTACTCAGGGGTCAGGGACCCACTTGAGGAGGCAGTCTGCCCATTCTCAGATCTCAAGCTGCATGGTGGGATAACCACTACTCTCTTCAAAGCTGTCAGAGAGGGACATTTAAGTCTGCAGAGGTTACTGCTGCCTTTTGTTTGTCTGTGCCCTGCCCCCATAGGTGGAGCCTACAGAGGCAGGCAGGCCTCCTTGAGCTGTAGTGGGCTCCACCTAGTTCAAGCTTCCTGGCGGCTTTGTTTACCTGCTCAAGCCTCGGCAATGGCGAGCGCCCCTCCCCTAGCCTCCCTCCCCCCTTGCAGTTTGATCTCAGACTGCTGTGCTAGCAATGAGTGAGGCTCCGTGGGCATAGGAACCTCCCAGCCATGTGCGGGATATAATCTCCTGGTGTGCCGTTTGTTAAGCCCATTGGAAAAGCGCAGTATTATGGTGGGAGTGACCCGATTTTCGAGGTGCCATCTGTCACCCCTTTCTTTGAGTAGGAAAGGGAATTCCCTGACCCTTTGCACTTCCTGGGTGAGGTGAAGCCTCGCCCAGCTTTGGCTCACACTCAGTGCACTGCACCCACTGTCCTGCATACACTTTCCAGCACTCCCCATTGAATTGAACCTGGTACCTCAGTTGGAAATGCATAAATCACCTGTCTTCTGCTTCACTCACACTGGCACCTGTAGACTGGAGTTGCTTCTATTCGGCCATCTTGGCTCCCTGCACAGTGTTTTCAATTTGGTTCCATTCTTCCCATCACTTTCAGGTACACCAATCAGACGTAGATTTGGTCTTTTCACATAGTCCCATATTTCTTGGAGGCTTTGTTCTTTTCTTTTTACTCTTTTTTTTCTCTAAACTTCTGTTCTTGCTTCATTTCATTCATTTGATCTTCCATCACTGATACCCTTTCTTCCAGTTGATCAAATCAGCTACTGAAGCTTGTGCATTCATCATGTAGTTCTTGTGCCATGATTTTCAGCTCTATCAGGTCATTTAAGGACTTCTCTACACTGGTTATTCTAGTTAGCCATTCATCTAATGTTTTTTCAAGGTTTTTAAGTTCTTTGCTTTGTGTTTGAACTTCCTCCTTTAGCTTGGAGAAGTTGGATCATCTGAAGCCTTCTTCTCTCAACTCGTCAAAGTCATTCTCCATCCAACTTTGTTCCATTGCTGGCGAGGAGCTGCATTCCTTTGGAGGGGGAGAGGTGCTCTGATTTTTAGAATTTTCAGCTTTTTGCTCTGTTTTTTCCCCATCTTTGTGGTTTTATCTACCTTTGGTCTTTGATGACAGTGACCGACAGATGGGGTTTTATTGTGGATGTCCTTTCTATTCATTAGCTTTCTTCTAACAGTCAGGACCCTCAGCTGCAGGTCTTTTGGAGTTTCCTGGAGGTCCACTCCAGACCCTGTTTGCCTGGGTATCAGCAGTGGAGGCTGCAGAATAGTGAATATTTCTGAACAGCATATGTTGCTGCCTGATCGTTCCTCTGGAAGCTTCATTTTAGAGGGGTACCCGGCCATGTGAGGTGTCAGTCTGCCCCTACTGGGGGGTGCCTCCCAGTTAGGCTACTCGGGGGTCAGGGACCAACTTGAGGAGGCAGTCTGTCCATTCTCAGATCTCAAACTCTGCTGGGAGAACCACTACTCTCTTCAAAGCTGTCAGACAGGGACATTTAAGTCTGCAGTGGTTTCTGCTGCCTTTTGTTCAGCTATGCCCTGCCCCCAGAGGTGGAGTCTACAGAGGCAGGCAGGCCTCCATGAGCTGCAGTGGGCTCCACCCAGTTCGAGCTTCCCAGAGGCTTTGTTTACCTACTCAAGCCTCAACGATGGCGGGCGCCCCTCCCCCAGCCTCACTGCTGCCTTGCAGTTTGATCTCAGACTGCTGTGCTAGCAATGAGCAAGGCCCTGTGGGCATGAGACCCTCTGAGCCATGTGTGGGATATAATCTCCTGGTGTGCCGTTTGCTAAGACCATTGGAAAAGTGCAGTATTAGGGTGGGAGTGACCCGATTTTCCAGGTGCCATCTGTCACCCCTTCCCTTGGCTAGGAAAGGGAATTCCCTGACCCATTGCACTTCCTGGGTGAGGTGATGCCTTGCCCTGCTTCGGCTCACACTTGGTGGGCTGCACCCACTGTCCTGTCCCCACTGTTCAACGAGCCCCAGTGAGATGAACCCTGTACCTCAGTTGGAAATGCAGAAATCACCCATCTTCTCCATTGGTCACACTGGGAGCTGTAGGCTGGAGCTGTCCGTATTTGGCCATCTTGGAACTGCCCCCCAAGCAGCCACTTGTCAACCATGAGGATTAAAACCACAGGCCAAGAACTGTGGTAAAAAAGGAGTCTGTGTGTGTGTGTTTGTGTCTGTGTGTGTGTGTGAAATTGTTTTGTAGCAAAAATAAATCTGTATCCATTTAAACCACAATGGTTTAGCTAAAGCCAAATGCCATCTCTACAAGGAGAAAAACATCTTTTCTCCTGAGGCTATGCGGCTCACCATTGGAGGTACAGCTGTGCCATGCAGACCATGAATGCCATTGGTCAGAGAGGCAATCCTGCAGAGGTGACAGGGACACTGGAGAGTAACAGTGTGACGAAGTGGGGCTTACCACATATGAGGCAGCACATCAGGTCCTCTCTGACATATCTGGATATTTCTTAAGGAGGATAAATAAAGCCAGTGGATCTTGAGCCACCATAATTTGGTGTACATTTGGGTAACATAGTTCCCTTGCTGGCCCCTGGGATTGCCACTGTGGGAAGAGCAGAGTGAGATCAAGTAGAAACCACTCACTACACACCAAGCTAAGTCCAACTCAGTAGCTCTTTCCTCCCGCAGATACCTAAGGAAACAAGGTTGTTTCTCAAGGGGATTCTGACATTAAGACCAGGTTGCAGTCTGTGCAGGAGTAACAGTCCCTAGTCCTGGCCCACACCCTGAACCCTCTGAACCATTTTCCCTCTTGGCTTGAGGGAAGAGGGACTCCTCTGTTATATCTTACTCTCTTCTCATATCTTTCATTTCAGCTTTTAAAACTTTTATTTTGAACATCATGATGTATTGGGGAAAAAAAAAGCTTTTATGACATTATTTCAGATTTTATCTCCCTATGTTTGTTTTTAACCATGTTCAATGTATAGTTTCTTCCTACTTTTTATAACATGTTTTTACAAATGTTCCTATATTTCCCAACAATCAAGTTTTGGACTTACAGTGACATTGTGGAGCTCCACTTCATATATGTCTTATCTATCATATAGGACAAGGGTCAGCAAACTCCAGTCCTCCTACCCCCTTGTTTTGGTAAACAGTTTTATCAGTTCACATCCTCACCCATTTGTTTACTTATTGCCTATGGCTGCTTTTGCATTACAACTGTAGAGATGAGTAGTTGCAAGAGACCAAATGGTCCCACAAAGTCTAAAATACTTATTATTGGCCTTTCACAGAAAAACGTGTCCACCACCAGTAAAGGCTGTCAAGTATTCTGAGTTAATATAAAATACCGGAATATCCAGACTCCAATTTGTATTGTTCATGTGCTAGCCATTTGGGGAAAATTATTAATCTACTTGTTTGGTGATTGTTTTTTGTCATATTTTCTGTAAAAAGATTTATGCTCTCACTCAATCCCTTCAATTGCTACATGATATTGTAAATTGAGAACCTGATATTAAAATATAGTTAATTATTGGCAATATGCAATATGGCTTTCACATATAAGGCATAAGATAAATGTTAAACATAATCTATTTCAAATTTAGGATTTGTTGTATTTTTTGTGAATTATTACTATTAATATTGGTTTACTTTCAAATGCACTTTTTGTTTTGACAGGAGACATCCTCCTAAATTATTTATATAAAATGTATTATCACTCTTTTGTTGAATCAGTGAACTAGATGACAGCTCAATTTAAGGCATACCAAAAAAAAAAAAAAAGCCTTTAGAAGAATCACTTGTGATTTTGGCAAAAAAAAAAATTATATTGTCTTTCAGAAGAGAGATCATGTGATATTAAATAAGAAAATGGTAAGAGAATAAATAATTGTACAACAGTAACATTCCTGCTCACTGAAATGAGATGTTTTTCAATCAGCAGGAAATAAAACAAAACAGAGATGAAAATACATTTTCAACCAATTCAAAGTAATGTTTCAAAATTTAGGAAGCCTAAAAACAGTGCCCCCAATATGTAATTGCCCATTCAGTAAGATGCAGAAAGGCTGCAGTGATTGTATTAGTAGAAATTAGAACCTATCAACCAAAAAAAGGCCCAGGACCAGAAAGATTCACAGCTGAATTCTACCAGGTGTAGAAAGAAGAGCTGATACCATTCCTACAGAAACTATTCCAAAAAATTGAGGAGGGACTCCTCCCTAAGTCATTCTGAGGCCAGCATCATCGTGATACCAAAACATGACAGAGATACAACAAAAAAAGAAAACTTCAGACAAATATCCTTGATGAACATCAAGGCAAAAATCCTCAGCAAAATACTGGTAAGCTGAATCCAGCAACACATCAGAAAGCTTATACACCATGATCATAAGCTTTATTCCTGGGATGCAAGGTTGGTTCAACATACACAAATTAATAAATGTGATTCATCACATAAACAGAACTAAAGACAGAAACTAATGATTATCTCAATAAATGCAAGAAAGGTTTTTGATAAAATTTGTGATGGTTAATACTGAGTGTCAACTTGATTGGATTGAAGGATGCAAAGTATTGTTACTGGGTGTGCCTGTGAGGGTGTTGCCAAAGGAGATTAGCATTTGAGTCAATGGGCTGGGGAAGGCAGGTTCACCCTTAATCTGGTGGGTGTAATCCAATCAGCTGCCAGTGAATATAAAGCAGGCAGAAAAACGTGAAAAGCAAGACTGGCCTAGTCTCCCAGCCTACATCTTTCTCCCATGTTAGATGCTTCCTGCTGTCAAGCATCGGACTCCAAGTTCTTCAGTTTTGAGAGTCGGACTGGCTCTTCTTGCTCTTCAAGCTCACAGACAGCCTATTGTGGGACCTTGTGATCATGTAAGTTAATACTTAATAAACTCTCACATATATATATATAGCCTATTAGTTCTGTCCCTCTAGGGAACCCTGGCTAATACAAAATTCAACATCCATTCATGTTAAAAACTCTCAATAAACTAGGTATTGAAGGAACATACCTCAAAATAATAAGAGCCATCTATGAAAAACCCACAGCCAACATTATATATATATATATACCTCTATAAAATGGTAGTTGGGTTAGCCAATTGTACTGAATGCTTGACTTCTTGTCTACTTCATTCCATGAATAGGACAGGCCCTTCTCCCAAATTTCCCAAAGTATAATAAAGCTTAGGCTATAACTTTTAAAACATAGCTCTTTATTTTGAAATACAGTCATGAGTTGCTTAATGACTGACTGTACTGAAATCTGTCTGAAGAAAAATTGTGTTAACAGAGTATGAGGTGAATAGGCTAGAGAGTGAGGAGTTAGTGAGTAAGAATTTATTTAGTGTTCAGCAGCAGTGCTGAAGATCTTGAATATACTGCACTCTGAGTGTTTGCACTTTGGCCTCTATGGTTTTGATAGCTCTCATTGTCTCCATAACAGGAAAATGAATTAATGTGGAGTGAGGGGAGAACATGTTGATTTCTTCAGATCAAATGAACAGCTTCATTTTCAAGCTCATTAAGCATTCTCCCATTCCTTTGTGAGTCTTCTTCAGCTCAATAAAGAAGGAAACCCATCCTGAAGTGCACCAGCACTATGAGTATTGATTTGTTGTCTAATAACTAAAGCGGATTTTACTTATTTGTCAGTGAGATTCAAAATGACCAACAGTGAGGAATAACATCTGCTAGTTTTCTCACCATTCAAAGTATACTCAATAACAACGACAAAATAATAGCATTCAGCTTATCTCCATTCCTCTCTCACTCTTCTCCAGATATTTGACAGGCTAAGTAATTGGTCACTTTTATATTTCAATGTGATTTATAATAGCAATATAGTTTCTGACTTGGGAAAAGTAGATATTGATTTATGACTTAAAAATGTTAAAACATTGATGTGCCAAAAACAGGTTGAATAACAAATGAATCATCAAGACTGACTAGGAATTCTGGATGTATTTAATTGGATATGGAATACCAAGAGGTCTTTGATAGTGATCAGAAGACAACAAGGAGAAGGAAGAGGTCCAAGTCTCACCGTTCACTCTTGGTTCTAATGAATGAGGCTGGATGAAGCACTTCACCTTTTTTACATCGTGGTCTTTTCATCAATAAAACACAATGTGAAGACTGTCTCTGACCTTCTGAGTAAGGATTTCTTGGCAGTGCTGAACCCAAAATGTTCCAAGGACTTAATTCAAGAAAGATGGGCTCGGATTGCTTGGGAATATGCTACATTATTAACAGTGGTGGTATCGGGTGATTTTTATTTCCTGTAGTTGCCAAAATTTCTGCCATGAATAAATATTGGTATTATAATTAGGAAAAATTAATACATATAATTTAGACAAGAAAAATGGATTCAAGCCTCACCAGTGAGCATCATTATGTCTAGAAAGGCATGTGAGTGCACAACATTGCAGAAAGAGGACAATCTGGAGCCCAGAGGAGGGTGTCTGATGTTTGCTCTTTGCAGCCCTTCAGACCCAATTGCAGGCTGATTCCCTCCCTGTCCTGATACCCTTCCTTCTTTTCTTTCCTACGTTCTCCCTTTCTCCACATGCCCACTTTCATTTCTCTAGTGGGGTAAAGGCTGGGGGAGTCATTGTTTTTGGCTGAGATATGCTAAATAATGGCCCCCAAAGATATCCAGATCTTAATTCCTGGAAACTATAAATGTAACTGTATAGGGAAAAATTGATTTTGCAGCTATGATTATGGATATTGAGATGGGGAGGTTTATCCTGGATTCTCTAGGTGGACCCTAAATGTAATGACAAGTATTCTTAGAAGAGGGAGGCAGAGAGAAATTGGACCAGAAGTAGACAATGTGAAGGCTGAAACAGGATGCTACTCTGTGACTTTGAAGATGGATAAAGGGGCCTTGAGCTAAGGGAAGCAAGGAATGCAATCTAGAAGCTGGAAAGGGATTCTTTCCTAAAGCCTCTGGAGGGAGTGTGGCCCTGCTAACACCTTGATTTTTCAGCCCAGTGAAATTGATTTTGGACTCCTGACCTCCAGAAGTGTAAACTATAAGAGAACACATGTGTGTTTCCTTAAGCCATCAAGTTTGGAATGGGCAATACAGGTTCTTGGAGTCAGCAGCTTCCTTAGGCCCTCCATTGCAGCAGGAACACCCATAACACAAGCAAACCTTTCTATTGCTAGTAAGGATCAATTTTCCTGGCTTATCAATTTTACTAAAAGTCTTCTAACTATGTAGGAAGGAATGAGACAGCTGAAGGGGAATAAAAACCCTACCAGGCCACAGCATAGGCTGGACACTTTCCACCCAATGCCTTGCTTCTATACGTTAATGCTTGTTCTGGCCCCGTTTCTCAGCCTGGTTAGGGAGATGTGTAACTGTCCAATCTGCTCTAGTTGGCAGGCTGGCAACATGCAGACTGTCAATTCCTGGACAGCCCTCTCTAGTAGAACCTCTTAGGGCAAGTTTGTTGTCAAGTATTTATTCCGATTCTCTGTCAGTGCAAGATGTTATAATTGATCACAGTATTTTTCCCTACTAAGATGGACCTTGTGCACTGAATGCCTTTCCCTACAGAGCTCCCAATGGCTACTGCCACAAGAGGGAAGATCAGGAGGTTTTCCTTCCCAGCTCCAGAGTCTGCCAGTGCTGAGAGCACTCACGACAATTCCAGGCAGACCACATTCCCTCCACCAGGCAGTGGACTGAAATGACCTGATTATATTTATAGATGTTTTTTTCCTTTTAAAAAAGACTCCTTCGGTGTCTTGTCTATGACTCATGAATAGCATCCCTGGAAAATCTTAATTATATGAAACTTCAAACTGTGAGGACTAATTAGCTGTAAGTGTTAATTGTTCTGCACTCATCAGAGAAAGAGGTGTTATAGAAATAAAGATTTTTAGCTGTTTTTTGTTAAAGTTGCAAACAAGTTATTTAAGATTCATTCTCTTTGTTGGTTAGTTTTTCCATGTTGGATATCAAATATTATTGTGTGCCGCTCTGTCTACTCTGTTGAGTACCTTCCCTCTCAACTTTGAGTCACATCAAATTCTGATTTGATTTCTACCTAAGGTATCCAGTGTCCTGCCTGTGCCTATGATGGCCTCCAGATCAGCACTGCGTCTCCTCATCCAGTTGTGTCGCTATCCCCACTGGCCTTCAAGGTCATGGGACATTCGTTACCTCTACTAGATCCCCAGGAGCCCAGAAAATGAACTCTTTGGAGTCTCTGGATGCCTGTAGCCATGCCTTCTTGATCTCTACAGAGGAACTTGAACTTCACTAAAATAGGTTTGATTCACTTGAAGGGAAGACACAGTTTATGAGCTAGGCTTTCCGTTTTGGTGAATTCAAGGTTAGCAGAGCTGGCTTAATTGAATTTCTTTTCTGCCTCTACATTTTAATGCATTTCCTTTGTACGTAAGTAGTTTAGACATTAGTGTATTTTGCAAGTACCTATGAGACAAAAATTTTAAATGGGAGCATGCTTTCCACATTTGGAATTGGTTCACTGCACCTGGTATATTCCTAGAAGTCACAAAATGGCATTCATATGTTTTGGACAACTTTTCTCAGTACCTACTATTTGCACCCTAATAGCCACTATTCCAGAGAAAACTAGAGTAATTCTGGAAACTGTAGTCATCAGATAATTAAATCTGTATGCATAAAGGAAAAGCTGACATCTCAGTTTTAAAGAGAAAAATTTCTTGACAGGTTGACTGCTACTGTTGAGACCTCTTTTATTATTGTTCTTAAAGATCTAAGTTTTAACTTGATGGGAAGAGTGAACCCACATAGTTTTGGGAGAAATGCACAGAACAGGATGGCTATGGGTAAATTTACTAAAAATATCCCTGACTGTTTTTAAAGGAAGCATGTCATGTTCTGTATATTTGCATATAGAGAATATATGTATATTCTTAAAATGTTACATGGAAGCAACTGGCTTTTCTCAGCAAGGAAAAGAAATTGCCGACCTTTGATGTTTAACAACATGATTTCCTCTCTGTATGATCTGGTAGGACCCCAGTGCCATTAGGTTCATTTCTTTTCCTGCTCCAGATTGCTACCATTCCAAGGCATGGATCCTACTCTGAATTTTTTTTTGTCGGTCTTGGCTGTGTGCAAATCAACACAGCTCTGAAATCCCACTCTTCTGGATAATATTATGAAATCTCTATTTGTATAACCAACTTTTGGCCACATCTGCTTTTCTGGTAATGGGCTTATTTCTGATACATTGCCTGCTGCAACTAAACATCCTTCAAATTTCACTTTTTTTTTTTTTTTTTTTTTCCTGAGATGGAGTCTCACTCTGTCGGCCAGGCTGAAGTGCAGTGGTGCGATCTCAGCTCACTGCAACCTCTGCCTCCCACATTCAAGTGATCCTCCTGCCTCAACCTCCTGAGTAGCTGGGATTACAGGTGCACGCCATCACACCTGGCTAATTTTTTTTGTATTTTTAGTAGAGATGGGGATTCACCATGTTGGCCAGGCTGGTCTTGAACTCCTGACCTCAAGTGATCTGCCTGCTTCAGCCTCCCAAAGTGCTGGGATTACAGGCATCAGCCACCATGCCCAGCCAAATTTCACTTTTGATTCTATTCTATTGATTTATCCTAGGCTGCACTGGGGAACTTTCATCAGTTGAAAGTCTCCTTTCTGTCCTTTTGGCTCATCCTTGCCCATCATCTTCCACCATCACTAGCTGTGCTAAGATCGACACTTTAGATTGGGTTGACCAATTCAAGTGGCTCATCACTTTAAGGAGCGTGAGTCTGTCTGCAGGATGGTCCTTCAAATGAAGAACTGAGGGATGTATATTTTTGCAGTGCACACACAGCCATGAATCTTGTATGCATCTGGGACCTTGGAACAAACAGCAACAATAATAATAGTGGTTATGATGGGAATGCTAGCTGCCTTAGGTCAGATTTCCCAAGATGGAGATTTGCATACAGGGGTTTATGAGGATGAGCTCTTGGGAACAATATTTATAAGGGAATGAGGGAAGCAGGATTGGGCAGAAGAAGAAGTTGGAATAAGATGCAATTGCAGTAGAAAAATCTGCCAATCCCACTGGGAGCTCAGGAGTTGTCCTGGTTGTAGCAAGGGAGCTGAGCATTGATAGTCATTGTTTACTGGTTGGTTCCAACTACCCTGTGAGATGAATATTGTTATTGTTATTCCTATTTTACGATTGGGAAGCCAGGTCGAAGTGAAGTTAAGAAACTTGCCTAGTGGCAAATGACTAGTAAGTAGCAAAGGCAGATTTTGAATACAGAGCTCAAGTAAAGGGCCCATAATTGTAACACCTTTCTCTACTTGTCTTGTATTTAGTCTCCTGGAGACAATCACTTTCTTTTAAAAAATTCTGTATATTAAAGTGGTGATTTTTTTAAGTTAAATTTTTTTAAATCTCCATAGGTTATTGGGGGAACAGGTGGTGTTTGGTTACATGAGTAAGTTCTGTAATGGTGATGTGTGAGATTTTGTTGCACCCATCACCCAGGCAGTATATGCTGCACCCTATTTGTAGTCTTTTATCCCTCACCCCCTTTCCACCCTTTCCTCCTGAGTCCCCATAGCCCATTGTGTCATTCTTACGCCTTTGCATCCTCATAGCTTAGCTCCCAATTGTGAGTGAGAACATATGATGTTTGGTTTGGTTTTCCATTCCGAGTTACTTCACTTAGAATAATAGTCTCCAGTCTCATCCAGGTCGCTGTGAATGCCATTAATTCATTCCCTTTTATGGCTGAGTAGTATTCCATCACATATATATGATATATATGTCATATATATGAGATATATATGACATATATATCATATATATATCATATATATGATATATATATGATATATATATAAGGTATATATATGTGATATATATATGGTATATATATGTGATATATATATATAAGGTATGTGATATATATATATCTTACTGTTTCTTTATCCACTTGTTGATTGATGGGCATTTTGGTTGGTTCCACGATTTTGCAGTTGTGAATTGTGCTGCTAGAAACATGCGTGTGCAAGTATCTTTTTTGCGTAATGACTTCTTTTCCTCTGGGTAGATACCCACTAGTGGGATTGCTGGATCAAATGGTAGTTCCACTTTTAGTTCTTTAGGGAATCTCCACACTGCTTTCCATGGCAGTTGTACTAGTTTACATTCCCAAAAATGGTGTAAAAATTTTTCCCTTTTCACCACATCTATGCCAATATCTACTTTTGATTTTTTGATTATGGTCATTCTTGCAGGAGTAAGGTGGTATGGCATTGTGATTTTGATTTGCATTTCCCCGATCATTAGTGTGAATGTTGAGCATTTTTGCAGATGTTTGCTGGCCATTTCATTTGTATATCTTCTTTTGAGAACTGTCTCTTCATGTCGTTAGGCCACTTTTTGATGGGATTGTTTAGGTTTTTTATTTTGTTTTTTTCATTTGTTTTTGTTTTTTGCTAATTTGTTTGAGTTCATTGTAGATTCCGGATATTAGTCCTTTGTCAGGTGTATAGATTATAAAGATTTTCTCCCACTCTGTGGGTTGTGTGTTTACTCTGCTGACGGTTCCTTTTGCCATTCAAAAGCTCTTTAGTTTAATTAAGTCCCAGCTACTTATCTTTGTTTTTATTGCATTTGCTTTTGTGTTCTTGGTCATGAAATCCTCACCTAAGCCTAAGCCAATGTCTAGAAGGGTTTTTCCAATGTTATCTTCCAGAATTTTTATAGTTTCAGGTCTTAGATTTAAGTCCTTGATCCATCTTGAGTTGATTTTTGTATAAGGTGAGAGATGAGGATCCAGTTTCAATTCTCCTACATGTGGCTAGCCAATTATCCCGGCACTATTTGTTGAACAGGGTGTCCTTTCCCCACTTTATGTTTTTGTTCGCTTTGTTGAAGATCAGTTGCCTGTAAGTATTTGGGTTTATTTCTGGGTTCTCCATTCTGTTCCATTGGTCATGGTGCCTATTTTTATACAGTCTCATGCTGTTTTGGTGACTATGGCCTTACAGTATAGTTTGAAATTAGGTAATGTGATGCCTCCAGGTTTATTCTTTTTGCTTAGTCTTGCTTTGGCTATGTGGGCTCTTTTTTGGTTCCATATTAATTTTAGAATTGTTTTTTCTAATTCTGTGAAGAATGATGGTGGTATTTTGATGGGAATTGCACTGAATTTGTAGATTGCTTTTGGCGGTATGGTCATTTTCACAGTATTCATTCTACCCATCCATGAGCATGGGATGTGTTTCCATTTGTTTGTGTCATCTATGATTTCTTTCAGCAGTATTTTGTAGTTTTCCTTGTAGAGGTCTTTCCCCTCCTTGGTTAGGTGTATTCCTAAGTATGTTATTCTTTTTGCAGCTATTGTAAGATGGGTTGTGTTCTTGATTTGATTCTCAGCTTGGTTGCTTTTGGTGTATAGAAGAGCTACTGATTTGTGTACATTTATTTTGTGTCCAGAAGCTTTGCTGAATTCTTTTATCAGATCTAGGAGCTTTCTGGAAGAGTCTTTAGGGTTTTCTAGGTAAACGATCATATCATCAGCAAATAGCGACAGTTTGATTTCCTCTTTGCTGATTTGGATGCCTTTAATTTCTTTCTCTTGTATGATTGTTCTGGCTAGGACTTCCAGTACTGTGTCGAAGAGGAGTGGTGAGAGTGGGCATCTTTGTCTTGTTCCAGTTCTCAGAGGAAATGCTTTCAACTTTTCCTCATTCAGTATTATGTTGGCTGTGGGTGTGTCATAGATGCCTTTGATTACATTAAGGCATGTCCCTTGTATGCCCTTTTTTGCTGAGGGTTTTAATCATAAAGGGATGCTGGATTTTGTCAAATGCTTTTTCTTCATCTATTGAGATAATCATGTGATTTATGTTTTTAATTCTGTTTATGTGGTGTATCACATTTATTGACTTGCAGATGTTAAACCATCCCTGCATCCCTGGTATGAAACCCACTTGATCATGATGGATTATCTTTTTGATATGTTCTTGGATTTGGTTAGCTAGTATTTTGTTAAGGATTTTAGCATCTATGTTCATCAGGGATATTGATCTGTAGTTTTCTTTTTTGGTTATGTCCTTTCCTGGTTTTGGTATTAGGGTGATATTGGCTTCATAGACTAGTATAGGGAGGATTCCCTCTTTATCTATCTTGTGGAATAGTGTCAATAGGATCGGTACCAATTCTTCTTTGAATGTCTGTTAGAATTCTGCTGTGAATCCATCTGGTCCTGGACTTTTTGTTTGTTGGTAATTTTTGAATTACCATTTCAGTCTCACTGCTTGTTATTTGCCTGTTCAGGGTATCTAATTCTTCCTGATTTAAGCTAGAAGGGTTGTATCTTTCTAGGAATTTATCCATCTCCCCTAGGTTTTCTAGTTCATGTGCATAAAGGTGTTCATAGTAGCCTTGAATGATCTTTTGTATTTCTGTGGTGTCAGTTGTAATATCTCCTGTTTTGTTTCTAACTGAGTTTATTTGGATTTTCTCTCTTCTTTTGTTGGTTAATCTTGCTAATGGTCTATCAACTTTATCTTTTCAAAGAACCAGCTTTTAATTTCATTTATCTTTTGTATTTTTTTCTTGTTTCAATTTCATCTAGTTCTGTTCTGATCTTGGTTATTTCCTTTCTTCTGCTGGGTTTGGTGTTGGTTTGTTCTTGTTTCTCTAGTTTCTTGAGGTGTAACCTTAGATTGTCTGTGCTCTTTCAGACTTTTTGATATAGGCATTTAGGGCTGTGAACTTTCCTTTGAGCATCACCTTTGCTGTATCCCAGAGGTTTTGATAGGTTGTGTCACTATTGTTGTTCAGTTTGAAGAATTTTTTAATTTTCATCTTGATTTCATTTTTGACCCAATGATCATTCAGGAGCAGGTTATTTAATTTCCATGTATTTGCATGGTTTTGAAGGTTCCTTTTGGATTTCCAGTTTTATTCCACTGTGGTCTGAGAGAATGCTTGATATAATTTCAATTTTCTTAAATCTATTGAGGCTTGTTTTGTGGCCTATCATATGGTCTATCTTGGAGAAAGTTCCATGCACTGTTGAAGAGAATGTATGTTCTGTGGTTGTTGGGTAGAATGTTCTGTAAATATCTGTTAAGTTCATTTGTCCTGGGGTATAGTATAAATCCATTGTTTCTTTGTTGATTCTCTGTCTTGTGCTGATGACCTGTCTAGTGCTATCAGTGGAGTATTGAATTCTGTCACTAATATTGTGTTGCTGTCTATTTCATTTCTTAGGTCTATTAGTAATTGTTTTATACACTTGGGAGCTCCAGTGTTAGATGCATATATATTTAGGACTGTGGACACGGCCTTTTATCATTATATAATAACGATTATTTTCCTGTTGGACAAGGCCTTTTATCATTATATAATATCCCTCTTTGTCTTTTTTAACTGGTGTTGCTTTAAAGTTTGTTTTATCTGATATAAGAATAGCTACTCCTGCTTGCTTTTGGTGTCCACTTGCATAGAATGTCTTTTTCCACCCCTTTACCTTAAGTTTATGTGAGTCCTTATGTGTTAGGTCTTTTGAAGGCAGCAGATAGTTGGTTGGTGAGTTCTTATCCATTCTGCAATTCTGCATCTTTTAAGTGGAGCATTTAAGCCATTTACATTCAACATTAGTACTGAGATGTGAGGTATCATTGCATTCATTGTGCTATTTGTTGCCTGTATACCTTGGTTTTTTGTTTTTTCAACTGTATTTTTGTTTTATAGGTCCTGTGATATTTATGCTTTAAAGAGGTTCTGTTTTTATGTGTTTCCGGCATTTGTTTCAAGGTTTAGAGATCCTTTTAGCAGTTCTTGTAGTGGTGGCTTGGTAGTGGCAAATTCTCTCAGCAATTGTTTGTCTAAAAAGACTATCTTTCCTTCATTTATGAAGCTTAGTTTTGCTGTATACAAAACTCTCGGCTGATAATTGTTTTGTTTGAGAAGGCTGAATATAGGGCCTTAATGCCTTTTAGCTTATAGGGTTTTTGCTAAGAAATCTGCTGTTAATCCGATAGGTTTTCATTTACAGGTTATGTTGTGCTTTTGCCTCACAGCTCTTAAGATTCTTTCCTTTGTCTTAACTTTAGATAACCTGATGTCAATGTGCCTAGGTGATGATCTTTTTGTGCGATGAATTGCCCAGGTGTTCTTTGAGCTTCTTATATTTGGATGTCTAGGTCTCTGGCAAGGCAAGGAAAGTTTTCCTTGATTATTCACTCAAATATGTTTTCCAAACTTTTAGATTTTTATTCTTCCTCAGGAATGCCAATTATTCTTAGGTTTAGTCATCTAACACAATCCCAGACTTCTTGGAAGTTTTCTTCTTTGTTTTCGTATTCTTTTTTGTCTTTGTTGGATGGGGTTAATTTGAAGACCTTGTCTTTGAGCTCTGAGGTTTTTTCTTCTGTTTGTTTGATTCTATTGCTGAGACTTTCCAGAGCATTTTGCATTTCTGTAAGTGCGTCCATTGTTTCCTGAAGTTTTGATTGTTTTTATTTATGCTATCTATTTCATTGACTATTTCTCCCTTCACTTGTATCATTTTTTTGATTTCCTTAGATTGAGCTTCACCTTCCTCTGTTGCTTCCAGGATTAGCTTAACAACTAACATTCTGAATCTTTTTCAGGTAAATCAGGAATTTCTTCTTTGTTTGGATCTATTGCTGGTGAGCTAGTGTAGTTGTGGGGGTGTTAAGAACCTTGTTTTGTCATATTACCAGAGGTGGTTTTCTGGTTCCTTCTCATTTGGGTAGGTGCCATCAGAGGGAAGGTCCAGGATTCAAGGCTGTTCTTTAGATTCTTTCATCCCATGGGGTGTTCCCTTGATCTAGTAATCTCCTCCTTTTCCTAGGGATATGGCTTCTTAAGAGCCGAGCTGTAGTGATTGTTATCTGTCTTCTGGATCTAGCCACCCAGTAAGTCTACCAGGCTCTGGGCTGGTACTGGGCGTTGTGGGCACAGAGTCCCGGGATGTGAACCCTCTGTGGGTCTCTCGGCCGTGGGTACCAGCACCTGCTGCGATGGAGGTGGCAGGAGTGTGAAATGGACTCTATGAGGATTCTTAGCTTTGGTGGGTTAATGCTCTATTTTTTGTGCTGGTTGGCCTTCTGCCGTGATGTGGTGCTTTCAAGAGAGCATCAGCTGTGGCAGTATGAGGAGGAACAGGTGGTAGGTGGGGCCCTATGACTCCCAAGAGTATATCCCCTTTGTCTTCAGTTACCTGGGTGGGTAGGGAAGGAGCATTAGGTAGGGGCAGGGCTAGGCATGTTTGAGCTCAGACTCTCCTTGGATGGGTCTTGTTGCAGCTCTTTTGGGGGATGGGGGTGAGGTTCCCTTGTCAATGGAGTTATGTTCCTAGGAAGATTATGGCTGCCTCTACTGTGTCATGCAGGTTGTCAGGGAAGTAGGGGAAAACCAGCAGTCACAGGCATCACCCAGCTCCCATGCAACCCAAAGGGCCGGCCTCACTCCCACTGTGCCCCTGCACCAACAGCACTGAAACTGTTTTCAGGCAGTGGGTGAGCAGGGCTGAGAACTTGCCCCAGGCTACCAGCGTCCCAGCTGTGAAAGCAAGTAGGGCTTTTGTTTTTCCCCAACCTGTGGAGTCTGCACACTGGATTCATGCCCTCCCCCGAGTTCTGGCCAGGAGACTTCTTGATTGGTTTGAGTTGTTACAAAGTTCAACTGGAGATTTCTTCTCTCTGTGGCCTTTTCCCAGTGCCTCTCACCACCCTGCCCCACCAAGGACCCCTGTGAGGCAGGGCAGAAATGGCTTGCTAGGGACCCAGCGAGCCCACAGGACTGTTCCTGCTGCTTCTTCTACTCCTGTATTTTATTTGGTTCCCTAAATTGACTCAGATGGCAGGTAAGGTCAGAATATTCTCCTGTAATCTAAACCTTCAGTTTCCCCAGTGGGGGTGTGTGTTCTGGGGTGGATGATTTCCCTTTCCCACTTCCACAGTTTGGGTATTCACAGTATTTGAGGTGTCTCCTGAGTCTTACAGGAGCAATCTGCTTCCTTCAGTGGGTCTGTGGGTTCTCTTGGATATCCTAATGTATTCCTGCAATCGTTCTGGAGCAATAGTTCACAGTGTGAGCCTCTATATGCTGCTCTGTCTATATGAGCGGGAGGTGCATTCTAGTCCTGCCTCCTGTCCACTATGATCCCACTAAAGTGGTGATGTTAATAGTACATCCTCATCCTCCCTGATAAAATATTGGTATATATGGGATTAAGTATAGATTTATTTGCTTAATTCTCCCAGTAGCCTTTTACAGTTAGCAGCTTGTCAGTACATGCTGCTATGATGTATTAGCTGTGCAGGGGAGAAAAAAATTATACTTTTGTGTTCCCTCAAAGATAAGTGCTGTCTCCACACAATTATAGAAGATTGTTGTTCATCTCCAAGAAGGCATGAACCATGGAAACTGAATTTCCACCTAATCCTCACAATGGAGCTGTTCTGCAGCAATGAGATTCTGTGTAATTGAAGACTTGCCTATTCTCAAAGTTTAAAAAAAATGTCATTGGAACTCTTATTTATTGCAGATGTGAAAATGGTATGGCCTCCTTGGAAGATAGTTTGGCAGTTTCTTACAAAGCTGAACATAGTCTTACCATATAATGCAGAAATAATGCTCTCAGATATTTAACCAAATGAGTTGAAAACTTATGTCTATACAAAAACCTTCACATGAATGTTTATAACAGCTTTATTCATAATCTCTAAAAAACGTGGCACAACTAAGATATTCTTCAACAGGTGAATGCATAAACAAACTGGTACATTCATGCAATGGAATATTATCTAGTGAAAAAACAGAAATGAACTCTCAAGGCACAAAAAGACATAGAAGAAACTTAAATATTTGTTGCTAAGTGAAAGAAGTCAATCTGAGGCTGGGCGTGGTGGCTCACACCTGTAATCCCAGCACTTTGGGAGGCCAAAGAGGGCAGATCACCTGAGGTCAGGGGTTCGAGACCAGTCTGGCCAACATGGTGAAACCCTGTCTCTACTAAAAATACAAAAATTAGCCAGGCGTGGTGGTGCATGCCTGTAATCCCAGCTACTTGGGAGGCTGAGGTAGGAGAATCGCTTGAACCTGGGAGGTGGAGGTTGCAGTGAGCTGAGATGGTGCCATTGCACTTCAGCCTGGGCAACAAGAGCAAAACTCTGTCTAAAACAAACAAAAAAAAGTCAATCTGAAAAGGCTACATGCTTTGTGATTCCAACATGACACTCTGGAAAGGCAAAAGTAAAAAGATCAGTGTTTGCCAGGGATTTGAGGGGAGTGAGGAAGGATAAATAGGTCAAGTACAGGAGATTTTAGGATGGTACAAATATACTGTATGATACTGCAATAGTGTATATTACACATTTGTCAAAACAAATAGAACTTTATGGCAAAAGAGAAAACTTTAATATATGTAAATTGAAAAAAACCATTTAGGAGGTCAAGGAGACCCAGTGTGGAATGCAGACTGTGACAAGAGAATCTAAATGTATCACAAATGTTTAAAATAACTTTACTGGAATGGGAAGTGTTGGGGGAAAGTGCAGACCTAATTTTGGAAGTGAGAGGAAGCTATAGGACTAAAGGCAAAAGGAACTGTATATAAACACTGTACTCTAGTTGATAAAGTGGTGTCTCAGAGAGATACAGGTTAACAATTTTGTTACTGCTATACTTGTATACTGGAATTTAACAATTACGTATCTCATATGCAGAAAATTCCAAATAATTTATGTAGGTACTTTGCCCTAAAAGAGAGGGAGGGAGCATAACACCCCAATCCTTAAGTGTGGGCTGTGCATAGCAACTTGCTTCCAAAGAATGCAGTACCAAAAGGGGTGGGGATAAAGAGTAACTTTACAATGGAGAAGCCTGACAGACACTACTTCAGGCAGGTGATGAAGGTCAACATCAACGGTCATAAATCATGTTGATATTGTATACCCTTGATATGATGTGATGAGAATGGCACTTCACTTCTGTGACCTTTCTTCCCAAAAGTCTACTCATGAGAAAAACATCAGACAAATAAAGGGAAATCCTGCAATTTACCTGACCAGTACTCCTCAAAACTGTCAAGGATGTCAAAAACAAGGAAAGTCTCAGAAACTATCATAGCTAAGAGGGTCTAAGGAGACATGACCACTGAATATAATGTGGTATCTTGGATGGGATCCTGGAACAGAAAGAGGACATTAAGTAAAACTAAGGAAATCTGAATAAACACTGAGTTTTAGTTAATAATATTGTCTCCATATATGTTCATTGATTGTAACAAATATACACATTAATGTAGCATTTTTTATTTTTTTGAGACAGAATTTCGCTCTTGTCACCCAGGGTGGAGTGCAATGGTGTGATCTCGGCTCACTGCAACCTCCGCCTCCCGGGTTCAATTGATTCTCATGCCTCAGACTCCTGAATAGCTGGGATTACAGGTGCCCGCAACCATGCTGGGCTAATTTTTGTATTTTTAGTAGAGATGGGGTTTCACCATGTTGGTCAGGCTTGCCTCGAACTCCTGACCTCAGGTGATCTGCCTGTCTTGGCCTCTCAAAGTGCTGGGAGTACAGGCGTGAGCCACTGTGGCGGAAACTGGGCACCCAGGTGTATGGGAACTCCTTGTACTATCTTTCCAATTTTTCTGTAAAACTAAAACTGTTCTAAAAAATAAAGTTTACTTTTAAAAAGATCTGTTATCCAACAAAACACATTTTCAGATTAATTGACATTGGAAAGTCTGGAAACAACTAGCAGTGTTAGTCTACTCTCATGATCTACTAGTAAATAATACAATCTCCAGCCTAAGTGGTATGTGGGGGAACAGGTAAAAGTGTTTTGTGGGCCAGGTGCAGTGGCTCACGCCTGTAATCCCAGCACTTTGGGAGGCCAAGGCGGACGGATCACGAGGTCAGGAGATCAAGACCATCCTGGCTAACACGGTGAAACCCCATCTCTACTAAAAATACAAAAAATTAGCCAGGTGTGGTGGCAGGCGCCTGTAATCCCAGCTACTCGGGAGGCTGAGGCAGGAGAATGGTGTGTACCCGGGAGGCGGAGCTTGCAGTGAGCCGAGATAGTGCCACTGCACTCCAGCCTGGGCGACAGAACAACACTCTGTCTCAAAAAAAAAAAAAAAAAGTGTTTTGTGTCAGCCTTTGTGTGTGTATGAGTTACAGGTTTATTCTATTTTGAAACAGTCAAAATAGACTATAAAGAGACTTATGTGCTTCTCCTGCTAGTCTGTGATGCCCAAACATAAGCCTTGGAAAGATCTCAATTGCACCTGTTTGTTTAGGACTGAGACTTGAACAGATTTCCTTTTCATCAGCAGCATCAGATTTACATTTCTCTATTAGAATAAAAGGTGGTGAGGGTTCAGTACGTATATTGCTGTCTCAAAACGTCCATTTTGGAAACCTTAAAAATTTTGAAATAATAGAACACCATTAAACTGGTAATTTTGTATATGCAAAACACTACACACTCATAAGACAGCCAGGCTATGGGGGAGTCTTGCCAATAGTATGGAAAACCTTTACAGTAACAGCCTATGTCATCAAAATGATTCATTGAATCCACCCTATTCTTTTTGATATGTTTTGACTACAGTATCTCTTGACTCAGACAATGCCATTGTTCATAATTTCTTGTGAAAAATGTAATGATGGTATTGTCAGCAGCTGCCGCCAGAGTTCCCTGATCATTCGGGGCTGCCAATCATTCTATGAGGAGAAAGATTATAACTCTGGAATTATTGGATTCATGATACAAATTAATAGATCTACTTGGTGAATGGAAAATAGAACATTAAGAAGGATATCATATTTGAAACCAATGAGAACAAAGACACAACATACCAGAATTTCTGGGACAAAGCTAAAGTAGTGTTTAGAGGGAAATTTATAGCACTCAATGCTCACAAGAGAAAGCAGGAAAGATCTAAAATCAACACCCTAACATCACAATTAAAAGAACTAGAGAAGGGCCATGATGACAATGGTGGTTTTGTGGAATAGAAAGCGGGGAAAGGTGGGAAAAGATTGAGAAATCGGATGGTTGCCGTGTCTGTGTGGAAAGAAGTAGACATGGGAGACTTTTCATTTTGTTCTGTACTAAGAAAAATTCTTCTGCCTTGGGATCCTGTTGATCTGTGACCTTACCCCCCAACCCTGTGCTCTCTGAAACATGTGCTGTGTCCACTCAGGGTTAAATGGATTAAGGGCAGTGCAAGATGTGCTTTGTTAAACAGATGCTTGAAGGCAGCATGCTCGTTAAGAGTCATCACCACTCCCTAATCTCAAGTACCCAGGGACACGAACACTGCGGAAGGCCTCAGGGTCCTCTGCCTAGGAAAACCAGAGACCTTTGTTCACTTGTTTATCTGCTGACCTTCCCTCCACTATTGTCCTATGACCCTGCCAAATCCCCCTCTGTGAGAAACACCCAAGAATGATCAATAAAAATAAAAAAAGAAGAAAAAAAAAAAAGAAGAACTAGAGAAGCAAGAGCAAACAAATTCAAAAGCTAGCAGAAGACAAGAAATAACTAAGATCAGAGCAGAACTGAAAGAGATAGAGACATGAAAAACCCTTCAAAAAATCAATGAATCCAGGAGCTGGCTTTTTGTAAAGATTAACAAAATAGACTGCTAGCCACACTAACAAGAAAGAGAGAAGAATCAAATAGATACAATAAAAAATGATGAAGGGGATATCACCACTGATCCCACAGAAATACAAACTACCATCAGAAAATACTATAAATACTTCTATACAGATAAACTAGAAAATCTAGAAGAAATGGATAAATTCCTGGACACATACACTCTCCCAAGACTAAACCAGGAAAAAGTCAATTCCCTGAATAGACCAATAACAAGTTCTGAAATCGAGGCAGTAATTAATAGCCTACCAACCAAAAAAAGCCCAGGACCAGAGGGATTCACAGCCAAATTCTACCAGAGATACAAAGAGGAGCTGGTACCATTCCTTCTGAAACTATTCCAAACAAAAGAAAAAAAGGGACTTCTCCCTAATTCATTCTATGAGGCCAGCATTATCCTGATACCAAAGCCTGGCAGAGACACAACAAAAAAAGAAAATTTTAGGCCAATATCCCTGATGAACATCGTTGCGAAAAATCCTTAATAAAACACTGGCAAACTGAATCCAGCAGCACAACAAAAAACTTATCCACCACGATCAAGTTGGCTTCATCCCTGGGATGCAAGGCTGGTTCAACACACACAAATCAATAAACGTAATCCATCACATAAACAGAACCAATCACAAAAACCACATGATTATCTCAACAGATGCAGAAAAGGCTTTCGATAAAATTCAACACCGCTTCATACTAAAAGCTCTCAATAAACTAGGTATTGATGGATGGAATGTATCTCAAAATAATAAGAGCTATTTATGACAAACCCACAGCTAATATACTGAATGAGCAAAGGTGGAAGCATTCCCTTTGAAAACCGGCACAAGACAAGGATGCCCTCTCTCACCATTCCTATTCAACATAGTGTTGGAAGTTCTGGCCGGGGCAATCAGGCAAGAGAAAGAAATAAATAGGAAGAGAGGAAGTCAAATTGTCTCTGTTTGCAGATGACATGATTGTGTATTTAGAAAACCCCATCGTCTTAGCACAGAATCTCCTTAAGCAACTTCAGCAAAGTCTCAGGATACAAAATCAATGTGCAAAAATCACAAGCATTCCTATATACCAATAATAGACAAACAGAGAGCCAAATCATGAGTGAACTCCCATTCACCATTGTTACAAAGAGAATAAAATACGTACGAATACAACTTACAGTGGATGTGAAGAACCTCTTCAAGGAGAACTACAAACCACTGCTCAAGGAAATAAGAGAGGACACAAACAAATGGAAAAACATTCCATGCTCATGGATGGAAAGAATCAATATCATGAAAATGGCCATACTTCCCAAAGTAATTTATAAATTTAATGCTATCCCCATCAAGCTACCATAGACTTTCTTACAGAATTAGAAAAAAAAAACTACTTTAAATTTTACAGGGAACCAAAACAGAGCCCATATAGCCAAGACAATTCTAAACAAAAAGAACAAAGCTGGAGGCATCACGCTACATGACTTCAAACTGTACTATAAGGCTACAGTAACCAAAACAGCATATATAGACCAATGAAACAGAACAGAGGCCTCAGAAATCACACCACACATCTACAACCATCTGATCTTTGACAAACTGACAAAAACAAGCAATGGGAAAAGGATTCCCTGTTTACTAAATGGTGTTGGGAAAACTGGCTAGCCATATGCAGAAAACTGAAACTGGACCCCTTCCTTACACCTTGTACAAAAATTAACTGAAGACGGATTAAAGACTTAAAGTCTTACTTAAATATAAGACTTAAAACCATAAAAACCCTAGAAGAAAACCTAGGCAATACCATTCAGGATATAGGCATGGGCAAAGATTTTATGACTAAAACACCAAAAGCAATGGCAACAAAAGCCAAAATTGACAAATGGGATCTAATTAAACTAAAAAGCTTCTGCTCGGAAAAATAAACTAGTGTCAGAGTTAACAGGCAACCTACAGAATGGGAAAATTTTTTTTCAATGTATTCATCTGACAAAGGGCTAATATCTAGAATCTACAAAGAACTGAAACAAATTTATAAGAAAAAAAAAACCATCCAAAAGTGGGCAAAGGATATGAACAGGCACTTCTCAAAAGAAGACATTTATGTGGCCAAGAAACATATGAAAAAATGCTCATCATCACTGGTCATTAGAGAAATATAAATCAAAACCACAATGATATACCATCTCACACCAGTTAGAATGGCGATCATTAAAAAGTTAAGAAACAATGGATGCTGGAGAGGATGTGGAGAAATAGGAACACTTTTACACTGTTGGTGGGAGTGTACATTAGTTCAACCATTGTGGAAGACAGTGGGGCAATTCCTCAAGGATCTAGAACCAGAAATACCATTTGACCCAACAATCCCATTACTGGGTATATACACAAAGGATTATAAATAATTCTACTATAAAGACACATGTACCTGTATGTTTATTGGGGCACAATTCCCAATAGGAAATATTTGAAACCAACCCAAATGCCCATCAATGATAGACTGGATAAAGAAAATGTGGCACATATATACCATGGAATACTATGCAGCCATAAAAAAGGATGAGTTCATGTCCTTTGCAAGGACGTGGATGAAGCTGGAAACCATCATTCTCGGTAAACTAACATAGGAACAGAAAACGAAACACCACATGTTCTCACTCATAAGTGGGAGTTGATCAATGAGAACATATGGACACAGGGAGGGGAACATCACATATCAGGGCCTGTTGGGGGGTTGGGGGCTAGGAGAGGGATAGCATTAGGAAAAATACCTAATGTAGATGACAGATTGATGGGTGCAGCAAACCACCATGGCACGTGTATACCTATGTAACAAACCTGCATGTTCTGCACATGTATCCCAGAATTTAAAGTATATATATATATAAATATATATATGCCATATATACATAAATGGCATATATATTAATAATACATTTATATATATGATATATTTATAAGAAATATATATATATGGCAGAGAACACCAAATCCTCCTGGAAAATGTGAAAATACTGGAGGTGAGATGGCAACCTATTTAAGCAATTTATTAAATGATAACCCATGATAAAAAGGGTGTGTGTTGATCATGGACATGGATATTTTCCAGTAGCATCTTTTACTACTTTGCCAAATTTGACATGTATAGTGTTTCAACAAAAATTCATGGCCAGGCACGGTGGCTCATGCCAGTAATTCCAGCACTTTGGGACACTGAGATAGGTGGATCACTTGAGATCAGGAGTTCGAGACCAGCCTGGCCAACATGGTGAAAACCCATCTCTACTAAAAATACAAAAATTAGCCAGGCATGGTGGTGGGTGCCGCCTGTAATCCCAGCTACTTGGGAGGCTGAGGCAGGGGAATCGCTTGAATGCAGGACGTGGAGGTTGCAGTGAGCCGAGATCGTGCCACTGCACTCCAGCCTGTGTGACAAAGCAAGACTCCATCTCAAGAAAAAAAAATTATGGCCACTCAGATTGCTGTAACATATTTGGGGGGCAAATTACACTCGGCCCCTACCCCCCATACTCAGGGAGGAAATCAAGTGATTAGAATTTGAGCATGTCACAGTTTATTGTCAGTTAATACAGAATGCTTTGTTATGTAATCCAGGACAAGAAGGATCAAATATTATCATTATAACAATGCCATGATATTTGTTAGTGTAAAATAAGATCAAAGTTATGCTATCAATTTATCATGTGGAATTGAGGGTGAAAATTAATCCTATGGTGATGAAATATGTTCAATAGTTTTGATCCTTTAAGAGAGAAGGAGCTTGAGCCCAGAGTAGAAGTTTCCTTCTGTCTTTCAGTGGAGCCCCCTCAGCTCAGAACTAACAGAGCTCACCCTTGCCCTCTGCAGATCAGTGGTAAATGGATGCAATAGAAACCCTCTGGCATTAAAAAACACCTGGGGTTGTGGAATCTGCAAGACTTGGAGGGAAATGATGGTGATTGAGATAAGACTATTTCTTATGGGGAGTGGTGGTAAACCCCAGGGGAGAAGCTTGTGGAAAAGGGATACCAGAAGAGAAAAGAGTTAAAGGAAGAGGGCTGTGGGAGGAGGAGGCAGAAGGGGGATAATTAGGAAAGAGGAAGTGTCCAATGAGACACTCCCCCAACATCCTCACCCCCATCCTGAGTTCAGGACCATCTTCAAGGTCTCTTCACCTGTGTGGGAGTAAGGAGTCAGAAGCATGAGGCACCGGATTCTCATTCCATCACACCCTTAGCTGTCAAGGTGGCTGCAGTGACATCCCTATTGTGGGTGACTATACAGCAAGGACCATCTCTACCTGCAGGTGACAGCCCAGTGAGGGAAAGAGAAAGGCCAACGTCATGGACACAGCTCTCTCTGGAGGACAGTTCAAGGCATTCTCTTCAATGCAGAGAGCAAATCCAAGGAGCTACTTCTCACAGAAATGTGGCCCACAGCATTCACGCAGCCACTGTAGCCACAAAGACAGAGAACTATTTTGACTTTTGGGTTTGGTTAGGCTATTCTGACATGGGAGACATTTGATGATGCTATAACAATGCAGCTGTTTGGAAGCATAGAATAAAAATGACTGAGTCTAATACAGGCAGCCAACAAATACATGAAAAAATCACTAATCATCAGAGAAATGCAAATTCAAAACCACAATGAGAAACCATCTCACACCAGTCAGAAGGGCTATTATTAAAGTCAAAAAAACAACAGATATTAACAAGACTGCAGAGAAGAGAATGCTTATATACAGTTGATGGGAATGTAAATTAGTTCAGCCTCTATAGAAAGTAGTTTGGAGATTTCTCAGAGAACTTAAAAAACAGAACTACCATTCAATCAAGCAATCCTATTACTGGGTATATACCCAAAGGAAAATAAATTATTCTACCAAAATGACACATGCATTTGTATGTTCATCGCAGCACTACTCATAATAGAAAAGACATGGAATCAACCTGGGTGCCCATCAGTGCTGTACTGGGTAGAGAAAATGTGATACGTACACACCATAGAATACCATTGCCATAAAAAAAATCATGCCCTCTGCAGTAACATGAATCCAGTTTGAGGCCATTATCCTAAGTGAATTAATGCAGGAACAGAAAACCAAATACCACCTGTTCTCACTTATAAGCGGGAACTAAACACTGGGTACTCATGGACAAAGATGGGAGCAATAGACACTGGGGACTGCTAGAGTAGGCGGAAAGAGGAGGGAATGGGTTGAAAAACAAACTGTTGGGTACTAGGCTCACTAGCTGGGTGATGGGATCATTTGTACCCCAAACCTCAGCATCACGCAATACATGCATGTTACACACCTGCACATATACTCCCTACATCTAAAATAAAAGTTGAAATTATTAAAAAAAACCCAACCAAACAAAAGAAGACCCAAAATAGCTGAGTCTAAATGTTAAATTTTTGCCTCTTATTACGTAGTGTCGAACAGAGTAGACACCTTACACCCTAACCCTGAGTTACAGGCAAATTTGAACCTAGGGGACAGGCTAGGAGTGGAGAAACAGTATTTTGTTCCTAATAAGATAAATGGTGGGCCTTTAGTTCCGTCCTTGTACCAGCACTCTTTCCTTATTGACTCTTCCAGAAGCTATGGTGCTAAAGAAGCCATAAAACGTGGCTGTGAACACTTTCCATAAGAATGTTCCATGCAGCAGATTCCATACATAAAAAATATAGAACTATATAAAGATTGCATAGCTGCTTATTTAGAGGCAGAACTGAGGGAGTGGGATTCAGAGGAGCTAGGCTGCAGCCAAAAATTATTCCAGGAGGAATGTGAGAGACTTGTAGGGCTTACAGCTTAAATTCTGGGCCCAGTATAAAAAGTGTGATTTAACTTACAGGGAAAATGGGTTCTATGTTGCTGAATTACTATTCTTCAATCAAGTGCTTTTTTTTTTTTTTTTTAAACCAGATGTAGTCTGGTTTTAACATTTCTGCTTCTCTGATGGATGTGATATGGCACCGCATCATAGTTCTTAATTTTCTCTCTCTGATGTAAACCTTAGGTGCCTACTTTTGGGAAGTAACGTATATCAATTCTAGGCAAGATTATTTGGAGGCCTCACAACAGAATCTACAACAGAATTAGATTAGTGTTTCTTTCCAACTTTTGCTGGCCCTGGATATTGGAACACGTTATCTTGAATGACACTAGAAACATTTTATCCCTGCCCTATTTCTTTGTATTCCTAGCTATACATCTAAAATTTTAGTTTCTATATCTGATTATGTTCTCCCGGGTCAAATGCCCTGGGTCATGTGCCTACCACTAAGACTCATCAGGAAGGAGATACAGAAAATTAGACAGCTCCAAATCCCAATGCATTCCTACTATAGTCCATAGTATTTGGCTACCTGACATCAAAGCCCACCTTACTTCACATGCTCAGTTCCGGAAAAAAGGAAAAAAAAAGAAAAACTGCCTTCCTTACATCATGCAATTATTTCTCCGTACATCTGAAAGTACACTTGTCTCTTTCCAGAGAGGTAGACAGGCCAAGTTTCACCAGTTACCACATTTTCAAATCCAGCTCCATCTAGCTCTGCACAACTCACATTCGGATTCCGCAATTTATATTCAATAATGTGAAGTTAACCACCGTTAACACATTATATGAGATACTGAGTTCCATTGCCTCTCCCTCCTTGTAAATGGAGCCCATGACCAGAAACAATATTTTACGGGCAACCATAATGGTGAATGAGCCATTCAATAAGACCAGGGATAGTTTTGCTGGCAGAAGCATAGCAGGCAGGGACAGCAAACCTAGATCCAGAAGATCCAGAATAAGTATCAATTATAGTGATTTTAAATTGCTGCCCCTTTCATGACAGAGGGGATCCAATGTAATTAATCTGCTACCAGTTCTGTCTTCGGCTCTTTGGGGATACTGGCATCACTTTTCATATTTTTGTGATTGTACCCAAGATTTAAATTCCCAGGAAATAGAGATTGAATTCTGTGCCCAACCACTGATCAGGAATGGAGGTTTAAGGGGATTATGATAGACAGAAACAAAAGGTTTGATTAACAAATATAAAAGGATAGGGATGCTTGGCAGGCAAAAAGAATAGATCCACATTCCACCACTTTGAGGCTCACTTACCCTCCCCCTACATCACATATGAATTTTCATGCATTTAGGTTTTTAAATGCCTCATTCTAATATAAATAAATTTATCTTATGCACAACCAAGAATACTTTAGCTATTGTATCTAGCTTCAAGTTCAGCCTCTTGGGGTGAAGTCCAGCCTTCTTCTAGTTTCATTGTGATTCTGTCTTGATATTCTGAAATCTGAAACTTGATTAAAAAAAACTTAATGTACTAGAGAGTCATCTATACTAACACATGTAACTCAAAATCATCCCTTTTTGCTACTATATGAATAGTCTCTGATTTACCCATATTTCTGTTGGAGGGCATTTGAATTTTTCTATTGTTGACAATTATAAATATTAGAGCAGTAAACATTCTGTGTCTCTCTGTTTACACATGCAGAAGTTTTTCTCAGGGACATGTTTACCTAGGAGAAGAATAGCTGAATCAGACTGTGTGCATTTCTAACTTGTTTGATTTTTAAATTAATTTCCACTTTATATTGCTGTTAACATTGTATGAGAACTATATTTCTTGACTTCCCCAGCAACAGTTGTTATTAAATTTTTAAACATTTTTGCTTACATGATGGGTGTGACATGGCACCACATTACAGTTCTTATTTTCTTCTCTCTGATGTCAATCTTAGGTGGAGGGTATTCTTATTAAGCCCATTTTACAAATGAGGACTCTAAAGTGGAGGAAATAATTTGTCCAAGGCCTTATAGTTAGTAGGAGACTGGAAGTCAGGAATGATCCTGGAGCAAACTAACTCCAAAATTCATGCTGTTAATTCTCTTGCTGTAACTTGTTAGCATACACTTCACTGTTAGGCCAATATGCATCCTTAAAATGAAGAAACAGAGCCTGGAGGTGTATTTTTCTCCTCATTCTGTACTTTTCCAGTAGTCTGCCATCTGCGTGTTTTGTCTGCACCTTTTCCCATTCATCTTTTCTATCCTTTCCTTATTTGCTTTCACCCATCTTTTCTCTTCCCTCTCTCCCTCCATCTTCATATTTTAAAAAGTGACTTTAGCTTGGTTATTCTGCACAGCTATTCATAGGATTGAGAGAATAGACACAATAAATCTTGAGATATTAACTGATTTTTCTTTACATAGTATGTGAAAAAATTACAAACCTACCCATATCAAAGTTGAAGTGGAAAGAAACAACGCTGAATACCTTTGTGTGTGTGTAATTTGGAAATGACTGTTGGCAAAAACTGTCTGGAGCAGCTGCTTCTAATCACACCACTTGTCTCTTATAATTAGAAAAATATTTAAGCTTTTTTTTTTTTTTTGAGATGGAGTCTTGCTCTGTCACCCAGGCTGGAGTTAGTGGTGCGATCTTGGCTCACTGCAAACTCTGCCTCCTGGGTTCAAGCAATTCTCCTGCCTCAACCTCCCAAGTACCTGGGATTACAGGTGCCCGCCACAATGCCTGGCTAATTTTTATATTTTTAGTAGAGATGGGGTTTCGCCATGTTGGCTGGTCTGGTCTTGAACTCCTGACCTCAGGTGATCTGCCTGCCTTGGCTTCCCAAAGTGCTAGGATTACGGGCATGACCCACCGCGTCCGGCCAATTTAAGCTTCTTTAGGAACTGAAATTATGCAGCAAATTTATAATGAACAATAAAATGTTGAATGGAGAGTTGCCCCACCATTCACTCCTGCATTAATTTCTTTAAAATTTCTTTGTCAAGTTCTATTATTAGCTAAATAAGAATTACCACCTAAGCAGGTAATATGAGAAATACCAAAATTACAAGCTCAGGATGCTCTAAACCTTGCGGTTCAAGAGCAGTGAAGCAAATTAGACTCAGTCACAAAGCACCAAGTTCAGCAAATTTCTAGGTCTCAGGGTTTGTTAGAAAGAAGATACAGAAGTTAAATCAACATTTTGATACAGAATGTTAAAGTTTTGTCTTTCTCGTGTTGTTCTTTTTCTTACCTAAATAGGAACTCTTTCCTCTGTGCCCACACAGACTCTCTGTGCCCTCAGGACATTTTGTCTTCCATGAAACTTTTGCTTTATATGGTTGCCATTGCCATAGAATGAAAAAATTCATAAGAATGGAGCTGTGACTTTTTCATCTTTGATTCCTCATAGAAATTAGCACCTTGGCTGACACGTCGTAGGTGTACAATATATGATTCTCAAATTAAGGTGAACTGAATTCAATCAAGGTAACAAACACCTGCTTTCTAATTCTGAGCGTGACTGTGAAGAACTAGCATTGAGCACATGCTATGAGTGCTGGTATGAATACTGCAAATCTTGCAATCACCAAAGCCCCAAATTCTGGAATAAAACTCTGTTACTAGAAAAATTAAAGTGCCCTGGGTGGGATATGGGAGTGACGTTGTGGTATAGATTAGCAGATAGCCAGTAAAGGCAATTCTGTTTTCTGCGGTATACCTTAATAAGCGGAGATGATGCCTTATCTCTGTATAGGTAAATTCAATCTTGTATAAGATGTATTCTCTTTAAATTAATACTTACAAGAGTTTTAGGAGATTGAAACAATTATTCAAAAGTTACTTTGGAATGCAGGAATTCACAAAAAAATTCTGAAAAAGTAGAAAGCATTGCAGACTGGCCAGACAAGGTATTAACACGTAATATAAAGTGTAGTTATTAAGACCTGATGGCACTGGTGCAGGACTAGATCAACTTTTTTATCCATTCTCATTTGATAGACATTTAGATTGTTTCCAGTTTTCAGCTATTATGAATGGAGCTTCTATGAACATTCTTGTACAATTCTTTGTGTGGACAAAGAATTGAGTAAATACCTAGGAGTGAAATTCTAGGTCTTATGGTAAGAGTAGGTTTAATCTTAGAAGAGATTGTTACACTGTTTTCCAAAGTCATCGTACAATTTTGCATTTCCACCAGCAATGAATAGAATTTTAGTTGTTCCACATATTCTCCAATGTTTGGTAATGTCAATATTTTTACTCTTAACTGTTTTGTGAGAGTATAGCAAATCTCAGTGTAGTTCTAATTTGCATTTATCTGATGACTAGTAATGTTGAGCATATTTTCATGTGCTTATTGGCCATTTGTATATCTTCTATTGTGAAGAATCTTTTCAAACATTTTACCGAATTTTGGCTTGAGTTGTCTTCTTGTAATTGAGTTTAAGAGTTCTTTATATATTCTGGAAACAAATGCTCTATCAGATGTACGTATTGTGAATTTTTTCTTCCAGTCCATGGTTTACCACTTTGTTTTCTTAATGGCGTCTTTAGAAAAGCAGAATTTTGAAGTCGGGTAGTGTGATGCCTCCAGCTTTGTTTTTTGTTTTTTGTTTTTTTGCTTAGGATGGTCTTGGCTATATGGGCTCTTTTTTGTTCCATATGGATTTTAAACTAGTTTTTTCTATTTCTGTGAAGAATGTAAACGGTAGTTTGATGGGAATAGCATTGAATCCATAAATTACTTTGGGCAGTATGACCATTTCACTCTTCTAATCCACGAGCAAGGAATGTTCTTCCATTTGTTTGTGTCTTCTCTTATCTTCTTGAACAGTGGTTTGTAGTTCTCCTTGAAGAGGTCCTCCACATCCCTTGTGAGCTGTATTCCTAGGTATTTTATTCCCTTTGTAACAATTGTGAATGGGAGTTCACTCATGACTTGGCTCTCTGCTTGTCTGTTGTTGGTGTATAGGAATGCTTGTTAATTTGGCACAATTGATTTTGTATCCTGAGACTTTGCTGAAGTTGCTTATCAGCTTAAGGAGCTTTTGGGCTAAGATGATGGGGATTTCTAGATATACAATCATGTTATCTGCAAACAGAAACAATTTGACCTCCTCTCTTCCTATTTGAATACAGTTTATTTCTTTCTCTTGCCTGATTGCCGTGGCCAGAACTTCCAATACTATGTTGAATAGGAGTGGTGAGAGAGGGCATCCTTGTCTTGTGCCAGTTTTCAAAGGGAATGCTTCCAGCTTTTGCCCATTCAGTATGATGTTGGCTGTGGGTCCGTCATAAATGGCTCTTATTATTTTGAAATATGTTCCATCAATACCTAGTTTATTGAGAGTTTTTAGCATGAATTGAATTTTATTAAAGGTCTTTTCTGCATCTATTGAGATAATTTTTTTGAAAGTATTGAACGTTTTATTAATGTTAAGTTTTGAAAGCTTCACATTTGGGATACACTAAGATATAGGACTACTGCTGCTTAAAGAAGTTATCCTTTAGCATTGGGTTGTTGGTTTAGGAGTTATGGAGCTTGGCTATTTTTTGCTAAGCATTCACAATCTATAAATTCACAATCTTGGTCTAGGACTTGGCTCAGTAAAGTTAGACTCTCATCTTCTTCCTCACCAAAGTGCTTCTCAATGATGTTCAAAGCAGACTGGCCAATCTGACAGTTCTCATGCAGTTGTAAAGCCTCAATTCTATCGATCCCACCGAGTTGTTCTATCAGAAAACATAGGATTTCCTTCTCAGACCGTTTCTCTGCCGCCTGGAGGATGCAAGAGATTACATCGAGGATGATGAGAACAATTTTAACATCTGGGGCAATGAGCAGATTTGCCAGTGGCTCCAGGACCCCAGAGTGGAGGATCAACTTATCCACGGTGACCCACATTGCAAAGTTAGCCACCGTCCAGACAGCCTCTTTCTGGACTTTAAATTCTCCATTTTTTTTAGCAGAGCCACCACGGGAGGCAAGACGTTGTAGGCAAGCAGCTGCTGGGTGTGGTGAGAGGGCCCTGCCGCCACGTTGCTCAGGGCCCAGGCCGCCTCCTGGATGGAGGACTTGTTGTGCTGCAGGAACTGGGGCAGCACGTTCAGCATGCCCGCGTCAATGGCCATCTGCTTCTGTTCATTTGTGCCTGTGATAATGTTCCCCATGGTACGGGAGAGAAGGGGTCCAGACATTGAGTTCTGAGATGGTCATGAGGGCTACTAGCCTGAGCAGGACCCCTGTGTCATCCACTTGGCCGATGAGCTCTTTGCAGCCGTAGGTGAGGTAGGACAGTGACCAGCAGGCTTCTGAGAGAACCTCGCTGTGGTGGCGCTGCAGGAGTGAGAGGGCACGCAGCATCTGCTTCACTGCAGTTTCGCAAGGGTACGGGGTCTTTTTTCGGCATAGGTTCGACCAGGTCCACGTGATGTTCCGCATAAATGTGATTGGTAGGGTGGGTGAAATCAAGGCCCGCAGATGTGGGATGGCATTGCTTGAGATGACATTATCTCTGAACTCCAGGCCGTCACTGGGTATATTACCAAGAGCCCACATTGCCTGTTCACACACAGCCACGTTGGGGGAAGACAGGAGCTTGATCAAGGGCTGGATGGGTCCCCCTTCTACCACGGCTCAAATCTGCTCGGAAGTCCCTGAAGCAATGTTGGTCAGGGCCCAGGCAGCCTCAAACTGCAAGCAGGGGTAAAGTGATGACTTCAGGAACTCTACCATCCTGGGAATGAGGCCCGCTTCAATGATCAATTTCAGAAGGGGGTTCTTTTCCTGGGATAGCATTTTCCTGGCTGTCTGGGTGGCCTGGAAACGTGGGACTGAATCTGAGCTATTCACACCTTTGATTATTTCACCAGAGTGAAGCTGACTGCCACCTCTTTGGCTGGTTTTTCGGAAGCTGTATCAGGGCAGAAGCTGGTGATATTCTTTTTCTTTAAGATCCGTTCATCTTTCTTGGCCTTTCGGAGCTCCAGGCTGACTGCTATCCTCTGCTGTCGCCTCCGAGATGCATCTTTGCCTCAGTACTTAAATTTTCTCAACCTCTTTTCTGGAGCGTCTAAGGTCACTTTTTATCATTGGTTCTGTTTAGGTGATAAATTACATTTATTGATTGGTGTATGTTGAACCAGCCTTGCATCCTAGGGATGAAGTCGACTTGATTGTGGTGCATAAGCTTTTTGATGTGCTGCTGGATTTGGTTTGCCAGTATTTTATTGAAGATTTTTGCATCAGTGTTCCTCAGGAATATTGGCCTTAAGTTTCCTTTTTTTGTTGTATCTCTGCCAGGTTTTGGTATCAGGATGATGCTGGCCTTATAAGATGAGTTAGGGAGAAGTCCATCCTTTTCAATTATATGGAATAGTTTCAGAAGGAATGCTAGCAGCTTCTCTTTGTACCTCAGAATTCAGCTGTGAATCCATCTGGTCGTGGGCTTGTTTTGGTTGGTAGGCTATTAACTACTGCCACAGTTTCAGAACTTGTTATTGGTTTATTCAGGGATTCGACTTCTTCCTAGTTTAGTCTTGGGAGGGTGCGTGTGTCCAGGAATTTCTCCACTTCTTCAGATTTTCTAGTTTATTTGTGTAGAAGTGTTTATAGTATTCTCTGATGGTTGTTTGTATTTCTGTGGGGTCAGACAAATAGACCAATGGAACAGAATAGAGATCTCAGAAATAAGACCATACATGTGCATCCATCTGATCTTTGACAAACCTGACAAAAACAAGCAATGGGAAAAGGATTCCCTATTCAATAAATGGTGCTAGGAAAACTGGTTATCCATATGCAGAAAATTGAAAGTGGACTCCTTCCTTACACCTTATACAAAAATTAACTCAAGATGGATTAAAGACTTAAATGTAAAACCCAAAACTATAAAAACCCTAGGAGAAAACCTAGGCAATATCATTCAGGACATAGGCATGGGCAAAGATTTCATGACAAAAACATCAAAAGCAATTGCAACAGAAGTGAAAATTGACAAATGGGATCTAATTAAACTAAAGAGCTTCTGCACAGCAAAAGAAACTATCATCAGAGTGAATAGACAACCTACGGAATGGGAGAAAATTTTTGCAATCTATCCGTTTGACAAAGGTCTAATATCCAGAATCTACAAAGAACTCAAACAAATTTATGAGAAAAAACAACACCATCAAAAACTGGGAAAAGGATATGAAAAGACACTTCTCAAAAGAAGACATTTATGCAGCCAACAAACATGAAAAAAAGCTCAACATCACTGATCATTAGAGAAATGCAAATCAAAGCCACAGTGAGATACCACCTCACAATATTCAGAATGGCAATTATTAAAAAGTCAAGAAACAACAGATGCTGGCAAGGCTGTGGAGAAACAGGAACACTTTTACACTGTTGATGGGAATGTAGATTAGTTCAACCATTGTGGAAGACAATGTGACTATTCCTCAGAGACCTAGAACTAGAAATACCATTTAACCCAGTAATCCCATTACTGGTTATCTACCCAAAGGAATATACATAATTCTATTATAAAGATACATGCATGTTTATGTTCATTGCAACACTATTCACAATAGCAAAGACATGGAATCAACCCAAATGCCCATCAAGGATAGACTGGATGAAGGAAATGTGGGACATATACACCATGGAATACTATGCAGCCATACAAAGGAATGAGATCATATCCTTTGCATGGATGTGGTTGGAGCTGGAAGCCATTATCCTCAGCAAACTAGCACAGGAACAGAAAACCAGACACCTCATGTTTTCACCTATAAGTGGGAGCTGAGCAATGAGAACACATGGACACAGCGAGGGGAACAACACACAGTGGGGTCTGTAGGGGAGCGAGGGGAGGGAGAGCATCAGGATAAATAGCTAGTGAATGCAGGGCTTAATATTTAGGTGATGAGTTGATAGGTGCAGCAAACCACCATGGCACATGTTTACCTATGTAGCAAACCTGCACAGCCTGTACAGGTATCCTGGAACTTAAAATTAAATAAAATTAAAGCAGAATTTTTAAATTTTGATGAAGTCTAATTTGTTCATTGTTTAAATGGTTCATGCTTCTTCTTTCCCACCTAGGAATTTTTGCTATATCAAGAGTGCAAAGATTTTCTTCCATGTTTCCTCCTGGAAATTTTATAATTTTTGCTTGTTTAGGTCTTCTCTAATATAAGTACTTAAGGCTATACATTATGTTCTAAGCTCTGCTTTAGTCTTATCCCACACATTTTGATGTTACTATTACCATTCCATTTAAAATATTTTCTAATTTTCTTATGTTTTCTTTGACCCATGCATTATTAAGAGGTATATTGTTTAATTTCTAAATGTTTGGGAATTTTCCTTATATCTTCCTGTTATTGATTTCTAATTTAATTATCTTGTAACAGAACATACTCCATATAATTTCAATCTGATTAAATTTCCCTATGGCCCAGAAAATTGTCTATTTTGGTGACTATTGTGAATGCACTTGAAAAGGATGTTTATTCTTTTTTTGAATGGTATATTCTATACATTTATCAGTTGGGTCCAGTTGGTTGTATTTTTCAAGTCTCCTATGTCTGTACTGATTTTTTTGTGTTCTTGTTTTATTAATTAATGAAAAAAACACTGTTGAAGCTCCCAGTTGTATTTGTGGTTTTATTTTTCCTTTCAGTTCTATCAGCTTTTTCCTTGGATATTTTGAATCTCTGTTACAGGATGCATACACATTTAGAACTGTTATATCTTTTTGATAAGTTTACCCCTTTATCATTATGAAATTTACCTCCTATTCCTGGTAATATTCCTTGTTCCGAACTGTACTTTGTCTGATGTTATCCATTCCAGTTTTTTTTTTTACAATGAATTTTTGCAGAGTATATCTTATTTTGTCCTTTTATCTGTAATCCACTTCTTGTAGTCCACTCTGGTAATCTCTGCCTTTTACTTCTTTTAATTAGAAAGTTCAGACCATTTATATTTAATGTGATTATTGCTATGGTTGAATTTAAAACTACTACTTTGATACCTGTTTTTTATTTGCCCCATCTGTTCTTTGTTCCTTTTTTTCTTTTATTTTTGTTTGGGGGTGGGGGTCAGTTGAGCATTTTATAATACTTCTGTTTATCTCCACTATTACTTATTAGTTATACTTAGGTTTTTGCTTTTGTGTTTTTAAAGGTTATTTTTGATTCTTGAATGTGCATCCTTTGCTTATCAACTTGTACTGTGGGTGACAGGGTTTGCTACCTTTCCCCCAGTGACTTAAGGCCTTTGTTCCACAGAAGAGGAGCCAGATGGGTTTTGTGCCTTTTTCACTCTACTGATGGAGGCCCTCTTCTCCCACCCTGCCCCAAATATTTCTCATGTCCACTTGTAGTTCTTCTCCACACACCCCCATTGAAGGTATGTGGAGAAGAACTGCAAGTGGACATAAACTTCCCTCATGTCTGAAACTCCCAGGGGCTCTATGATGTCCCACTAGCCCAAGTGAGGCCTAGCAACTTAAACTTTTTAAGTGAATTCATTTTACCCACTTTGATGATGCTCAGTGTCTCTTCCCCCAATACTCTGCCACAATTAAGCCAATGCTTGTATCATCTTGGAGGCTCCTGTCTTTCCTTGGCTTTCAGTCTATTTGGTTGCTCTTTATATCAGCTCTCTAATGAGATTAAGAAATATTCTGATTCTGTAGTTCATACATTTTTCTTGTACTTGGGGCAGGAATGATACCTTCCCAGCTAAATACTAGGCAGAAACAAAACTCTTGCAATAAGCTTTTATGCAGGCATTAGTCGTGGAAAAGCTGAGAAGCCAAACAGGGGTTGGTGAGCAACTCAGAGACTAGCAACATTAGATAGATTAGGCTGGAGGGAAAAAAAGAAGAGATACTGGTAAGCCCAGTAGCTAGGTTAATCTTGCAGAATCTAGAACCATAGAAGCTTGTCTGTCAGAAGCTGGAGCCATGGAAGAAACACAGACATTACTTAATATGTCACCTGAGGCATAGAATGAAGGAGGAAAATATCCTGTCTTTTCCTCTTCACATTCAGTTTCCGGACAGTTTTTCCCGTTAGTCAAACTAGCTATCTCCAATAGACATGGCAACTTGGAGAATATAGCATGCAGACAACAGATAACACTCTTATTAGAAGAGAGCAGGAAAAGGATAAAACATAGAGCTGAGGCCAGTCACACAAAGACTAGCACAGGTGTTTATCCTCTATTTCTGAATAATGTGTTTATGTTTCCCCACATTGATTTTCCAGTTTTAGACATTATCTATTATTGACTTCCTGACTTAGAAAATTTGGTTCTCTTCCACTACTCCTCTCTTACCTAACTCTAAACTTCCTCTATCTTGCAAATATTTATGTTGCAAATTTTTGTCTAAAAATAATGAGTGCTAAATTATTATAAGTGTGTATGTAGATGTTGTCCATAGCTGAATCATGTAATATAGTATATTAAAATGTTGTCTTAGCTAGGTGCAGTGGCTTATGCCTGTAATCCCAGTATTTTGGGAGGCCAAGGCAGGAGGACTGCTTGTGCCCAAAAGTTTGAGACCAGCCTGGGCAACATAGTGAGATCCTGTTTCTACAAAAAATAATAATAAAAAAAAATTAGCCAGGCATGGTGACATATGCCTGTGGTCCCAGCTACTTGAAAGGTTGGTGTGGGAGAATCGCGTGAGCCTGGGAGGATAAGGCCGCAGTGAGCTGTGATCATGCCACTTGTACTTCAGCCTGGATGACAGAGTGAGACCGTGTCTCAAAATAGAAGTTGCTTTAATGTGGTAAAATGCACATAATATAAAACTTACCATCTTAATCATTTTTAAGTGTACGCTTCAGTAGGTTAAGTATATTCAGTTTGTTGTCCAACCAATCTCCAGAATTTTTTCATACCTATTAAACGACTTCCTGTTTTCCCCTCCCCCGAGCCCCTGGGAACCACCATTCTACTTTCTATTTTTTTTTTTGAGTTTGACTTCCCTAGAGATATCTCATACAAGTTGAGTCATGATTTTTACCTTTTTGTGACTGGCTTATTTTACTTAATTAATGTCCTCAAGATTCATCCATGTTGTAGCATGTGTCAGAATTTCCTTCCTCTCTAAGGCTTAATAATATTTCATTGTATTACCTACCATATTTTGTTTATCCATTCATCCATCAGTGGATGTTTGGGTTGCTTTTACTTTTTGGTTATTGTGAATAATGCTGTTATGAACATGGGTGTATAAATATCTCTGAGATCCTAGGTGCAAATCTTTTCACTAAATATCCAGAAGTAGAATTTCTGATTTATATGGTATTTCTGTTTTTAATTTTTTGAGGAACCATCATACTGTTTTTCACAGCAGCTGTATCATTTTACCACCAAAAGTTCACAAGAGTTCAAATGTCTCCACATCCTCACCAATATCTATTTTCTTTTTTTTTTTTTTCAATAGCAGCCATTCTAATGGGTGGGAGGCAATACCTCATTGTGACTTTGATTTATTTTCACTTCCAAAATTATTAATGACATTGAGCATCTTTTCATATGCTTATTGGCCATTTGTATATCTTATTTGGAGAAATATCTATTCAATTCCTTTGCTGGGATTTTCTATTTCTGCAAAAAAAATCATTGGGATTTTGATAGGAATTGCATTGAATCTGTAGATCGCTTTGTAGAGTATTGACATCTTACTATATTAAGTCTTCCAGTACATAAACACAGGATATCTTTCCATTTATTTGTGTCTGCCTTAATATCTTTCAGTGATATTTTGTAATTTTCAGGGTGCAAGTCTTTTGGCTTGCTTATTCTGAATATTTTATTCTTTTTGATTCTATCATAAATGGAATTATTTTCTTAATTTCCTTTTCAGATTATTCATTATTAGTGTGTAGAAATATAGCTAATTTTTTTCGTGTTTTGATTTTGAATCCTGTAATTTTGTTGAATTTGTTTATTATTTCTAACAGGTTTTTTTGTGGAATCCTTAAGATTTTCTACATACAAGATTCTGTTGTTTATGAATAGAGGTAATTTTAATTCTTCTTTTTGGATGCCTTTTATTTCTTTTTCTTGACTAATTGTTCTGGCTAAGACTTCTAGTACTATGTTGAATAGAAGTGTTGAAAGTGAGCATTCTTGTCTATTTCCTGATCTTGCAGGAAAGCTTTCAGTCTTTCACCTTGACTATGATAGCTGTGGACTTTTCCTATGTGGCCTTTATTGTGTTGAGGTAGTTTTCTTCTATTCCTGTTTTGTTGAGTGATTTTTTTTTTCATCCTTAAAGGGTACTGAATTTTACTAAATACACATTCCAATTTTTTAAAGACAATTTTTTTTTACTCTGAAGTTTAAAATTGCTTGATTTTCTATGTACCTGTCACCAATTTTTAATCCCTAAATACTCCAACAGATCAATGAATTACTTATCAAAACAATCAAACACATCAGGTAATCTATCAATTAATTTTTTCCCCTGGTGACTTTGCCTCTGATGCTCTCTATTCTCTAGGCAGAACTGATTGCTCTGAAGGCTGAGCCCTCAGCTATTATGCTGGGTCTTCACTTTAGCACCATCCAGGAATTCTTTTTGCCTGTCACCTATTTGAATGTCCTGTTTCCTCTATCCCCTATCTTATTCTTGATTTTGATAGAGCATAATTTATAGTAACTTTATTTATTATTCATGATGGGTAGTTTGGTTGGGCACAGAATTTCAGGTTGAAAATATTTTTCCCTCAATATTTTGAAGACATCAGTCTCTTCTAGCTTCCAAAGACGAGTCTTAGACATTGTCTGATGTTTGGACAGTTTATTCCAGAAGTGCTCTTACAAGACAGATAGCGGGAGCAGGCTGGTGGCATGGGCCAGATAGAGTCAGGAGTCAGATGACTGGGAGAGTCTCCATCTGGGGACCATTCTCAGAGTTTGGGGGATTCTTTCTCCTTTTTCATACTATTCAGTCCAGGTCAGTTGCCAGGTGTTTCTTTCATAAAGGAAGTATTAGCATTCTTGTGAGGGTAAGCATTGTTTTAAGGTTGCATCTATGTTGAGTGGTCTTGTCCCTAGGGCAACCAGCATTTTTAGGTCTCATTGTCATACAGACCCAGTAATTCCCAGGCCATGGTTGGAAATCTTAGGCCAGGTTTCACCATACTGCTAAGTGAACACATAGTGTAGACCCTGTGAGATATTTGAGAGGGACTTTTGGCCATCATTAAACTTATAGCAACAATATGTCTCTTTTTTTAATTTTTAATTTAATTTTATTTTATTATTATACTTTAAGTTTTAGGGTACATGTGCACAATGTGCAGGTTTGTTACATATGTATACATGTGCCATGTTGGTGTGCTGCACCCATTAACTCGTCATTTAGCATTAGGTATATAGGTATATCTCCTAATGCTATCCCTCCCCCTCCCCAACCCACAACAGTCCCTGGAGTGTGATGTTCCCCTTCCTGTGTCCATGTGTTCTCATTGTTCAGTTCCCACCTATGAGAGAACAATTGGTGTTTGGTTTTTTGTCCTTGTGATAGTTTGCTGAGAATGATGGTTTCCAGTTTCATCCATGTCCCTACAAAGGACATGAACTCTTCGTTTTTTATGGCTGCATAGTATTCCATGGTGTATATGTGCCACATTTTCTTAATCCAGTCTATCGTTGTTGGACATTTGGGTTGGTTCCAAGTCTTTGCTATTGTGAATAATGCCACAATAAACATACGTGTGCATGTGTCTTTATAGCAGCATGATTTATAGTCCTTTGGGTGTATACCCAGTAATGGGATGGCTGGGTCAAATGGTATTTCTAGTTCTAGATCCCTGAGGAATCGCCACACTGACTTACACAATGGTTGAACTAGTTTACAGTCCCACCAACAGTGTAAAAGTCTTCCTATTTCTCCACATCCTCTCCAGCACCTGTTGTTTCCTGACTTTTTAATGATCGCCATTCTAACTTGTGTGAGATGGTATCTCATTGTGGTTTTGATTTGCATTTCTCAGACGGCCAGTGATGATGAGCATTTTTGCATGTGTTTTTTGGCTGCATAAATGTCTTCTTTTGAGAAGTGTCTGTTCATGTCCTTCGCCCACTTTTTGATGGGGTTGTTTGTTTTTTTCTTGTAAATTTGTTTGAGTTCATTGTAGATTCTGGATATTAGCCCTTTGTCAGATGAGTAGGTTGCGAAAATTTTCTCCCATTCTGAAGGTTGCTTGTTCACTCTGATGGTAGTTTCTTTTGCTGTGCAGAAGCTCTTTAGTTTAATTAGATCCCATTTGTCAATTTTGTCTTTTGTTGCCATTGCTTTTGGTGTTTTAGACATGAAGTCCTTGCCCATGCCTATGTCCTGAATGGTATTGCCTAGGTTTTCTTCTAGGGTTTTTATGGTTTTAGGTCTAACATGTAAGTCTTTAATCCATCTTGAATTAATTTTTGTGTAAGGTGTAAGGAAGGGATCCAGTTTCAGCTTTCTACATATGGCTAGCCAGTTTTCCCAGCACCATTTTTTTTTATTATACTTTAAGTTTTAGGGTACATGTGTACAATGTGGTTTGTTACGTGTGTATACATGTGCCATGTTGGTGTGCTGCACCTAGTAACTCGTCATTTAACATTAGGTATATCTCCTAATGCTATCCCTTCCCCCTCCCCCGACCCCATAACAGGCCCTGGTCTGTGATGTTCCCCTTCCTGTGTCCATGTGTTCTCATTGTTCAATTCCCACCTATGAGTGAGAACATGCGGTGTTTGGTTTTTTTGCTGAGAATGATGGTTCTTATAGTATGCTACACAATGTAACTTTGAGATGTCTAATGATACACTGATGCGAACCATTTTCTTCTATCTGAAAATTTTAGGTCTTTTCTTTCTCCCCTGCGTGCTGAAGTATTACCATAATGTGCCTTGGTGAGAGTCATTTTTATTCATTTTGCTGTGTACTGTGTGGACCTTTTCAAACTGGCGCTCATGTCCTTCAGGTCTGGGATGTTTTTACGTGCGTGCTATTTTTTGAAGATATTCTCTTGCCCATTTCTTCTGTTTTCTTTTCCTGGAACTCTTAATAATTAAACTGGATGCTGAACTTCCTCTAACTTTCTTTTTTTCCTACCACTATTTTCCATCTCTTTGTCTTTTTTGCTTTTACTTTCTAGATTTCCTTAACTTTATCTTCTAATTGTGGGATTTCATTTAAAAAGTATATATCCGTACTTTAATTTTAAAAACTTCTTTTCTCGAAATGTCCCTTTTTTAATTGACTTCTGTTTTTATGAAGGTAATGCTTTATTATCTCACTGATTTTTGCTCCTAGTCTAATGCCTTAAATTTATTTTTCTTATATTTATACTGACTAGGCCTACCAATATAATATTATTATTATTATTAATTTTTAATTAACAAATAAAGATATATATTTATGTATACAGTGTGTTTTGAAATACATGTACATTGTGGAATGGCTAAATTTAGATAATTGACATGTGCATTTCTCATATGCATTTTTGTGTGCAATGAGAACACTTGAAATCTGCTTAAAATTAGTAATCAAGTATACAATATATTGTTATTTATTATAGTCACAATGTTGTACAGTAGAGCTCTTGAACTCATTCTTCCTAACTGAAATTTTATATTCTTTGAACAACATCTCTCTAAACCCTTATCTCTCCACACTCCCAGCCCCTCGTAACTACTGCTCTACTCTGCTTCTATGAGCTCAACTTTTTAGATTCCTATAAGTGAAATCATGTGGTATTTGTCATTCTGTGCCTGATTTAGCATCATGCTCTCCAGATTCATCTGTATTCAGGCACCTGTTGTTCTTCATGCTCTGACTGAATGGGCTGGTGGAGTTCAGTGGTGTCCTATCTATTCCTTATAAAGATTGTCACAGTCCTTTTGCTTTCAGACCAGCTTAAACTGTTGGACTCAGTGATATCTAGTTTATTCAATTCTTGAGAATTCTCAAGGTTCTGTAACTTCTTAACTGTTTGGCGTATAATTAGCTTACTTCTTATTAGATATCCTATTATAGACTCAAGCTTCATCTCTCTTTGGTCTATGAGGCCACTTCTCATTTATTGCTTTTCAGTTTCTAGATTTTGTTGACATCTCTCATATGCTGTCATTATTTCTCTTTTTTGTGGATTTATAGTTTTAAATTCCTTTTCCTTTTATTTTAGTGGGATTTTAGAAGGTAACAAGGAAAAAACAATTATACTGAGTCCAGCAAGCTTACCCATAAATTTATTTTAATTAATAATTCTATTTTAATTGAGAAAAATGAAATAAAAGAAGTGATTAGTAAAGTTATAATTGGGTTAATTTATTTGGGTAATTCAACTTAAAAAATAATTTTTTTATTAATAGTAAAGTGATGAGGAAAAATGAACATATTGCTTTAGCTATTAGATATTTCACTTTACATTTTCTTTTCATGATTTTAAAGATTATAATGACAACAAAAATTATAATACAAGGGAAAAATGCAGACTACAAATTTGTAAATACTGCTTGATCACACATATGTAAATCTTGAGTTTCAGGATGAAAAGATAGATTTTATGTTCCCTTTGTATGCCAATAAAAATAGTTATTATAAATATTCTTTACTTTTCATTTGTAGTATTCAGGGTGCTTTGATGTTTACCAGTGGTCATTTTGAGCCCATAAAATGGTAAGAAGTAGCTCTGAATGGGAGCACGGAAAAAGGAGAACAAAGAAATAGGCTAGACACCACAGAAAACTCTGGACTCCGAGATAGGCAAGCAGCTTTTGAAGTGGTCCTTGACATTTTTCCTGGCGCTATAACTGGTCATGACTTTGGAAAGTCTTTCTATTAGCAGATGACGAGCATATTTATAGTTGTAAATGTCAGACAGGCCATGTTGGGAGTGGGCAGCTCTGGAACTGTGTATGTGGGAGGAAGGGTATTTTTTTCTCCTTGTAGTTTTTTGTGTTCTCCAAATTTTCTATAAAAATCATCTATTAACTGCCAGTGGAGAGTTTAAGAGATGTTCAATAGATGGGGTCAACAGGATGCAGATGTGTGTAGGACATAAAGAAGAGGAAGAAGGACCCTGGGTTCTGGGCAGGCAAGGGATGTAGTGCTCTGAACTGGCCAATGTAGTTCCTTCTAAGGGAGCTATCCCTGCTTCCAGTCCCTAACAGAAGAGAGGCCACAGGTGCACCTATGATCCCACCAGCCTTGGGCATAGTTGATTAGAATAGGTATGAGCTTTGGCCCAGAACTAAACTTTGACAAATTTCTTTGACACTCCTCTCTTTGAAAGGTGGATATATCTCCTCCAACTCCTTGAATCTGAGCTGAGTTTAGTGAGCAGCTGACTGCTAAGAGTATGGTGGAAGTGATGCCACGTGACTTACAAGGCTAGGTCAAAAAAGGCAATGCATCTTTTGCTTGGCTCACTGGAACAGTCACGTTGGAACCTTGGGCCACCATGTAAGAATTTCTGTCATCTGAGGCCATCATCCTGGGATGAAGCCCAAAGTAGTGTACATGGAGAGACCCTGCAGAGAGCCGAGAACCCTTGAAACCTCAGAGGAAAGAGAGGTGCCTAGCCAGCCCCCAGCTCTTTCAGCAGTTATAGTCTTCCAGCTCCAGCCTTTGACTACAGCTATGTGGCAGACTCTGAACCAGAACTACCTGGCTGAATGCTTCTCAAATCCTTGACTCCCAGAAACAGGAAAAAAAAAAAAAAAAAGATCATTGTTTTAAACCACTGAAGTGTGTAGTTTTGTGACGCAGCTATAGGTAATTGACTTATGGTACCAAAATATTTTCCAATTGTCTACTGCTATATAACAAACTATCCCAGAACTTAGGGTATAAAGCATGCATTTTATTATGCCCACACATGCTGTATATCAAGAATTCAGACAGGCACAATAAGCATGGCTTGTCGCTGCTCCATGATATCTGATGCATCAGCTGGAAAGACTCAAAGGCTGGGAGTGATCGACTGGGGACTGTTGTCCTCTGCAGATAGCTTTACTCACACATGTCCGGTGGTTGATGCTGGCTGTTTTCTGGGACCTCCGCTGGAACAGTCAGCCACAGCCCCTACCTGGCCTCTTTGTGTGGCCTGGGCTTCTTCATAGCCGGTGGTCGGATTCCAAGAGCAAGCTGCTGGTGTCTTAAGGCCTAATCCTGGAAATCTGCACACTGCCACTTCTATTGTATTCACAAAGTCCAGATTCCAGGGGAGGAGACATGAACCCTGTCTCTGGATGGGAGAAGTGTCAAAGATTTTTGTGTACCTTTTAAAAACTGTCACACATCCCGTAGGCTAGGCAGTGATCTATAACATGGTCTGGCTCAAAAAGATGAACTGGGTTAATTATTTTCTCTTTTCAAAAATTTGAACTAAGGAATACAAAGGAACACTTTAGTTAGAAGTGGTGGGTAGAGATGAAAAAATACCATGAAGTATAGACAAGGCCATGGTAAGTCCAGGTTATAAAGAGTCAGGAACTATGAGAAAGCAAAACATCTACGGAGTAGAAATACAATGAAGAGAAAAGGAGAAATGCAATAAAAGAAAATTCATATAGTCCTGGAGAGAGATCATGACAAGGCAGGGAGCCTCTAGAATGCCCAACTCTTTCTGACAGTTCCTATTCAGTTCCCATTCATTTGTTGTTTTTGACACTGATCTTACTTTTCTTACCCATTTTTCTAGGTCACAGTCAATAACAATGTCCTACATGGCAGTAGGACATACTGAAATGAGCGGGGCTAGGCAGCAGGTTTCTTCAGTCCTCAGAATTTTTACTGACATGGTGAGAGCCACATTAGAGAGAAAGAGAAATAACTATGTGAAGCAGTTGCTGCTGAGTAGTAAGAAAGAGCCACTGTGTGCTTATTACTGCCTCTGCACTTTATTACAGTCTGGGAAGAGGTATAGGAAGTGGGAGCAAGAAGAGAAACTACTTCACTATTTCCAAAGATGTATTGTTTTATAATGCACATTGAAATGGAAATGGATAACAGTAGATATATGGTTTTATCCAACTGTAGGGATTATTTTCATAAATAAGAGAATGAATAAAATTTCAAAATACATTTGGCCAATAGCTTTTCCCTGAAATTTGAGAACCCTTATCTGGTAGACATTAGCCACATGATTACTAAATTTAGTGGCATACTTTTGTGTGTGTGTGTGTGTGTGTGTGTGTGTGTGTGACAGAGTCGCACTCCGTCGCCCAGGTGGAGTGCAGTGGCGCGATCTTGGCTCACTGCAACCTCTGCCTCCCGGGTTCAAGCAATTATCCAGCGTTGACCTCTTGAGTAGCTGGGACTACAGGCATGTATAGTGGCATACTCTTTTAATAGAAATATTTGTTACCCAAGAAACTAGGGCCGAGCATGGTGGCTTATGCTCATAATCCTACCACTTTGGGAGGCGCAGGCAGAAGGGTTGCTTGAGCACAGGAGGTTGAGACTGTAGTGAGCTGTGATTGCAGCACTGCACTCCAGCCTGGGTGACAGAGTGAGACCTGACTCAAGAGAAAAAAAAAAAAGAAGGAAGAAAGGAAGAAAAACAGAAAGAAACTAGCTATTTTCCCGATGTCTTAAATGGGACATTTTGATTTTATCTACTGCTATATACTGATTTTCTCTTCTAAAGAAATAGTAGGCAGTCATTAAAGTACCACTATCAAAAAGGTGTTGATGCCAAAGATATCATTATTTTATTAGAAGAGAGAATTCTGGGCTGTGAATAATACTGATATGTATATTTGTCTTACAGGGCTCGCTTGCTGCTTCCTTCCTTCCTTCCTTTCTTCCTTCATTCCTTCCTTCTCTTCTTCTTCTTTTTTTTTTCCTTTACCAAAGACTCACTTAAAATTCTGCCAATAAAGTAGTGTTTTGAGCTGCTCTTGCTATGACAGAGAGGATACAATGTGAAGTCAAGTCAGGGGAAGGTTGTACCTACTTACAAGGGTCATTCTTTGAAAAACATCTGGGTTTTTCCTCTTTTATACCATAACACACTAACATTTAATACCTATTGTAGTTATTTAACCTAATAACCGTACCAAAGATATAATGGATCTTTCTCCTGTAGGAGGAACATAGAATAATAATGCTTTAATTTTGTATGTCTCTGTTCTCTAATGGCAGGCTGTCATTTTCTATAATTTACCAGAGATTATGAACAATGTGTGTAGGCTGAGTGTAGTTGCTTAGTAACCACCTTTTAAAACTTTCTTAAATGTAATTGCCTCTCTGCCAGGGAAACACTGATTCAACAAATTTGCATTGAACCACTTCTTAAGCAACTCAACACATTAAATGTCCCTGTGCTTTTTATTTCAAATTATTTGCCTTTTAAATTCTGTTAAGGTAAGCCACCTTTGTTATGATCATTATTTCTCTTTGAACAAAGTGAGACTTCCAAATGATTATCTGTACATTGTCGTATTCCCTACTGTTTTTCTGTATCTCTGTTCTTATTGCTTTTTTAGAGTTGAAGATAGAAACTTGCAAAAAATCATGAAAATCCCCAGTTTCTCTCTGAATAATTCTAAATGCTTTCAAACACCACCAGTCTGGAGTTTGTTTAAACCTGTATATCAAAATTTGCATCATATGAATGTTCTCTTGGCTTCTGTCTCTGATTTCACCTCTTTCTGTTAATCAAGCATCTATATTGCTCTTAAGAAAATGTGAACCGCATGAGGACAGCTTGCCCATAACTTCACTTTTTATGGTTGTGTCCACCCATGTACACTGACTTGCAGGGGGAAAGGGTTAAAAGGTAGACTTCAGTGGAATATCTACTGTTGGTGTTTCAAATCATTAATTGCTTTGCCATTTCAAGTCCAACTTGTATAGCTGCCCACATTTTCTCATTTGGCTGAAAGTTCTGTTGATGTAGGAATAGTTCACAGCTGATAACAAAGTTGACTTCCTCTTTGATTCTAAGTTTGAGGTGGATGTAAGATAGAAGAGACCAGAAATAGATTTGAGGAAATGAAAGGTTTGTATTTCTGTTCCCAACCCCCAGAATTAGTAAATGACCTCCAAGCTAGAGGAGAGGAGATTTTAGAGAAAGGAAAAAAGGAAATGAGAAGTAGTGTAATGATTGCACTCTCTGAACTCCACCTATGCACCTGTCTCCACCCTATAAAATCTTCCTTAAGTCTCAGGATCCTAAAGAGGAAAGTCCCAGGTACGATCTAGAACAACAGCAAGATGGAGAGAAAAGCCCAGCTCCATGCCAGCTTAGCAAAATGGGAGATGGTATTTATGAAAAAAAGTAAACCAGAGACAACACCCTCTCCTCAACTTTTCCCATGGATCTGGAATCCAGTTTTTCCTAGGGATCCAGTATGGGGACACAGAAGTTGTCTAAGAGTAGGAGCTGGAACGCCTCCCAGGAAGTCACCTATTGGTGTGAGAAGGTCTTCACTGAAAGAATGCTGCATGCACTTCCAGCCATGGTCCAGATGGAGTGTGGAACTGAATCCAGAGGACTGGCAGCACCAGAAGGCAAAGAAGAGCCTGTTGTCAAGAGCTCTGAGCCCTGCTCAAGGTCACATTGTATACCACTTGAACCAAGAGGGCAGGGGAGTTATATCAGCAGTAGACACTAGCAGAGACAGGGCCTTAGAGCCTTAGAGTAGTTACATATATTCTACCAAGGCCACAGTGCTCCCAAAGGCTTCCTTAGGACTCAGAAACTGCCCTGGGGAGAAGGATGAAGGAAGACAGAACATTCAGCTCACTAAAATTTAACCTGGTAAGTGACTTGATAACAAGTCAGAATTGGTTGCGAGGAGAATCACTGCTGGACTGAGAAATCTCAAAAGTTCTTGTTTTAAGTTGTCTGCCATTAGAAAATCCACAGAAACAACTTTGGGTTATATGAATAAAACAATTGAACATGTTTGCACTGTTTAGTTCATACCTGTGTGGGTCAGCCTGGTTGTGTCTCAAGATAGGAGGGGTTGGGGGGTGTGTATGGGAAGGGACAGAGGAGGTGGTAAGTCTGAGTGTATTGGAACATATATCCTATATGGGACAGTCTGGTGATAGGATCAAGAATAGGCTACCTGGACACAAGCAGCTGTGGTTTGAATCCCTACTCTGTCAATTACCAGTTTTGTGATTTGGGGCAAATTCTTCAATCTGCTGAATCTGACTTTCCTTATCTGCAGAAATATGATAATATTCAACTCCATATGGTTGTTTTGAGGTTTTGAGATAATATACATTAAATATTCGGCACGTAGTGCCTAGAATGTAATGACAGTGTATCATATCCTTGACCTCCAGTGCTCTTCCCTCATCCCCACCCCCACCAGCCCCTTCTATCTCCCCGTATGCATGAAAGAAGTCTCTGAGTGGGTAGAACTTTATCTTATTCACTTCTGTTTTCATAGTGTCTGGCACATAGTAAGTTCCCAATAAATAGTTGTTGAGTGAGTAAGTTGGGGTGGAACTCTAGGAAGACAGCTGGGAGTATTAAAGCAGGTTCTGCATGTGAGATAAGTCTCAAATGGAAGGATAAAACTTAGTGGAGTGAATGGAAGAGCAGGTGGTTACAAATGCTAAGCTTCAGGAAAGTAGGTTTTGATCAGAGTGAGATAAACAGAACTCAATTACATATACACCTACTTACAATAGAAAAGGAACAGAAATCTATGGTCTGTATACACAAAAAATCCTGTGCTATAAAGCAATACCTTTATATTTAAAAAAAGACCACTGTATAGACCACCATTTGTGTTTTCCAACAGTGTGGTATACATTTGTGGGGAAGTACCCGTGTGTATGTTAGTGTGTATTTCTGAATGTGTATAAAATACTTGGCCTAGATTTTTCAATCTTACCTGAGCTTTTTGATCAATCTTTCTATCATCTATCTTATGCAAACTGAATTTTTCTCTATTAAAAATGTAAATAGAATTTAACTACATCACAAGGTCAGTATTAATGCTTTATGATTCTTTGAGAGCTTGTAAAGATGAAGAAAGTGTTAAAAGATTTGAATTTGAAATTTCAAGATCACTGTAGGTTTTTAGAATGCAATTAACCCTTAGACCTGGCTCATTTATAAAATGAGTAACAGACTTGACCTTGGAATAAGAGCAAACTCTCAAACGATATTGGGTTTAGGACATAGTATGCCTTTCCTCTTTTCTTCCTTTTCTTTTCTTTTTTTTAAAATAAGAAACCTTTAAAATCTCATGTTTATAGTTTTTATTATTTTTATCATAACTGCTTAGAATGATGGCTAATGGTTTTCTGAAGTAAGAATTTTGTATTTCTAATTTTTGAAGAGATTTAATATCTTTGATATGGTAAATGATGCTGTTTAATTCTGTTTTCCTTGAAAATCTTCATTTGATTTCATAGTTTTAGGTATATAAGGAATGTCCTACATATAAAATAATCTTCCCTCATATTATGACACTCTCATCAAGCTGTTCATAAGCAGATTTAGCAGATAAAAATTAGATGTTAGACCAACAAATGACTATTAAGTACTTCTTTCTGTGCAGAATGATTTACTAAATCACAGGTGCCCTGAATTAAAATGTATACACACACCGTTCCCGTGATTGGTGTGATCATGTTTTTCACTTCTGAGGCAAGTTAATTTTCTATCAATTTGTTATATATTTGCAAAAAAATCACAAAATACTTATGTTTTTATTAGGATTTTAAGCTTTGAAACTCTAGCTTCTTATTTTTTTCTAATCAACAACATGAAATTAGATTTGTGAGTGGACTATTGCTTTTCATTTTTAAGAACAAAATGACCAATTTGTTACTATGACTACCTAATGTCATAGGTAGGTAGTGACTATCTAGGTTGGTGGTGTGGGTACATATGTAACAAAACTGCACGTTGTGGACATGTACCCTAGAACTTAAAGTATAATAAAAAAAAAAGCATATATATGTATAAAAAGAATTTACCGAGACAATTTTAGGTTAGGAAAGGCAGATTTATTAGAGAAAGTATGAAAATACATTGTAAGGGTGCAACAAACAGGTCAGCAAGAAAGGAGCTGACTGCAAGGAGACAAAGGCTTGCTGGGGATTTTATAGAATGGTGCTGTGCTGTGTGCTGCAGAGGGCTTTGTACTAATAATGCCAGTGTTGCAGTGAGCTAACTTGGATTTTTCTATCAGCCGAGGGGCTGTTGATAAGTCGGGCATAGGAAGATTCTGAGTTATTTGCACAGGAGGGCTACGTGTCCTGTATCATGAAGAAAGGCAGACTCATAGCTTATCTGCTTTCTCTTTTTGCTCTCCCCTACTCCCACCAGCCTAACTCCTTTTCCCTAAATAGGACTCCACATCTAACACTTGTCAGAATTTAATCGTTAAATCCCAGGATGGCACACAATTTGGTATTCAGTTTTGATGGAGTCATTGGCTCCAGCTTCAGCTACACGGGATGACCCAGCAAAAGTCAGCAGAAATTATCATCTAACAGTAGCTCATTCTTTTTTAGTGGAATCTCTTAAAAGATTTTCCTCAGCTAGATGATATTTTCAATATTAGCCACTAGCAGAAGTGTTCTGCTAGTAAGTACAGTTCTGCTATGTGCATAGCTGAACTATGTTCTGCTAGTAAATACAGAGTTCAATTTTTGAGTTTATGTATGTCTGAATCCAAAAGACCATATTCTTTTCATAAGACCACTTTAGGAAATAGCCGGTGTAGGCAGTTCTACTTCAGGCTAGGATGTGAAAAGATGTGGATGGCTTTTTCGCCCATGGTAACACCATGAAAAACCCAGACAACATACAATTCATATGTACCCATGGGATTTTTGAAGAGTGTCCGATGTAGGTAAGCCTTTACAAAGTGATTACAAGAAAGAAAAGTCTTTCATAAGTGAGCAGTATGCTGTGGCAACTTCTGGGTGGAAACATTGGATCTTTTTTTTTTTTCTGAGACGGAGTCTTGCTCTGTCACCCAGGCTGGAGTGCAGTGGCGCGATCTCGGCTCACTGCAAGCTCCCCCTCCCGGGTTCACGCCATTCTGCTGCCTCCGCTGCCTCAGCCTCCCCAGCAGCTGGGACTACAGGCGCATGGCGCCACGCCAGGCTAATTTATTTTTATTTTTATTTTGTATTTTTAGTAGAGACAGGGTTTCACCGTCTTAGCCAGGATGGTCTCGATCTCCTGACTTCATGATCCATCCTCCTTGGCCTCCCAGAGTGCTGGGATTACAGACGTGAGCCACCGCGCCTGGCCGAAACATTGGATCTTAATACAGGCAGGAGGAGGAGAAAGTGTCAAAACTCAAGAGACTTGACTGATTGCAACAGAAGCACTGGTGAAGGAGTGGGCAGGTAAAAGTAAATTTACCACCGCATGTTCTCACTTATAAGTGGGAGTTGATCAATGAGAACACATGGACACAGGGAGGGGAACATCACACACCAGGGCCTGTCAGGTGGTGGGGGGCTGGGGGAGGGATAGCATTAGGAGAAATACCTAATATAGATGATGAGTTGATGGGTGCAGCAAACCACTATGGCACGTGTATACCTATGTAACAAACCTGCACGTTCTGCACATGTACCCCAGAACTTAAAGTATAATAATAATTTAAAAAGTCAATTTACCCCAAGTTAAATAAATACACAAAAAATTATCAACTGATAAGAACAAAGATAAATAAAAAGTCCTAAAGGCTACCAGAGGGGGAAAAAAGGTGTAACACATGCAGACGAGAATTATGATTGACTTAACATAGGAAACAATGCAAGGTAAAAAGATAATGGAATGACATATTTAAAACACTACAAATAACACTTTTCAATCTATAATTTCATATGTAGTAAAAATATTCTTCAAACATAAAGGCAAAATGAAGACATTTTCAGAAAAATGAAAGCTGAGAGAATATTTCGTCTATAGATCTTCACTATAAGAACTGCCTTCTCTACTAAAAAATATAAAAAATTAGCTGGGCGTGGTGGCAGGTGCCTGTAGTCCCAGCTACTTGGGAGGCTGAAGCAGGAGAATGGCGTGAACCCAGGAGGCGGAGCTTGCAGTGAGCTGCGATCACGCAACTGCACTCCAGCCTGGGCGACAGAGCGAGACTCCGTCTCAAAAAAAAAAAAAAAAAAGAAAAAAGAAAAAAAACTGCCTAAGGCAGGTTTTCAGATGAAGAGCACTGGTATCAGTAGAAAGCTTGGATCTACAATAATGAGTGAGGAATGCCATAAAAGTAAAATAAGTAATAAATACACAACAATTTAAAAACTTACCTAAGTTTTCGAAAGGCATTTGACTAAGACAAAATTAGCATAAATACATAATAAATATATCAAAAAGAGAGGAAGTGATAGAAATATACATACTGTCGCAAGTTCTTAATGCTATATGTGAAGAGATGTTCCATGTAAACTGTGATAAGTTAAGGATGCATACAACAACAACTAGAAATAAACCAAAGAGGTATAGGCAAAAAGTCAATAAGGGGCATAATACCGAATACTAGAAAATATTTGAATATGAAGTAAACATTCCTACCTAAACCATCAAGAATTTAAAAATTGGCCGGGCGCGGTGGCTCACGCCTGTAATCCCAGCACTTTGGGAGGCGGAGGCGGGCGGATCACAATATCAGGAGATCGAGACCATCCTGGCTAACACGGTGAAACCCTGTCTCTACTAAAAATACAAAAAACTAGCCGGGCGTGGTGGCGGGCGCCTGTAGTCCCAGCTACTCCGGAAGCTGAGGCAGGAGAATGGTGTGAACCTGGGAGGCGGAGCTTGCAGTGAGCACAGATCGCGCCACTGCACTCCAGCCTGGGCAGCACAGCGAGACTCCTTCTCAAAAAAAAAAAAAAAAAAAGACAGCCTGGGCAGCAGAGCAAGACTCCGTCTCAAAAAAAAAAAAAAAAAAAAAAAAGAATTTTAAAATTGTTACATCTACTAAAGTTATTTTTCTATTTTTTTTAAAATATTACAAATTCATTGTCAAGTGAAGAGGCAATCGATCAAGTAGCTGAAAATGTAGGGCAAAAGTATTATAGAAGTGTGTCAGCAAATTAATTTACATTACGTTCTTTTCCTAAATTTTGTAAAGACTGAGTCTTTGAGACCATTTGTCAGTCTTTAAAAATTTTTTTTTAAACTCTACTTTATTCAGGTAAAATGTAAATAAAATAAAAATAAATTCTTAAAATTGCATGTTTTAAATGTACAGTTTGATTAGCTTTGACAGATATATATATGTACTACCACAATTAAAATATAGAATGCATCTATCACCAAAAAAAAAAAAAAAAACCTCCTCTTGTTCCTTTGGAGTCAGTCCCCACCCAACCTTACGACTGTAGATCTGCATTCTTTCACAATAGGTTTGATTCTCCTTTTAAAAATTTCATATAAACCAAAGAATGGTGTATTTACTCTTTTTTTTCTGAGTTCTTTCATTCAGCACAATGTTTTGAGATTCATAGACATTTTTCACATATATGTACTTCATTTCTTTTTATTGCTGAGTAGCATTCTATGATATGAACATACCACTTATTTATATCAATTCACCTGTTGATGGATATTTGGGTTGTTTCATCTTGTGGATGAAGCTGCAAAGAACATTCATGTACAAGTCATTTTGTGGACAAATGTTTTCATTTTTTAAAGGTAAAATACCTAGGACTGAAATGTCTGAGTTGTATGGTAAATGTATGTTTTTGTATAAAAACTATCAAACTATTTCATTGTGTATTTCTTTAAACTTGCATTTCCCTAATGACATATTCTCATATTGGTCATTCAAGTATCTTATTTTGTGATGTGCCTCTTTAAATGTTTTGCCCATCTTTCCTTGATTTATATCTCTTCTAACTTTTGAGTTCTGAGAGTTTTTATATATTCTGCACATAAGTCCTCTGTCAGTTATATATGTAGTGCTCATGTTTCAGTTTTTGCTTTGTTTTTTAACATTTTCATAATGGTATCTTTTGAAGAGAAGTTTTTTCTTCTGACGAACTTCCATGTGTTATTTCCTTCTCTTGTTGTTTGTGCCTATTGCATCCTAAGAAGGCTGTGGTTACTCAAAGTGGCAAGGATGTTTTTCCTATGCTCTCTTCTAGATGTTTTACAGTTTTAGCTTTTGTGTTTAGGACTATCATTTATTACCAATTAATTTTTTATTATGATGAGAAGTAAGGATTGAGGTTCTTCTTCCCCAGCCCCCAGCTGGATTGCAAGTTGTTCCAGAACCATTTCTTTATTCCATTCCACTGATCTATATGTCTATGCTTAAACCAGCTCTACTCTGTCTTTATTCTTGTAGATTTATAGTAAGTTTTGAAATTAGGTGCCTAAGTCCTTTGACTTTGTTTTTCTTTTAAAACATGGACTATTCTATATCTTTTGCATTTTAAAATAATTTTAGGGCTCACCTCAATTTCTAGAAAAATTCCTGCTGGAATTTTGAATTGCATTGAATCTATAGGTAGATGTGATTTGGGCATTTATTGATCTTACACACATTTTGGTAGATTAATCCCTAAACACTTAATGATTTTTTTCCTATTATAATGGCATTGGACTTTTAATTTCAATTTCCAATTTTTAATTGCTTGAAGAGAGAAATACAATTCATTGTTACACAGTGACTATTATCCTGTGATCTTGCTGAGTTAACAAATGAGCTCTACTGACTTTTGTGATAGATTCTTAAGGATTTTCTACATACAGGTATACCTCATTTGTGCTTTGCAGATAATTTTTTTTTTCTTTTACTAACTGAAGGTTTGTGGCAACCCTGCATTAAACAAGTGCATTGACAGCATTTTTTCCAACAGCATGTGCTCACTTAGTGCCTCTGTGTCACATCTTGGTAATTCTTGCAATATTTCAAACTTTATTATTATTATATCTGATATGATGATCTATGATCAGTGATCTTTTAAAATTTTTAACTTTAATTTTTGTGAGTACATAGTAGGTGTATGTATTTATGGGGTACATGAGATATTTTGATACAGGCATGCAATGCATAATAATCACATCATATAAAATGGGATATCCATCCTCTCAAGCATTTATCCTTTGAATTACAAATGATCCAGTTATACTCTTCTAGTTATTGTCAAATGGACAATTAAATTATTATTCACTATTGTCACTCTGCTGTGCTATTAAAGAGTAGGTCTTATTCATTCTAAGTATGTTTTTGTTCCCATTAACCATCTCCATTTCTCCCCCTCCCCACTACGCTTCCTAGCCCCAGATCATTGTACTCTCTATCTCCATGAGTTCAATTGCTTTAATTTTTAGCTCCCACAAATGAGTCTGAACGTGTAAGTTTATCTTCCTGTGCTTAGTTTATTTTACTTAACATAATGATCTCCAGTTCCATCCATGTTGTTGCAAATAACAGGAACTCATTCTTTTTGGGGCTGAATAGTAGTACTCTATTGTGTATATGTATCACATTTTCCTTATCCTTTCATCTGTTGATGGAACTTGGGTTGCTTCCAAATCTTAGCTAGTGTAAACAGTGCTGCAACAGACATAGGAGTGCAGAGATCTCTTCCATGTACTGTTTTCCTTTCTTTTCAGTATATACCCAGAAGTAGGATTGCTGGATGGTAACTCAATTTTTAGTTTTTTGAGGAAGCTCCAAACTCTTCTTCATAGTGGTTGTAGTAATTTACATTGCCACCAACAGTGTGCAAGGATTTCCTGTTCTCCACATTTTCACCAGCATTTGTTATATAATGCTGTCTTTTGGATATAAGCCATTTTAACTGGGGTGAGATAACATCTCATTGTAGTTTTGATTTGCATTTCTTTGATGATCCATGATGTTGAGCAGCTTTTCATATGCCTGTTTGCCATTTGTATGTCTTCTTTTGAAAAATGTCTATTCAGATCTTTAGTTTATTTTAAAAATCGGATTATTACATTTTTTTCCTAGATAGTTGTTTGAGCACCTTACATATTCTAGGTATTAATCCCTTGTCAAATGGACAATTTGCAAACATTTCCTCCCATTCTGTGGGTTGTCTCTTCGTTTTGTTGATTGTTTCCTTTGCTGTGCAGAAGCTTTTTAACTGGATATGATCCCATTTATCAATTTTTGCTTTTGTTGCCTGTGCGAGTGGAACATTAGTAAAAAAATATTTTCCCAGATCAATGTCCTGGAGAGGTTTTCCCAATGTTTTCTTGTAGCATTTTCATAGTTTGAGGTCTTTGACTTAAGTGTCTTTAATCCTTTTTTTTTTTTTTTTTTTGGGACGGAGTCTCGCTCTGTCACCCAGGCTGAAGTGCAGTGGTGCAATCTTGGGTCACTGCAACCTCTGCCTCCCGGATTCAAGCCGATTCTCCTGCCTCAGCCTCCCAAGTAGCTGGGACTACAGGTGCCTGCCACCACGCCTGGCTAATTTTTTGTATTTTTAGTAGAGACAGGGTTTCACCGTGTTAGCCAGGATGGTCTCGATCTCCTGACATTGTGATCCGCCTGCCTCGGCCTCCCAAAGTGCTGGGATTACAGGTGTGAGCCACCGCGCCCGGCCGTCTTTAATCCATTTTGATTTGATTTTTTTAAGGTGAGAGATAGGGGCCTAGTGTCTTTCTTCTGCATATGGATATCCAGTTTTCCCTGCACCATTTATTGAAGAGTTATTCCTCTCCCCATTGTTTGTTCTTGGCATTTTTGTCAAAAATGAGTTCACTGTAAATGTTTGGTTTTATTTCTGGGTTCTCCATTCTGTTCCATTGGTCTGTGTGTCTGTTTATATGCAATTACCATGTTGTTTTGGTTACTATAGCTCTGTATTATTATTTGAAGTCAGGTAACATGATTCTTCCAGTTTTGTTCCTTTTGCTCAGGATGGCTTTGGTTATTCTGGGTCTTTTGTGGTTCCTAAATTTTAGAATTATTTTTCCTGTTTCTGTGAAGGATGTCATTGGTATTTTGGTGGGGATTGCACGGAGTCTGTAGATTGCTTTGTGTAGTATGAACATTTTAACAATATTGATTCTTCTAATCCATTAGCATGAAATATCTTTCCATTTTTTGTGTCCTCTTCAATTTCTTGCATCTGGGTTTTATAATTTTTATTGTAGAAATCTTTCACTTATTTGCCTTAGTTAATTTCTGGGCATCTTATTTTATTTGCAGCTATTACAAATGTGATTGTTTTCTTGATTTCTTTTCCTAATTGTTCACTGTTGGCATAGAGAAATGCTACTCATTTTTGTATGTTGATTTTGTATCCTGCAACTTTACTGATATTTAATTAGTTCTAATAGTTCTTTGGTGGATTCTTTAGGTTTTTCCAAATATAAGATCGAATCATCTGCAAACAAGGATAATTTGACTTCTTCCTTTTTAACGTGGATACCCTTTATTTCTTTCTCTTTGTCTGATTGCTCTAGCTGGGATTCCCAGTCGTACGGTGAATAACAGTGGCGGAAGTGGGCATCCTTGTCTTATTCCAGGTCTTACTGGAAAAGCTTTCGGTTTCTCCCATTCAGCGTGATGCTAGGTGTGGGTCTATTGTATATGGCTTTTTTGTGTTGAGGTATGTTCCTTCTATACCCATTTTTTTGAGGGTTTTCATCAGGAAAAGATGTTGAATTTTATCAAATGACTGTTCAGCATCGATTGAAATAATCATATGGTTTTTGTCCTTCATTCTGTTGATATTAATGATCACTTTGGTTGATTTGTGTATGTTGAACCATCCTTGCATCCCAGGGATAAATCCCACTTGGTCATGATGAATGACCTTTTTAACGTGTTGTTGAATTTGGTTTGCTAGTTTGCTGTTGAGGATCTTTGCATCAAAGTTCTTCAGGGACATTGGGCTGTAATTGTCTTTTTTTCTTATGTGTCTTTGGTTTTGGTATCAAGGTAATACTCAGCTCATAGAATGAGTTTGGAAGTATTTTCTCCTCCTCTAATTTTTGAGATGGTTTGAGTAGAATTGGTATTAGTTCTTCTTTAAATGTTTGGTAGAATTCAGAAGTGAAACCATTGGGTCCCAACTTTTCTTTGTGGGGAGACCTTTTATTATGGCTTCAATCTTGTTGCTTGTTATTGGTCTTTCAGGTTTTGGATTTCTTCATGGTTCACTCTTGGTAGGTTGTATGTGTCTAGGAATTTATTTTTCTATTCCCAATTTTTGGCATGCAGTTGCTCATAGTAGTCTCTAAATGATCCATTGAATTTCTGTGGTATCACTTGTAACGTCTTCTTTTTCATCCCTGATTTTATTTATTTGGGTTTTCTCTCTTTTTTTTTCAGTCTGGCTAAAGGTTTGTCAATTTTGTTTATCTTTCCAAAGAACCATTTTTTCTTTTCATTGATCTTTTGTATCATTATTGTGTTTCAATTTTATTTCTCCCCTGATTTTTATAATTTTTTTCTACTAATTTTGGTTTTGGTTTGCTCTTGATCTGATTTTTTCCTATGTTCACTAAAGGGAAAATAGCAATTTATTGACTGAGCCCATAAAACTAAGGATATAAGATTCACTTATATTGCATCGATGAAGTCATTATCTATCATTTGAATGAATCCAGATTAAGTAATGAGGATCTTGATATCTCTCAACCTCTGTCTCTTGCCTCTTCACATACGAGGGCATTTACATTCCGAAAGTTTAAAGTCTCTGGGAGAAAAACCAAAACATTCTCTTCAGAATAATCTGAAGGTACTCATAAATTCTTTTAAAGTGGGCTCTGGGAAGTCCTAGCCAGAACAATTAGGCAAGAGAAAGAAATAAATAGAAACCAAATAGGAAAATAAGAAGTTTAACTATCTCTCTTTGTTAATGTGGGAAAGAGAGTTTCTGGAGCGCCAGATGAGTTGGTCTCCCCTGTGTGAGACACCCATGGGGAGCCATGGGCGGCCTCTGAGGAGAAAAGTCTCCTTATTGCCTTCATGTCTTTATGCCCCTAGAGCATAACCACTCCGCGGCATTCCACAGGTTGCTCGGGGAAATAACACTCCCTTGAAGCAGTGGAGTATAATCAAACATCTTGGCTCCTCCTGAAAACTGCTCCCACTCATTTCAGTCCTGAAAAGTTAAAGATCTTAAGTAGTTTAGACACACGCCGTTGCTCACAGGAAATTCACAGAAACCGCCACTGCTATACATCTTATTGAATGACTTACTAGCTCTCCTTCACTGATTAATCCTTTTCTCATCCCTTCCTACGCCTCCCATTTGCCCTAAGAACAAAGAGCTTGTAAACCAATAAATTAGGTGGAGCCGAAGAGCTCTGGGCCCTGAGCAAGCCTCCGAAGCTCCGGTCCCCTAGACCCGTCTTTTAAACTCTTATTCTGTCTCTTTCTAACTCCTTTGTCTCTGCTGGACTCGGGGTACCCACCAGGTGGTGTGGGGCTGGTTTCTTTAACAGTTGATGATATTATTCTATACCTAGAAAATCCTAAGGACTCTGTCAAAAGGCTCCTGGAACTGACAAATGAGTTCAGGAAAGTTTTGGGATACAAAATCAACGTACAAAAGTCAGTTGCAGTTCTATACACCAGTAATATTCAAGCTGAGAATCAAATGAAGAACACAATCCCATTTACAATAGCCACACACAAATAATACCTGTTAGGTTGGTGCAAAAGTAATTGCGGTTTTTGCCATTACTTTAAAAACTAATAGGAATGTATCTAACAAAGGAGGTGAAAGATTACTGCAATGAGAACTACAGAATACTGCAAAAATATCATAAATGACACAAACAAATGGAAAAACATTTTATGATCACAGATTGGAAGAATCAATATCATTAAAGTGGCCATAGTGCCCAAAGCTATCTATAGATTCAATGCTATTCCGATTCAACTACCAATGACATTTTTCACAGAAGTAGAAAAAAGCTATTCTGAAACTCATATGGAACCATAAAAGAGCCTAAATAACCAAAGCAATCCTAAGCAAAAAGAACAAAGCTGGAGGGATCACATTACCTAACTTCAAACTATATTATAAGGCTACAGTAACCAAAACAATGTGGTACTAGTACAAAAACACATAGACTACTGGAACAGAAGAGAGAATGCAGAAATAAAACCACACACCTACAGCCATCTTTTCTTTGACAAAGCTGACAGAAATAAGCAATGGGGAAAGGACTCCCTATTCAATAAATGGTGCTGGGATAGCTGGCTAGCCATATGCAGAAGACTGAAACCGACCCCCTACCTTTCACTATACGCAAAAATTAACTCAAGGTGGATTAAAGATTTAAATGTAAGACTTCAAACTATAAGAATCTTAGAAGAAAACTTAGGAAACACTATTCTGGACATTGGCCTTTGCAAAGAGCAGACAACCTACAGAATGGGAGAAAATATTCACAAACTATGCATCTGACAAAGATATAATGTCCAGAATCTGTAAGGAACATAAACAAATTAACAAGCAAAAACAAATAACCCCATTAAAAAGTGGGCAAGAAACATGAACATGAACAGGGACTTCTCAAAAGAAGACATAAAAGTGGCTAACAAACATGAAAAAATGATCAACATCATCAGAGACATTCAAATATAAACACTATAATATACTATATCCCACCAATCAGTATAGCTATTATTAAAAAGTCAAAAAACAACAGATGCTGGTGAGGCTATGGAGAAAAGGAAATGCTGATACACTGTTGATGGGAATGTAAATTAGTTCAGCCACTGTGAAAAGCAGTTTGGAGATTTTTCAAAGAACTTAAAACAGAACTACCATTCAACTCAGCAATCCCATTACTGGGTATATATCCAAAGGAAAATAAATAATTCTACCAAAAAGACACATGCACTCATATGTTCAGCACAGCACTATCCACAATAGCAAATACATGGAATCAACCTAGGTGCCCATGAGTGGTGGACTGGATAAAAAAAACATGGTACATACACACCATGGACACAGCCATGAAAAGAATGAAATTATGTCCTTTGCAGCAACATGGATGCAGCTGGATGCCATTATCCTAAGTGAATTAATGCAGGAACAGAAAACCAAATACTGCATGTTCTCACTTATAAGTGGGAGCTAAACATTGGGTACTCAGGGACATAAAGTTGGGAACAATAGACACTGAGGACTACTAGAAGGGGAAGAGAGAGAGGAGGGCAAGTTTAGAACAACTACCTGTTGGGTACTATGCTCACTACCTGGGTGATGAGTTCAATCACACCCCAGACTTCAGCATCATGCAATATACCTATGTAACAAACCTGTACATGTATCTTCTGAACCTAAAATGAAAGTTGAAGTTAATTTTAAAAAGAGAGTGGGATTGAATAATTTTTATTTACTTCCATCTCTCATAGAACTTGTGTACATTTTGCCTGTTACATCATAAATAAGTTCCCATTATTTGAAGCAACATGATCATTTCCCAGTTCGTGATATCTGAAAAAACCTACTTACATCTAAAATTAGCATCAAGAATAAATTACTAATTTGAGACTCCTTCCTCTGACAAGGAACTTAGTGCACTTTATATAATTCTGCTCTCCTTTCTCTGCCCCAGCCATTCCCTTAACCACCATTGTTAATTTAACATGAGGCTACAGGCCTGTCTTGCTGGTGGGAAGAACTGAACTAGTCATCAGTTGTATTGGGGAGGCAGCTTGGGTTTAGACAGAAACTATGTGGACCTAATGCCATTTGCCTAGAACCTACATGGAAGCCCAGGTAACTTTAGAAAAAACATAATGATTTAGTGTGGGGAATTTTGGAATCAGAAAAAATACATCTAATTTACAGATCAGGAAAGAGCTGAATGTCCTTTAGCCTATTAAGGCAGGGAGATTATTTGGCAAATAGTAAAATAAAATGAGCCTTCCACAAACCAGGGCATTTTTCATGCAGTCTGAACCAGCTGGACTTCACGAGGAAAAAAATCTCTTGCTGTGGCAAATTCTTGCCTTTGGGTATTTTCAGGCCTAGCTACTTACCGCTGGAGAAGATGGAACTGTGGCTGAGGCATCCTGTACTCATCCTTTCTCTGCCCTTTCTTGGAGGACTAATCTTCCCAAGACAAAAGACATCTTTATCCATCCCTCTGCTTCTTCTTGTGTTGCACAGTGATATCCAAATCTCAGTAGATACAGAAAGAGAAGACGTGATAATCGGAGTAGGGTGTGACACCAAACTGGTTCATTTTGATCAGAACAATTTCCATGCTGTGCGATGGTGGTACAGTGCAGTGGTTGGCTTCGGGAATCACGGAACGGGGAGCATATCTAACAGTATTGGTGTGAACTCAGGCATCATCTGTTACCTGGTGTGGATTCCAAAATATTTACTATTTCAGTCCTTGGTCAGGGAGGACCAACACCTTTCTCAAATGTTTACAGCCAGAAAGAGTGTTGCCAGGGGAAACTGGTAAATGTTTAATGACAAGGTCTTTGAACAAAGAAAAAGCCTTGATGTATAGCATTTGCCAACTTCTCCCAGTATGGCTGATTTCATGCTACCAAGGTGATGTCCCTGAACTTGGGCTTGGGAAAAGATACGCTGTACCCTGCTGAGGTGATGGGTGCAGCAAAATCTCAGAAATTACCACCAAAGAACTTATCCATGTAACAAAAAACCACCTGTTCCCCAAAAACTGTTGAAATAGAAAAACTAAAGAAGATCCATTGTACCAAATATCATATAGCATTTCTACCATACAAAGACAACAAATACAATCTAAAGACCACAGAGATAATAGTAAATTGTCGTAAAATTGGAAAGTGGTGAGTTTTGAGAATTTATTACCTTTGCTTTTAATATTGGAAATGTAGAGGTAAATATCTTGTTACTTGCAAATAATCTGATTATCCATGTGGAACAATTAGGTTTCTTTGGCAGTTTTTCCTGCCTTGTGGCTTTTCCACATGGCCTTTTTACATTCAGCTGCTCTCGTTCAGAAGGGTTTGTATGCAGTGGCTTGGCTTCAGATTTTGTTGTTTTACTCAACTATTTGGTTCTGACTTGCTTTGTGACATTAATTGCCTGAGATATTTTTAAAGACCGATGTTCCGATAGTGAAACATTTACCAAACAAGATTTTGTGTCCAAATATCATTTTGAGAAGATTAAATGTCACTCTTTCCTGCTGTTTTCCATAGCCCCAACCTATATTTTTCTGTTGATTTATTCTGCTGAATAAGTTTGTTTACTAAGGTATCTTTAAGGTATATCAAGCTTTCAATTTTCAATAAATGACAAATATAAATGTGAGGCATATTCGACTTTCTGCTTATTACATAAAGGAAGCAGGTTATAACTAGCCCTGTAACTTTGAATCTCTCCATTATTTTATTTTATGCAAAATAATTTTAGTGTAATATTCTATACATCATGGTTATAGTTTCTTGTTTTATAAAAGACATGAGAAACAACATAAAGGTTTCATTAAATAATTCATGGTTATGATTTATTGGATAAAGAGACACAGTAAAGGGCAAAAAGTTCTTTTTTTATAGAAAAACTGAGCCTGATTTTCTCTTATCTTTTCATCTATATTTCCTGCCTTGTTCAGAAATAATATAAAACTAATATTTTAAAATAAGTTCTATGCTTTTCCAAACCACTGCTTGTCCAGTGCCACTCCATCCATCCATCCATCCATCCATCCATCCATCCATCCATCCATTCATTTAATTAATAGTACCTAATAGGTACCAGGCCCCTATCTCCTGCAGTGAAAAGCTGACATAGCCAAGGGGCAGACACAAAGCTTGATAGAATCACAGATCCCCAGAGACAGAATTTTTCTGCCGAGGTAGACTTGTTACATCTGTTATACTCCTTTTTCCTGACTGGGCAACCTGGGTCCCTGAAACAAGGACAAGGACATCTGGGTAGATGTCCCTGCAGAATCTGGCTCTGTGGTGTACCATGAAGCCTGAAAGCTGCAGGGGCTACATCCATGACCCTACTGAGAGCTGGTACTTCTCCATGCATGGAGATACTGTGGGGGTCCCTCCCAGCATGGGAGCAAGTATTCAGAGGTATGCCAGAATAATTCCTTCAAAGTAAAAGTAACCTTGCTGCATTCTGCATCACTACTACAAAGAAGTAGACAGATTGGCTGATAGCCTTTTGGGTTCTGAGGCAACAGATTTAACACCAAGAAAAAATTCTCCAGCACATGTGATGAGTGACATGGAAAGCTACCAGCTTTGAGTGGGAGTAGAGCAGAAAGGGCTCTGCAGCATGTCCAGACTGCTATGCAAGCAACCCTACCACTGAAGTGTTGGAGGTGTTGGTGGTGGGAAAAGATTCATTGTAAAGTTCACAGAAAGCTCCAGAGGGAGAATCACAGCACTGGCCCCTGGGGTTCTGGAGCAAGGCTGTGCCATCTGCAGCACAGACTTAACACACTTTCTGGGAAACAGCTCCTGGCATGTTACTGGGCTCTTGTAGAAAAGGAACAATTGAGCATGGGACACTGAGTGACCACATACCTGGAATTGCCTGTTATAAGCTGGGTCTATGAGAGCAACTGAGGAATAAAGTCAGAAAGGCTGGCAGCATTCAAAAGATGGAACAGTCCATCTGGCATTATGTCTGAGTAGGGCCAGAGGCTATAAGAAAGTTAATGAGCAGATCAGTCCAGATCCCCATGTGGTCCTTCTTGGGTGCATCAGTGCCACTCATGTCAATGGTCATATAAAGGGTCCCATGTGACCAGCAGGAGAAGGAAAAAACTCATGCTTGGTTTATAGATGGGCTACTTTGGTATGTGGGAATAGGGTGGAAAAGGACATCAGTTGCATTAGAGCCACATCCAGAAGTGGCCTTGAAAGATGATGTAGAAGAAGAATCTTCCCCATGGAAGAGCTGTGAACAGTACATCTGGTTATCTACTTTGCGTGGAAGGAGAAGTGACCTGATGTGAGAATACATTCAGATTTCTAGGCAGTGGCCAATAGCCTTGCCAACTGTTCAGGAGCCTAGGAAGAAAAGGATTGGAAGATCAGAGACAAGGATGTCTGGGGAGAAGCATGTGGACCAACAAATGGGAGTCAGTCAAAGTATGAAGATTTCCGTAGGACGTTAATGCCACGTAGAACGTTAATGCCCCGTAGAAAGCATCTTCTATGGAAGAGGCCCTGGTTAACCAAGTAGACAAATAACTTGGGTTAGCCAACCTTTGTCACCAGCCACTCTGGAACTGGCACAATGGGCACATGAATGGAGTGGCCTTGGAGACAGAGATGGAGCCTGCACATGTGCCCTGCCGGTTGGACTCCCACTGACAAAACCTGTTGTAACTCCTGCCATTGGGAGGAGTTTCCTGCATCTAGAAACTATCAAAAATGCATCCCCTGCAGTAAGTTCTCTCCTGGAGGGAGTTCTGAGCCACTTACTTCCCTGGCTGCCACTTATGGGGGATTCAGTGAAGGTGAGAATGGAAAGAAAGACAAAGAAGATCAGTCTTTTACCTATTTTTCGTAACACGTTTACTTCAACTGCCATGTCCACATGCATCAGTTCATCTCCAATGCATTTTTTTTTCATTTTAAAAGACTCAATTTGATCTTTTCTTATGCTAAACAGGTAGTCAGTATTATGTAGTTTTATTATTCTTAAAAATTAACTGTTATGCAATCTGATACTGATGTTAGTTGTAAGGGATTCCTATGCATTGGGTACTTACAGTGTTCTGGGCACTGCACCGATGTGGCAGAGCTATTACTTTTAATAAATATTCACAATAAACCTATGGCTGGAGCACAACTATCCCCTATTTTATCAACGAGGAAACTGAAGCTCAAAGAAGATAGTGAATATTTCCAGAATCACAGAGTTATAAGTGATAGAACTGAAATTTGGGTCTACCCTGCCAACTTTCTAGCATTATCATTGGCCAAGGCTGAAGCTTATTTTCCTAGTGAAGACAAAACACCTAAGAATCCAGTATGAAATGAAGCCTCAAATTCGTATCTCCAGAATCCAAACCAGGTAACCTGATGGCAGGTGAATAACTTTGAGAGAGAAAAGATTTTTCTTGAAGAGGTTATGGTACAAATCCAGAGCCTAGAATTTATGCCATAAGCAGTAAGGCTCCAAGATAGAAAAGTTAGGTTAGTTTCTAGGCAGAGGAGGGGCTTAGAGTGAACTTGGAGAGGAAAATAAGACAGTGAGTCATTAGTGAGGGTCCCTGAGAAAGGGGCTTTCTACCTATCCCCTCTTAGGGTGTAGTGGAGGAAATGACAGGGCTTCCTCGGTGGATTTAAGTATCTGGCAGCTGAGAAAATGTGTTTTCATCTTTCTTGCTGGAATGCTGAGAGAAGAAAGTCTTGCTGATTTCTCTGTGTCAATGCAGGGCAGCCACAGTGGGAAAAACATGGTAGCAAGGTAGATATAGGCCGAGAGAGAACCTAAGATAGCTTCTCCACACCCCCAGGCTTCTGTGCCTTGAGGAAGTCTCCAAGGTTCTTAAGTCTCCTTGAGAGGAGACTAAGGATTGGGTAAGAGTAGGAAAGCTGCCTGATGTTTGGCCAATCATGGATAGTTTGGCAGAGGAAGACTTAGAACACACGGACCTATCAACCAGAGGGCATGGTGGGATGTGTGTTCTTCAGTAGCAGATGCAACAGGGGTCAGAGCCAATACCCAACACAAGACGGATCAAGCTTCCTTGGAAAGGGCTGGCTGGGACAGAGGACAGTAGGCGGACCACGGCTCCTTCTCCAAAGCCAGGACAATATGCTGGGAGAACTTAGACCACCCTGAGAGCGAAGGAGAGAAGGAAAGGAGAAGGGGAAGAATCTTGAAAAATGCTAAAAATTCCTGGACTGGACTGAGGAAAGCTATAGAATTGTTTTGATTAAATGGTCTGCCATTAGGTCAGAGATACAAATGCATAATAGAAATAAAGTTACATTTTTTATATGGAGTTTTGTGATTGTAAAGCATACATCTGTTATATTTGATTCCTGGATGTTTCTTACATAAGAAGAATTTCCATAGAACATAGATCTTTGGAATGTTCCTTCCTGTTGATGGTGAAGATTTCCTGTCTTTCCCTTCATTGTCTCTTCTCACTCTTAACAACTTCTCATCTTGGGAGATCTTTCCCTTCCAGGGTCCTGTTTTTACCTCTCTCAGCAAAAGCTGTGTGCTGAGGGTGAGATCTGCGATTCATTTATTCAGAAAATTTTAGCTGAGTGCATACTATGTGCCAGGCACATGCTAAGTACTGATGATGAAGGCATAAACTACACAGTCCCTACTCTCAAGGGGGTGCATAGTCTGTTGGGAGAGATAAAGATGAGGAAACAGATAGGTACAATGAAAAGGGATGAGAGTTATGACAGAAATAAGCACAGGATATGTGAGGAACATTTATGAAGGGCCAGGACATCAAGGAAAGCTCAGAAGTGACATTTGAACTGAATTTTGAAGAATAACTGGACCACTCTTAAGGGACTAAGAGAGGAAATATAAACATTTGCAAAGGCGTAGAAATTCAAGAGAAACAAAGAAGGACTAAGTATTTTGGTATATTTGAAACTTAAGGTATAGGAAGGAAAGTGAAAAGATTGGAGAAAGATTGAGGCCAAATGATAACACCCATGTATACAAAACTCTTTCTGGAATGGCTTTTTCCCACTGACCATTTATGAAGGGTATTTAACAAACAAAACCAAACAAAACTTTGGGAGAGTAATGCAAACAGATTTGTTCTCTTAAATGAGCACTCGGGCTACTATGTGTGGATGGGTTGGAGGAGAGTGAGACTAGAAGGAAAGGGTCGCTCTCGTAAACAATACTGGGACCAGACCAAACAAACAAAAACAAAAACAAAAAAACTTGGCTGCTTGCTTTAGGAAGTACCTGCTCCTGGAAGACAGCAAGTGCTTCCAATAGTAAACTAACTAAGAAAACCCAAAAACAAAATAAAACCTTCACTTTACTGTATCCACCAATCCAAAGCTATTAGGTCATAAGCTGAGGGTGGTGACATATAATGCTGAGGATTGAGAAGGGAATTGGAGTTGGGGGCAGAGTCCCAGGGCTGGGTGTCAGTGGAGTTAAAGGGAAGTCAGACTCAGAGCCAAACCCCATCCTGCCACTCCAGAGTCCCCTGCCCACAATTCTTCCTACCCAACATGTCTCTGTAAATATGTCCTCTGACCAGCACTCTACCAAGAAGCTTTCCCTGGTTCCCTGACATGAATTGCAGGGCGTAGGCTTTGCTTGAGAGATTAACATCATAAGCATGAGTTTTTCCTTCTTTACTGGCTTCAGGTGAGACTCAGCACATTCCCAAATGTGGTGTGTGGTGTCTATAGGGAGAAACTCCTTCTGTTTGAGAAAAGCAGATGAAAAAGTAAATAAAGGGGACTTTGTCTTGTACTTTAGGTACCCGCTTGGCCACAGGTGGGATACAGCACCAAGTGGGCTCTTGGGGTCCCTGATTCTACCAGCTAGGTTCTTGGGGTCTTGCACTTTAGGTACCCACCTGGCCACAGGGGGATACAGCACCAAGTGGGCTCTTGGGGTCCTGATTGGCTCTTGGATGACATTTCTGGGCCTACCCTAGGCCAGAGGGGAGCCCACTCCCCTGTAGGGTGAGTCCAAGGTGAGGCAGCATTCACCATAAGCTAACTGAAGAGCCCTTGGGCATTAAGGGAATATCATTGGTAGTCTGGCAGTATTCCCGGTGGGCCTGTGGTGGTAACGGCCACAGGGTGAGGCTCATCTGCCTTTGGAAAGGGGAGAGAAGAGTGGGAAGGACTGCATCTTGTGGTTTAAATGCCAGCACAGCTGCAGTAAAATAGAACACCAGGTAGACCCCTAAGATCTTTGACTCTAGTGCCTGGCTCCTGGATGGCACCTCTGGACCTGCCCTGGCCCTGGGAGGACTCACCACCCTGAAGAGAAGGACAAAGGCCTGGCTGGCTTTGTCACCTGGTGATTGTAGCTTCTCAGGGCCTTGAGTAAACATAGGTGGTAGCCGGAGATTTGTTACAGTAGGCCTTGGGTGAGACCCAGTGCTGGGCTGGCTTCAGATCTGACCTGCCACAGTCCTAGCATTGGTGGCCACAGGGACGCTTGTGTCACACCAGCCCAGGTTCAGGCAGCTCAAAACAGAGAGAGAGATTCCGTTTGTTTGGGAGAACATAAGGGGAGAGAGCAAGAGTCTCTGCCTGGTAATCCAGAGAATTATGCCAGATATTGTCCAAGACCATCAAGGTGGTACATCTAGTCTGCAAAACCACAGCGTTTCTGGGCTTGGGATGCCTTCTAAATGCAGATACAGCCTATATTACAACACTCAAGTCCTTTCAAATACCTGGAAAGCCTTTCCAAGAAGGACAGGTACAAACAAGCCCAGACTGTGAAGACTCCAATAAATATGTAACTCTTCCATGCCCAGACACAGACAAACATCCACAAGTATCAGCACCATCCAGGAAAACATGACATCACCAAATGAACTAAATAAGGCACAAGGGACCAATTCTAGAGAAACAAAGACATGTGACTTTTCAGACGGGAAATTCAAAATAGCTGCTTTGGGAAACTCAAGAAAAAATTCAACATAACACAGAGAAGGAATTCAGAATTCTACCAGATAAATTTAACAAAAAGATTGAAATAATTAAAAAGAATCAAGCAGAAATCTGGAGCTGTGAAATGCATTTCACATAGTAAACAATGCATCAGAGTCTTTTAACAGAAGAATTGATCAAGCAGAAGAATGAATTTATGAGATTGAAGACAGGCTATTTGAAAATACACAGAGGAGACAAAAGTAAAAAAAATTAAAAAAAATGAAGCATGCCTATAGGATCTAGAAAATAATCTCAAAAGGGCAAACCTAAGAGTTATTGGCCTTAAAGAGGCAGTAGAAAAAGAAATAGGGGTAAGAAGTTTATTCAAAGGGATAATAATGGAGAACTTCCCAAACATAGAGAAAAATATCAATATCCAAGTACAAGAAGGTTAATAAACACTAAGCAGTTTTAGCTCAGAGAAAACTGTCTCAAGGCATTTAATAATCAAACTCCAAAATGGTCAAGGATAAAGTAAGGATCTTAAAAGCATAAAGAGAACGGAAACAAATAACATACAATGAAGCTCCAATACATCTGGCAGCAGTCTTTTCAGTGGAAACCTTACAGGCCAGGAGAGAGTGGCACGACATATTTAAACTGCTAAAGAAATATTTTCCATTTATTTAAACAAGGTTAGCGTGAGCCTAATGCCAAAATCTGATGGAAGCAACAAAAGAAATGACAGAGTAACTTCACATAAATAGAGATTTAGAAATCCGAGTAAAATATTCAGTAAACTGTTTCAGTAGCATAATACGAGGACAATATGCCAAGATTAGATGAGGTTTATTTCAGAATTGAAAGAATGGTTTAATATTAGGAAATCTATTTATATAATATGCCAATAGATGCCAAAGGGAAAAAAGGTATGTGATCATCTAGATAGATGCAAAAAAGACATTTCATATAATTCAATGCCTATTTCTGGTTTAAAAATGTTTTTAATTGAAGTAGAAATGAAATGAGGCTTTTTTCAAAATCAAAACACCCAAAGTGAACATCATGCCCAACAGTTAGGCAATGAAAGGACTGCAATCAATGAGAACAAGACGTATAACCACTGATGATTTGGGGAAATATTTGTTACTATATTTAGATGGGAAAAAGAATTGAGAAGTATAAATACTGGAAAATAAAAATAAAAATTATTTTCATTTGCAAGTGATAAGACTGTTTATGTAGAAAGCCCCCAAAAGTAAGGAAAAACTATTTAAAAAACTATGTAAGTTTGCCAGTTAAAAAAATAAATATAGGCCAGGTGCAGTGGCTCATGCCTGTAATCCCAGCACTTTGGGAGGCCAAGGCCGGTGGGTCACAAGGTCAGGAGATCGAGACCATCCTGGCCAACATGGTGAAACGCCGTCTCTACTAAAAATACAAAAATTAGGTGGGTGTGGTGGCGTGTGACTGTGATCCCAACTATTAGGGAGGCTGAGGCAGGAGAATTGCTTGAACCGGGGAGTCAGAGGTTGCAGTGAGCTGAGATCGTGCCACTGCACTCCAGCCTGGCAACAGAGCGAGACTCTGTCTCAAATATATAAATATATATATATATATATACACACACACACACACACACACACGTATATATATTTTTATTATTATTATTATTATACTTTAACTTTTAGGGTACATGTGCACAATGTGCAGGTTAGTTACATATGTATACATGTGCCATGCTAGTACACACACGTATATTTAACAAATATATATAACAAAATATATATTATTTATTTTATATAATATATTAGCAATATATAACAAAACTATCATATATATTTATATATACATATATATGAATATATATGATAATATATATGAATATATATATGGTAGGTTGCAAGAAGCAATCAGAAATTACAATGGAAAAATATCATCAATGATGGGACAAAAACACCACATAACTTGGAAAAATCTTAACAAGAAATATATAGGGCCAATATGAGAAAAATTGCTAAATTTATTAGGTAATATGAAAAAAGGCCCTGAATAAATAAAAAGATTTACCAGTGTTTAGTACTGAAAGAAATAAAAATTATAAAAATTCTTCCCAAATTAATTTATAACTTCTTGAAATTAATTCCAATTTAAACTCCAATTTGGTTCTTCTTACACCAGGCAAAATGATTCTGAAATTCCCTGGAATGGTATTTTTTGGGAAAAACAGCAGAAACAACATAGCGGTGAAAGAATACAATTTTAAGATACAGTATTTAAAACAGTAAGATATTGGCTCAAGAAGGTATAGAGAGATTAACAGAGGGGAATTGACAAACTAGAAAAAGATGCTAGTGAATAGAAGAATATCATATTTTATACAAGTATTGGAAAAGCATGCTTATTAGAGAAAATGTACTTATTAGAGAAATGTAAATAACTGGCTGTTTTGAAAGAAAAATGATCATATTAGGGTCCTACTTTATAATTTATCATGAAATAAATTCCAGATAGTTTGAATATAAACGTGAATATTTAAATACGAAAAATATGGGGGAAGGGAGGAGGGATAGCATTAGGAGATATACCTAATGCTAAATGACGAGTTAATGGGTGCAGCACACCAACATGGCACATGTATACATATGTAACAAACCTGCATGTTGTGCACACGTAGCCTAAAACTTAAAGTATAATAATAATAAAATTAAAAAAAGAAAAAGAAAAATAATAGTCATTTAAAAAGTAGAAAAACATAAATATGTAGACATACATAACATCTCTAGGTAACGCCTTTTAAAGCCTAGTACCAAAGCCAGAAACCAAAGGAGAGCATTGATAGATTATATACATAAAATTAAAAATATCTGTACATCAAAATCATTATGTACAAATATAAAAGCAAATTAAAAAGAGATACGTTGGTAATCTATGTAGTAAAGTGTGTGTTAATAATAGGTATTTGTTTAATACAATGAATTCATGAATACATGAATCAATTGGTGAAATTAAAAGGACTGTTATGAAACAATGATGAAGACATTTAAGCCCCAATGAAAATGTAGACAAAGGACATGAATAGGGAATTCACAAAAGAGATACAAATTTTCAACATACATACAAAAATTTAATTTCATTAGAATAAAACACATCTAATAAATATGTCATCATTTTTTCACTAATTAAATTGGCAAAGTTTAGAAATAATTGTAATAATTTAATTCTATAGATTTACAGGTTCTCATATCTCAGATACTAATGTAAGTAGCATATTCTTTCTGGACATCTATTTGGAAATTTACATTAAAAGTATCAAAATATTTACATTATTTGAACAAGCCATTTTGCTTTTGGAATTTTATCCTAAGGGGAAAAATATCAGAAGACTACAAAATCATTTATTTATGAGAACATTCATTGTAGCATACTTAAAATTTAAAAAAATTACAGGAAACATTACGTCTGTGATACACTTCAAAAATTGTTTTTGTGCAACTAGAAATGATGAAGTAAATGTTACCATTGACCCCACAGAAATTAAAAAAAGAATCAGAAACTACTACAAGCACCTGTATGCACATAAACTAGAAGAAAGAGACGGACAAATTCCTGGACACATACACCCTCTTGAGACTAAGCCAGGAAGAAACTGATTCCCTGAAGAGACCAATATCAAGCTCTGAAAATGAATCAGTAATAAATAGCCTACCAACCAAAAAAAGCCCGAGACCTGATGGATTCACAGCCGAATTCTACCAGACATACAAAGAAGGGTTGGTACCATTCCTATTGAAACTATTCCAGAAAATTGAGGAGCAGGGACTCCTTCCTAATTCATTCTATGAGGTCAGCATCATCCTGATACCAAAACCTGGCAGAGATACAACAAAAAAAGAAAACTTCAGGTCAATATCCTTGACAAACATCATGCAAAAATCCTTAACAAAATACTTGCAAACTGAATTCAGCAGCCCATCAAAAAGCTAATTCACTATGATCAAGTAGGCTTCATCCCTGGGATGCAAGGTTGGTTCAACATATGCAAATCAACAAATGTGATTCATCACATAAAAAGAACTAAAGACAAAAAAAACACATGATTATCTCAATAGACACAGAAAAGGCTTTTGATAATATTCAACACCGTGTCATGTTAAAAACTCTCAATAAACTAGGTATCAAAGGAACATACCTCAAAATAATAACAGCATCCATGACAAACCCAGAGCCAACATTACACTGAATGGGCAAAAGATGGAAGCATTCCCCTTGAAGAATGGCACAAGGCTAGGATGCCCTCTCTCACCACTTCTATTCAACACAGGATTGGAAGTCCCAGCCAGAGCAATCAGGCAAGGGAAAGAAATAAAGCACATCCAAATAGGAAGAGAGGAAGTCAAACAATCTCTGTTTGCAGAGGGCATGATTCTGTATCTAGAAAACCCCATAGTCTCGGCCCAAAAAAGCTCCTCCAGCTGATAAAAAATTTCAGAAAAGTTACAGGATACAAAATCAATTTCCAAAATCACTAGTGTTCCCATACACCAAAAACAGCCAAACCAAGAGCCAAATCAGAAAGGCAATCCCATTCACAATTGCTACAAAAAGAATAAAACACCTAGGAATACAGCTAACCAGGAAGGTGAAAGGTCTCTGCAATGGGAATTATAAAATGCTGCTCAAAGAAATCAGAGAAGACACAAACAGATGGAAAAACATTCCATGCTCATGGATAGGAAGAGCCAATATTGTTAAAATGGCTATACTGCCCAAGCAATTTACAGATTCAATGCTATTCCTATTGAACTACCAACGACATTCTTCAAATAACAAACCAAAAACAACAACAGCAACAACAACAACACTATTTTAAAATTCATATGGAACCAAAAAAGAGCCTGAATAGCCAAGGCAATCCTACGCAAAAAGAACATAGCTGGAGCCATCACATTAACTGATTTCAAACTATACTACAAGCTAACAGTAATCAAAACAGCACAGTACTGGTACAAAAAAAGGCACATAGACCAATAGAACAGAATAGAGAGCCCAGAAATAAAGCCACATATCTATGACCATCTGATCCTCAACAAAGCTGACAAAAACAAGCAATGGGGAAAAGACTACCAACTCAATAAATGGTGCTGGGATAACAGGCTAGCCATGTGCAGAAGATTGAAGCTGGACCCCTTTCTTACACTATACACAAAAATCAACTCAAGATGAATTAAAGACTTAAATGTAAAACCCAAAAGTATAAAAACCTTGGAAGACAACCTAGGCAATACTATTCAGTACATAGGCACAGGCAAATATTTCATGACAAAGATACCAAAAGTAATTGCAAGAAAAGCAAAAATTGTCAAGTGGGATCTAATTAAACTTAAGAGCTTCTGCATAGCAAAAGAAACTATCAACGGGGTAAACAGCCTACAGAATGAGAGAATTTTGCAAACTATGCATCTGACAAAGGTCTAATATTTAGCATGTATAATGAGCTTAAACAAATTTACAAGAAAAACAGACAACCCCATTAAAAAGTGGGCAAAGGACATGAACAGGCACCTCTCAAAAGAAGATATACATGTGGCCAACAAGCATATATAAAAAAAAGCTCAATATCACTGATCATTAGATAAATGCAAATAAAAACCACAGTGAGATACCATTGCATACCAGTCAGAATAACTATTGTTAAAAAGTCAACAAATAACAGATGCTGATGAGGTTGCAGAGAAAAGGGAACACTTACACACTGTTGGTGGGAGTGTAAATTAACCATGTGGAAAGCAGAATGGCAACTCCTCAAAGAGCTAAAAACAGAACTACCATCCAACCCAGCAATGCAATTACTGGGTATAGACCCGAAGGAATAGAAATCATTCTACTATAAAGACACATGCATGTGAATATTCACTGCAATGCTACTCACAATAGCAAAGACATGGAATCAACCTAAATGACCTTCAGTGACAGATTGCATAAAGAAAACATGGTACATATACATCATGGAATACTATGCAGCCATAAAAATAATGAGATCATGTCTTTTTTGGGAACATGGATGGAACTGGAGGCTATTATCCTTAGCAAACTAATGCAGGAACAGAAAACCAACTACTGCATGTTCTCTCTTGCAGGTGGGAGCTAAATGATAAGAACTTATGAACACAAAGAAGGAAACAACAGATACTGGGTTCTCCTTGAGGGGGTAGGGTGGGAAGAGAGAGAGGAGCAGAAAAGATGACTATTGGGTACTGGGCTTAATACCTGGATGATGAAATAATATGTATAATAAATTCCTGTGACATGTGTTTACCTACGTAACAAACCTTCACGTGTACCCTCAAATCTAAAATAAAAGTTAAAAAAGGAAGTTACTAGAGATGATAAAGTAATAATAACAACGGGGTATAGTTGGGTTTGTAAATTGATAGGTGTAATATGCATAACAATAACGTCATAAAGAGGGAGAAATGGAATAGAGCTATGTAGGAGTAATGTGTCTATGTATCACTGAAATTAAGCCAGTAAATTTGAAGTGGATTCTGATAAGATGTGTATGGCAAATCCTAGAGCAACCACCTAAAAGTGGTTAATATTATTAGGCATAAAATGCTACATTTGAAAATAGTTACCTAAGGAAAAAGAAAGATATGAAAGAGAAGTGGAGGAGGAAAAAATGACATGAAACATATAATAAACAAAAAGAAAAATAGTGACATAAATCTATATCAATAACAACATTAAATGTGAATGGATTATATCACCCAATCAAAAGGCAGAGATTGTCACACTGGATTAAAAACATGATCCAACTCTATGCTATCTACAGAAGACACATTTTAGATCGAAAGATACAATAGATTGAAAGCAAAAGGATGTAAAAAGACATATTATCAAAAAGCAACCACAAGAAAGCTGGAGTGGCTATACTGATAATCAGACAAAATAGACTTTTAAAACCAAAAATATTACCAGATAAATAGGGAGATTTTAGAATAATAAAGGTCATCCATCAGCAATATATGATAATTATAAACATGTATGCACCTAGAAATAGAGCACGAAAATATATGAAGCAAATAAAGAGAGAAATAAATAATTCAACAACAATAATTGGAAACTTCAATATCCATTTTCAGTAGTAGACAGAACAAGATAGAAGATCAGCATAAAACTAGAAGACCTGAAGAACATTATAAACCAAATAGACCTACAACACTCCATGCAACAACAGAATATGGCAATCTTCTCTAATGCACACACATCATTCTCCAGGATATGCCATATGTTGGATCATTTTTTAAAAACTTAGTAAATTTAAAAGAAACAATACAAAGTATATTATCTGATCACAGTGAAATGAAATTTGAAATCAATAGCAAAAAAAAAAAAAATCAAATTGAAAAACTCACAAATAGGTGGAAATTAAACAACACACTTCTAAATATCCAGTGCATCCAAGATGAATGCATTTAAAAGGAGAATAAGACATGGGGTCGGTCTGGGGCAGAATGATATGGTTTGAATATTTGTCCACTCCAAATCTCATGTTGAAATGTAATTCCCAGTGTTGAAGGGTATAAGTGTTTCATTTTCTCGGAAACCTCATCAGCTTCTGTTATTTTTTGACTTTTTAATCAAAATGAGAATAAGAAAATAATTTGAGATGCATGAAAATGAAGACACAACATACCAAAACTTATCGAATGCAGGGAGTGATAGAAAAAAAAAAAAAACAAGTTTCTCTTTGAAGTGATGAAAATGTTCTAAAATTGACTGTGGAGATGCTGGAACACATCTGTAAATATAACAAAAACCACTGAATGGTACACTTAAAAAGGGTGAATTGTATGCACGCCAATTATACTTCAATAAAGCTATTAAAAGTTTGAGAATTGTTTTTAAAGAATATTTAATAAAGTGAGAAAATGCTCACAATCTAGATGGGTAGGAAAGGAAGTTGAAAATGCTATGTATAGTTGATATGAATACCAATATCTAAGTTTCGTAGAGTGTTTCTTATGTGCCAAGCATCATATTTAGTATTTTATATGAAATATCTTCCTATTCTTCAGTGAGTTTAAGTTCTAGTCCTATATCCATTTTGCAGTTGAGGAAGTTGAAGTCTAGAGCTCTTAGGTTTAAACGTCTGTTTCTTTTTCAGAATCTGCTCACCTATTTTATTATAAACTGCCTTTAATTTTTTAATGCATCTATACTGTGTAGTAAAAGACTGACAAAACATCTGTTAAAATGTTACTAATGGTAGGAATAATTGGCAATTTTTATTCTTTCTTCTCCATACTTTTATTAAAACCCCAAAATAAACTGAGTTCAAGCCCTAAACTAATTTTCCCCCACCCCAGCTCATACCCTTTACCCAATCTGTCATAGCTGTTTTATGTATACTGTTATTCAATGGAAATTCATGTCTATAGTGGTGGTCCTGATATAAGATAATCATTGAGGAGCTATTACACATAAATACATACCCTACTCTGGCCATACCACATACCATAGTGATTACATGAGCAGTGCCAGAGTGCTGAGTTCCGATCCTCACTTGAATTTACCATTTGTAACAGGCAATTTTTGCATTGCTATAAAACATATCTGAGGCTGGATAATTTATATTAAAAAAAAGGTTTATTTGGCTCATGGTTCTGAAAGCTGTACAAGCATGGCTCCAGCATCTGCTTCTGGTGAGGACCTCAGTAAGCTTACAATCACGGCAGAAGGTGAAGGAGGAGCAGGCAGCATCTCACATGGTGAGAATGGGAGCAAGAAAGAGTGATGGTGGATGTGTCACTTTTAAACAACCAGATCTCATGTGAACTCAGAACGAGTTCTGTCATCGCCAAGGGTATGGCGCTAAGGCATTCATGAGGGATGAATGATTCAAACACCTCCCACAAGGCCCCACCTTCAACACCGGGAATTACATTTCAACATGAGATTTGGAGTGGACAAATATTCAAACCATATCATTCTGCCCCAGGCCCACCCCAAAATCTCAGGTTCTCACATTGCAAAATGCAAGAATCTCTTCCCAACTGTCCCCTAAAGTCTCAACTCATTCCAACATCAAGTCCAAAGTTCTGTCTCATCTGATACTCATCTCCTTCCACCTATGAACCTTTAAAATCAAAACAAGTTATTTCCAAGATACAATGGGATACAGACATTGGGTAAACATACTTGTTCCAAAAGAGAAAGAGTGGCCAAAAGAAAAGAGCTGTGGGCCCCATGAGAGTCTGAAACCCAGAAGGGTAGTCCTTAAGTCTTAAAGCTCCAAAATAATCTCCATTGATTCCATGTTCCATATTTAGGGCACACTGGTGCAAGAGGTGGGCTCCCAAGGCCTTGGGCAGCTTTGCCTTTGTGGCTTTGAAGGATGCCAATCACATGTCTGCTCTCATGGGTTGGAGCTGAGTGCCTGCAGCTTTTCTAGGCTCAGGATGCAAGCTGCCAGTGGATCTATCATTCTAGGTTCTGGAGGGCAGTAGCCCACTTCCCATAGCTCCACTAGGCAATGCCCCAGTGGGGACTCTGTGTAGTGACTTCAGTTCCACATTTCTCCTCCACATTGCCCTAGTAGAGTTTCTCTGTTAAGGTTCTGCCTCTGTGGCTGGCTTCTGCCTGGGCACCCAGGCTTTTTGATACACCCTCTGAAATCTAGGTGGAACTCACCAAGTCTCCATCACTCTTGCATTGAGTGTGCCTGCAGGTTTGACACCACATGGAATCTACCAAGGCTTATGGCTTGCATTCTCCAAAGTGGCAACCTGAGCTGTATCTAGGGCCCTTTGAGCCATGGCTGGAGCTGAAGTAGCAAGGGTATGGGGAGCAGTGTTCTGGGGTGGCACAGGGCTTTGGCCCTGGCCCATGAAACCATTCTTTCCCCTTAGGCCTCTGGACCTGTTATGGGAGGGGCTGCCTCAGAGATATCTGAAAAAATGCCTTCAATGCCTTTTTTTTTTTCATTTTCTTGGCTATTAGCACCTGACTGCCTTTTAGACATGCAAATAACTCTACCAAGATACATTTGGATTCTTTCCCTGAAAACGGGCTTTTCTTTTATAGCACTGGCTAGGCTGAACATTTTCCAAACTTTCACACTCTGCTTCCTTTTTAAATATGAGTTCCAACTTTAAGTCATTTCTTTGCTCCCACATCTAAGCATAGGTTGTTAGAAGAAGCCAGGTCACATCTTGAATGCTTTGCTGCTTAGAAATTTCTTCACCAGATTCCCTAAACCATCACTCTTAAGTTTAAATTTCAAGATCCCTAAAACATGAACACAATGCAGCCAAGTTCTTTGCTATGGCATAACAAGGATGACCTTTGCTCCAGTTCCCAATAAGTTCCTCATTTCCATCTGAAACATCATCAGCCTAGACTTCACTGTCCATATCACTATCAGCATTTTGGTCAAAACCACTTAACCAGTCTCTAAGAAGTTCCAAACTTTCCCTCATCTTCTTTTCTTCTTCTGAGCCCTCCAAACTCTTCCAACCTGTGCCTGTTATTCAGTTCAAAAGTTGCTTCCACATATTCAGGTATCTTTATATCAATGCCCCACTTCTCAGTACCAATTTTCTGTATTAGGCCATTTTTGCATTGCTATAAAGAAATACCTGAGGCTGGGTAATTTATAAAGAACAGAGGTTTAGTTGGCTCATGGTTCTGCAAGACGTAAAAGCACAGCTCCAGCATCTGCTTCTGGTGAAGATCTCAGGAAGCTTAAATTCATGGCAGAAGGTGAAGGGGGAACAGATCTCACATGGTGAGAGAAGGAACAAAAGAGTGAGTGGAGAGGTGCCACACACTTTTAAACAACCAGATCCACATGAACTCAGAGCAAGTACTCTCAACACCAAGGGGATGCCGCTAAGCCATTCATGAGGAATCTGCCCCCATGATCCAATCACCACCCACCAGGCCCCATATCCAAAACTGGGGATTATGTTTCAACGAGATTTGGAGTGGGCAAATACCCAAACCATATCACCATTCATTTCACCTAATTCCTCAATTAATCTGAGGAAATTAATAATTTTGTCAGTAAAATGAAGAGAAAAATAGTAGCTACATCCTTGGTTTGCTGTGAAGTTTAAATACGTTAACATATATAAAGACAGTGACTGGCCCCTGGCAAGTAATCCATAGTGTTAGCTATTATTTTTTACTAGGATACTTATTAAATCTTTAAAGTACATTATATGTTTATGAAGGTTTTTTAACAAACATTTCTTGAGCAGTGGTTTGTAGTTCTCCTTGAAGAGGTCCTTCACATCCCTTGTAAGTTGGATTCCTAGGTATTTTATTCTCTTTGAAGCAATTGTGAATGGGAGTTCACTCATGATTTGGCTCTCTGTTTGTCTGTTGTTGGTGTATAAGAATGCTTGTGATTTTCGTACGTTGATTTTGTATCCTGAGACTTTGCTGAAGTTGCTTATCAGCTTAAGGAGATTTTGGGCTGAGACAATGGGGTTTTCTAGATATACAATCATGTCATCTGCAAACACGGACAATTTGACTTCCTCTTTTCCTAATTGAATAGCCTTTATTTCCTTCTCCTGCCTAATTGCCCTGGCCAGAACTTCCAACACTATGTTGAATAGGAGTGGTGAGAGAGGGCATCCCTGTCTTGTGCCAGTTTTCAAAGGGAATGCTTCCAGTTTTTGCCCATTCAGTATGATATTGGCTGTGGGTTTGTCATAGATAGCTCTTATTATTTTGAAATACGTCCCATCAATACCTGATTTATTGAGAGTTTTTAGCATGAAGTGTTGTTGAATTTTGTCAAAGGCCTTTTCTGCATCTATTGAGATAATCATGTGGTTTTTGTCATTGGTTCTGTTTATATGCTGGACTACATTTATTGATTTGCATATATTGAACCAGCCTTGCATCCCAGGGATGAAGCCCACTTGATCATGGTGGATAAGCTTTTTGATGTGCTGCTGGATTTGGTTTGCCAGTATTTTATTGAGGATTTTTGCATCAATGTTCATCGAGGAAATAAAAGAGGATACAAACAAATGGAAGAATATTCCATGCTCATGGGTAGGAAGAATCAATATTGTGAAAATGGCCATACTGCCCAAGGTAATTTACAGATTCAATGCCATCCCCATCAAGCTCCAATGACTTCCTTCACAGAATTGGAAAAAACTACTTTAAAGTTCATATGGAACCAAAAAAGAGCCTGCATCGCCAAGTCAATCCTAAGCCAAAAGAACAAAGCTGGAGGCATCATGCTACCTGACTTCAAACTATACTACAAGGCTACAGTAACCAAAACAGCATGGTACTGGTACCAAAACAGAGATATAGATCAATGGAACAGAGCAGAGCCCTCAGAAATAACACCGCATATCTACAACTATCTGATCTTTGACAAACCTGACAAAAACAAGCAATGAGGAAAGGATTCCCTATTTAATAAATGGTGCTGGGAAAACAGGCTAGCCATATGTAGAAAGCTGAAACTGGATCCCTTCCTTACACCTTATACAAAAATTAATTCAAGATGGATTAAAGACTTACATGTTAGACCTAAAACCATAAAAAAAAAAACTCCAAAAGCAATGGCAACAAAAGCCAAAATTGACAAATGGGATCTAATTAAACTAAAGAGCTTCTGCACAGCAAAAGAAACTACCATCAGAGTAAAGAGGCAACCTACAAAATGGGAGAAAATTTTCGCAACCTACTCATCTGACAAAGGGCTAATATCCAGAATCTACAATGAACTCAAACAAATTTACAAGAAAAAAACAAACAACCCCATCAAAAAGTGGGCAAAGGACATGAACAGACACTTCTCAAAAGAAGACATTTATGCAGCCAAAAAACACATGAAAAAATGCTCACCATCACTGGCCATCAGAGAAATGCAAATCAAAACCACAATGAGATACCATCTCACACCAGTTAGAATGGCAATCATTAAAAAGTCAGGAAACAACAGGTGCTGGAGAGGATGTGGAGAAATAGGAACACTTTTACACTGTTGGTGGGACTGTAAACTAGTTCAACCATTGTGGAAGTCAGTGTGGCGATTCCTCAGGGATCTAGAACTAGAAATACCATTTGACCCAGCTATCCCATTACTGGGTATATACCCAAAGGACTATAAATCATGCTGCTATAGAGACACATGCACACGTATGTTTATTGCGGCATTATTCACAATAGCAAAGACTTGGAACCAACTCAAATGTCCAACGATAGACTGGATTAAGAAAATGTGGCACATATACACCATGGAATACTATGCAGCCATAAAAATGATGAGTTCATGTCCTTTGTAGGGACATGGATGAAATTGGAAATCATCATTCTCAGTAAACTATCGCAAGAACAAAAAACCCAACACCGCATATTCTCACTCATAGGTGGGAATTGAACAATGAGAACACATGGACACAGGAAGGGGAACATCACACTCTGGGGACTGTTGTGGGGTGGGGGGAGGGGGGAGGGATAGCATTGGGAGATATACCTAATGCTAGATGATGAGTTAGTGGGTGCAGCCCACCAGCCTGGCACATGTATACATATGTAACTAACCTGCACATTGTGCACATGTACCCTAAAATTTAAAGTATAATAATATTTAAAAAAAAAACAAAAAAAAAACATTTCTTTCAGGTGTATTTCTGGTTTATCCTGTTAACTGGGAAATAGAACTAACTGGAGCAGACAATTGTCTGAGTACTCTATTTAATGGAACTTTCACAATGGTATTATTTATTAGTCTGACAATTGAAGGTTATGCAAGAAGTTGCAAATTCTGATTAATAAAAATTAATAAAGACTGGGGATCAGCAAAAGTGATTTTGGATGCTATTGAACTTCGGGAAGATATACCCTAGTCTTGGGAGATTTTCTTCAGGAAGGTAAACTGAAAAATAACCCTGTGAACTAACCATGCTCCCTGGGTGTGAGCATCAACTTTTGAGAAACACCAAAGGGGACCATGCAAATGGACTATTTGATTGGCTTTGCAGTAACACTCATAAATGCTTGACTTTTGCCAACGTGGTAATTTAGGAATATTAAGTGGAACCTGCCAACAATGCCATTTTGCTTGATTGCACCGTGATTGCTTTTATATTACTGATATCAAACTGTGCATAATTAGAGACTGTTTTAACTCCAATAACAAATAACATACTTTGTTTTTACATAGCTAAATAATATCCTACAGAAGCAACATCATTACATCATAGGATAATGGCTCAATATGTCCATTAAAGGAAGACTTGCCTTTTCTAACTATTGGGTATTGTTCATAGTGTTGATGGACTTGGTCATTTTTATTTTACAATGTAAAACTGGGTTGATACATGCTTCTTGACTGTTCTGCAAACTTAACTAAATGATGAACTTAAAAAACATATTGTACAAGAAGAGGAGGTTTTGAATGTTATCACCATACATAACTAATAAATGTTTAAGGTGATGGATATTATAATTACCCTGATTTGATCCTTATACAATGTATACATGCACCGAAACATCACACTGTACCCCATAAGTATGTACAACTATTATATGTCAATTATAAATAAAAAATTAATAATGAAAAATTAAAATAGAAAAAGAAAAAACCATATTGTACAGAACTTAGCAACAATGTACTTCATTCTAGTGTGCAAAAATACTGAATCTTCAGAGTATAATTAATAATGATAAAATAAACCTTTGCAACATTTAAGATGCTAAATAACACTTGAAACTCAAGGAAACAAAAGAAACAACAATAGAATAAAGGCTATTTTGAGCATCTGTAATGCATTCACGACTCAACAAGTGAAAATTATTACATAACCAGCTTAAGCTGTGACACATACAAGAAAATTTAATGCTGATTGTTTTAAAGTGTGGCTCTTTGTGCAAAAGAAATTCTAGAGATTTCCAAGAAAATACTCCCCCTATTGTCACCCTCCCATCCCCAAACCCTAATTAGAGTCCAGGGATGTCTAACATTTTGAGCTGATGGGACATTTATCAATTTGTCAGCTTACTCAACTATAACATAATATTTTATTAGCCTCTGTACTGAACTATCTATTTAAGAATGTTTATATCCAAAGAGGTGTAGGAAATAGAGACAGTATCTGCCTCCAAGTCCAGTTTCCTGACCAGTATAATAAATGTCATATCTCCCTCTGGGGCAAAGGACAGGCAGATTTGCTAGCAGTCTTTAAAAGATTGAGATTGCCTAAGCTGAGGGTTTCTCAGCTGTGACGCAAACCCACTGTGAAATCTGCATCACCTGTGGGATATGAGAAGCAAGAAAAATCAATTTAAGCAGAAGTTCATGCTAACTACTATGCTATGAGTAATAACATTCTTTTTAAAAAAAGTATTCACAGGCAAAAATTGTAGTGCACTACAGCCTGGAACTCCTAGGCTCAAGAAATCCTCCCACCTCATACTCCCAAGTAGCTGGGACTACAGGGTTGTGCCACCATGTCAGCTAACATTCTTTTTTCTTGAATCAGGAGTCTTGTGTCTTCTGCTGGCATCTATGAACTTGTTAGCTTACAAGTAGGGTAAACATCTCAGACTCTTCCCAGTTTTTGACACTAATAAGCAGACTCCAAGAAGGAGATTTGCATGTCCCAAATCAATGGGAAATGCTCTTGGATCAACACCATTGTGGCAATGAGGAAAAGAGAGTTGCTGCAAGACAAGAAGCTATTGGATTTCAGTACAGTCAAACAAAAGCCTCACTCAGTTCCGTGGGGAGCTCTGAAGCCAGGATGGCCTTTCAGAGCTGCCCCTAGTGGAACTGAGGGCCTTGGGCCTCTATACTGTTTGCATGGACAAATCTTTGAATACAAGCTTCTTCCAGGATGTGGGCTTGACCTTGGGTGAGTCAGCCCCTTTTAGCTGAGGGCAAGCAAAGGAGATGAGACTCTACTGAGAGCTGTCATTTGCCATCACTCCTAGGAGCTCATCATTCCTATGAGTACAGATAAGACAGCCTCTAATTTCCTTTGATTCAGCTCTTTAATTCTTACTAGGAAAGTTACCAGAAATCATATTCTGTCTCTTTTTGCTAAGGAAAATCTCTTGTGGCTGTCTTTTACGTTCCCCTTCCCCATCTCCTCCCTAGCACAGTCTCCTAAGTGGCACACTGCCTTCCCCTCTGAGCCACCAGAGGAGGCCAGAGTCCTCTTCAGAGTCTGTTTCTCTGACCCTGCCTGGGGCAGCTTCCTCCTTGTCCATTTGAGCAGAAAGATTCTTCCAGAACTTTAGTTTCACTGAACTAGTTTTTCTCATTTTCAGCCTTCCATGTGGACTCCTAAAGTCTCCCTTTTGCTTGCTAAGATCCTGAAGCCATTCTGGCTTTAAGCAGATATTTGCCAAACACCATCTATGGTCTGGGGATTGTGCTAGACACTTAGGATATAACTGACAGAGATGCCCTTCTTTTAACTCAGTAACAACTAATTCAACTCAGAGCTCAATTAAATCCACAGACATTTACAGAGTTATTACTTGGTGGTCGAGGGGCGGTGGGGTGGTTCTCTTTGAGACTTTGAAATAGTGTAAGTCAGAATGTTTTCAGCTGCAAGAAACAGATACTTGACTGTAAGTGGCTTTAAAAAAATAAGATGTCTTCTAGGATGACTAACCAGGCAAGTTTTCCTGGAATTGTTCCAGCTTTAGCACTGGAAATCCTGAGTCCCAGAAATTCCCCTGACCTAGGCAAACTGGGATGGTTGTTCAACCTAAGCCTGCTAGGCATTGCAGTTCCTTCTTAGTGGTAGGAGATGCAAGATGTAATTTGTCCTTCACTTTATTTTTTTATTTTTAAAATATTTAGCATTTATTTCTTAATTGACTAATACAATTACATGTATTTATGATGTATAAGTATGATGTTTTGATTATATGTATACATTGTGAAATGGCTAAATCAAGCTAAATTATCATATGCATTACCTCAGAGATTTATCATTTTTTTGTGTTGAGAACACTTAAAATCTACTCTTTTAGCTATTTTCAAGCATACGATACATTGTTGTTAGCTATGGTTATGATATTATATAATAGATTGCCTGGACTTATTCCTCCTGTTTAACTGAGATTTTGAACCCTTTGACTAATAGCTCTCCAGCACCCCCACCCCAGCCCCCCGTAACCAAGTTTCTACTCTCTGCCTCTATGAGCTCAACTTTTTTAGATTCCACATGTAAGTGAGATCTTGTAGTATTTGTCTTATCCTCCACTTTAAAGATGTTCTCGCATGCCTCAGACCACTGGATCCTTAAAATCCTTCTGGATGAGTTAAGGCCTTAAATTTCCTCAGGGTTTATCTTCCATCGTCTGGAATGCAGGTACCTTAATAAGGCTTCCAGTAGACTTGCTGCTTCTTGCTCATTCAGTCAAATTGATATATCATTAATATAATGCACAAATATGATGCTCTGGACAATGTATATATGTATATATGGTGGGACTTAGAGCATTCCTACAGCTTTCTCCAAAAATTCTGAAAAAGCAAAAACAAAACAAACAAACAAAACCCCCCAAAAACCAAGCAACAGCAAAAACAAGAATAAGCTATCTTTTAAAAATCTCCAAATCCTGATTTTATATACTTAGTGTAGGAGCAGATCTTAGGTGTCCTTGAAGCGGTTTTTAAAATACCCCTTTGAAATATCAGCATGGGCTTAATTTCAAAAAATGGTGTCTATTATCTTGATGCTGTAGCCAAAGCTGAGACTGCAAGAACCTTATTTTACTTCCCATTACACATAAACATCAATTTCCTGCTTAAAAGTGTTCAATTGTTTTTTTAAAAAGGAGAGTCAATTTGTATTCTATCATTATCGAAAATAGGATCTCATAATTTGTGTTCAAGTTTAGAAAATTTTAAAAGTAACATTCTGTTCATCTCAGTCCATTGTGTAAATTTTAAACCTGACAAAGGGGGCTTCTGTACCTCTCAAAAGAATGAAAGATGGTGTAGTCCGCTGCAACCAGGTGGGGGCGATGCTTTGGCCACAACCTTGTGATTTAAATAAAAAGATGGTACCATTAGACATGGTTTATCTGAAGCCGAGCTTAAAGTCTCCTTGCTTTTTAAAAAAAAAAAAATTTTTTTTTTGAAATAAAATCCAAACTCTTTACCATGGATTTCAACGGACTGGCCCCTTTCCCAATTACCCAACCTCATTTCACGTCACTCCCTTCATCACTCACTCCATTTTGGCCACAGAGGCATTTCACTTCCCCAAATACACACATTTTCTTTTTACCTTGGGCCTTTGCCTCTCCTGATTCTCTGAGTGGAAGGCTTTTCCTTTCGCTGCCACATGGCTGTCTCATTCTCAGCCTTTAGGTCTCAACTTAACAGCTTTTAATAAATATCACTTCTTCAGAGAGTCCTTCTCTACCAACTTCATCTAATGTAAGCCAACTACTACCTGTCTTGGCATTCTGTTACAGCACCTTGTAACAGGTTCCCGTGGCTTAGCATAATTTGTAATTTTTTCTTATCTGACCCTTGCTAAACTGTAAATGCCAGGGGGGTGGCCTGTTTCCGTGTTTTGCCCTATGCTATACCTAGAATCTTGCATATTATCCTTTATATTAGTTTGTTAGGGCTACCTTAACAAAGCGTCACAGACTGGGTGGCTTAAACAACAGAAATTTCTTTCCTCACAATTCTAGAGGCCAGAAGTCTGAGATCAGGATGTCAGCAGGGTTGTTTTCTTCTGAGGCCTCTCTCCTTGGCTGTCTTCTCTCTATGTCTTCACGTGGCCTTCCTTTGTGTAATCTTCTCTTCTTATAAGGACCCAAGTTATATTAAGTTAGTTCCACCCTAGTGACCACATTTTATTTTATTTTTTATTTTACTTTAAGTTCTGGGATACATGTGCAGAACATGCAGGTTTGTTACATAGGTATACATGTGGCATGGTGGTTTGCTGCATCTATCAACTCGTCAGGTTTTAAGCCCCACGTGCATTAGGTATTTCTCCTAATGCTCTCCCTCCCCCAGCCCCCCACCCCCTGACAGGCCCCAGTGTGTGATGTTCTCCTCCCTGTGTCCATGTGTTCTCATTGTTCAACTCCCACTTATGAATGAGAACATGTGGTGTTTGGTTTTCTGTTCCTGTGTTAGTTTGCTAAGAATGATGGCTTCCAGCTTCATCTATGTCTCTGCAAAGGACATGAACTCATTCTTTTTTATGGCTGCATAGTATTCCATGGTGTATATGTGACACATTTTCTTTATCCAGTCTACCATTGATGGGCATTTGGGTTGGTTCCAAGTCTTTGCTATTGTAAATAGTCCTGCAATAAACATATCTGTGCATGTGTCTTTATAGTAGAATGATTTAGTGACCACATTTTAACTTAATTAATTTTTAAAGATTATCTCCAAATACAATACAGTCGCATTCTGAGGCACTGGGGTCAGGACTTCAATGTATGAATTAGGGGTGAGGGCTCAATTCACCTCATAAAACCCTGGCACATAATAGGCACTTCATACACATCCACTGAATGGATAAATGCTTTCAAAATTATCATTGAGTTCAAAGATTGTAAAACAGAAAAGGAAAGGAAGCTTGAAGCTTGTCCAAGGTGCCCACTCTAGAGATGTGTACTGTAAGCGGTTTGGATTGAGCAGTGGTGTCTGGGATTTTTGTAACTTTTACAGGTGATTCGAATGTATAGTCAGTCTTAAGCATCACTAATCCATTTCAGTCACCCTAATTTTGAAGAAAGAAAGGCCAAGGAATTTTAGAGACGTGACCAAGATAATACAATTAAACAGTTAAGATAATACAATTAAAGAATTACAGATTTAGTATGTCAACTTAAACATCTGGCTTCCTGTGCTATTTTCAATGCATTATATTTAAAGGTAGCCACATTTTCATAATGAATGCTAAAATTACCCACAATGTAGACTTTAAATTGTGAAGGAAAATGAAGTCAGCACTCCAGGAGCGTGCCACTGTTCTTTCATTTGCCTAGGTCAATGTTTTGCAAAGCAGGTACACTTGTTCAGCAAAGCAGCAAGTGTTAGCAAACCTCCTCCCATTGTAGTAAATCTTTATTATACATAGAATACAGTTATAGTCTACAGGATAGTGTGTCAATCACTTTCTCCTAGGAAAGGCAGAGTGGGGACAAAGCCTAGCCATTGCTTTGGAGTGTGGCAACAGCCTAGAAGCCTTCAAAGGTGGTGCTTACCTGCATACAATCCCAAATGCCTATACTCCTTATTTCTATAAATTTCCATCATTCCATCACTGATAAAAGAAAGGAAAAAGAACATCAGAAGTTGAAGTCATGATGGCAACACCCAGATAGATGCCACCAGGTCTATCTCCTGCTTAGAGGAGGACATTTATGCATTTCTGTGAATTGGGGGTTTCCAGAGTCCTATACCTCTTTGTTTAGTCTCCCATTGCGAGGCTCCTGTGATGTCTAATGAAGTGAGCATAGGAATTGCCCTAAGCTAGAATGCTACAGTTAGTCATTTGTTGACTTTGGTACTTGCTCACTATGTGGGTAGGGCTAGGCCTGCAGTGGAGGTGGGTGAGAGAGCTTCTACATCAGTGTCAGCAGAGGTGAATGAGGATAGACCACTCAATGGCTGCCTTCTAACTATCATGTTAGGGAAAGCCTTCCCCTACCATTTGTTTCTGGTTGGCTGTATGTTGATATTAGAGTCAAGATATTACTGCAATCTCATTTTCTCCTCTGAGCAACGTTGCTGTGTTGATTATGTAGGGAGGCTGATGGTAGATATCTCGTCCTATTTTTTGTTTGTGTCTTGTTCTTAACCACACCATGTAGTTGACTGAATGTCTTGATTCCTTCTGATTCTGAGGTACTTGTGCAAGCCCCAATTTAGGAAATCCTAATTGTTTTCTGATACAAATCAGCAGTCAGTATTGGTTGGGATGGAAACCAGGGACTTTGAGACTTTTGCTTTGATCAGATTAGACCACTGGGATTAACTGTGTCTGCAGAGGGGAAACAGAGAGATAACCAGGAACTGGGTCTCCTAATCTTTGGTCAGCTACTTTTGTCTATCATGTGAGTTTGAAGGGAATCTACAGGGTAGAACTCTCTTCATGTAACTGCCCACACTTTAGTAGTAGTGCAAAGAGATTTGTAAAATAGATAACATGTTCACTCACATTTCTAGGTTTATTTGAGGAAAGGGCTTAATATATCATCATTTTGGTTTATCCAAGTACACTGATGCATAATCAATATCTGTAAGTTTTAAGAGAAAAACTATATTGAGTAAATACTTTTAAATTATCTTAACATTTTTGAATATCTTTCTTTCCAATAACATACTTTTGATCTCAAAAATGTTTTCATCGTTTCTGATGAATAATCCATTAGCTGGAAAAACTTGAGTTATAACAGATGGCATGAAATAGAAATGTTACCTCTGCAATTTAAAATCCATTTTCTTTCATTTGAGAAATTTATTTTTGAGATATCAGCCTTGCAATCTCAGACCATGTAAATGTGTTTGTGACTTGGGAAAGGAATGTGCCACTGACTAGCATAATTGAATTGTAGAGTAAATTTCTTTCTTCCTTTTTGTCTGTATTAAGGTCTCATCTAGTCTGTGAGCCAGCACCACCCATTCATGTTGCAGAGATCTATCGGATGCTAGAGGGGCCTGCAATGGTCCCTGGTCCATTAAAAACAGCTTAGGGCCAGATAAACCCTGACCTCCCCAGCAAAATCTGATCACCTGTTTCCTATTACTCCCTGATTCCCAGGTTCCTAAACTTTGATCTTTATCTCAAAGTTAGAACCTTTTTAACTGCTTTTCATAGCATTTGGTAATCTCTCATTCAAATTCCTCAGAATTGATTTTGGCATTGCACTGAAACTCCAGCTCTTACCTCAGAGGCTAAAGGAATCCATTTCTTCCCTGGTATTGTGTATCTTCATGTTCCCTGGTTTGGGTCTTGCTGTGTTTCATGTCACATTAGTCACTACCCTATTTTTTTAATAAATTTTTTTTTAATTTGTGCAAATTTATGAGGCACATGAGAAATTTTTTACATGTATACGATGTGCAGTGATCAAGTCAGTGTATCTAGGGTGTTTGCCACCTGAGTACAACACATTTTTTTAAAGTATAGTCATCCTATCTGCTATGAAATATCAAACTTACCCCTTCTTTTTTTTTCAACTTCCACTTTTAGTTTAGATTTGGGAGCACATGTACAGGTTTGTTACATGGGTATATTGCATGATGCTGAGGTTTGGGGTACGATTAAATCTGTCAGCCAGGTAGTGAGCATAGTACCCAGTAGGTAGGATTTCAACACTTGGCTCCCTTCCTCATCTTCCCTCTGTAGTCCCCAGTGTCTCTTATTCCCAGCTTTATGTCCATGTGTACCCATTGTTTAGCTCCCACCTATAAGTGAGTATAAGTAGTGTTTGGTTTTCTGTTTCTGTGTTAAGTCACTTAGGATAAAGGCCTCCAGCTGCATCCATATTTCTGCAAAAGACATGATTTTATTCTTTTTATGGGTGCGTTGTATTCCATGTATCAAGTGTTCTTTATCCAATCCACCATTCATGGACACCTAGGTTGATTCCATGTCTTGGCTACTGTTAATAGTGCTGTGATGAACATATGAGTGCATGTGTCTTTTTGGTAGAATGATCTATTTTTCTTTGGGTATATACCCAGTAATGGGATTGCTGGGATGATTGGTAGCTCTATTTTTAGTTCTTTGATAAATCTCCAAACTGCTTTCCACAGTGACTGAACTTATTTACATTCCCACCAAACATGTATAAGCATCCGCTTTCCTCTGCAGCCTCACCAACATCTGTTATTTTTTAATTTTTTAGTGATAGCCATTCTGATTGGTGTAAGATGGTATCTCATTGTGGTTTTGATTTGCATTTCTCTGATGATTAGTGATGTTGAACATTTTTTGATATTTTTTTGGCCACCTGTATGTCCTCTTTTGAGAAGTGTCTATTCATGCCCTTTGTCCACTTTTCAATGGCATTATTTGTTTTTTGCTTGTTGATTTTTTTAAGATCATTGGAGATTCTGGATATATGCAAATGTACCATCATGAGGTCTGTAAAGTATTCTAGATTCTTTGGGTCTAACTAAAGGGTCTTTGGGTCTAACACTGAGGTTTTGCAGCCATAAAAAAGAACAGAATCATGTCCTTTGCAGCAACGTGGAAGCAGCTGGAAGCTGTTACCCTAAGCAAATCAATGCAGGAACAGAAGACTAACTACTGCATGTTGTCGTAAGTGAGAGATAAACATTGGGTACTCATGGACATAAAGATGGCAACAATAGACACTGGAGACTGCTAGAGTGGGGAGGTAGGAAGGAGGCCAAGAGTTGAAAAACTACCTATTGGGTACTATGCTTACCATCTGGGTGATGGGTTTAATTGTATCCCAAACCTCTGCATCATATAATATACCCATGTAACAAATGTGTACATGTACCTCCTGAATCTAAAATAGAAGTTGAAATTATAGAAAAAAACCATTGAGTTTTGAGCCACCAAATGTACTTTACCCTGCCATATGAAAGCAGTGGAAAGTCTCTGGAAGTGAAGAAGGTGGGGAAAGAGAGAACTTCTTGCTGAAAAGATCAGACACGTCACCAAGGAGCCAGGGATTTTGATCTGCGAATGACAGCCAGTCCAGTTGACTGGAAAATAAGGTGAATTGTGGGAGATGAAGCCAGCAAGGTAGGTGGGAACCAGATCATGGAGAATTTTTGTTCCACAGTAAAATATCTCAATTTTAGTGAAGGGAATGGGAAACCATTGTAGGTTTTTAAGCGAGGGAGGACATCATTAGAATTATTCATTACGTTGGCAGCATTATACAGACAGATTGGAGAGAAGACAGACTGGAGGCACTAGGACCAATTAGATGGCTGTGGCAGTACTCTAGCCCAGAGGGATATCAGTGAGAATGTCAGAGTAAGGACTTTCAAAAATCCTCTTCTTTATAAAAACAATTAGAACACTGGCATACTTGTCAGGATCAGCTTCCCCAGAACTCTGTAAATTAATTAAAAGTTTGCAGCAATCCAGAGAGTGGTTTTTACAAGAAAACTAGATAAATATTTATAAAATCATGGACTTTGTGGCATTTTAATTTGCCCTATTCTGATCCTGTTCTCTCTAGCTCTGTGGTAGTATTGAAAAATAACAGCTCATGATGCCAGTGAAAACCAGCAGCTGGACAGTCTCTGGAGGGAGCAAAGTGTGTTTGGAGCTCCTTTCAAAGCTCCATTGACAGAGAATTGTCATTATTTGACCTGTCTGGTGGTTTCATGGAAGGCCCCACTCACAATGTTTGTTTTTATTTAACCTGAGTCAGAGCTTGCCTGCTTTCTCCGGGAGGATTTGTCAAAAACAATCAATGGCAATTGTTAAATATCCTAGCAACCTGAGGTGATAGATAACAGTTTGACCAAACAGTAGCCCAATCAAAAAGCTTAAAAGGAAAATCTGGGAAATGAAATGACCAAAAGCCATTTTAAAAAGGTCCTGCACATTCCTGGGAATCTAGAAGGCCATGCTCATGTGTAAGGCTGTGCACATGCCCAGGAGAGACTTGAGAAGGACTTGTGCTCTCACCTCTAACTGACCTTAAGGCTGTGCACAGGCAGGAGGTAAGTGCTAAAGCAGAGTTGTAAACTGACTGACGGAGTGTTGAAGGCCTCTCTGAAGATGCATACGGAGTTTCTTGGTAAAGACTTATTGATTTCATACATTAAAGAAAATATCTGTCTACTTAGTAGCTGATCACTACGCTTACCAAGCAGATACTTCAGCAGCCACACATGACAACGAATGCAGTATTTATAGAATTACTTCAGAAAAGTCACTGAATAAACAAACAGCAACAACAGCAGCAACAACAACAAATCCTGGAAAGAGAAAAATATCTGATTTCCAGAGTTCCCATGCTATGTTATTTAAAATGTCCAATTTCCAACAAAAAATTATATAACATTGAAATAAATAAGAAAGTATGGCTCACACACAAGAGAAAAAGCAATCAATAGAAATTGTCCCTGAGGAAGCTCAGACATTAGACTTACTATACAAAGACTCTACATCAGCTATTTTAAATATGTTCAAATAACTGAAGGAAATTATGTCTAAAGAATCAAAGAAAAATATGAGAATGAGCTGTCACCAAATAGAGAATATCAGTAAAGTGACATAAAGTAGTTTAATTAAAAACCAAATAGAAATTTTGGGGAGGAAGCATGATGGTGGGGAATTGCCTCAGTGCCCAAAATAATTCAGAGATTAGAGTCGGGATGATGGATAACCTAGTAGACTTTGTAACAGATGGGAAAAGTGATGAAGGGCATGATGGGCTCAGACTTCATGGTTTCCAAGCAATTCATGGGCCTGGGCTGTGTTTTTTGGAGGTGTGGGCCTCATGCCACATGCATGCAGCATTCTGTTGCTTCTTTTTCACTCCTGTCAAGGGTGATGTGAGAGTAGAGAAGGTGACCTTTTCTGGATTATTTGAGCTTGGGGGCTCTGTCTTGACTCCCGGAGCATGTGGATTAATGTTGCATTTAAAAATATCTGGAGAATGCTTCAGAATTGAAATTTTCCACAAAAACATTAATTTTTATTGTAGTACCTTTAGGGTTTCTATTTGAACCTATCTTATAAAGATAGAACTGTTATTTATATATTAAATACATTTGCACTATATACACACATACAAAATGCACATACATAATTTATGTATGCATATATTATCTAAATTGTCAGTAATTGGATAGTTCTTTTTTTATTTTATTTTATTATTATTATACTTTAAGTTTTAGGGTACATGTGCACAATGTGCAGGTTTGTTACATATGTATACATGTGCCATGCTGGTGTGCTGCACCCATTAACTTGTCATTCAGCATTAGGTATATCTCCTAATGCTATCCCTCCCCCCGCCCCCTACCCCACAACAGTCCCCAGAGTGTGATGTTCCCCTTCCTGTGTCCATATGTTCTCATTGTTCAATTCCCACCTATGAGTGAGAACATGCGGTGTTTGGTTTTTTGTTCTTGCGATAGTTTACTGAGAATGCTGATTTCCAATTTCATCCATGTCCCTACAAAGGACGTGAACTCATCATTTTTTATGGCTGCATAGTATTCCATGGTGTATATGTGCCACATTTTCTTAATCCAGTCTATCATTGTTGGACATTTGGGTTGGTTCCAAGTCTTTGCTATTGTGAATAGTGCTGCAATAAACATACGTGTGCATGTGTCTTTACAACAGCATGATTTATAGTCCTTTGGGTATATACCCAGTAATGGGATGGCTGGATCAAATGGTATTTCTAGTTCTAGATCCCTCCCTGAGGAATCGTCACACTGACTTCCACAATGGTTGAACTAGTTTACAGTCCCACCAACAGTGTAAAAGTGTTCCTGTTTCTCCACATCCTCTCCAGCACCTGTTGTTTCCTGAGTTTTTAATGATTGCCATTCTAACTGGTGTGAGATGGTATCTCATTGTGGTTTTGATTTGCATTTCTCTGACGGCCAGTGATGATGAGCATTTTTTCATGTGTTTTTTGGCTGCATAAATGTCTTCTTTTGAGAAGTGTCTGTTCATGTCCTTTGCCCACTTTTTGATGGGGTTGTTTGTTTTTTTCTTGTAAATTTGTTTGAGTTCATTGTAGATTCTGGATATTAGCCTTTTGTCAGATGAGTAGGTTGCAAAAATTTTCTCCCATTTTGTAGGTTGCCTGTTCACTCTGATGGTAGTTTCTTTTGCTGTGCAGAAGCTCTTTAGTTTAATTAGATCCCATTTGTCAATTTTGTCTTTTGTTGCCATTGCTTTTGGTGTTTTAGACATGAAGTCCTTGCCCATGCCTATGTCCTGAATGGTAATGCCTAGGTTTTCTTCTAGGGTTTTTATGGTTTTAGGTCTAACATGTAAGTCTTTAATCCATCTTGAATTAATTTTGTATAAGGTGTAAGGAAGGGATCCAGTTTCAGCTTTCTACATATGGCTAGCCTGTTTTCCCAGCACCATTTATTAAATAGGGAATCCTTTCCTCATTGCTTGTTTTTGTCAGGTTTGTCAAAGATCAGATAGTTGTAGATATGCGGCGTTATTTCTGAGGGCTGTGCTCTGTTCCATTGATCTATATCTCTGTTTTAGTACCAGTACCATGCTGTTTTGGTTACTGTAGCCTTGTAGTATAGTTTGAAGTCAGGTAGCGTGATGCCTCCAGCTTTGTTCTTTTGGCTTAGGATTGACTTGGCGATGCAGGCTCTTTTTTGGTTCCATATGAACTTTAAAGTAGTTTTTTCCAATTCTGTGAAGAAAGTCATTGGTAGCTTGATGGAGATGACATTGAATCTATAAATTACCTTGGGCAGTATGGCCATTTTCACGATATTGATTCTTCCTACCCATGAGCATGGAATGTTCTTCCATTTGTTTGTATCCTCTTTTATTTCCTTGAGCAGTGGTTTGTAGTTCTCCTTGAAGAGGTCCTTCACGTCCCTTGTAAGTTGGATTCCTAGGTATTTTATTCTCTTTGAAGCAATTGTAAATGGGAGTTCACTCATGATTTGGCTCTCTGTTTGTCTGTTATTGGTGTATAAGAATGCTTGTGATTTTTGTACATTGATTTTGTATCCTGAGACTTTGCTGAAGTTGCTTATCAGTTTAAGTAGATTTTGGGCTGAGACAATGGGGTTTTCTTGATATACAATCATATCGTCTGCAAACAGGGACAATTTGACTTCCTCTTTTCCTAATTGAATACCCTTTATTTCCTTCTCCTGCCTAATTGCCCTGGCCAGAACTTCCAACACTATGTTGAATAGGAGTAGTGAGAGAGGGCATCCCTGTCTTGTGCCAGTTTCCAAAGGGAATGCTTCCAGTTTTTGCCCATTCAGTAAGATATTGGCTGTGGGTTTGTCATAAATAGCCCTTATTATTTTGAGATACGTCCCATCAATATCTATTTTATTGAGAGCTTTTAGCATGAAGATTGTTGAATTTTGTCCAAGGCCTTTTCTGCATCTATTGAGATAATCATGTGGTTTTTGTCTTTGGTTCTCTTTATATGCTGGATTACATTTATTGATTTGCTTATATTGAACCAGCCTTGCATCCCAGAGATGAAGCCCACTTGATCATGGTGGATAAGCTTTTCGATGTGCTGCTGGATTCAGTTTGCCAGTATTTTGTTGAGGATTTTTGCATCAATGTTCATCAAGGATATTGGTCTAAAATTCTCTTTTTTGGTTGTGTCTCTGCCCGCCTTTGGTATCAGGATGATGCTGGCCTCATAAAATGAGTTAGGGAGGATTCCCTCTTTTTTTATTGATTGGAATAGTTTCAGAAGGAATGGTACCAGTTCCTCCTTGTACCTCTGGTAGAATTTGGCTGTGAATCCATCTGGTCCTGGACTCTTTTTGGTTGGTAAGCTATTGATTATTGCCACAATTTCAGATCCTGTTATTGGTCTATTCAGAGATTCAACTTCCTCCTGGTTTAGTCTTGGGAGGGTGTATGTGTTGAGAAATTTATCCATTTCTTCTAGATTTTCTAGTTGATTTGCGTAGAGGTGTTTGTAGTATTCTCTGATGGTAGTTTGTATTTCTGTGGGATTGGTGGAGATATCCCCTTTGTCATTTTTTATTGCATCTTTTTGATTCTTCTTTCTTTTTTTCTTTATTAGTCTTGCTAGCGGTCTAACAATTTTGTTGATCCTTTCAAAAAACCAGCTCCTGGATTCATTAATTTGTTGAAGGGTTTTTTGTGTCTCTATTTCCTTCAGTTCTGCTCTGATTTTAGTTATTTCTTGCCTTCTGCTAGCTTTTGAATGTGTTTGCTCTTGCTTTTCTAGTTCTTTTAATTGCAATGTTAGGGTGTCAATTTTGGATCTTTCCTGCTTTCTCTTGTGGGCATTTAGTGCTATAAATTTCCCTCTACACACTGCTTTGAATGTGTCCCGGAGATTCTGGTATGTTGTGTCTTTGTTCTTGTTGGTTTCAAAGAACATCTTTATTTCTGCCTTCATTTCGTTATGTACCCAGTAGTCATTCAGGAGCAGATTGTTCATTTTCCATGTAGTTGAGTGGTTTTGAGTGAGTTTCTTAATCCTGAGTTCTAGTTTGATTGCACTGTGGTCTGAGAGATAGTTTGTTATAATTTCTGTTTTACATTTGCTGAGGAGAGCTTTACTTCCAAGTATGTGGTCAATTTTGGAATAGGTGTGGTGTGGTGCTGAAAAAAATGTATATTCTGTTGATTTGGGGTGGAGAGTTCTGTAGATGTCTATTAGGTCCGCTTGGTGCAGAGCTGAGTTCAATTCCTGGGTACCCTTGTTAACTTTCTGTCTCGTTGATCTGTCTAATGTTGACAGTGGGGTGTTAAAGTCTCCCATTATTATTGAATGGGAGTCTAAGTCTCTTTGTAGGTCACTCAGGACTTGCTTTATGAATCTGGGTGCTCCTGTATTGGGTGCATATATATTTAGGATAGTTAGCTCTTCTTGTTGAATTGATCCCTTTATCAGTATGTAATGGCCTTCTTTGTCTCTTTTGATCTTTGTTGGTTTAAAGTCTGTTTTATCCGAGACTAGGATTGCAACCCCTGCCTTTTTTTGTTTTCCATTTGCTTGGTAGATCTTCCTCCATCCTTTTATTTTGAGCCTATGTGTGTCTCTGCATGTGAGGCGGGTTTCCTGAATACAGCACACTGATGGGTCTTGACTCTTTATCCAATTTGCCAGTCTGTCTTTTAATTGGAGCATTTATTCCATTTACATTTAAAGTTAATATTGTTATGTGTGAATTTGATCCTGTCATTATGATGTTAGCCAGTTATTTTGCTTGTTAGTTGATGCAGTTCCTTCCTAGCCTCGATGGTCTTTACAGTTTCCATGATTTTGCAGTGGCTGGTACCAGTTGTTCCTTTCCATGTTTAGCGCTTCCTTCAGGAGCTCTTTTAGGGCAGGCCTGGTGGTGACAAAATCTCTCAGCATTTGCTTGTTTGTAAAGGATTTTATTTCTCCTTCACTTATGAAGCTTAGTTTGGCTGGATATGAAATTTTGGTTTGAAAATTCTTTTCTTTAAGAATGTTGAATATTGGCCCCCACTGTCTTCTGGCTTGTAGAGTTTCTGCTGAGAGATCCGCTGTTAGTCTGATGGGCTTCCCTTTGTGGGTAACCCGACCTTTCTCTCTGGCTGCCCTTAACATTTTTTCCTTCATTTCAACTTTGGCGAATCTGACAATTATGTGTCTTGGAGTTGCTCTTCTCGAGGAGTATCTTTGTGGCATTCTCTGTATTTCCTGAATCTGAATGTTGGCCTGCCTTGCTAGATTGGGGAAGTTCTCCTGGATAATATCCTGCAGAGTGTTTTCCAACTTGGTTCCACTCTCCCCGTCACTTTCACATGTAGTACACCAATCTGATTGTACACCAATCAGATGTAGATTTGGTCTTTTCACATAGTCCCATATTTCTTGGAGGCTTTGTTCATTTCTTTTTATTCTTTTTTCTCTAAACTTCCCTTCTCACTTCATTTCATTCATTTCATCTTCCATCACTGATACCCTTTCTTCCAGTTGATCACATCAGCTCCCGAGGCTTCTGCATTCTTCACGTAGTTCTTGAGCCTTGGTTTTCAGCTCCATCAGCTCATTTAAGCACTTTTCTGTATTGGTTATTCTAGTTATACATTTGTCTAAACTTTTTTCAAAGTTTTTAACTTCTTTGCCTTTGGTTTGAGTTTCCTCCTGTAGCTCGGAGTAGTTTGATCATCTGAAGCCTTCTTCTCTCAGCTTGTCAAAGTCATTCTCCGTCCAGCTTTGTTCCATTGCTGGTGAGGACCTGCATTCCTTTGGAAGAGGAGAGTCGCTCTGCTTTTTAGAGTTTCCAGTTTTTCTGCTCTGTTTTTTCCCCATCTTTGTGGTTTTATCTACTTTTGGTCTTTGATGATGGTGATGTACAGATGGGTTTTTGGTGTGGATGTCCTTTCTATTTGTTAGTTTTCCTTCTAACAGACAGGACCCTGAGCTGCAGGTCTGTTGGAGTTTGCTGGAGGTCCACTCCAGACTGTGTTTGCCTGGGTATCAGCAGTGGTGGCTGCAGAACAATGGATTTTCATGAACTGAGGATGCTGCTGTCTGGTCGTTCCTCTGGAAGTTTTGTCTCAGAGGAGTACCCGGCCGTGTGAGGTGTCAGTCTGCCCCTACTGGGGGGTGCCTCCCCATTAGGCTGCTCAGGGGTCAGGGGTCAGGGACCCACTTGAGGGGGCAATCTGCCCCTTCTCAGATCTCCAGCTGCATGCTGGGAGAATCACTGCTCTCTTCAAAGCTGTCAGACAGGGACATTTACGTCTGCAGAGGTTACTGCTGTCTTTTTCTTTGTCTGTGCCCTGCCCCCAGAGGTGGAGCCTACAGAGGCAGGCAGGCCTCCTTCAGCTGTGGTGGGTTCCACCCAGTTGGAGCTTCCCGGCTCCTTTGTTTACCTAAGCAAGCCTGGGCAATGGCAGGTGCCCCTCCCCCAGCCTTGCTGCCACCTTGCAGTTTGATCTCAGACTGCTGTGCTAGCAATCAGTGAGACTCCGTGGGCATAGGACCTTCCAAGCCAGGTGCGGGATATAATCTTCTGGTGCGCCATTTTTTAAGCCCGTCAGAAAAGCGCAGTATTCGGGTGGGAGTGACCCGATTTTCCAGGTGCCGTCTGTCACCCCTTTCTTTGACTAGGAAAGGGAACTCCCTGACCCCTTGCACTTCCTGAGTGAGGCAATGCCTCACCCTGCTTCAGCTCGTGCATGGTGTGCTGCACCCACTGACCTGTGCCCAGTGTCTGGCACTCCCTAGTGAGATGAACCCGGTACCTCAGATGGAAATGCAGAAATCACCCGTCTTCTTTGTCGCTCACGCTGGGAGCTGTGGACCGGAGCTGTTCCTATTCGGCCATCTTGGCTCTCACACCTGGATAGTTCTTAACCACTTGCTTTTGAACAGTAATCTGGGTCTTCTTTCTTAATAAGGTGGTAGACACTCACACTAACACATAGGAAATCTTATGTCCCTGTGTGCAAGAAATTCAGGCTACTGTGCCTTCACAGAAGGTGCTGTATGGGCCTAAGAAATGAGTGGGCAAGCAATTTCTCCATCTATAGAACAAGGAGTCTGGATTAGCTGTCATCCCTTTCACCTCTAGGTTTCTGTGCTTCAACCCAGGTAAAAAGGAACCTTTGGATTTGGCCATTTGTTGTAGTTACTGTTTTCCTTTTGTTCTTATCCTTCGGGGTTGAAATGCTTTTCCCAGAGCTCAAATGGTCTATTTTGCCTCTGATAATTTCCAAACTGTGAAATCTGTTTCCATTGTAGTTTGCCATAGCCATGGAAGAGCCATGGTTTTTAGTGCAGACTTTTATGTCTTCCCTTCCCTTTGGACTCTAACATTATGAAACTGGCTCATAATTTGCTGGGCATTTGTTTTGGGATTTGCATAAAGTTGATCAACTAAAATAGGGCTAACAAAATGATTACAAAGTTAGCATGATGAAAAGAGGTATTTATATGGGATGTGTGATGTTGTATTGGGAAGCAAGTCTATTCAGTAAGATGTGAAGAAAGCTGGGAAGGGGAACTGGTGAGCAGGATGATCTAAAAGGCTAATGTTGACTGTGCACTGGGTGCCAGGCACTGGGCTAGGTATATTATATATGTTAGAGCTAATCTTCATAAAATCCTGTGAGATGGATTCTTGTTTTTATTTTTCAGTTAAGAAATTTGAGCTCAATAAACTTACATAGTTTTGAACAACTTAGTAGTTATTCAAAAGTGAACAGCTATTAAGGAAGAGAACTAGGATTTAAATACTTGTCTCTCTTATTCCAGGGTCTGTCATTGTTCCAGTATTCCAAAATGATTCTAAAGAATAAGAGCATAGAATGTCAGGGCTCAAAGTATCCTTAGAGATTATTCAACCTTTCACTGTGTACACATGCATAACTGAAATCCATCTGGATGACCTGATTTGTCCAAGATTATGAAAGGTGATAGGACCCTTGAGTGTTGTGTGTAGGAGTGAGAGGTACCACAAAAAGGTGTTTTTTTTTTTAAAAAAAAAAGAAATTTATATCATTTTCTGTTGAACCTATGGTTTATTCTTCACAGGTTTTTGTCTTTGCTAATGACAGTCTTTTCACACCAAATTCTCAAAACAAGTGTGACCTACACTTTCTCCCAGCCATCCCGAACTTTTCTTTCATTCCACTGCAGTACTCTCAGCATCCTGCATATTAACCTGAAGCCTAACTGTATTAAATCTGTTTAGAATTTCAGCCTGCACAGTCTTGTTAAAATCTTCCATTTGTTTGAGAACCACCAACGATGAAGATGATGAGACCCTTGTTCTCACAGCTCAGATTATGGTAAATGAGCTCATGTCGACCTTCTCCATTTACTTCAGGGTGTTACAAATTTTGACACAGCATTTCTTTTAGACTTCAACTTTGTAAATTGTTGACTCATACTCTCTTCTTGTGTGGAAGTTTCTACATTTCCTCATCACCCAAATTATTGACAATTACATATTATTCTCATGGCAGAATTATCAACTTTATCTTCGGAATTCTGTTTTGAGATTTAAAATTTTGTTTACAACTCAGTTTTCTACTTGCATTCCTCTTTTATTCAAAGAAAAAAATAAAAGTAATGAATTAACAGTGTTGTGAAAGGTGTACTCATGGCATAAAATCTTCTGGGGGGTGGTTATAGAGTTTTACGTAAGCACACGTGTGTTTAAAGCTTGAATTACACATTATAGCTCAAGACCAAATATGTGCTCTTCACAGCTCAGTAATGGATGTTTGGTAGTTTTGATATAGTTTGGTGGGTTTTTAGGTTAGGGAGAGATAAACTTTTTTTTCCTGATTCAGGTGATTAAAGTCCTGCATATAAAAATATCATTTATTTTGGCGAGGGTATTTTGTTTGCTGACAACAGGTCTTTGGAAGGCAAAAAGAACCAGCTCACTGAATGGGGGCTCTTAAGATATTTCTGATCTGGATTACTTGGAATCAGGGGTCTCAGAAGCCACAGTCCTCAAAAAAACAAAACAAAACAAAACAAAACAAACCCAGAGAGAGAGAGAGAGAGAGAGAGAGAGAGGCTGTCGGTGGTCAGTGAAATAGCCCAGCAACTCTGAGTGTCTTGTGACTTCTCACCCTCTTGGTGCAAATTGATCAGAGCTGTGAGGATGGGCTGCCCCTGTCCAGAGCGTCAAGAACAAATTTATCTGTCCATGTGGGGAGTAAATGTAAAATGGAGCCCTGAATCCCAACAAATGATTCATCTGTCTGCACAACTCAATGAGCTTGCCTTCATGTCTTCCTCCCAAGCTTACACCATAACTTCTGGGACTGGATCCTAGGGAAAACATGGTTCCCATCTGTCATCCTAACTCTAGATAAACGTAGACATAGGCAGCACTAATGTCTACAATGCGAAAACTGACTTTAGTAAATCCTCACTTAAAGTGCTATTTGTAGTCTTGCTTTGATGAATAACTGCTACCTAAGGACAGTATATCTTAGCGAGAATTAACACTCTGTCAAATTCTTCAGTTGGCTAGATACTGACAGTAAGTAGAGAGAAAACAGAGTCCCTTCTGACAAATGAAATTCAAGTCCTATTTCTTACTGGAAAGCAAGAATGATTGGAGATAATCCAACACTTCAAATGATTATCACTGATAACTGGAGGTAAAAATGACCGTGCTTCAAAATGTGTTCCCAGAACTCTACTTTTAGCTTCAGTTTAGATTTTAGTCCTGCCATATTATATTATGATCATGAAGTCATGAGTTATTTTATTTTAAAGAACTCTTGAATGTTCCAAGATTCTCTAGTGATGCTGAGTTTTGTTACTCCAGGATATGTCCATGAAGCAAGGCAAAGTTACCTCTATTTTTTCATTTGCTTCCATCCAGGAGCTACTGCTAGTGATCACATGAGAACAAAGACCCTTGATATGTAATAACCGTCAAATGCCAAGATTCTGGCTGCCATTGCCAGTGCCTTGCTGGAGTCTTTGAACTTAGCTTCTGGGTCAAAGCATCTAGAAAGCAGTTTGATTAATATATGCATTAAAAGATGTATGCCCATGTTGCAAAATAAACTGGAAAAATAAATAGCAGCTTCTTTGGCTGGCTTTGGTGGTGTATTGCTTTGGATAGAATTCCAAATGGAAATTCAGATGGCTCTTAAAACAAGGTAGTAAGCTTTTAGATCCCTGAGCTGAGGCTGCAGATAAAACTGAGGCAGAGTACAGAAGAGAGGGATAGTGGTCTGCAGTTGGGATGTCCAGCTCATTTCCAGTCTCCCAGCTGGTGGTGTCAGGTGGTTCTCTAGCTCACTCTATGGAGCTCAGTGTTCTTCACTTATCATCAGGGCCTCCCTGAAAAAATGGGACTTGCATAACTGTCTGCCCTATTTCTTTTCTTAAAAATGCTTTAGAAACTGTAAAGTTTTCTGCAAATATAAGGTATTGTTCTGCCATCTGCACAGGGTTTAATAGCATCCTCCCAAACTCACATTCACTTGGAACCTCAGAATGTGACCTTATTCGGAAATAGGGTCTTTGTGTATTTAATTAGTTAAGATGAAGTCATACTAGATAGGGTGGGTCCTAAGTCCAGTGTCTGATGTTCTCATAAGAGGAGAGGACTCTCATACACAGAGGTGCACAGGAAAGATGGTCGTGTGATGATGAGAGTGGAGATGGAACAGCACAGCTACAAGCTAAAGAACACCAAGGACTGCTGGTAACTACCAGAAGCTAGGAAAGGCATGGAGCAGAGGCATTCCCAGTAGATGACAGTAACAAGCCTCAGTTGTGACAACCAAAAAAGGCTTCTCTCAGAGTCTCCAGAGAAAAACAATCCTGCTGACACCTTGATTTCAGACTTCTGGCCTCCAGAACTGTGAGAGAATACATTCCTGCTCCTTTAAGCCACTCGATTGGTGATAATTTGTTACAGCAGTGCCAGGAAATTTTCTTACCTCCTTTGGATGATAGCTACTTTGTGTCCCACACTGTGCTAAAACAGGTATGAAGAATGCAAAAGTTGATCAAGATGTATCCAAGGATGGGCAGGAGGTTTTCATGTCTGCTTTTTTTTTTTTTTTCCTAATCATGGACATTTTTGACCAGCTCATCTTATTCGGTTAGAATAGGCAAATGGGTTTCTAGAAGAAAAACTGGATTGTTATGGATTAAGGTGATGGATGGATTATATATGTCAAGAGTCTACTTTAGTTGCAAGTAACCCCCCAAAATCAAATTCAAGTGAAATTTAACAGATATTATTAGGTCTCTTTCTCCACATCTCAGCTTTCTTTCTCTTTTTCTGCTGACTTCAACTTCTCTTGTTGCAGATGGCTTCTCCATGGAAGCTTCCTTCCAGGGAGCCACAAGGAGCACAGATGCAGGCAAGTCCAGTTTATTTTGTCCTCACTGGCACATCTTACAGCAGTGGTTCCTAACTAGGGTTAATTTTGCACCCCACCCCCATGGAAATTTGTCAATGTCTAGAAATATTTTTGGTTGTCACAACTGGGGCTTGTTACTGGCATCTATTGGGAATACTACTGAACATCCTAGAATGTACAAGACAGCTCCCATAACAGACAATTATCCAGAACAAAATGTCAAGAGCGCTGATATTGAGAAACTCTGTCTTAGAACATCTCTCCTGAAAGTGCTGGTGGAGATGTTTCAAGAGGACTCCAATCTCCCAAGTTTTGGTCATGTGCCCAACCTTTAGCCAATCAAAGTGGCCAGAATAACAACCACTGGCCATATCATTGACCAGGTGTGGGGCCAAATGACCAACCCCTCAAGACTCCATAGATGATGGGTGGTCTCCAAAGGGAAGAACACTTGGGAGAAAATGTGTGCTCACTACAAATTGGTTTAAGGACAGGTGGAGGAGCTCAGACTCTTTTGACTAAATATTACTTATTACTTAAAGGAAATGAGGCAATCTTGATCATGGCTCACCTCCAAAGCAGCACTCTGAGGGCTTTATTATGTCTTCAGTAAATGTTTATTGGAGGTCTTGTCTGTGCCAGGTTCTGGGGCCAGTAATGTGAACTTCACTGTCAGAGCTGCTACACTGTGGTAACCCTTGCAGGCTATGGAGCAGCGCGGTGGGATGGGGGGAGGATGGGATATGGGGATATAAGCAAACACCCACACAAAACTGCTAAGAAAGAGAAGAGCCCATGAGAGAGAGTAATAAGAATGACCTATTTTGGGTAAATGGGAAACATCATAAGGCATAAGTAAGAGCAAAGGTGATAACTGTGGGTTTGTGCAGAAATGTCAGCTAGTGGCTACTGGTTGGGACCAAGGCTGTCTGTCCCTAACCGAGACAGATCCATTTTAAATAGTCATTGGTTTTGAAAAGCAGAGAGTTTGTTTATTTTTGTCTCTCTAATCTGATTCTGAGAAGACCATGAAAGAAAACAGAGAAACCAAAATACCTAAATTGTTCTAATTTAATAGAGGCTTGAAGGAAGACAGACTATTAAAAGTGCCCTGAGGAAGCCTCGCCTGAGAACTGCAGCATGGGTCTGCGATAAGGTTTCAGAGCCCTGCCCCTGCACACACAGCCATCTCTTCATAGGAGCACTAATGGGAGAGAGTGGATTTAACTGTGTGATGCTGTTGGCCTTGGCCAGAGAATGCCAGTGTTAGTTAGGAACAGGTCAGAGAGGGAACGTGACTTAAAAAAAAAATTGCAAGTTTCCCATTTAAAGTACACAATTCAATCGTTTTTAGTATATTCACAGATATGTGCAACAATTGTCACAATCAATTTTTAGATAATTTTTAACACCTGCTATTGGCAGTTGCTCTTGTTTTCCCCCAACTCCCCAGCATTAGGTGACACCAATCTGCTTTCTGTCTCTAGGATTTGCCTGTTCTGGACATATCATACAGATGGAGTCACATAATATGTTGCCTTTTGTGTCACACATTATGTATCTTACCAGTCACATAGTATCTGACTTCTTTCACTTAGCACGTATTTTCAAGATCCATCCACACTGTAGTATGTATCAGTACGTCATTCCTTTTTATGGCTGAATAATATTCCATTATAGAGATGTGCCAAATTTTGCTCATCCATTCATCAGTCAGGGACATTTGGATTGTTTCCAGCAATAATTTTTATTAGTTTTATGTGCCAGGTGAGCAAGGAAAGCAATGAGGCCAAACCTGTCCCATGGTTGAACTACCTGTAAGTCACTCTGGCCATATGGTAGGAAGGGGAGAGACGTCTTTCACTTGATGGTGGCTCAGGGCTGGTTTGTAAATTTCAATTGTCAGAAATGCCCCCTGCCCTTCTTCCATGGACATCTGGATTTGGTTATGCTGACTACTCAGCACCTTTTGCAATATCATTAGTTCCTGTGTTGTCCTTTCCTCTGACACTGTAGATTTATCATTGTCAGTGGTTTTGGCTCCACCAGCCTCAAACAGTACCTCTTCAAGTGCTAGATAACCTCTGCAGCAGTGCAGAGATTTGCAGCATAATCGTGTATAATAAACTCTTATGTAGTTGCCTTATTTTGCATTGAAAAACTTTTGATATTCAACAATGTCATTCAGTGTTAATGATTCCTATAGGTATCATTCCTTACGATTTGAAAAATCACTTTGACATATTAACCCATTTAATTTTCATTTCTGTGCTGAGAGGTAAGAAGTTGAACATTACTGTCCTCACTTGGCAGAAAAGTTGAGACTTAGAAGCCTCAAGGAAGTCACAGCATTGGCTCCAGAATCCAGGTTTCCTGACAGATCTTCCATTCCTCTTTCCTAAGGGACCACACTGATTTCCACGGTGCCATGCAAAGCACAGCAAAATGTGGCCAAATTGGTCTGCAAAAGAAAACACCTGTGCATGTGTGTCAGGGTCCTGAATCCTTTTGCTATCCCAGTGGAGGGACACTGAAGCCTTGTTCTTATTTGGAGACAGTACTGGCGTCTTTGTTCCTGCCTGCTTTTCCTCTAGTACCACAGATATATTTAAAATGCCACTTAGTCTAAACCAGGGAGTTGAATGGGTTTTCACAATCTCTGTGACTAGCTAATTGTAGCTGCTGGGCACACACTTTTATTTCTGTTGACATACTGTAGGAGTGCCAGGACTGGAAAGTGTTGTCTGTGGGAGAAAGAGACACCAGCAAGAGGGGAGACAAGTGGGCTCAAGGTAGCAGAGGGAGGGTTTTGTTCTTGGTAATGTTTTCTTTGTTTAACTATTGTAAAGTGGTAAAATTGTTTCTGATTTTCCATTAAACTGCTGTTGGAAAACCAGGAGAGCATGCATAGCATCAATATACATTTCTCTTTAATTCTCATTTTGACCTTTCATTTTAACTCCTTTTTCCTGTAAGCTACTGTTAAATATGCAAACCAATTAACCTATCTTTCATCTCTTTCATTTATCCTCCCAACTTCCAAAATAATACATGGTAAAATTGTACCTATTTGCCCATCCTCCTCACAAAAGACATAAAAATCACAAAAATTATACAATCACCACTCAGCAACTGAAATACCAAGATGTCAGGATGATCCATCCACAGACACAATAATAGCCGGTGTTTGATATAAGTTTGTCCTGCCCAGTAAACTCCATGTCAACAGGATTATTCCCTGTTGTTAGTTTGTGCATCTTCAGGCAGGGCCCACCCAGCATGGGGACTTCACAGAGCAGACACTCCATAAATACTTGTGGGATGAGTGAATCAGTGCACACAGTAGGCTCAACAAACCTTTGATTGATTCCATCCACTTCTCTCCAGTTTAAAATAGTTTTGTCACCAGGTGCAGTGGTTCAAGCCTGTAATCCCAGCACTTTGGGTGGCTGAAGCAGGTGGATTGCATGAGTTCAAGGCCAGCCTGGGCAACATGGCGAAACCTCATCTCTACAAAAAATAAAAAATTAGTTTTCCATGGTCCTCACACCCTGGTCAGCCAGTTGCTCCTCGTAGTCTTCCCAAAGGAGATCATTATTCCCTACGATGGCCTTCAGCTCCTCATGACTATCCCACTCACTGCTGTAGATTTCCTGCAGGGTTTCTGATACTCTTTTTGAACTTTCATGCATCACTTCAGCTGCACTAAGGAAGTTCTTGAGGTCCTTGTATAGCTTGTGGTCTTCTGCCTGTTGATGGTAGAAGTTGTTGGGGCTTTGTTCAAATTGTTCACCTTTGGTTTACTACTTCACCCAGTTCAGTGAGATTGAGGAGAGAATTGCCAAGTGGGGTTGAAAACTTGTGGATTATGATGGTGCCCAACATCACCTGGATGCAGTGCAGAATGCCAAGAAGAAAGACGAGGCCAAGACTGCCAAGGCAGAGGAAGAGTTCAACAAAGCCCAGACTATGTTTGAAGATCTGAACCAAAAACTACTAGAGGAGCTGCCTATTCTTTATAACAGTCATGTTGGCTGCTATGTGACCATCTTCCAAAACATTTCCAATTTGAGGGATGTCTTCTACAGGGAAATGAGCAAGCTGAACTGCAATCTCTATGAGATGATGAGCAAACTGCAGAAGCAACATTCCAACAAAGTCTTTGTGGTGAAGGGACTATCAAGCAGCAGCAGGCTCTCTTTAGTCATTTATCCCCCAGTTCGAACATCTATGGCCTCCAGTCCTCTTACCTCACCTACTAGTCCCTCTACACTTTCCTTGAAGAGTGAGAGTGAATCTGTCGCAACAACTGAAGATCTGGAACCTGATGCAGCCCGGGGGAAGATAATTCTGAGATCAAGGAGCACTTAGAAGATGAGGAAATAGAGAAGGAAGGATCTGAAGCAAGCTCCTCTGAGGAAGAAGAGCCTCTACCAGCCTGCAATGGCCCTGCCCAGGCCCAGCCCTCTCCTACCATTGGGAGTGGCAAGTCCCAGGAGGAAGTTCTCCCTAGCTCCCCAGCTCCATCACCAGGCAGAACCCTGAGCCCTTCAGGGCAGCCTTCATCATCTGCCACAGAAGTAGTCCTCCAAACCCGCACAGAAAATGAAGGATCTGAACAACCAAAGAAGAGAACCTATATCCAGAGGACGTCAGCACCCCCTAGTAGGCCTCCTCCACCCAGAGCCACTCCAAACCCCAGGCCCTCCTCAGGGAACATACCCTCCAGTCCTCCAGCCTCTGGAGGGGGTTCAACCACTGGCCCTAGGGTCTCCTTGGGGACTGAGACTCCAAGTCCTAGTACCTCCCTAGAGTTCTCCCCTAATCCAGAACTACAAAAGAAGCCAGTAAGAACTCCTGAGGTCAAAGAAAATGAAAACATCCACAATCAGAACCCCGAAGAACTTTGCACTTTTCCCACCTTAATGACATCTCAGATTGCTTCAGAGCCTGGAGAGGCAAAGAAGATGGAAGACAAGAAAGAGGATAATAAGCTTGTCTTAGCTGACTCCTCGGAGGGCCAAGACCAGCTTTAAGTCTCCACAGTACCAGACAAGAGCAACCTCACAGCACCTGAACCTCAAGAATAGGTATCTACAAGTGAAAATGCACAACTCTGAAGAGAAACTGCCAAGACTCCTCTCACCCCACACCTCCCCAAAGAAGCTCTTCAACCAGAGGGTATAGGTCAGAGAGATATAAGAGCCAGCAACCATCCCTGGGTTCTCAGTAGGAATGCTGGTGCTCTCTAAAGACCTGACATTAATGGAGGCGGAGGAGAAGACTTATGGGAGAGGTGGAGTGAGGCAGGCTGAGGAGAAGAGAACATTAGACTCAAGGAATACTTAATTCAGGTTTTAGCATTATTAGAATAAGACTTTATACATTAACTAAAGTGGAACTATAATCACTATAAAAAGCAAAAGCATCTATAGACAGACACTTGTCTATACAGAAACATAAGCACACATACTCAGAGATAGTGAACAAATCTGTCTTTGACTTATGACCCATTTTGCAAGACTTAAAGCCAGAAGAACGCATTTTCAGATTGCTAAATAAAGTCTGATTCTGACAAAAAAAATACAAAAATTAGGTGGGTGTGGTGGCAGGCACCTGTAGTTCCAGCTACTTGGGAGGCTGAGACGGGAGGATGACTTGAGCCTGGGAGGTCAAGGCTGCAGTGGGGTGGAGCGTTGTACTCTAGCCTGTGTGACAGAGTAAGACCCTGTCTCAAAAAACGAAAATAAAATAGTTTTTTCTCCTTATTGAAATAGAAAACCCCCCACAACTCTTGACTGTAAAAAATGTCAAAAAATATGCAACTATTGGAGCAAGTATAACTAGTATGTAGGATAGGATCAGACATGACCCCATTCTTGCTCTGACCTCATACCATTTCTCTAAACATTACTTGATATGAGGGTGGGGGCCCTTACATGAAAACTCTGGAAAGCCCTATTATGTTTCTTCTTATTCTTAGGTAACAGCTCATGAAGTAGAGGAGAGGAAACAAACCAAAACAGGTGATTGTTTTAAAGTCTTCCACAGAAAATTTCTGCAGAATTATTTCAGGATAAATCCAAAGTAAGGTACTTTTGCTTAACAGATTTTGGTCTGTATCCTAAAATTACATTGCCCAAGAAGATGATCAAGCCAGGTGAGTTGGAATAAACCTAGAATAGGCTAAACTCTTTGTTTTCCCAAATGGCAGGAGAGTGTATTTGATTTAGAATATGGTGGAAGCCATGAAGGCAAGAATCCAAGAATGGCCCTCATTCATGGCATAGTCAATCCATACTAGGTTTCCCATGAGGTAAACCATGCCACAGGAATAGGCCAGTGAGGGATAAGGAGTCAGAGGCTTGGACCCAGCCTAGGAATCTAGTCCAAATGATAGTGCTCTCCAAATGATAGTGTTCTAACCAGCAGGGCTTTCCAAGTGATAGTATCCTAACCAGCAGGGTTAAAGTGGGTTTGGCCAGTATGGAGGTCCCCAGGATCTGATCCAGCGAGTAGGATATAAATTAGGAGTCTCCAGATATGGACCACACTTGAAATCAGGAAGATAACTGTATCATGCTTCTGAATATGCCATTGTATCTAGGGGAAAGTTCTAGCTCACAAAGCATGCTATAAATAAGAGCAAGTTGAGCCTCAGGGTCCCAGGCAGGTGAGCTCCTAGAGGGTTTAAGTCCAGGTGCTGGAAAGCGGGGAAATGATTAGAAAGCCTTGAAAGGGTTAGGGATTAGGTAGACCTAGACAGTTTTGGAGTGGAGGAGGCTGTATTTCATAAAGTACGTAGAGGTCCAAGTTCACCACATGTATATTGTGTGTAAGATGACAAGACTAATTCCAGACCACATCTTGGGATAGGGATGCTCCTACTGAACATTCTGGAGACTTCTTGGCTCCCAGAGTGCAGGTTGGTTGTGTTGAAAAGTAACTGGGGAGACCAGGACTGGTGAACCATCTCTTGGCCCTGTTTCAGAAATGGAGCTGTCAAAATGCAGCCCCTAAGGTGAATATTTGCAAAAGATTCTGGATTCTTCTCAAAAAGCTAGATTACTTGTACAGGGCTTTTAGCCTACAAGTGAGGCTAAGCTATATTTCAGCCTTTGTATGGAAATGCAAACCAGGGAAGAAATATTTTTATTGTGATAAAGATCATAGCTAGTCAGAAATCAAATAGGCCATAAATGAGAATAGTTAAAAAAAAAACACACCTTAAACATTATATTTTAACTTGAAACCTATACATGTACATTTATTCACCCATTTGCCAATGTGGGTCTAAGGTCTTTTCATTGAGCATGAATTGGCTAATCATGGCTCTGCATCATTTTCATGTGTAAGCTAACCCCATATTGTCTTCTCTATGATTCCCAGTTTCATCTTTAAAGTACAATGAGGATTTAAAGCCTCCTGCAAAAACAAAAACAAAATGTGAGTGTAGAACTCTTCTAGAGTTCTTTTATAGCTGCCTTCCCCACACCTCATTCATTTAAACATTTACCAAATTTATTTTTCCTTCCAAAATATTCAACTTATATTTTTATTAACATAATTACTACTTTTTCATACCCATATTTTGTCAGTTTGAGTAATATTCAATCAAATTATATTATTATGATGAAGGGAACTAGCATAACCAGGTTTGGGAGTAAACCCAGCTGAATCTTTAGTGAAAATACAGCTCCACAGGTGGGAACAGAAGTAATAGGTTGTGTCCAGAAGCATGGCCTCCTGATGTGGAGAATTCAGCCTCCCACAAGTGTTAGTCAGCATTTGTTACAGAGGGAATGGAGAGTGGTTGTTAATTTTGTGAATTGGTTCAGTGAAGGTGTATTAAGAGAGTTCCAGCTGTACTCCTTAATAGGAGAGAGTACAATTAACTGAAATTTTTGCTAATGTATATCCAAATCTAAATTTAATTTTGGGTACATATTATAATATAAAATTGATCTATCTTATAATGATAGTCAACATGTAATGAGTGGTTTCTATTATTACAGCCTGAGCTAAATGCTTTACATGAAAACTTATGGATGTGATAATGCTATCCCCATTTTTATTAGTCTGTTCTCATGCTGCTGATAATGACATACCTGAAACTGGGCAATTTACAAAAGAAAGAGATTTAATGGACTTACAGTTCCACATAGCTGAGGAGGCCTCACAATCATGGCAGAAGGTGAAAGGCACATCTCATGTGGTGGCAGACAAGAGAAAAAGAGCTTGTGCAGGGAAACTCCCCTTTTTAAAACCATCAGATTTCTTGAGACTTACTCACTATCACAAGAACAGCATGGGAAAGATCCCCCCATGATTCAATTACCTCCCACCAAGTTCCTCTTACAACACATGGGAATTGTGGGAGTCACAATTCAAAATAAGATTTGGGTGGGGACACAGTCAAACCATATCACCATTTCACAAGTGAACATACTGAGGCATAGAGAGGCTATTTCCCTTGCTCAAGGTCACAACTATCAGTGTGCCCATGCTCTTAACCCACATCTATTTGGTGCCTGAAATCATACTCCTAATCATGACACCATGCTGCTTCATGTTACAGCAATAAATGCCAATAAATGCAAAGGGACCTGATATGCAGAAGCTGCCAAACAATGAAGTAAGTAGGATTCCTTAAAACACTTTTTAGTAATTCCTTTTAAAGTTCAAGGTAATTGTTGAATCAGTTAAGCTTTCTGGTTCTCAGAAACCTGGATTATACTTCAGGGAGACTTCATTGCACTTAAAGAGGTATGACTGCCTAATATATAGTTAGATATGAGCAACACAGGTCACTGTAACAACTCAACATTTGTTAAGCACTTGACTATTGAAAGCGTGAAAATAAAAAGGATGTGGCTATTTCGAGAAGGAACATGCAGTCTCCCTACTCATGAGAATAGGATTTGTGGTCCACTTGGAGAGACAGGATTGTTCACTTGATGATAAACCATGGAGGGCAAGGAGTACAAGGTCCTCAATGAGTGATGCAGACAAGAAGCTCCAGGAATGGGTAGGTTAAGGCCAGGAATGTGGTCAAGATGCTTAACGAAAGGCTTAGAGCTTGATGTGGGCCTTGAAGAGGGGCAACTGGTCAAGGCAGGGGACATTCTGAGCAGGAGAAAGAGAATGAATATAATTCTTGGGGTAGGAATATGCATCTGGGGCTCTTGCGTGCTTGCAAAAGGGGTCTTATCAAGGAGTGGAGAGAGACAGGTAGTATAGAGCTAGCTCATGGAAGAACTGGACTGTCAGGCTAAGGAATGGAAATATCTTTCAGGCAATAGAGAATTACTTACATCAAGGTCTGTGGTATTATATGATCTTATTTGACTTCTAATAAGAATGAAAACACCTCCAGTCAACACAATCATTCAGTGGCAAGTCAAAACGTTTTGAACATTGCAGAAGATGCTTCTTTTTCTTCTCCTCCTCTTCCTCCTCCTCCTCTTCCTCCCCTTCCCCTTCTGGTTCCTCCTCCTTGTCCTCTTTCTCCTCTTCTTCCTCACCTTCCTCCTCCTCCTCCCCTTCCCCTTCCCCTTTCTCGTCCTCTTCCTCCTCCTCTTCTTCCCCCCTTCTTCCTCCCCTTCTCCTCTCCTCCTCCTTCCTCCTCCTCCCCTTCCCCTTCCCCTTCCTCCTCCTCCTCCTCCACCTCCTCTTCTTCCTCCCCTTCTCCTCTCCTCCTCCTCCTTCTCTTCTTCCTCCTCCTCCTCTTTGTTTTGTTCTGAGACTCAGTCTCACTCTGTTGCTCAGTCTGGAGTACAGTGGCACAATCTTGGCTCACTGCAACCTCCGTCTCCCAGGTTCAAGTGATTGTCCCTGCCTCAGCCTCCGAGTAGCTGGGATTACAGGCACACACCACCACATCTGGCTAATTTTTATATTTTTAGTAGAGACGGGGTTTCACCATGCTGATCAGGCTGGTCTTGAACTCCTGATCTCAGGCCATCCACCCATCTTGGCCTCCCAAAGTGCTGGGACTGCAGACATGAGCTACCATGCCCAGTCCTCATCATCTTCTTTACCTCCAGCACTTACACCTTTCTGGAGATTTTCTGGCCAGGGAATGGGCTGTTCCCCCAGTGCCAGCCTTGGGCAGGATGAAAATACCTAGGAGTGATGCCCTGGGAGTAGCTTTCAGCCAACGAAGGTTGGCAGGTGCCTGGACAAATACCCCAACCTCCTCACCCCTCAGTGGAAGCAACTCTGAGTTGTGGATTCTCCACCGTCTCCAAATGCTCCCCAGAGAACTGAACCCTAGTTGCCAACAACAGGACTTGCTTGGTAACACAGCCTTTATTCACTGCCTTTCCTTCCCTATCTCCCTTCCCACTCCTCTACGGAGATTTCCTGGGATCACCTCCCAGTGAAACTATTTGTACTTTAATCTTTGTCTCAGGTTCTGCTTCTAGGAGAATCCAAATTAAGATAGTTATTTTTTTCAAAATAGCAGACTCTTTTTTAACCAGCCTGCCACCAAACCTTTAAAAAACCCAAACAGTGAATTTGGCCTCTGGAAGCAGCATGACTACCTGACAGGCATGTGTAGCATTTTTACCTTCTCTGCCTGTATATAACTTCTGACATGTACAAGTTAGGTTTAGCACTATATCAGAGTGAATTATGCTTGACACTGTGCTAAGGAAGAAAAAGAAGAGAAATAACAGTAAATAAATATTGACCACAGAGCTTTCACAGAATCAGGCACTTTTCACATATAATAATCTATGTAAATCTCATAACCTTACAACACAGATGGAACTGGAGGTCATTATGTTAAGTGAAATAAGCCAGGCACAGAAAGGCAAATATTAGGTGTTCTCATTTATTTTGGAGATATAAAAATCAAAACAATTGAACTCATTGACATAGAGAGTTGAAGGATAGTTACCAGAGGCTAGGAAGGGTAGTGGGAGGACTGGGGGAGGTGGGAATTGTTAATAGGTACCCCAAAAAAATAGAAAGAATGGATAACACCTACTATTTGATAGGACAATAGGGTGACTATAGTCAATAATAACTTAGTTGCATATTTTAAAATAACTTAAAGAGTGTAATTGGATTGTTTGTTACTCAAAGGATAAATGCTTGGGGAGACAGATACCTCATTCTCCATGATGTTATTTCACATTGCATGCCTATATAAAAGACTCATATACCCCATAAATATTTATACCTACTATGTACCCACAAAAATTAAAAATAAAATTTCATAACTTCTGAAGTAGAAGTTATTGCCTTATTTTTCAGCTGAAGATATTATTATACTATAAAGCCATGGAGGGTGAGGATTGTATTTTACCTGCCATTTTATCCAGTTTTCAGCACAGAGCCTGGCAAATAGTTAAATCCTAAGAAATATTTATTTGGCAAGTGAACAAATAATATGTTAAGTAGCTTGTCTAAGGTCACAGAACCAGTTATTCGCAGAGCTGGGATTGCACTACCTTGTGATACTCAAGGAAAAGTAACCTTCTATTGATTGTTCCAGGCAACACTACAACACTTTGGTAAATACAACGATTGCAGACAAATTTCTTTTTGGTGTGTCCAAAAGAAATAAACAGGGGCTTTATATTCTTTTTCCTATACATTATGTAATTTATAGGCTATTGAACAGAATGATAGTTGCATACGTATTTTTATTTCAATGACAATTTGGTGTGACTTTTTAATTCAGCAAATGTTATATCTTCGTGAAAGATGTAGGCTCTAAGGGGGAAAAAGCTCCAAGTTTAGAAATATGAGGAAGAACTTACTCATCACAAAGATTTCTGGCACAAAACAGACCTAATGGTTTTTCTACTCTATGGCCCATGCCGCTTGTGTGTGTGAGAAGCTATAGTCTGTCCCTCATGAGTGGCTCTTCTTTGCACATCATCCACCACTCAGACTGTTGCTATTAATCAAAACAAAAAGGACTAACTCTTGAATGATGGAATTTTGGGAGCTTGTGGTAGATAACAAGAGTGATAGATATCCCAAGTGGAAGCAGAAGTCAGATAACAAGAGGGAAGAAGAGTTACACCACAGAGTGGATATGCAGAAGAACAAGCATATTTCCCAAATCCATCATAACCAGCACATTTTTGTAACTGGAAACAAATGCACTTCCAATATGAACATGTTTCAGTTCACAGGGTAGTACGTATGTGAAGCGAGCTGTGAGATCTGATATTTGTTGCATAATGAGCTTTTACTCCCTGCCTGATGCCCTGAAGTTTTAAACATTCCGGCAGAATTCATGATTTCTTGACTTGGTAATTTTTTCTCTCATATCCAAATGGGATTCCCTCCATCTCCAAAGTTGTTGAATGGAACTGTAAGTGAGAATTTAAACTTGTGATCCCAAAGCTTAGTATGGAATACTCTGTTTGGATTGGTTTACTCTTTTTGCTCAACATGAGAACAGTGTACAAGTTACTGACTGGATAGCATGATGATCCAGATTGTCTAGAGCAAGAAAGGCTAGATCAGAGAGAAAAAAACATCCTTTCTGCTGTTCAGGTTGGTCACCGGGCCCTCCCCTATCGGTGTGTTTCAGATCCTCTGTTTTTCTTCTCTGGACAGTGTTTTTCTACCTTATGCTTCTGTTTACTTATTTGCTTCTTTTGCTTTGTGATGAGAATCAAAATTGTCTATGCAGCTGGCTGTCTTCATCAATATAACTTTACTATTAAATGCAATTCTTTCCCAGGAAGATAAAAATTTCAAATAATATTATTGCTGGTTCCCGTAACTTCCCCAAAGATCCATGAACTCTTCTATAGAATGCATCCTAAACCTTGTTCTCTTAAAATTCTCACCTAGCTGTCTGCAACAATCCTAAATTATTTTATCATAACCCTGCTCTCATCCTAATTAAACTCCTCTCCATCATCAAAAGAACCTACCTTAAACCAGACTTTGAAATGTCAATCAGTATCCTGACTGTTAATAAGGCTTTGTTGATGTTCTTTCTTAGTAGGTAAACAATACACTCAGCTTTGTCTTATCCACAGGCTGTTGTAGTGATATTTTGGACAGCAAGCATTTGACTTTGACAATTGTGTACAGCATTCTCATTGTCTTTCTGCTTTGGTATAATTTACTCTCTGCCAAATTCTGTATTTCAAACCCCCAATTCCCAAAGTGTAAGAGTTTGATAAGTTTTGGTTAACTGCTGTCATACCTGTTGGACAAAGCTGAAGTATATGGCCTCTTTCTGGACTAATGGTCAGCTCAGAGATTCATTGCCTTTGGGTATGGTCTCTCTGCTAGACCAAAACATAGGTGGGTGGTAGAGATATGCAGTAAAACACATGGCCATAGAAGTTAAAGGAATTGACTACGTCACTTTCTTAAGTAAGAATCTATGGACAGGAACTCTTAGAAGGGGGCTAAGGGCACAGAAGGCATTCTGAGAGTAAACGCTGGTGAAGTTATACAGGTGGAGAGCATTATCTAGGAGCTGAGAACAAGGATGTGGTACTGACTTCATGGTTTAAAGGTTGGGCCCTCCTTTTTTGGTCACTGATTTTGGATTCTTGTTTTCCTTTCAAGAACAAAAGTTTCTCTAGAATCCTTCAGTCACCAATCAAATAATCAGGCAGGAGAAAAACTTTAGATGGGAGTCTTGTCATCAAAAATAAATGCAGTTGCATGGAGCTGCCTAAGATCTGAACCAAACTAAAAATAGGAAGGCAGAGGCTAAAAAGCTATTTTAAGAAACCCCCCCAACCACAGCCACCCAGTGGGCTAAGCGGGGAACAGGAAGCATGTCTGGTCACACCATCTTGGAATAAGAAGCCATGGCTGGCTGGATTGGATCCTCTGATAGTGCATGTGGACCTGAACTTGAACATGATGCCAGCACTGCATAGGGAGTGGGTGGTGGGGGGTGGGTGGGAGGAACTGCCCTCACTCCTGCAGCTCCTTCATTCTGTTGAGGGCACTGCCGGTGTGGAACCACTCAATCTGCGTCTCCTTGAAGGTGCGGTTCAGGAGGATGGTCTCTTGGGTCCCGTTGGGGTGCTTGATGATGCACTTCAGGGACTTGCCAGGCGAGACGTTCTTCAGGCCCTGAATGGTCAGCTTGTCCACAGGGTGAATCTTATTGTAATGGGCTGGGTCAGCGAAGGTCAGGGTCAGCAGGCCCTGCAGGCCCTGGTCTCGTGGATCCTGGCAAAGCTCTTGGTGATGATGGCCCGGCCCCTGAGGAGGTGATGCTCCAGTGCTGTGTGCTCCCCGTGCGAGTCCTCGCGGTAGTTCTCATCCCTAATCACCACCCACCTGATGCCATGTTTCTTGTAGTAGCGGGCAGTGTCAGGGATGGGGCCAAACTCCTGGGTGAGGGCATTGTGCACGGAGTTGGCCTTGCTGTTTTCAATGTTCATGGCACCAATGAGCAAGTTGTTGGAGATGTACTCCAAGTGCCCGTGGAACTTGAGCCAGGGGCCAGCAGCCGAGATGTGGTCAGTGGGACACTTCCCTTTGACTTTGATGAGGATCTGCAGGTCCTCCAGGTCCTTGCCATCCCACTTGTCAAAAGGCTCCACGAGCTGCAGGTGCTGGCTGGTGGAGCTCACATCCACATGCTGCCTGCTGCTGTCCTTTGGGGGGTGCTGGTAGGTGTCCTGCCCTGGGTCAAACTGCGCTTGGGGAAGCTCATATTGCGTCTGGAGCCTCCAGCTTGAACTTCTTGCCATCCTTGCCCATAAGGCAGTCGGTCTCTGGGTTGAACTTAGGGTTCTTGCAATGGCCAGGGCTGTGACAATCTCTGGGGAGATGATTGAAGGCATGGTCTTGGGGTTTGTGTCATTGCGGCCCGTGAAGTTCCTGTTGTAGGAGGTGACAATTGTGTTCTTCTCCCCCTTCTTGATGTTTTTCCTGTCCCACTGGCCAATGCGGGGGCCCCCTTTTATCTGTTGGTAAACAGCAATGGATATACCCAGCAAAGAACAGAGGGTATAAAATATTTGAGGCTCTCTAGCATTTTGTTTCAGAAGCTCATGGTATCTACCAAGCTCGTGCCAAGGATTGTTGTGAAGATTTAATAAACAAATATATAGCAGGGTTTTTTTTTTTAAGCCTGTAAAGTCTAAAATGGATCCAATATCATCAATTTGTTTATTCATTCATTCATTCATTCAAGAAACAATCATCTAAAGTTTACTGTATGTTAGAAATTGTAGTAGGCTCCAGGAATACAAACACAAATGCACCCATTCAAAAAGCTCATGGTCTAGTGGAAGAAACAGATAGAAGAGATCATCGAAAACTGAATATATGACTCAATAAAGGAATGTATGAAGTTTTATAAGAACATAGATAAATGATATATATTAAAAATATGTATAGTTTACATATATTTTACTAACTTCTATATTGTCCTGTGAAATATATATTATTTTCCCTCTTTCACATTTAAATAACTGAATTTAAGGAGGACCAAATAATGCAGGCCATAAGTGATAGATCTGGTACTCAAAGCTAAATATTCTCATTCAAAATCTAGTCCTTTCCCCCCAGTCTATCAAGCTGCTTAATTAACTCAGCTGTTATTATGCTCAATGGATAGGAAATTTATAAAACAAGACAAATAAGTGTAAGTGGCTAATTTTAATTTTAAAATTAATAAAATTAAATAAAAAAATTGAATTTGTCATTTTTCTCAGTTTATACAACTCATAAAAAGTAAAGTAAGAAATATAGCAACTGCTATAGGCAATAGTGAATAGAAGTAAGTAGTCTCATTTACTAAAGGTGAGAATGTAAATCAGTATAACCTTTCTGGAAGGCAAATAGTTATGGCAGAGACTGCACTTTGTGTTAATCAAAACATTTCCTCACCCTGGGAATAAAAGAAGACTGTCTTTCCCAGGTTCCCTAGCAGTTCAGTTGGAAATTATGTGACTTTAGTCAATAAATACAGGCAAAAGTAACATATGCCATTTATAGACCTAAGTCCAAAGATCACTCAGAGTGACACTTCAGCTCTGTCTTCTCTTCCATGGCAATTTAGGAACCACATGTTTGAAGCAACCCAGATCCCAAAATCATCACATGGAGAAGAGCCACCAAAGAGAGCCACCTGGCCCACATTGGACAGTGACTAGAGCAAGAAATAAACCTTTGATGTGTTAAGCACTGAGCATAGGGAATTGAATTGTTACCACAACAGAACATATCAACTAATGGAAATAACAAAATATTTTATCCCCATTTTACAGATGAGGCTACTGAGGCACAGAGGGATAAGTAACTTGCCCGTGGTCACAAAGCAAACAAATAGCTGAGCTTTGATACTGGCATAAAAATAGGCATGTAGACCAATAGAACCAAATAGATGACCTAGAAATAAAGACAAATACTTGCAGCCAACTGATCTTCGACAAAGCATACAATAACATAAAGTGGAGAAAGGACACCCTATTTAATAAATGGTGCTGGGAAAACTGGCAAGCCACATGTAGAAGAATGAAACTGGATCCCAATCTTTCACCTCATGCAAAAATCAACTCGAGAAGGATCAAAGACTTAGTTAAATCTAAGACCTGAAACCATAAAAATTCTAGAAGATAACATCAGAAAAGCTCTCTGGACATTGGCTTAGGCAAAGAATTAATGACTAAGACCCCAAAAGCAAATGCAACAAAAACAACAACAACAAAACAGGACCTAATTAAACTAAGAAGCTCTGCACAGCAAAAGAAATAATCAGCAGAGTAAACAGACAACCAACACAGTGGAGAAAATATCTGCAAACTATGCATCTGACAAAGGACTAGTATCCACACTCTATGAGAAACTCAAACAAATCAGCATAAAAAAAATCCCATCTAAAAGCGGGCAAATGACATAAATAGACAATTCTCAAAAGAAGATATACAAATAGCCAACAAACCTGAAAAAATGCTCAATAACGCTAATCATCAGGGAAATGAAAATTAAAACCACAATGAAATACCACCTTACTCCTGCAAGAATGGCCATAAAAAGTCAAAAAACAATAGATACTGTCATGGATGTGGTAAAAAGGGCACACTTTTTACACTGTTGCTAGGAATGTAAATCAGTACAACCACTATGGAAAACAGTATGGAGAGTCCTTAAAGAACTAAAAGTAGATCTACCATTCGAACCAGCAATCTCACTACTGGGTGTCTACCTAAAGGAAAAGAGTCATTATAAGAAAAGTACACATGCGCATGCATGTTTATAGCAACACATTTCACAATTGCAAAGATATGGAACCAACCTAAGTGGCCTTTGACCAATGAGTGGCTAAAGAAAATGTGGTATATATACACCATAGAATACTACTCAGCAATAAAAAGGAATAAAAGAATGTCTTTTGCAGCAACTTGGATGGGGCTAGAGGCCATTATTCTAAGTGAAATAACTCAGGAATGGAAAACCAAATATCATATGTTCTCCCTTAGAAGTGGGAGCTAAACTATGAGGATACAAAGGCATAAGAGTGATATACTGGACTTTGGGGACTTGGGGGAAGTTTGGGAGGGGGATGAGGGATAAAATATTACATATCAGGTGCAGTGTACACTGCTCATGTTACAGGTGCACTAAAATCTCAGGAATCACCACTAAAGTACATATCCATGTAACCAAAAACCATCTGTACCCCAAAAACTATTGAAATAAAAAAATATTCATTTCAAAATGTATTTCTTAGTCAAACCTTTTGTCTTATACAATAAAAATAAATAAAAAATTGCTGAGCTAAAATAAGAAACCTACTCCAGATCACATAGCTAATAAATGTCAAGCCCATGCCATTGACTCTAGAATCTACATCTTACATCTTAACTATCACATATGCTGCCTTTCTTAAATAAATTATGGTATCTATAACATACTATGCAGCCCTTAATATATGACAAAGTGGTATTTTAACTCACTGGGCAAAGGTTGGGTTATTTAATAAATGATGCTACCCCAATTGACTGTCTGGAGGAAATTAAAATTAGGCCTTTCTTTGAAAATTTATACATATATATATATATTCAAAATGAGTAAAGAAGTTTGATCATAAAAATAAAATAGGAAAAATCGAACAGACTATGTGTACAATCTAGGAATGGGGGAGACCTTCCAAATCAAGATGGGATATCTAGAAGCTAGTACAAAACAAAAGGATGTTTTGAAGAATATTAAATGAAATAAATTGTTCATTAAATAATGAAAAATACAGTATACAAAACACCCTAGGAAATAAAATTATTGAATCATAAAAAGTTATGGTTATTTAATATGAGTTTTCATAGCCCTCACCTGCCTATAGATACTAAGGGGTTTACACTATTAGTAAAAACACTTATTTCTCTGGTCCTACCTCTTTCCTATGTTATATGGAACCACAGCTCTTTACAAAACATGCTCCAAATAAATCCCCCAGTCCTGGAGCTGGGAAGTTCTAAAATGTGCTCACCAGCACGTCTGTTCCCAGTGGGCAGTAAGGCCGGACTTCTGTGCCATCAGGCTCAGCACAGAGGCACTTGAGCACCTCTGACCCCAGGAAAGAATCCCTCTCTTAGTTTTGTCATAATGTGAGAGAGGGTCTTAAGGTAGTTGCCTTGGCCCCAGTGTGTAAACAGTGTAGTGAAATTACTTTTACGATATTTAATCACATTTCCCAATACCCTCATAGGACTCAGATAGTAATGGAACGGGCCAGTACCATACACCATATAGGTAGCTGGCAGAATTAGGTCAAACTTCTCATGGGCACTCCTTCAGGACAGTTCCCTTCCAATCTCCATACACATAGAGTGCTGGAGGGTGGCCCTTGGGATTGAACAGATATGTCCCAGGGACATCTGAGTCACCTGAGGACTCAAGTGCTCAAACTCTGCTTGTATTTGGTGATTAGCACCAGGCTAATCGCAGTATCATGGGGATGGAGAGGGAGAGTTCCTCTTTAATATTTTCTATATTATGTTCATTTAAAAAATAAATATTTTTATAATCTTAAAAGATTTTTTTAAAAAACAAAAAAAAGCACAAAGAACATAGATTCTTAGAGTAAGCAATTTAAAAAAATTATAGAATCTACCTCTATGCAGATTTTTAAAGTAAGATGGTTTATCATCTACCTGCAATGTGACCCTGGAAATGAGCTGGACAACAAGTTAATCTTAGGTTTCCATGAATCACTTGGGTTTCGTTGGACTTTCTCTTTCTTTGACTCATATTTAAACCAGAGACAGTAGGAGTCTATAAAAATTATTGAACATTGAAACACTAACATCTGAACTTTTTTAAAGTTTCAGGTTGAAATGGCTTCTGTTAAGATCTCACTTAACTGCGGTTGATAGAAAATGGCAATATTCAATCAAAGTTATATATAAATTAGGAAAAGAATTAGAAGCCGGGGTAGCTTGACACAGATATAAATTCTCACTGAGCTTACCCAAACTCTCATCTGCTCCAAGGCTTACCCAAACTCTCATCTGCTTACCCAAACTCTCATCTTTGAGCTTACCCAAACTCTCATCTGCTCCAAGCTGTATAGAAGTTTCTTTCAGAGTTATTTCAGTTCATTTCAATGAAAAAATTATCAAATATAATAAAACATTTTTGGAAAGACAGGAGGGATTTGGGACATTACAATTGGTATTAAAAGAACTAATGAGCTTTGCTACTGATAAAGTATTTCTTGCATTCTTTTTTGGTTCAAAGAGTGATACCCAATTATTAATTCTTAAGCACATAAATCTTTTCCATTTTTGTTTTTCCTGCTCGGTGCCTGAATTTTCTTGGCTACTACTGAAATGTGTTGAATAGGCTGATTCTACTTTTTATCTGCATATTCTATGGATCTAGTGGCTCTGAATCCAAGCCACTATAATAATGATGGAAACAAAATATTTCTGATGAACATATAACCAGATATTGCTGACAAATAGAAAAAAGAACAGGCTGATGGGGGCCAGACTGTGCATATGATCTGTATTCCTGCCAAACTGCATGTATGCACAGCCACACAAAGACAAAATCCTTTGGTAAACACTCACAGTTGAGGAATAGGGTACAACATTTTAATATATTAACCATTTGAAAAAATTCCCGTTCCTTTTAATCTCTTGTATACTCTCACCATTCAAACTAGACTAGAGGTATCAATTTCCTCTGGAAGGAATATTACAGCAGAGAAAACAAATAGAAACCACTTCTCAAGTTTGAGGTTCAGAATGGGCTCTTGAGCCTCTTTACTATTTGGCGGAAGAAGATTTGACTGCAAAAGCCTGAATTTTGAATATGAAAATCTAAGATTCTAGAGGACTCGAGGCATAATTTTTTCCATTAATGTATGAGATTATGTGTAATGCAGGTGGATATCAGTGCATGATTTTCCTGTTGGAGAGGAGCTATGGATCCTATAGATTGAGAGCTGGAAGGGGCTATGGTTTAAATGTGTTCCCTACCCTATGTTCATTGCAGCATTATTCATAATAGCCGAAATATGGAAACAACCCAAATGTCCATCGACAGATGAATGGATACAGAAAGTGTGATATAAACATACAATGGAATATTATTCAGCCTTAAAAAATACAAGGAAATCCTGCCATTTTTGATAACATATGTGAACCTAGAGGACATTATGCTAAGTGAAATAAGCCAGTCTCAGAAGGACAAATACTATATGAATCCAGTTATATGAAGTATCTAAAATGGTCAAACCCATACAAGCAGAGATTAGAATGGTGATTGCTACGGGATGGGGGGAGGGGGAAATGGGAAATTATTTTTCAATGGGTATGAAGTTTCTATTACACAAGATGAGAAAGTACTAGATATCTGCTGTACAACATAGTACATAGGTTTAACAATATGGTATTGCATACTTCTAAATGGAAGAGGATAATCTCATGTTGTGTTCTTACCAAACAAACAATAACAACAAACCCCCCAAACCCCACAAAAGAACATAAAGACATTTTTGAAGGTTATGGATATGTTTAGTGCCTTGGTTGTGATGATGGTTTCATGGGTGTAGTCACATTTCCAAACTCAGCAAGAGGTACACATGAAATGTGTGCAATTTTTGGTACATCAGTTATACCTCAATAAAGCTAAAAAAAATTTCAAAAGAAAGGGTGAGAGAGCAAGGGAAGGAACCCTCTACAGGAGCCACCAAAGACCAGGAAGTGTGGTAGCCCTACAGGAATTCCCATATCCGGGGTTGAGGGAGAGAAGAGTGTAACTTTCATCGAGTGTCTATTACATGCCAGACATAGTATTGGATTCTTTTTTATTGGTATGCTCACACTTTCCTCCTTTTCTAAAATATAATTTTTTAGCCTTGTTTTAATTGTGGTACAGTATATAACATAAGATTTGCCATTTTAAACAGTTTAAGTGTATAATTCAGTGGCATTAATGAAGGTTGCAGTGATATTCAACCATCACCACCATCTACTTCCAAAACTTTTCATCACTCCAAACAGAAACTTTGTATCCATTAAAAAATGCTTTGTCCTTGTCATTAATTTTATTTCATTTCAAACTCTGAGAGAAATGACCATGAAGCAGGTTTTGTTTTCATTGTTTAGCTCTCTCATTTGATCCCCTGGAAACTGCAGAAATGTTGGGAGTTTGGGCCCTGAAAACGCCCGGGAGATGATGTTCAGTCCCTTATGCTGCTGCATGTATTTACTTAGTATTAGGATGTGATTCATGGTAAACACATGTAGGTATTAATTATTCTAAACTTGTGGTCCCTGGACTTATCCAGGGGGTCTATGAACTCCCTGCAATTGTAATCAGAATTTTGGATGCAGATGCATTTGCTTGGGAAATGATTATGTAGCTTTTTCCTCCTCAACCTTAGAAGGATATATAATCCCCAAAATGATTACAATCCCCATTTTTGAAGATAGAGGCTGGGGAGTAGGCACTGAACCCTCAAAACTTCGTGATGGAGTCACAGAGTTTAAGTACTCTTACTGTCTCTGTGTCATCCCTCTGTGGTTAATTTGGTTTAAGGAAGCTTGGAAGAAATTCTGTTCCCAGTCTCCTCTCTCCATCTTCCACTCCCCAGACCCCATCTCACCTTACCAACTTCTATCTATAGTCTGCATCCTGAAGCCTAGAGAGATGGGAGAACTGGAGGAAATGCCTGGATAGTACAATTGGAATATTAATAAAAGAACAAGTGCATGAAGCATGACAGGAAGGGGAGAATAATTTTGCTTCTTTCCTCTGCCTGCATAGAGAGGAACCCCTGTGTTCTTTTGACCTTATCTCTGCCATTTTGCACTCATTATGGCTAGGTTTCAAATTCTCTCTGCTTAGAGGCCTCCCCCAAATCATTAAAAAGTTCCCTGGTGTCCCCAGCCCTGCCTGAATCCAATCCTGGCCCAACTAGATCCCACTCACCCAACCTACTAGTCAGCTCTGCTCCACACCCCTGTGTCCAGGGTTGACTGTCACTCTGTCCTCTCAAACACATCAACCACCTCGCTCTGAGTCTCCCTGTGCCCAGCCTGTCCCCTCACACCTGTCCTTTCTCTGGGGGATGCTGCACAGTTCATACTCCACAGTCAGGACCCTTGAGCTCTTCTACCCTCAGGTGCCCAGCCCAGCCCCCTTCCAGATGAGCCCAGGGAGTGTTTGCCTAAGGCATGGTGGGGAAGCTGCGGCATCTGCTTGGGGGAACTTATCTGGCCTCTATGGCCTCTAGGAATGTGATTATCATGAATGTGCAAAGAGGATTAAACTGCATTTAGGGAAAACATAAACAGTGGTACATTATAAAGATGCAGAGCTCTAAAACAGAAAAACTAGATCTGGTTCTGTAAAGGTAATATTAATTACAAGAATTTATGAGAACTTATGGCTAATTACCACATGCATATACACTTATGTATATGTACACAACTAATTTTATTGTAAGTTTTGTTGGGTTGCAACATTACACAAATAACAATAATTTATTGTTTGCTGAGCTTCTACATGCCAGCTACCATCTTAATCACTTTATAGAAATTATTTTATGTAGTTTTATACTCTGTTTCCAGTCTTTATTTGCTCATTAAGCATGGTTATTATCTAATTCATTTTAAGAGAAGAAAACTACGTTTTGTAAAATATTGGTTGTATCTTAAAGCTCTGAAAGTCCTGAATACAGACTGTTAATATACATTTGGATAATTATCAGAACTTTTGCTGTCAAAGTCCTATCTGTTGTACCTACAAAAATAAATGTTTATGGAAATGTCTTCAAATTCCTCTTAGCTACCAGGAGAAAAGAATGAAAGGAAAAGCTTAATGAGAGCTAATTCATAAGCCTTCTCTCCTTTCTGCTTTCTTCCCTGATCTGTTCCTTTTTCCTCCAGTCCCTACTATTTTTCCCCTCCCCTCCCTAACCCTTAAATTTTCTTCCCTCCCTTCCCCCGCTTCTCCCCCTGCTTTCCGCCTCATCTTTTCTACCTCTTTCCTTACTCCCTTCTTGACATATTATTGTCAGGTGCAGCGTGCAGACGTTTGGGAAGGGGACCAGGAAGAAATGCAAGCAGGGAAAAGTTTCATGCTTCCTCATATTATTCTGGAAAAAGACAGAAGTTACCAATTGTAAATTTTAAGATATCCTAGAGGAGCGCCAGTTTTTTTCTGTGAGCATCCAGCAGTGGTGCTCTGGAAATTTAAGATTGAATTCAGTTGAAGCTCACTGGTTCTATTAACAAAAAGATTCATACAAAAGGTCTCAGTGACATGTTATTTCTTTCCTGGGTCAGGAATTGTCTTTGCTGTGTGTCTGTGATGACTGGAACATTAGGCAGATTCTCTAGAAGGTCTATCATCCAAGAGATTGCATCTCAGAATGCAATTTTTGTTCACTGACCTTTATGAAAAAGAATAAAGACACTGAAAATTGATGATATGGAAGTTGGAAATCCATGGACGTGAGCACTGTCCTAATGGCACATTTAAAGCTTTAGGGAGCTTTCAAAAATTTGAAAATGTGAATAAAATCTATATTCAAAAGATAAGACAGATTAGAGAATAATACGTTAGATCTTTTATGGGCCATTTATGTTGATTTGATCATCAGTTTCTTTGGTGAAGAGTAATAATGAGCAGGCTGGGTTGGAGGCTCGTGCCTGTAATTCTAGCACTTTGGGAGGCTGAAGTGGGTGGATTGCTTGAGCCCAGGAGTTCAAGACCAGCCTGGCCAACATGGCGAAACCCTGTCTCTACTAAAAACACAAAAATTAGCCAGGCACGGTGGCACATGCCTGTAATCCCAGCTACTAGGGAAACTGAGGCACAAGAATTGCTTAAACCTGGGAGGTGAGGTTGCAGTGAGCCGAGATTGTGCCACTGCACTCCAGTCTGGGTGACAGACCAAGACTCGGTCTTTAAAAAAACAAAAAACAATAATGAGCAAACCTTCCTTGTCCTGTCTTATGAGATAGAATCCTAGTTTTAGGAATAACTGTCTAGGAGCTTCAATTCTGCAGCTTTTCCTCCACATCTAACCATTTGAAGGGATGTGAGCCATAGAGGGAAATGCTCCGGAGAAGAAAGCTGAATTCTAGTTTACACTTGGTCACAAATCTTCTATGTGGTCATAAGTCAATCATCTGCCATGAGTCTCAGTCTTCCTGTCTATAAAATGGGATACTTGGATCATATGCTGCTCCAGAATACTATGTTTCAAGGTGGTGATCAATCAAAATGCTTTGTAACTGCGTGTAACTTTGTTCTCACTTTTGTAAACTGTAGGCAAATCTTTGTCTGGCAGTTTTGTTCCAAAAGAAATGCTGGCTTTTCCATAAATGTTGTTTTGGTCACTTGTTTGGGGGCCAATCCACTGCTGGCCCTTTATGCTTATGTCAAATGGAAAGCTAAGGCCACATTAAACCTAACTGGTTGAAAGAGAGCAAGTTCAAAGCTATATCCCAAAGTAATCAGATTCTCTTTGCAATATCCTACAAAAGCCACTTGGATAAATAAAATTTGATTTTAAGAATATTGATTGGGTTCTTTTGCATAGCCTTTGATTTTCACATTTTTCTCTCATAACGTGTTATGATTTCATATTGCTGGAAATAAGCCCTCACTAATTCCTTTCTTTGTGCTTCTTCTGTATATCTTGAATTTCTCCACGTCGCTCCACCTCCACTCCTTCCTTCCTAGCCACAGCATCCGGCATCCCTCACCTGAACAGCAGCCTCTTGACTGGTTTCTCTGTTTCCAAGCTGTAGCCTCTGATCCAGGCTCCATACAGCAGCCATATTGTGTTGCTCACTTCATTCCCATCATTTGAAGGCTTCCCACGGCATTTGAATAAATCCCAACCATCTCAGACCATGGCTATGGTGAACACAGTGAGCAGTCTGGCTTCTGGGAATGCTGTTGGTAGATGTCTTCAACAGTCAGCCCCTGCAGGCTGGCCTCAGACACAGGGAGCCACTTCCTTCTTCCCGGGGAGCCCTACATCCAGGGTCCACTCATCTTGGGAGTATAAAGGCTTGGCCAACTCTGGGCAACTCTGGATAGCCATTCTAGCTGCAGAGCTTCACATGGGATCGGCTGTGGCTATCATCTGGGTCTGCCACTCAGTTCATGTCTTGCTCTGCCCCATCTTTCTCTGCCAAGACCAGCTCGGTTGTGGAGACCCGAACCCAGCAGTGCTAGAGGAATTAAGACAAAGATACAGAAACAGAGTGCAAAGTGGGATCGGGGGCTAACAGCCTTCAGAGCTGAGAGCCACAAACAGTTTGACCCACATATTTATTGACAGCAAGCCAGTGATAAGCATTATTTCTATAGATTATAGATTAACTAAAAGCATTCCTTACAGTAAACAAAGCATTCTTCGTGAAGAGCAGAGAAACAGCCTCTGGCTGATTATCTGCAGCAAAAGCATGTTGTTAAGGCACAGGCTGCTCCTGCTATTGTCTGTGGTTTGAGCAGTTTTCCACTCTGGGCGGGCCAGGTTTTCCTTGCCCTGCTCCAGTAAACCAACAACTTCTAGAAGTGTGCATGATAGCCGTCATGAGCATGTCACATTGCTACAGAAATCCTGTTTATGGCCAGTTTCTTTAAGGCCTGTTTATGACAGGCTTAGGTCCTGTTCCCCCCATTTCTCACTTCCTTCCCCTCTTCCACAGGGGCTGATACAAAGGGAACTATTTAATAAATGATGACAATGGCATCATAATACGCTGTATCATCTGGTCCTTGCCTATACTTCTGGCTCCATCCTGTGTCACTGCTGCCCCTGGCACATGGGTCTGCAGTTTATTTGCAGTTCCTGGATCCTATTAGGCTCATTCCTACCTCAGGGTCTATGCAACTGATGTTTCCTCTCTATGGGAGTTTTTCTTACAACTCTATCTAATTCTTCCTTATCCATTAGTGCTTAACTTGACTGTCACCTCCTCAGAGAAGCCTTTCCTAACCCTACCCCCGCATCATCACCAACCTAAGAGTATAAATAAGAATCTTTCTCCTGTTCTCTTATATAGCATCCTATTTTTTTCTTCATAGTACTGCTTGCAATTTGTGATTATATATTCACTTGCTTACTCACATGTTTAAGTTTGTCTTCCTCTACTGGACAGCAAACTTCTCAAAGACGAGTTTCTCATGTTCTGTTTGCCAGTTTGTATCAATTATATCCTCATCATTTGGCCCCGTTCTTGTCCCCTAGTTGATATTCAATAAATACTGACTGAATGAATGAAAGGACTGAATTTCTCCCCTTCCTAAGAAAGGCCTGAGTTTCTTTAGTCTCCTGGCTGTTTCTCTTTGAAGTCGCTATTCAAGGAGCCAGACTCCTTTAAAGACTGGGAAGAACTACCCTAGGGCAGGACCATCAGTGGATAACCAGTAGCACCGTAGCCAGTTGCCCAGCTGGAAGTTTTGACACAGGCAAGTAAGTACCTTCTGCATGCAGCAGGAACCATCTTGGCTCCAGGCCAACTGCTGCCATGCCTTCCTCCTCACTTTCCTGTCTTAATTACCCCTTTCTTCTATAGCAGCCTGCTCCAGTTTTCTGTCTATCATCTGTCCAAGCTTTATATTCTCATCTTGCCTGCCTGACCAAAACTAACTTTGCTTTCACCACTGTATCTAGCTTCAGGAAAGGCTCCTCGTTCCCCTACACTTTCATAGCCCTTTGGGGATACCCTCTCACTGTAGGGCACAGGCAGCCTGTAAAACAGGATCAAGATTCAACCCAATGAAATTTAGACACTATTACTTAACATTTAGGTAGTAGCAGACAGAGGCTGAGAACTTTATAAGGATTATCACATTCAATTCTCATTTAATCTCAACTATTATATGGAGAATTTACTACTACCATCTCCATTTTATGGAGTTTGGACAGCTGAAAGTGATTTATCCAAGGTAAGAGGTGACATTGGGATTCAAACCCAGATGATCTGATTGCAGGAGCAATGAGCACCTTAATTCTTCACTGCATTAGACTGTGACTGGATAACTTGCTCCACTGAGACCAAATGACATTGCTTTATTTTGTAGTAAACAGAGTTGTTGTTTCTTTTTTTCTTTCTTTCTTTTTTTTTTTTTTTTTCACTGTCGCTGGGCTGGAGTGCAATGGCGCGATCTCGGCTCCCTGCAACCTCTGCCTCCCTGATTCAAATGATTCTCCTGCCTCAGCTTCCTGAGTAGCTGGGATTATAGGCGCACACCACCACAGCTGGTTAATTTTTTCTATGTTTAGTAGAGACGGGGTTTCACTACGTTGGCCAGAATGGTCTCGAACTTCTGACCTCGTGATCCACCTGCCTCGGCCTCCCAAAGTGCTGGGATTACAGGCTTTAGCCGTCGTGCCTGGCCTCAGAGTTTGTTTTAAATTCAGCTTTGGTTTCTTTCTTTCCTTGTTTTACAGTAAGAAATTTTGAAAAAGGATGTTAGAGTGATTAGGCCTTAAAGAAATCAGTTCCATTGTGTCACTGCCTTCTTATTAATTTCGCTTTTGAGTTCTACTGTCCTATGGTGGTGTGTGGGGGTACATGATCACTGTGGGCCATTTGCACTTATAATCTCTCCTCTACAGGGTTATAGAGAGTCAAGGAAGAGTAGTGAGCACATATTGATGCTGATATCATGGGCAAGAGCAGATTGAGCAAAGTTAACTTTTTTTTTTTTTTTGCATTTTACATCATCCTTTTTTCTCTATTTTGTGCACTAACCTTTGTTATATCATGGAAAAGAGCATATGCTCACAAAATATTAATATATAGAAATGCTACCAATGTATTTAACTACCTGCTAACTTACAAGAAATGTTGCTATTTTTAAAATATATTTCCTATATGGTTACAGTTTATATACTGATTTTTCTCAGACATGATTGAAATTTCATATTTGATTTTCCAATATGAAGTTATGTGCTCTAAAATAGATATTCAAAATTGAATTAAATAAAATAAAAAATTCACTACGTGCTTGCTCTATGAATTATAAGAATTAAAACAACAAAACATTTTTCTCCCATTAGGCTGGTAAAGATTTTACTAATTTTTAAATAAAAAGATTGGTAATATCTAGTATTTGGGGTTGGTTAGTGTGTAGGAGAAATGTGGTTTCTTATATATTGAGGTAGGAGGGTTAATAAGTACCTGCTTTTGAAGGTAACTTGGAATTAGCTCTGAAAGTTGACCCAGTAATTCCATTTCTAGGAGTCTACCTTCCAGAAATAGTCACACGCACAGTGATTTTTTTACAAATCATTGCAGTGTAATTTTAAATAGTATAAAATTGAAAATAACCATCAATAGGGAAAGGGTAAAAGTTATGGGTATAATTAAGAGCATAATTATCAACACTATAGATACTATAGAGCTGTTGAAAAGCATCAGGAAGACATAAATGTACTGACAAGAACTCTAAGACACACGAATGATTGAAAAAGCAAGTTGCGAACGAATAAATATAGTATTATACTGTTTGTGTTAAGAAGTACGTAACATTCATATATGTAGAGGCATGCAACAGATCAGAGAGATTGTTATTAGTGTTTACCTCTGGAGAGGGGATAGGATTGACTAATCTGTGGTGAGGAAGTAAAAGGATTCATAGCTACAGGTTTTCTATTCATTTCTGTATCATTTAGATTTTGTACACTGACTATCCACACATAAGTTACTGTTGTAATTTTAAAACAGAAATAAAAAGTTATAACTACAAAACTATAAAATTTTTGATAGATTAAATTATAGATGTCTACTTTAAGCTCTATGTATGCTTCATGTAGCATCAAGTTATGCTAAATTATTGAGATATTATTGGGATGTGACATTAGGGTATATTTTGTTACATGAAACAGAAACTGATTTAAAAAGCATGAGTAGAATTAAGGGAGTTTATTGAAAGGATGTAGGAGAATCTTAGGAAACTCATGCAATCTGGCCTCAAGGGAGTAGGGAAGTTCAAAGGCTATGTCTTCCCTCTCTCTCTCCAGCGCCCAGGTTCTTTGACATCTATTTCTCCTGACACATCTGCACAATTCTCCTCTGGGGACTGTCCTCCTCTGCTTTTTGTTTGCTTGTTTTTAATCATCCTTGGGTCTATGTCTCTACAGGTTCACTACCATCTTGGGCTGAGGAAATTCTGGAAAATACTTTGGAGAAAGACTTTGATTGTGTCAGTTTACTCCATTTAATATTTTACTTTTTGAATTGTGAAATTAATTTCCAACTATTAATAGTATGTAAAGGTTCATCCATAAATAGTCACTGTTTCTGGTTCAGCTCCGGCTACTAAAGTGCAGCCAATTTTATATCTAAAGGCCTGTTTAGGCAGAAGTTTGTGGACAGTGACATATGGGGTGGGCCACAGCTAACAGATGCGTTACTTTGACGAAGCTTGAGTTTATATGGCTAAAGACAGCCATTATATGTTATGAACAAAGAAAAGGGATAGCTGGTATTGAGATATTCTTGAACCAGTGTCTAATCATTATTCACTCTTCATTTTGCTTTATACCTTATAAGGACTAAAGTTGACTTACTGGTCTATTGATTCTCATTGGAACATAGTCTTTACGGCAAACCCAATGGACAGAGGTTTATGAGAGGAACTGATTGCCAGTTGAGCAGTGTGTCAAATGTTCGTTACCTTAATCTAGAACTATGCTATCAACACAAGCAGTCCTTGCTTTGCACAGTAGTGGGAGACATAAAAATGGCCACACAAGCTGAAACTGTGTAAAACCATCTTAATAATCAATGGGAAAATTGCAGTTGTCTCGTGATCTTTAGAAAACTTTGTCAAAACGTTAAACCCTCTCTTTCTGTCACACTGGCATAAAGAAATCTAAAAGATAGTAACACTAATCTGTATTTAGCAATTTAAGACATTAAAAACATTGAGAATTAAAGTGTTTAATTTCTTTGTAAAAATATTGTCAAACAGCTTAAACAATAATTACCTTCTTCTCATATTATTACATACCATATGGAGCAAGCATCTTTTCTATGCCTTAGTGAATTGTCATACTCTTTGTGAAGTTTGGATCAGCTTCCAACATTTTATCCATTTTGCTTTCAATCTTGTGAAATATCTTAGAGTTTATTGTGAAGATTTTTTCTCAGCATTACTTCCTCTTTTACATCTTCATCTTTTTCATCACAATCACTTTCATCATTTATGTCAAAAAACGAGCCCTGGCTGGGCACAGTGGCTCATGCTTGGAATCCCAGCACTTTGGGAGGCTGAGATGGGAGGATCATTTGAGCCCAGGAGTTTGAGACCAGCCTGGGCAACATAGAAAAACTCCATCTCTATTATAAATAAATAAATAAATAACTTAGCCCAGCATTGTGGCATACACCTGTGGTCCCAGCTACTCAGAAGGCAGAAGTGGGAGGATTTCTTGAGCCCAGAATGTTGAGACTGTAGCGAGCTGTGATAACGTCACCACACTCCAGCCTGTGCAACACAGGGAGACTCTGTCTAAAGAAACAAAAAAACAAAACAAAACAAAACAAAACTGTGCCATTACTATTTCTCTAACTGCAACAGCTAGGGTCTTCCAGTCAGTGGTAGCATCAACATTCCCATAACCAACTGTAATTCTTCTATAACTTCATTTATGTTCAATTTAAATTTCACCTCTAGCATTATCTCTTTTTTTTTGCGTTTTCATCTTTGTTGGCCAATTTCTTCTTTTAATTATCAATTTTTATAAAATTGATAATTGATAAAAAAATTGATAAATCTCATGGATTTATCACTGGGAGACAAGGAGGCAACACAAGTATAGGTTTTGCTGTCTGTGTGTGAACTGAATAACAGATGTGTAATACCCAAGACTTTGAAAGAAGAGACATGATTGGTCTCTGACCATGATGCCCGTCTGTTATTTACATAATGATTTGTGGACTGGATGGCTAGTGGCAAAGTTAGTACTTTCTGCAATTTCTCATAGTTTATATACAGTGGTAATTGAAATTTAAACTGTGTTGCTCGAGGACTGGTGTTATCTAACTACACTGTGGTAAATGAAATTTGTGCATTTTGGTACTATGCAAGATGAGAACTGCCTGTATATGCTCAATAGAAGTGCATACATGTGTTCACCAAAAGACATGCACAAGAATGCTCATAGTGGTGCCATTCATAATACTGATAAAGTGGAAACAATGCAAATGCCCATCAGTGGTAGAATGGGTAAATAAATTGTGGTTTAATCATAAAATGGAACACCTTCTGGCAATGGGGTTTTACAAACACGACTACACGGAATAATATGAATGAATATCTTAAAATGTTGAGCTAAAAAAGCTAAACATCAAAGATACATACCATATGATTTCATTTATATAAAGTTCGAAAAACAGGCAAAATGAATCAGTGGTACCAGAGCTCAGGGCAGTAATTGTCATTGGCAGAGGTGGTGACAGGAAGGGAGTGTAGCGGGGTCTGGGGCACTGCTAATATTCTGTTTCTTGATCTGGTAACACGTATATTTTTAGTTTTGATAATTTGACAACCTGTATGCTTACGATTAGTGTCCTTTTCTATATGTATATTTCAATATATCTTTTACCAAAAAAGTAACATGTTTCTAACTTGAGGACCAAAGTTTATAATACCTTCACTCTTTTAATATAAATCACAGTGGATTTTGTGAGCTCCCTAGAGTAACAGTACTCACTTCCTTTCTTGATTTGGGGGTGGTAAAGGGTGGAATTACAACAATGGCAAAATGGTTCATAACCCTGGGGAGAGGCAGGGGAATGTCTTGTACAAGTTAATATCATTTGTCACTAGGCTATCATTTAAACAGGAAAGATGGGAGGGCCTCCAGAGCATGAAGTGCAAAATCATACTTCCAGACCCTTCACCATTATTGCCAGGGCCAGCACTCAATGTACCATATACTCCAGCCCCAGCCTCCTGGTTTTTCAGCTTTTGATATATATTTGTCTGCTTGGGCTGCTGTAACAACATACCATAGGCTGGGTAGTTTAAGCAACAGGTGTTTATTTCTCATAGTTCTGGAGGCTGAGAAGTCCAGATCAAGTTGCTAGCAGATTCAGTTCCTGGTGAGGGTCGGCTTCCTGGAGTGTAGAGGGCCACTTTCTTTCTATGTCCTCCCATGGCAGACAGGGGAGAGGGAGAGACAGAGGAATCTCTCTGATTTCAGTTCTTATAAGGACACTAAAGTCATCAGACCAGGGCCCCATCCTTAGGACCTAATCTAAACCTAATTACCTCCCAGAGGCCCCACTTCCAAATACCATCATAGTGTTAGGGCTTCAAAATATGAATTTTTTTGCGGGGTAGGGGGACACAATTCGGTCCAAAGCAGACATTGTCTATTGAACCTCCAACTGGGGAAATTCAAGGTTGTGCATTTCCTTAACCTCACTGCACAGTCACACTTCCCAACCCCCTTCTCTCCGTCTAATTGTGCGATAATTTTAGTCAGGTCAGGTGAAATTAGAACCCAGAAGCATCACATGACTTGAAATGCAGTTGACTCCCAAATCTACCCTTTCCAACCCTGCCCTCTGCCCTGCTCTGGCATCCCACACAGCACATACAATGTTTATTACAGTCCCTGTGCCTTCACTCACCTGTTCCTTCTACCTAGAACCTCTCTCCTCCCCATCTTCACCTGGCTTCCTTTGTTGGTTAGTTCAAGTCTGGCTCAGTTGCATCCTTTCCAGCAACCCTTCCCTTGCCCCGCCTTCAGTTCTACCCAAGATCTCCTTCCATCGTCCTGAGAACTGAACCTCATTCCTGCGACTATCATTCCATGTTGAAATTATATGTGCAGGAGTGTCTCCACCACAAGACTGTCAGCTTCCTGAAGAGAGAAACCTTGCTTTTTAATCCGTGTAATTCCAGTACAAGCACTATGCTTAGTATACAATGGGCATTTTATGTTTATTTAACAAACAAAATTGAGCCTAGGCAACATGGCAAAACCTCATCTCTACAAAAAATACAAAAATTAGCCAGGCACGATGGTGTTCACCTGTAGTCCGGGCTACTTGGGAGGCTGATGTGGGAGGATCACTTGGGCATGGGAGGCAGAGGTTGCAGTAAGCTGAGATTATGCCACTGCACTTCAGCCGATTGTGCCACTGCACTTCAGCCTCGATGACAGAGCCAGACTCTGTCTCAAAAAAAAAAGAAAAAAGAATTGAAGTGATAATTGGCATTTTTCACTCGCCTGTGCAGTCAGGTTTTGTTCTTAATATTTGATGCCTTTGTTTTGATGGGAATAAAATTGTTTCCCACTGGTTAATGGTTCTCTTGGTTTACAAGAAAATTTGCAGGCCAGGCACAATTCACAAAGACTCTAATATCCTGTAGACAGGAGTCTCTGTCACACTTGATTTACTTCTTAATGGGTGTGTTTCTTACTCCAGAGTGTGACTGTCCTCCTGGCTATTAGAGTTGACTTGTACCAAATCGATGAAAGAGAATTAGGGGAAAGGGCAAATGATCCTAACAGTAGTTACAACACTGTTTCATGATGAGAAAACAAGATTGGAAGGTTAATGGTTGGAGGGACTTAAAGTGCAAGAGATTCTTAATCTTTGGTTACTTTATAAATGAAGTAGATAACCCTTAGGTCATAAGAATATATTATCTAAAGTGTGTATTTAAAGTGTAATTTTGCGCTTGCTTCACCACTTGCCTAGGATCCTAAAGCTCTTTATAAGGTTATCTACCCACATGTAAAACTTAATTTATTGGTTTGGTGAATTAAGGGAAATAATTTATTTTTCAGCAGATTTTATTAGCTGTTAAAGTTTATAAGCTAAAGAGCTCAATGGCTTTTTCTTGGAATTTCATACATTATGCAAATTTCTTCATGAATGATCATTCTGTAAGTGATGTCTCAGGTTGCTTTGAACCCAGAGAACCTTTCAGTTGGTGCAATACCAGCTTCAGTTTTATTAGAAAAAATAAAGAAAAAAGAAGCTCATCTCCTCTTTCATCATTACTTCTCGCTCACTTAAATCTAAATAAACAAAAATTGGTTGCGTCTTTAATAAACTGAAAATACTGCCATTCATGGTTTAAGATAGAATTCTTAATCAAAAGCTCGATTTATCTACAACTTCTAAAACAGATATTGGCTTTAAAATGTTACTTTAAACATCTTCTATAGCCAATATCTACATTATAATATAAAGCCCAGTGCCTTTCTATTCAACATATGCTTGTTATAAGATAGCCACCAGGTATTTGAAGGATGTACAAAAAAATCCCCCTTATCAAAATTACTGTGGCAGACTCTGACAGTTTTATTCCTTATAGATGTTCTCATTTTTAATTCTAGTAATAGAAATTTAAGGTAGGTATATGGCTGTCCAGCTAAAATACCTATGATATTATGATACATACATTGGTTTTCATCCACAGCTCCTGGCTCATAATTCCTATAACCCTTGTTATTGTCTTTTGTTATAATGTTGGGGCACTTTAGGCCTCAGAGGCAGGCCTCAGGAAGCAGAATCTCTCTGACCTTCTCCTGCCTTCCTTTACCTCCTTTCTTTCTCCAAGGTAGGAATCTTTTTGGGCCTTTCTACCTTGGAGCTGGACATAAATAAATTCTCTGACCTACCTTGTCTGATTGTAGGTCATAAGACCTTCATTTCAGATGGGGTCCTACCCATACCCTGGAGAAAGGAATGCTGCACAGAGAGGCCAGGAAGAATCTGAACAGATAGGCTTTGGTGAGTTCCCCAACTTAGCCTATAGTATTAGCTCATATCCTTTTTGTCCAATCACATTTCTACATGGTTGTCAATCATGTCTATCCAATGAATTCTCTATAAAAGGCCCAAGAGGACAAGGTTAAGAGAGTTCTGGACAGATGAACACATGGAGGTTTGCAGGAGGGTGAACAAGAACTTATCCATGTGCTGGGAGGGTGCCAGCTCCATGGGGACCGAAGCTCCTATGTCTGGGATCCTTCTAGATCTCGCCCTATGTATCTCTTCATCCAGTTGTTTGTTTGTATTCTTTAAAATATCCTTTGTAATAAACTGGTAAACATAAGTAAGGGTTTCCCTGAGTTCTATAAGCTCCTCTAGAAAATTAATTGAACTCAAAGAGAGGGTCATGGAAACCACAACCTTTAGTTGGTTGATCAGATGTTCCAGAGGCCCAGACTTTTGACTGGTGGGAAGACGTGATGGCTAGAGCTGGAGCCATGTTAGACCATGAGACAGAAACTGGGATGAGCGTGGTGGAACCAGGAAACAGAAAAGACTGGGGTGTCCAGCACTGTGGAGCAGTTCTATCAATCAGCCTAGGCTGCCTCCCTGTCAGTTATATGAGAGAAAAATAAATGAACTTATGTAAGCTATTGTTCCTTTGGCCTTTTCTACAGCTAGACTCGAATCTGTGTCCTAAATGATATACAATATGCAGACATTCCTACCATTCATAATTTATTCCTAGGGATCAAATCATTATATCATCTTGAGTTCCCTGTTCAAACTCAACTATCTTGGGAAAAGTGCTTCCGTCAGTAACTTCTTAACATGAATTAGTTTATCAATTTACTGTTATTCCTTCACTAGTTTTAGGGTTTTGGATTAAAGGAAGATTCATTTGTTAAGGTTGACACTGTGTTAATCGAATTAAGAAACCTCATTTGGAGCCACATGCGATAGTGCATGTCTGTAATCCCAACTACTAGGGAGGCTGAGTCTGGAGGATTACCGAGCCTAGAAGCTGGAGACCAGCCTGAGCAACATAGTCAGACCCTATCTCATTAAAACAAAAACAAACAAATAAATAAGCAAATGCCTGACTTGGGACAGAGAACTCAGCTGTGTCTGCACAGAGCTGGGTCTGAAAGTGGCCATTAGTGTAGCATTAAGCACTCTCTGAGAAAGCAAGATCACATTCTAAAGTGAAAGATAACAAAGAGTGGGGTCCTTCAGGAACAGGGTCTAACTAATAATTCATGGGAGTGTGGGTGAAGAGGTCTCAAGCTCACGCTATTGCTTGGAAGAGAAATAAATTAGATACTGTTTAAACTGGCAACTGGCTTTTAAATGGGTACAAGTACTGATGGTTATTAGTCTTATGTAGTTTTTCTCCTGAATGGCAAACATTTTTTTCCCAATAACATTGGCCATGGAACTTAAAATAATGCTGCCATGAAGACATGTCTTTTCTGCTTTTCTGTGCCTTTTGCCCCTTCTTTTTCTCAGAACACAATGTTCTCTTCTTCAGCTTACTCTTTATCTTTTTCTTCTAGCTCTAGTATTTTTCATCTTTGATTTCTCTATCCTGTTTGCTCAACAAGACTTTTAATCTATGAGCTCCCAAATCACAAAGCCATGTTTCTCAAAATGAACTGCCCCATCTGTAACTGCTATGCTAAATTTTGAAACGTGAGCAATAAGGAGATAGATGGTTGACCTTGAACAAAACACTTCACCTCTCTTGACTTTAGTTTTATTGTCCTAAAATGTGGAAACAAGTGAGGTCTAGACAGTCTTTTCCCTCTCTAACACCATGCTCAGGGCCTCCTTTTCTGCCAAAGACTCACTTGGAGGTGCCAGGACTCTACTGATATGTATTAGATGCTTTCTCCGTCCCTCTCCTGATGTGTATCCTCACCCTTCCATATTTCCTTTGGCAACAGAACTTATTACTGCCAGAATAGTCTGTGGAGTTGGGAGAATTAATTTATTTGAGCAGAAGTGTATCCATGTTTTTATACACTAAAAGGTATAAAGCATGAATTATTGCAAAACAAAATAAGCAAGAAAACAAAGATAACTAATTCTATTTTTTTAAGAGACAGGGTCTTGCTCTGTTTCCCAGGCTGTAGTGCAGTGGCACTACCATAGCTCACTATAACCTCAAAATCCTGGGCTCAAGAAATCCTCCCACCTCAGCCTCCTGAGTAGCTAGGACTGCAGGAGTGTGTCACCATGCCTGCTCAAGAGAACCAATTCTATGATGTTGACTAAGAACTTGGAAACTGCTTACCTACTTACTTCAGTGGTTTGCCCACACCCACTTTTGTGGCTTTATGAATGTAGCATAACTTACCTCATGTTGTCTTTTTGGCCTAATCCTGAAAAATTAATATTTAATAATCAAGTCATTACTAATTTCTTGATTGATATATATGCATGTTAGCAAGCTAATTAAATTAATTCTATTCATTGGGTAAAAAATTTTTATTACAAAAATTCCTGTGCTCACCAAGATGGAGTATACAGACTACAGCCTATCTCTCCCCCTAGTTATAACTAAAGCTCTGGATAGAATACAAAAAGCAACTACCTGAGGACTGTGACAAGCAAACAATAATACAAGAATTGGAAATTAAAGTAAAAACTTGATTAACAACCTATAGTGGAGAAGGGTTTCATGGATTTTTTTCTCCTTTGACACCTGGGTTTGAACTAAGGACAGGCTAATATATGCTAACTGTCAGCAAGTGCTGACAGAAGAACTCTGGCAGAAATCATCTCTTTCTAGCAGAGCACAGGAAAAGGGACTCTTGCTTTCCGGAGAGTGTGGCAGGAGAAAAGTACCCATTTCTTTTACAGTTTTTATGTTTTTTCTCTCCCAGCCCTGACCCAGGGCCAGCCCCAGCTGTGACACTACACTTCCACCATTTGGTGCAGGCACCTAAAACCCCCAAAAAAGATGGACTGTCTTGGCTAAAAAAACTGGAAAAAGGGGTCCCTGTTGCTCAAAGACTGTGAGGAGAATCAAAACATCTGACCAATGTGTGAAAAAAAACCCACACAAAAATCCAGGAAATAATAATCAACAGAATTAACAGAGGGCAACACTGAGATGCCCCAGATGTTGGAATGATCAGAAACAGACTTAAAGCAGCTAAAATAACCATGCTACATAAAGTCATGGTGAACACTCTTAAAATGGGTAAGAAGATACAAGTTCCCAGTAGAGAGGTAGAAGTTACATAAAAGAAACAAATGGAAATTTTAGAACTGAAAAATATAGTATCTGAAGACCTGAACAAGACAATCAATTTGAAATAATTAATATTTATAGAAAGTTTCATGGAATTACCATAAAATATACATTATTATTTTTCTCTCTCTCTTTTTTTTTGACACAGAGTCTCACTCTGTCATCCAGAGTGCAATGACACAATCATGGCTCACTGCAATCTCTGCCTCCCAGGCTCAAGTGATCCTCCCACCTCAGCCTCCCAAGTAGTTGGGACTACAGGTGCATGCCACCACACCAAGCTAATTATTATTATTATTTTTTTTGGTAGAGACAGGGTTTCACCATGTTGCTCAGGCTGGTCTCAAACTCCTAGGCTCAAGCAATCTGCCCACCTCAGCCTCCCAAAGTGCTGGGATTACAGACATGAACCACCATGCCTGCCCAAAATATACATTATTTTTAAGTGCACATGGAACATTCACCAAGATAGATTATAGCTTAGACCATAGAACAAACCTTGACAAATTAAAGAATTAAAATCATACGAGTATGTTCTCTAGGCTTAATGAAATTATATTTAAAAACCAATAACGGAAAGATACCTAGAAAAATCACTAGATATTTGGAAATTAAATAACAGACTTCTGAATAATTAATGGGTCAAAAGAATGTAATGGGGGAAATTAGAGTGTATTTTGAATAAAGCAAAAAAGAAAACAAAACATATCAAAATTTATGGGAGGCAGGAAAGGCAGTGCTGATAATGAAATTTATAGTATTAAATGCTTATGTTAGAAAAAAGAAAGATCTCAAATTAATAACCAAAGCTTCCACATACATAAGTTAGAAAAAAATGAAATTCAAAGCAAGGAGGAAAATGCAAATTAAGAAAAGAAATCAAAATTACAAACAATAAAATCAATGAAACTAAAACCTGGTTCTGTGTAGAGATGAAAGAATTGATGAGTCTCTACCTGGATTGACCAAGAAAAAAATAGAAGACACATACTGCAAACATCAGGAATGAAAGAGGAAATACCACTACAGAACCTACAGATATTAGCAGAATACAGTGTGATGTATATGTAAGAATTTTATGTTTTTGCATATGAATATCCAAATGTTTTAGCATCATTTTTGGAAAAGATCATCATTTTCCATTGAATTACCTTTGCTTGCATTTTTGTCAAAAATCATTTGATCATATTTCTGTGACTTAATTTCTGAACTCTCTAGTCAGTTCCATGGGTTTACATGACTATCTGTTCACCAATTCCACATTGTTTTTATTATTGTAGCTTTCTAGTAAATCTTGAAGTCAGATCATGCAAGTCTTCCAATTTTGTTCTCCTTTTTTGAAATTGTTTTAACTATTCCGGGTCCTTTGCATTACCGTATGAATAACAATGAAATATGGCACAGTGATAACACTGTCAAAACATCTAACAAAATAGGTGAATCTCAAATGTATTAACCTAAGCAAAACAAGGTAGACTCGAAGGCTACCTATTTTATGATTTCATTCGTATAACATTCTGGAAAAACAAAACTGTAAGGACAGAGAACACATCAGTGGCTGCCAGGGGGTAGGGTTTGACTACAAAGGTACAACACAAAAGAATTTTGGGAGTCAAAAGTACTGTTCTATCATATTTGTGCTCATAGGTACATGACTCTATCCATTCATGAGAATTACAGAAACTGTACTATAAAATGAATGAAATTTACTGTATGCCAGATAAAAATACAGTTTAAAACAATGTTTATTACTGTTTTATTTTTGCATTTGTTGCTAAAACTGAAAGATCCAAGTGAGAGAGTCTGATTGGCTGAGTCTGGTCAGTGACCATGCCTTCACGTCTGAAAGTAGGGAGAGGTGGTCTTGGGTTGCTCTTGGCTTCTTTAATTGCACTTTCACAAAGTTTCATACAATTGGGAAGTTTTCTAAAATGAGAAGAGTTTGGAGGTGCCAGTGGGAATAAAGATAAATGTCTACTAGAATATTGTAATCAGTATAGAGGATGAAGATCAGGAGTTGTGTCTTGATTCAATTAACTTGTGGAGTGGAATCCCCAATTCCCTGTGGAAGTAATGTTAAGAAAAAGAGAAGCCTCCAAATTATGTCTTTGGAGGTTGTTCAATGATCACTCCCTCCATATTCCTTTTTATTTTATTTTTTCTTTCTCTTCCTGCAGCCTTCATTCAGCACACTCTCCCTACTATCTATTTTCTCTATCTGCCCCCCTTGGAAAATTCCATCCCTTTCTATACTGGGAAGACATCATAGACCTAAGACTCTTCTTTTGTCTTGAAAATTCTTGTCCCTCAGACTCTGGATGCTGAGAGATTTCTTCTACTCAGGCTTTGCTGGATATGAGTGTGGGAGGGAGAGACAAGGACATGTGCTCCACTACGCAGAGTGAAAGGAAGTTGAGGGGTATCCTAATTTCACCAGTGGCAGCCACAGCTCATTTCTTCCTGAGTTACCCAAGGGCAGAGTGTACCTCATTAGAGCAAATGTAATTTTTTTCCTAGTGACAAAAACATCATGTCTCAAATATAACCCCTTATTAATGTATAACCCCTTATTAACATTTCTTTGAACTTCTTCTTACAAAATAATCACCCTCGGCATTATTGGACTAAATAACATTGGTCTTCTCCTTGATCTTGCTTTTATCAAAGGGGCTCCTAAATTATGATTTTTCTGTTTTCCATTTTTTTTTAAAATCAAGAGTAGGAAGTCTTATTCTACTCCATAAAACATCAGTGAACGCTATTAACTTAAAATGACTGGCAGATCTATATAATGGCCAAAGTTACAAAAGCATATTTTGTAGTAGCACAATCAGGAATTTCTTCCTGGAAGCTGCCTTCCCAGAGGCCCCTGTTTAGATAAAATGGCCTTATCCTGTCCTGTTATAGCATCCCTCATATACACCTATTTTTATCACTTATCAAGTTACATTGAATTATTTGTTTATGTTTCTCCCCAACTAGGCTGAAAGCACATGTAAGTTAGGACTGCACCTTACATCCATGGAATTCCAAAATGTATTCAGTGAGATGTTACTCAGTATTATGTTTTGAAATGTGGTTTTGTAGATACACATGTTTGGGAATGATAATTAAACAGCTTTCTTTACTGCATGGTTTCTCAGAAATGCACATACATTTGTTTATCCAACAAATAATTATTGAGTACTCCCTATGCTAGCCACCATTAAGACACTGGAAAGTCAGGTGAAGGCAATGATACACTCTGCTTTCATGGAGTTTACATTATAGCAGGAAAGAGACAAGAAAAGAGTAGGTAAATATATGATGTGTTGGGTGGTGATAGTGCCATGAGGAGAAACAAAGCAGGATAAAGAAATAGAGTGAAAGTCCTGGATGGGGAAGTGGAAGGAGTGATTGCATAGGGTGGTGGTCAGGGAGGGCTTATTTGATAAGGCGACGTTTGTGTAGAAACCTCAAGGAAATGGGGAAGTGAGCCATGCAAATATCTGGAGAAGGGATGTTTAAGGAAAGAGTAAATATAAAAGCCCTGAGTATGCGTGGTATGTTCCAGGAATAGCAAGAAAGCTGGTATAATTAGAGTGGATTAATCTTGGGGTGGGCTGTGGGGAGATAGGAAAGGAGATAAGAACAATGGTATACAGAAAGGAGGCAGGGTCTGAGAGCTGAAAAACAGATTACATACGACTTTGAAGGCTTTGATTAGAACTTTGGCTTTTGTGATGACTGATAGAGCTTGGATATTTGTCCCTTCCCAAATCTCATGTTGCATTGTAATCCCCAGTGTTGGAGATGGAGCCTGGTGGGAGGTGTTTTGGTCATGGGGGTGGATCCCTCATGGGTTGGTGCTATCCTCACCATAGTGAGTGAGTTCTCCTGAGAATCGATCCTGTAGCGTGTGTGGCACCTCCTCTCCCTCTTGCTCCTGCTTTAGTCATGTGATGTACCTACTCCTGCTTCACTTTCTGCCATGAGTAAAAGCTCCATGAGGCCTCCCCATAAGCCAAGCAGATGCCAGTGCCATGCTTCCTGTACAGCTTATAGAACTGTGAGCCAATTAAACCTCTTTTCTTTATAAATTACTCACTGTCAGATACTTCTTTATAGCAATGCAAGAATGGACTAGTACACTGACTTAGGGACCCATTGGTGGGGCTTGGGCAGAGAAGTGACCTATTCAAGCTGTTATATTAACAGTAGACTAAAGGAGAGTAGGGGCAAAAGTAGAGAAGCCAGTTGGAGACTGGTGTAGTAATTTAAAAGAGAGATGGTGCTATGGTTTTGCTGTGTCCCCACCCAAATCTCACCTTCAATTGTAGCTCCTGTATTTTCCACATGTTGTGGGAGGGACGTGGTGGGAGATAGCTGGATCATAGGGGAAGTTCCCCCATACTGTTCCCATGGTGGTGAATATGTCTCACCAGATCTGATGATTTTATAAGGGGTTTTGCCTCTTTCTTGGCTCTCATTTTTTCTTGTCTGCCACCATGTAAGATATCCCTTCCACCTTCCACCATGATTGTGAGGCCTCTCCAAGCCATGTGGCACAGTGAGTCCATTAAACCTCTTTTTCTTTATAAATTACCCAGTCTCGGATATGTCTTTATCTGCAGTGTGAAAACCAGCTAATACAGATGGTGATAACTGAACCAAAGTGATTGTGGTGGAGGTGTTAAAGAGGTGACACAATTTTATTTTTAAATTATAGCCCACAGGATTTCTTGAGGGATTGGATATTGTTGTAAGAAAAACGGGGAGTTAAGGATGACTCCAAGGACTTTAGCTAGAGCAACTGGAAGGATAATGTTGCCTGAGATTAACTGAGATGGGGAGAACCAGGAGAGGAGAGGAGTGTGGGAAAAAAGCCTGAGTCTTGATGTAGCTCCCAGGGAAGTAGGTTCAGCTAGAACTGAGCCCTGGGGCACTGTTGGTGTGTTTATACGCATTGCAAAAATCCAAGAGGGAATATAGTAGCTACATTTCTTAAGTGTATTTCATTACAGAACTTATGCTTGATCTTATGGACCTAGTGTTTCAAGGAGCACACTTTAGTAATAAACATAATTGAATGAAACGAAACCAGAAGGTGATATGAAGAGAACACAGCTGAGAAATAGGCCATTACAAATGAATTTAATCATTACCAATACACAATATTCTATGGCTTACAAAAAGACCCCACATGGAGGGGATGAATTAGGAAGTTATTGTCCATCTTGTGAAATTTATAAAACGATGAATATTACAAAGTAATATGACTAATTTTTAACAAACATATGAAAACTTCTATATCCAAAAGAGTACTGCCTTTTTGAAGTTTTTCCTTGAGATGGCTAAATACTTATTGTAATGATACTACAATTGGTCAAAATATGCTTGGAAATAATATCTGGACTACTTTTTATAGACATATTGCTTTGAGAATCCTTATATATGAAAAAATGTCCTTTTGGGTGGATTTTAGTTGCTAAAATTGCCAGAAGTCTTTCAGAGTCAAGCTAGATATAAGTGGATGAATAAATCGAGAAATATTTTACTGTTAAATGTGGCTTAAGTCTATGAAGACTGAGTTTCCTAGTGGCTTGAGAGTTATTCCAAAGAAGGATTTTTTAGAAAATGTTTAAACAATAGTAATATCCCTGGAACAATTATTTCTTCCATAGTGTCTACCTATATTTAGATACATAAGCTTTGCTGTTATCATCTCTTTACATTCTAGTCACATGATCAAAGTCAAATGAATGATTCCAATTATCTTTAAAATGAGGGAAATTAGTAAAGAGGTGAAACTAGATTCCGCTATGCTGACTCCTACCACCCATCCTTTCTCTCTTTATTCTATAAGTGGTCTATAGTTTTGAATACAAAAATGCCATAGAATATTAGAACTATCTTGATAATTATAAGCTGGGTTTGAGCTAGTTCTGTCCTGCTAATCTAGATATTAAGATGAAAGGGATAAAAATTTATGTGGTCTTACAGAGGGATGAGAGCAAAAAAAAGAATTTGCTTCTAAGATCTATTTTAGAGGAAGAAATTAATATACCAAATGGATCTGGCCTTATGCCTGATGTTTACTGTTTTCCAATTGAGTGCAAACATGTCTGCGAATTTTTGGTGGTGAGCCAGCTGCTCTGTATTCATTCTGGCTGATTAAAATGCTCTCAGTAGAGATGCTGTTCAGAATTGGTCATTCTGCTTTTGCCTGCTGGGAAACAGGAACTGCCAGGGCTTCTTAAGCTAAATGAAGAAATTATTTCACCTCAGTAAGGCTCTCTCAGATCCAAGGTTTCAAACTTTCTCAAGGTTGGAGAGCCTTTCTCCACTGTCTCCCATGCCAAGGAACTCCAATCCATGCTTCAAGGGGTTCTCTGGCCAAGCCAGAAGGTAATAAAAGAGATTCCAATTAAATGTAACTGTATCAATCTAGGGATTTACTTGAACATGTAGAGATGCCTCATGCAGAAGAAATTCGGGAAACAGAAAACCCTGTAAGTTCTGTCTTGCCTGTTCTTTCAATCGAAGTGTAACTGGTTATGTTGGATCATTTTCACCGAGGACTGTGCAGTGACTTTTTACTGAAATAGACACTCATTCTGGATATGGTTATGAATTTGCCTTTTCTGCTCACCACGCTTCTTCCAACAACACTATTTGTGGACTCAAAGAAAACCTTATTCAGCATTATGGTATCTCACATAACAGTTCTTTTCACTAAGAAACTTGTGATACAGCAAAGGGAGTAAGGATATATAAAGGACTGATTGTTGTCTCTTCTGTTCCCTTCTCAAGCAGGGAAATCTTTTCAAGTGATTGGCAAGTAGTAAAAATAAAGAATGATAAGCAGGTAGCCCAAAGAACTTATGAGTCTTTATTATAATCCAAGGAGTTCAGTTAAGTACAGCAGTAAAAATGAAATAAAGATTAATATTCTAACTTATTTTTAGTGAACTGAAACAGAAAAATGAAACAACCCTGATCAAAAAAATCATGACATTGCTGAATTGAAATAACTTAACTTATTCTGATTTCCAATGTATTCTTCTCCTGCATTTTCCTTCCTTCCTTCCTTCCTTCCTTCCTTCCTTCCTTCCTTTCTTCCTTCCTTCCTTCCAACTTCCTTTCTTCTAACTCCCTTCCTTTCACTGGCTTCTCTTTCATCTTCCTTTAAATAGAGACATTTCTCAACATTCCATCTTCTGCCATTCTGAATTGATTAATCCTTTTCATTATTGTGGTCGTGTGGTTTGGATCTGTGTCCCCTCCAAATCTCAGGTTGAAATGTAACCCCCAATGTTGGAGGTGGGGCCTGGTGGGAGGTATTGGATCATATGGGTCAGAGCCCTCATGAATGGCTTAGTGCCATCCCCTTGGTGATGAGTGGGTTCTCACTCAGTTAGTTCACACACAATCTGGTTGTTTAAGAGTCTGAGACCTCCTCCTTCTCTCTCTTCCTCCTCCTCTTGCCATGTGATATACTGGCTTCATCTTCCACCATGGGTAAATGCTCCTGAGGACTCACCAGAAGTCAAGCAGATGGCAGTGCCTTGTTTCCTGTACAGCCTGCAGAGCCGTGAGCCAATTAAATGTTTTCTTTATAATTACCCAGCCTCAGGTATTTCTTTATAGCAATGGAAAAACCGGCTAATACATGTGGTTTCAAGCATCTATTATTATAATGCCTCACAAATTTCCACATATCTCCAAAGCTTACTTCTCCCTCCTAAGATCCAAACACAAATACTCAAGTGCTTCTAGATGTATCCCCTTGTATATCACTATCTTAGACCATTTGTGTTGCTATAAAAGAATATCTGATGTGGGTAATTTATAAAGAAAAAAAGGTTTATTTGGCTCATGATTCTGCTGACTGGAAGACTTAGCATCTGGCGAGGGCCTCAGGCTGCTTCTACTCATGGCAGAAGGTGAAAAGGAGCTGGCATGTACAGACAGCATATGGTGAGAGAGAAAGCAAGAGTTGGGAGGGGCCAGGCTCTTTTTAACAATCAGCTCTTGTGGGAACTAATAGAATAATGACTAGCTCTTCTCCCTCCCAAGGAGAGGATTTATCTAGGCATGAGGCATCTGCTTCCATGACCAAATACCTCCCATTAAGCCCCTACCCAACACTGAGGGTCACATTTTGACATGAAGTTTGGGGGAATGAACATCCAAACTACAGGAATCCCAGAGGTACCTCAAACTTCATATATCAAAAATACCTATTTCATTTTTCATAAAACCTGTTTCTTTCATGGATTCATTTTCAGCCTCACCATACGTAGTAGATGTTTCAGGATCCCACAAATTTATAATAAAGTCCTTCAACTTTTTAACCTAATGTGCTTAAATCAACTTCAAACTTTGCAGTAGCTGTGCCTCCATACATGAGTACTTTATCCGGAAACCCAGAAGGCCTTTCCCATATATGCTACAGGCTAGAAGTGGCAGAGTGGACATCCAGAAGCAATGACTGATGACAAATGATATATGAGTGCCTCAGCTCCCTTGTTCCTTAAGTGGGATAAATCTGAGTTGCGTTTTATACCATTTCTCAGATTTCTCTGCCCCTTTTCCTCTCCTCTTTTTCATGAAATTAAGCTTCAATTTTCCATGATGGAAGTTGTCTACAAAATGTACCTTTTCTTGGCTGCTTTCTCTTTTTTGTATCACTTCCTACTCCCCACTCCTATACCAGTGTTTCCTGCACCTCCAAATGAACTGTTTGCTTTTGAATCTTTATTCTGGAGTGTGCTTCTGGGGACATTCAAACCAAGACAGTTGATGCCAAAGTAATTCAAAGGAGTAGATTCTCAGGATAGGATTCTGTAATTGCATTACTTAGTGACAATAAGGAGCCTACTGCCAGGTGTAATTGAGATGGTGATTTGTCCTGGCACACTGGAACATAATAATAACTAAGATTCTCATTGATGGTGGGTTAGGATGGGATACAGTCAAAGGGGACGCACTGCCTTATGCATTCTCTCTAGAATTTGAGAGATACCTGTATGTGGCAATGTTAATTAAAAGGACTATGGAGTTGCACTCTTATTTCTTAAGTACTTTAATGTGTTGAAGGAAGAAAATGGCAGGCTAAGTTGTTTCAGGGAAAGGTATGAAAGCTGAAAGAACTTCAAGGCAGGATTTAAAGAGCCTATCATCTCTTGTCATAGATAGTTCTTATTATTTTGAAATACGTCCCATCAATACCTAATTTATTGAGAGTTTTTAGCCAATACCACACTGAATGGGCAAAAACTGGAAGCATTCCCTTTGAAAACTGGCACAAGACAGGGATGCCCTCTCTCACCACTCCTATTCAACATAGTGATGGAAGTTCTGGCCAGGACGATCAGGCAGGAGAAGGAAATAAAGGGTATTCAATTAGGAAAAGAGGAAGTCAAATTGTCCCTGTTTGCAGATGACATGATTGTATATCTAGAAAACCCCATTGTCTCAGCCCAAAATCTCCTTAAGCTGATAAGCAACTTCAGCAAAGTCTCAGGATATAAAATCAATGTACAAAAATCACAAGCATTCTTATACACAAATAACCGACAAACAGAGAGCCAAATCATGAGTGAACTCCCATTCACAATTGCTTCAAAGAGAATAAAATACCTAGGAATCCAACTTACAAGGGATGTGAAGGACCTCTTCAAGGAGAACTACAAACCACTGCTCAAGGAAATAAAAGAGGATACAAACAAATGGAAGAACATTCCATGCTCATGGGTAGGAAGAATCAATATCGTGAAAATGGCCATATTGCCCAAGGTAATTTACAGATTCAATGCCATCCCCATCAAGCTACCAATGACTTTCTTCACAGAATTGGAAAAAACTACTTTAAAGTTCATATGGAACCAAAAAAGAGCCCACATCGCCAAGTCAATCCTAAGCCAAAAGAACAAAGCTGGAGGCATCACACTACCTGACTTCAAACTATACTACAAGGCTACAGTAACCAAAACAACATGGTACTGGTGCCAATACAGAGATATAGATCAATGGAACAGAACAGAGCCCTCAGAAATAACACCGCATATCTACAACTATCTGATCTTTGACAAACCTGAGAAAAACAAGCAATGGGGAAAGGATTTCCTATTTAATAAATGGTGCTGGGAAAACTGGCTAGCCATATGTAGAAAGCTGAAACTGGATCCCTTCCTTACACCTTACACAAAAATCAATTCAAGATGGATTAAAGACTTAAACGTTAGACCTAAAGCCATAAAAACCCTAGAAGAAAACTTAGGCATTACCATTCAGGACATAGGCATGGGCAAGGACTTCATGTCTAAAACACCAAAAGCAATGGCAACAAAAGCCAAAATTGACAAATGGGATCTAATTAAACTAAAGAGCTTCTGCACAGCAAAAGAAACTACCATCAGAGTGAACAGGCAACCTACAAAATGGGAGAAAATTTTCACAACCTACTCATCTGACAAAGGGCTAATATCCAGAATCTACAATGAACTCAAACAAATTTACAAGAAAAAAACAAACAACCCCATCAAAAAGTGGGTGAAAGACATGAACAGACACTTCTCAAAAGAAGACATTTATGCAGCCAAAAAACACGTGAAAAAATGCTCACCATCACTGGCCATCAGAGAAATGCAAATCAAAACCACAATGAGATACCATCTCATACCAGTTAGAATGGCAATCATTAAAAAGTCAGGAAACAACAGGTGTTGGAGAGGATATGAAGAAATAGGAACACTTTTACACTGTTGGTGGGACTGTAAACTAGTTCAACCATTGTGGAAGTCAGTGTGGCGATTCCTCAGGGATCTAGAACTAGAAATACCATTTGACCCAGCCATCCCATTACTGGGTATATACCCAAAGGACTATAAATCATGCTGCTATAAAGACACATGCACACGTATGTTTATTGCGGCATTATTCACAATAGCAAAGACTTGGAACCAACCCAAATGTCCAACAATGATAGACTGGATTAAGAAAATGTGGCACATATACACCATGGAATACTATGCAGCCATAAAAAATGATGAGTTCATGTCCTTTGTAGGCACATGGATGAAATTGGAAATCATCATTCTCAGTAAACTATCGCAAGAACAAAAAACCAAACACTGCATATTCTCACTCATAGGTGGGAATTGAACAATGAGAACACATGGACACAGGAGGGGAAACATCACACTCTGGGGACTGTTGTGGGGTGGGGGGAGGGGGGAGGGATGGCATTGGGAGATATACCTAATGAGAGATGACGAGTTAGTGGGTGCAGCACACCAGCATGGCACATGTATACATATGTAACTAACCTGCACATTGTGCACATGTACTCTAAAACTTAAAGTATAAAAATAATAATAATAAAAAGAGCCTATCATCTCTTGTAGATGGAGGGTAGCTCGGGTTGAAAATTAAGACCAGAATCTGATTATGAGAGCAGTAGCATTGTAAATAAGGCTCAATTCACCATCCCCGCAAGTATACTACACCAAAGTCAGGGAGTAGAATCCTTGATTTTCTAACAACAGAAATGTTGATATTCATGTGGATGTCCTTGAGAACACTGAAGCCCCAAATTCTCCTCTGGGAAACCTCTGGGCTTTCAGAACTAGCCCAGTTCCCACTGGTAGAGATAGCAGCTACTCAATGACTATAAAACATGCAGAGTTTCACATAAGGTAGCTGTCTCTCAAGTTAATACATATCCTCCTACAGATTTGCACATACCTTCCCTTGTAACTTCTCAGCCATCTACTCTCCTCCTCCCTATTACAGTCTACAAAGGCAAGGTGATAGATTAAGTCCAGGCCCAAGTCCATGTCACATAGTTGCAACTGATTCATGAACACACTCCGTCATTTCCTCATTCCCTGAGTACATAATCAAGAAAGATATACTTAGCAGCTGGCAGAAGCTTTATATTGATTTATTCACTTACTGAGGAAGAGCAATGATGATGGGAAAAGCCTAGAAGCTCCTAAAATTTTCCTCAACCCTAGATAAGATAGTAAATCAGGAGTAAGACCACATTCTGAGTAGAATGGTAGAGATTAGTAACATCTACTAAGACATAAGGGATACAGAAATGTTGGTTCCCAGTGTATCTTTGTTTAATTCATCAGTGTAGTCCTTGCAATAAAAAGATAGATTATAGCCAATAACTATGAGCTGCTATAAACCTTACCAATTGCTTCAATGGCAATTGCTGTGCTGGAAGCCAGTATCTTTACTAGAAGAGATTGGCACAACCTTTTGACATGCAGCTATTAATCTGGTGACTGTCTTATCTCCAATCTACAATGGGAGGAAGGATCCCCTTGAATGGATAGCAGTAGCACTATGTATTCAGACTCTTGCCCCAGGGCTATACTAACTTTTCTGCTCTGTCACAAAGTAAATCCAAACTTTCTTTGATCAGCTTGACATTCCACATAACATCAGGCTGATATCATTGACATCATGTTAATTAAATCTAAGAAGTTGCATATGGCAAGTACACTGCTTTCCTTGGTAAGACACATGTGTGACACACCATAGGAAATACATCCTACAAATATTTTAAAAGTCTGCCATATTGATGAAGTTTCTAAGCCTCTGACAAAATGGGGCATGCCCAGCCATCTCCTCTTAAGTAAAAGGCAAATCACTGTACCTTGCACTTCCTAGATAGACAAGTCATTGTATCTTTCATAGTTCTTGCTAGGCATCTTTGGACTTTGGATACAGGACATACCTCCCTTGGGAATACTGTTCCATCCTATTTGTCAGATAACTTGGAAGGCTACCAGTTTTCAGTGGGTGCCCCCAACAGAAGGATACTCTAAAATAGGTTCAAAATGCCTTTTGAGCATAGCCCGTGGTGCTACAGGTAACCTTGATGTGACACAGTGCAGAATCTCTGGAAAGCCTCAATAGAGTTTTTGAGCAAAGTCATGCCATCTGCATCAGAGAATTAGTTATCATTCCAAAATAAGCTCCTGGCATACTACTGAACTCTAACAGAAACTAAGTGCATGACCATGGGACATCAACTGACTATGTGACCAGAGATGCTTATTGTGATGATTAATTTTCTGTTCAACTTGACTGGGCCATGGGGTGCCCAGATATTTGGTTAAACATTATTTTCGGTTCTGTCTGTGAGGGTGTTTCTGGATGAAACCCTCATCACTAGTAATTTCTCATATGAAGTTCCCTAAATGTGGGGGAACCTATCTGTCTACAAACTAGCCACTCTCCCCTCCTCAACTTCTGGGTCCACTGGTATTTTTCCTGATTCCTTCTGTTGTAGCGACATTGCTTCTAACAATAACAGATTATCTTAAGGCAGCACCAATTGTACCACAGAAAACATTCTTGCATCCTTCGCCCTGACTTTGGGAATGTAGAGCATTTCCAACTTGGCCCTTTGGCTGCATCCTGAAGGCTGAACAGCTTCTAGTCACTACTTCTGGCTTTGGAAGTTTCTCAAATATAGATTTCTAATGGTCTCCTTGGCTCAGGACACACGTCATTTTCTCCGTTTCTTTTTGAGACTCTATCATTATGCTTGAAATGAGGGAAGCCCTCTCCCTCTCTTGTAGTGGGAATGGGGGTGGGATGTGGAGGCGGATTCATAGCATACCAGCATTTATCTCCAAGGAAACCCTCTCCTTGACCTTTTCAACCTCAACCCTTTGATGGTCATGAAGTATTCATTGGGATAAGAGTTCTAGAACACTTTCTTTGTACATCTGCGTAGGTGGTCTAGTAGTTCACTTCAGCAAATGTGAGTGATTTATACCCATGCCCCCTCAAATATTTTAAGACCTCATGCTAAAACTGTGACAGAAAAAGTCCCTTATTAACATCATTTGACATCAGATTTTGTTCATTTATGCATATATTTTTCATTTTTTATTAAGCAAGTGTTCTTTGCACCGTGGTAGCTGCTGATGATGCAAGGATAAAAACGATAGGGTTTCTGACCTGTGACAGTCCAGAGTTGAACAACTTGTACCCTGAGAACAAGCATTTAAGGACCTCTTTTCTAATTTTCTGGAGTTTAGCGGGGCAGACTGTCCTAGGAGAAGATCTGCTCTCTTTGCATGCTGCCTGCATAAAACATCTTCTTTGGAGATTCTGTCGTTTATTCAGTGTTTCTTCTAAGAACATTTCAGTTAAGATCAGAATGGCCTCAAAGCTCATCCTGTTTAACATCTCATGTGGGTGTTAAGTAGTTAGAACTGATAATTCCTCTATACTGAATGCTGCAGTTCTTGTCTCTCTTTAATCTTTGGAGTAGTGGACATGGCATTGATATTTATTGAAGGCTTCTCAAGTGAATTTAAAATGTAGCCAGGGTTGAGGTTTATCCCCAAAACACATGCACATGTGTGCACACATATATGCAAACACATCAGCAAGTTATACTTCTGCTCAAGGAATCTAATCTAGCTTCTATGATAATTGGGGGAAATATCAATTATTAAATCCACAGAGATGACATAAAGTACAATTCAGGCAACATCACTTCATTGTTATTTTGAGGGGTCCATTGCTCACATATTCATTCCACATTTATCTTCTGTCAGTCCAAAGGTAGAAATACCTGATTTTGCAAATGTTTCTCTTTCCTGTAGAGGTAAAAGGAAAGATAAGACCAGTCCTATTCACAAAGAAATGAGAAAGTATACTAAAAATCAATATTCTTTTAAAGACCTAGAGCACCATTACTGCTTCCTTAGACAAAATTTGTAGTAATGTTTCTACTTCACATTTTTATTGCAGAGTAAATTTGCTGAAAAGACTATAGTGAAAAATGATATTCAGCCTTAAGATATAAAACTTTCTTAAGAGTGGCATCATAGGATTACAGAATATTTTAGCTAGCATTCCTTTTCATAATTCTAATTTTTCCTGATGCTATTTTAATATGACCTTGAAGGTCAATGGAACTTTTAATGAAAAAATCCTAGAAACTCAGAGTATTTTCTGTAATAACTATGGTTTTCTTTGTTATAACCCTATTAACTGATTTTTTTTGCAACTCTATTAATGTAATAACTGTGTTAACACAAGTGCCTGACACTGTCTGTTGCTCTGCTCTTTTATGGCTTTTTACAATCTGTTTCTAATACAGTCATGCACCACATAATGATGTTTCTATCAATGATGGATCACTTATACAGTGGTGGTCTCATAAGATTATAATGGAGCTGAAAAATTCCTATCACCTAGTGATGTCATAGCTGTTATAAGATTGTAGCACAATGCATTACTTTTTCTATGTTTAGATACACAAATAGTTGCCATTGTGCTGCAAATTGCCTACAGTATTCAATATACAGTAACCTAATGTACAGATTTGTGGCCAAAAAGCAATAGGCTATCCCATATAGCCTAGGTCTTTTACTTTGTATAGATCTAAAGGAATAAAAATCTAAGCTATAAAAATTAAAAACCAAGCTATAGCGTCTAGGTTTGTGTAAGTATATTCTATGATGTTCACACAGTGACAAAAATCACCTAACAAAGCATGTCTCAGAAAGTGTCCCTGTCATTAAAGGACACATGATTATGTTTGTTGCTTTGTTATTGATTGTATTTATAAGTATCTCATATCTGCCTGCATTCATTTATTTATTAATTCCCCAAATATCTACAGACTGTTTGTATTAGATATACAAAGGTGAATAGGATATAATACTTCCTTGTGCTCTAATACCACTTTGCACATACTTCTTTCATAGCCAAATTTAGTGGGCTGTTCAAGTGAATTTATCTGATTCCTAGGAACTCTGTGTTATGTCTCTTGGAAGGCCCACCCCTAGTATTTGTGAGCCAAAGCAAGAATCCAAATGGAAGCCCATATGCCACGTATCTAAATATTTTAAAATTATACATTAAGTGATCAGATCTTTCAATAAAATATGCTCTTTCCTTCTACCTTGCCAATATATTTTCATAAAAACAAAATGATAAATACATGGTAAGCTATGGTTTCTGTATGACTGGAAGACAGCAGATATCAAAGATGACTGGATTTAATTATTTTTTTGCATATGTCTAGGTTTTCTGTCAATGGGCTGCTGCTGTTTGGATGAGTAATACAGACACATAATTCATAAATTATTGTCTATTTATTCCATTAAATTTATTTTTCTTGCCTTTATTTTAGCAAAATCACTAATTATGTTGTTGTAATCAATATTTTTAAGTAATTTGTATTATATTAAAAGGAATGATCTAAAGGAATAAAACAAAGGTAAATGCAAAGTATAATTAGAATGTTTTTACAACAATGTAATGTATTTCAGAAAAATAAAAATAAAATCATAATTATTTTGTTTTCAAAAATGTTATTACATTATTCAAAATTATAAAATATGATTCATAAATATCAGAATTTTAAATACAATTATTTTTAAAACCTGAAATTCAATTTCTGTTTTAAAATTTTAATTACATACCATTTAATATTTTTAAAAACCATTTCAATTTTAGTGTTCAAGATTCTTCTCTCTGCAATGTAAAGAATTAATATTAATTTTCACACATATTACATTTAGATCAACATATATGCAAATGTGAAATAAATATAAATTATTTAATATTAAAAAATGCTTCTCAACTACCATATTAAACTGTTGCAAATATTGTGCTAATTGATGAGTGTCTCTGGAACAACATTGTCAAACACATAGAAATGTAAGAAAGGGACACTCAGCACTACTGGGATGCAAAAATATATAGTGTTCATGCTATCTGAAAGAAAGGAATCCACAGCTTAATCTGTGCTGAGTGACATTCAGATCCTCCCTGTGCTCTGAACACCTGTTCCTCTCTGTCATTAGCAGTGACACAGCCCACAATCCTACTTGGCACTGGACACAGTCACCTCTTCTTTCAAGGACGTAAGGGCAAGAAACAGAAAATGCATTTCTCCAGGACCTGAAGGACTTGGTCATGAGAGTGGGTATTTAGGGTTATAAATTATTCTGAGCCAATGCTAAGCATCAGAGCTTGAGTAACAGACACCCATGTGTTCTTCAGTAAACTTGAATTTCCTTTATAGTGTTTGTGATATGCAGCTATCTCTACAGCACAGGACCCAGGGTAAGGACATGTGTTGTTCAGATGCAAGGGTGGTTGCATCTTTGTATACTTAGAGCCTATCAGAGTTCCTCGTACATGAAAAAAGAGTATTAGAATATTAGTACTCATTTGGTTGCAGTTCAAACTGACAAGTAAAATAAGGCAATGTATTGACTTAGAGAACTGGAAAAATCTGAGGGTACATATTCAAGCACAACCAGATTCAGAACTTCAAGTAACATTGTCAGGACACTGTCTCTGTATGTTTGCTTTCTTCTGTACTGACTTCATTTTCATGAGGTGTCAGTGATAACCCACTGGTTTACATCATCCAGGTTTACATCTACTAGGTTAGTAACTCCAAGAGCAAAAAGTTTCAGAGCTAATGTTCCTTGGCTCTGATATCACTAGCATGGGGCACATCCTCCCCACTAGCATCATTCACCCTGGACATGGGATGTATTGTTTTCATGAATGAGTTTTGAGCCATGTGGCCAAACCACCACTTAAAGCCAAGGCTTAGTGGTAGTCCCATCTAAACCACATAGACTGAGAATGGGAGGGGAATGGTTCCCACAGAATAATTGAATTACTATAGCCAGAAAAATGAGAAAAGATGCTAAAGAAGCAATATAAAAACTGTTTGCTCAAAAGTACACAACAAATGGTTGTGGAACAAATACATGTACAAGTTAATATCATCACCTGCTCAGGGAAATGGAAAACAACTAATGGCAACACACTGTGATGTGACTTACAATAAAAAAAAAATGTGTAAAATGCAGTGGAGACTTGAGGAAAGGCATGGACACTCCTCCCAAAAAGGTGAGGCACGGAATGGGAAGGAAGGTCAGACTGACAGAGTCTAGAGAGTGAACGTCTTTCATATCATCCAAAACATCCTACTCGTTCCACTGATCACCTTTGAAAAATTGAAAACCTCTGTGTTTCATTGTACTGCACTGCTAGGCTAGCCCCACCATTTCTTTGTCCTGTATGCTTCTTTTATTTGGTTTTACCTCCATTTTGCTTGAGTACACTCACAACGAATTCCTTAGAAAGAGTGTATGGGAGGTTAATATTATAAGACTCTGCATATCTAAACATGTATTCTGGCCTCCCTTATGATTCTGGTTTGTCCTTGTATGTAAATCCGGGTTCAAATGATCTTTTTACAATATTTTGGACAGAGGTTTTGTCTTTGTCTTCTAAAATCCGATATTATTCAAGACATGTCTCATTTGGGTCTGATTCTTCTTCTTTTTAAGTACTCTGGGTTCCTTTTTATTTTTCCTTTTGGAAGCTTTTATATATTTTTTACTTATACTTTAGGTTCCAACATTTTACCATGGTGTGCTTAGGTGTGAGTCTTTTCTAATTCATCTTACTCAGTACTTGATTGGTCCTTTCAAATATGAAAGATTCGAGTGTCTCTTCAGATTGGGGAAATGATTATGTATTTTCTTTGGTACTTTCCTCACCTCCATTTTCTCTGTTCTCTCTTCCTGGAATGCCTATAAGCCAAATGTCAGACTGTCTTAGAAAGTTACTCTATGTCTCTTAGTGTTTCTCTCATATTTTTCTTCTCTTTTTTTCTTTTTGTTCTACTTCATAAAATTGGTATGGCTTCATGTTCCGGTTCTTCTATTGAATTTTGTTTTATTCTGGCCAACATATTTTTAGTTTTCAGGAAGGGTTTTTCTCTTATTCTTTTTCTTTTTCATAGCACATAGCTTTTCCTTTAGGGATATAACAGAATTCCAAATCTCTTTGAGGACATTACAAGGGGCTTGGATTGTTTAAGGTCCTTCTGTCTCTTGGAGTATTTCTGTTTCCCCCAAGGACCTGTCTGTTCATGTTTTCTTTCTTCTTGGTGTTGTTGGTTTCTGTCATGTGTGTTACAGTCCTTGTTTGTAGTTTATATTTAATAATTAGGAAGTGAGAGGACTGACTGGGAGCTCTGTTCACACTGGTGAGGCTGTTCTACCAACAGGCTTGCCTTGAATTGAGAAAGAGGAACTACCCGCTCACCAGGAGTTTGTCACAACAAGAGGCTTTACTCTGGGTCACGATATTCATTTTAGCAGAGTAGTCCTTCTCAAGTATTTCTTTTACTTTATTTGAAATAAAGATATCAGTTATCTTGCCTGATATAGTGGGGGCTCAGCCAACTCCTTGCCACCTCTGTGTGCAGGGATAGGGGAGGAAAGCCACTGGCATAGTTCTTTTGTTGTCAGACTCTCGGTAAGCTCCACTCCCTCCCTGGTTTTAGCCTCCTTCTCAGTCTCTTAGACTCTTAGTCTTTTTATCTGTTGGATCCAAGACTGGAGGATCTCTGGGCATCCCCCTCCATCAAAGCTTCCACAAAATATTCTGGGCTAAGGGTTTCTTTACCAGATTCTACCAATCAACACTCTTCCTCCACTTTCTGTCTTTCAAAAATTTGTCAAAATCTCTAATCTAATCAAGTCTGTCTTCTCATTCTCTGTATTACTATGAGTTTATTCCTTCTTTATTCTTTTACTACCATATTAATGGAGTCTTGGGGTACGGAAGGATATTAAGAAACACATATATGCTGTTGTCATTATGAAGGTTCTGTTACTTTTGCAACAATTACAGCAATTTTTTAAACTAGTTGAGAGAAAAAGATAACTGGAAGAGAATTTAAAAATGTTTAGCATCCCAATACAAACCGCAACTACAATAGTATATTTACTGGTAGAGCCCAATATGATACATAAATAAAAACTCTCCTTTTTTATATTTAAGATGATAGTATTAGGGCATGTACATGGGGTTGTCTTTATGTAAAGATCATGAACTTGCAGACACTTTGACTTGCTCCTGCTTATGACCAGGAGCACATTCATTGTCAGAACTGCAGTTAAGGGGAAGGGGCACCATTTGTGACCATAAGAGATTGGGGCTTACAACCAACCTGAGATCAAACCAATCACTCTGGCCTTCAAGCCACTAGGATCTCACAAAGTGAACTCATTAACAATAGTTCTTGGTTCAGAACTGCTGTGGGTTAAATGTTTGTGTCTCCCATGAATTTAAATGTTGAAATCTTAACTGTCAAGGTGATGGTTTTGGAAGGTGGGGCCTCTTGGAGGTGATTAGGTCATTAGGGCGAGTCATTGTGAATAAGATTAGTGCTCTAATAAAAGAAGCTTAAGGGAACTTATTTGCCTATTCTGCCATGTGACACACAGTGAAAAGACACTCTCTCTTAACCAGAGAACAGGTGCTCACCAGACACCAAATCTGCCAGTGTTTTGATCTTGTATTTCTCAGCCTCCAGAACTGTGAGAAATAAACTTCTATGGTTTATAAGCCACCCCATTTATGGTAGTCTGTTACAGTAGCTTAGACAGACAAAGAGCACTATGGAGTAAGAAAGTGGAGTGAATTTATTTCTCTCCTCTTTCTATAGTTTTGACAAGTTTATTCTAGATTGAGTTTTTTTTATTCTACCTACTATGGCATTGTTGCTAGGGATACAGGAAGATGTATACCATAATGTCTCAAGTGCTGGAAGATTATCTCCAGTTCTCCAGAAAAAAAAAAGAAAAATCAAGTACATAGCATAATTTTACTTGGCTACCAAAAATGCTCACATATAAGGAAAGACAAAAAGATTAACATTCACTATAAATTCTTTTCAGTTTGTCAGCTTTGGAGCAGTAAGAGAAGGGGCTAAAACTGTCACTGTCTTGAGCTTCTGCACAAAGTAATGTACAACTGTGGAAGCAAAGACACTATTACAATTGCATTCAGTCTGGCTTCCCACAGTCATGTATTTTCAACATTATTGATTAGCTGCCTTCAAAACAAATTGTGGAGGAAAGTATAGTGAAAAAGGAAACTTTTCTAGTCTATAAGTAACTGAAGTAACTCCTGGGAGTTTTATATGATCCAATTTTAAGTTCTTTCTAAGTTAGTTATGATTGAGATTTATGCTTAGCTTTTCTTTGGAATATCTTATTAAATATAATATATTCACTGAAAGTGAGAAAGAAGCAAGTAAACCAAAGCTTTGTGCAGGAAATCATACTTTTGGTAGTCAAAATATGAAAACTACCAGACCCCAAATAAATTTTTATGCTACCCTACTGAAATAGGAGACTGCAGGACTTATTTCCTGGTCCCAACAGGATAAAATGAAGAAACTGGCCAGAACCAGCAAATGGCACCAAAGGCAACCTTTAGTTGCCCTCGCTGCTCATCAGAATAAGACACTCCCACCAGTGCCATGACAGTTTACAAATGCTACAGCAACACCCAGAAGTTACCACCTCTTTATTCTAGAGTTTTCTGAATAATCTGTACCTTAATTTGCATGTAATTAAAAGTGGGTATAAATCCTGCTAGCCAACAGCCACATGCCACTACTCTGGGTGCACAGCCTATGGGTTAGCCCTGTTCTGCAAGGAGCAATCACTCTTCTGTACTCTGACACTTCAATAAACCTGCTTTCTCTCACCATTGGTTCACTCTTGAATTCCTCCTGAGTGAAGCCAAGAACCCTCCTGGACTAAGCCCCAGTTTGGGGGCTCATTTGATCTGTATCACTACTGCATTGTATGGTAGAAAAAGCACAGTCTCAAGACAGATTTAGGCCCTGGGCTCTGGTACTTACTAATCACATGACTTGCGGCAACTTACTAAAACTTACTAATATATATATTCACAATTAACATGATTGTTGAGCATTGCATTAATAAGGTATATACACTATCATTACTTTGATTTTTTAAAAAAATTCTCCTTTCGGGCCAGGCACAATTGCTCATGCCTGTAATCCCAATGCTTTGAGAGGCTGAAGTAAGAGGATTGCTTGGGGCCAGGAGTTTGAGACCAGCCTGAGCAACATGGTGAGACCCTATCTCTACCAAAAAAACTTTAAAAATTAGCCAAGTATGGGTGGAGCCAAGATGGCTGAATAGGAACAGCTCCAGTCCACAGCTGACACAGAAGACGGGTGATTTCTGCATTTCCAACTGAGGTACCGGGTTCATCTCACTGGGGAGTGCTGGACAGTGGGTGCAGAACAGTGAGTGCAGTGCACTGTGCATGAGCCGAAGCAGGGCAAGGCATCACCTCACCCGGGAAGCGCAAGGGGTCAAGGAATTCCCTTTCCTACTCAAAGAAGGGGGTGATGGACGGCACCTGGAAAATCGGGTCACTCTCACCCTAATACTGCACTTTTCCAACAGGCTTAACAAATGGCACACCAGGAGTTTATATCCCGCACATGGCTCAGAAGGTCCTATGCCCACAGAGCCTCGCCCACTGCTAGCACAGCAGTCTGAGATCAAGCTGCAAGGTGGCAGCGAGGCTGGGGGAGGGGCACCCGCCATTGCCGAGGCTTCAGTAGATAAACAAAGTGGCCAGGAAGCTCGAACTGGGTGGACCCCACCACAGATCAAGGAGGCCTGCCTGCCTCTGTAGGCTCCACCTCTGGGGGCAGGGCACAGACAAACAAAAGACAGCAATAATTTCTGCAGACTTAAATGTCCCTGTCTGACAGCTTTGAAGAGAGTAGTGGTTCTCCCAGCACGCAGCTTGAGATCTGAGAATGGGCAGACTGCCTCCTCAAGTGGGTCCCTGACCCCCAAGTAGCCTAACTGGGAGGCACCCCCCAGTAGGGGCAGACTGAGACCTCACACGGCCAGGTACTCCTCTGAGACAAAACTTCCAGAGGAATGATAAGGCAGCAGCATTTGTGGGTTCACCAATATCCGCTGTTCTGCAGACACCGCTGCTGATACCCAGGCAAACAGGGTCTGGAATGGACCTCCAGCAAACTCCAACAGACCTGCAGCTGAGGGTCCTGACTGTTAGAATGAAAACTAACAAACAGGAAGGACATCCACACCAAAAACCCATCTGTACGTCACCATCATCAAAGACCAAAGCCACAAAGGTAAAACCACAAAGATGGGAAAAAAACAGAGCAGAAAAACCGGAAACTCTAAAAATCAGAGCGCTTCTCCTCCTCCAAAGGAATGCAGCTCCTCACCAGCAACTGAACAAAGCTGGACGGAGAATGACTTTGATGAGTTGAGAGAAGAAGGCTTCCAAAGATCAAACTACTCTGAGCTAAAGGAGGAAGTTCAAACCAATGGCAAAGAAGTTAAAAACTTTGAAAAAAAATTAGATGAATGGACGACTAGAAAAACCAATGCAGAGAAGTCCTCAAAGGACCTGATGGAGCTGAAAACCACAGCAAGAGAACTACATGACGAATGCACAAGCCTCAGTAACCAATGCAATCAACTGGAAGAAAGGGTATCAGCAATGGAAGATGAAATGAATGAAATGAAGTGTGAAGAGAAGTTTAGAGAAAAAAGACTAAAAAGAAATGAACAAAGCCTCCAAGAAATATGGGACTATGTGAAAAGACCAAATCTACGTCTGATTGGTGTACCTGAAAGTGATAGGAGAATGGAACCAAGTTGGAAAACACTCTGCAGGATATTATCCAGGAGAACTTCCCCAACCTATCAAAGTAGGCCAACATTCAGATTCAGGAAATATAGAGAACACCACAAAGATACTCCTCGAGAAGAGCAACTTCAAGACACATAATTGTCAGATTCACCAAAGTTGAAATGAAGGAAAAAATGTTAACGGCAGCCAGAGAGAAAGGTCGGGTTACCCACAAAGGGAGGCCCATCAGACTAACAGCTGATCTCTCGGCAGAAACTCTACAAGCCAGAAGAGAGTGGGGGCCAATATTCAACATTCTTAAACAAAAGAATTTTCAACCCAGAATTTCATACCCAGCCAAACTAAACCTCGTCAGTGAAGGAGAAATAAAATACTTTACAGACAAACAAATGCTGAGAGATTTTGTCACCACCAGGCCTGCCCTAAAAAAGCTCCTGAAGGAAGCACTAAACAAGGAAAGGAACAACTGGTACCAGCCACTGCAAAAACATGCCAAATTGTAAAGACCATCAAGCCTAGGAAGAAAATGCATCAACTAATGAGCAAAATAACTGGCTAACATCATAATGACAGGATCAAATTCACACATAACAATACTAACCTTAAATGTAAATGGGCTAAGTTCTCCAATTAAAAGACACAGACTGGCAAATTGGATAGAGTCAAGACCCATAAGTGTGCTGTATTCAGGAAACCCATTTCACATGCAGAGACACACATAGGCTCAAAATAAAGGGATGGAGGAAGATCTACCAAGAAAATGGAAAACAAAAAAAGGCAGGCATTGCAATCCTAGTCTCTGATAAAACAGACTTTAAACCAACGAAGATCAAAGAGACAAAGAAGGCCATTACATAATGGTAAAGGGATCAATTCAACAAGAAGAACTAACTATCCTAAATATATATGCACCCAATACAGGAGCACCCAGATTCATAAAGCAAGTCCTGAGTGACCTACAAAGAGACTTAGACTCCCACTCAATAATAATGGGAGATTTTAACACCCCACTGTCAACATTAGACAGATCAACGAGACAGAAAAGTAACAAGGATATCCAGGAATTGAACTCAGCTCTGCACCAAGCAGACCTAATAGACATCTATAGAACTCTCCACCCCAAATCAACAGAATATACATTCTTCTCAGCATCACACCACACCTATTCCAAAATTGACCACATAGTTGGAAGTAAAGCACTCCTCAGCAAACGTAAAAGAACAGAAATTATAACAAACTGTCTCTCAGACCACAGTGCAATCAAACTAGAACTCAGGATTAAGAAACTCACTCAAAACCGCTCATCTACATGGAAACTGAACAATCTGCTCCTGAATGACTACTGGGTACATAACAAAATGAAGGCAGAAATAAAGATGTTCTTTGAAACCAACGAGAACAAAGATACAACATACCAGAATCTCTTGGACACATTCAAAGCAGTGTGTAGAGGGAAATGTATAGCACTAAATGCCCACAAGAGAAAGCAGGAAAGATCTAAAATTGACACTCTAAAATCACAATTAAAAGAACTAGAGAAGCAAGAGCAAACACATTCAAAAGCTAGCAGAAGGCAAGAAATAACTAAGATCAGAGCAGAACTGAAGGCAATAGAGACATAAAAAACCCTTCAAAAAATCAATGAATCCAGGAGCTGGTTTTTTGAAAAGATCAACACTATTGATAGACTGCTAGCAAGACTAATAAAGAAGAAAAGAGAGAAGAATCAAATAGACGCAATAAAAAATGACAAAGGGGATATCACCACCGATCCCACAGAAATACAAACTACCATCAGAGAATACTATAAACACCTCTATGCAAATAAACTAGAAAATCTAGAAGAAATGGATAAATTCCTCGACACATACACTCTCCCAAGACTAAACGAGGAAGAAGCTGAATCTCTGATTAGACCAATAATAGGCTATGAAATTGAGGCAATAATTAATAGCTTACCAACCAAAAAAAGTCCAGGACCAGATGGATTCACAGCCGAATTCTACCAGAGGTACATGGAGGAACTGGTACCATTCCTTCTGAAACTATTCCAATCAATAGAAAAAGAGGGAATCCTCCCTAACTCATTTTATGAGGCCAGCATCATCCCGATACCAAAGCCTGGCAGAGACACAACCAAAAAAGAGAATTTTAGACCAATATCCTTGATGAACATTGATGCAAAAATCCTCAATAAAATACTGGCAAACCGAATCCAGCAGCACATCAAAAAGCTTATCCACCATAATCAAGTGGGCTTCATCCCTGGGATGCAAGGCTTGTTCAACATATGCAAATCAATGAATGTAATCCAGAATATAAACAGAACCAAAGACAAAAACCACATGATTATCTCAACAGATGCAGAAAAGGCCTTTGACAAAATTCAACAACGCTTCATGCTAAAAACTCTCAATAAATTAGGTATTGATGGGATGTATCTCAAAATAATAAGAGCTATCCATGACAAACCCACAGCCAATATCATACTGAATGGACAAAAACTGGAAGCATTCCCTTTGAAAACTGGCACAAGACAGTGATGCCCTCTCTCACCACTCCTATTCAACATAGTGTTGGAAGTTCTGGCCAGGGCAATCAGGCAGGAGAAGGAAATAAAGGGTATTCAATTAGGAAAAGAGGAAGTCAAATTGTCCCTGTTTGCAGATGACATGATTGCATATCTAGAAAACCCCATCGTCTCAGCCCAAAATCTCCTTAAGCTGATAAGCAACTTCAGCAAAGTCTCAGGATACAAAATCAATGTGCAAAAATCACAAGCATTCTTATACACCAATAACAGACAAACAGATAGCCAAATCATGAGTGAGCTCCCATTCACAATTGCTTCAAAGAGAATAACATACCTAGGAATCTAACTTACAAGGGACATGAATGACCTCTTCAAGGAGAACTACAAACCACTGCTCAAGGAAATAAAAGAGGATACAAACAAATGCAAGAACATTCCAAGCTCATGGGTAGGAAGAATCAATATCGTGAAAATGGCCATACTGCCCAAGGTAAATTATAGGTTCAATGCCATCCCCATCAAGCTACCAACGACTTTCTTCACAGAATTGGAAAAAACTACTTGAAAGTTCATATGGAACCAAAAAAGAGCCCACATTGCCAAGTCAATCCTAAGCCAAAAGAACAAAGCTGGAGGCATCACACTACCTGACTTCAAACTATACTACAAGGCTACAGTAACCAAAACAGCATGGTACTGGTACCAAAACAGAGATACAGACTAATGGAACAGAACAGAGCCCTCAGAAATAATGCCGCATATCTACAACTATCTGATCTTTGACAAACCTGAGAAAAGCAAGCAATGGGGAAAGGATTCCCTCTTTAATAAATGGTGCTGGGAAAACTGGCTAGCCATATGTAGAAAGCTGAAACTGGATCCCTTCCTTACACCTTATACATAAATTAATTCAAGATGGATTAAAGATTTATATGTTAGACCTAAAACCATGAAAACCCTAGAAGAAAACCTAGGCAATACCATTCAGGACATAGGCATGGGCAAGGACTTCATGTCTAAAACACCAAAAGCGATGGACAACAAAAGCCAAAATTGACAAATGGGATCTAATTAAACTAAAGAGCTTCTGCACAGCAAAAGAAACTACCATCAGAGTGAACAGGCAACCTACAAAATGGGAGAACATTTTTGCAACCTACTCATCTGACAAAGGGCTAATATCCAGAATCTACAAAGAACTCAAACAAATTTACAAGAAAAAAACAAACAACCCCATCAAAAACTGGGCGAAGGATATGAACAGACACTTCTCAAAGAAGACATTTATGCAGCCAAAAAACACATGAAAAAATGCTCACCATCACTGGCCATCAGAGAAATGCAAATCAAAACCACAATGAGATACCATCTCACACAAGTTAGAATGGCGATCATTAAACAGTCAGGAAACAACAGGTGCTGGAGAGAATGTGGAGAAACAGGAACACTTTTACACTCTTGGTGGGACTGTAAACTAGTTCAACCATTGTGGAAGTCCGTGTGGCAATTCCTCAGGGATCTAGAACTAGAAATACCATTTGACCCAGCCATCCCATTACTGGGTAAACACCCAAAGGATTATAAATCATGCTGCTATAAAGACACATGCACATGTATGTTTATTGAGGCCCTATTCACAATAGCAAAGACTTGGAACCAACCCAAATGTCCAACAATGATAGACTGGATTAAGAAAATATGGCACCTATATACCATGGAATACTATGCAGCTATAAAAATGATGAGTTCATGTCCTTTGTAGGGACATGGATGAAGCTGGAAACCATCGTTCTCAGCAAACTATTGCAAGGACAAAAAACCAAACACTACATGTTCTCCCTCATAGGTGAGAATTGAACAATGAGAACACATGGACACAGGAAGGGGAACATCACACACCGGGGACGGTTGTGGGGTGGGGAAGGGGGGAGGGATAGCATTAGGAGACATACCTGATGCTAAATGATGAGTTAATGGGTGCAGTACACCAACATGGCACATGTATACATATGTAACAAACCTGCATGTTGTGCACACGTACCCTAAAACTTAAAGTATAATAATAATAAAATAAAAAAAAATTAGCCAAGTATGGTAGCATGTTCCTGTAGTCCTAGCTGCTCAGGAGGCTAAGGTAGGAGGATGGTTTGAGCCAAGGAGTTCAAGGTTACAGTGAGTTATGATCATGCCACTGCACTCCAGCCTGGGTGACAGAGCAAGACTGCCTCAAAAGAAAAAAAGAAAAAAAAGAAAAAGAAAAAAAAGTAAAGAAATGTGTTTTCCAGGAGGGTCAGCTTATCAATTGAAAGATAGACGAGGGGAGATTGATACATGTGTAACATTTTGAATGAGTGACATAATAATTACACTGTTCTGATGATTAGGTTTATATTTAGCCATAGATCAGGATTATGACAGACTATATAGAAGAGTAAGTACTACAAAACAGGAAGCTGTTCTTTCTCTTTATCTGCACTCAGTAAGTACTTGTTGAGAGAATTAATATATTTAATTTGAATGAATGATGTATGGTGTCTAGTATACAGCAGGATCTCTCAAACTATTTGGTAACTATAGGTAAACTAACCTCATGTCATATGAAATTGAGAACATTTCTGCCTCAAAACATCTAGGAACATTGATTATCTCTTATTTGCACTATTTTTTAGAGAGAATTTTTTTGTTAAAGATGGGAATATGGTATTATTAAAGGGATTGAGAACCATGGTCAAAAAAATGAGTTATGACTGCAAATGTAATACTAATATCCAGGGAGATCAACTTATAAATTCACTTTTTGTATTCTTGTCATTATTTTATCATTACTATTATTATTATTTATTTTAAGAAGTTCTGCCTTCAATGAAACAATAATGATCCTGAGTTAATGATGAGGTTTTTAATTTCTACATAGATGTTTGGATTTCTCACATTCTTGAGTTTCATGGCAGAAACCCAGGTTCAGCCAAAAACTTTATTTGCTAATATTTTAAATGGAACCATCGAATCTACCTTAGCAAATGATTTGCTTTCAGAATTATGACCTTAAATACAGCATTGTAATAACTTTTAATTTTCTAAAATATATGAGAACACACTCTTAGAAAGTTAAGGGAAATGTCAGTAAAATAAGTCAGATTCTTCCAAGTTATTTTCATTTTCCCTTCAAAGATATATCCTTTGCTGATACCATTATCTCAGGTTGTCATCAAATGGAATGACCGTTCTTCTCATTTGTCTCTGAATAACAGTCACTACCCATGAGTCCTCAGAGAGAACTCTCTCCACTCTGTTTGGAATCCTTTTACCTGATTGATTTGTAGTAATATGAACAGTGATGGCATATTGGGATGGTGAGAGTGGTCTCACGCCTCCTATAACAAGAGCTGTGCTTTCACCTTTTTAAGCTAAATTCACATACGTGGATAATAACAGATTACCTGTTAGATTTTATAACATCTAAGTTTTGCATTTTGGCTTTCCACTAAGCAAAATATACCTATAGCGTATAGGGTTAAAAATGTAAATCAATATGGCTCTCATTTGCTGAGAGTTTACTTTGTGCCAGAGGTTTAGGTTTACTATTCACAACCCTCTGAGGTATATGCTATGATTATTGCCATTTTACAGATTTAAAAATTGAGGCTTTGAAAAAACTTGTCAAAGTCACAGGGCAGGCAAGCAACAGAGGCAAGAATTCAAGTCATAATAGTCTGCTCCTACAGCCTCTGCTCTTAACTATTATAGCATGCTGATTCCCATAAACTGATAGAATTATCAATGACAGTTGAATCCATTACTTTGCAGTTGTCCTAAGGGTCATTCCACTAGAAAGCATGCGACATCTGACCTTGACATAGTACCACTGAAGAGCCAAACCAAAAACCATAGCACTTCTGTGGTATTGCAGGATAGGTGATTTTCAAATACAGATATGTGAGGCTTATTAAAGCATAAATTCAGGTCAGATCACAGGAGTGCACCTAGTGAAGCCCTATTTGTATGTATTTTTATGGTTTTAATATTTATTAAATGATGAAGCAACTGTCACTCTTCAAGTCAGTTTGATATCTGCCTAAAATGAAAGGATGGACTTGTAAATTAATCACCTGAACTTGGATATAAATGACCACATCTGTCAAAATCCTTGCTCCATGTCTATAGACATATTTTATTTCCAATTCATGTAGGAATTTACTTAAAACTTAGAGGATGTCTAAGACCTATTCTTGACACTTTCCTGTGTCTCATGTTGAATACGATAATGTGCACTGGGTGTGAATCTTTTAAGCTTTCTCAAGCTCCATGTGACAAGATATACACTTCAGAGAGGGATTAAAATCCTGGAACCTCTTCTTCTGGTTCTGTGAACTCGCAACAGGAAGGACATTCTGGTTTCTAGGCGTAAAAGCCTGTTTTAATGATGCTTTATATGCAGAGCCTTGGGATGCATATATTACAGGCATTGTAAAATAGAGATGGGATTAGAGTGTTGAGGCTCTGGGGAAAGACTTGGAGCACAGCTGTCTTCACACAGTGACATAAACTTAGAAGAGCACCGAAGCTCAGGCAGCATCGGTCTCTCTATCCCTTACAGCTCTACATAAAACTGTCCTCTCTGATAGGCAAAGAGAGAAGAAGCAGAGATTATGCTTTCCTGTTCATAAAAGAGTTTTGTATCATTAGCTATAATCTCAAGTCATTAACTTAAATCCATATGGCAGAAGAGCTAGGATGCACATGTACTTACTGAAACCGTGCAGGAATAACAGCAATGGCTCATTTGAAGACTGCCTTTGAATGGCCGGTATAGTTAATTATAGTTTGAATGGCAGGTATAGTTAATCGAAAATTGTATGCAAGAAAGGAAAATGGAATTAATATGTTTGTTTAATAATGACTTGTTCAAAAGCACTGTATCAATGTCAGTCTGCTCATTTCCATGCCAGTCTGCTCATTTTCTCTAATATCATTTTTTAAAGAGATGTTTTCAGATTTCATATTCATTCTCTCTCTCACTCTCTCTCTTTCTCTCTCTCTCTGGAGCAGGAATAGTCATAAAATAAGAAATGTGGAGATCATTTATGGAGTACAGAGAAAGACCTATAGTTGTTTCAGGCCTTAGAGCTGGTAAGGGGAAAAAACTGGAAGTCAAACTCTTCATCGACTGTTAATTCATAATTTTTTCTGTAATCAGGTTGGAATGAGATGTGCAGAGAGGATGCAGCCTGCATAACAATAACAGGCTTTCAGACAGAGTCCAGTCTCGGTGGTTACCTTCCTTCCTTATATAGTCTTCCCAGAGAGCTTGTACAATGAAAAGCAACATGACCAATTGAAGAATACCATGCTTTTAATCTTAATGTCAAAATCCATTTCTAGATCCATTTATAAAGCAGCAACTTAATGGATATTTCTCAATATTTGAGTTAAGTTCAGTAAGTTCTTTATGGAATAAAAATATCTATTAATATAGCTTATCAATAACTTAAATATGAAAAAATGATATGCTCAATTGTTACCTAGAAGGTATTTGATAAAAATCCTATGTTTCCAACTTAAAACTTTAGAAATAGGATACTTTTGTAATTCGAAAAGCTAGCTCTATTCCAACATAGCGGTACATCCCCCTCAATGGGGAAACACTAGAAATATTTCCATTAATTTCAGAAACAAATCAAGGATGCTCATTACAAGTCATAACATTTAATCTTATAGCTGTTCCAGACAGTGCAATACAAATGAAACAGAAATGACAGAAAAGGGTATTGGAATGGAGAAAAATTATTTATAGTCTAAATATATTTTTGCATAAATGAAAAATATAAATTATTTACCAAACCCAAGAAAATCTACTATTAAATAAAAATTATGAGGGGCCATTTTGTTTGGGACTGAGCTCCTACCCTGTGTTCAACAGACCAGACCAAACCAGAATGGAGTCCCTTGTGTTAGATACCTGTAGTCAGGCTGAACTTTAAAATGGGCCAGTTCTCAAAAAAACAGGAGATTTACAGCAATCAATCAGAAAGGCCCAGTTTACCTGAGCTGGCACAATAAGGACGTCCTCTTTGTTTTAACCCTATAAGGGAAGTAACTTTGTAACCACCAATCTGCTTTTTGTTCCTCGTGTTTGTTTTCTTCAGCCTTCTCTTGCCTTTACAGAAAGTCCACTTCCTCTGCTCAGTTCACTGGAACTCCTATTTTATGGATGAGATGTTGCCTGATTCATTAATCACTATTAAAAGCCAATTAGACCTTTAAATTAAATTTGTTGAAATTTTGTTTTTTAGCACTACCAAGAAACCACTGGAGGCTCTAGTCCATGTGTTCTGTTCCTTTCAAAGAAGAGCCTTCTCCTCACCCATAGCGGGCTGAAAGGGAGCCTCACTCAGAACAAAGAACCCATCAAAGGCAAGCTTCCATATACTTCCGGCAGTGCATCTGCCAACACATGCACAGCCTTCGTGCCTGCCTAATGGATGTACTGCCCTTGGTCTTAGCCATAGCCTATCCCTTCCTTTGTGCACTGGCTCATATCCTCCCTCACCTAGTTAAGGACATCACTCTTGCACTTATCCTCTCCTCTCGAATTATCACATTTTCCTGCTCTGCTGGACCATTCCCATTAACATGCAAACACTGTATGGTAGCTTCCATTTCAAAAAGCCATTCCTGGGCTGTCATCACTCTCCAGCTACTGCTCAGTTGCTTAGCACCCCTTTCCAGCAAAACTCCTTTAAAAAGTTGTCTTTAACCACCTTTTGTATATTTTGACCTCTGATTATGTCTGGAACCATGCCTGTTAAGCATTTGCCCCCTACCACTTCACCAAAATTGCTCTTGCCAAGGTCACCAATGACCCCCATATTGCTGCATAGCAGAGTCAATTCTCAGTCCTGTTCTTATTCCATCTATCAACAGCTTCTGACTCACCTGGCTGCTCCCAATTTTTGAGTGATTTCTTAGGCTATGCAACACCATTTCTCTTGGCCCTCCTTATACCACACTAGCTGTACTTTGTAGCTCTTCTTCGCTGGATATTCCTCTCCTTCTTATTCTCCAAATATTGAAATGTCTCAGGGATTGGCTCTGAGACCTCTCTTCTACATACTCTAACCACATAGACAATGTCAAATAGTCACGTGTCCTCAAATATCTTCTGTAGTCTAATCACTCTAAAATTTATTATATTCCATCAATTCTAAGACACACTGTTTTTCACACTTTATTGCATTTGAAATTGGGCTGTGTCTTACAATTGATGCCCATCTTATAATCTTTGTCATCTAGGAAGGGGTAATGAAGTAGTTGCTCTTATCCACACAAATATATATGTTTCCACAAAAATTTAAATATATTATTGTTTAGATTATTAATAATTTAGTTCAGTTATATGTACAGTGGCTATTACTCATGTTGGTACCACACACAACACACTGCAACTGAATGGAGAGAAATTGCCAAATACCTTGAAAGAGGTGAAAGATATTTCAAGTAAAGAGGGTCTGACCCATTCGTATGCTGTCTTCAAGAGACTCATGTCAGGGCTGGGTGCAGTGGCTCATACCTGTAATTCCACCACTTTGAGGCTTAGGAGGATAGATGGCTTGAGGCTGAGGCAGGAGGATTGCTTGAGCCTGGGAGGCAGGGGTTGCAGTGGGCTGAGGTCATGCCACTGCACTCCAGCCTGGGCAACAAAGCACGACCCTGTCTCAAGAAAAAAAATAAAAATGCAATGACACACGTAGCCTCTAAATAAAGAGATAGTGGAAAATCTACCAAGCAAATGAAAAGCAGAAAAATGCAGGAGGGATTGCAATCCTAGTTTCTGACAAAACTGACTTTAAATCAACAAAGATAAAAAAAGAAGGGCATTACATAATGGTCAAGTGTTCAATTCAACAAGATGATCTAACTGTTCTAAATATATATGCACCCAACACAGGTGCACCCAGATTCATAAAGCAAGTTCTTAGAGACCTTAAAGAGGGTTAGACTTCCATATAGTAATAGTGGGAGACTTTAACACCGCACTGTCAATATTATACAGATCACTGAGACAGAAAATTAACAGAAATATTCATGACCTGAACTCAGCACTGGATCAAATGGACCTGATGCCTACAGAATTCTCCACCCCAAAACAACACAATATACATTCTTCTCATAATCACATGGCACTTAGTCTAAAATTGATCACATAATTGGAAATAAAACACTCCTCAGAAAATGCAAAAGAACTGAAGTCATAGCAAACGGCCTCTGGGATCACAGCACAATGAATTAGAAATAAAGACTAGGAAATTCACTTAAAGCCTTACAATTACATGGGAACTGAATAACCTGATCCTGAATGACTTTTGGGTAAATAATGAAATTAAGGCAGAAATCAAGAAGTTCTTTGAAACTAATGAGAACGAAGATACAACATACCAGAATCTCTGGGACACAGCTAAGGAAGTGATAAGAGGGAAATTTATAGCACTAAATGTCCACATCAAAAAGTTAGAAAGATCTCAAGTTAACAACCTAACATCACAACTAAAAAAATTAGAGAACCAAGGGCAGATAAATCCCAAAGCTAGCAGAAGACAAGAAATAACCAAAATCAGAGCTGAACTGAAGGAGATAGAGACACACAAAAAATTCAAAAGATCAGTGATTCCAGGAGCTGTTTGTTTGAAAAAATTAATAATACATAGACTGCTATCTAGACTAATAAGAAAAGACAGAAGACGCAAATAAACACGATCAATATGATAAGGGAGATATTACCACTGACTCCACAGAAATACACACAATCAGAGAATGTTGTGAACATATCTATGCACATAAACGAGAAAATCTAGAAGAAATGGATAAATTCTCGGACACATACATCCTGCCAAAACTGAACCAGGAATAATTGAATCCCTGAACAGACCTGTAAAGAGCTCTATAATTGAGGCAGTAATTAATAGCCTACCATCCAAAAAAAGCTCAGGATCATACAGATTCACAGTTGAATTCTAGCAGACAGACAATGAAGACTGTACTATTCTTATTGCAACTATTCCAAAAAATTGAAAAGGAGGGACTCCTCCCTAACTGATTCTATGAGGCCAGCATTGTCCTGATACCAAAACCTGGCAGAGATACAACAAAAAAAGAAAACTTCAGGCCAATATCCTTGATGAACATCAAGGCAAAAATCCTCCACAAAATACTGGCAAACCAAATCGAACAGCACATCAAAAAGTTTATCCACCACTGTCAAGTAGGCTTCATCCCCGGGATACAAGTTGGGTTCAACATACACAAATCAATACATGTGATTCAACATAAACAGAACTAAAGGAAAAAAAATATGATTATCTCGATAGATGTAGAAAAGGCTTTTAATACAATTCGATGTCCATTCATGTTAAAAACTTGCAATAAACTAGGTATTGAAGGAACATACCTCAAAATAATAAGAGCCATATATGACAAACCCATAACCAACATCATACTGAATGAGAAAAAGCTGAAAGCCTTTCCTCTTGAAAACCGGCACAAGGAAAGGATGCTCTTTCTTACCACTCCTATTCAACACAGTACTGGAGGTCCTGGCCAGGGCAATCAGGCAAGAGAAAGATATAAAGAGCATCCAAATAGGAAGAGAGGAAGTCAAGCTATACCTGTTTGCAGATGACATGATCCTATAGCTAGAAAGCCCCATACTCTCAGCCCAAAAGCTTCTTAAGCTGATAAACAACTTCAGCAAAGTCTCAGGATACAGAATCAATGTGCAAAAATATCACTAGCATTCCTATACATCAAGAACAGTCAAGCCAAGAGCCAAATCAGGAACAAACTCTCACTGACAATTGCCATAAAATGAATAAAATACCTAGGAATACAGGTAACTAGTGAGGTGAAAGATCTCTACAAAGTAAACTATACAAACCACTGCTCAAACAAATCAGAGACTACACAAACAAATGGAAAAACATTCCATGCTCATGGATAGGAAGAATCAATATTATTAAAATGTCTATACTGCCCAAAGCAATTTATAGTGTCAGTGTTCTTCCCATTAAACTACCATTGCCATTCTTCTCAGAGCTAGAGAAAACTATTTTAAAATTCATATGGAACCAAAAAAGAGCCTGAGTAGCCAAGGCAATCCTAAGCAAAAAGAACAAAGTTGGAGGCATCACACTACCCAACTTCAAACTATACTATACAGCTACAGTAAACAAACAACATGGTTCTGGTACAAAAACAGGTACATAGACCAATGGAACAGAATAAAGAACCCGGAAATAAGACCACACGCCAACAACTATCTGATATGCCACAAACCTGACAAAAACAAGCAATGGGGAAAGGACTCCCTATTTGACAAATGGTGCTGGGATAACTGCACTAGCCATGTGCAGAGGATTGAAACTGGACCTTTCCCTTACACCATTTACAAAAATCAACTCAAGATGGATTAAAGACTTAAATGTAAAACCCAAAACTACAAAAACCCTGGAAGACAACCTAGGCAATACTATTCAGGACATAGGCACAGGCAAAGATTTCATGACGAAGATTCCAAAAGCAATTGCAACCAAAGCAAAAATTGATTAATGGGATCTAATTAAACTAAAGAGCTTCTGGACAGCAAAAGAAACTATCAAGAGAGGAAACAGACAACCTACAGAATGAGAGAAAATTTTTGCAAACTATACATCTGACAAGGGTCTAATATTCAGCATCCGCATATTCTCACTCATAGATGGGAATTGAACAATGAGATCACATGGACACAGGAAGGGGAATATCACACTCTGGGGACTGTTGTGGGGTGGGGGGAGGGGGGAGGGATAGCATCGGGAGATATACCTAATGCTAGATGACGAGTTAGTGGGTGCAGCGCACCAGCATGGCACATGTATGCATATGTAACTAACCTGCACAATGTGCACATGTACCCTAAAACTTAATTAAAAAAATAAAAAGAAAAAAAAAAAGAATTTAACAGTTTTGCAAGAAAAAAACCCAACTCCATTAAAAAGTGGGCAAAGGACGTGAACAGACACTTCTCAAAAGAAGACATACACATGGCCAACAATCATATAAAAAAAGTTCAACATCACTGATCATTAGAGAAATGCAAATCAAAACCACAATGAGATACCATCTCACACCCACCAGAATGGCTATTATTTAAAAGTCAAAACACAACAGATGCTGGTGAGATTGTGGAGAAAAAGGAATGCTTTTATGCTGTTGGTGGGAGTGTAAATTAGTTTAGCCATTGTGGAAGACAATATAGTGATTCCTCAAAGATCTAAAGACAGAAATACCATTCCACCCAGCAATCCCATTACTGGGTATATACCCAAAGGAATATAAATCATTCTGTTATAAAGACACATGCACATGTATGTTTATTGTAGCACTATTCACAATAGCAAAGACATGGAATCAACCTAAATGCCCATCAATGATAGACTGAATAAAGAAAATGTGACACATATATACCCTGGAATACTATGCAGTCATAAAAAACAACAAGATCATGTCCTTTGCAGGGACATGGATGGTGCTAGAGACCACTATCCTTAGCAAACTAATGCAGGAACAGAAAACCAAACACCGCATGTTCTCACTTATAAGTGGGAGCTGAATGATGAGAACACATGGACACTTAGAGGCGAACAACACACACTGGAGCCTTTTGGAGGGGGGAGGGTGAATAGTTGGAGGAAGAAGATTAGGAAAAATAACCAATGGGTACTAGGCTTAATATTTGGGTGATGAAATAATCTGTACAACAAACCCTCATGATACAAGTTTACCTATGTAACAAACCTGTAACAAGCAAGTTTACCTATGTAACAAACACAACATAATAATCTGTAATATAAATCTGTACAACAGACCCTCATAACACAAGTTTACCTATGTAACAAACCTGTACTCATACCCCTGAACTTAAAATAACAGTTAAAAAAAAGAGGATCTGGTGTGACTAATCTGCGTGTCACTCGGGACCATCATTATGTGGCCGAAGAGCAGCTGTCAGAAACTTTGAACAGAACTACTTAACTTTCAGCACCAAATGATTCAATTGAGGGAAAAAATATAAGTTTAGAAAAATGACATCAAAAGCTGCAGAAAGAAGGTCTGCGGCTTGGGAGGAAAACTCTGGAGCTGATAGTGGCATTCTTTTAAGAAATGCTGCAATCACCGATGGTCATGAGTGCAGAAGATGATAATTGTAGTGCAAATATCTTGTCTTGTCATTCACAGGTCTCCTAATAAAGAGGAGCCACATCAAAATCTGATGCAGGTTGCAAAATTATGGGCCAGCTTTAAAAAAAAAAAAAAAAGATGTTTTGGCGAACTTTATAGGTGATGAGTGTATTTTGCATGTAGAAGGCATGTGAACAATGGCGGTTGTAGGACAGACTGTGATAGTTGCATTCATAGTCTCATTTGATAGCTTCCTTGTATCTGCGCCCTGTGCCCAGTAACTGCATAGTGCCTTCCCTGCCTCTGAGATTTGCCTTATGACTTGCTTTGGTCGATAGAATGCTAGCAAATGTGACCCAAGGAAAGGACTGAAAAGCACTTGTCCTTTCTGCTCTCCTTCTTGCAATGGTTTGCATTCTAATCCTTTACTCAAACTGTGAGTATATTGCTGCATGTTTGTAATGGAGGGAAATAAGAGACAGATGGAGGAGACAGCTAAAATGCCGAGTTGTCTCAGCCATCTCGGCCAGCCCAGCTACTCCAGCTGAAGCTGTCTTAAGTCAGTCTATAGCCATGTGAGGGAACCCTGCCAAGATCAGAAGAGTGTCTGATCGAACCCCTCCTAAACTGCCCACCCATATAGAACTAAATAAATGCAAAATGGATGGATTAAAATACTCTAATGGAAACTGCATGAACAATGCAGTAGATATACTGTTCTTGGTTGTGGAGGTAGAATTAGGATCTATAGACATAAGTTACCAAAAAGCAGATTTACATTCCAGTGAAGGAAAATAATCTAATAAGTTGACAGAAAGAGAATATGAAACTTTCTTTTTATAATAATAGCAAATAGCAAATGATAGTAATAAAAGGGCCTACTATATGCTAGGCTAGGTGCTTTGCCTCAGTTATCAAATGACCTAATATAAATCTTGCAGCAAGCCTGTGAGGTTATTACTATGCCCATTTTATAGATAAAGAAGTTAAAAATCAGAGAGGTAGTAATTTACCCACTGTATCAGTCAGGGTTCCATGAGAAGTAAGAGATCTATCTGCCTATCTATCTATCTATCTATCTATCTATCTATATCTATCTATCTATCTATCTATCTATCTACCTATCTATCTATCTATCTATCTATCATCTATCTGTCATCTGTCTATCTAGCATCATCATCTATCTACCTAAGGAATAGACAAGAAATTGGCTTATGTGATTGTGAGGACTGCATAGGCAAGTCTGAATTCCATAGGGCAAACCATCAGGAAGGGCAGGCTGGAACTTTCAGACTCGAACTGAAGCTGCAATACACAAGCAAAATTTCTTCCCCAGGGAAGTCTTAATTCTTCTCTGCAGGTTTTCAATTGATTGAATCAGGCCCACCCAGATTACCTAAAATAATCTCCTTTGCTTACACTGACTATAGGCTTTTATCACATCTTTACCTTCACAGCAGCACCTCGATTAGTGCTTGATTGCTGTCTTAGTCCATTTTTGTGTTGCTATAACAGAATACTTGAGGCTGGGTGATTTATAAAGGAAAGGGGTTTATTTGGCTCATGATTCTGGTGGCTGGAATGTTCAAGAGTACACAGTTGCATCTGGTGAGGGTCTCCGGCTGCTTCAACTCATGAAGGCAAGCAGAAGAGGAGCAGCTATGTGCAAAAAGATCACATGGGAGAGAGAAAGAGAGAAAGAAATCCTGGAAGCTAGACTCATTTTAGCAATCCACTCTCAGCAGGATCTAACCCATTCCTTGGAGAATGAAAATTCACTCACCCGAGAGGGAGGGCATTAATCTATTCATGAGGGATCTGCTCCTATGATCCAAACACCACCTACTAGGCCCCACCTCCCAACACTGCTGCATTGGGGATCAAATTTCAACATGAGTTTTAGCACAGAGAAACCGTATCCAACCCATAGCAATTGATCAACTGGGAACTACAGTCAGGTTGACCCATAGAATCAACCATCACACCCAAAGCCTGTGCTCTCTCCAGGATATAATTTCATCCAGTGCTCTAATAAGCACCTGCTCCTAAAAATTGGATCCTCACTATTACCAGAAATATACAAACATAAGCTGCTTAATGATTTGCCAGAAATGGGGAAAGATGTCCTTGCTCTAGATGGAAGTTAGACTAGAGTCCATTCCAGGGCTGAGATTCAGTAGTCTTTTGTTACTAAGTAGTAACAAAAGTAATGTTAAAAAAAAGTAATGTTAAAAAAAGTAAAAAAAGTGATGTTACTACTTAGTAACAAAGTAGTCAATGTTACTAAGATTTGCTTAGTAGGAGCTCTTAGAGAGCCCACATTAGTAGATAGAGAATGCTAAAGGGCAATATGTGAAATAGGTGCATTCACAATATTTAATAAGTCTGCTTATAAACAGCTTATTGTTAGTTTTGGAAACACCTTTTCAATCTTATTTAAAATATTAATCTGAATAATCTCAGGATAATGGGCTTATTAAGTAAATGAAAAGGATAATCACGTGTTTGTATCTGTATTCTCACTGTTTTTGAATTGATTGTGAATAAATGTAGTGTTACAATATACACCATTTGAAGAAATAACTAATATTTTACATACTAAAGTCGGTTGTGGTAGGCCATTATTCGGCCTACCACAACCGACTTCAGTATGTAAAATATTAGTTTGCAAAGACATCCAGCTTCTAATCCCAGAACCTGTGAATGTTACCTTGTATGCTAAAGGAACTTTGCATATATGATTAAGCTAAGGATCTTGAGATGGGGAGATAAGCCTGGATTACCCAAATTGGTCCAGTGGAATTACTTAGTGCAATCCCTGAAAGATGGATGCAGGAGGACTCAGAGCCAGAAGAGATGGAGACGGATGACAGAAGCAGAGAGTGAAGTGATGTGCTCTGAGAAGAGAAAGGGTCTACAAGCCAACTAGTACAGGTGGCTATTAGAGGCTAGAAAAGGCAAGAAAACATTGCCCCTCAGAGCCTCCAGAAGGAATCAGCCCTGCCAATATCTTGACATTAGCCCAGTGAAATTTTGGACTTTTGCCTTCCAGAACGATAAGGGAGTAAATTTGTGTTGTTTTTAAGCCACTAAGTTTGTAGTAATTTGTTACAGCAGCAATAGAAAACTAACATATTCAATAGAGAAAGTTTTTGGTAGTTACTTATTCTAGGCTTAGTTTTAGGACAGTCTTCGAAGGGCAGGTAACAAATACCACTGGTTCCATTCATAACCTCATTCTCACTAGCTGGAGATGGTCTTTGCTGGGATACATGTCTCCGTGAGTCTCTTGCATTTCTTTATGTCTTGTGTCTGTTTGTTCTGGATTGTCTTTTCAAGGATGTTTGTATAGTCAAGAGCCTTCGCAGATAGAGATACTGTCTCCCTTTGAGGCAGAGGCCAGATGCATTTGCTGTCCAGAGTATCCCACTGTCCAGGATAATAAAGATAATGTTTTCCTCTGGGGTATGGGTTAGGCATGTTTGCTGGCAATGCTTTTAAAAGATAGGGGCTTACTAAATTTAGCATTTCTCATTTGGGACACAAACCCACCATGCTCTCCATATCAACCTAGACCTGCCTCTACATTGTGTCCATGGGACTTTGGGGAAGAAGGACAGGGAAAATCAATGCAAAATGAAGCTCACACTGCTCGCTGTGTTCTAAGTTATAAAGTCCATTGTTTCTGAACCAAGAGTCTTATGCCTCCTGCCAGCGTCCATGAACCAGTAGCAGGCAAATTTGTTAGTTTGCAAGTAAGGTAAAATCTGACACTTAACAGTTTTTGATGCACTTCCAGCTGGGGGTAGCTGTGTCACATAGTATTGGCTTGTGAAATGTATACAGAAGTCTGATGAGGGTGTGACTGAAGGTACTTTCTTGATTATTCCATCAATTTCCCCCTTCCTTTGACCTGTAACTCAGACAGGATTCAGGTACAACATCTATCTTGCAACTATGAGGCCAAATACCAAAACGCTAAAGATGATAGAGCAGAGAGTTGGAAAGTACCTGGATGCCTGATGGCATCTTTGAGCAGGAAAACCAACTCTGGACTACCTACTTCCAGATTTCTTCTTATGTGAAGAAAACAAAACCCCTGTTTGTTCACTGTAATGTTGAGTAGATATTGTTATTCAGAGCTGAAGGCATTTCAGATCAAAAGTGAAAACAAAGATTTAGTTCTAAATCTCTGCTGTGTTCATTTCTCTCATAAAATAAAAGTAGGTTTGTTGTTTTAAATGATAAAACAAGTGTATTCTTGAAAAACTTAAACAATATTGCAAAGCATAAAAATAAAGCAATCACTACTGCCATCTACTACTAGTGACCACCACTAATTGTCTTAGTTAATGTTTGTGTAGAATAGTCAGAGTGGGCTGGTTCTAGTGTTAGTGTTAGGGTGTTTGTGTGAGAATCTTAACTCCATCACTTATTAGCTATGACCTAAGGCAAGTTATTTAAATGTTACCTGCATTAGTTACTGATTTGTAAAATGAGTATAAAACACCTACCTTTTGAAAATTATATTAGTCAACATACATAAAACATTCAGAACAGTTCTTTACACAGAGTAGGCACACATTAAATGTGGTTATTTTCATCCTCCCAGACTTTCACTGTGAGTTCATGTGCATGTATGTGTGCACACACACACATATACATTTAAGATAGGACATTACTGTATATGTCATATTGTCATTTTTTCCTATTTAACATTATTTCAGAGGCATGTTTTCATGTCAATAAATATAATAAACATTGCCACTTGTAGTGGCTGTCAGGTATTTCAGTATGTAAATGCACATTGCTTTACTTTACCAGTCTCTGATGATCAATGAGGCTTTATAAAGTTTCCCGCTATGGTAAACAAAGCTGTGTTGAACATATTTATATGTCACTTTTAAATACTAAATAAATAAGAACTATTTATCATAGTATTTTCTTCTAATCATTTCCCAGAAATACAAATAATTAGGACCTCAGCTGACCTGGAGGGAAATCTGAACTGTCAAGTGTTGAAGTCAATGAAAGCAAAATAAGCCCAAATGAAAGTAACAGTCATGCCTGTCATCACTTTCTTTGACAGTATAAGTAAAAGGCTGGAACTGGAGAAAGCCACTGACTCTCCCATTCTATTTTTCCCCATGGAAGAGCACACTGGTCAAGTGTTAGGTGGATCAGTGCAGACATAAGGATGGTCTCTCTTTTGAGGAAACCCAGAACAAAAGGCCTGAAGGAAACCAGAATATGTCACACCAAAATATGCCTCTTTGGTTATTTTGAGCTGAAGGCAATTAAGAAGCAGCAAATGGAGGAAAAGCCCTATCTATCCTCCCCCTTTTCACTCTACAGACAGGATAGAAATTCTCCTTTACTGGAGTAACTCTAGAATGTTACCAGCCCAGAGACCAGACGGTACCAGATGAATCTGCAAACAGACCTCACTGCATTAGTTTCCTCCCATATATTTACCTTCCCATAGTTTCCTGCCCTTAGAAAACTACAACCACTTTCCTTTGTCTTGTCATTTCTCTACAAATTTATTGTTCTTTCTTAAATATACTACATAAGTGGAGTTCTTTTTTTCGAAATTTAAACAAAAAAGGATTAATTTGTCAATAGGTGGAGTTTTCCCACTTTCCAATAAACCACCTTTTTTTCTTTTCCTTTTTTATTTTAAGTTCATGGGTACACGTGCAGGAGAATGCGCAGGTCTGTTACATAAGTAAACGTGTGATATGGTGGTTTGCTGCAAAGATTATCTCATCACCTAGGTATTAAGTCCGACATCCATTAGCTATTCTTCTTGATGCTGTCCCTCCTCCCCTCGACTCTGTGACAGGCCCCATGTGTCCATGTGTTCTCATCCTTCAGCTCCCACTTATAAGTGAGAGCATGTGGTGCTTGGTTTTCTGTTCCTGTGTTAGTTTGCTGAGAATAATGGCCTCCAGCTCCATTTATGTCCCTGCAAAGGATGTGGTCTTGTTCCTTTTTGTGGCTGCATAGTATTTCATGTTGTATATGTGCCACATTTTCTTTATCCAGTCTATCATTGTTGGGCATTCAGGTTGATTCTATGTCTTTGCTATTGTGAATAGTGCTGCAATGAACATACATGTACATGTGTCTTTATAGTAGAATGATTTCTATTCCCTTGGGTATATATCTAGTAATGGGATTGCTGTGTAGAATGGTATTTCTGCCTCTAGGTCTTTGAGAAATTGCCACACTGTCTTCCACAATGGTGGAACTAATTTACACTCCCACCTAGAGTGTAAAAGCATTCCTATTTCTCCACAAACTCACCAGCATCTGTTGTTTTTTGACTTTTTAGTAATAGCCATTATGACAGGTGTGAGGTGGTATCTCAATGTGGTTTTGATTTGCATTTCTCTAATGATCTTTGATGTTGAGCTTTTTTTTTTTCATATGATTATTGGCCACATGTATGTCTTCTTTTGGGAAGTGCCTGTTTATGTCCTTGGCCCCCTTTTTAATGGGGTTTTTTTTTTTGGTAAGTTTGTTTAAATTCCTTGTAGATGCTGAATATCAGGCCTTTGTCAGGTGAATAGATTGCAAAAATTTTCTTTCATTCTACAGAATGACATAGGTTGTCCAGTTTACTATGATGATAGTTTCTTTTGCTGTGCAAAAGCTCTTTTATTTAATTTAGATCTCATTTGTCAATTTTTGCTTTTGTTGCAGTTGCCTTTGGCATCTTCATCATGAAATCTTTGCCCATGCCTATGTTCTGAATGGTATTGCTTAGATTTCCTTCTAGGGTTTTTATAGCTTTGGGTTGATATTTAAGTCTTTAGTTTATCTTGAGTTCGTTTTTAAATATGGTGTAAGGAAGGGGTCCAGTTTCAATCTTCTGCATCTGTCTAGCCAGTCCTCAAGAATAAGCCACCATTTTAAATTACTTTTCATTGACATTTCTCCTGCATCATGTGCACTGCGTGAGTTAATAAACTCTTTGTTTTTCTCTTGTTAATCTTTCTTTCATTACAGAGTTCTGTTCCAACTAAGAATCCACAAGCATTAAGGAAAAAATTACTTTTTCTCTCTTACAGGTTTCTGCAGTTTATACCTGGGGTTTCAGAGAGTGTGAAGGGGAAGGACTAGGAGTAGAAAAGTCCTGAGTCAAAGTGGGACCTCTACCCAAAGTCTTAGACAACAAGTCCTGGGAATGAAGGTGCTAGGGCTGGAGATATACCTAATGTAAATGACGAGTTAATGGGTGCAGCACACCAACATGGCACATGTATACATATGTAACAAACCAGCACATTGTGCACATATATCCTAGAACTTAAAGTATAATAAAAAAAAAGTGAAGGGTATACCTCAAGGCTAGAAGAGCTTGAGACTTTGACTGCAACTCCCTTCAGAGACTACAATGCATTGGCTGTGCACCAAGTCTGATATGAGAAGGGCAGATTTCTCCCATGAAGACTGCCAGGTAAAGCTTTTGTAATTGCCTATCGTCAGGCCTGAAAAATCACACACACAGTTGTAACCAGGAGCCAGCCTCCTCATAAATGCTGGGCCAAAGTATATACATGTTTTTAAGGATTTGTACATAACATCCTAGAGAAATGTGACAATTTGCAGTCTTACCACAACATCACCAATACCAGGAATTATTGTTTTTTTAAAAAAATATTTAACAGTATGTTGTTTAAAATGTTCTATCCTTGATTCAAATTCTATTGGTTACCAGGAAAATATAACACCTTTCTGTATTTACTGACAATAGGCACATTGTAGTATTTTACTTTTTGTTTATTATCATCATGTTTTTGCCAATTTCCTATTGAGTTATTATCCCTTTTTATTTAATTTTGAGTTTTAAAAATTATATCAATCCTCTATCAGTCATATACACAGCAAATATTTCTAGTTTTGCTTTTGTTTTTGTTTATGGTAGAGTTTTTTAATATAGAAAATTTAAATATATTTATAAGCAATCTGTAATTTTTTCTTTATGGTTTCTGTCTTTAATGGTCTTTATTTGGAGAGTACCTATGTAACCCAAGGTTATGCAATTATATACCTTGTATGATTCCAGCAGTTTCTTAGCAAGATATATATATATATATATACACACATATATATATATATGGATACATATATGCAAAACCATCAGATATATATATAGATATATATTTGCAAAACCATCAGATATATATATAGATATATATTTGCAAAACCATCAGATAGATATATATATGCAAAACCATCAATTAATCTGGAATGTATTTTTGTGAGGTTTCTAAGAACAATTCTTACTTTAGTATGATCCAGTAATTTAGCCAGCTATGCCAACACCATAAGCAACACCTACTGATTGGAAATGCCAGCTCTATCATATACTAAATTTGTCTGCTTATTCTGGTGTTAGTTTCTTATCATTTTAATTATTATAACTTTAATTTTAAAAAATCTGGTATCAGTACCTGCTCCATTATTTTTGTTTTGCAATTTTTTTCTTGTCCTTTCTCATGCATTTATTTTTCCAGGCAAATTTTAGAATCACTTAATCAAGTCCCTCTTTCCCTGGGCCGCCTCCATTCCACTGGGATTTCAATTGGGTTTATGGTATATTATTAGATGTATTTCTGAAAAATTGACATGTTTATAATACGGAGCTTTCCTATCCACGTCATGGTCTATATATCCAATTTATTTGGGCAAGCTTTTAATTCGATAGGGATAAAAATAAATTTCTTAATTGAACAAGAGCAAGAAGGCTCTGTTGATATGATTTTTCCATTTTGCCTAAGTGGAAGCAGGATAAGCCTTTTTATATCAGGACCATAAAACCATATAAAATATGGTTTACACATACTATATATGTATATCTGTATCTACATCTATATATGCAGTCCTCACTTTGCACGGTTTGGTATACATGAATTTCAACTGTCATAGTTTAGTTAATATCAGTCCCCAACATGATTCAAATTTAGTTACTACTTTGTATTAGCTATGAGTAATTGCATAAAGTATAAATTTTACTGCTGTGTCTTCAGTCTACAAATCACTACATAAAATACAGATTATTAAATTGATTTGTGACCGGTCATGTTTCCTCTTTCAGTATCTGTCAATGATTGGTCATTGCACATCTGTCATTCACAGTTCATGCACAGACAGCAAGGTGTGTAGCTATTTTGCCTCCTTGTCTCCCAGTGGTAAATCCGTGTGACATTTCACAAAAATGGGTCATTGACAAAAATTGGTCAATAAAGATGAAAGTGCAGAAAATAAACAAGAAGTGATAATGCTGAAAGTGAAATTTGTATTGAACATCAATGAAATTATAGAATAGGGGCAGTGAGAATGTCAGCACCACTGCTTTTGAGAGATCTACAGGCAGAGGAACAAATCAAACTTACTGACATATGTCCCAGAGGAAGTGATACTGGCAAAAACCAAAAACAAAACCTTACATTAAAGGAACTCTCAGAGATATTTCATGACATTGAAAGTACAGAGGATAAAACCTTGGGAGCTAATCCAAACTTAAAGAGTATGATGAAATCATAGGCAGTGAAAGGATGCCTGCTTTGTATCATAAACTATACAACAAGAAGAAGGCAATTACTGTTCAAAGTGCTTTTGAGAAATAGAGTATTTTAGAGAAATAAAGTAATTTAAATCTCAATATGTCTAATATTTTAAATTACAGTATACTAAATAATAATTTTACTATTTTTCATGTTTCTAAACATTTATAACCAAAAGTAAGAGAGTTTTTAATGTTTCAACAAAAATTTGTAACAGTCACAAAACATTGTAACATTTTTCCATTGATTAATAAGATCGTCTTGCATGGTTTCAGCTTGTGCAGTCATTTTTATGATCTCACGCTACTATGCAAAGCGAGCATGGCCTGTACTCAAGGGAGCGGGGAGGCAAAGAGAGGCAAGAATGACAAGCTGAGTGAAAATCCTCCAGCTCAGAGCAGCTGGCAGAAAAAGAGAAAGACCAAGCTAATGCTTTCACCTTGGTAAGAAAAATAACTCCCACGAAACGGACACTGGCTCAAAGGATGAACATATTGTTCTAGAGTTACACAAGAACACTGCACTTAAGAAGGCACGTCCCCAAAATTGGTTTATTTTAATGTAATATATTTCCCTGAAACTTTGCTTGTAGGAACAGAAGGAATTTCTGGCCCTGGGTTACCTGAGTTTGCATCCTTGTTCTCTTTCCTTCAGGGAGGAGATTGTCTAGGTCCAAAATACCTACTGTCTTGCCTTGCATTAGTTGTGGTGTCAGGGAGGGGGATAGTTCTTATTCCAGCTTTTCACGTGATGTCATCCTGGCCACTTAATCTTCTGGTGCAGTGATGCAATGAAATTCTCTCAGGCTAATGGGTTCAGGCACATCTTTCCTGGGCCAATAGCCAGAAATTGATGTGCTGATTTAGAAGGGGATGGAAAGCACAAAGAATTTTTCAAGCCAAGGGAGAAACAAGAGAACAAAAGAAATACTGCTTTTGTTAATGGCTCTGAGTGAAAATTTTTCCTTAAAATCCCAATGATAGTCTACAATGTTTTGAAAGTGATTTATAAGGCTGACAAGGACTGGCTGGGCTTAATGGGGTCATTTAATTTTAATGCCTCAAATAGGACTGCTTCTATTTTTATCCCAATAAAAGAGTTTGCAATGGTACACATGAGCAAATTTAAAAACGTAAATCATGTCTATATGTGATCAATTTAGGAAGAGGGAGTCTTGAGGAGAAAGCCGGACAGACGGTGAGATGGGAGATGTAATTTTAGATGAAATGTGCAACTTTCCCATGTCCCTGGAGGTACACAAAAGGCAGAGAAAGCCTTATTTATAGGCGTTCCACCTCTGGCTCTGAGCTCTAATTTGAGGAACTCACAGAGCTGTCTTACTGAATGTATGTCTTTGCTAAGTTCCTGTATTTCCTGCCTTTATCCTGACTTCTTAAGAGTCTTTCTGAATCTGCCTTTGACTAGTAATATAACCTTGAACAAGTAACTGGACCTCAGATTCTTTGCCATAAAGTGAGGGCATTGAAGGAGAAGATCTCTCTCTAAATGGCTTTGTGACTCTCTAAATTTCTGCATAAGAAATCTTTTTAACTGAAGGAATATTTAGTATCAATAAATTCATTTTAAAGAATGGATTAAAACTCCTATCTTTCTCCAGAAAGGATTTAAGGTGAGGTATTATTCAGGATTCTCCAGAGAAACAGAACCAGTAGGAAACGTACAGCTATGTAAGAGGAGATTTATTATAGAAACTGGCTCACCAGATTATGTAGGCCAACAAGTCCCACCCTATGCCATTAGCAAGCTAGAGAACGAGGACAGCTAGTGTTATAATTCAGTATGAGTTCAAAGGCCTGAGAACGAGGGGGCCATTGGTGTAAATTCCAGTCCAAGGCCAACGGCCTGAGAGCCAAGGGGAATCAATGGTGTAGCTGACCTGATAACTAGGAGACTAGTGGAGTAAGTCCCAGGGTCTGAAGGCCTGAGAATCAGGAGCTCCCATGTCTGAGGGCAGGAGAAAATGGATGTCCCCATTCAACGAAAGAGAGCAAATTTACCTCTTCTCTGCCTTTTTTTTTCTATTTAGGCCCTCAAAGGATTGGATGATGCCTGCCTGCATTTGTGAGGGCAGATCTTCTTTACATAGTCTATCAACTTAAATGCTAATCCTTTCCAGAAACACCCTTACAGACATACTTAGAAACAATATTGACCCGCTCTCTGAGCATCCCTTAGCCCAGTCAAGTTAATACATGAAATTAACCATTTGCAGGTGACTTCTCATTACATTATTGCTCTGGCTTGCATGTATGAGAAGTTTCTTTTTTCCTAGCCCTGCACTATGGCTACCTTCAACTAAACTGAGGCATGGGCTGAGATTTCAGAGGTTTTAAAGAGTATATTATATTGCTTCCTAGATTGATTGGCAGAACAGATTAGCACATGACTGCAGGCAACTAAGATTTCCCTATGGAAATGCAGTATATTAAAAATAAAACATCATTAATACAATAGTCAGTTAGAAATGCTATCAAATAATTCGAAACAAAATATGAAGGAAGAAAAACAAATAAGATAACAACCATACTCATTTTAAGAACTATCCATCACTCTCTGTGTAACCTTTATTTTCATCTCAGATGTAGGTTAAAATGCTTTGACTCGATCTAAGTATTTTCTTAGAGTCAAAGTCAATTGATTATATTCAGAGCTCATATCTGGCTCCAACTGTTATAAGCTTTAAGAAAACTTGACATTAGAAGCTCATTCAGGACTTCCAAATCCCCATAGAATAACAGCAGGATTCCTAAATCCTGATTTTTCATACATCTTCCAAGAACCATGCATATCAACAAGGAGAATATATAAAATCATCTATAACTTGAGCCCACAACATAACTAGATGACAGAAAAAAATACTCTTCTCTCCAATGTACATGTGGTAGAAAAGTGAAAACAACAGAGCCAACTCATGTGCTATATGAGAGTGAGGAGTCAGGCAGATCCTGCAGGCAGGCACTGGCAGTTGGAAAATAAGAGTAAAATCTCCCCCACATTATCAAAGAAAGTCCCTAGGTTTTCTTCTAGGGTTTTTATGGTTTTAGGTCTAACATGTAAGTCTTTAATCCATCTTGAATTAATTTTTGTATAAGGTGTAAGGAAGGGATCCAGTTTCAGCTTTCTACATATGGCTAGCCAGTTTTCCCAGCACCATTTATTAAAGAGGGAATCCTTTCCCCATTGCTTGTTTTTCTCAGGTTTGTCAAAGATCAGATAGTTGTAGATATGCAGCATTATTTCTGAGGGCTCTGTTCCGTTCCATTAGTCTATATCTCTGTTTGGTACCAGTACCATGCTGTTTTGGTTACTGTAGCCTTGTAGTATAGTTTGAAGTCAGGTAGCATGATGCCTCCAGCTTTGTTCTTTTGGCTTAGGATTGACTTGGCAATGCGGGATCTTTTTTGGTTCCATATGAACTTTAAAGTAGTTTTTTCCAATTCTGTGAAGAAAGTCATTGGTAGCTTGATGGGGATGGCATTGAATCCATCAATTACCTTGGGCAGTATGGCCATTTTCACGATATTGATTCTTCCTACCCATGAGCATGGAATGTTCTTCCATTTGTTTGTATCCTCTTTTATTTCCTTGAGCAGTGGTTTGTAGTTCTCCTTGAAGAGGGCCTTCACATCCTTTGTAAGTTGGATTCCTAAGTATTTTATTCTCTTTGAAGCAATTGTGAATGGGAGTTCGCTCATGATTTGGCTCTCTGTTTGTCTGTTATTGGTGTATAGGAACGCTTGTGATTTTTGCGCATTGATTTTGTATCCTGAGACTTTGCTGAAGTTGCTTATCAGCTTAAGGAGATTTTGGGCTGAGACAGTGGGGTTTTCTAGATATACAATCATGTCATCTGCAAACACGGACAATTTGACTTCCTCTTTTCCTAATTGAATACCCTTTATTTCCTTCTCCTGCCTGACTGTCCTGGCCAGAACTTCCAACACTATGTTGAATAGGAGTGGTGAGAGAGGGCATCCCTGTCTTGTGCCAGTTTTCAAAGGGAATGCTTCCAGTTTTTGCCCATGCAGTATGATATTGGCTGTGGGTTTGTCATAGATAGCTCTTATTATTTTGAGATACGTCCCATCAATACCTAATTTATTGAGAGTTTTTAGCATGAAGCCTTGTTGAATTTCGTCAAAGGCCTTTTCTGCATGTTTGAGATAATCATGTGGTTTTTGTCATTGGTTCTGATGTAGGCATGGGCAAGGACTTCATGTCTACAACACCAAAAGCAATGGACAACAAAAGCCAAAATTGACAAATGGGATCTAACTAAACTAAAGAGCTTCTGCGCAGCAAAAAAACCTACCATCAGAGTGAACAGGCAACCTACAGAATGGGAGAAAATTTTTGCAATCTACTCATCTGACAAAGGGCTAATATCCAGAATCTACAATGAACTCAGACAAATTTACAAGAAAAAAACAAACAACCCCATCAAAAAGTGGGTGAAGGGTATGAACAGACACTTCTCAAAAGAAGACATTTATGCAACCAAAACACACATGAAAAAATGCTCATCATCACTGGCCATCAGAGAAATGCAAATAAAAACCACAATGAGATACCATCTTACACCAGTTAGAATGGTGATTATTAAAAAGTCAGGAAACAACAAGTGCTGGAGAGGATGTGGAGAAATAGGAAGACTTTTACACTGTTGGTGGGACTGTAAACTAGTTCAACCATTGTGGAAGTTAGTGTGGCAATTCCTCAGGGATCTAGAACTAGAAATACCATTTGACCCAGCCATCCCATTACGGGGTATATACCCAAAGGATTATAAATCATGCTTCTATAAAGGCACATACACACGTATGTTTATTGTGGCACTATTCACAATAGCAAAGACTTGGAACCAACCCAAATGTCCAACAATGATAGACTGGATTAAGAAAATGTGGTACATATACACCATGGAATACTATGCAGCCATAAAAAAGGATGAGTTCATGTCCTTTGTAGGGACATGGATCAAGCTGCAAACCATCATTCTCAGCAAACTATCACAAGGACAAAAAACCAAACACCGCATGTTCTCACTCATAGGTGAGAATTGAACAATGAGAACACATGGACACAGGAAGGGGAACATCACACACCGGGGCCTGATACGGGGTGGGAGGAAGGGGGAGGGATAGCATTAGGAGATATACCTGATGTTAAATGACGAGTTAATGGGTGTAGCATACCAACATGGCACATGTATACATATGTAACAAACCTGCACATTGTGCACATGTACCCTAAAACTTAAAGTATGATAATAATAAAAAAAAAGTCCCATGGGTAGTAGAGAAATACTGAGAACAATAGTATACTCATGCCATCACTAGTAATGGGTTACCTTTCATTATGTGCTCCCTGAAGTCATGCAGTGGAAGGTACCCATCCTCAACTGGGTGGCATCCTAGCCATAAATGGATGAATCATGATTGAATTGATTTGAATTGCAAGGAAAATGTCAAGAGAATCTAGAACATGGAATGCTCTGTAGCACAACTAGCCCTTACTCTTCAGAACATGATAGTGTGTGTGTGTATGTGTGAGTGTGTATGTGAGTGTGCATGTGTGTGTATGTGTGAATGTGTATGTGTGTGGGTGTGTGTGTGTGTATTATACCACTGGTTGGCTTTCCTAGGTCTCCAGCTTGCAGATGGAAGATCATGGGACTTTTCAGTCTCCATAATCACATGAGCCAATTCCTCATAATAAATCTCACTCTCATTCTCTTTGTCTTTCCTTCTATCTCTCACTCTCTCTCTCTCTATTGTATATATACACACATATGTATATATAATACATCTCTATATTTGTGTATTAGTCCATTTTCATGCTGCTGATAAAGACATACCCAAGACTGATCAATTTACAAAAGAAAGAGTTTTAATTGGACTTACAATTCCACTTGGCTGGGGAAGCCTCACAATCATGGCAGAAGGCAAGGAGGAGCAAGTCACATCTTACATGGTTAGTGGCAGGCAAAAAATTAGAGAACGTGTGCAAGGGAACTCCTCTTTTTAAAAGCGTCAGATCTCATAAGACTTATTCACTATCACGAGAACAGCATGGGAAAGACTTGCCCCCATGATTCAATTACCTCCCACCAGGTCCCTCCTGCAACACGTGGGAATTCAAGATGAGATTTGGGTGGGGACACAGCCAAACCATATCAATTTGTATATATGTATGTATGTGTGTATGTACATATATATACAGTATAGATATACAGTATAGATACACACACATATATATAGGAAGAGAGAGAGAGAAGGAGTGGGGGAGGGAGGGAGGGAGAAAGAGAGAGAGAGAGAGAGAGAGAGAGAGAGAGAGAATGATTGTGAGAAATTAGCTCCCACAGTTATGGACACTGAGAAGTCTCAGGGTCTGCCATGGGCAGGTTGGAGCCCCAGGAAAGCCCATGGTGTAATTCTGCCCGTGTCCAAAGCCTGAAAAGTAGGGAAGCCTATGGTATAACTTCCAGTTTGAGAGCAGGAGAAGATAAGATGTCCCAGCTCAAGCAGTGAAGCAAAATAATAAAATCGGTGGGTGGGGTGAATTCCTCTCTTCTCTGCCTTTTTTTTTTTTTCTACCCAGGCCTGTCTTAATCCTTTGGGCTGCTATAAAAAAAATACCACAGGCTGAGTTATTTATTAACAGTAAAAGTTTACTCCTCACAGTTCTGGAGGCTGGGAAGTCCAAGATCAAGGCACTGGCAGATTTGGTGTCTGGTGAGGGCTACTCTCTGCTTGTAAGATGGTGCCTTATTGTTGAATCCTCTGGAGGGGATGAAGTGTGAGTCTCACGTGGAGGAAGAGACAGAGAGGCAATATCTTTTATAAGATGTTAACATTCATAAGGATGGATCCCTCATGGGCTAATCACCTTCTCAAGGCCCCACCTCTTAATACTGTTGCATTGAGGATTAAGCTCCAACATAAATTTGCGAGGGGACACAAATATTCAAACCATAGCAAGGCCCTAAACAAACTGGTTGATGTCGACCCATATAGTGGAAGGCCATCTATTTTACTGAGTCCACCAATTCAAATGCTTGTCTCTTTCAGAAACACTCTCACAGACACACCCAGAAATAATGTTTAATTTAGGCATCTTTCATGAAGCCTTTGAGACATTTAACTTCAACCAGCAAAGTTTCTAGTAACATTTCCCAGGTACCCACCCCTACATATATTTTTACCCTCTCCATGGCAAGCAGAGAGAAAGAAACACAGAGGGAAGCCTGTGCCATCTGCAAGTTCCCAGTTTGCACCACACACCTGTTATTCCTACCTGGGATATTCCCCACGTGATTTTTCTCCAAGTGTGGCCTGGACTCACTGTGAACCTGCATAATGCTGGGCCTGCCTCATAATGCTGGGCCTGCCTCACATCTGCTGAAACTCTGGAGGTGGGACCCAGGAATCTGAATTTTAACAAGCTCCCCATGATTCTGTGCACACTCAAATTCGAGAAGCCCTGCTCTAGCATCTGACTCCACACTTAACCGCACCAAAATTACCTATAAGCAGCATTTACTATGAACACCAATTAGCACTGAAAATTATTTTCAGCTGGTTACGTTAGGATTTAAACATTAAGACATGCAGAGAATGATACCACATCACATCCAGAGAGCTAACACTCCTTGCTTGATGGGGGAGCTGTTTCTCACACTGCTGTGTCACTGGATTTATAGTTCGGCTTCTGGCACAGAGCTCTGACTCAGCTGCATTTAATTCCTAAAAGAATCACACCTCCCTTCTCTCCCCTTCATCTACCCACTGTTGTTCCTCCACACAATTATTCAGAACACTGATTTTCATGCTTAAATAGAGCAACAGCTTTCAGAGTGCTTTCTTCACACCAGGCTAAGAGTTTATGTGAACTAGGAAGATGATGTTGTAATTTAGTACCACTCGGTACAATTAAAAAAAAAAAAAAAACTAACACCTGGAGTAAGAGATGCATTAAGAGATGAACAGTTGAGCTCTGATGGGCGATGAAGCATGGACAGGCAGAAAGAACCCACTAGAAGTGTGGAATTATGTCTGAGCCTGGTGATGCACCAAAGTTGGGGACCCTGGCTTGCTGGGGCCATAAGAAGGCCCAGAATTTCAAGAGTGCTTAGAGAGAGGAAGAGGGTCTGGGGGCTGCAGGGAGCAGAGGGTGGCTCAGAGGGCTAGAAGAAAATAATTTTGCATACAGAATTTTGACAAGGAATTTTTAAAAATCTCTTTTCCGCCAGGCGCGGTGGCTCATGCCTGTAATCCCAGCACTTTGGGAGGCCGGGGTGGGTGGATCATGAGGTCAGGAGATTGAGACCATCCTGGCTAACACGCTGGTCTACCCCATCTCTACTGAAAATACAAAAAATTAGCCTGGCGTGGTGGTGGGCACCTGTGGTCCCAGCTACTCAGAAGGCTGAGGCAGGAGAATGGCGTGAACCCGGGAGGTGGAGCTTGCAGCGCCACTGCACTCCAGCCTGGGTGACAGAGCAAGACTCCATCTCAGAAAAAAAAAAATCTTTTGTCCAGTTCAGAAATGGCTCCTGGGAAAAAGGAAAGTTGTAAATACGCTATTTACAGGGAGTTAGGTCTGTGTGGAAAATTATTGGCAGATGTTGGTAGAAATATTGAAATATCACCCTTAGTCATTTGCACTGGAGTTCCTCTTGAGCTTCTTGGGAGAGTGCACCATTCCCCCAGCCCAGTCATGAACCTTGTTTTTAAAAATTTCAGTAGTTTTGGGGAAACAGGTGGTGTTCAGTTGCATGGATGAGGTCTTCAGTGGCGATTTCTGAGATTTTGGTACACCCGTCACCTGAGCAGGGTACACTGTACCCAACATGTAGTCTTTTATTCCTCATCCCCCTCCCACCATTCCCCCTGAGTTCCCAAAGTCCACTATATCATTCTTATGCCTTTGTATCCTCATAGCTTAGCCCCCACTTATAAGTGAGAACGTACAATGGTTGATTTTCCATTCCTGAGTAACTTCACTTAGAAGAATGGCCTCCAGCTCCATCCAAGTTGTGACAAAGGCCATTATTTCATTCCATTTTATAGATGAGTAGTATTCCATTTTGTGTGTGTATATATATATATATATATAATATTTTCTTTATGCATTCGTTGGTTGACGGGCATTTAGGTTGGTTCTATATTTTTGCAATTGTGAATTGTGTTGCTATAAACATGTGTGTGCATGTGTCTTTTTCATATAATACCAGTCATGAACCTTCCAGATTGAAATTGGAATGAAGAGTGAATCAAAGGTGCAACAGTATTTCCACAATCTCTGCTGCTCACTTGTGACAGGTGGTGGGTCACTGCAGGGAGGAAGAAGAGGCAGTGACTGCTAGTGGATATGGGGTTCCTTTGGAGGGTGATAAAAGAGCTCTAAAATTGATTGTGTTGATGGCTGCACAACTCTGTGAATGTACTAAAAACCATTACACTGTACTCTTCGAATGGGTAAATTGTATGCTATGTGAATTAGATCTCAATTAAGTTGTTTATATACATTTTAAAAATCACTGGAAACATATCTAGGGGCAGAAAGAACAGAAAAGGGTGAAGCCTCTTTGTGCATTCCAGTCTGACTCTCTGGCCAAGCATTGATAGTTACACAGCAGAAAAGCTGAGGGAAAATTGCAGGAAATGTGTTGTTATCCAAGTTGGGTGAAGGTAATTATGAAACACTAAGAAGTGTAGATAAAAATGATAAAAATAAAAAGATCTGTTTCTTTTGCATCAGCTACCCAGCTACCCATTACTTCTGTGCGTGTGTTTTTTTTAAAATATGTAAATAAAGTAACCAGAGGGAATGTGTTATGGTTGGGCTGTGTCCCCACCCAAATCTCATCTTGAGTTGTAGTTCCATAATCCCCACGTGTCATGGGAGGGGCCCGGTGGGAGGTAATTGAATCATGGGGGTTGTTTCCCCCATGCTGTTCTCGTGATAGTGAGTGAGTTCGCACAAGATCTGATGGTTTTATAAAGGGCTTTTTCCCCTTTTGCTCGGCACTTCTCCTTACTGCCATCATGTGAATAAGGACGTCTTTGCTTCCCCTTCTGCCATTATTGTAGGTTTTCTGAGGCCTCCCCAGCCATGCAGAATTGTGAGTCAATGAAACCTTAAACCTCTTTCCTTTATAACTTACCCAGTCTCTGGTATGTCCTTATAGCACCATGAGAACGGACTAACACAGACTATAAAGATGAGGTGGGAGTGTGGGCTACGTTTCAGCCAAAATTTAATATATTGTTTACATATGACAGCACATCTCAAGAGCAGACACTGAGATGATATGGGCTGGGTGATATGAGTAAGATCCTTCATGGGCTATTATTATAATAATTGCATTTTCCAAAATAGGAATTTATAGATAGGCAATTATAATTGCTAGCCTGTATCCTCTGTTGCCACTTGATGTTTTGGGAACCGTGAAATCCTTTTCTTCAGTTTTGTTTTGTTTTGTGTGCTTGTAAGGCTCAGTAACAATAATGTCTTTTCTTTAAGCAGCATCACCCAAAACACTTTAGGGCTTTAGGGAGGGTGAGAAGGAGTCAAAAACAACAAAATATGATGATTAAGTAATGAGCCCTTCAAACCTCAGAAAATGGAACCAAGTGGTGAGCAAACTTAGTACCATTTAACTTACCTGTATAAAAAGCAGGGGCCATTTGGGTTAGGAGGTTTTGGCCTCTGGGTCAGGACATCATATTGCCCAGGGCCATAGGGTGTGGAGCTCAGAGGGAGAAATCAAAGCAAAAGTCAGGCCGACTGTCTAATGAAGTTGCCAATCAGAAGACACAAAGCTGAGAGAGAGAACTAAATGCACAGGCTCCAGAGAGAAACCAGAGGAGAAGGGAGGATTTGGAGCAAAGGGTGGAGATGGAGCTGAAAGGTGGTTCCAGTGGCTTTTATGGAGAGCTGCAGGCTCTGATGAATGGAGCACAGGAGGGACAAGGAAAAAAAAAAGGTTGATAAAGCTCAGACTCAGGGACTCAATCCCTATTCCTTCTTCCATCTTAACTTTTCCTAGAGCCAAATCAAGAAATTATGATATCCAATAATTCCACCAGCCAGGTGGTCAGCAAAACCTCCAAGGATAATGGCGCTTATGGTTAAGGATCTCTGGGCTGGTAGCCAGATCCGTTTCTTAACAACATACACTACCAGAAAATTCTTCCTTACATCAAACAGTACATTTCTTATCTTGGCCACTTTCTGGCTGGGCTATCAACACACACTGGCTATGGATGTGTTGGACGTCAACTAAGCTCTCTAAGAGTTTTTTTCTTTGTTTGTAAAATGAGACTAATAATGGGACCTACCTTCTAGGATTATTGTCAGGATTAGAGGGATGAGGTGTATAAAGCATATAGACTGGTCCTTGTCACATGATATACATTACTTTCAGCATCAGAATCAGTATTAATGTTTATATTTGTGTTGCTCTTAGTAACATTGAGGCCCACAATCTTGGGGCTTGTACTAATCAAAAAAGGATCCTTATCTGGCAATTAAGCAGCATCCCTAGGTTTCTTGATAATGCTGTTGGCCAAGAAAATGAAGACATTGGCCTCCTGAGTGCTCATTGTGTGACACGCCCTCAGATGCATGCATTATTTATGTGATCTCTTGTTACCTGCATGATGACCCCGCGAATAAACAGAAATGCATTTTATACATTAGGAAACAAGTTTAGAAAAGCAAGCAAATTGCCCAAGGTCATATAACCAGTAAGTCTGGAGGTGGAACTTGAATCTAGTCCTGTGTAATTCCAAAGCCTCTACCTGGAATAAGAGAAGCCACAGGAGCATGAAGCCAGTGTTTTGCTTTCACAGTGACTTGGGGCATACCTTGTCAGAGGGCCTGAGGAGTGAGCACGACCTAAATCTCATGATATATCAACCAAGTTCTTCCACTTTCCTTATAGTCCATCATAGATTTATAGGTTTGTCCAGTGTTTTCTAAACCTTTCTTGAAGCTGTTTATATTTTCAGCCAGCAGGACTTTAAATAGCCCCAGGGTTTCTCTGAGGTGACTTGTAGCTAATACAATATCACAGGAGGAGACCAAGTGGGTGCAGTTTCCAGCCTCACACCTTCTCTTTGCCTCATTCACAGTTGTTTTGCTTTTATTTGTTTTATATTTATGGTTCACATAAAAAGATATCTACTAGGAGGGAAAAAAAGTTTGGTGACTAAAAATATAAATGTTTGAAAGACCAAAGCCTTAAACTGTTGTTGGTAACACTTGTATTTATCTTTCCAAAATAATTTATGCAAATATGCGCTCTTCTCATTTCTTACCCTCTAAGAGTTGAGGAATAATTGTCTGTTTCTGCTCTATATACCCTTCATGGTTTTTTAGTTGGTTTTCCCTGAACAATGTTTTCTTTTGGAGAACCTCCCTCTAATAATTTCATGTATGACTAGGAAGGCTCATTACTGAGACATGGCTGATCATGCATCTCATCCCACAGTAAAAATGACTGGTTCAGGAATGGATATGTGGCTGTAGCGGAATAAATTTGAGTCCCTTCCTAGATCAATATGCTGTTATTGGGACAGAAAAACACTCTGCTGAGGTTGCTAAGCTGATAGACTTCTTGCTCATAATGTACAAAAAGCATTAGCTGACAAATGAAACCATGCAAGGATGAATGGAATGCAGAATGGAGGGAAAATCAGAGTTCCAGTGACATCATTTCAGCCCCTGGATCCAGCTGAACCTGAAGGCATTTTCATACTTGAATTTTCCCTTTTAAGTAAGCCAAGATTTTACCTCTTTCTGAATGCCTTCCAAGATTAATCCCATTGATCTTGATTATCTTATCTGCTGTCTCCCTGCATTTGAGGTTTTGTGCAATACTCATGTGTGCATGTTGGTAATACTATTGTGAAAAAACTTCCTTTACTTATTCTAAACAGAGACAGCGTCTGTTTCCTCAACCACGGAAGCAGTTTCCTCAGGGAAGGGGCTACTGCCTAAATATCTATAACCTCTCAGTGGCTCATAATGATTGAGTGTTTGACTTCTCTAGAGGACAGTAACACTTCTTGGTTACAGAAAGCTGAACATTTTGCCTTTTTATAATAAGAAGTGACTGTCTGCTTCTTCTAGAAACTCTGACCCAGTGCCAGCTTCATGGACATGTGTGCTGTGACCATGTCCTCAGCTCTGGTCATTACCACATGCCTTCCCTTCATATATGTGAATTTCCGTGGTCTCTTTTTGCCCATCCTCTTCTTTTCCCTGCTTTCAGAAAGAGATGCTATGTAAGAGGAAAAATGGTTTTTGTTTAGGCAATGTAGCTTATTCTGCAGTGTACAATATGGGGGCAGTTCATAAGTCATTTTGGAATTGTTTTACCTTGTTTCCCATGCAGGAATATCTCTGATTACAGCATTCCACCATCAGAACTCTTTATTAGCAGAAAATGTGTGCAGAATATAAAGGCTAATCCCTGAACCTGGCATTTGACATTATGATCTGACCCCAGTCTGCCTTCTTGCCTCATCTCCTGCCTGCTTTCTCCCTGGGATTGGGAGTGTTGGTCCCCTTACCTCCAATTTCCTGGAGGAAGGCCTAAATCAGCATTTGGTCCTGGGGCTGTTCTTTGACACAGCACTCCCAGAAAACTTAGGCATGCCACCCCATCAATAATCGCTGGTCTACATTCCAGCCAAACTCTATCATTGTTGTTCCTCTGATATTCTACAGCTTCCATGCCTTCAGTCACATTAGTCCCTATGTTTGAGAGCTTTGCCTGAATTCCTATCTATCCAAATTTCACTCACTCTTACAATGCCTTCTCTCCCTTGAAGCACTTCCTGGACTTCGTCATCATCAACAACATGTACATGTCACATGCTATGTGTATTTATATATACTCACTTAATCCTCACAACAACTTCACAGTGTAAGTACTAAAATTATTCCCATTTCACACATGAGAAAATAAAGGCACTGCGATGTTGGATAGTTTCCCCGAGGAGAATTACACAGCCAGCGAGTGTCAGAGAAATGATTTGAATTTAAGCTGTTTGGCTCTAGAGTCTATGCAGTGATTTTCTAGAATGTATTGCTAAAACATCTCATGGTTCTTCTTGGCCTCTAAAGTTTTCATTATTTGTGTATGCCTCCCTTCCCCTAGCCTGCAAGCTCCCTGTAGACTAGGGGAAGGGAGGCATACACAAACAATGAAAACATAAGCGTATAGTGAAATAATCATGGCATTTGAACGCAAACAGACTTCGCTTGAACAAATGACTGAAATTATCTGAGTCTCAGTTTCTTCATTTGTAAAAAGAGAGTGATAACATATAACTTACAGTGTAACTGTGAGGAAGAGTGAATGAAATAATAGGTAAAAGTTTCTTAGTTGGGGCTCTGGCATATCATGGGTATTCAATAAACATTGGCACTCTTCTCTTTTGTGTTTACATCACTGAAACTTGTAGTAGAGTTCCTTTTAGCTTATTAACTGTACAGTACTTCGTCAGGGTAAGTTAGTACATTTGAGAGGAAACTAGGAATATCTTCCCTTGTATTAATTTATTTAGAAAATATTTATAGAGCAACTACTATGTTGAAGACACTCTGAAAGGTGCTGGGGACATGACAGTGATCAACAGTCTCTGCTCTCATCGAGCCTGTATTAATGAAACTTTTAGGAGACCCTCTCTATGTTTGTCTCCAAATGAATGAGAAGTCTTCCATCTCATGTGACTTATGGAAATCAGCTGCAATACTTCAGAGCATAACTATTAAGAGTAGTAATCTTTTGCTTTCCTCACCTGTTGCTGACAGGGAGATTCTGTTAGGATTTGACTGCTGTTCATGGTAATGTGTGACCAAGGATCCTTGCCTGGGTCAAGGTCCATAAAGAAACCTAATGCCGGTGGCAACAGGTGCTGTCCTTTCCATTTGCCTCATTCCGTGAGGGTGTAGGCAAGCTACTAGATTCTTTCTAAGTTTCAGCAGAGTCAAAAGCTGTGTGAATTTTTCCCACAGCAATGACCAAGAGAAAATGTCTCCTCTTGCTTACATTCTCACAGAATGACTAGATGGTTTCATTTACATATTTTACAGAAACAATGTCTGAACACAAATGTCCTCTTCAGGGGGAAGTCATAAAGACAGCTAAGGATGAACTGAAGGTGAACACTTGTCTGTCTCAGCAGGGGAGCCTGTGAAATTCAAACAGGCTGCATTACTTTATGCTGATGTTGACTTGTTAGCTCAGAGACTCTTCAAAAGGAGTTAAAAGCCGCTGGAGATGAAGGAATATTTTTCACCTATATCCACAGAGACAAACACATTCCAGGAAGGGTACACAGTTAACTGTGAATTCAAGACCATTTTTTCCTCGCAACGAGTCCAGATGATTCAAAACTCTAGTCTTAAAATTGTGGAGTCATCCTGGACTCTTCTTTTTCTATCACATTCCATCTCCATACTACAGGAAATCTTGCTGGCTTTGCCATAAAAATATGTCCAGAATCCAACTATTGCTCATCTCCTCCCAGTTTTCACACTGGTCCAAGTCCCCAGCATCTCCCACTTGAGTTATGGCAGGAGCCTACCATGAGACCATGTTTCCACCCTTGTCCCGAGGCAAGACATTCCCAATCCAGAATGGTCCATTTAAAACTTATTTCTGATCATTTCACTTATCCAATCTAAACCCTGCAATGACTTCTCATCTCACTCAGAGTAAAAGTCAATGTCCTGAGGATGGTCCACAGGCCTATTAGCTCCCGTGACCTACCTGGCCTCACCAATACAACCTTCTGGCTCACCCTCTTTGTCCACAGTAGACTCCAAGCCTGTTCTTCAAACAGGCCCTTCCGTGGATTCTTCCCTCTGCTTAGAACGCTGTCCCCCAGAGATCTCCATGGTGCACTTCCTCAGCTGCTTCTAGTCTTTACTCAAATGTTGCCTGCTCAGTGAGGCCCACCATGTCCATTCTAAGAAAACTGCAACCCACCCTCTGGAATGCTCAATATCCTTCCTTGCTATTTCTATTAAGACTTATTAGCTTCTTGGCCAATAAACACATACAAAAAAATGTTCCACATCACTAATCATCAGAGAAATGCAAATTAAAACAATGAGATAGCATCTCATACCAGTCAGAATGGCTATTACTAAAAAGTCTAAAAACAACAGATGTTGGTGAGGCTGTGGAGAAAAGGGAATCTTATACACTGTTGATGAGAATGTAAATTGGTTCAGCCATCATGGAAAGCAGTTGGGAGATTTCTCAAAGAACTTAAAACAGAATTACCATTTGACCCAGAAATCCCATTACTGGGTATATATCCAGAAGAAAACAAATAGTTCTATCAAAAAGACACACACACTTGCATGTTCATCGCAGCACTATTTGCAATAGCAAAGACATGGAATCAACCCAGGTGCCTGTCAGTGGTGGATTGGATAAAGAAAGTGTGGTACGTATACACCATGGAAAACTACACAGCCATGAGAAGAATGAAATGTCCTTTGGAGCAACATGGATGGAGCTGGAGGCCATTTCCTAAGCAAATTAATTCAAGAAAAGAAAACAAAATGCCACGTGTTCTCCCTTATAAGTGGGAACTAAACATTGGGTACACATGGACATAATGTGGCAACAATAGACACGGGGGACCCCTAGAGCTCAGAGAGACGGAGGTGGGCAAGGGTTGAAAAACTATTGGATACTATGCTCAGCACCTTGATGATGGGATCATTTGTACCCCAAACCTCAGCATCACACTATATACCCAGGTAACAAACCTGAACATGTACCCCCTGAATCTCAAATAAAAGTGAAAAATAAAATAAAAGAATAAATAAATTGAAAAAGACATATTGGCTTCTCATGTCATGTAAACTTTACTTATCTATTTTGTTTTTTTTTTTTTTTTTTTTTTGTCTGTTTTCTCCCACTAACCTGCAAACTCTACCTAGGCAGGGATTTGTTTTGTTTTGTTTTTCACTGTTGTATCCCCAGCACCTACAATAGCACCTGTTACACAGGAGGAGTTCAATACCTATTTGTTGAATTAGTATGTCATCTTTTCAGAAAGACACAGTTGCAGTCCAGAATGTAGAGTGAACAGGCATCAGGCCCTCTCTCCCTAGGCTCTTCCCAGGATGCAGAGAAATTCATAATTACGGGAGCCCAGCTGTGGGCTCAATCAAGCCTTCATGCCTGCTCGTCAGGGTGGGGGATCACTCACCGCTAATTATCCAGGGAAAAGACGGTTGAATTATGTATGGTATTGCTTGCAAAATGCAGCAATTTGCTTAAAATTGGTTAATGTGCGTGTTCAAGGGTATGGATCCTACACAATTTTAGACTTCAGTCTTGTGGGAGTTTATAGGAAAATAGCTTTCAGATAGAAGGAAAAATGAGCTCCAAAATTCTCTGAAGAAATCATCTTTTTCCTCCTTATTTCCATTTGTTAACCCTGTAATGTGCCGATCAACTTTTGGGGAAAAAAGGATATTAAATCAAGATAAGAGATCAGTTTAAGTTATTCCAATGACATTAAAATTACTTCTAACTCTAACATTAAAATTGGGTACCGACTTAGAAACTTTAGCTTAAGTGTATTTTCTCTGGCATGACACAATTTTTTAGGTGTTCTGAAGGAAAAAAGGGTCCAGGCAGTATGTATTAAGTCTGTATGGGTCCAAAGTAAGAGTTGGAAATGTCTCTTTTTGTGCAATTAGCAGTCATATTATGAAACTAAACTTAGAAAGAAGAAGAGGGTTCTAATTGCACAATTTGGTGTAGACTGCTAATCTCATGAAACACATTTTACTGGTGGGCTCATTGAACCTTGTTTTGATTATCCTAAAGCAAAGTAGAGAAACCCATTGCTAGCCTATGAAGCAAAGCTGCGTGTTTTCAAAGAGCACACTTGTGAAGGCAGGTAGGGCCCCTCTTCCACACCCACCAATGTGGCAACTGGTGAGAGTGGACAGCGCATTGTTAGTTGATAAAGTGATCATTTTTAAAAAGGAAAAAAGAAGACAGAAAGATACTGACAAAGAAATTCGGAGGTTCTATGTAGATACACCAAGTTTTACTTCCCACAGAGACTCTGGCTTCTATATGTTTTATGTTGAGTTGAGTTTTAAGTTTCATCATTAATAGAAACTTTGAAATAATAGCCACGATTTATCTACTGCTTGCTAAGGGCCAGACATCAGGCTAAACATCTGTCTCATTTAACCCTCAAAATAACTAGTATAATAGCTAGTTCTCCCATTCTGGAGATGAGAGAAATAAGATTTGGAGAAGTTAAATGATTTGCCTGAGATTATATACTAGAGCTGGTCTTGAGCTCAGAACTATTTATCTCTGAACTCTGTGCTTTTAAACATGATGCCTAACACATTGCTTCTTAACCTTATCAGATCCAACCTCTTTTCATAGCAAATATTTTATGTTCCTTTATTATTCTGAAGTCAAATTAATAGATATTACCGACTAACCTATACTTTTCCTGTTTTTGTTTTTTATTTATGTTTTTTTAATACTTTAAGTTCTGGGATACATGTGCAGAACATGCAGGTTTGTTACATAGATATACACGTGCCATGGTGGTTTGCTACACCTATAACCCGTCATCTACGCTAGGTATTTCTCCTAATGCTATCCCTGTCCTAGCACCCCACCTCACAACAGGCCCCAGTGTGTTATATTCTCCTCCCTGTGTCCATGTATTCTCATTGTTCAGCTCCCACTTATGAGTGAGAATATGTGGTGTTTGGTTTTCTGTTCTTGTGTTAGTTTGTTGAGAATGATGGTTTTCAGCTTCATCGATGTCGCTGCAAAGGACGTGAACTCATTTTTTTTATGGCTGCATTGTATTCCATGGTGTATATGTGCCACATTTTCTTTATCCAGTCTATCATTGATGGGCATTTGGGTTGGTTCCAAGTCTTTGCTATTGTGAACAGTGCCCAATAAATATACATGTGCATGTGTCTTTATAGTAGAATGAGTTCTAATCTTTTGGCTATATATCCAGTAACGGGATTGCTGGGTCAAATGGTATTTCTTGTTTAAGATCCTTGAGGAATCACCCCACTGTCTTCCACAATGGTTGAACTAATTTACACTCCCACCAACAGTGTAAAAGCGTTCCTACTTCTCCACATCCTCTCCAGCATCTGTTGTTTCCTGACTTTTTAATGATTGCCATTCTAACTGGTGTGAGATGGTATCTCATGGTGGTTTTGATTTGCATTTCGCTAATGACCAGTGATGATGATCTTTTTATCATATGTTTGTTGGCCACACAAATGTCTTCTTTTGAGAAGTGGCTGTTCATATCCTTCGCCCACTTTTCGATGGGGTTGTTTTTTTCTTGTAAATTTGTTTAAGTTCCTTATAGATTCTGGATATTAACCCTTTGTCAGATGGATGGATTGCAAAAATTTTCTCCCATTCTGTAGGTTGTATGTTCACTCTGATGATAGTTTCTTTTGCTGTGCAGAAGCTCTTTAGTTTAATTAGATCCCATTTGTCAATTTTGGCTTTTGTTGCCATCACTTTTGGTGTTTTAGTCATGAAGTCTTTGCCCATGCCTATGTCCTGAATGGTATTGCCTAGATTTTCTTCGGGGTTTTTACTGTTTTAGTTCTTACATCTAAGTCTTTAATCCATCTTGAGTTAATTTTTGTATAAGGTGTAAGGAAGGGGTCCAGTTTCAGTTTTCTGTATATGGCTAGCCAGTTTTCCCAACACCATTTATTAAATAGGGAATCATTTCCCCATTGCTTGTTTTTGTGAGGTTTGTTGAAGATCAGATGGTTGTAGATGTGTGGTGTTATTTCTGAGGCCTCTGTTCTGTTCTTTTGGTCTATATATCTGTTTTGGTACCAGTACCATGCTGTTTTGGTTACTGTAGCCTTGTAGTATAGTTTGAAGTCAGAGAGCATGATGCCTCCAGCTTTGTTCTTTTTACTTAGGATTGCCTTGGCTATACGGGCTCTTTTTTTGGTTCCATATGAAATGTAACGTAGATTTTTCTAGTTCTGTGAAGAAAGTCAGTGGTAGCTTGATGGGGATAGCATTGAATCTATAAATTACTTTAGGCAGTATGGCCATTTTCATGATATTGATTCTTCCTATCCATAAGCATGGAATGTTTTTCCATTTGTTTGTGTCCTCTCTTATTTCTTTGAGCGGTGGTTTGTAGTTTTCCTTGAAGAGGTCCTTCACATCCCTTGTAGGTTGTATTCCTAGGTATTTTATTCTCTTTGAAGCAATTGTGAATGGGAGTTCACTCATAATTTGGCTCCCTGTTTGTCTATTATTGGTGTATAAGAATGCTTGTGATTTATGCACATTGATTTTGTATCCTGAGACTTTGCTGAAGTTGCTTATCAGCTTAAGGAGATTTTGGGCTGAGAAGATGGACTTTTCTAAATATACAATCATGTCATCTGCAAACAGAGACAATTTGACTTCCTCTCTTCCTATTTGGATACGCTTTATTTCTTTCTGTTGCCTGATTGCCCTGCCCAGAACTTCCAATGAAAAGTACCCTAAACATAGTGAAAAGGAGAGATAAAAAGAAAGTAATTTATAAAAATAATGTATATTCAAGTATGTAAATAATCAAGCATGACCACATTAGAAGATATAATAATGTCATCAGGCACTTGCATGTATGTGGAGAGTCATTATGAATGTAAATATTATGAGCAGTGTTGCCAGAGGCAACATGACTTTCTGAAATAGAAAACAATATTTGGTAAGGCTCTGCGAGAAACAAAGTGCAACTTTCCCTCCATTTATACAATAGTTGTATTCCTGGAAAATTTAATAAATATAAAAGTCCATTTTTGTTGTTTATACATAAAGCATATTTTAGTTATAGAGGCTTAGATTGTGAATGCTAAGTGGGACTTCTGAATGTCAAAAAATGCAGCACTTCTACCAGCTAAATGCCACTGGGGGCCTGCAAATTATTTTAACAGCCAAGAAGAAGGAAAGAAAGAGAGGATGAAAGAGAAAGAGAGAGAGAAAGGAATGAGGAAAGGAAGGAAGGAAAGAAGGAAGGAAGGAAGAAAGAAAGAAAGAAAGAAGGAAAGAGAAAGAAAGAAAGGAAAAGAAAAGAAAGAAAGGAAAGGAAGAAAGAGAAAGAAGAAAGGAAAGAAAGAAGGAAAGAAAGAAAGAAAGAAATCTTTCTCTTTGAAAGAAGAAAGGAAAGAAAGAAAGAGAGAGAAAGAAAGAAAAACTAAAAGCTCAGCAGAAAGCCCCACTGCAAAATTTCAAAACACTCCTAAGGGGCAGTACCACTCCCATTAAGAACTACTGGCATAATTTAGACTTTTAAGAGTTCAGACTACTGAAAGAAAAAAAAATTCTGTTTTCAGAAATTTCAGATCTCTGTGAAATTATATCAAAGCATTCTTGAATCACTCTTCAACTTTGAATGTTCCATCTTTCCCACATATCCATTAAGATGAGGCAGACTAAACAGGCACACACAGGTTCTCCTAAGACTGAGTAAGGATGGGCACCCATTGAATACTGCCACACACACACATGTGCGCACACACATGCATGGACACACACACACCCCCTAACATACACTCACACACCTTGCCCTTCACAGCTTAGGATGTTCTGCCTACTTGATCAGCTTAACTTAAGGTGCAAGTTACCAGATATAATTATACACACTCCAAAGTCATTGATTATTTCAATGTCTACGTTTACGACAGCCCATCTGATTGATGTAGAAATTTCCTTTTTTAAAAAGCCTACATAAAGTAACAGAGAAACCAAAGATATACCTATAAACTTATATAGTTACAGCCTAGTTAAGGGACCACAGTTAAATACATTCCATTCTTTGCTCTTGGACACCGTAGAAGACATAGTCATTGCCCATCCAATATTCCATATGATTCATATAATTTTCCAGTTTCCCTTGTAGTTAAGGTTGGGGTCATGTGAATACTTTTGGCTAAGGCTGTGTAGAGAAATGATATATATGTCACTTCTAGCATGGGTGCTTAACAAAGGCGTGAGTTCTTCATTCTCTGTTTTACTCTGCCACAGCAGATTAGAGAGCTGTTTCCTAGATGGCATAAGTTAGTGAAGTCTCCATCTCTGAGTAACCTTCACTAAATTGCATCATGAAATGACTTATGTGGAGCACAGTCCCCACTAACTCCCACTGGACATGTAGCATGAACAAAAAATAAAGCCAAACAAAAATAAAGCCCACTGAAATTTGGGACTTAACTGCCTACCTTAGCCTAGCCTAGCCTGTCTGATAGATGCACTTTGTTAATAATTTAATGAGTAAGAAGGTGCTAGTATCCTGGATCCTCTCTTCCCTACCCACAATGCCACTGCATCTTGCCTATCTTTAGTATAACCTATGCTTTTGAGTCAAATTCTGTGGGTAAACATTACAATGGCCAATAAATCTGATTCTTAGAAATAATCTTAAATATATTATATATTTATGAACTAATTGTTTTCTCTGTTTTAAAAATCCCCTTAATTCATGTCATTTATCATTAGCTTATGATGAAGGACAAAAGCACAATCAAACTATAAGAGAGGTAAGCTATTTTTAATGTATAATTGTCTGGAGAAATTTCCCAATAAAATTTAACAACATGCTCAACTAATTTACCCTGCGGCAAAATCATTTAAATATTTTTTACTCAAACTTTTAAAATGATTTTAATAATTACTTTTACAGAGAAGCTAGAGAATATATCATAAACAAACTATGTATAAAATTATTATAGTAAATCTTATTTTTATTTCCTTTTGAAGGTTGTTTTATCTTTGATATATAAGACAGCATGATCCAATGGAAAGAACATGGGTTTTGGAGTCTGTATTAAATGGGCTTTTAGAAAGTAAAGGAATTAGTTTCTTTATATACCTGAAAAAGTCCATGAATTCTCTGAGTTCAGGGATGTCTGGATTTTTAATTATAAAAGATATAATTAAGACTAGTCTCTCTCCATCTTTCATCTCTGCTTTCCACTGTGTGGGTGGCCCCATTCTTAGCATGCTCTCTTTGCTTTTGGAAGCACAAGGTTGCCAGCCATCATAGGAATTACACCCTCAAAATTCCAGTGCAGCAGAAAAAAGAGGAAGGTCTCCTTTTTTAATTTTCTAAAAAAAAAAAAAAAAAGCTGTGCAATTCTTTCTATAGGCTGTGGTTGTATCACATGACATTCCTGACCACTGTGCCCACTGCGACATAACAACCTGATGGACTCTACCTGGGTCCCAGACCAACCTGGAGAGGGGCAGTCAACCCAACCAAACCACATGGAATGAGGATGAGGAGGGAATTGCTCCCCAAAGGGTCTCTCACCACAAGGGGGAGAATGTGAGAGAGCAAAAACATGTTTCCACTATAGATTCAGATATTGAACTTGAAACCTCTCAGTATCTTACTATCTCCATGGCCTTGTGTAAATTATTTATCCTTCCTGAGGCTGACATTTTTCATCTGTAAAATGGTATAAATGGTAAAGAATACCAGCTCTCCAGGGTTTGTGTGATGATGTAATGAGTAAAACAACATAAAGCATCCTATTCAATGTGGACTGCAGAAAGTAACATAAAGCATCTGATTCAATGTGGACTGCAGAGAGTACTCAATAAATGGTACTGTGAATCCAGTTCTCTTTGTGTAAAAGAACTGCATGAAACATTGTCCTTTCATAATTGCCATTATAGAAAACTTGGAGGCATGGCTTTCTTTTTGCTTCACTTCACTCAAAGAGGGAATCTCCTTTCCTTGCTCAGCAGGCAAAGGTGGTGCATGTCATTAATATCATTAAAATGCCACCTGCGCTGTGCGTCAAAGCATCTGTGTTTGTTGTCATAATTTACCAACACTTCCACAGTAATTTCTTACTCATTATCAAAAAGTGAAGAGTTATATTTTACTTGATTATAAATATACCTTGTATAATTTCATCATGAAAAGATAAACATGACATTTGCCCTGGGCAATATTCATTGTCTCTTTTTCCATGGCTCCACTCAAGACTTCATCAGCTCTTAGCTTTACCTTCAGCATTGTTTTACTTTTCTACAGAATATGTACTCTGAGACCTAATGAGAAACTGCCATTCCACAGTGTCTAATATTTTATTAATAATAATGGTTTAATTTTGTGGTCTATCACTGAAGTGTTGTTGTTGTTGTTGTTTGAGAAGGAGTCTTGCTCTGTCGCCCAGGCTGGAGTGCAGTGGCGCAATCTTGGCTCACTGCAACCTCCTCCTCCTGGGTTCAAGCGATTCTCATACCTCAGCCTCTCAAGCAGCTGGGACTACATGTGTGCACCACCATACCAGGCTAATTTTTTGTATTTTTAGTAGAGATGGGGTTTCACCAGGCTGGTCTCAAACTCCTGACTTCAAGTGGTCCACCTGCTTCAGCCTCCCAAAGTGCTGGGATTACAGGTGTGAGCCACTGAGCCAGGCTATCACTGGTTTTAAAAACTGGCATTTTAGCATTTCCTCATTAATCTCCATAGTGTAGGTTAGCATTTCTTCTGAAACTTCATTATTTAACCAACACAAAAATCATTTTACAGCCACTTGTTTTTAGGCGTGTGTTTCCATCTTTTCCTGTTGGGGTGGATAAGAGGATAGGGGAAAGCTAAAATCCACCTCCCTCAAATTGACTTGCTGCTGTTTCTGTGTCTGATTGAGGTGCCAATCAGATGCATTCATGCAAGATTTGGGAAGTGGCGGTAGGAAGAAAAACTACACTAATGCTGCTTCCACTATTTTTGCTACAAACACAGTTTGGGGGGATCATGATCCCACTGTCCTGTCACAGGTTTCATGGGTTTTGAGAGGTGAGGCATGAGGCATCCATTTTGCTCATGCATGTGGTCACGGTGCCACAGCCTCATGATTTTAGAGTCCTGGTTGTGGCAGTGGCAGTGTTGTTCTGGAGCTGGTGGCTTCCTGATTGTAGAAAAGGCAGCAGATCCCTGGGTGGCCTGATTCTATAGTGTGGAAACTGATCCAAGAGTCTCTTTCTTCAGCCATCCCCATGATTCTGAAGCCATTTAATAGATCGTAATAATTTTCATCTTGATTAAATTAGTAATGGTGGACACTGTTCCCTGCAACTTAACCCTCAAATTTTATTAAAAATGTCTTCAGTTCTCTATTTATTTCATATGTCATATTTCAACTTGAGATAGTAATTGACTTATCTCTTTCCTAAAAAGTTAAGAAAATTTATCATATAATCATAATCACGGGCCTTTGTTTTCCTTCTAATTTCAAAAAGTCTTTTCTCCACAGACTTTTAAATTATACATGAATAAACGTAAAGGGGTTTTTCAAGGGAAAAATAATAGAAACATCAGCATATTTTTGAAAAGGTGTTTTATAATGACATTGCTTAAAACAGAGATATGTGCAAGATATTGCTAAGATATTTGAATTTTTAAACCCAAATTTTACAACATATAAATTATAGAGAATGAGTCTACCATTTTTCAGGCCAATAGTTGATTTTTCAATAATGTATCAATGGTAATAGGATATCTCCCTAAATGCCGCTATTTTAATGATGTAATTAAGTATGGAAAAGGCCAGAAGGAAGAGGTTGGGGAAGAATGTTAAGGAAAAATATTTGTTTAGACAAGAACTCCACGTATTTGTTCAAGGAAAAGAATCCTATGCGTACATGAACCCTAAGAGGTTTTAAAAGCTGACCATTGATTCCCTGAAGATTGGATTAAGCTTCACAAGTAAATTGGAGAAGTAAAACTACAGTTATTCTTTATACAGTGCTGGGTCGATATAAAACGTAACCTGAAATGGGAAAATGATAAGAAATTCTAGAGGCTCTTATGGATTTCCAATCTGCAATAGGGATCCTTTTGAGTGTGGTATTAGGAGATCACCTTTTCACCTCCCTCCTGGGGAATTGTCCCAACTTCCTTGAGGAAAGGAGACTATGATAAAAAGAGAGAGAGAGAAAATAAAAACCCCTATCATTGGAAAATCTAATCAACAGCCAGTTCACTGTTTCAGCTGTAGTACAGGAGGGAGAAAGAGAAGCATGTATGGAGTTCTGGAAGCCAAGAGAGTAGTTTCTAGGTGGTAGTACAAAGGTACTGTATTTTCTAGAGAGAGCACTGGATGCAACAATTTGCTGACCATTTGGTGACCTCAGAGGAATTTTAATAGATTTTTGAGGGCAGAAACCAGAATTCAGTGGGTTGAGAAGTAAATGGAATTTGAGAAATGGAGACACTAAATGTATGTGCTCACCCTCCTTTTGAGAAGAGGAGTAAAAGAAAGACCGATGGGGCAGCAGCTTGAGCGTTGTACTGAGTATATTTTAGTACGTTCAGTGAAGAAGAGGTAATAAACCTTCAAACGTGATGAGGGTAAAAAGTATTTCTACAAGAGTATTGCTCACCTCTTTTCCTTCTCTCTACCTACAGTGTCAAAATTGGATATTTCTTGCTTCATAGCTTCACCACTGCCACATATCTGGTCCTTATTCTATAAATTGGGCTAATTGGTGAAAAAACCCAAGACTCTCGGATGAGAGATTTGTGTCTTGTACGCATGAATGAGAGAAAAAACATTAAAGAGGGAGAGGGGAAGACAAGAAGGCCATACAATTGGGGAAAACTAACAAAATATTGGTAGAGAGGGAAGGGTAAGGAGGGAAGTTTAAAACAGTATAATACGAATGAAAGGGATTTTAATAAACATTGTCATGGATAATGAATTGGATGCTTTTGCGAATTCTTTGACGGATACGAGTAAATAGTGGAATTGCTCTAAGTGTTGAGTGATACTCACACTTGGCATGTCATTAGATTAAGTCTCTGGTAGTTGTCCAGTTACTAAGGTTATGTAGCAGCCCAAAACTTAATGACGTAAAACGATCAGGAGCCTACTGAGGCTGTGTGGGAATTATATTGTCAAAAAAACTCAGGTTTTAAAACCTTTCACTGTTACAGCTTTAAAACAGCCTTCGAGTCCCCAAGCTTGCATTAGCTCAAAGTGGGCTATATGGCTTTCTAGGCCTATTTTGGATGTGAGAATGGAAGAAGCTAGATATGGAAGAACTTCCTGAAGGGAAGAGCAGGGGCTGTGAAGAATAACGGACAAAGGAGTTCCTTGCAGAGTGTAGAGTCTGTGTCAAATCCATCTACACTGGGCACAAGATACTCTACAAATGTCTACGGAATTTCATCATTGCTATGGACCAATGGCCATTGTATGTTTTCCATTCTTCACTTTTCTGGATGAGAGTTCTATTACAGTCATTCTGTCCGTGCTCTACTATTGTAGAGAATGGGGGGCATAAAGTAGCAGAAAACCTGACTTTTTAGTTCATAGGTCGCATGATCATTCGAAGCCACATACAGATCTAACGGCGAGGGTAGCTCATCACCTGGAAATCCTGGACTTAGCACTGGAATCAGTAACTGAGCAGAACTTTTTATTGTCTCCCTCTCAGAGGTAGTGAATGTCTTCCCTTTGCAAGGACCTGATGGTTGGAGTGTGACTACGAAACAAGCCCATTCTTCCTTCTTCTAGGAACAGGCTAGGCTGTGTTTCTCAGCCTGCCTTGCAAGTGGGCACGGCCAGGTGACTGCTTTTTTTCCAGTGGAATGTAAGTGGAAGTGCTGGGTGTCTCTTCTGGGACAAGATGGGTTAAGAAAGCAGGTGTGCTTTTTCCACCCTCTCTCTTTCCACATTGCTTACTGAAGGCAGAAGATTCTGACACACTAGGGAAGGCCAAGTCACAAGATGAAAAGAGATGATCTCTGAATGATTTTACTGAAGTCACCAAACAGGAACACTAACATTGGACTAATAAGTGAGCAAGAAATAAAATTTTACTGCATCAGGTCACTACAATTTGAGGACTTACTAGTACAGCATTTAGTTAATACACAGGCAGATACATGAAGAAATCATTGGTCTATCCAGTGATTGTTTTGGTTTTCCACCTAATTGAAGTCTGAGGCCATTGATTGGGCATCTGCCAAAAAGGAGATAAGGCAGCAGTGCTCTTTATAAGACTAATATGCTGATTAATCAGATTGCTTTTTCTGGAAACTTTATTTACCCTAATAAACAATAATGCAAGTTATGTTAACTTGTTCAGTTTTTTGAATTCATATATTTACCATCAATACTCAATGACTTGAATTGTTTTATTTTAAAACTTGAATGTGTGCATTATATAAATTTAAAGCAACATTCCCAAGCACTGAAAGAAAAACTATTTGGACAAAACAAATGAATGTTTATTCTCTTATTGATAGCATCAGGTTTCCTATTCAATTACGATGGTACAGATCAATGTTTATCAATCCCTTCAGCTGCCTTCCTGACAACTCTGATGTCCCAGCTTTGTCTTGTTTCACATTTACCTCACTATTCTCAGTACCCAGCAATATGCCTCACTCATAGTAAGGGCCAAATTAATATTGGGGAACTGAACTTAATTTGAAAATGTGAAATTACAAGTGATACAGGAGAGGTCTAAAAATCCTTTAGGTGTTTATCCAGTAACATCAGTTTTATTCCTTCAACATCAGTTTTACTCCTGGAAAAGTCATTTTATAATTGAAAGAACATTTTTGCTGGTGATTCATTTGAAATTTCTCTACCTTTCATTTCATCCCATTAAATTTTATGGAGGTTTTTTGTTTCATAATTTAATACTTAAAAGTGCTTGGGATATTGAGTCACTATGGAAGCTTTTAACTGGCCTTAGGATCTTATAGGTGAGTAAAAGTTACTTCATCCTGTTCTTACAGTCAAAATCATTGAAATTATTAATGTTGTGTTGTGTCTTCTTAAACTATTCTTGGATCATTTCTAGTCCTCATTCTCAAGGTATGGCATTAATAATCCTATAATTAACAGAACAAGGAGCCAAGGTTAAAACGATTTGTCCCAACCATTTTGCAGTCATGACAAGGCTAGGCTGAGAAATTGAAGCTTACAGCACTCTTCTGCCTCTCACTCTTTCTCTCTGGTGCCTAATGCCTCACAGCGGCATTAACTCACTGGTGTCATTTAGCACACTGAAGGATGATTTGCTTTTCTCAGCATGCCTGGTGCATCAACAGATGCCCTCTTGGCCTTAAAATGTCAAAGTATCTTCCCAAGTACCTGACTGCCCATGAGTGACAGATGCCAGGAGAACAGAACAGTGCACACTTCAGGATCATCAGGCTTAGCCTCTGACCCATGCTGCTCCGTATTTTCTTTTCCCCAGACTGCCTCATGCATTATAACAAATTGCATTAGCATTGAGGAGTGTTTTTCACTCTTTCACCTGCTAAGCCTATCCCATATTAATTCCTCTCTCTCTCCTTTATACCAGCTAAAATATAATCCTCCCCTGGGAAACTTCATCTTCCTTCAGAAGGCAAAGGCATGAAGTAATCAGCCATAGCAGGGTCATAAACACCCACAATGGCTGACCTTCTGTACCGGATGCGGTAACAGGGATAATTTTTGGGAACCACTCTGTCCAGTCATTCTCAAAGCTGTCTGCACCCGAAAATTCCCTTGTAAGCTTTTTGGTTTTGTTGATAGTTTGTTAATTTGGTCGATAGACATGTTTAGAATCACATATAAAATAATGCATTAATTTAGAAATACTTTTTTTCCCTTCAATTTCATGAAATCACTTTATGTGCTTCTGCTACATCAGCATCTTTGTTGTATTTTGATTTATTAATGCAGTTTTCCAATGCATATTATCTTTACATCTAAGTTGTTTGAGATTCACATAGCAATTTTAATAATGTCTGTATAGGATATGTTGGCACTGGAAAATTTATGGCCCAAGCCACCTGTCCCAATTTATACAACCTTAGAATACTTCGTTGTGGCAGCGGTGGTTTCTGCCCCTGTAGATGTATATCCACACTTCACAGTGAAACAACTAACTGTACTTTTATAGTCATTTTTTAAAGGCTGATTCACAGTGACACCCAATATTTGTAGATGTGAGGTTCTATTCTTGGAATAGCTACTAAATCTGAGTTAAATTTCTTTCCTACTTTTTTGATATTAATTTTTGTTCAGCTGAGTCTGTCAGGTGACCTCTACAAGCATTGTTCCCAGCTTTCAAGCTACTGTATTTTCCCCCAAATAGTACAGTGCTGTCAAAATAAAGTAGTCAAGAGAGACCCCGTGGGATGAGATACTTTGCAAAGACTTAAATAGGAAGCTGCTCCTTCGTTTCCAAAGGATCATTTTGTGGGGGGACTCAAAAGCTTTTAAAATGTTTAGGTCAATGGTATTTGATCCAAGAGCTCTGAAATATGGCCAGGATATATGAATTTTTCAAATGCGTCTTATAGGACTTTTATGTAGCCATCCCAGAACAGGAGTACAAGAGCTTGTGTATGATGTGTGTGTGTGTTGGGCAAGGGCCTCTTTCCATGCCACTTCCCCTAGCCCTTCCCAAAGTAAGCAATGTTATCAGTTTGGTATGAATACTTTCATACTTTTCCTCCATCCCTAGCACATATAATGTGTGTGTGTATATATACATATATATGTATGTGTGTGTGTATATATATATATATGTATGTATGTTTGTTCAGAGTTTTCTATATTTTAAGAACATGGAATATTATAAATTACTCTGTAACTTTTTCTTTAACTTAATATTTTCTCAGAGACTGGCCTTCAAAATACATATGCCCACATATGCATGGGTTTCTCAACCTCAGCATTATTGATATTTTGGGCCAGACAATTCTTTGGGGTGGGTCTCCCATGCCTTATGTTTAATGATATCCTTGACCTCTACACACTAGATACCAGTAGCACTCTGCCCCATTGCAACAATAAAAAATGTCTTCAAATATTTCCAAATATCCCCTGGGGTAGGGGAAACAAAAATCACTCCTAGCTGAGAATCACTGATAGAGAGTAACTTATTCAACCATTTCTTTAGTAATGGAGATTCAGGTTATTTTCTGTTTTTTCCTTCACTCTCTGCCATAATATCCCCATATATGTATCTTTAAATCATGTTGCTTCTGTTTCTATAGGATAGATTACCAAAATGAGATTTCTGGGGATTTCTATAAGCATTGTTAGCTTACCTTCCTAACAGCTTGTAGCAATTTACATATACCCACCACGATGTCAGAAAGTATCCCTGCACTCTAACCAGCACTTAGCAGTAGCTAACTTTTCAAAATATATATATTTGCTGGGCTGGTTATATGCATAAAAATGGTGTCCCAATGTTGCTTTGATGTTTAATTTTCCTGACCGTTTGTGAACATGTTGTCACTTATTTATTGGTCATTTGCTTTTCATGTTCCATGAAACCAATTCATATCCTTTGCCTCTTTTTATGGGTTATTTGTGTTTTTTATTTTCACCAATTTGTAGGAGTTTTTTGCTATGGATAGTCACCCTTTTCCATAAGCATTACAAACCAGTTTTTTTCTCCAGTCAATCATTTATGTTTTGGATTTTATTTTAGATGCAATAATCCTTTTCCCATTTTATAGGGTCAATCATGTGAGGAAACCCCTCATTTAAAATATATTGTGCCCCAGTGTGTGTAGGAGATTGGTTCCAGGACACCCACATAGACCAAATTCAGGCATATTCAAGACCTCCAGTCGGCCCTGTGGAACTCACTTATGAGAAAAGTTGACCCTCCCTATATGCAGGTTTTTAATCTGGGAATAGCGTATTTTCTACCTGTGTTTGGTTGAAAAAAATCTGCTTGTAAGTGGGCCCACATAGTTCAAACCTGTGTTGTTCAAGGGTCAACTGTATGGAATCTAAAAGGGAGAAGTGGCCTGCTCCAAGTTGCATGTTCAGTTAAATGCAGAGCAGAGATAGACACGGATCCTCACCTAGGCCCCCTTTCCTTACCCAGTGCTGCCTTCGGGAAGCTGCTCTTCCCACTCTGCTCTTATTCCACCACACTCCATCTGTGTGTGTTCACAGCAAATGGAATCAATTTGAAAACACAGGACAGCAAAGTGTAATAAAATATCATAACACAAAAACAGCTCACATGCCTTGAGCACGTTTTTTTTTTTTTTTTTATGCTGCCCTTTTATAATAACCCAAACACCTAAGCAGTGCTTGGGGAAGAGACTGCTGTCCCACTGGAGCATAGGCAGGGTACCAGAGACAGAGCAGATGGCTGAGGGGCATTCCTGGCTGGGAATTCTGCCAGCAAACATTGGTGAGGAGGTGCAAAGCTAGTCTGAATAAGACAGCCAGGAGACTAATATGTTCAGATGGCATAATGCCTTTTCACAAACTGCTGGGCTGTTTATTCGTAGCAGAAGGAAATAAGGCTTTTAAAAAGCTCTACCTAACACCTTAAACATCATATTACAGTGGAAATCACTACCCTTTAAGAGAGTGGATGTAGTAGGAAAACATTTCCTGAAATATCATCACATGTGCTAAAAGTATATGTTTTTGAAAACAACAAAAACATCCAAATTTTTATTCTATGTATTGAGATATTGAGCCCCTTGATTTCTGTATGCATGATTTGCAGCACTGTTTAATACATGCCTGCAGCTGGATACCAAAAGAAATGTAGTATGGTGACCATGAGTTTCTGTGTTTAATAGCACATTGAGAAAAATGGAAGTCAGATGGCCCATTTCTGCTGTATCACTCTATTAGGTTTCTGTATGGCTTTGGGGAAGGCAGTCAAAGCATTAATGTTTGTTCATGCCTGGCCATTGCAAACACATATTGATGCAAAGTGAACAACAAACACTGGGAAATTTTAGCTTAGATGAGACATGTTTTTCAGAAGTTTGTCTGGATGACTAAGGCAGTGATTTTCAACCAGGATGGTGGGAGGTGGGTGGAGAAGATATTTTAAAATGACACATTTCACCCAGGATTCTGATAATCCCTTTATAAGGCATCCTATCCATCACCTCCACACAAATGACAATCAGGTAAGCCAATTATAGTTGGAAATGGATAATGCATCTCAGGTGAATTGAGCATGGAAAAGGATTGAGAACTACTGATCTAAAACCTCAAAGAGATTTCTTCAAGTAGAAACCAGCCTGGCAAATTTACAAACACACACACACACACACACACACACACACACACACACACTTCAATGCTATTAATATTAAAAGGCAGCTATAGGCAAGACTGAGCTAGGCACAGTGAAGTGTGCAAATGAAGACTTTTTCTATGTACTTTTATTCAACTTTCAGCCAAAATCCTGAGCCCAACATAATACTATTGACCATACAAATAATTATGGAAGATCTATTAGGGGGAGATTATGCTTTAAAATGTCTAATGGTTGATCCTTACCCTCTGGAGGCTCACAGTCTAATTGATGTACTCAGGCAAGTACACAAAGAGAAACAACACAAAGCAAGGTCTGCCATCCTTATCCTCCCACTGCAAATACATAGAAATAATTCCCACTGGAGAAACCCATAATTACCAAAATGAAGATCAAGAATACAAGGAATGCTGATAACTTTGAGAAATCAATCACTAGAGAGCTAGACGTAGGAAGCCAGATTACAGGAATTCCAAGAGTCGGAGTGGGGTGAATAAAAAGAGATAGTGAGCCTAACTAAAGTATTTATTGTGAAAGCTTAAAATAAAGAGAACAAATAAAGATGATCCTAGGAGAGACCTGGAGATTGTTCACAGAAAGAGCAGACGGTGCTACAACGGGAAAGATTAAGGATGGCGCTGGGGAAGTGGGAGTTCCTGAGGATGGAGGTGGATGAGGTGCAAATGGACAAGCACCTCAGTTGGAGGGCTGGCATCCAGACGTTGTCGTCCAACCCCCACTTTTTAGACTTTTCCTATTTTTTTTCTAAGGGAATTACTCTGCCAGCTTTTTAGCTTGGATTAAGTCAATTTGGGTAAACTTTATTTTTTGAAAAAAAGTATTATTTTCAGTTGTCTTTTTTTTTTTTTTTTTTTGAGACGGAGTTTCGCTCTTGTTGCCTAGGCTGGAGTGCAATGGCATGATCTTAGCTCACTGCAACCTCCACCTCCCAGGTTCGAGTGATTCTCCTGCCTCAGCATTCTGAGTAGCTGGGATTACAGGCGCCCACCACCACTCCCAGCTAATTTTTGTATTTCTAGTAGAGATAGGGTTTCACCATGTTGTCCAGGCTGGTCTCAAACTCCTGACCTCAGGTGATCCACCCGCCTCAGCCTTCCAAAGTGCTGAGATTACAGGTGTGAGCCACCAAGCCCAACCTTTTTTCAGTTTTTATTATCCTTTTTTTTTGTCATTTCTTATTTTATATCTTGTCCATTCTCACTTATTCATTGAATGAATTAGAAAGCAGTTGTTCTTTCTGTTATTCAAAAGGAATTTCTTGAAACATTTATTTATTTACATTCTAATTGACAAAATGTCTTGAAAACAGGTCATGCTAGTCTTCCAACTTTTCTTTTTCGAAGTTGTTTTAGCATTGATATAATCTGTAGTGCTGTTTAACTTTTTGAATATACAGAATACAATTATAATCAGTCTTTTCTACTAATTATCATATTTATATCAGTAAATATTCTTGAGTTTTGTCCTGGGATGCAGTTAAGTTACTTAGAAACAGTTTGATCCTTTCTGGATCTTGCTTTTAAGATGTGTTAAGTGGTACTGGACCAATGCTCAGTCCAGAGTTAAATATTCTTCATTACTGAGTCAACACCCTCTGCATACTCTACTCTGTGCTCCGTGAATCATGAGGTTTTCCATTCTGGATGGTGGGAACAGACACTGTTACATGTCCTGCATGAGTACTATTACCTCTAATTCTCTTAGGTGATTCTCCTCTCAGGTAGTTTCTTCAAGTGCATGTGTTATCAGTACTCACTGAATACTTGAGGGGATCCCTACACAGATCTCTGTAGTTATCTCTCTGTGCAGCATTCTCCTCTTTGATACTCTATCCTGCAAAATGTGGGCGCCTTGGACTCCCTGAACTCTCAGCAATGTTTCCTCAATTCAGAAAATCCATTGTCCCTCCCCGCATCATGGCTTGGAAACTGTCTTCCAGCTTCAGCTTGGAAACAACCATAGGGCCCCCCATATTTGTTTTTGTCTCTCTGGATCACTGTCCTTCATTCAGCATCTTGAAAATTTTTTTTATGTATTTTGTCTGGATTTTTTGCTGTTATTGTCTTTGTTGTTTCAAATGGGAGGGTAACCCAATCCCTGTTTTGCCATCTTGGCTGGAAGTGGAAGTCCACAATATTTTGTAAGGATGGTAAATTATTCATTAAACATTTTCTGGAATTTTAGTTAATTGAACAAATATATAGATAGAGTAAAACCAGTTTGGCTGTAGGTTTTTAAAAATCATGTGAGAAGAGTAATTATGTCGTGTCCCTGGAAGTTTCTTATAGCACAAATGAAAATGTCTTCTCTTGTTTACACAGTGGCAGCAAATCATCATGGCCTGGATTCCAGCCCCGCTTTTGAACTTAGATGCACATTTCCCAGACAATAATCTGGAAGATGCAGTATTGGCAAAGCTTCTATGTGATTCTGATGATTGATCTGGCTGAATGAATCAGTACAGTGCCAATCAGGGTTCTCAGCTTTAGCACTGCAGACACTTTAGGATGGATAATTTTTGTTGGGCCAGGGAGGGAATTGTCCTGTACACTGGGGATGTATAGCAGCATCATGGCCTCTACCCACTAGATGCCATCTTTGCTCTCAGTTGTGACAACCAAAAATGTTTCCCAGAAATTGCCAAATGTCTCCTGAGGGGCAATAATGCCTCTAGCTGAGAAGTATAGTTGCAGATTAAATCTAGACCTTGAGCTGCCAGAGAACAGAAACCGTATTTTATTCATGTCTATAACCCCAGCACTCAGGAGAATGCAATAAGTAAGTGGCTGTGGAGTGAACAAATGAATGAGCAACATAAATGAATGAATACCACCCATCCTGTCTTATAGAACAAGTGTTCTCAAACTTCATGATTTTTAAATTGCCAGAAAAAATTGTATGTAGTTATTATGCACAATTTGATATTTTAAAGTATGTATACATTGTAGATTGACTAAATATAACTAACTAACATATGCACTACCTCACACAGTTATTTTTCTGGTGAGAACACCAAACATCTATCCTCTTACAATTTTCAAAAATACAATACATTGTTGTTAACTATAGTCACCATGTCATACAATAGATCTCTTGAATATATTCCTTCTACCTAACTGAAAATGTTGTGTTCTTTGACCATCTCCCCAACCCCCTAACCTCTCTGTTCTTAATGATCAGTAGAGTTTTCGTTAAAACACAGATTCTCAATCCCACTCCCAGAGAGTCATTGAATAGACATGAGGTGGGATACAGTCATCTGCATTTTAACAAACACCACAGTGATTCCTCAACCAAAATCTGAGAAAGCCCTACAGTACTAAGAAGTATTTGAGGCAAAAATTCAGACTACAGTACTAAATCAGACTACAGTACTAAGAAGTATTTGAGGCAAAAATTTACACTTATTATTTTTACACTTATTAGAAAGTCTCTAGCCATTTTTATCCACCCTATTCAGCCAGCATGTGTAATTTCAGGGACAAGTAAACAAATATTTGGCTCTTCTACAGATCCAAGAATTTGCTTTAAAAACATTCAGCTTAACCTGCAACTGTCCATTACAATACCATTTACCGTGGCGATGTTTACTTTGGAATAAAAATCAGCAGAATGTCAGCTTGGACCTCAGTCTGGCATCTTTTAGTAAGAGCTCTGGGTACAGCCATTGACCAGATTCTGTAATCAGAGCAAGTTCTTGAAGTAGGTTCTGTCTCTGCTTCAGTTCCTCTTTTCAGAACTTATTGAATGGAGCCTTTCGATTTCAGAGGCAGATTTCGATCCAGGTGACTGCAGACCCCGGTTTCTATGGTGGGTACTTCATAGCATTGAAGGGTCAGGGAAACCACTTTAAATAGAAGGATTTTAATGATTACCTATTTATTTTTTTAAATTCCAGTAAATTCTGAGTAACTAACAAAGGCTTTATTTCTTAATATATGCCACTGTCAAGGGACTCCTTGACAAAATGTGTAAATATTTACACATTTTGGTTTGGTTTAATAATTTTCCTACAAGACAGAATGCTTTGGTCAGAGGCTTGTTTTTTTTTTTTTTTTTTTTTTTTTTATTTATTCCTGTAAAGTTCTTTTTGGAAAAGTTTCCATCTCATTTGTGTAGGGAATAAGAATTATTTGCCCACACATCCAGAAATCTTTTGGAGAAGAAAGGGCGTATTGAGCACTTCACAGACTCACTGGTCACAGAATATTCTAAAAGTAACAGATCAAGGATTCACAGAGTTAGATGCCATCTGGGAACTATTACCCTAGCAATGAAAGGGACCTATAGAAGTAAGTAATGCTGATTTGCTCTAATAGTGACGTCATCTGTATTAAGAAAAGATGTGTTCATGATATGTATATGGTTTGGAGCTATCACTTTGCACAATTGTAAGAAGCACCATCCATGTGGTTGGCAGCCGTATTCTGTCTCTCTCAGGGCAGTCTAGCTTAGAAATGTGCCTCCCCGGAGGCTGCAGTGAGCTGAGATCGTGCCACTGCACTCCAGCCTGGGCAACAGAGTGGGACTCTGTCTCAAAAAAAAAAGAAAGAAAAAGAAAAAAAAGAAAAAAGAAAGGTTTGTGCCTCCCTCTGGAGTGGAGAGTAGCCACTGAATATTTTGCTGGCTACAATCTGGGGCCTCTCCAGGGGTGATATTCAAAATACCTAACAATAGTTAATAATAAGTATGATAATATAAATTAATACATAAATCAAATATTTCAACAATTTTTTTCTGTTCTCGAAATCAACTAAACAATAGAGCATACAATGGATTACCAAGCAATATAAATGGTGCAAAATATTCATCAGCATATCATGATATTTTTGAAAAGATGTGATGAATTTTAAATATTGCAGGTATGATCTTTTGTTTGATCTAACTGTCACAGATGAAATAATGCCTCCAAGTCACAGTTTGGTGAAGGGATTGCATCAGACTCTCCCACAACTTCCCTACCAAACTGATCATCATTTGGTCCCTGGCTTCTGACTCTCATTACAGCCAGTGTCAGTGGGCATGTTGCCTGCTCATCACAGCCAGCTACACACCTGATGCCAGTGCTTTCCACATGATATGCACTCAGAGGGTCTGTATCCCAGACCCTGCCAATAATGGCATCCACTGCCCATATCACCAATCCCTCTGACTGGGCTGTCACACGGCAATGCTGGCTGTCGCTGGAGCAGTAGGCAAGACCTACACACCCCTTCTTGCTGCTGTTACCTTGATCCACTCGGTGCCTGCCAGGGGCTGCTCCCAGGCCCAGTTACCTGACTCTGCAGTTGGGCAGCATCATCAAGTGGCTTGTAGGTTCAGTAACTAAGAAATTGCACTTCCTGATGGAGGTGCTTAACCCTCTCAAACCCTCTATTGATCAAATAGCAATTACATTAAGGATTATCTTGCCCATAAAAGACTGCCTGAGACCTTAATATATTCAATATCTTTATTATTACCTAGGTCACAATGTAACAGGAGGCCCATTTATTAAAGGACAGAGTGATACTCTAATACCATCAGCTTGAATTAATTAGTTGACATTAGAAATTATGTTATTAAGAATATTTCTGCTATCGCTATATTATTTACAACTGGCACAGAATTGATTTAAGAGTTTAGCAACTTGTCCAGGGACTTTCCGAAATATTTGGTTTTCAGCTTTCCAAAAGCTTACTGGCTGCCTTGAGTTCCCTGAGGTAATATATGGATTCCATTCTCATAGCCCAGCCTGAGTAAGATGGAAAGGTAGTTTAGTCATTAGTTCATAAGACCCAAAGCAAACCTACTAAAATGGGAAGACTCTACATATATTTGTTTCTATTTTTGAAAGGAGCCTTTTAAAATCTTTCCTTTTGAATGAGATGGAGTATAAGCACAGATTATTAAGTGATAACTAATGAATATTCAAAGAACAGAGTTACTTTATTGTTATTGATTAACTGATACATGCAAGAAAATAATATGATTTCTCTAGGGACAGTGACCATATCTTCTTTTTTTTTTCCTGTGATAAATAATCTTTTTTTATTATTATTATACTTTAAGTTTTAGGGTACATGTGCACAATGTGCAGTTAGTTACATGTATACCTGTGCCATGCTGGTGCGCTGCACCCACTAACTCGGCATCTAGCATTAGGTATATCTCCCAATGCTATCCCGCCCCTCTCCCCCGACCCCACAACAGTTCCCAGAGTGTGATGTTCCCCTTCCTGTGTCCATGTGTTCTCATTGTTCAATTCCCACCTATGAGTGAGAATATGCGGTGTTGGGTTTTTTGTTCTTGCGATAGTTTACTGAGAATGATGATTTCCAGTTTCATCCATGTCCCTACAAAGGACATGAACTCATCATTTTTTATGGCTGCATAGTATTCCATGGTGTATATATGCCACATTTTCTTAATCCATTCTATCATTGTTGGACATCTGGGTTGGTTCCAAGTCTTTGCTATTGTGAATAATGCCGCAATAAACATATGTGTGCATGTGTCTTTAGAGCAGCATGATTTATAATCCTTTGGGTATATACCCAGTAATGGGATGGCTGGGTCAAATGGTATTTCTAGCTCTAGACCCCGGAAAATCGCCACACTGACTTCCACAATGGTTGAATTAGTTTACAGTCCCACCAACAGTATAAAAGTGTTCCTATTTCTTCATATCCTCTCCAGCACCTGTTGTTTCCTGACTTTTTAATGATTGCCATTCTAACTGGTTTGAGATGGTATCCCATTGTGGTTTTGATTTGCATTTCTCTGATGGCCAGTGATGGTGAGCATTTTTTCATGTGTTTTTTGGCTGCATAAATGTCTTCTTTTGAGAAGTGTCTGTTCATGTCCTTTGTCCACTTTTTGATGGGGTTGTTTGTTTTTTTCTTGTAAATTTGTTTGAGTTCATTGTAGATTCTGGATATTAGCCCTTTGTCAGATGAGTAGGTTGCAAAAATGTTCTCCCATTTTGTAGGTTGCCTGTTCACTCTGATGGTAGTTTCTTTTGCTGTGCAGAAGCTCTTTAGTTTAATTAGATCCCATTTGTCAATTTTGGCTTTTGTTGCCATTGCTTTTGGTGTTTTAGACATGAAGTCCTTGCCCATGCCTATGTCCTGAATGGTATTGCCTAGGTTTTCTTCTAGGGTTTCTATGGTATTAGGTCTAACATTTAAGTCTTTAATCCATCTTGAATTAATTTTTGTATAAGGTGTAAGGAAGGGATCCAGTTTCAGCTTTCTACATATGGCTAGCCAGTTTTCCCAGCACCATTTATTAAAGAGGGAATCCTTTCCCCATTGCTTATTTTTCTCAGGTTTGTCAAAGATCAGATAGTTGTAGATATTCAGCGTTATTTCTGAGGGCTCTGTTCTGTTCCATTGATCTATATCTCTGTTTTGGTACCAGTACCATGCTGTTTTAGTTACTGTAGCCTTGTAGTATAGTTTGAAGTCAGGTAGCATGATGCCTCCAGCTTTGTTCTTTTGGCTCAGGATTGACTTGGCAATGAGGGCTCTTTTTTGGTTCCATATGAACTTTCAAGTAGTTTTTTCCAATTCTGTGAAGAAAGTCATTGGTAGCTTGATGGGGATGGCATTGAATCTGTAAATTACCTTGGGCAGTATGGCCATTTTCACGATATTGATTCTTCCTACCCATGAGCATGGAATGTTCTTCCATTTGTTTGTATCCTCTTTTATTTCCTTGAGCAGTGGTTTGTAGTTCTCCTTGAAGAGGTCCTTCCCATCCCTTGTAAGTTGGATTCCTAGGTATCTTATTTTCTTTGAAGCAATTGTGAATGGGAGTTCACTCATGATTTGGCTCTCTGTTTGTCTGTTTTTGGAGTATAAGAATGCTTGTGATTTTTGTACATTGATTTTGTATCCTGAGACTTTGCTGAAGTTGCTTATCAGCTTAAGGAGATTTTGGGCTGAGACAATGGGGTTTTCTAGATATACAATCATGTCATCTGCAAACAGGGACAATTTGACTTCCTCTTTTCCTAATTGAATACCCTTTATTTCCTTCTCCTGCCTGATTGCCCTGGCCAGAACTTCCAACACTATGTTGAATAGGAGTTGTGAGAGAGGGCATCCCTGTCTTGTGCCAGTTTTCAAAGGGAATGCTTCCAGCTTTTGTCCATTCAGTATGATATTGGCTGTGGGTTTGTCATAGATAGCTCTTATTATTTTGAGATACATCCCATCAATACCTAATTTATTGAGAATTTTTAGCATGAAGGGTTGTTGAATTTTGTCAAAGGCCTTTTCTGCATCTGTTGAGATAATCATGTGGTTTTTGTCTTTGGCTCTGTTTATATGCTGGATTACATTTATTGATTTGCGTATATTGAACCAGCCTTGCATCCCAGGGATGAAGCCCACTTGATCATGGTGGATAAGCTTTTCGATGTGCTGCTGGATTTGGTTTGCCAGTATTTTATTGAGGATTTTTGCATCAATGTTCATCAAAGATATTGGTCTAAAATTCTCTTTTTTGGTTGTGTCTCTGCCTGCCTTTGGTATCAGGATGATGCTGGCCTCATCAAATGAGTTAAGGAGGATTCCCTCTTTTTCTATTGATTGGAATAGTTTCAGAAGGAATGGTACCAGTTCCTCCATGTACCTCTGGTAGAATTCGGCTGTGAATCCATCTGGTCCTGGACTGTTTCTGGTTGGTAAGCTATTGATTATTGCCACACTTTCAGCTCCTGTTATTGGTCTATTCAGAGATTCAAGTTCTCCTGGTTTAGTCTTGGGAGAGTGTATGTGTTGAGGAATTTATCCATTTCTTCTAGATTTTCTAGTTTATTTGCGTAGAGGTGTTTGTAGTATTCTCTGATGGTAGTTTGTATTTCTGTGGGATCAGTGGTGATATCCCTTTGTCATTTTTTATTGCGTCTATTTGATTCTTCTCTTTTTTTTTCTTTATAAGTCTTGCTAGCGGTCTATCAATTTTGTTGATCCTTTCAAAAAACCAGCTCCTGGATTCGTTAATTTTTTGAAGGGTTTTTTTTTTTGTCTCTATTTCCTTCAGTTCTGCTCTGATCTTAGTTATATCTTGCCTTCTGCTAGCTTTTGAATGTGTTTGCTCTTGCTTCTCTAGTTCTTTTAATTGTGATGTTAGAGGGCAATTTTGGATCTTTCCTCCTTTCTCTTGTGGGCATTTAGTGCTGTAAATTTCCCTCTACACACTGTTTTGAATGTGTCCAAGAGATTCTGGTATGTTGTGTCTTTGTTCTCGTTGGTTTCAAAGAACATCTTTATTTCTGCCTTCATTTCGTTATGTACCCAGTAGTCATTCAGGAGCAGGTTGTTCAGTTTCCATGCAGTTGAGTGGTTTTGAGTGAGATTCTTAATCCTGAGTTCTAGTTTGATTGCACTGTGATCTGAGAGATAGTTTTAATTTCTGTTCTTTTACATTTCCTGAGGAGAGGTTTACTTCCAAGTATGTGGTCAATTTTGGAATAGGTGTGGTGTGGTGCTGAAAAGAATGTATCTTCTGTTGATTTGGGGTGGAGAGTTCTGTAGATGTCTATTAGGTCTGCTTGGTGCAGAGCTGAGTTCAATTCCTGGGTATCCTTGTTGACTTTCTGTCTCGTTGATCTGTCTAATGTTGACAGTGGGGTGTTAAAGTCTCCCATTATTAGTGTGTGGGAGTCTAAGTCTCTTTGTAGGTCACTCAGGACTTGCTTTATGAATCTGGGTGCTCCTGTATTGGGTGCATATATATTTAGGATAGTTAGCTCTTCTTGTTGAATTGATCCCTTTACCATTATGTAATGGCCTTCTTTGTCTTTTGATCTTTGTTGGTTTAAAGTCTGTTTTATCAGAGACTAGGATTGCAACCCCTGCCTTTTTTTGTTTTCCATTTGCTTGGTAGATCTTCCTCCATCCTTTTATTTTGAGCCTATGTGTGTCTCTGCCCGTGAGATGGGTTTCCTGAATACAGCACACTGATGGGTCTTGACTCTTTATCCAATTTGCCAGTCTGTGTCTTTTAATTGGAGCATTTAGTCCATTTACATTTAAAGTTAATATTATTATGTGTGAATTTGATCCTGTCATTATGATGTTAGCTGGTTATTTTGCTCGTTAGTTGATGCAGTTTCTTCCTAGTCTCAGTGGTCTTTACATTTTGGCATGATTTTGCAGCAGCTGGTACTGGTTTTTCCCTTCCATGTTTAGTGCTTCCTTCAGGAGCTCCTTTAGGGCAGGCCTGGTGGTGACAAAATCTCTCAGCATTTGCTTGTCTGTAAAGTATTTTATTTCTCCTTCACTTATGAAGCTTAGTTTGGCTGGATATGAAATTCTGGGTTGAAAATTCTTTTCTTTAAGAATGTTGAATATTGGCCCCCACTCTCTTCTGGCATGTAGAATTTCTGCCGAGAGATCTGCTGTTAGTCTGATGGGCTTCCCTTTGAGGGTAACCCAACCTTTGTCTCTGGCTGCCTTTAACATTTTTTCCTTCATTTCAACTTTGGTGAATCTGACAATTAGGTGTCTTGGAGTTGCTCTTCTCGAGGAGTATCTTTGTGGCATTCTCTATATTTCCTGAATCTGAATGTTGGCCTGCCTTGCTAGATTGGGGAAGTTCTCCTGCATAATATCCTGCAGAGTGTTTTCCAACTTGGTTCCATTCTCCCTGTCACTTTCAGGTACACCAATCAGACGTAGATTTGGTCTTTTCACACAGTCCCATATTTCTTGGAGGCTTTGCTCGTTTCTTTTTATTCTTTTTCCTCTAAACTTCCCTTCTTGCTTCATTTCATTCATTTCATCTTCCATCACTGATACCCTTTCTTCCAGTTGATCGCATCAGCTCCTGAGGCTTCTGCATTCTTCATGTAGTTCTCGAGCCTTGGTTTTCAGCTCCATCAGCTCCTTTAAGCACTTCTCTGTATTGGTTATTCTAGTTATACCTTCTTCTAAATTTTTTTCAAAGTTTTCAACTTCTTTGCCTTTGGTTTGAATGTCCTCCCATAGCTCGGAGTAATTTGATCGTCTGAAGCCTTCTTCTCTCAGCTCGTCAAAGTCATTCTATGTACAGCTTTGTTCCGTTGCTGGTGAGGAACTTCGTTCCTTTGGAGGAGGAGAGGCGCTCTGCTTTTTAGAGTTTCCAGTTTCTCTGCTCTGTTTTTTTCCCCATCTTTGTGGTTTTATCTACTTTTGGTCTTTGATGATGGTGATGTACAGATGGATTTTTGGTGTGGATGTCCTTTCTGTTTGTTAGTTTTCCTTCTAACAGACAGGACCCTCAGCTGCAGGTTTGTTGGAGTACCCGGCCGTGTGAGGTGTCAATCTGTCCCTGCTGGGGGGTGCCTCCCAGTTAGGCTGCTCGGGGGTCAGGGGTCGGGGACCCACTTGAGGAGGCAGTCTGCCCGTTCTCAGATCTCCAGCTGCGTGCTGGGAGAACCACTGCTCTCTTCAAAGCTGTCAGACAGGGACATTTAAGTCTGCAGAGGTTACTGCTGTCTTTTTGTTTGTCTGTGCCCTGCCCCCAGAGGTGGAGCCTACAGAGGCAGGCAGGCCTCCTTGAGCTGTGGTGGGCTCCACCCTTGGAGCTTCCTGGCTGCTTTGTTTACCTAAGCAAGCCTGGGCAATGTCGGGCGCCCCTCCCCCAGCCTCGTTGCCGCCTTGCAGTTTGATCTGACTGCTGTGCTAGCAATCAGTGAGACTCCGTGGGCATAGGACCCTCCAAGCCAGGTGCCGGATATAATTTCCTGGTGCACCATTTTTTAAGCCCGTCGGAAAAGCGCAGTATTAGGGTGGGAGTGACCCGATTTTCCAGGTGCCGTCTGTCACCACTTTCTTTGACTAGGAAAGGGAACTCCCTGACCCCTTGCACTTCCGGAGTGAGGCAATGCCTTGCCGTGCTTCGGCTCACGCACGGTGCGTGCACCCACTGACCTGCGCCCACTGTCTGGCACTCCCTAGTGAGATGAACCCGGTACCTCAGATGGAAATGCAGAAATCCCATATCTTCTTATTTATTCTTCTTCCAGCACATATGTAAGACTCAGTACACTGAATATGTAAACCAAATGTTTAAATGAGGAAATCAGTGAGTGAATGGATAAATGAAAGCCCCTCCTTAAGCTAGAAGTAGGGGATTGAGGGTTAGGGGAAAGTGCTCTAAAAGTGGGAATAGTATGGGTTTTGGAGCCAAGCAGATCTTGGCCAGAATCCCAGGTTTCTCTGGCACTTTCCTATCATATAGCCTTGTGTGTATCACTTAACTTCTATTTGCCTTGGTTCCAAAACCTAGAAAGTGAAGGTTGTGGGGTGGAAGTAATATTGTAATACTTACATTGCAGAGTTGTCATATAAATGTTAATAAGGCAGATAAAGCTTCAGGCACATAATGAGTGATACAAATGTGGAAACTTTATCACATTACTGGCCACTCATTATTCACTAAAAATATTAATCTTAAAGCATAATTGAACTTATCTTAGTCTATAAAGGACAAATGTTCTCAATATACCCTGAGCCAATGGTCAAAAAATTATATTTTGCATAATTATTGAATTGCTCATGAAATATCTTCAAGAAAATTAAAGCTTTCTGCAAGACAACTGAGAAAACATCAATCATTGCTTCTTTGCATTAATGAATAACTCTGTAACAGCTCAGAGGAATCACATAATCAAGTCAATATGCACCTTTACTTTGTAAATGCTCAGATAAGCCATGGGAAACTTCAATCAGGTCTCCTCCTTTCCAGAAGAAACAGTAGAACAGCACAATATGACATACAAAGCTTCATTTCTCAAAGGTTCCAATTTGGATGTTTCTAAAAAGATGCTGGCTATTTTTTCTTTAGCAATTGCTTTATACAGGACTAGACATTCAAGATGTGTCAGCAGAAGAAATGGACACACCTTGGAGAAAGAAGTGGAACTGATGAGACCTCAAGTCTAATGATCAAGCTTGGTCAGCATGGGCTTGACTTCTGCTCTGTCCTTTATTTCCTGATCAGCCTTCAACAATGAGGACCAACTGTTGCCCGTGACTTGGTTCAGTTCTTGACATTTTGCTGTCCAGTCTTGGAGATACAGCTCATATCTCCTTCATGGGGAGGCTAATCCTACTAGAGCGTGCCAGGTGACCAAGTAGGAAAACTAGGGATCATCTCATGTCCATGTAGTTTGCTGCCTTTAGTTGGTTAAATTTCAGTGCATAGAATAGAAAACATTAAAGCTAGAGGGGATCTTAACTAGCCCAACACCCACCTTGTACAGAAAAGAAATTGAGGCCAGGTGTGGTGGCTTACGCCTGTAATCCCAGCAGTTTGCGAGGCTGAGGTGGGCAGATCACCTGAGGTCAGGAGTTCAAGACCAGCCTGGACAACATGGTGAAACCCTGTCTCTACTAAAATTACAAAAATTAACCGGGCATGGTGGTAGGCACCTATAATCCCAGCTACTCGAGAGGCAGGGGCAGGAGAATCGCTTGAACCCAAAAGGCAGAGGTTGCAGTGAACTAAGATCATGCCATTGCACTCCAGCCTGGGCAACAAGAGTGGAACTCCATCTCAAAAAAAAAAAAAAAAAGAAAGAAAAGAAAAAAGAAATTGAGTCTTCTAAAGAGTGGTAACTACTTATGGAGGATTGCATCAGTGATTAGAAGAACAGTCAATGCCCTTTCCATATGGATAGATGCCCAATCTTCTGTAGATTACTATAGCTTAAAGGGAACTGAAAAAGAGAAAATGGGTATCATTGTCTAACTCATTACCACCAAAATTCAAGCTACATAAGAGGTTAGTAATAGTAATGGCATCTTTTATACAAAGGACAGCATAACAAGATATAATACATGTACGTATATGTGTATTAATTTATAATAAGTTATATATATCTCCTTGCTTCTAAGAAAGAATTAACTCTTTCACATTAACTTTTAACAGTAAAACACATATATGATAGAATAGTTAAAAATAAAGATTAATAAGTGAGACTAGTAGCATATCAACTAAGGAACACAGAAGATAATTAAGTCAGAAAATTGGCAAAAGATAATTAGAATGAGCATTAAATTGAACTCTGAGATTCTTAGCAGCCAATGCAAAAAGGAAAGATAATGGGTTAAAAAGTCATCTGCTATCTGTTTAAAGGAACCACTCCAGTTCTTCCAGTGAAACAGTTTCCTGGTAAGTAATTACAAGAGAACTTTATTGCATGGTTTTTCTTCAAAGGATATCGAATAATGCAACAGACAATGCCTTTGATACCATCATATAGAAGATGCAAAAATGCCCTTCATGTGCCAAATTAGAATATTCACTTGAATAGAAGTACAATATTAAATTCTGTGAAGACTTTTTTGAATTATATGTGTAGGTTGGTATAAGGGAGTTGTCACAGAGGAAGCAAAAATGGAGAGGAAAATGATGTAGCCAGGAGGTAATATTTTAGACCCCAGTTGCTTCTTTCGAAGCAAATGGGCTGAATGTGAACAGTTGCACAACTAAGTGTGGAAGTGCAAGTCTCCCTCAGAAGCCTCTAGTCAGTTGATAGTGATGAGAACTGAGCCCTCATTTACAACTCTGTAACCTCACAGTGCTGGCTACCTTGAGTAGTCACAGGCATTTTGAATGCTACTCTTCTTGACATGTTTTCAAATCAAGAAACTAGGAATACAGCACAGTTAAAAAGCATTTGTTTTAAGAAGTAGCGGAAGTTGCAGTATCATAGCCTACCAAAACAGGCAACTTTTTACTGGTCTCAAGGTATGTGGTTAAAAATTACCACTGTCAAGTCTGAGGAACTGCAGTGTGGGGTGTTGTCTGGCAGAGTAATCAGTGAGTTGAGCTGCCTGGGAGGGGCAGAAGGGAGAGGGCAGGTCTAGGGAAGCCTCTTCAAGCTTGTACCAGGGCTGATTCACTGGCCCATTCTTGTGGGGCTTGAGCAAGAATACAAATAGAAGCCCACATTCTGTTTGTGCAACTATTTTAAAATTATAAATCAAGCTAACCAACGATAGATAAAATACCTCCTATCCTTCTACTTGCATAAATGTACCTGGACTAGAAGGCCAGGTTCAAATGTAAAACCTCAAATTCTGTGACTCACACAGTCAGCTCCTTCTCTTCTCACCTTTGGCTTTAGCCCTGTTGCAAAGGGCCTCATGCACATGTGTGTGAACATCCTAGCCTACATATCCAAGAAATTTTGCTACCCTCTCTCCAGACAGCTAGAAAGCTACCCCTTAGGCCTGCACATCCCTGGGGATGCACAGAGCAGAGCAGAGTTCACCCTAGAGAAGAAGGACCCAGGTAGCAGGACTGCAGAGAGCCTAAAAGCAAGCTCAGGACATCTGGGCAAGGAATTCTGGGATCCCAGGTATTTAGAGACAGCGAATGGGCTCCACATGGACACACATATCTCTTTGGCTGGTAGACCCCTCATCTTATGAACTTTGTGCAGCCAGAGGCGGGTCATAGGAAAGCCCTCTAGCCTTGGTCTGAAGGTGGTGGTGAGGAACTAAATACTGGTTGTAAGCACAATCTAAGTGCAAGATCTGCCCATCAACATTCCCCTCCTCAGCTCCATTGTGCATCAGGGTTGATTCAGCCAATCTGGCTCTCTGATAAGGACCTTGTTGTCATCTTTCATTACTCTATACAAGTCCTTCCTAAAGCTGCACCACAGGACTTCGAGTTTATTCACTGACGGAAGAGAATCTAGCGTCCTCCCCTGGCAGAACTCCCCCCAAAATCCAGAACGCTCCCCCTGCTTTGCCTTCTCACCCACAGCAGCTCCTCTGGCTCCATGTTTCAGGCCCGATGTTTGCCCAGGCTCCTCCATCCCACCTGTGTAGCCTGCCACCCGCCATTCAGGACAGCCCTTGGCTCTGTCCAGGGTGCTGCTCACAGGGTCTGGTTACTCTGGATGTTGTAGCAGTCTTCACTACAAGTCAGTCCCTTGGGTCTGCCTCATTCAGGCCCTTCTTCTTAATAACACCTTAAATATTTCTTTATCTTGGGATTTTACAATGACAAAAAAATGAGTGAGTTAAGGTTACAGGCTTTCAACTAAACTTGAGTTTGAAACCTGGGTCTTCCACTTACTAGCTTTGTGAACTGCAGCAAGTTACTCAAACTTCCTAAGCTTCCATTTCACCATCTAAAAAATGAACAATACTCACTCTGTAGATTTGCTATAGGAATTAGATAAACTGATGTATGTAAAATACTTAGTTCAGTACCTGACACATCAGAAATGTTTCATAAATGTTGAGGCCCTTCCTTCAAAACTATTTTTAAGGAGGTCATTTCCTCCCAAATCTATAGATCCTCCTTCTAAGTCTAGGTCTTCAGTTTAGCATTCAGGGCCCTTTGGCAGTTGCCTCTGTCCTCATCTCTTGTCTGTCCCTGAGATGACTTTCTTGTTTCTGCCAAGTAATTTTCATACATCCCTGCAAGTGACTCACACTTTCTGTCCTCCATGGCTCTGCTCCTGTTATTCCAAATGCAGTGTGTTCAGCCCCTGAACTGTCTTGCCATTGGACCTCCTTTCTCCAATTCCAGGTTTCAGTCTATCTCAAGCCCTACCTCAGTACTCACATCTTCCAAAGAGCCAATGGCTGTCTTCTCTTTGCATTTTCCTTTCCACAGGTGATAGAGTATGTTTCTGACAATCGCTGCAGCTGACCTCTCTGATCCCATACTCTATAGCAATGTGACCTTGCCAAGAAATGAGGTCTATTTCTTCTCCCTTGAACCTAGATGGACTTTGATTGGTTTGGCCAATAGAATAGTGGTTAGATGTGTCTTCCAAGATTTCTGAGCCCAGGCTTTAGGACTGTCAGCTTCCATGATATACCTTAGAATGCTTACTCTGTTAGGCCAATTGTTTTGTTAGAAACCCAACCACCCTGAGACTTCCACGCAATAACGAAGTTTACACTAGCCATGCAGAAAGCCCATTTGGAGAGAGAAGGATGCCTGCCAACCCCCAGCTGTGTTAGCCATCTGTGGCAGCCAGCCTCCAACATGGTTTCAGTGATCCCCATCTCCTGGTATTCATATTCTTGTCTAGTCTCCTCCCATCTAGTACCAGGATTGGTCTGTGTGACCAATAACATATGGCTGAAGTACTTGTGGGTATATCACTTCCAAGGTTAAGGTGTAAAATACTGCTCTGTCTTTCTCACTCCTCACTTGCTCTGGAGAAGTCTAGCTGTCATGGAAGTTAAATAAGTTGTCAAAAGTCACTCATAGCTAGTAACCCAGATTCAAGTTTAGGCTGCAGGATTTCAAAGCCCAGATAATTAACCACTGCACTTTCTACCTCTTTTGGTAAAATTTAGGAGACCCCAAAATATACTTCTCTTATTGCTTAGTAATAATCTCCCAACCCCATTCCACCTCATACACAAGTTAATGCATATTTTGTTTTGAGGTGAAATAGCATTAGCTTTATTATACTTCAAACTTTATTTTAGTGAAGCCAAGTGCCACAGAGTGTATAACTTTAATTATTTATTTTTAATGTTTCCAGTGCTTTGTCCAAGGATTTTGTTTCATTGCTTTGTGTGTATTTGTACATCATTCCTTTTTCCATAGTGTAAAATAAAACAAAGCAAAAAAGTAGAAGAAAGTTTCACTTAGCAATGTAACATCAGGCAGTGCTCCCTCCTGACTTTTATTCCTCCTTATTTCATTTTTCTTTTTCTAATTTAATTTAATTTAATTTTATATTCTGGGATACATGTGCAGCATGTGAAGGTTTGTTATATAGGCAAATGTGTGCCATGTTTGTTTGCTGCACCTATCAACCCATCACCTACATATTAAGCCCCACATGCATTAGCTATTTATCCTAATGCTCTCCCTCCCCCTGCTCTCCCTCCAACAGGCCCCAGTGTGTTGTTCCCCTCCCTGTGTCCATGTGTTCTCATTGTTCAGCTCCCACTTACAAGTGAGAACATGCGATGTTTGTTTTTCTGTTCCTGCATTAGTTTGCTGAGGATAATGGCTTCCAGCTCTATCCATATCCCTGCAAAGGACATTATATCATTACTTTTTATGGCTGCATAGTATTTCATGGTGTATATGTACCACGTTTTCTTTAGTCAGTCTATTATTGATGTGCATTTGGGTTGATTCCATGTCTTTGCTATTGTGAATAGTGCTGCAATGAACATACACGTGTATGTATCTTTATGGTAGAATGATTTATATTCCTTTGGGTATATACCCAGTAATGGGATTGCTGGGTCAAATGGTATTTCTGGTTCTAGGTCTTTGAGGAATCGCCACACTGTCTTCCACAATGGTTGAACTAATTTATATTCCCACCAATAGTGTAAAAGCATTCCTATTTCTCCATAGTTTCACCAGCATCTGTTGTTTCTTGACTTTTTAATGATTGCCATTCTAACTGATGTGAGATGGTATCTCCTCGTGGTTTTGATTTGCATTTCTCTAATAATCAGTGATGTTGAGCTTTTATTCATATTTTTTTTGGCCACATAAATGCCTTCTTTTGAGAAGTTCCTGTTCATGTCCTTTGCCCCCTTTTTAATGGGGTGGGTTGTTTGTTTTTTTCTTGTAAATTTGTTTAAGTTCCTTGTAGATTCTGGCTATTAGACCTCTGTCAGATGGATAGATTGCAAAACTTTTCTTCCATTCTGTAGATTGTCTGTTCACTCTGATGATAGTTTCTTTTACTGTGCAGAAGCTCTTTAGTTTAATTAGATCCCATTTGTCAATTTTTGCTTTTGTGGCAATTGCTTTTTATGTTTTCATCATGGAATCTTTGCCCCTGCCTATATCCTGAATGGTATTGCCTAGATTTTTTTCTAGGGTTATAGTTTTGTGTTTTACATTTAAGTCTTTAATCCACCTTGAGTTAATTTTTGTATAAGGTGTAAGGAAGGGGTCCAGTTTCAATTTTCAGCGTATGGCTAACCAGTTTTCCCAGCACCGTTTATTAAATAGGGAATCCTTTCCCCATTGCTTGTTTTCGTCAGGTTTGTCGAAGATCAGATGGTTTTAGATGTGTAGTCTTATTTCTGAGATCCCTATTCTGTTCCATTTGTCTATGTGTCTGTTTTTCTACCAGTACCGTGCTGTTTTGGTTACTGTAGCCTTGCAGTATAGTTAGAAGTTGGGCAGCATGATGCCTCTAGCTTTGTTCTTTTTGCTTAGGATTGTCTTGGCTATATGAGCTCTTTTTGGGTTTCATATGAATTTTAAAGTAGTTTTTTCTAATTCTGTGAAGAATGTCAATGGTCATTTGATGGGAATAGCATTGAAACTATAAATTACCTTGGGCAGTGTGATCATTTTCATGATATTAATTCTTCCTATCCATGAGCCTCATTTTATTTTTGTATGCCAATATGCATTGAGCGAATTAGCTGCAATCTTAAGCCAAACACATAAATTAATCTATTATGATCCAGAATGCTGCTTTTGGGCTAAGATGTTTGTTTTCTTTCATGCTGCTAATGCCAGTGTTTGGTTGCCTTGAACTTTATTATTTAAATCTATTTTATTTTGCTTCTAGGTATGAGTATAAATAGCGTGGTAATTTGCTGTTTACTTCTCAATTGACTCTCACTTGCAAGGCCTCCTTATTCTGTGGGGGCTAAAAGAAGCTGTGCTGGGGAGAGTTCCTGCCTGCAAAAAGCTTAAATCTAGTGATGGTTAATAGGTTTAGTAGGCTGTCTGAGTGGGACATGGGGAGGGGTAAAAAGGAATTAATTCACTCTCCAAATACTTTTAGAGCATCTATAATGTTGCAGGTGCTAGGTATTTGGAACTCATCAGTGAACAAAACAGACTATGAGTCTGTAGAGCTTACTATAGTGGGAAGAGATAGGCACTAAATCACAAGCTTAATGTATGAGAGTTATCTCCCACTGGAAGGTGACACAAAAAATTAGACCAGGGTGAGGGGGAAGGAAGTGTCTTCTATAAGTCAGGCTATTCACAGGCACTCTTGATTATCAAAATAATCCTATCCTGTAATTGGAAAAATAAGAAAATTCAGGTTTAGAGAAACTAAGACACTTTGATCTTTATAATCCAAAGGCCACCCCATCACTGTACCATGTGATATGGTACAGTGCTAAAATATGCTAAAATAAAGACACAAGGAAAGTTCAATGGAAGCAAATAAGAAAGCAGTGAATTCTGAAGGGGCTTCCCAGAACGCTTCATGGAAGAGGTGACATCCAATTGAGTCTTGAAAGAGGAGAGGGAGGATGATCCAAGAGAGAACTCAGAATACATTTGTATATGTCTACTTCAAAACATTGACTTTTTAGCTCGTATCCACACGATTGTGTAAAGGTCTTACTATCTCAAACATGAAACCTCAAAAAGTTTTCCTACTGAATGGGAATTTATTTACTAAAAGCCAACTGCATTCCACAGCACTACAACATTCAAATAAAATGCCAAGACATAAATAAGCGCTATCATAATAAGGAAGAGAGCAGCCAAGTCAGTATTTTTAAAAGAAAAAAAAAATCCTGAGGCTCTGAGCCAGAAAGACCTCTCCCAAAAAGGAGGTGGCTGAGGCTCAAGCCCCTCCTGAGGGGATGCTCTCAGATGGCCTCTCAACTGCAGTAACTCCTCAGGTCTTAGGGGAGGTCGCAGTATGACTGCCCTTGCTCATTCATTTTCTGTCACAGAGCTCTGTCCGTGGCTTCACCCATTACGGAAATTGGGACTATTTTTTCAGGCCTGTCTTTATTAATTGTAATGCTTTGGCTATCTTCCAAACCATCTTCTTAACTGAGTGCTTACATGCATTTCCTGAAGAATGTGAATTGAATTTTTTCCATTATCTGACTCATGTTCTTCTTAAGTGGATGGCCTTTTTTCTAATGTGTCTAATAATGGCTTTCTTTTTGTATGCTTTTGATTGAAATGTAATGTACATCCAGAGAAGTACAAAAATCATAAGCGTACAGCTTGATGAATGTTCACAAAGTGAACACACTTAGATAACCAGCACCTAAATTAAGAAGCAGAACCTTCCCAGCCCCCCAGAAGCCCTCTTCTTCCTCTTCCAGTCACTGTTTCCCACCCTCAAGAGTAACCCATGATTCGACTTCTAATACAAGTGATTAGTTTCACCTAATTAGAACTTTATATAAATATAAGTGGAATCACATAGTATGTATTATTTTGTGTGTGGCTTATTTTATCCAACATTATGTTTGGATATGCAGTTGCCAATGGCTGCAGTTTGTGTATTCTCAGGTTGTAGAATGTCTCCATGGAGTGAATAGATCACAAGGTATCTATTCATTCTGCTTCTGATGGCATTTGGGTTGTTCCCAGTTTGTGGTTAAACCATTTAGCTGATTGCTTTAAATTGGTGAAAATTATGTGATTGAAAAGAAAAAAATATTATGCTATTAATGGATATTCTATCATTATTAGAGGAATTCTAAATTTAAAAAATTATGCTAGACAGTAAACTCCTTGAAAACAAGGTCTAGATAGAAAAAATAAGTTCAAGAGATCTATTGTATAACATAGGGACTATAGTTAACAATATACCGTATTCTTTTTTTCTTTTCTTTTTTTTTTTTTTTTTGAGACGGAGTCTTGCTTTGTCGCCCAGGCTGGAGTGCAGTGGCGCGATCGCAGCTCACTGCAAGCTCCGCCTCCCGGGTTCACTCCATTCTCCTGCCTCAGCCTAGCCTCCCTGGTAGCTGGGACTACAGGCACCCGCCACCACTCCCGGCTAATTTTTTTGTATTTTAACAATATATTGTATTCTTAAAAAAATTCTAAGAGAGTGGATATGAAGTGTTCTCACCACAAAAGTGATAATTGAGGTAATGCACATATTAATTAGTAAGATTTTGTCATTCCACAATGTATATATACTTCAAAATATCATGTTATACACAATAAATACATACAATTTTTTCTGTTGATTGAATTTTTTTGAGAACTATTAGAGAGTAAGATACATTATGGGAATTGGTTCATGTGATTATGGAGGCTAAGAAGTCCCATAATCTGCTATCTGCAAACTGGAGAATCAGGAAAGCTGGTGATGTAATTCGGTCCAAGCTCAAAGTCCTGAGAACCAAGAGCACCGATGTCCGAGGGCAAGAGAAGATGGATGTCCCAACTCAAACGAAGAGAATGAATTTGCCCTTCCTCTGCCTTTCTGTTGTATTCAGGCCCTCAACAGATTAGGTGATGCCCAACCACATTGGTGAGGGTGATATTCCCTACTCAGTCTACTGATTCACACACTAATCTGTTCCAGAAACACCCTCACAGACACACCCAGAAATAATGTCTTACCAGCTATCTGGGCATCTCTTAGCTCAGTGAAGGTGACACAAAAAATCAATTATCACAAGCCTTTAAAAAGGTGATGAAGTAAAAATGAGATATTAGACTGGGTCATAATCCAGCCTGACTGGTGTACTTGCAAGTAAAGGACATTTTGAGAGCATGAGAGAGAGCTAGAGCCAGAGAGTCAGACATTTGCACACATAGAGGAAAGACCGTGTAAGAACACAGTGAGAAGGTGCACATGTACAAGCTGAGAGGAGAAATCTCAAGAGAAATCAACCTGATGAACCTTTTTCAGCCTCCAGATTGTGAAAAAAAAAAAAATTTTGGGGCTGTTTAGGTGAAAGAAAGGAAGGGGGTGAGAGAGAGAGAGAGAGGAAGGAAGGAAGGAGAGAGGGAGGGAGGGAAGGGAAAGAAAGAAAAAAAGAGAAAAGGAAAGAAAGAAAGAGAGAGAAAGAAAAAGAGAAAGAAAGAAAGAAAGAAAGAAAGAAAGAAAGAAAGAAAGAAAGAAAGAAAGAAAGAAAAAGAAAAGAGGGAGGGAGGGGAGGGGAGGGGCTGGGCGCGGTGGCTCATGCCTATAATCCCAACTCTTTGGGAGGCCGAGGTGGGTGGATCACGAGGTCAAGAGATGGAGACCATCCTGGCTAACATGATGAAACACCCGTTCTACTAAAACTACAAAAAATTAGCTAGGCGTGGTAGTGGGTGCCTATAATCCCGGCTACATAAGAGGCTGAGGCAGGAGAATGGCGTGAACCCGGGAGGCGGAGCTTACAGTGAGCTGAGATCGCGCCACTGCACTCCAGCCTGGGTGACAGAGCGAAAAAAAAAAAAAAGAAAAAAAAAATCAAGGTCTGTATCCAAGGCTACTATGCAGTGGGTTCAGCAAATATTTGATGAATTTATAAATGAACTTTACAGATTTCATTGTTAGGTAAGAAAAATACCTACATAGGAAGCCATCTTACTAATCAATGAGCTTATTGTCAATGGAGATGTTCTAGCAAAGGGTGAATGATGGTTGGCAGGATAATTGAAGAAGAAATTTCTGCAATGGGTATGGGCTGCTAGAAGTAGGTGCCCCCAATTCTAAGGTGCTAGAATTCTATTTAATAAGTTGTAATTACACAAGTAATGTCATTTTGAGTTGAAAGTCAGTAAGAGCAGAGGAAATAAGTTGTTTGTAGGTTATTGGGTTTTGGTGTTTTTATTTTTTGTTTTGTTTTACATTAAACACTTTCCCCAAAGCAGCAAAGAAAACCAGTGTTTCAATGAGTAGCAGCTTTCACTATATGTTGATTTTGCTTAATTTTCTTGTTTATTTTGTAATAAAACTTCTATAGTTACATCACGTGGCTTTAGTGATATTATTGTTTCTACTAAAACAAAACAAAATTCTCAGTAAAACAGTACATCATGACTATGAAGAGCAGAAATTCAGGAGCCAGACTGCCTGGGTTGAATCTTACCTAGTTCCACTACTTATTAATTGTGTAATTTTGAGCAATTTATTTAACTTCTCCATGCTTTGAATTCCTCATTTGCAAAATGTGGCCAATATGGTGCCTACCCCATAAAGGCACTGAGAGGAATAATCACCTAAGGTGGTTGAAATAATGCCCAACACATAGTAAGCATTTGATCAGCATTAGCCTTTGTTATAAATGCTGTCACTCATATTGTAGACATTCGTTACATACTGCCCAAATATTTAATTAATATTCATGAAAATGCTTAGTGTTAAAGAGATGCTATAAATTGTACTTGGTTTCAATGTAGGGTGATCACCTTTTCTTTCATGACTAAACATGTCAGGGAGGTTAAAGAGAAGTACACAAACCCAGCAGGATGACATCACTGGTATGCATGAAAGAGAATGTGCAGGAAAATCCTTGGTGTTATCTCTAGAGGATCTTCATTGTCAGAGCCTTGGAGATCCTGAACTAGATAAAATGAGCCCCAGGTAACAACAAGGTTCCCCCACAAGGGCTGGAGAATGTTGGAATATGCATGGATAATGCAATGTTCCTTCACTCATTTGTTCCTTAGTAATTCATCTAATTCTTGATCTCTCTCTCTCTCTCTCTTTCACTCTCTCTCTTTTTCTCCTATAAAGGATCTACCACCTTAGTACTCTCTACCCAAAGCCTCGTCAAAACCCTCCGGAGCACTTAAAGCTCTAGTATTAAACCTGTTCATAAGCCTCTACTTGTGTTCATTACATTTTATCTGTGTGTTCTGGAACAGAAGTGTCAAAAGGAGGTGATCTGTAACAATTCAGAATTGTACCAAGAAACAGAGTAAAGCCAAGATGAATCTTTAGTTTGGAAGGATGTGATTTTCTTCCTGTTTATCAAATATAGATAAGTTACTTTCTAAGGGAAAGCTACAGGGAGGAATACGTCCAAATCTCCTTGTTTTTGACTGGAATAAAAAATAATGATAAGCAAGCCAGATTAAAAAGTAAAGTATGAATACATATGAAAATTTAAAATGTTTGTAGTTTTCAAAATTAAAAATACAGTCAACACAAACAAAAATTAAACAAGGAAAATGTGCAGCAAATGTAATGAGTAAAAAGTATCTTTATAAAATATTCATAGAAAACATTAACAAAAATGTAGACCTTAATAGTCTGTGAGTAAAATATTCACAGAAAATGTCATTAACTGCTTAGCTAATATAAAAAAAAGTTCAACAACAATAGTAATAAAGAAATGCTAACAAAAACAACAGAAAACATTTCTTTTGATGAAGATTCTTGGATTAATGTGTTGAAATAATAATACTCAGAGGTGTTGAAGATGGACACAGTAACTGTGTAGATGAGAGACTAAATTAGTATATTCTTGGATTTAATTTTTAAAGTATGTGTCATATAGATGTTCATTACTTTATGCAATAATTCCACTTCTGTAAATCTATTGTAAGTGTTCAAAAATTTAGCAAAACTTAATCAACAAAAATATCCATCAGTGTTATGTAGACAGTGAAACAGTAAAAACCACTCAAAATTAGAAGAATTATTATGTATTCTATTAAATACAACTATGAAAAATAATGTTTACATAATTTGCAATATAACAGAAGAGCTCTACAATAATGTTAAGTGAGAGGAGCAGGTCATAAAAATACAGCATGGCTGCAATAATGCAAAAACTTTGTTAAAAACTAACTTTCATAAATTCATAAAAATCTAACCATCACACCCAAAAAACAAACAAAATATATCAAAATAGCAAATAAACAGTGGTTTCTGGGTGGTGGGACTAGGAATAAAGTTTTCCTTCTTTCAATTGATCCATGATTGTATGCATTCTTTGAATGATCTCTAATAAGGATATTTACTTTTCATATTAGAAAAAAATGAGGGTAATAATTGAAAAAGTAAACTTGTGAGGAAAGGAAAATATCGAACTGTCACTTCTTTATTCTCTGCAGAGTAATAGATCAATTTTATTGTCTGCAAAGTAATAGATCAATTTATTTTATCTTCATTGTAGCCCATGATCAGCATGTGGAGCCTGCATGTTAAATCCAGGTCATCTCCCAAAGTTTCCCTCTAGTATAGCATCTGGGTCTGCAAACCCAAGTCTTGACACCATTGGGAGCTATATTAAAAACTGAAAAGAAACCCCAAGGCTTTTAGTGCTTGCTTTTAAAGGAAAATGTTCCTTCTTCCAATCAATTCTGAGAAATTTTTAAATTTCATTTTTCTAAAACATTAGAGTTTCAGTTATATTATTGATTAAACATCTTTTGAGTTTTGAGATCAGTGTGCTTCAGAAAGAGAAAGCTTTAAGCATATTTAAATTCAGAGATTGCAGGCATAAGGTAAAATTCTGCTGTCTCATTTGTTAGGTGAATTGCCTTCATGATGGGCAGGCTATAACAGAGAGACAAATAAAGAAGGGACTGAAGAATTAAAACTTATTAATGGCTCCTGGCTGACTTCTATGGAATGATGGGCTCCATGTGGCATCAAAGCCTCCTAAGATTCTGAAGCCCTAAGGTGCTGTGACTACCAGGGACTTGGGACCTGGACCTAGGAAGAATGCATGTCTGTCGTGTTTCATCCTTTTGAGCCCGTCTGATGGCCAGGGTGCTGGAGGAAAGGATGTGTGTCACACATGGCCTGTGCCCAACACATCATGCTGCTGGCTTCTCAGACTCTCTAAGTGGGTCCTGACCAAGGTCTGTCATCACCAGCATAGGTTCTTATTAACACTCAGTCCCTACAATATCTCCCTTTTGAAATCTACTTTCTTTCAACAAAGCAACTCTGAAAACTAGCTGTTACTTCAAAATAAAGTATAAGAAATAAATTCTGACTACTATAATAATGTTTATTAGCCTCTCTTGGAGGGTTTATAAGTTATATATAATAATCTACTATTATAATATTATATATTAGTATTATGTTAACATTCAAATATTAGTCCAAGATTTTTAAAAAACATTATAACAAAATTTCAGACATGGTGATTAAACCAATGGAGGAGAGCTTTTCTGAGTCAGGACTTCCCGCACATTCCATACCACACTCCGTATTCTGGCTTAGCCCAGAGGTTGTACAAGACATCTTAATTCCTAATTTTTCAATATGGGCCAAAAAAAAAAAAAGAGTAGAATACTCAAGAACTTCAGAGAGCTATTGCGGATTCTAAAATCTGTAACAAGCATCCATGCCTGAAGAAAGCTGACCTTTTTTGTTCCAAGTGTCATTTGTCTTTTCAGCTCAGCACTTCAGGTTACACGTCTATGTCACTTTGCTCAATAAAACTCCCAATTGACACAAGTTCTGTGATACAATGCTAGTCTCTGGAATTGAAATAAGGGAAATATATTTTTAGTCCAGAACGTGTGAGCCATCAGACCAAATATCAGATACTTTGATCCTATGGTTCTGGAGTTCCATATCATTCAGCTTCTAGTCGTGGACTGGGAGAAAGCGAATTGATTAACGTGTGACAATTTATGGTCTGTTTAAGCTATACTAGTCAAAGACCAAGTGTGATATTTTCATTGTCCATAATTACTTTTTAGGAAATGATACTATGATGGCTTTCTCCTTTACAATAAAAGAAAAAAAAGATTCTATCAGTAGTTCCGGTTTGGAGCTATCATTTTGTCAAACATCCATGGTGTTTTTTGTTTGGATTGGTTTGGATTTTAGGCAACTCAATTGTGCTTCCTTAATAGCAGTTCTCTGTTAATGTTGAGATAAGCTTTGAGGAGGCAGTGTGTATCTTGAAGAGATTACTGGATTCTGGGTTCACACAGCTTTGTGACTAGCAAAGTCAAAACTACTAATCTCAGTTTCTCTTGTCCATAAGAAGGTCCATGTATCTGCCCTACAAATCTCATAGGCTGTGGTGAAGATCAAATGTAATATTATATATTAGGATACTATAGGAATGAAAATTATTAATAATAATTTATAATTTTTTTAATGGTTAAAGTAAGTTTGTTGTTGTTGTTGTTGTTGTTTTACTTTAGGTTCCAGGATGCATGTTCAGAAGGTGCAAGTTTGTTACATAGGTATGCAAGTGCCATGGTGGTTTGCTGCAGCCGTCAACCCGGTCATCTAGGTTTTAAGCCCTGCATGTATTAGGTATTTGTCCAAATGCTCTCCCTCCCTTTACCCACCCCCCTGACAGGCCCCGGTGTGTGATGTTCCCCTGCCTGTATCCATGTGTTCCCATTGTTCCACACCCACTTATGAGTGAGAACATGTGGTGTTTGGTTTTCTGTTCCTGTGTTAGTTTGCTGAGGGTGATAGTTTCAAGCTTCATCCATGTCCCTGCAAAGGACATGATCTCATTCTTTTTTATGGCTGCATAGTATTCATTGGTGCATATGTGCCACATTTTCTTTATCCATTCTATCATTGATGGGCATTTGAGTTGTTTCCAAGTCTTTGCTATTGTAAATAGTGCTGCAATAAACATATGTGTGCATGGGTCTTTATAGTAGAATAATTTATATTCCTTTGGGTATATACCCAGTAATGGGATTGCTGAGTCAAACAGTATTTCTGGTTCTAGATCCTTGAGGAATCGCCACACTGACTTCCACAATGATTGAACTAATTTACATTCCCACCAACAGTGTAAAAGCATTCCTATTTCTCCAAACCCTTGCCAGCATCTGTTGTTTCTTGACTTTTTAATAATTGACATTCTGACTGGCATGAGGTTTTATCTCATTGTGGTTCTGATTTGCATTTCTCTAATGATCAATGATGTTGAGCTTTTTTTTATATGTTTGTTGGCTGCATAAATGTCTTCTTTTGACAAGTGTCTGTTCATATCCTTTGTCCACTTTTTGATGGGGTTGTTTGTTTGTTTTTTTCTTGTAAATTTGTTTGAGTTCCTTGTAGATGCTGGATATTACACCTTTGTCAGATGAGTTGATTGCAAAACTTTTCACCCATTCTGTAGGTTGCCTGTTAACTCTGATAATAGTTTCTTTTGCTGTGCAAAAGTTCTTTAGTTTAATTAGATCCCATTTGTCAGTATTGGCTTTTATTGCAATTGCTTTTGGTGTTTTCATCATGAAGTCTTTGCCCATGCCTATGTCCTGAATGGTATTGCCTAGGTTTTCTTCTAGGGTTTTTATTGTTTTGGGTTTTACATTTAAGCCTTTTATCCATCTTGAGTTAATTTTTGTGTAAGGTGTAAGGAAGGGGTCCAGTTTCAATTTTCTTCTTGTGGCTATCCAGTTTTCCCAGCACCATTTATTAAATAGGGAATCCTTTCCCCATTGCTTGTTTTCATCAAGTTTGTCAAAGATCAGATGGTTGTAGATGTGTGGTATGATTTCTGAGGTCTCTGTTTTGTTCCATTGGTCTATAGATCTGTTACGTACCAGTACCATGCTGTTTTGGTTACTGTAGACTTGTAGTATAGTTTAGTGTCAGGTAGCATGATGCCTCTAGCTTTGTTCTTTTTGCTTAGGATTGTATTGGCTATACAAGCTCTTTTTTGGTTCCATATAAAATTTAAAGTAGATTTTTCTAATTCTTTGAAGATGTCAATGGTAGTTTGATGCAAATAGCATTGAATCTGTAAATTACTTTGGGCAGTATGACAATTTTCACAATATTGATTCTTCCTATCCATGAGCATGGAATGTTTTTCCATCTGTTTGTGTCCTCTCTTATTTCCTTGAGCAGTGGTTTGTAGTTCTCCTTGAAGAGGTCCTTCATGTCCCTTGTAAGCTGTATTCCTAGGTATTTTATTCTCTTTGTAGCAGTTGTTAATGGGAGTTCATTCATGATTTGGCTCTCTGCTTGCCTGTTGTTGGTGAATAGGAATGCTTGTGATTTTTGCATATTCATTTTGTATCCTGAGACTTTGCTGAAGTTGCTTATCAGCTTAAGGAGTTTTGGGGCTGAGACAATGGGGTTTTTTAAATATAGAATCATGTCATCTGCAAACAGAGACAATTTGACTTCCTCTCTTCTTATTTGAATATCCTGTATTTCTTTTGTTTGATTGCCCTGGCCAGAACTTCCAATACTGTGTTGAATAGGAGTGGTGAGAAAGGGCATCCTTGTCTTGTGCTGGTTTTCAAAGGGAATGCTTCCAGCTTTTGCTCATTCAGTATGCTATTAGCTATGGGTTTGTCAAAAATAACTCTTATTATTTTGAGATATGTTCCATCAACACAGTTTATTGAGAGTTTTTAACATGAAGGGCTGTTGAATTTTATCAAAGGCCTTTTCTGCATCTGTTGAGATAATCATGTGGTTCTTGTCATTGGTTCTGTTTATGTGATGGAGTACGTTTATTGAAGTGTGCATGTTGAACCAACCTTGCATCTCAGGAATGAAGTCGACTTGATTGTGGTAGATAAGCTTTTTGATGTGCTGCTGGATTCCATTTGTCAGTATTTTATTGAGGATATTTGCATGGATGTTCATCAGGGATATTGGCATGAAGTTTTCTTTTTTGGTTGCATCTCTGCCAGGTTTTGGTATCAGGATGATGCTGGCCTCATAAATGAGTTAGGTAGGAGTCCCTCCTCTTCAATTGTTTAGTTTCAGAAAGAATGGCACCATGTTCTCTTTGTACCTCTGATAGAATGTGGCTGTGAATCTGTCTGGTCCTGGGCTTTCTTTTTTTTTTTTTTTTTTTTTTTTGGTTGGTAGGCTATTAATTACTACCTCAATTTCAGAACTTGTTATTGGTCTATTCAGGGATTTGATTTCTTTCTGGTTTGGTCTTGGGAGGGTGTATGTGTCCAGGAATTTATCCATTTCTTCTAGATTATCTAGTTTATTTGAATAGAGGTGTTTATAATATTCTCTGATGGAAGTTTGTTTTTCTGTGGGATCAGTGGTGATATCCCCTTTATCATGTTTTATTGTGTCTATTTGATTCTTCTCTCTTTATTAGTCTAGCTGGCAGTCTATTTATTTTGTTAATTAAAAAAACAGTTCCTGGATTCATTGATTTTTGAAGGGTTTTCTGTGTCTCTATCTCCTTCAGTTCTGCTCTGATCTCAGTTATTTCTTGTCTTCTGCAAGCTGTTGGATTTATTTGCTCTTGCTTTTCTAGTTCTTTTAATTGTGATATTAGGGTATTGATTTGAGATCTTTTCCGCTTTCTGATGTGGTCATTTGGTGCTACAAATTTCCCTTTTAACACTGCTTTAGATGTGTCCCAGAGATTCTAATACAGTGTCTCTTTGTTCTCATTGGTTTCAAATAATGAAGTAAGTTTTTTGTTTTTTTTTATACTTTAAGTTTCAGGGTACATGTGCACAACGTGCAGGTTTGTTACATATGTATACATGTGCTATGTTGGTGTGCTGCACCCATTAACTCATCATTTACATTAGGTATATCTCCTAATGCTATCCCACCCCCCTACCCCCACCCCACAACAGGCCCCGGTGTGTGATGTTCCCCTTCCTGTGTCCATGTGTTCTCGTTGTTCAATTCCCACCTATGAGTGAGAACATGTGGTGTTTGGTTTTCTGTGCTTGCGATAGTTTGCTGAGAATGATGGTGAAGTTTTAAATAAAATTAGCTTTATAATATAACTGAAGCTGCAGGTCTTTGTTTATAAGCTCAATATCCTAGGTTTGAATTTTGGTTCTGCTGTTAACTAGACATGTGACCTTAAACAAGCTATTTAAATGTTTCAGTTTTCTCACCTCTACTGTATATCAATGCCTATTATCCATGGGTTTTGTGAGTATTATAGATTACATAGTATGCAAAAACACAGAGAAATGTGACTGACTACAATTATTATTATCATAATTATTCTGGGTTAAATGAAGTTAAGGCTTCACCAATTGGACTAATAATTTTGATCAAGGTTTATGGCCAACCTGAAAAATTATGGCAAACAGCAAATATTTTTCCTTGAAACAGCGTGTTTATGAATAATTTGAATTATTCAGTAATTTCTTTTTCCTGTATCCTTTATTTGACAATGATGTACTTTATAGGGACTATGTAACGTCCATTTCTTTATTTTAGAGGGAACTTTTTAAAGGTGTGGTTAAAACTTGTTTAACACAGAGATACTATTATGGCATATTTCATTTCTTCTTTCATTTGCATTTATGTATTTGATAAATCTACTTTGAGCTGTGTCTTATGTCTGGATAAATGCCAGAGGTGCAAGGTGCAGACAGAAAATTGGCTATGGTGAGAGGAGGGGCACCCAAGGAGAGTCCTAAAACTGTATCTACACCTGAGCTTCCTTAATTGAAACGACCATGAATAACTCAGGCAGAGTCTGGGTCTGATGTGAGAATTATGCTCTGTTCCAAAAGAAATTCATTTCAGATCTTTGATCTACCCTGGAGTGCACCAAATTCCCCCATCAACCCTGGAAAAAACTTGTTGCAACACTTCGGTGTTCTACTGCCAGGACAACTTCAAGCTAACTGTCTCTTATCCAATCCTGACTTACATCCCTGAAGCCTGCCCAGAACAAAGTCAGGTTTATTTGCTCCAACTATCACATCTGATTAAATTCTCATTTCTATGGAACTTAGAGTGAAGAGAAATAAATGTTGGCAAAGACATATTCATAACTGCTTATTAGAATAGAGACATAGATTAAGAATCTCTTAAGACCTGAAGGAGAATATTCCAAGTGCTGAATATTCTATCTTTTCATTATTATAAAATTAAATCTGGAACAGAATAAATTGTGAGATAATTTGCCTTATAATAAGAATGTGACTAGAAGTTAGAATTCAAAATTAGTATAGTAAAGCAAATCTAATCACAGTTTACAATATAAATAAGAATAGTTCATGATTCCTGCTGAATACTAAGTTAAGTACATGTAGATTTTATAAAACTCTATTATAATAGCCTTTTACAATACTTTACTATGATCTTTCGCATTTATTCAAATTTTGAATGCTTTAGAATGAATGTATGCTTATCTTTAGAGGTACTGAATGTTTGATTCCAGACCACTAAAAGAAAGCAAATAATGTAATAAGAATCACGTACATTTTTTGGTCTCCCAGTGCATATAAAAGTTATGTTTATACTATATTCTAGTCTATTAAGGATGCAATAGCATTATGTCTATAAAAAGTAGTTTAATTAAAAGATATTTTATTGCTAAAAGATGCTAACAATCATCTGAGCCTTTAGGGAGTTATAATCTTTTTGCTGGTGGAGGGTTTTGTCTCAATGTTGATGGCTGCTGACCACTCAGGGTGGTGATTGCTGAAAGCTGGGGTAGCTGTGACAATTTCTTAAAATAAAATAAAAATAAAGTTTGCTGCATCAATGGACTCTTCCTTTCACAAAGGATTTCTCTGTAGCATGCGAGGATGTTTGATAGCATTTTACCCACAGTAGAACTTCTTTCAAAACTGAGGCAAATTCTCTCAAACCCTGGTTTATCAACTAAGTTTATGTCCTATCGTAAATCCTTTGTTGTCATTTCAGCAATGTTCACAGCATCTTCACTAGGAGTAGATTCCATCTGAAGAAATCCTTTTTTTTTTTCTTTTGCTCATCCATAAGAAGCAATTCCTCACCCATTCAAGTTTTATCATGACATTGTAGCAATTCAGTCACATCTTCAGGCTCCACTTCTAATTGTAATTCTCTTACTATTTCCACCACATCTGCAATTACTTCCTCCATTGAAGTCTCGAACCTCTCAAAATCATCCATGAGAGTTGGCATCAATTTCTTCCAAACTCCTGTTCATGTTGATATTTTGACTTCCTCCTATGAATCACAAATATTCTTTAATGGCATCTAAAGTGAAAAATTCTTTCCACAAGATTTTCAATTTACTTTGCCCAGAACTCTCAGAGGAATAACTATCTATGGCAGCTATAGCCTTACAAAATACATTTCTTAAATACTAAGACTTGAAAACTGAAGTGACTCTGATCTGTGGGCTGCAGAATGGATGTTGTGTGCAGGCAAGAAAACAATATTAATCTCCTTGTATATCTCCATCAGAGCTTTTGGGTAACTAGGTGCATTGTCAATGAGCAGTAACATTTTGAAAGAAAAATTTTTTAATGAGCAGTAGGCCTCAACAGTGCACTTGAAACATTCAGTAAACCACGCTGTAAACAGATGTGCTGTCGCTCAGGCGTTCTTATTTCATTTATAGAGCCTAGGAAGAGTAGATTTAGCATAATTCTTAAGGGCACTATGATTTTTGAGTAGTTAATGAACATTGGCTTCAGCTTAAATTCACTAGCTACATTAGCCTCTAATCAGAGAATCAACTTGTCCTTTGAGCCAATCATTGACTTCACCTTTCTAACTGGGCGAGTCCTAGATGGCATCTTCTTCCAAGAGAAGGCTGTTTTCGTCTACACTGAAAATACGTTGTTTAGTGTAGCTACCTTCACCGATGATCATGATCTTAGCTAGATCTTCTGGATAACTTGCTGCAGCTTCTACATCAATACTTTTACTTGCACTTTTGTGTAAGTGCAGCGTCATCTTTCACTTTTGAATTATGGAACCAGCTTCTTAAGCCTCTTGAACCAACAACCTCTGCTAGCTTCAAACTTTTCTCCTGCAGCTTCCTCACCTCTCTCAGCCTTCATAGAATTGAAGAGAGTTAGGGCTTTGTTCCAGACTGGGCTTTGTCTTAAGGCAATGTTGTGGCTGGTTTGATTTTTTTCTCTAGACCACTGAATCTTGCTCTGTATCAGCAATAAGGCTGCTTTGCTTTCTTATCATTTGGTGTTCCCTGGAGTAGCACTTTTAATTTCCTTCAATAACTTTTCCTTTGCATTCACAGCTTGGCTAACTGTGTGGTGCAAGAGGCCTAGCTTTTAGCCTATATCTCAGCTTTCAACATGCCTTCCTCACGAAGCTTATTAATATCTAGCTTTTGAGTTCAAGTGAAAGGTGTGCAACTCTTTCTTTCACTTGAACATTTAGAGGCCACTGTAGGGTTATTAATTGACCTAATTTCAATATTTTCATGTCCCTGGAAACAGGGAGGCTCGAGGAGAGGGAGAAAGACTTGGAGATGGCTGGTTGGTGGAGCAAACACAACATTTATTGATTAAGTTTGACATCTTATATGGGCATAGTTTGTGGTGCCCCAAAACAATTACAATAGTAACATCGAAGATCACTGATCACAGATCACTATAACAAATGTAATAATAATGAAAAAGTTTGAAATATTATGAGAATTGCCAAAATGTGTCTCAGAGACAAAATGAGCACATGCTGTTGGAAAAATGGTCCCCATAGATTTACTTGATGCAAGGTTGCCACAAACCTTCAATTTGTAAAAAAAAAAAAAAAAAAAAAAAAAGCAATATCTGAAAAATATGCAATAATGCCAAGTGCAATTTAAGAAACAAAGTATGCTTGTATTAAATCATTTCCAAAGGTCTGTAAAGGATCACAAATATTTTGACTCATGACAAACAGTGAATCACTGCGTTACCTTTGTTACCAAAATCAAATAACTAAAATCATTTCCCCATATTAATTTCTAATAATTTCTCAAAGTCTGGATTTGTCACCTTTATTCCAGCAAGGAACCCTGTTTGATTCAGAGATAGCTATGTCAGATAAAGATAAAATTCTGTCCTCCTCTGCCCCCAGATTTTATTCTGGGTAAGAATTATATCTAAGTGTGTTGTATCTATGTGGAATAAAATCAGACCTCGTGTTTGTGCTTTAATTTTGGCGATAGAGAATCAAACATTATTATCCTTATCTGCTTATATGAATTGAAGCCCTGTCACATGCAGAATTATAGAGTATTTAGAGAGGTATAGGAACGTGCCCCATAAACTTTATGCTACTGTGTTCATTCATTTGAAACTTTCTTTCTAAAATGGACATTTTGAAGTAAATGTACATGAAGATAATTGCAAAAATGGATCAAGTAATCACGATGATATTAATGTCAAGTGCAAAGCAAAGATACAATATTTTCTTTACAGAGAATGATGCAAATTTTGGCTTTTTTTTAACCTGTTATTATACAAAATCAGGAAGGAGTGTTTAGCTGAAATGATTCCATTTTTCCTGATGTTTCTTTATCCCTGGGTATAGTAGCTTAGTGACCCCTAAAACGTTTATTAAACCTGCTGCCATTTCAATCTAATAGAAACTGGGTAGTTTTTTTTTATTTGGTGTAATTTTTAGAGTATGGAAAGGAGGGGATGAGAAGGAGTCTGATAGATGGTATTATGGTTTGAATGTTTGTGTCCCCTCCAAAGTTCACATTGAAATTTGATTGCCAATGTAACAATATTAAGGGGTGGGGCCTTTAGAAGGTGATTACATCATGAAGGTAGAGCCCTTGTGAATGGGATTAGGTGCTCTTATAAAAGGGCTTGATGGAAGTAGCTTTTCTTTTGCCCTTCCATCTTCTGCCATGAGACAGACAATGTTCCTCCCTCCAGAGGATGCAGCCTACAAGGCACCATCTTGGAAGCAGAGACCAAATCCTCAACAGACAATGAACCTGCTGGCACCTTGATGTTGGATTTTCCAGACTCCAGAACTGTAAGAAATAAATTTCTGTTCTTTATAAATTACCCAGTTTGTGGTACTTTGATTTGTGGCAGCACAAATGGACTAAGACAGATGTTTACATGAACTTCGATATCAGGGTTTGGTTGTGTCTGAAAAAAAAAAAAAACTGTGTAATTTTCCTATGTTTAATTTCTGTTATTGCTTTATGGCTGTCTACCCTGGTGACTTGGCAAAAACATCAGTGAAATAAGAAAGGCTCTTTATTGTAACCATGTCACAGGCCTGGGTCAATTTGAAGATGAAAGTATCAAAAGTAATATTACATTTCTTACCATGGCAGCCAGCCAACTCATTGGGGTTGCTTTTAATTAAACCCACATGAGCTCTTACAGCAGTACAGAGAATAAAGCAATACCTCTTTTGAATTGCATTGATTTTTCTGACCACGAAGCAGGCATTCAAATTTGCATGTTATGGAGAAACGTGGAGTGTTATCTCATCTTATTTATCCGCCATGTTGCCCTTCCTCCTGAGATGGTGAGGGCTTTCTTCATACTTTGGTTTAACTCTATAAACACTGTACCTGGTCTATTAAAATGACCTGCTTTACACTGGAAGATAAAATTAGTTTATGTATTCATAATATGTGATAATCTTTACCCAGTCAGAAGGCAATTGTCCCCTTCATTGGACTCCTCTCCCTCCTGGGGCTGATGAATTGTTCACTCCTATCGAGAGCAAGTTTGTCTTGTTCTGTTGTCCTATGTGTTTGTGAGATTTCCTACATTTTGTGTCCCACCTTCTAGAGGGGAAGCTAGGAATTCTTTCCTCATTTTCCTTGCGGCAAATACGTAGGTATGTGTCCTAGGTTCAGCCAATCCTAGGACACCTTGTGAAGGCTTCACTTGAGAAAAAAAGAATGTGGCAAAACATACACTGTGCTGCAGCTATTTACTGGTAAAAGTGTCAGTGAAGGTGTCTGGCTCTTTGAAGGCAGCAATGCTGAAGGGTCTGGCCTTCCATCGGTGGTAGAATCATGGTAGTAGTGCCCAGTGCTGATGGCCAGGAGATCTTCACTTGAGCAGCCCATAATGTGATTTGGACATTCACTCCCACTATGCAGGCTTTTACTCCTGAGCCTATGGTCCTCCCAGAGGACTTCCCGAAGGACCCAATATCCTTTGAGCAGCTTGACATCATTTAATAGATTCCTTTTCCAATTGAATTGTCTCATACTCTTTTGTTTATAAGAACCCTGAGAGAAATACAGATGGAGTTTTTGAAACATGTAATAAGATTTTATAATTCAACACCACAGTTTTATAACCTTGCCTCTCCAAGAAACTTGCATTTTATTCCTAAAGGACTTATTTGTTTTTTACTGAGTGTTTTTAAAACACATTTGAGGAGATATAAACAACATTTAAACAATTTTACATGATATCCTTTGAATTATTTAGAAAGGCAGATGTACCCTGGATGCCTATGAGTTTTGTCAATCACAACTTACAAAAACGATTTTTTAAAAAAAGAATAAAATACATAATGATAACAATGTGGTGGGGAACAAGGGAGGAAAAGAACAGCATAGCATGAGGAGGGCTGCAGCCTAAATATAAGACTATCCTCTTACTCCACACAGATATTTTGGGTATTTCATAATAAGCCCTCGCTGCTGCACAATGCAGAGGGAGATTAAAGCTAATACTAGACTTCAGGACAGGTGAGGAGAGTGTGGAACAGAAATCTGAGAAAGGACTGGAGGAGAAAGATTCCAGATCTCCAGATCCAGATTCCATTCTCTTTCTTCAAAGAAACCACAGAGCTCAGGCCCTGGACGTGAGAGGAGATGTGAGCCTTCCACAAGGGCTCCTCCCACCAGGCGGGAGTCTTCCTTGAAGCATGAATGTGGCAAACAAACAAGCAAAAGCAACACAAGAAAAAAGAATAAAAAATGTGTGCATTAAACTTGTTATGTGAATAGCTGTTTCTACTTGGAGTGAAGCCCTTAAGAGCCTCTGTTTTAGTTTTGCATATTGCACATCACTTGCTCCGTCATCATCCCCAAAAGCATTTGTTAAAGCCTTCTCTTTGTGGGGTATTGTGTTAGGTCCTACTCAGAGCAAATCAGGAAGAGATGGTTCCTGGCCACTGGGAGTCTACAATTCAAATACCAAGGAAGGGCCCCATCGTTTTCCTTCTTCTCCGGATCCCTTGTAGCAGAAATCCAGTTTATATTTTGGCAGGAACTGGATTGAGATGGTCAGAAGGTTAAGGTCAACCTTTCCCTAACCTTTCCTCTTTCAAATATCGTGTTCTGAGAACATCAAAATGCTATATTAACTGCTAATATTTTTTCTATTGTTAAAGTGATTTTAAGATCAAACACATCTAAATTCTAAGAACAATGTATTTATGAATAATCAAAAGAACAACAGAGAAAGCTATTTTCCTGTCTTCCTTTTTCTCGTAAGTATTAGATCTAAAAGAATCTTAAAAGGGAAAACAAACCTTGTAATTTATTACTGCCTTTGTTATGTGAGTGGTTGGTTTTGATGTTGTTGATAGGCTTATTTAATATCACATTTTTAGCTTCGCTGGAAAAAATTCTCTGAATGTTTTGGTTCCCCAAAATTATTACGTATAATATAAAAACAAGATTTCAAGTAAGAACAAAATACTGATCTGAACCTTCAGTGCATGTAGCTTCAGCAAATAGAAACTTTTGTGGTTTTTAAAATATAATTGTATCCCTTGCCTGATAAAATTTTCTTATAATACCTTATGCAACAGCAACCTGTGACTGAAAATAGAAAATGGAATATACATTTTTAAAGTAAAATATTTCTTTTTAAACATCGTGCATCAATACCTCGAGGCCAGAAGTCTAAATATCTGTCAGAAGGTGGCAAACCAGAAATTATAAAAATCAAAGACATGGGAAAAACACATTTATCTTAGCTTCCTCTTCATGGGGATCAAAGTTCACACTAAGCACAGTGATTACATCTGTTTAGTAAGCCGTCTGCCTACAATGAACTTCAAAATTTATTCTTTCTAGTTAAGAAATACGTAATTTTTTATGAACGGCATAGAGAAATAAGAAATAATCTTTAACATTTTGAATACTTCCTTCCTGTGTTTCTATTAGCTGTAGTATATGTAGTTGAGATCACACTACACATCAATTTTTACACTCTAGGTTTTTCGCTTAATATAATTTAATGCTTTATGTTATTAGAAACTGTCCATTGGTATCATTGGAATGGCTACTTGATATTTTATCAAACAGGTACACCATAATATGCTAAGCCAGTCTTCTATTTTTAGATATTTAAGATATTTCCAGTTTGTGCTGTTAGAAATAACACTGCATTGAACAGCTTTGCGGGCAATGTTTCCTTTTAGGGTTCTACTTTAGGATAGACTCCGGAAGGGGGATTATTGCACCAAACAGTAGGAATGGTGTTAGAGCTCTTGGCATGTGTTGCAATTTTTTTCCTTAACCCCTCAAATAGCAGCACCAGTTTAAACCACTTTCAGGGTCTATCAGAAAGGACCTTTCCTGACATTTTAGAAGGATCTAGAACTAGAAATACCATTTGACCCAGCCATCCCATTACTGGGTATATACCCAAAGGATTATAAATCATGCTGCTATAAAGACACATGCACACGTATGTTTATTGCGGCACTATTCACAATAGCAAAGACTTGGAACCAACCCAAATGTCCAAAAATGATAGACTGGATTAAGAAAATGTGGCACATATACACCATGGAATACTATGCAGCCATAAAAAAGGATGAGCTTATGTCCTTTGTAGGGACATGGATGAAGCTAGAAACCATCATTCTCAGCAAACTCTCACAAGAACAAAAAACCAAACACTGCATGTTCTCACTCATAGGTGGGAATTGAACAATGAGAACACTTGGACACAGGAAAGGGAACATCACACACCGGGGCCTGTCTTGGGGTGGGGGGAGGGGGGAGGGGGGAGGGAAAGCATTAGGAGACATACCTAATGTAAATGATGAGTTAATGGGTGCAGCACACCAACATGGCACATGTATACATATGTAACAAACCTGCACGTTGTGCACATGTACCCTAGAACTTAAAGCATAATAAAAAAGAAGAAGAAGAAAAAAAAAGAACCAGAATTCTGTGTTGTTTCATCTTCATATGTTCCTCCCTGTTTTAAAAAGTAACTGAACTGAGGTTCACATGAAGGGATGCTCTGAGAAAGAACCATGCACAACTGTCTTTGTACAGATCTTGTTGAAGACATGGTCCTCTGTGTCACCAAAGGACCCTGTTAAAAAAAAAAAAAAAAAAAAAGCATGGTAGAGAAATTGCTCTCAGACTTCATTGCCAAGGAAAAGTGAACAACTGGTATCCATAGTCATTTGGAGTCTTACAGCTATGTGTGTTTATTTTGCCATTGGCCAGTAGGGAGTTTAAAAGCTCACTTTGCAGTGTCATGGAAGGCTTACTGTTTCACTTTATTTTGGCTTCAATCTAGTTTTCTCACCTTAAAAACAATTTTTACAATTGATTTGTTAACTACTTTAAGTTCTTAAAGAAAAAAGATGTGATCTAAATTAACTAATACATAATTTTCCCTTAAAATGTTTTTGTCAAAAAGATATTGTCACTTTGAGTTGTATTTTACTGAGTATTAGTAAAATTGAGTATTTCTTCATTACTCATTTATAGTTCCTCCTTGGTGGTTTGCAATTTATTTTCTTTGTCCATTTACTTACTGAGGTCTTTTTTTTTCCTTTATAATTTGTGTTTTGTGTGGTAAGACTATCAAGCCTATCAAACTTTTTCATATTTGTCACGAATATTTTCCAGTTATTTTTTCTGACTGTGATTTTTTGACTTAAAAAAGTCTCTTTGTTATTTAGTATAATTTTCCACAGTATCTTTGGAAGCAGTCAATGAATTATTATTATTGTTATTTGTAATTTCTTCCATTGCTTTTAAGCTTAGAAATTCTGCACTGACTGAGAGGTTTGACAAATATAAACTTCAATTTTATCTAGTATTTAACTGCCTTAATAATTTTATAATAACTCTTTATTTGAAATTAATTTTGGTAAAGTTCATGTGGTTAGGATCTAGACTGATTTTTTTCTCATTCCCCTAAAATTCCTTTAAGATGTTGTATGTTGTTAAATCTATACATTGACTTTGGAAGAATAGATATCTTCAAAATATTCAGATTTTCCATTCAAGAGTATATGTGTCTCTATGTATTCAACATTTCTTATATATCTTTTAGTAAAATGTTGTGATTTTATTCATGTGGTTGTCACAATTTTCTTGCTAAGTTTATTCTAGGTATTTTATGTTTTCTCTTCCTTTTATAAATAGTATCTTTTCCAATTATACCTTATAATGGATTATTGCCAATATGTAGAGTAGTTATGAATTTTTTGCCCATGTGTCTATATTCAGCCATTTTACTAAATTAACTTTCTCTTGATGTTTATCCATTTACAGTTCTAAAACTATCAATCATGATAGTTTCTTCTACTTTTTTCTTATTCTTACGTCTCAAATCTTTGGTCCATATTTGTATTCCATTAGCCAGAGCTTGTAAAACCAAGCTAAATAATGCTGATGATAATAGGCCTCTTTATTTCATTCTCACTTTAATGGGAATGCCCCCAGTGTTTGCTTAGTAAGGATAACATGGTTGTCAGTTTGACATAAATATTATCTTCCTGAGAATGTATTTCCTTATACCTAGATTTCTAAAGAGTCAGGAGTGGGTGTGAAATTTTAAGAATTAACATTTTAACATATATTGAGATACAATCATGGAATTTTCTTATGTGATCATATGATTATTATTAATGTATTTCCTAACACTAGAATATGCCTTCATCCTGATGAAACCTATGAGGTTGTGTTTACTCTTTTTTAAAAAATATATATAATGCCATATCCAATTTGCTGGGATTTTGTTCAGGATTTTTGCATCTTCGTCCACACTTGAGATTGTTCCATAGTGTGTGTGTGCATGTGTGTGTTTGTATTATCACTGTAGGTTTTTGTGTGTCATGGTTTTCCAGTTTCATAATTGACTGGAAAGTTTTCAATGTCTTTGTACTCTTCAAAATAGTTAACATAGTAGCAATTATCTGATCTAAAAAAAGTTGAAGAAATAATTGTCTATATTCTTATTTATTTATAACTTAAAACATTCCAAGAAGAATGAAAGAGGTTTTACCAAAAGCTATATAAGAGGACAAAATGTAACTAAGACAAAATAAACTATTTGCATATATGTATCATAATTTTTACTGATACCGAGAGTTGAAAGAAAAGTTCCTTAGGTCACCTTAAAGGATACACAGCCCGACCTAGAGAGCAAAGCCCTTGCCACCATCCCCACAGTAGTAAAATGTTTCTTATAATATGTTGTATACAGGTTCATGGCATAACACAAATGCATCAGTGTAATTAATACCATCTGCAAAGTATACAAAAAATGAAGTGCAAAGAAAAGAAAAGAAAAACAGCTCAGGTATGCAGCTCACCCAGTTGGTCTCACATAATAGGGGTGTAACATTCAAAGTATCAAATGGATGCATTGCATGGTCTTCAGCTCCTTCCTAAATATGTTTTAGTTACAATTGATCTTTTCATAAGAAATGAGCAGAAGAAGGTTTGAAGTTGTAATTGCTCTCTGCCAAGAATCTGGGGTGCAGATTCTCTATATCAACACCATATGCTTTGAGAATCAATCAAGGAGGACAGGGGCTGCCTCCCCTTCCAGGCCATCTGTCTGACTTTATGGCTGCTCCATCTGTCTGAGCAGCTCCATTCATGGCTCCATCCTCTCATCTCAATGAGGCTGTGGAAGTGCTGGAGAGTGACCCTTGCCTTTGGGTATCTCTCCATGTTGCACTCTCTACCTTTCAGTCAAGCCTCTGACATCCCTGATCGTCATTCTGCTGCCCTGTAGTGTAGGTCCTTGTTTTGTCCTGTACAGGGCCCCTCCGCTCAGGCCTCACATTCCCTGTGGTCCTGGTGAGTATATCAGTCAGGCAGCTTATCCCTCCACTTGTCATGTGCCCCAGGTTGGGCCTTTCAGACTCTCCCGGGAATCCCAGGCTAGTCACACAAGGATGAAATGCAGAGGCAGCCGAATCATTCTAAAGGCAGAGCCTGAAAAGATGCTTCTGAGAGTTCAGCCATCTCCTGGCTCCTGTCTTTCCCAAACCTGGTTCTTCATTTCTTTTGGGGATTGTCTTTGCTTCTCCTCTCTTTGGTTTTCTTCCAACCTCTCTCCTCTCTCTCTTTCTCACTGTCTCCAACCCCCGTTTCTCTCTCTCTCTCTCTCACACACACACATACACACACACAAACACACACACACACACACCCTTTCGTGGCCTAAGTTAGTCTCAGGTTCATTTTCTGATGTTTGCAGATCCTACACTGATAACAGGACACAAAATTAGATTCCAGGTCTGTGCAGCCCCTTTGGGTTGACACCTGAGTTGTACTGTGTGCTGGCTTATCACTTATTCCTGGAAACTGTCTCTCAGGTCATCTTCCACAGTCTGCAGCTTGGAGTCCAGTCCTGCCCCACACCTGAGAACAGCCCAGGTCTCCAGGGCCCCAGCCCACACCCAGGATGCTAGGCTTCTCTCATCCTGGAGAGGAGACAGTTCCTGGGGGATTTCACCAACCTGAACCCTCATCAGATTTCCACTGCCCACCTGCCCATGATCCAAGCAGAGTTCTTTCCATTTGCTCCTTTTACTCTAAAGAGCCTCATCAAGTGTCCTGTTTATGTGCATGTGTTTCCAGGTAACAGGAAATCTCGCACCACAGAGACAACTGTGGTTGTCTCCTGCCCAGGCCTTGTTCTATCAGGCAGGTTTCTACTGTCCCCAAGGTTAAGGCACTCTGTAAGGAAGAAGATAGCAATTTTCAGTGGCACTTCAGTCTCTTCTTCTCCCCTGAGGTAAATCTGGACATGCTTTGTAAGTAAGAATACATAGCTCTGCCTTCTCTGGGACTCTGAGGTCTCAGCACAATCACCTCTAAGAGCACTGCTCATTCCCACTTATCTTTGAACACTGTCTGGACTTTGTCTTCTTTGGGAAGGGTGGTATGTAGAAGGTGGCCATAAAAATGATATGGTACCAAAATGTCAAGCCTGCATGTCAAGTTCTAGCCATCTTTTGGTAGTTCATGAACACTGCGCTCTATGCTCTTCTGGTCTTACCTATCAAGGAAATCTCTTCACTGAGCATTCTGAGAAGTGATGATCTGGAATATCTTCTATCCACTATGCTACTTCTGCATTCCCTCTGGGACAGTTTGGAGAAATGTGTTTTGAGATCTCTTTGATGGAAATCCTATACCAGCTTCTCTTCTTCCAAGGACTCCCTATGCCTCCATTTTCAGGAAGTCTTCGGAGATGAGTTACCTCTTCTGGATGCAGGAGTTGCACAGCCTTAAGGTGATATCTGAGGCAGTGAGGCAGAGGGACAAGATGGAACCCACCATACTTTTAGGGTACCCATTAGTGATGTGACTCCACCTCCCGTGGGATGAATGAGAAGGAGGTGGAAAAAGGGTAGACGCTTCTTTCCTAGGTTTTTTGAGAGAGCAGGCAAGTGCTCCACAGTCCTCAAACACAGAGCTTTTAGTAAACTATAGCTTAGACCTAATGCCAAAATGGGGCTTCCTTCTCCTTCCCTTGGAATTGACAATAACCTAGGATAAGCTTGATTTGACTTTATGTCAGTCATAAAAGTGTGATTTGCAGAGAATCTCTGGAAAGTATGTGGAGAAGACGCACCGAGCAGGAGTTATAAAAGAACCTGCAGTTCTGAGCTGCCGATGCATATAAAAGTGGGCACAAATTGCATTATGGGAGATTTAATGTTGGTATAGGATGCACTGTCATGCAGGAAATGGCTAATAGAGTACCCAGAAACCAAACTTGGGACTGGGAGTTGAGTGAAGAGATAGTTTTAAAAATATCTTTATTATCAGGGAAGAGCTGTAGTCTAAGTGTAGAGAAAGGGAAAACCAATTAGACAGACTATTAATACCGAATGTTTCCATCATTAACACTCATTGTGTTGCTGCTTCTCAAAAAGCCATTTGTGACCCAAAAGTTGGTCAGCACCAATACCTTTAGATCATGCTAAAAATAGAAGTGAACCTAACTTCCTGAGAGCTTACTACATGCATTTTTAATAGCTAGATCATGTAGGGAAATCAGCATGTCTATTATTAAAATAGAAAAGCTGAGTGTTAGAACACTAATTTGGAGCAGGAAGATTATACAAGACAAATTCTGAACATGAAGATGATAATTTTCCCTTGAGCAGGAAAATAATTTAATAGAACTCAATGCATTAATAGACCTATAGTAGAATGTTAAAAAGAAATTCTAGCAGTGAGAATGGGGAAGACCTACGGGAATATTCAGAGTTGAGCTATAAATCATCTGGATACAGAGGATCCACAACACTTGCTCCAGAGCTTAGAGCAGCAGGAGAAATCACTGAACGAAAAGGAGAGAGAAAAAATTCAAAGAGATTACCCTTGTCAGAAAAGGGGCACATGTTTGTTTGTTTTTTTAACTAAATTTTAAAAAAACTATAGATATGCAGGTTTCTCCAGATATTGTTATGCCATTACCCCTCCAAAGAAGGCACTGCAGAATTTAAAGCCATGAGTTCCTTATATAGAAAAACTCTTGATAATCCTTATTTTGGAAAACAAAGTTCAAGAAAAAATGTGAAAAATTAATTAAATGTGTGAACAATTATTCAAAATGTGTTTAGCACCTTTCATATGAAAAGCATTGTGTTGGAGAGTTTGTGGGATTTAATATTGTAGAAAATGTGATGTCCTTGCCCTCAAAAAGCTGTTGTACTACAGGAAATGAAATGGAATTATTTATAATGAAACTGGTAAGTAATGAGAGCCATATATGCAGTTGACCCTAAGAGCTAACAAGTGTGAAGCTGGGCAGGATGCTTTTCCCTAATGGCTGCAGAATTACAGTAGAGAAGGTGGTATTTGGTATCTCAGGTGGTGGGTATAGCTTGATTAACTTTACACAGGAGTAGAGAAACTTCTTTTTCTCTGGGTAGATACCCAGGAGTGGGATTGCTGGATCAAATAGTAGTTCTACTATTAGTTCTTTAAGAAATCTCCACATTTTTTCCATAGTGATTGTACTAGTTTACATTCCCACCAATGGTATAAAAGTGTTCCCTTTTCACCACATCCAGACCAACGTCTATTATTTTGATTCTGATTATGGCCATTCTTGCAGAAGTAAGGTGGTATTTCATTGTGGTTTTGATTTGCATTTCCCTGATAATTAGTGATGTTGAGCATTTATCCATATGCTTGTTGGTTATTTGTATGTCTTCTTTGGAAAATTGTCTATTCATGTCCTTAGCCCACTTTCTGTTGGAATTTTTTTCTTACTGATTTGTTTGAGTTCTTTGTAGATTCTGGATATTAGTCCTTTGTCAAATGTATAGATTGTGAAGATTGTCTCCCACTCCGTGGGCTATCAATTCTGCTGATTATTTCTTTTGCTTTGCAGAAGCTTTATAGTTTAAGTCCCATCTATTTATCTTTGTTTTTGTTGCATTTGTGCTCGGTTTCTTGGTCATGAAATCTTTGCTTAAGCCAATGTCTAGAATGGTTTTTCCAATGTTATCTTCTAGAATTTGTATGGTTTCAGGTCTTAGATTTAAGTCTTTGATCCATCTTGAGTTGATTTTTATATAAGGTGAGAGATGAAGATCCAGTTTTATTCTTCTATATATGGCTTGCCAATTATCCCAGCATCATTTTTTGAAAAGCATGTCCTTTCCCAATTTTATGTATTTGTTTGCTTTGTCGAAGATTAATTGGCTGTATGCATGTTTAGAGCATCACAATTCGCAATTGCAAAATATGGATCCAGCCCAAATGCCCATCAATCAATGAGTGAATAAAGAAAATGTGGTATGTATGTGTGTGTATATATATATATATATATATATATATATATATATATATATACACCATGGAATACTACTCAACCATAAAAAGGAATGAAATAATGTCATTCACAGCAACCTAGATGTAAATGGAGACTATTATTCTAAGTGAAGTAACTCAGGAATGGAAAACCAAACATCATATGTTGTTACTCATAAGTGGAAGGTAAGCTATGAGTATGCAAAGGCATAAGAATGATACAATGGACTTTAAGGACTCAGGCAAAAGGGTGGAAGGGCGGTGAGAGATAAAAGACTACACATTGGGTACAATGCACACTGCTCGCGTGATGGGTGCACCAACATCTCAGAAATCACCACTAAAGAACTTATTCATGTAACAAAACACCACCTGCCCCCTAAAAACCTATTGAAATAAAAAATAAATTAATTTTAAAAAAAGAAGTAGAGAAACTTGATGAGTCTGTGGGGTATGCCAATTAGCCCAGAATATCCATGTCTTCTCATCCCTCATTGGTTGAGGGTTCACAGACCTACTGTGCAAGCACTGGGGTGGCCAAGGGCAGAGATGGGTCAAACCATCCTGGCCTGTGTCATTCAGAACTTCCTCTGCAGTGAAGGCTCTGGCTCTCTGGTGGGCATTGATTTGAGACACACGAACAGGCAAAGGAGTTTGCACTTTAAATCACTGTGTAATCATGGAGTGATTTAAAGCAGGTAAATTGTGCTTCTTCTGGGAAGCTGTACTTCTTTTTGGAGTCTCCAAACCAATCCCTGGGACCCCACAATGCTGTGTGATGCGGTTCCACTCTTCTCAGCCACCATTCAGGTAATGGTAGCTCTTCTTCCTGGGACTGAGACATGAGGAACATCCCCCTTCCTTGCATCTTACCAGATGCCACATTTACTGAGGCGAGACATTTTCTGAGTGACAAAAACTACCTTATCCTAGATGTGCAGATAATATAGGAACAAACAACATAGAGAGATTCAGTTATTGGCCTATAAAGCAAACTCAGGGTACGGCCCTGAATGGCCTAGAGTTTCCTTTAGTTCATCTCTCTCCTTCTTAACAAGAATGTTTTCCAGACATCAAAATCTGCCTCTTTCAGAAAAAAGTATCTCTTGTGGGCATTTTCATCTTCCTTTCTCATCTCTACCCTACCACACACTTCTAAGTGACACACTGCCTTCCCCTTTGAGCCACCAGAGGAGGCTAGAGACCTCTTCCGAGTTTCTTTCTCTGACCCTGCCTGGGGCAGCTTCTTCCCTTTTGCTTGTTAAGATACTGAAGCCATTCTGACTTTAGGCAATTATTTGTCAAACACATTCTATGATGTAGTAACTGTGCTAGAACCTTGGAATACAACAGATGGAGACATCCATCTTGTTTTCCCAACAGAAATAAACTTGAAACACAGCTCAACTCAAATCAGTAGACATTTGTGGAGTATCTACTGTGTGCCAGGTGCTCTTTTAGGGCTGGAGAGAGTATAAGGATGCTTTCAGCTGTGAGCAAAAGTCTCTAACTTAAAGTGGCTCTAAAAAATAAAAAAGAGGAAATGTATTACTACACAACAGAGGTAGGGCTGTTCCAGACATGGCACACCAGGGTTCTGGCACCACTTCTCTGAAATTCACTTGACTCTTACATCCTTCATGTGTTATGTCATCAGGCTCCCTCCCCTCCATGATTCCAGGATATTTGCAAAGTTCTATATGTCACATTCAAGCAAATAATGTCTAAAGACACAAATGGGACTTCTTTGCTGCATTTATATTTTCGGGAGTAAGGAAAGCTTTCCCAAAAGCTGTCTAGAAATCTTCCCTGCAAATGTCATTGAGCAGAATTGTGTTACAAATCCATGCCCAAACCAATAACTGAAAGGGAGAGAGGAATTATCATGACTGATTTGGACCAATTAGAATGTAATGAGCCCATTCCCTAAAGCCCACTCCCTAAAGGTCATGTGAAAAGTGGTAGATCTCAGTTTGCTGAGGGGGTCGGAGCTCTGGGCAAGAATCTCGAGAGCTTGTCAGAAGAAGATGGCAGTGGAGTCATGCGTTGCACTGGAAGAAATTAACAAAGATCTGGAGATGCCCACCAACCAAGAGAAGACATGTCCAAGCTGTCCTGTGGTCCAGTGAGTGGCAGATCCACACTTAGATGGATGCAACCTTGAATTAACTGACTAGATTAGTAAAAGAAGTCTACCCAGAAGCTAGAAAGAAGGGCACAAACTTCAATTTTGCAGTTGTTTTATGGATCTTAAAAGACATTGCTATCAAGTAAAGGAAACTGGAAGTGTCATGTCTGGTAGAAAAGGGGTGAATGATGAATAACCCTAAAGTGGCAGCAGTTCCAAATAGATTATTTGCACATAGCAATTACTCCTCCAAACCAGGCACCACTTCTCTCAGGGCACATGAGACCATATTAAATTTTATTTACTATTTTTTGCATTTATTTTCCAATTAGTTATGTAAAATTCCTTATATAGTCTTTTTCATCTTATTTCCATTGAGCCTTTAAACTCTAAACACACTGTAATGCATCTATGTAGGAGTTATATTTGGTTGTGCTATGGAATGAGCATTAATAGAAGGTCCATATTGTTTCAAGCCCTGCTGTAAAATATGAAAAGTGCTCTTAGCATTCTGTATAAAACTGTATTGTTAAATATATGTGTGTAGTTTTTGAAAAGGTAAATCCCTAAATAAAATCAGGATTCTCTGAGGTAAGCATAAAGTATCATATGTGTATGGAAGCTGGACTGGATGTTGGTAGGGCAACCAGCAGAGTTGGATAGAAGATTGATCTGGTGCCTTTTTAAATATGATTGGTTATTCCTTATAGTTTCCTATTGCCTGCACATATTTTTCTTCAAGTACAGTGAAAATTATGACCAATAGTTCTAACTATTGAAGTTTAACTAAAGAAGTCTTTCTTCAGGAAAAGATTGAAGTTTCTTTTGTTATATCTGCTGGTGCTACTTCATGTTATCATGCTTCCTTGTGTGTTGTTATTTTATGTGCTTCATTATTTTCTAACTTTCATTTATTTATGTGATTTTTTTTTGAAGTCCAGGATGAGGGAGGGCTCCTCCACATAGGATTTGCATTTCTTTCTATCAGGGATCTGGGAAATTACCAACCCAATATTAAACTGAATTCATAGTTTGTTGAGAATTTGGTGCTAGAGAGCTCTATGACTTGTATTCAGTTGAAATTTCTCAGGTAAGCATATTCTACCTCTACTGCATAGCCACATTCTCTTGCTTTACTAAGCATCAAGGCAACATTTTCAGCAGTCCCCTATATTGGTAGAGGTAGGGAGCATTGATCTCTGGTTTCCCTTACACTGAAAGTGTAAACCTTCAGGTTGCTTGTAATGGAGGGTGGGCTGTGCCTCACTATTAGATTCAATAACTTGGGCAGGTCCTAGGTTTTGTCTTGTATCCCCCTCACGTTAAAAAGGCAACGAAAACCTACCCCATCATATTACTATCAAACATCTCGTAAAAGGATAGGAGGATGGCTGTTTAAGAAGTATTCATTAGAATTTTACCATTTAGCAAAACCCAAATGAAATAGTGGATAAGTAGCAATAATCATCAACAACTGCTAACATCACAAAAGTGACAATTAGTATATGCCTCCTAATTAAACGACACATATGTAGTAGTTTCATTTAAAAAAAAACAAAACCTGCCTCTGATAAGCCTCTCGATCTATTTTCTGGATTGCAGGAAATACAGGGAGCAGCAGAGCATGTTAAATAGCATAACGGGAACGAAATCAGTAAAATCCAGACTGTGGAGAGCTCTACAGGACATATGGTTTCTTCATCCATAGTAAATTCTGAAGGGAAAAGAAAGGAAGGATGAACCAATAGATAAATAGAGATTTAAGAGACATATCAACCAATTGCAATGTATGGTAGACCTTATTTGGATCTTGATTCAAACAAACTAATTTTTAAAAACATAAAATAAGAGGGCGAGTAGGAAGGTAGGAGACAGGGGTGTCTATGGAAACAATGTGAGTTACCCAAACTCAGTGTGGCAGCACCCTTCTGGTTCTGGTTGCTGATCTTCCACAATTTTGGAAAGGAAATGGGGGCACCAGCCACAAGAGCAATCCACTTGCCAAACTGCCTTCCTAGAACCAGGACCTGTCCACATGTCCATGGCTGACTTCATAAGTGGGAGCTCTGCAGCTCCTTGGGGCATTTGGTCAAGACTACAATGAGTTTTGGAGTCAGAGGAAAGCTGAAGAGCACACTGAAGGGGAGAAACAGGGATAGGGTCCATGTGGATCTGGGTGTAGGCTTAAAGGACCCCACCAATAGAACCTGGCCACCAGAGAGGTGGCCTCTTAAACTTTAGAGTTGTTTAATATATGGAGCATGGAGACCAACCCCTTGTTTGCCCAGGTCCAAGGATTGTACTGGTTGGAATGAATACCTGTGTGTATACTAAATTGCCAAGGATTAAGGCAGGATTAGTGTTCAGGAAGTGACATCAACTTAGGAGTCAATCAGGAAAGTTGTAGAGTGACCTGGAGGTCTGAGCATGCTAGCCACATCTAAGAGTAGTGGGTGAAATAACCTGATGAAAGGAGATTTATAGCAGTAGGTTTCAGGGAGGAGGGATGAAGAATGTTCTGGAAGTAGCAATGCAGAACAAGGACATCACCTTCCTATCTCCAGACACAAGTGATGCAAGCATTGGAGGGAAAAGTCAGCCATCACTTGAGAGGGTTGTGGGAGAGCAGCCTCTTAGGAGGGCAAGCCATACTTCCATGAGAATAGAAAGGTGAAGAGAATACTTGGAGATGAGGTTGAGGATATTGGGCATTTTGCTAACAGTGGACTTTGAAGTCCAGGAGGCATAGTCAGAGGGTTTCAGGAGCTGGATAGTGAGAAAGGGACAGAATACTGGATGTGCTGAGCCTTATGAGTATTAGAATGTAAGAGATGAGAAAAGCACTTGAGATTTTGGGGCTTCTTGTGTTCACTGATACAAGCAGGCATTAAGGGCTTAACAAGACGAACATTGGTAGACTCAAAACATACTGTTTTGACTCCCGCGGGCCACAGCCTGACACGGGCATGCCCCTACCCCCTGGCTCCCACAGCCACCTACCGGAGGCATGGCACAGGGAGGGCCTCGCCTCACTGTCACAGCAGCATGGCACAGCAAGATCAACTTCATGCTCGGTGCCAAAGCTGATGGCAAGACCATTCTAAAAGGCCTCCAGTCCATTTTCCAGGAGCAGGGGATGGCAGAGTCTGCACACCTGGCAGGTTAATGGCTAGTTAGCAACCTACAGACAGAAACACAAAAACAGCATCTTTGCCAATTTGAGAATTTACCTACATGGATTGGTGTTGCTGGACCTTCAGAGTTACAATGATGACTTGCAGGGCAAAGAAGAGATCGACAGCCTTTCAAACAATGTAGAAAAAAGAATGAAAGAATTGAGTCAAGACAGTACTGGGCTGGTGAAGCGATTACCACCTGTAGTTTGAAGAGGGGCCATCAACAGACATTGGTCCACCACCGATGGGCGCCTGGTTGAATATGACATAGATGAAGTGGTGTACAATGAAGATTCACCTTATTGGAACATTACAATTCTACACTAGAAGCAATTTGGAAATATTCTCATCCTTAGTAGGGATGTTGATTCGGCAGAGTGATTTGGCATATACCTGGGCCATCACGGGCAGCAGCAAAGCAGATTTCACTGGCAAAGAGGTACTGCTTCTCAGAGGCTGAGATGGGGGCATATTATGAGAAATAGTCAAACTAAAATCAAAGATGGTCACTATGGTAGAGATTGACCAAATGGTGATTGATGGATGTAAGAAATATATGCAAAAAACATGTGGTGATGTTGTAGACAATCTTAAAGGAGGCTGCTATCAGGCTCTGATAGAAGACTGCATTCCAATACTGAAGAGGCACACCAAAGAAGGGAGAGAATTGGATTGTGTGACTAACGATTTGACAGCTGTTCCAATCTCCACATCTCTGGAACAAGATTCCATGTGGGAGTTTCTCAGACTGATTTTTGACCCATGAATGAATGTATTGAAACAGGATGGGAAATATTTTACACAGGCAAACTGTGTCAATCTGACAGAAGCCCTGCCACTCTATGAAGAACAGCTTGGGTGCCTGTATTGCCTTGTGGAATTCTCAAAGGAGATCGTCTATGTCCCTTCAAACTTCGAATTGTGGGTATTTTACGCTGTCTGGAAGAAAGCTAAACCCTGAAGATGAATATCCCTTAATCACAGGTGCTGCAAATGGCCTTTTTCACTTCCATATGCTGTACATGACATTGAAACAAGTCAGGCAATTGATTGTGAATTCCTTGAAGTTTTCTTTTTAATTATTATTTTTAATTTTAAAAAGCAAATGGCAAATGTATATTTTGATGAGCTTAGGGTGTTTTTTTTTTTGAAAGCCAGCTGAAGGATGGTTCAACAGCACAGCAAAGACTGCCAAATGCACTAACACCCTAGAATGTGATTTTTGTTACTTTTTATTTCTCCGTGGGCTTTGTTTTTTTGTTTTGGTTGTGATAGACTTTCAATTTGGATGTTTGGAGGAATGAACATCATTGTTTTGTTCTGGAGGGAAGTTCTTGGTGGTGTTTCTTTCACCCAATATTGACTTAGATATTAAAATGTGGTGCTTATAAGACAGAGTTTAAAAAAAATGAATAGTAATACTTCGATTAAAATTACAAAAGAGACAAAAAATAGTTTTGAGTGTTGTGGAAGCTGAGTGTTGGGGTAAGAAGAGTAGGTGTCTGCACTTTGCTATAGACTCCTGATGATAGTGAGGAGAAGTGGAGAGCTGTGTGGACTTGGTCCAAGAGTATGGGGCTGTCTTCAGACATCTGCTGTGGAAGCCAGGTGTAACTCTGACTTTCCAGAGCATCTTACAAAACCAGTTCTCCAAAGCGCAGGCTTTGGAAAACCTTGCCCTGACTACTAAAAGAGGAAGAGCAACTGACATTTATTCTATACCCATTGTGTACTAGGCACTGTGCTTCTTGTGTATATTATAAAATATAACCACTATAGCATCTGTACTTAGTGTGAATTATTTTTATGAAAACCACTTTGCTGATGCGAAAACAGACCTCTCATGCTCATTAGGTGTCTTTCACAGCTTGTTTTTTAGCATCACAAGACGACACCCTGCATTGAGGAACAAAAGTCCTGAGGTGTAGGAGAGCAATGACTTTAGAGTACTGGGATTCTGTGGGGATGGAGGGTATACCCCTTTTCACTCCATCCGCTTCTACAAGACAAGTGTTTTCAGAAGAGAGAAAACATTTCATTATAATGAAGGCATGAATAAAACTAGTCTGAGTGCTGGATCCAAGGGGCCTGGGGCCAAGGTGTGTGCCAGGCAGGACCCTAGAACCAGAACTGCTTTAGAGGGCAAGTCCAGGAACCAGGGCACAACATCATCATGACACAATGTTTCATGTCCTCCAAAGACACAACGTTAAAATAGCCTTTTCCAGTGCAACCTGGTCTTAAATGGGATGTTTCAGGCAAAATCACAATCAGGGATTTTCCTAAAGGAGCTGTTACCTTCAAATGCATCAAGACACGAAAATCCAGAAGTAGAAAAATCAACCCACTTTAAAAAAATATCTTCCACGGACAAGATAGGAGAATAATTTAAGGAAGATACAGCATAGCATAAAGAACGTTGATCACGTTTAAAGTTTGTTTCATGGTTTTCTGAACTTCCATCACTTGGAGAAACAATCCATTATTCTGCAACAGTTTAGGGGAGGTTCTCAAAAAGGTAACCGTTTGAGAACTCAGTGAATTGCCAGCACATTTTGCAGTTGGAAGCTCAAATTTTTATAAATAACATGCGGGGAATCCAGATAGGATTTATTTTTTAATTTCACAATTGTATTTCCAATGCTGGATTCATAGGCACTTCCTTGTCATAGTAGCAGCACATTAATTTTAGCCTAAATAATTATTTAAATTATTTAACTATTTAAATTATTTAACTATTTAAATAATTATTTTACTAAGAAGAATCCACGAAATGAAAATGAGCACGTTCACTAATTTTCATATTGCCTGACCATCTCATAGCACCATGGTCACAGACTGCAAAGCCTCTCACCGGAACAAGACAGACCAGCAAGGAAGTGTAGGTTCAACAGCACATGAGAATCATAACTTTTAGTGCCAGAGTGTCTGAACCAGAGAGGAGGGAAAATGAGAGGCCAAGAGTTGTCTCCATTTTCTTCTCTTCACAGTATCCTGCATAGTGGCACAAATCGAACTGGAAAGCCCAAGCTAACAACACCGCCCTGGGCGAACCGCCTGTCTCCACCGGCTCCTCTGGGCAGGAGGCTCCAGCCTGGGGGTGCCTGACAGCTCTCCTTCCCCGGCGCCTGTATTATACATGTAACATTTATATTTCTATCCACACAGCGTTCATTCAGCCATCCATTCAATCACCCAGGCATATTTACACGGATGGAACACATTCGCGGAGAGATGTGTGTGTTTGAGTTCCAATCACTGCAGCCCGTATTGGCGCGGCGCTTTGTCTCGCTTTGGGTCACCACCACAGGAGCAACGATTTCGGGGACGGCACACGCCTGTGTGACCGCTTCCCACTCCACTTGGGTTCCGTGAGCGCGCGGAGCCGGAGGAGTCAGGGACGTGAGGATGCCCTACTTCCCGCAGCATCCGGATGGCAGGGTCTGCGTCGGAAGGCCCGGGAGGGCGACGCCCTCCACTGCTGCCGCGGGGTGGGTGCGCCAGGCCTGGGTGTGGCCTCACGGGAGCGAGTTTCTCTCCAGCCGCCTGGCCCACCGCTTTGGAACAGTGAAGCTCGAGTTGGGGTCTCCTGCACGCCAAGGGGAGAAATGTTTGTTTCTGACAACACAAGCAAAATTCTCTCTCCTGCACGCCAAGGGGAGAAATGTTTGTTTCTAACAACACAAGCAAAATTCTCTCTCTCTCTCCCTCTCTCTCTCTCTTCTCTCCTCTCTCTTTCTCCCTCCTCCTCCTTTCTTTCTTTCTCTTTTTCTTTCTTTCTTTCTTTCTTCCTCCTCCTCCTCTCTCTCTCTCTATCTCTCTCTCCACCCCCCCCCCCTCATATTTGGTTGTTTCCCCTCTAAGGGGCCACTTTCAATATCTGCCTGTGAGCCCAGCTGTCTGGCCCTATGTAGCATTGGGGAGACAGTAGACTTAACCCAGCGAAGTTTTCTTCTGTTTGCTCTTGCTGTGCCCAAGTTTCCTCTGGACTTGTCTTCCAGCGTCGGGGTGGGGGCTGGGGGAAGTAGGCAACCTAGCTCTGCCTGGTTGCTCCCTGGAAGCCAAGTCGAAGTGAACAAGTCAGTCCCAGGCCCGGAAATAGAATACAAACCCTCTTTTTGTCCGGTGCTAACAGAGTCCAGCAGTCAGAACTCCCTCGCGTCTCACGCTGGACCTGACCCGGGGCGCCGCCAAGTGCGCAACGCACAGTCACAGTTGGTGACTAATTAAGGACTGCCGCCCCTCTCCTTCACCTGCTACAAACTCAGAGCCCTGACTTCTCCAGAAGTACCTACCACTTGGAGGTGGCTCTCCTTCCCCGCCCCCTGCCCCAGTCCCACACCGCAGCAGCGCCTCAGCACCGCGACTTGCCGGAGCACCGCGAGTGGCGCGCGGGTCCCGCCTCCCCCGCGCGCCGTGACTCCCTGCGCACCGCTGGTACTCTCGCCACGCCGCCGCCCGGCACTGCAGCACCAGGGGGAGGAGGCAGGCGGAGGAGAGGAGGAGGACCGCAGCGTGCAAGCCGGGAGCCACTTTCCCGCCCCTCCTCTCGCCGCTGACACGCTCAGAGGAGTCACCACTCCGCGCGCTGCAGGCGAGAGTGGCAGACGGAGGCAGCCCGGGGAAGCGAGCCGGAGCGGCGCCCGCACTGAGGCGGCTGCAGTGCTGACACCACTCAGGGCAAGGGTGTCCGACGGCTGGAGCGGTGAGTGGGGGAGGTGAAGCGGGCATCCGCGGGGAGACTTTCCCCCGCTGCTGGATTTCTCTTCCCGACTGGTGGCCGGGCGCTGCAGCCTGGGGAAGTTTTTGCAGCCTTTCGGAAGCGCAACTTTGCCCCGCCTGCCCCCGGGGAAGCGGCTGCAGGTGCCCGCTGCTTTGTAGGCGCCTTTGTTGGAGAGGGACCAGGAAAGTAGGGGTAAAATAGATGCAGTGACCCCAGGGTTCGCTAGGGTAGGTCTGGGGACTGGGTCGCACTTTATCTGGGATTCCCAGAGGAGGTGGGTGGGCAGCAGCGGGGATGCAGGGGCCGCATCTGCAGCGACCGCCACGCTCTTTTTTGCTTGTGTGGTTTGACCGGCAGGGATAGGCAGATTCAAATCTAGCAGCCTAGAGCCCCGGGCTGGGTACCTGGACCTATACCTTCATAGCTGCCTTAGGCTCAACTTTTCGGCGGGGATCCCTCTGCAGACGTGCAGGTGGCGGGAGAGCAGAGGTAGCCGCAGTAAGTGCTGAGAGAGCCTGAAAGAAACACCATGAATTTTCAAACTCTCCCACATACATTCCCGAAGCGCCTGTCTGGCGTCTAAGAGAGAGCAAGAGAGGGCTGGAGAGCAGGGGAGCCCGCGGGGCTGAGGCTCTTTGTCAGCGCCTGCACTTCCTACGTTACAACGCCTTCATTCAGCAAAAACCTTTTGGGCGCCTGCTGTGCGCCAGGCCAGGCGAAGCAGACCCGAGGCTGTGAAGCTCAGAGGGGAGAGGGACCAATCGCAGTAAATAAGCTACCGAGGTAATCTTAGATGGCGATGAGGGCAGCAAAAGCCATCAGCCGACCCTCTGACCCTTTCTCTTAGTGGGCTTTTCCCCTTCCGCCTGGGTTCTAGAACTGGGAAGACTTTTCTCCAGAGCGTCGCGGGGAGCGCCCCGGGCTGGGCCCACGGGGACTGCGGAATACGGGGATGAACTTGGCTTGGGGCAGCCAGCACCCCACGGCAGATGAACAATCGGGAGCAGATCTGTGGGCGTGCGGGGACCTTAGGCGGCGCGCGGGGGCGGGGGGAGGGGCTGAGCCACGGGGGCTAGAGGTGCCGCCTGGACGGCCTGAGCTGGGGGCGCTCGCGTCACCTTCTACGTGTGCGAGTGATGCAAATGCAGACCCGCGAGGGGCGGGCGGGGGTGGCGGGCGGGGGCAGGCGACGGAGTCTCCGTCTGGGAGCGCGCGTGTGTGCGTCAAAAGCTCTGGGTTGATGGATGCCCCGCGGCGCGCCTGGCGCGGAGAGCGGCGACCCGGCGGGGCAGAGGGGGGCGGGAGGACTGCGGCGGCGCGGGGCGGCGAGGAAAGCCCCGCACGGCCTGGGCTGGCGGGCAGGCGGCTCCGCAGTGCGCCGCAGTGCCGGGAAGGAGCCGCAGCTACCGGGCGCTCCCCGGGGGACCGAGGAGATGAGGCGTCTTTTAAGGCTCATGAGAGCCTTAAGGAGATGAGACCGGGATGCCGTGATGGTCTCCTCTCCCGCTGAACCTAATCCCTTCATACTTAGCTGACTGCTAGCGCGGTAGCTTCCGTTTAATTCTTATCCTTAATTCTGAAGAATGTGGCATTAATCTCTCAGGCGTTCACTCATTTTCCATGGCAAGTTCCGAAAGGCCTCGTGCTCGTGGGAAGTTTTCATGTGAACGCCTAGGTGTTGAGGTTCGTGAGGTTCTGTAGTGCCAACCCGTTGCGCCACCATTCTGCAGGATTTTTGGCAGGAGGCCTGGCCTCTAAGTGAGGTTTAAGAATGTCTTACAAAACAATATGCCGCATTCCTCTTTCATGGCATAAAAATACGCGTTAAAAAACACTACTGATAACGCATTCTCTGGTGGAAAATAATAAATCAAATCCACGATCCATTTTATTCTTTTTTTTAAAGACCACTTTCTGGAAACCCAGTGACAAAGTTTTTCTACTGGCTTTACTGAAGGAGCCCAAATCTGCAGTATGTAGGCAAAATGAATGAAAGGGGACGGGGTTGGGAAAAAAGAAAGAAAGGAAGGGAGGGAGGAAGAAAAGCAATTATCAAGGAACCCAGAGACACAGATGCTAGTCACCATTTCCCCAAATATTGTGTTATGTCACCTTGGGCAGGTTACTCACCCTCTTGGGTTCATCTTCCACCTCTGAGAATTGTGAAAAATAGCTTATACTAGCTCTTATGTACCTTACAGGGTTGTTTTGAAGACAAAAGAGATAATCTCAGAGAGCTTTGGCTTTGGAAATACAAATTTTCCATGAATGGAAAATATTAGCAAACAAAGCCCCTACACACACACACACACACACACACACACACACAGAATTTTCTTTTAAAAAATTCTAGAGACTTTTCCCAGCATTGTTTTTTTAATGAAATTTGGCCCTCAATGTGAGCAAATGCAGACAGCAGACTTTTCCTAACAGTCTAATATGTAATCCAATGCCATTAGCTACTGACTGTCTGGAGAAGGAAAAAAAGAAGCTCTGGATCACATCTGAGTGTTTTGTTCATGTAGTGGAGAAATCAGCTTTATTTTTCATGACCCAATGACAGTGAAAGTAGCTTCTCTGATCTGAGCAGCAGACTGGCCTAACAGCTTGTAGTAAAACTCCTATTCATTATTAACCCTATCATATTCCTTAAGTGTGGAAATGCTTCAAATAATAGGATCCAGTTCCCAGTCTCCAGGAGATTACGGCAAAGGCATCATAATGTGCAATATATCACGTGACGACAAGTACCAGAAAACCCATTTCCTATAATTAGGAGTGTTATCTCTTATTCTTAAGCAAACTTGATGACATATTGTATGAATAAAAGCATGTGATTTGTCAAAATGGCTCCTTAACCAGCCCACTGTTGTTATTCATATTACTCCAGATGACGGTAGATTTCTGTGAGTAGTGAAAGCAAAATGCCTCTTTTTCTGTGCAGCTATATCAAGGGAAAACCTTCAATACACCAGCGTATTTCTTGGTTCCATGTTGGTGAGGTTCCTGTTTGACTGTGGTTCACAGCATACATAGTATTCTCCATTTAAACACAAACTCATCATTTCAATGAAGTCTGTTTGTAAACCCAGGAAAGGCAGCCCCTGGCATATATAGTTTTGATGCAACATTGCCACATTGTTTTCAATCTCTGCTTTGCTTTTTCAATCTCTGCACAGTTGAGCAACCAGTGTAAAATGTTGCAGTGGTTTGAATTTGGAGGTTTTTTCTTTATTTGAGACAGCTAAAAATAACAATGGGAATGAAGTTACGATTTTAATTCTTGCTAGAAATATGTCTTAATGGGATACTAAAACACAATTTTATTTTATTACAAACAACCCCTCCTAATTAGGGACAGCAGTAGTATTTGCACTTGAGGATGGCTTACCTATTGAGAGGTATTGAACAAAATGAAATAAATGGACAGGATGGATTGGATGATTTGGTCCTTTCTAGTTCTAGTATTCTTTCTTTCCAGGAAATAGAGAAATATATGATGAGTTATATTTTAAGTTTGAAGTTTGCTTATAAGTAGTATAGAAAATGTGTTTTTAAAATAAATTAACTCATGTTAAAATTTTACATGAAGCTATAGGCTCTGTTTTTGTAGATAAGTGGTCCATTAGATTTTGTATTATGCCATTAGATGTATGAATTAAAACAATTTTAGGGATCAAATTTGAAAAATAATTCCTGCTTAACATAAAGAAGATACTCAGATCAATTTAGTGTGACATTTAAAATATTTTCTGTTGATCACCTAATGTGCGTTATGCTTGCTACATCTTTTCCCATAGATAGTATATAATACAAATGATTAAGACTGGACACTATAGGGATGGGCTTCAGTCTTCTGACAACCTTGGACCCTCTTACAAGTCAAGAGTACAGTGAGATTTATGACAAGTGAAACCAAGAGAGCTTTCTCTTATCATTTTCCACTGTTTGGAAACCCTAGAATCCTAGAGTAGCCAAATAGACCAGCGATTCTCAAATAGTTGTGTATATCATATTTTTCTGGGGAGCTTGTTTAAGTGGGAATTTCTGAGCCCCATTCTAGACATTCTAAATTAATGGTTCCATGTTTGGGTCCAGAATGTGCTGTTTATCAAGCTCTGCCAAGTGAGTCGGATGTTATCATTAGGGGAACCACATATGCAGATGCATTTGAACTAGTACTAGATAGGATAGCAAGAACCCAGCATGCATGGACTTTCTAAGCTATGTTTTCCTCCTTAATATTTACCAAGTATCTGCTGGAAGCCCTCAGTGAAATACCATTCTGTTTTGTGAGACAAATGTAAAGAGGACTAACTTCTTTGGTAAAAGCCATAGGAGTGAGTGACATGGGTGGTTGGGAATGACTCCATGGAGACAGTTATATATTTGGTAGCAAAGAAGGGAAGGGCATTGGCAGAAGGAACATTGTAATGACAGGTTAGTTGAGTGCAATAAAGGCTGAAAACCTTTGCATGGCCTTCAGAGCCCTAGGTGGTCTGGCCTCTGCTCACTTCTGCAGCCTCATTTTACATGAGCCCCAAACCACTTCCATCCCCAGCAACCTTCAATCATCAGTCTCCTTCTGCAACCTGCCCCCGCTTACCTCTAATATATTAACTCCTTATGCTCTTCAGATTTCAGTCCAGCCTCTAAGCCTCTGTTATGAGGTTACTTTTAATACAGTGTGCTTTTCCTCATAAAGTTATTAGAGAAAATATAAGATGCTCAGTTAAATTTGAATTTAGATAAACAATAAAAATTTTTAAGTATAAATATGTCTCAAATATTGCATGGGACATTGTCCTAGTCCCTTCCAGCTGCTATAACAAAAATATTTTAGACTGGGTAATTTAGAAACAATGGAAATTTATTGCTCACAATTCTGGAGGCTGGAAATTCCAAGATCAAGTTCCCAGAAGATTTGGTGTCTGGTCAAGGCCTATTCCTCATAGATGTCCTCACACGGAAGGAGCAAGGCACCTCCCTTCAGCGTCTTTGATAAGGGCACTAATCCCATTCATGAGGGTGGAACCCTCATGACTTACTTATTTTCCAAAAGGCCTCACCTCTTAATACTATCACACTGGGGAGTAAGTTCCAACATATGAATTTGAGAGGGACACCAGCTTTCAGACCATAGCAGACATACTTACATTATTTGTTGTTTATTGAAAACTTAAAAGTATTTGAGTGTCCTATATTTTTATTTGCCAAATCTAGCAATTCTGTTTATGAAGCTCACTAATTTTACAATTTCCTTTTTTTTAAAAAAAAATGGGAATTTTTCATTAATGCCAGTCCCCCTTCACTAATCTACAAATCCTAGAAGACTGAGGACAGGATTAGGGATAAATTGGTCTTGTATTAATCTTGCTGATTTGTCCTTCGTGTTTGAAATAGTATCTGGAACATAGTAGGAGCTCAATAAATATTGTCAAATGAATTAATGACCTGTTGGAGAAAAACAGTATAAACATGAACAAGTTTCTTTTTTAATTTTAATTTTAATTTCATGTTCTGGGATACATGTGCAGGTTTGTAACATAGGTAAACATGTGCCATGGTGGTTTGCTGCACCTATCAACCCATCATCTAGGTATTAAGCCCAGAATGCATTAGCTATTTTTCCTAATGCTCTCCCTTCCCTCAGTCCCTCCCCAACAGGCCCCAGTGTGTATTGTTCCCCTCCCTGTGTCCATATGTTCTCATTGTTCAGCTCCGACTTATAAGTGAGAACATGCAGTATTTGGCGTTCTGTTCCTGCATTAGTTTGCTGAGGATAATGGCTTTTAGCTCCATCCATGTCCCTGCAAAGGACATGATCTCATTCCTTTTTATGGCTGCATAGTATTCCATGGTGTATATGTACCACATTTTCTATATCCACCTTATCATTGATGGGCATTTAGGTTGATTCCATGTCTTTGCTATTGTGAATAGCACTGCAATGAACATACATGTGCATGTGTTTTTGTAATAGAATGATTTATATTCCTTTGGTTATATACCCAGTAATGGGATTGCTAGGTCCAATGGTATTTCTGGTTCTAGATCTTTGAAGAATCGCCACACTGTCTTCCACAATGATTGAACTAATTTACATTCCCACCAACAGTGGAAAAGCATTCCTATTTCTCTGCAATCTTGCCAGCATCTATTATTTCTTGATTTTTTAATAATCACCATTCTGACTGGTGTGAGAAGGTATCTCATTGTGGTTCCGATTTGCATTTCTCTAATGATCAGATATGTTGAGCTTTTTTAACCATGAACAAGTTTCTTAACCTCTCTAAGCCTAAATTTTTTCAGCTGTGAAAAGATGATTTTGTAATCTACTCTTTGGGATTGCATGTAGAGACAGCATAAGGAGAATATACGCAAAGCTCCTAGCATGTTACTTCATAGGCACTGTACTTTAAAAGGTATCTTTTCTTTTGTCTCCATATGTATCTTGTAAAATGAGAGGATACCTTTTTGATGTATAAAATTCCACTTTGTTTTCATTATACTGCAATTTCAGAAGCAATCGATGTTTCCCAAGTATTTACCTAATGCAAGGTAGTCCAGAGGATTCAGCTATGCAGTTACAAAAGTCCTGTTCTCAAGGAGCACCTATCTGTGGGCTGATAACACCTAGGGCCAGCTTCATGGGTCTTTAGCCTTAACAGTCACACTAAGCTTCACGTTTAGAAGAATGCTACATTTGGTTTAGTGTTCTGCTATCACCTCTTGAAATTCTGTGAGTGTGGGGTCCCATGTTTCCCTTTTGCATTGGGCCCTGCCAATTGTGTAGGTGGTCTTGTTAAGCTATGCATATTTGTATCCAGCAAATGCATGCAGAGCATTGTATTTAGTCTTCGTGGTAACCCTGGCCCTCTCCTTACTCAGAGAACTTGTGATTTTCCTGAGATGCATGGCTTATAATTAACTAAACCAAGTAATCAAACACCTAGTTCAGTGTTCTTTCTGCTACATCATGCCTGTCTTCACCTAATTACAATCATCTAGTGTGTTCAGACCTTTAGATGAGCATCTGGAGCTTTTAAAGACTATATCCTTAGGTCTCCTATTCTTCGGTGACTGCAGTGAATCCTCACTGCCATCACTGCTCCTGTAATTGCTGAACAAATGGAACTTAAAGTTCTAGTTCTGCCTTTGTAGAAACACCAGGAACACCAGCAGCTTGATTTCTAAGATGCTATCTCTTCCAATATTTAGGTTTTAACATCTGCAAATGTATGCAAGATAAGTAGTGAACTTTGGGGGGCTAAAATTTATCTAGGAGAAATATCTGAGATGTTTTATTCTTTGCTTTAAATTACCCAGCTGAGTCACGCAGCACGGAAGTTTCTGCAGCAAGGAACAGCCATGTATTTTGGCAGTGGGTAGAGAAGGTGACCCACTTTGTCATTTCAAGCTCCGACTAGCCTCTTTTAAAATGCACGTATTTTAATATCACTTTTTAGTAGTTCTAAGCACGCCAATTTTCTTGATTTCATTTTTGTGCTTCATATCTAAGAAGTGATATTCTAATAAATCCATGGAGCCATTGTCGTGTTTGCCCTCACACCATTCTTTTCAACACAAGACAGAATACTCCAGTCAATGCATATTAAACACATCACTAGCTGCATTGAACACAAAACAATTTAAGTGTAAAGTCTATTACTTTTTGAAGCATCCAATTAAATCTGCAACCTGTGTTTCCTGTTGGCCACATCCATGTGAAGGCAGAAATTACAGACTCACAATAGCAACCATAATCACTTCTGTGGTTCTCGTCTGACCCCAATTGTGGCATTCCCCGCCTGCTTCAAAGATTCCTCACTATTCTTTGAGTCCTTGAAGATTGCTTCTGTAGTTCTTGTCTCCTGCTCTGGTCCCTGCAGCAACATCACCACAGTGTTGCCCAGCCTGCCTCTCACTGCCCAGAATGCCTTGGTTCCAGTGTTGTGGAATCTGCTGATGCTGCCCTGTGCTGTTGATGTCCCTGGAGAGTTTAGAGAATCTGTGAATGTATGAGGCCTGGTGTACGAACATGCCAAGTGATACAGTGTACTGTATTTACAATCAGTTCCCCTCTCTAATGCAGGTCCTTTGTCCTAGGACCATAAATAATGGGCCTCAAATTGCCTTTCACTCAGAATAAGCTTTCTATGAGACTTTTTTTTTTTTTTAAGCCTACAGCTCATGTTCCCAGGTGGTCTTCCACTCAAGTACTAATCAGGCCTGACCCTGCTCAGCTTCCAAGTTGAGATAAAATCCCAAGAGACTTCTTAGTCCCTCCCCTTCTAATCATGCTCAGAGGTATCAGAATACTCATCAGAATTTTATATGTTTATTGCATCATTATTTGCAGTGGTGAAAAATTGAAACAACCTATATGTCTATCAGAACCTGATCACATTAATTATGGTTACTCCAAATAATGAAATACTACACAGCCACTGAAATGAATGAGGTGAACCTACATGGTAAAATGGAAATATTTTGAAGATGTTGTTAGTTAAAAATATAGCAATTTATGACCAGAATATAAATATACATATTTAGTAGAACCGATATAGTATGATTCTACTAAAAAGAATTTAAGGTACATTACAGAGTTTGGAAGAATAAAGATCAAACTCTCTTATCTTTTAGCGTATGGAAAGGACCTTACATATTTTACTTTATATATTTCTGAATTGTTTGAGTTTTCAACAATAAGCACACATGACTTTTGTAATTAAGGCACCAGTAGAGGTGGTAAATATTAATTTCAATATACACCTGCAATGCTGTTTTTCAAGCATGTGTAAGTATTAGTGTTCTAGTGGCTAAAAAAGTGGTGCCAGTTTTTCTCATGGATCTTTTTCCAGGCAATAATGTAGGTGAGGTCATCTAAGTTGTGAGAACGTAAATTGCTTTGGTACTCAATACAACTATTTTCATTTTGAATGAAAAAGGAACATGGCTATAAACACTCAATACAGTGACCTTTGAGCAGGGGCTGCTCATTGCTGACTTAGGTCACTAGAGCTGAGGATCGACCCCCATTCCTCCACCCCCATCCTCAATAAATCTTATTTGTCCAATAGCTGTCAAAAGCCTGTATTAATACTTGGAATATTTTGCTTTTAGGCACATTTTTCACTCTACTCGACTGTGTATTTGACGGGATGGGAGATTGGCATTTTTTTATCTTCTCTTGCTGTGGGCTGGGAATGTTCTCCCTCCTACCATCTCTTCTTCCCCAACTCCCGCCATACACATATTTATCTGTGGAAAAGTCTCCTAATCATCCTTCAATCCTCAGCTCGAAGGTCCCTTTTCATGACACTCCACAGCTCTTTCTCAGTCTCTCCTAGGCCCCTTGCAGCTCCAGCTGTGGAGTGCGTCTCATATTATGTCATGGTGGCTGCTCTATGTGTATTTTCCTACTAGACTTTTATACCTTGAGGAAGAGGCCAAGCCACTGAGATATTTGTAACTCCTGGCACTGGACACATAGGGGCTGGAAGCATTTTAAATTATTTTTAAACCTTTTTTATTAAGGTATATTATATAGAAAGAAAAGTGCATATTTAATAAGGGTATAGCTGCCTTTTCACAAACTGAACATGTCTCTTTATAGAGCACCCATCGAAAATCAGAAAGAATATTTCTAATGCCCCAGAGGTCCCTTGCATGCTCCTTCCAGTCATAACTATCTCCCACTATCCTGACTTCAGTCCTTTGGAGGTGCTTATCAAGTTCTCCCTCTCCTGCTCTGAATTCCATTGTTCCCTGCGCAAGGTCTGAGAAGCTGCTTGGCAGAGTCTTGCTTCTGCCAGTGGACATGCGAGTGGTGTGACTGTGTCCAGAATGTTGTTTGGGTGCCCAGAACTTCCAGTCCACAAGGTAGAGGCAGAGAAAAGAGCCCCTAATTAATTGCACACTTAGCCATTGGCCCTGCAAAGCAGCTTCGCTTGTGACCAAATTCTAAGCCCCTCATGAGCAATTCTATCATTTGACCTCCATGCCTTGTCCAGAATTTCACAAAACTGTTCTTGCACGGTCCTTTAGACCTGGGCCTTATTCTTCTTATCCTCCAAATATGAACTCATTCCAGTGAATCGGAATGCAACAAACTGACTTCCAGACTGTTCAAATTTCTCCTCTATCAGCTGGCTTCTGAGCCGCAGTGATCTGGATAAAGCACATTGCATTCATCCCTCTCTCTGTACTAAATATTCTGAATTCTTATCACAAGGCCAAGAAACTCATTGGAGAACACTGGGCTCTTATCAAATTATTTTCCCCCTTGTAGACTTGCTTCTAATGTCTTTCCCTTTGACATCACTATTCCAAGGAACAGTTTTAAGGAACTTCCCATATTTATTTTAAGGATGTTGCCCATTATATTACCCGTTGCCCTATTCATTACTGTCTATTCAAGAAATGTTTTTGGAGCTGGATGCAGTAGCACACACCTGTAGTCCCTGCTACTTGGGAGGTTTAAACAGGATTGCTTGAGCTTAGGAGTTCAAGACCAGCCTGGGCAAAATGGTGAGACTCTGTAAATAAAGAAACAAACAAGTAAATAAATAAATAAATAAAATGTCTTTGGAGTTTCAGCACTATAAGAAACTGTGAGTCTCCTGAGAAATGATTTTGTTTTATCAATTAAATTCATGATGGTATAATTTTTTTCCACAGAAAACATAGATTATAAATATATAGCTGGATCAGTTTGACAGGTGTATACATCTGTGTAGCCAAAAGCATATCTCCATTACCTTAGAAAGTTCCCTGTATCCCTTTTCATTCATTGCCTCCTTTCCCAGAGACACTGTCCTAATTTTTATCACCAAAGATTGGTTTTGCTTATACTTGAAATTCAAATAAAAGGAATCATACAGTATGTACTCTTGTGTCTGTTTTCTTTTTTTTAACACCGTATTTTTGAAAAGATTCATGTTTTTTTGTGTATCAATAGTCAATTCTTTGTCATTGCTGAATGCATAGTATTACATTATATGAATATACCACAATTTGTTTCTCTGTTTATCTGTTGGTAGATGTTTGAGTTGTTTCCACATTGGAGCTATTATCAATAAAGTATCTATGAACATCCTTGTGCATGTTTTGCTATGTAATGTAGTATTCACAGGTTCTGGGGATCAAGAAGTGAATATATCTTTGGGGAACCATTTTTCTGCATACCACACCTTCTGTATATCTTCTCTGATGCAGTGTCTGTTTATATATTTTGCCATTTTTCAATTGGGTTGCTTGCTTTCTTATTGTTGAATTTTAAGAGTTCTTTGTGTATTTTGGATACCAGATATGTATTTAATCAGATATGTGTTTGCAAATATTTCCTCCTAGTGTGGCTTGTCTTTTTATACTATTGACAGTGTCTTTTGATGAAAAAGAGTTTTAAATTTTAATAAAGTCCAATTTTTCTCTTTTTTTTCCTTTCATGGATCATGCTGTTTGTGTGGTATCTAAAAATCTCACCAAAAAGCCCAAGGTTATATAGATTTCTTTCAATGTTTTTTTTCTAGAGATTTTATAGTTTTACATTTTATAATTGGGTCTATACTCCATTTTAATTTTTGTTTAAAATGAAATATATAGTTTCAGAGGCTTTTAAATTAACAGACTTTATATTTTTGAGTGGTTTATAGAAAAATTGAAAATAAAGTACAGAGTTCCCAGTTACTCCACCCTCATGAGGTCCCAGTTCTTGCATCCATGTAGTAGATTTGTCACAATTGATGAGCCATTACTGATACATTATTATTAACTGAAGTAGTAGAATTTCATTGATATGCCTCTTATTAATTAACAAATCAGTTTCTTCAATAAAGGCTATCCAGAGTTTCAGTTTCTTCTTATGTCAGCTTTAGTGTGCTGCCTTTAAAAAGAAATTTGTCAATTTTATCTGGATTGTCAAACTTATTGCATAGTTATTTATCATCATTAGTTTGTTTTTATCTTGTAGACTCTGTGATTCTTGTATCTAATTGTATTTATTTCATTGCTTTGACTTCTCAGGTCAGTCAAGTTTTTATATAGAGTCTTCCAAAGTCATGTGGCATTATCCAAAGACCTTTAAAAATATATATGAATTATTTAAGAATCATTTCTATTTCATTAGAACGTGGAAGATTAGTTGCCTGTGGTTATATACAAGTTTTTTAAACTCATAATTTATTTTTTTGTCATTGAATAAAAGCTCTAAAAATATCAGAATGTTAGTAACTAGATAGAATGGTATATTTAGTTAATTTGAAAAATAACTAAGTGATAGAAGCCAGGTTTGTGGAAAATACCAATCCCTTTGAAAGCAAAACTGTTGATAAAAAAATGAATTACTCATGGGTTTTTCTTTGGGTCTACTCATTACTTAATGCTGTATATGTTTAAAATCTAAAAGGATAAATGAATTCTGATTTGAATTTTGATAACAAAGGCTTTATTTTGTGAAAACTATCGGTCTTAATCCTTATTACATCTCTGCCTGCTTTTACATGAATCTGTCAGGATACAGAAGCTTTACATATTCTATCTTTCCACGTGATTGTAGGGGAGTGAGTTCATGAAATACACATTGGTATGATTTGTTGAAGGGTTTTTCTAATACCCAGCACCTCATATGGCTTGGATTGAGCATTTATGTTTATATTGCACTGGTTAACTTCTATCTTTTCCCTATATTTTATCCATTGCTTCTTTTTCCTAATATCTATCAATTCCATGTCCAACATCATAAATTTCTTATTGGCTTTCCCTATTCTTCTTTTAACAATACTTGTATTCTTTATGCTGAGAAAAAAGGAAAACTGTCTCATTTGATATATGAGACATTGATTGCCACATCATGCTGCTTACATCAACCACTTTAAAAGTTAGTGACATAAAGCAACAATCATTTATTTTCATCCACAAATCTGTAAATTGGCTGAGGGCTAGGTGGTCTAGACTGAGCATGGCTGGGGTTTTTTCAAGTTGCATTTTGAATTCAGGTCTTTTATCCTCCTGGGTTAATAAATTACCCAGTTCATGTTTTCTGCGTGGAGGTGGCAGAAGTATGTGAAAGGTGAGCAGAAACATGTGATGCCTTGTGATGATTAGTTTTATGCATCTACTAAATTGGGCCATGGGGTGCCCAGATATTTGGTTAAACATTATTTCTGGGTTTGTCTGTGAGGGTATTTCTAGAGGCAATTACCTTTTGAATTGGCAGACTGAGCAAAGCAGATTCCTAGGCCTCACCCAATCTGTTGAAGGCTTGAATAGAATAAAAGGCTGATTAAAAAAGAATTCTTTCTCTCTGCCTGACTGTCTTTGAGCTGGGACATTGATCTTCTACCTTTGGATTCAGGCTTTGATTTAAATTATACCATTGACCCTCCTGGGTCTGCACTTCTTAGCCTCCATAATTGCATGAGCCGATTCCTTATAACAAGTCTCTTTATTATTTCTCTCTATATTTATATCCATATGCATCCTTCTAGTTCTGTTTCTCTGAAGCTAATACCTACCTCTTAACCCTAGACTCAGAGCTGGTACACTGCCACTCAGCCCACATTCCATTGACCAAAGACCTACAGTGCACAATACAGTTCCACATAAGCAAAGCCTTGCCTTGCATGTCGCACAGTTTTCCAGTGTCCCAGCAGATATCTATTTAGGTAAAAAAATCTGTTTCTAATAATTTAAGCCTAGAATTGTATTCTGTTTTATATATAAACACAGTATCTTTTGCACAATTTTGATATGTTGTAAATTTTTTAGGAGTAAAACTACTTGTAAATCAAGGGAAGACTATATTTTGTTGTGTTTAAAGTCTTACTGAGAGTTGTTCATCATTTCTGCATATCACATTGCCACTGGTGACAAACCTATTTGTGACATTAAGTTGCCAATAAGCACACCTGTATTTGTCTACATTGGCATTTGTTGCATTTGTGATTATTCTACACTTAGATATTAGCATCCAATGTCTTCATTTTGTATTTGAGAGTTGTTACACTGGAACATATACATATTTTAAAACATAATTTGTTATTATTTCTTCTATTTGACCTTAAGGCATTATGCTGATATTTTAAATTTATGTGTAGAGGTAGATTATAATATCTATGAATATTATTTAATAAGGCATTGCTAAATATGTGTTATTACTAGGTGCTTTTGAACATCTCTAAATCCTCTATATTTTAGCACTACATTGTAGTAAGCTGACATATTTGGAGGTGGGAAAGGAGAAGGATATAATACAGAGAGCTCTTCTATCTTAATATTGTGTCTGAAGGGAACATGTTCTTTCTGTGAAGGCAGTCACATTATTCTCTCTCTGGCAGTAGTTGAGAGAGGGTAGTGTGTGAGCTGGGCCTACCTACAGAGATGGGTGATCTGGAGAAAATGTGCAAGCGTTTACCATAATTCTGCCTCTGAGGCTCTCCTGAAACCCAGGCAGTCCGAAGGCTTGTCCTGTGAAGGTCCTGAGTTTTTTACTGTGCAGCTCTAATTTTGATTAGTAATGAGTAGGAACAGGGGAAGCTTAGGGAGAAAAGAAACAGGTGTTCAAAGATGGCTGCTTCAACAACTGTGGGAGATGCCCAGTAGGAATCTGGTGGTTTCTTTCTAATACTATTTTTTAAATTCTGTTATTCTTAGAGGTCACTGTCAGTCAGTGTTTCCTGTGGGAGTCCCCTGCCAGAGTCTTCTGTGTATAAGAGTGGGAGCCTCCTGACTTGCTTCCTGAAGAGACTCTTACAAAAGAGGGGCTGAAGGCCTGGTGACCAATCTTTGTCCATAAGCTCAAGGATATTATATTTTCCTATTAAATGAAACTGATTTAAGGGCAATTCAGAAGAAATAAATCAGAAGACATTGAAAGAGTGACCCAGGACTAAATAACAGATGCTGCTCAGTGGGCCTTTTTGTCTAAAGCTGGAGTATTGATAAAGGCATCACACTCTATCTGCGGCATGCAGAAGACATTGTTGTCGGGGCAAAGCTATCCTCATTTATTGATAAATACATTACAGCTAATTGTTTTCCCAAACATTCATCACTCTGAACCTGATACGTAATAATCATGCCTGCCTTTTGGCATACAGATGTGTGTGCACAAAGTTTGATTATATTCAACAGCAGTAAATGCAAAATGAACAAACAAAACAAAACAAAAACAACAAATAATCAAACAATAAACCTGTAAAGGTTAACATCCACTTCCCAGAAAGCCTGAGGAGAAAAGCCAGTGATTAATATAATTAAATGTGAGACCATGAATCCAGGTCATCTTATACCTGTACCTTTATTTAATATCAGGAGAATGATGCAATTCTTCTTACGGGCTGACATCAGCAAAACCTGCTGGCCCTAGAAGTTGTGGAGGCATTGGAGCGCTGCCTAAATTGCCCACTGATGGGGAGAATCTGAGCCAAGATTAAAGGGATGCTTTGCAATGAAGAACTAAGTTATTTGCTCCCAGCTTTGGGGCATTATGTACTTCCTTATTACCATATTATATATTATTACCTTATTACCCTATGAGTTGCTATGTTGATTATCATGTCAGACAGTTGGTGTAACATCATATTTCACTTAATAAAAGTCCCAGATATGATGGAAAATAACAGTTCATTCTGTATGTGATCTGCTGGCTTAGAATTTTTTTTCTTACTAGACGATTTTGAAATTGGGTACTACAAAATTTAAAAATTGTATGATCTTTGCCTAAGATTGAAGTGCTATAAAATGTATACCTGAGCTCCTGAGACTCCTAGTGATGTTTTTGAAATATTTTTACTGTACTTCCTGTTTGCCATATTAGTGCTTTCTTTTGCTCGTGTGTGTGTGTGTGTGTGTGTGTGTGTGTCTTGTCTTCATGTCCTGTTGCTGCTAGTGATGAGTTGTAACATCTTCACTCAGGAAATGATGACATCGTTAAATGCCTTCTCAGGGTTCTCTGATCACACTGTACTTTTCTGCTTATAAGGGTTTCCTTCTCTCTCAGGATAACCAACCACTGATTTTTAGTCTGGCTGACATATGACAACACAGAATTCTCTTTCATAGCAGTTTTCACTGTGTCTTTGACTGACAGCACTGGGAATCAGGATCTCTAGCTTCTCAACATAACATCTTCTCAGGCTAACTATTGGTTTCATTCTTAGCCTGTAGGACATTTGGGTTTATGTTCAAGGTAGTTCAGCTTAACCTTCTATTAACAGTAAGAAGGATTCATATTGTATTTTCTGATCATACCAGGTTTTCCTTCTCTTCATCCGAGCTGAATTTCTCATCCACCATTTCAAGTTTAATTCTAAGAACTAATATGTGTCTCTGAGAGTGTATTTTTTAGGCTCAGATTTCTCATGTCTCAGAAGTGGTAACACTGAGAGTTGTGGTTAGATGTAAATTCTGGCTCTTATTTGAATTTTTAGAACATGCCCAAAGTCTCTGAATGTACAGCCATGTCAGCAAATTGGCCAAAATATTTTATTTGTAAGATGCTCAGTAAGCATTTATTGTATCAATTAGCCATAAAATTAGCAAATTCTTTTTAGCTTTGTTAAATATTAGGATAATAGGAAAAGGAGGAGCTTTAGAGAAATCATGACCTTTTTTTAGTTCTGGTTTGTGTAAAGCTGCCTTTGGGTCAACTGGAGGTCCAGTTTGGCGACTTATTTGCTTATTAGCTCATAAGCTACAGCTATGCTAGATGAAATAAATGCAACTTCACAGTATGTAAGAAAACTAGCATCAAATTCAACTTTTTTCTACGTTTGAATTAAATTATACATTTAATTCAACTTAGCATCAGTTATTGCCCTTAAAGAGCACTCTTTCCTATGGGATCATAAAAGGTGCTGGAATTTCTCTAGAGATAAAAAGTCACACTAGTGATTTAATAACAGTCTTTAAGTATTTAAAGGGCATATGCCAAAAGATAATGCCTACTTTCTCTTCTTAACAGGATTGAAGAAAATAGACATTAGGAGATAACTGAAATATTTTAAAAAATGAAATAGAAATTTCAATCAATCAACAAATTGACCATCTCCCTTGTGCAAGGGATATGCTATGCTAATTAGGAGAACTGAGGTGGGTGGGATCTCAATAAGCATGCATACCTGTGAGGGAGAGCTCAGACAAGTTGTCTATCAGCCCTGTGCAACAGAGTGAGGATTCAGTAAAAGAAGTCCAGAACTCCATGGTGGTTTGAAGGCAACAGTCTGGTGTTTGCTCGAGGTAGGGTTTCTCAACCTCAGCACTACTGACATTTTGGACCAGATAATTCTTTGTTGACAGAGGCTGTCCTGTGCATCGTAAGATGGCTTATGACAGCCTTGGCATCTACCTAGTAGATGACAGTAGCATTTTCCCCTGCATTGTCACAACCAAAAATGTTTCCAAATATTTCCACACGTCCCCAAGGCTGGGGGTTGGGGGGAGTGCAGAATTGCCCTCGTTTAATAACCACTGATTTAGAAAATGGCTTTTGACATTCTCCCTAAAGTGCAGTAAGTTTTATCAGGCCAAAAGAGGGAGATGCAGGATGTATGAGGAGAGGGAATCTTGTGAATGGGGGTGCAGAGGTGGAGCACCCTGGGTGATTTGGGGAGTGGCGAGTGATCCTCTTGGTCTGGGAGAGAGGACAGAAACACAGGCAGTGGTGGGAGATTGAGCTGAAGGGTGGGTGGGACTCTGTGAAGGTCAGGTGCAGCAGTTTGGGCTCAATTTCAGCAGAAGTTACCTTTATCGGAACCACACATTTAGAAAGATTAATTTGAAATCAGGTGTACAGTGGCTTAGGTCAGGAACAGCCTTGAGGTAGAAATACCAGTTAGGAGTGGCCAATTTCCATTACTTTGTAGAGATGAAATTCTGTTCTTCATTCATTCTGTGAAGTGGCTAGCCCATATGTATTTATCATGTCTCTTGAGTGCTAGGCACTGCCCCAGCTGTGGGAGGTAGAACCTAGAAGACAAAGTGCCTGTTCTCATGGAGTTTACAGTCTAGAGGGGTTGAGATGGACAATTAGCAAATAAAAATGAAACTATCAGAAGAACTTTCAAACAGTACTTAAAAGCTATGAAGACAGTGCAGCAGTTGATGTCAGGGACAGTGACTGCTAATAATTATTATAAAATTCATTATAAGAAACTCAGACATACTCATAGTTTTTTACATCAACATTTATTAGAAATTTCATCCAAAGGTGGCCAAAAATAGAGGTAAAATAGAATATATGTTTCTCCTATTGGCACATGAATGTCTCTGCTATGAAGAACTTTTTTTGGTAAATTTATTCATTGGAGAGAGGCTTTACTGCATGATTATGAGGACATTGAGACAGAGTAGAAGGGGAAGAGGAAAGAAGGCAACTAACATTTGCAAGGTTCCCAACACATGCTGCTGTGCTGCTGGGCACTTGATATTTAGTTTTTATCACACCCTCAGTCCAGGTCACTGTCATCTCTCACTTGGAATAATATAACAACTTCCTAACAGGATCTTTGGACTTCAGTTTTGTCCATCTTCATACCATTATCCTACCTGAATGACCTTTGTAAAACACAAAAGCACCATGTCTGTTCTTGTGTTTAAAATCACCAAAACACCATGTCTGTTCTTGTGTTTAAAATCACCAGTGGCTGTTTCTTCCCTTAATATAAATTAGCAATTCTTTACCAGAACCACAGTGCACTCCCTCAAGTCCTTGATGGCATCATGCTCTCCTCTGCCTCCTCTGATCCTTTATGCCTGCCTGGAGACTCTCCACCTCCCACCCACCCACCAGATCACATAGCTAACTCTCACTCATCCTTCAGGACTCAACTAAAGATGATTTCCTTAGGGAAGTCATTCCTGGTCTTCTAAGGTCCACCTTAGGCACCCTTCCAATGTGCACCCTCCCAGTGGGTTGTGTTATCCAGTAGCAATTACTCTATGTTGTGAATGCTCATTCTCTTGTCTGTATTTTGAAGGTTCACTCTGGTGAACCCAGGAGGTGACACAGGGCTTGGCACAATCACTATAGAGGGAATGAATCAGCATTTTAGAAAGGAAAGGGCATAATCCCAGAGAACACATATTACTTGCTCAAGGTCACAGAGTTTTAAATAGAGCTTTTATACCTGTCAGGCTTAAAAACCCAAGTTCTGCCCATATACCAAGGGAATCTGTGTGTTCTGCAGAGCCATGTGAGAGCCTTATAAAGACTCGTTTGGCTTAGATGGTTTACTTGTAGCCTTGTTGAGAGATGTTGAATAAATATACGTTATTAATCACTCAGAAAAACATGCCCCTGACTTTAGTAGTCTCTTTCATTGATGTGCTTCTGTGATTATCACCAACCTAGAACTGCCAAGGCTTGACACTTGTTTATATCCAGAGGCAGCCTTAACATTTAGAAGAGCTAGATTTTGTTTTTTTATTAGTTTTGTTCATTAATATTCTATTGGACGTTGACAAAGTGCTTTTTCTTACAGCACCTGATATGTGTCACTGCTTCCTCTCCCCATTCTGTTAGAGTATCAGTCCATAAGACCATACAGGAATGTGTAAAAAAAAATGGAGATTGCAATAATGCATAATTAAAACTGCTGAAATATTTAGTATTTTGTTTAATGGGTCTCTAAAGTTGTAGCACCTTTGATTCATTATTTACCAGTATGTATTTAGTCCTCATACCTTTTTGTAGTCACTGAAATGCAAAGCAGGGAGAGAGAGAGAGAAACTTTGATGTATTATTCACCTGCATCTGAGCTTATTCCTAATTTAAAGACTGTAGTAAATAGCGTTGTTTTTCCTGAGCACATAGAAATTTAAACAATAATTTATAAAACAAAATATTTCAAGTAGTATAATACTGAAATTATCTTAAATATTAATGTCCCCTCACTATGTGTCTTAGAAGGGAATATAATGATTGTGCAAAGAAACCCAAAATTCTCCTTCAGATTATGTTAATCTCTGGAGTTTTCACCATTACCACTTCTGGCCAACCTAGATGGGTTTGCATGTCAGCCTATGGCACATAAAGACAGCCATAGCTTCACCAGACAGTTGTATGCTCTTATAGCAATATGCTAGTTACTTATATTAAGTTTGATTAATAGACTAATAATAGCAAATATTTATTGAATGCCTGGGTGCTGTTAGGGCACCTAGACTGTTTGTATGCATTATCTTATTTAAACCTCACAGTTCTAGGAGATTGGTACAATTTTAAGGTGTTTTCTGATGAATTCTGCTAAACATTTAAAGATGAAATAATATCTATTTTACACAAGCTCTTTTAGAATATAGCAAAAGAGGATACACTTTCCAACTCATTTTATGAGGACAGTGTTACTTTAATACTAAAACCATACAAAGATATTTCAAGAAAACAAAGCTACAGACCAATATCCCTCATGAACATAGACACAAATACTCTCAGGAAAATACTAGCAAATTGAATCCAGAAATGTATAAAAAGTATATACATCATGACTAACTTTATTCTATGTAGTCTATGGAAGGCCCTAGAAATATGTTCATTTCTTAGGTGACTTTAACTCATTTGCTAACATCAGAATAAAAGTCAGCAGAGAGGAGTGACAGGATATATGATAGCTGTAGGTAGCACTATGAGCATTTTGTAGATGCCTGCCTGTATGTGACAGTTGTTAACTGTTCTAATGTCAGTATTGGCCAAGGCCCACGGGAAGGGAGCTGGCCAAAGTGCTGAAATGCCTGGCCAGTCCAACAAAACGCACTACAACAGAATTTCCTCAACTTATTTGATCAGGGAACAACTGAAGCTAAATTCAGGGGACAATTCACAGTTCTCATATTTCTATATTTATCAGCAACTTTTTTAAGAGACAAGGTCTTGCTATGTTGGCCAGGCTGGAATGCAGTGGCTATTCAGAGGCCTGATAATGGCACACAGCAGCCTCAAATTCCTGGGCTCAAGTAATCCTTCTGCCTTGGTCTCCCAAGGAGCTGGGACTACAGGTGTGTGCCACTGTGCCTGGCTGCAAAAACGTTTCTTCAATAGATACTAGTGAATAGAGCTTTATCAGCAACCTCTGACATAGTTAATCACTTCCTTCTTGTGCTAATTATTAACATACTCTCTAGCTCCTAACCTACCTTTCTACATTCTGTTTGCGATACTAGAGATGGGACTCTGCAGACTATATTCCTGAGATGGCTCCATGGTAGGCTCTGCCAATAGGAGACACTAGAGGGAGATGAGAGAGACTGGCAAGCTGGAGGAGGAAGAAGGGACCTGCTCTTTCTCATTCTCTTTTCATGGGCTTTTGTCTACATGCGGTTGTTGTGGGTGTCATGCCTTAGAAAAACTTCTTCACCCCAGAAGAGGCAGTTTCTTCCTATTTCAGCAGATGATTCTCGTTTGCAGTTTTTTCCCACAGTTGCAGAAGCTGTCTCTATGGGTTGAATAATTTCCTCCAAAAAGTCATGTTCTCCCAGAACCTTAGAATGTGATATCATTTGGAAATAGAATCTTTGCAGATGAAAGTAGTTAAGATGAGGTCATACTGGATGAAGGTGGGCCGTAAATCCAAGGTGTCCTTAGAAGAAGGTTATGTGAAGACAGAGGCAGAGATTGGAATGATACATCTTCAAGTCAAGAAATGCCAGGGATTGCTGGCAACCACCAGAAGTTAGGAGAGGCAGGGAATAGATTCCTCCTCAAAGCCTCCAGAGGGAGCATTGCCCTGCCACCACCAACGCCTTGATTTCAGGCTTCTAGCTTCCACACTATCAGAGGACACATTTCTGTTGCTTTAAGTCATGAGGATTGTGGTAATTTGTGGGGCAGCCTTAGGAAATGGATACTGCCTCATCATAGCCCTCTCACAGACACAAGCCCCAGATAGCTAGCACCCTTTTTTAAACAAAGGAACCCAGGGGTTCTCTCTCGGTCCCTCAAACCAGTTGAGTAGCACCTGCTTCTCAGAAGTCTGAGTTTCAGCTCTGTAGGGCCCTTTCTCTAAGTTTATTTAATAATTAAAACTCATACCTTTGCTCCCCCAGCCCTAGAGGTTATAGTTTTTCTTCCTTGCAGTTGCTACCTTTGTGATATTTTACAGTTCTCTTTTTGCCCTTTTTGTGACCTTGCTAACAACTTCATACTTAATAATTATTTACATTAAATTATCTGCGTTCAGTCTCCCAGCTGGATGCTGACATATACACACCCTCCCTGATAGTCTTTCACCATTAATTTCAAGTGAAATTGCAGTCTCTTGGTCTTCCTCCTGCCACCTAGGTACCTCCTCAATCTTCTTTGCTGGTTTACGCTCTTCTCCCCAATCTCTTAGCTTTCCTGTGATCCGGGGAGCAATCTTCTCTTCACCTCTCCTCCCTTCTCATCTTACACTAACAGTCTTGGTGATCTCATCCATTCTTGTGGCTTCAAACTCCATCTATATGCTGTTCACTCCCAAATGCATATGTTTGGCCCAGACCTCTATCCCCTGAACTTCAGCTACATACTCAGCATCTCCATTGGATGTCTAATCAATAGCTTAAATTTAATATGCCTAAAAGCTGAACTCTTGATGCCTTCTCTGCACCTGCCCCCACCAAAACCTGCTGCTTCTCTACCCTACCCCATCTGAGTTGATAGAAAATACATCCTTTCCCTTCCTCTCTTCCTCTTGTGTACCGCATCAGGAAGTGCTTGTGCCTCTGCCTTCAAATTATAACCAGAATGTAACCACTTCTTGCCACTCCCACTGCTGTCTACTATCCCGTGCCCCCTCCCATCTGAACTACCTGAATTACTGAGGTAGCCTCCCACATACCTCTCTGCTTCTACTTTTGTCCTCCTGGAGTTCATCCTGAGCATAGCAACCAGAGCAATCTCTTAAAAGAAGTCAGATCATGTCCCTTCTCTGTGCAAATCCCTGCAGTGACTCCTCTGCATACTCACAGTAAAAGCCGAAGTCCTTACAGATGTACACAGGGCTTTATATCCTATGACCCCTTCTTACATTTCTGGGCTCATCTTCTGCTCTTCTCTTTCATTACTCTGTTCCAACCACACTGGCCTCCTTCCTGTTTCTTTAATACATCAAGCATGCCCCTGACTCAGGGATTTTGTTTTGTTTTCTCTGCCTGGAACATTCCTACTACATAGATCCTCTTGGATGTCTCTTTCCTTCTTTAAGTCATTGCCTGAATCTCATCTCTATGAGGCCTACCCTGAATTCTCTAATTATCACACAACCTATCCCCTCCCTACTCACAATCCCCCTTGCCTTACTCTTTTTTTTCATAGCATATATCATCTTCGAATAAACATGTGGCTAATTTTAGTGTGCTTATTGTTCATTGTCTTTCTCCCCATGCTAGCAAGTAAACTCCACAAGGCAGGGTCTTGCTTGTCATTGTTGCATCCCAAGTGCCCAGAATAGTGCCTGACACACAGCAGTTTATATCTCGTGAGTGTTAAAAGAATGAACGTATTCACAAATCATAAATAGAAACTCAAGAAATGTGTTATGCAGTTGAGGTAAAGTAGACCACAAAAATGAGTATACAAAGGAATTAAAGACTGCCAGGAATAACCAAATAATCCAATGGCAAAATATACAATTCCAATATTAGACTTCTCAAGAAAATCAGTAAGCAATCCAAAAATGAGGTGATTAACAACAAGTCAAAATATTCTAATTTAGGAGCAACAGAGTGTTTCCAAATATGAGGATTATAAATTTTTTGTTTAATTCCAACAATTTGAGAGTGATGAGAGCTTGTTGCTTTTGTGAATTCTAAATGTTTAGTGTACAATAATACCTGTTAATACTTCTCTGACCTACAATATACCTCACACGGTTTAGGAAATGCTGCCATGAAATACTGACTAGCTCGTGAGTTAGATTTTGCATATATGCATTTATGTATAATAAGAAATAATACCTTGCAGTTTTCAGATTATTATTAATTACATTTTCATTTGATACTGTGACAGTTAAGAATTGATTACAGCAGTTACATAAAGTATCTTTGAAGACCCACAAAAAAGGCAATCGTCTTGGCTGGACATGGTGGCTCACGCCTGTAATCCTAGCAGTTTGGGAGGCCAAGGCAGGCGGATCACTTGAGGTCAGGAGTTCGAGAACAACATGGTGAAACCGTCTCTACCAAAAATATGAAAAATTAGCCAGACATGGTGGTGTGTGCCTCTAGTCCCAGCTACTCAGGAGGTTGAGGCAGGAGAATCACTCAAACCCATGAGTCGAGGTTGCAGTGAGCCAAGATCACACTACTGCAATCCAGCCTGGGCAACAGATGAAGACCCTATTTCAAAAAAAAACAAAAGCAAGTTTATTAACAGAATTTATTTTCATGAGGTTTTGTTAAGATTTGTCATTTTAAAATAATGTTTAATTCTTGAAGTCGGTAAAATATCTACAGATCTTCTTAAACTTTGCATTGCACCTAAGTATGCAAAAATCACATTTTGGGAAAAGGTCAATCACATTTTGTCCATACAGCACAGTAGGCAAATGTTGCATATATTTGTTTTTCAGGATACTTTTTTGGATGTTGGTCTACATGGAGCATAGGGCACCTTATTTTAGGACCACTGACCTGTGATTGACAGAGAGTGGGGAATCAACAAAAGATTATGTAATATGAAAGCAACTTAAGGATTTTTTTGGAGTATTTAGAAAGCATTTTTTAAAGTTCTTGCTTTTCAAAATGTAATAGCAAAGATAGGTAGTTAAACAATAATGTGAGAATAGTAAAGTTAACTTATATAATGTGGCCAGTTAAAAGAGATAAAATTGGAGTGATGTGCGTTCTCTAGGGATAAAAGAGGACACAAGAAACGGAATGAGATAAAAGAATTTGGAAGAGTCATACAGAAAGGCAAATGTAGAAATATGGGAACAGAGAGTCCGAGTATTAGAGACATGCACAACTTTTGCAGAAGCTGCTCTAAGGAAGTCTTTAAATTTCTATATTTTAACATAAAATATTTAAGCACAGGTGTTCTTAAAATTGTATTCTTCACCATATTAGAGGGGAGAATACCTTTCTCTTATGCAAAAAATAAATACCCGTATTCCATCGAGGCCAAAAATTTTTTTTCATTGGATAACCTTAACTTCATTTAACCTTTTAGGATATAAAAGATCATGTTTTGGTTTCAAGCTAAAGCCTTAAATTATCTTTTGCTGCTTGACCTGGGGATCAAATGGATCAAATGTGAGTCCCACCCTAAAGCAAATGGCGATAACATGTTAGTTTCATTAACTGTGGTGAAAAAAATATAATTTGGTTGTTTGGCGTCATGTAGACAAAGAAGTTGACTAACTTTTGAGCTATCTGCTGGTGGTGTTTTCTTGTATCTCAACATTGTCCTGTTAGTGTTAGAGATGATGTGAATAGCCCAAGGTCCCCAGCCAATATCTGGCCAACGAGAGATGTGAGTGACTTTCTTTTTCTTTTGATGATCTTTGTGAATTTATAATTATAGAACCATCCTTTTTGCTTTTAAACACTTGGAGGAGGAGATTCAGAAGAAGAATTTGTGTTAGAGGACTAATTTCCAAGCCTTAACTGCTTACTGTATTACTACATATATCTTTAAAATATGTTGAAAGTTTCAGTGAATGAGAAGGAATGAAAAGAGCAAAGGAAAGTGATAGGATTGTTCATGTGTGCTCATAAATATTCTATCTTTCTTCTTTCTAGTCTAATATCAGAAGAGTTGCAAAGGGCTCAATCTCTTGAGATTACAAGAATAGTGCCATTTACTATGTCCAATGAACAGTATCTAGCTGAGATTTGAAGTATCTGCAAACCTCACTTAAAAATTTGAGGGGGAAGGATTATAGGGAAAACACCAATGAAATATGTTATAATTCTTCTTAAGTATAATCAAATGTGGGTTCATTTCATATACAGTCAGTTCTTTAGTAGGATGGGTGTTACGGGTTAAAATGTGTCCCCGAAAAGAAATGTTAAAGTCCTAATCTCCCATACGTGTGAATGTGCCCTTGTTTGGAAGTAAGGTTTTTGCAGATGCAATCAAGTTAAGGTCATTGGGGTGGGCACTAATATGACTGGTGTCCTTATGAAAAGAGAGAAATTTGGCACAGACACATAGGGAGAAACTGAGGCAGAGACTGGAAAGATGCCCCTACAAGCCGAGGAATGCCAAGGCTTGCTGGCCACCGTGGGAAGCTGGGAAGAGGCAAGAAAGGGTTCTCTACAGGTGCCAGAGGGAACGTGGCTCTGCTGACACCTTCATTTCAGACTTTTAGCCTCCAGGATAGGTGAGACAATCTATTTCTATTGTTTTAGGCCATCCAGTTTGTGGTATATTTTTACTTGGAAAAGGAGTACTGGGGAACTAATACAGTGGTTTATGTCTAGGAAAGTCATTTAAATCCACAATGACTTAAGTCAACTCTGATTTTCCATAGAAATAGAATAACAATTAGTGGTTACATTTCATTATGACCAGTCCAGTTCTTCAGAGGTATGGCCATCCACAGTATTTTTAGTCACCTAACAACTGTAAGTGGTGTCCCTCTGAATCAAATCGTGTTTTCTAACATGCATACCCCAAAGGACTGACTTCTATATTTTTTGAAATCTTTAGGAAAGGAACCCTGCTGAATAGGGGAGAAGCTATGGGGTTATGTCAAAACAATGAGAAGGGCTGGTGGGGGCAGAGGCAGCAGAGAAAGAAACAGAGGCAGCAGAAAAAAAAACTTTTACCTGAAGTCAAGGGCATGGAGTGTGATTTGTTGTGCTCGTTGGGAAGTGGATGGCTTGGATGGTGGACAGTATCACTTGGTACCTCCTCTGTGACTGCAGGAAGTAGGGGCATGAATGTCTTTGGTAAGAATCTACTTGGGTGGAATTGCTGCATTTTCATATGAAGTTAGTAGGCAGGGCACTCTCTCCAGCAAAGGCACGTTCCTGAAAGAGCTATTTTTCTAATTCAGCAGACCCTCGGGGTTTCTGGAGTTAACATTTGTGGTCGGACAATCGAGAGAAGTCTCATGAGTCACTGAATTGAAGTAATTGTGCTGAAGCACACATTTGATCACAGAGGCTGCAAGGTTGGTGTGCAGAAGTGAGTTCTGGGCACAGGAGCCAGCCTAGCAGCCCATGGGCACCAGCCTCACGGCATAGCTCTGTTGTTCGCAATTTGTCTCCTTACGGACATTTTATCGAGAAATTAGAAACTGAATTCTGAAACCAGGATGGGATGAAACATATTGGAAAGCTGATGCAGTGTTGCCTGCTTGCCACAGTGGTGCAAAGAACATGAGTGTTGGGAGTTCCCCAGGGCTCAGCAGCTGAGAGAGAACAAGATTCAGAGCCAGAAATCTTAGATATGGGTTCACATTTGCTAGAACCGGCTCTGTGTGACTCTGGGCCAGTCGCAATGCATCTCTCCATCTCAATTATTTTTTCTACAAGATCTACCCTAGGTACTTATGAGGATCAAGTGAGACAAAACATGTTAAATTACTTTATAAGTATAAATGTGCAATGCAGATGATGTCCCATGAATGCATATCCCTGAAAATCCAAGGGCTGGGAGTTGAATATTGCCTATATTAGAATCTCTGTGTTATGCACCAGGTGAGGAACCTTTTTTGGGGGAGGAGAAGTGGGGACGGATTCTAAAAGATCCTCTAAATGGAAGCAGAATCTATCAGATCTGTCTGCTCTGGGAGTTATTTTTTTAATGCCCTTTGAATTATAAGTTTCTTCACTAACTCTTTCTTTCTTTTATATCTAGACCTGCCTGTCTTAAGGAATCATGTATGATTTTCTTATGACTAAAGCAAAGGTGGTTATTAATGATGAATATTTTTAAATAATTCATGTGAATTATGTGAGAGAAATTGAAAGAAGGTAAAGTGAGGCACTTTTCCAGCGAGGAAATGTATTTTGTCCTTCTCCCTCCACCCTGAATATTTTCAGCAGTGCATTTCCATTTAGAGAGTGACCTATGGGTCTGTTATAATTAGATTCCATTGCTGCCGATGGAGACTGGAAGACAAAGGCAGGCGTCTTTCTCCAGACCGTACTGGCCGTGGCAGAAACAGCTCACTACTCAGTGACAGCATCAAGCTAATTTGCCCCCCCAGGATTAGACCAGGAAATATCAAAGTTAATTTACTTTCTCAGTATTATACTGAGAGGCCGTGGCATTTCTCCTGTTCCTGCATCGTGTGAGTCATGTTTGTTGGCAAGAGAAGGCCTTGGTCTTTCTTGAAACTTCTCCTGTTGGCAACACCAGAAAAATGTTTTCACCCTGATATTTGTCATCCCTGGTTTCTGGACACTTGTCCCGGGAATGCTTGTTCTGTAAGGTGCTTTATCAATAAAGTGCTTTCAGGTCAGATAAATTTGGGTGATGCCACCCATTTCCTTTCTTAAAAGGTCACAATCCACATTTGCATATCAAAGGCTCTGAGAAGGCCTGCAAAAAAGTTTTAACTTTGCTTAACTTAGTGTTTTATTCAGTCATTTGTTTAATGAATATTTTAGAATGTATCAGGCATTCTGCTAGGTATTAGAATTTAGCTAATAACAAAATAGGAAGAGTTCCTTTTCTCATGAAGTTTATGATTGGCAAGGAGAGTCAGGCAATGAACAAACACAAAATATGTTGTATGTTGTCAGATGGTGAGAGATGATAAGAAAAATGGCATAAAGGATCAGGGCATGGTGATGTGAGGCACTGGCACTCTTAGGTGGTGTGGTCAAGGGCTCTATGTAGAGGTGACATTTGAAAGAACACCAAAAGGAAGTGCAGGAGGGAGGCCAGCCTCTATTCTCTGGGGGGAGATAATTGCAACACAGGAGAACAGCAAGTGCAAAGGGCTGGAAGCAGGAAGTGTTTGGCCTCTCAGAGGCCAGTCTGGCTGGCGAGACCAGAGAGGAGGCAGGCGAGGCCTTGTGCGCCAAGGGGATGGGGGGGAGGACCCTGAAGGTTTTCAGTAGGGGAGTGAGGTTTCCTGCCACACCTTTGGTGAGTTTTTTCTGGCTGCTCTGTGGAGAAGGGACTCTGAGGGACAAAGGTAGAATGAGGAATGCCAAGAGGGAGGCCCTGGTAGTGTTCAGGTGACACGTGATGGTGGCTTAGACCAGGTAAAGAGTAGTGGAAGTGGTGAGAAAGTGACAAGTGTTTCCTCAACATATTTGGCCATAAACCTTCTTTTTTAGGAACACTTTAAAATTGTTTCCCATAATGAATTTTGGAAAATACTGTTGTATGTAATCAGATGTCAATCATGTATTTCTGTCAGTCACAAAAGTGCCTTTATACCTTCCTCCATGGCACTAATTTATAGTGGATAACAATGTCAGGGAGATAAGACACAAAAAAGCTAAAGAAAGAAACTTAGAATTTTAAGTTTAGCAAGTAAGGCCAAGGTGGAGTTACAGTACTGGCCCAGAGGTATGACAGTTGAAGAAGGCATTGGAATCTGTTTTTGTTTTTATTTTTGTTCGTTTTGCATCTAGCACAAGTATAAGTTTGCAAAAGCCTCTCAGTACGTGTTTGTGTTTTTAAAAAATTTCAGCCTATACCTATACGCATGGAATTCTTACTATGTCTTTTAATAAGCAAGCCCTTAATCAGTGAATACCTCTACTTGTCCACCTTTTGCCTGGCCAGCTCAGCTTCGACCTCACTCCATAATATCATAATACCATGTGCCAGCACATTGCTCTTATCACATCATAATATAATTGTCTGTTTGTCTGCTGGGTGGCCCCAGTAAACGGAAGATACGTTGCTGGCAAGGGCTGTACCTTTAGTTCTTGTATGCATAGCATCTAAGGATGGTTTACACCCTTCTGTGGAGCAGGTGCAAAATAGCTGTGTGAAGAATGAGTAAATGAATGAATGTCCAGGATTGTCTTGGCTATGAAGAATATGAGATGAGCTAAAACATGGTCCCTTCCCTTAGGCACTTGTAGTCTGATAGGGTGGATGGATGAATTCTGACTTCCCTTGTGACTGTTGCTTTGGAGGCCAGATCAGTTCTCAAACATTGGTGGAATATTCAGTAGTCCACTTGGGAGGATTTAAGCCAAGAAGTCCTTGTCCCCCAATATCTAACTTATAAACCCAACTACTGAGCTTGAAATTCCACAATTTACCCATTTTCTTGGACTAAGGAATTAAGAGAGAAATACCTCGGGGAAAGGAACTCCTTAGCCATTTATTTACATGTTGTTTGTGAATTAGTTTAGCAACTCTCTCCCAATGACAATAAAGAGAAGGTTTTATTGGAAAAGACAGGAAAGAATGCCCATTCTCAGTGGCTACCTAGATCTCTTACGCTACTCTTTCTAACGCATAGATTTGTACTTTCCTCCCCACAATCATACACACACACACACACACATATATACACATACACACCAGGCTTGTGGCAGCAGAGACCTGCCTCGAATGGCGTTTTCTCAGCACACATCTCTTATGTACCAACAGAACCCTGGGCAGAACACTGCATGCTAAGTAAATGAATGCTCCAGTTCTCATGCTTTGCAGACGGCTCTGTGGGGACTTGTGCACCACTGAAACACCTTGGTCTCAAAGCTGTGCTCCCATTTAGCTACAGAGCACCGGTGGAGATGTTCAGTAAGTCCCTGATGCCTCCCTTCTAGAGGCCACAAGCAAGGGAAACAACGAGTACAGCATCCCTCCCCATCCCCCATCACCATGGGAATAATGCCATGGGAGTGGATTTTATCATGGTGTTCAGGAAGGGCTGAATAAACAAAGGCGGCTGCTTTTTATAGCCACCACCCTAAGAACCTTGCAAAATGAAATATTTACTAAGTAAAACACAAAGTAGAAAGAGAAACTACAACATTTCTAGCCAGTAAAGGGAGAACAGTGCAAGCTCTGGGGGCTCTGTTTCCTCCTCTTGTTGACATCTATGAGAGTTTCCTGAGGTCCAGGAAAATGTGTTTTGCTGTTATCAGTGTAATAGGAATGAGGCCGACTTGATCAATCTGGCTATGCTTTTAAATTGCATTAAAACTCTGCAAGTATGTTAATCACATTGCCCTGATTCCCTCAGAAAAGACAGGCAGACAAGTAGACATTCTTCTTTGAGCTTTCTTTTGTGGGCTAAACCCCAGGGTGTGTAGCTCAGCAACAGCTGTAAACACTGGGGGTGAGCCTTTTCTGAAATAGTGTGCTGTGGCTTCATGGCTCCCAGCCTGTGCTCGCCGGCTAGGGAAAGGCATGACCAACTTAGGTTTCACAATCATCTTTCCTTTCAAAATAGGAAATTGCCAGTATTATCACTGCTGGCTGATGAATTATATTTATAAATTACATTCTTTTATTCTTTTTAAATTCAAGTAAACTAGCATTTACTGAATGGGTACCACGTACCATGATTTGCCTTTTTGATGTTATTTCATCTTAACAACAGCACTGTTATTTCCCATTTTAATGTCACAAAGCTAGTAAGTGCTAAAGGCAGTATGGGAGCCCAAGTATGTGTCTGACTCATAAACAAACTCACCGTTTATGTCTATTAAATTAGGTCATTTTAATATGTCTGGGATACCTGTTTACTCAAGGGATGTTGTAGAGTTTCTGTATAAATTTAGGAACAATCGCGCGTTGGTCCCACTGAGGTAGTATATGGATGGCGTGACTGCTTTTAGTTTTCCATCTTTGAGTCTAAGTAATTGCTTGACACCAGTATTTGGCTCTATAGCCAAGTTTTAAATATGCAAGATAGGAATATCTAATTTATAGATTGTCTTTTTCTTCTACTTTTAGTGATAGGCGTACAGGGGAAAGGGAAACTAGTCTTATTTTGTAATGGCTCTGGTGAGAGACTGAGTGAACGTGGAGGTGAAGAAGGGTAGTTGATCATAGATACGTATCAAGCACCTACCAGGTACAATGAAGAGCTGGATTTTTCTCTTTGACTGCTCTGTCTGCACTGCTGAACTTCCGCTCTGACTGTCCTCCTTCCTCAAACCTGTCTTTAATGAGATTTAATAAATGCTACCTATTTTCAAAGATGCCATGCTCATTATAAGGTGATCGTAGTCAGAATAAAAAGGATAACAAATGTGAAAGAGCAGGGATAATGAGATCTAGTAAAAGAAAAGGAGGCATTGCCAATATCTAGGTAAATAGGATTTTAAAAGAACTTCTTGTTTTTTGCTCCACTAGGGTACATTCTTCTAGATCTTGTCACCTCCCCCTACTCTAAACCCATCTTTCTTAGAAAACCCAAGGCCCTTACTGTGGCTCTCAAAAGTCCTGGGTGATATGTCCCAGCCACTTTCCTTGACCCCCTCTCCCTGGCTCTGCTCAGCCACTTGGCCTCATTGCCATTCTCTGCCTGAGCCCCTTTACTCTTGCTGTCTTCCATGTCAGGAAAGCTCTGAGCCTCTGGGGAGCAGCATGGCCTATGCCCTAGCCTTAATTGGGCTTCTCTTTAAATTTCCTCTGCTCAGTCTCCTACCTTGGCCACTCTTCCTAGAAGAGCAGCACCTCCTGCACCCTATAACCCTGCACCATCCAACAGAGTAGGTTCTAGCCATGTGTGGTCATTTGAATTTAAATTACTGTATTTTTATTGGACAGTCAGATACAGAATTTCCACCATTGTGAATGTTCTATGGGACAGAGCTGCTCTAACCCCTTACCCTGCCTTATTTTTATCTGTGGCACTCACCACTACATGGAGTTGCATTTCTTTGTTTTGCTATCTGTCTTGCCTCAAGAAAGCAAGCTTCCTACAATCAGGGACTTTGTGTGTTTTGTTCAGTCTCTGACTTTTAGCTCCCAGAAGAGTTCCTGCCACATCACAAGTGCAGAATAAATACTTCCTGAATGAGTGATTGGATCTTTTAAACCCAGGAGAGGGAAGCAGAATTGTTGAGGGAAGTCCCCCCTCTGCCTTCTGCTCTTCCCAGTCCCCACCGCCTTCCCTAAGCCTCGCCTTCTGGGAAGGAATTCAGGTCCTGGCTTTGTTTCTCTTTGAGTTTCCCTCACATAAGTTCCAGTGAAAGAGGCAGAACTGACCACATTGACTTTGAGTGGTCATTACCACATTCACAGATGGTCCCTTTCAAGTCTGGTGGTGCCTGTTTAATGCAGGGAAAACCATCTGCCAGAATGCCTTTGGCCATTGGATGGAAGAGAATGTCTCACTGTTACTTAAGAGCAGGAATTGCATACGACAGTGTTGTAGCTGATTATGCTTCATAATGCAGGTTGTTTTGATGCTCCTTGAGCATCTTCTTTCCCCCAAAGAGCTATGAGATCTTGGTAACTACTTAGGGACAGGAATCCAGGAGTATTGCACTCCTCCTGGGCTCGAATGAAGACACTCTGGGTGCGCTTGCCAGTTCTTCTTGCAAAGTTGCTCCTGTACATACTTTACCCGAGATGGGTCCAGATCTACAGAAGGATATGGAGAGGAAAAGTGAGCTAGGACTGTCAGCATGGTTCAGAGCCTTGTCTTTCTGAATTATCCTTAAGCAAGTCTGTCCCTTATTTGTAGTGTATCCACTCTGTTCCACAAATGGAATTCAGTGAGTTGCTCTCCATGAATCCTGATGTTTTACTGCAGGAGACAGCACATTTCCTGACCCAACCAATGGATCTGGCAGAAACTAGTTTGTGGCCAATTATATATCATGGTTTTGAGAAAACTATATGCAAATATAAAATGAATTTTAAAATGTTTAAATGTATATTTTCTATATATAGGTATGTATTTTGTTCATTAAATAACTGGCACTGTAAGAAGAAAACATCTAAACTTCACTGAGTTACATAAACGAAAGCTTGAATAATAGATGTCTTTCTAAATAAGATGACTCACTTCTGCAATTAATTTATAAACTTAGCAAAATCCTAATGAAATTTTTCTTTGAAAAGTAACTAAGCAATTCTAAAGTTTATTTGGAGGAAAAAGGAGATGAGGATAATCAATAAATACTTGCAGAAGATGAAGCATGGAGGATACATGCACTGAGATTAAAACATGTAACAAAGTGACAAAAATTAAAGCTAAATGGTATAAAGGCAACAGAAGAATAAAAAAACTGAACAGATACTAATACATGTAGGAATTTTTTCTCTTATAAAATGGGCATTTTAATAACTATTTCTGAGATATTCGGTTATTTATTTAAAAAAAAATCCCTTCCTCATATAACAAAAAAGTTCCAGAACTAAACATTAAACAATAAAACTAAAGTTAATTAGAACGAATATAGATGAATGTTTTGGAAGTTCGGGAGGGCCTTAATAAACTTACAACAAAGCAGAAAACATGAACAAAGAAACCTTAAAATAGACTATATAAAAATTGTTTAATAGCTTTTCACAGTGAAAAACACTGTGCATAAGGCCATCTGAGAAACAATTTACAACATATATGACCAAAGAGTTTATATCCTTCCTATATGAAGAGCTCTTAAAATTCAACAAGAAAAGGATCTTGTATTAATTTTCTGTGGCTGCCTAACAATTTACCACAAACTGGATGACTTAAAATATAGAAATTTATTCTCTGTCAGTTCTGGAGGCCAGAGTCCCAAACTAAGATGTGAGCAGAGCTGCACTCTCTCTAAGGAGACTCCCTCCTTGCTCTTCTAGCTTCTGGGGACTCCAGGTGCTCCTCAGCCTGTGGCTGTGTAACTCTAATTTCTGCCTCCATCTTCACATGGTCTTCTCCTTTTGTCTCTGTGTCTTCTCTCTTCTGTCTGTTATAAGGATGCTTGTCATTGGATATAGGGCCCACCTGAATAATCTACGATTATTTCATCTCACAATCCTTAATATATTTATATCTTTTTCCATATAAGGTCACATTCACAGGTTCTGGAGGTTAGGGTATCCTTCTGGAGGTCACTGTTCAATCTACTACAAACCTCAATACAAAAATGGGAAAAGGATAAAAGATTTCACAAGAAAAGACATGTTCAACTTCACCAATAATCAAATGTATCTAAAAATGATAAAACACCTTTTTTTTAAACTAATCTCAACTGATATTTTCCAGTATAGGTGAGAATCTAAGGAAATAGGGGCTTTTCTACATGCTTCTGGAATTATAAATTGTCACAACCTTTCTGAGGGGCAGTATGATATTATATATTAAAAAAATCAAAACTGGCTGGGTACAGTGGCTCACGCCTGTAATCCCAGCACTTTGGGAGGCTGAGGTAGGTGGATCACTTGAGGACAGGAGTTCGAGACCAGCCTGGCCAATATGGCGAAACCCTATCTCTACTAAAAATACCAAAAGTTAGCCAGGCATGGTGGCACATGCTTGTATTCCCAGCTACTCAGGAGGCTGAGGCACAAGAATCGCTTGAACCCAGGAGGTAGAGGTTGTGGTGAGCCAAGATCGTGCCACTGTACTCCAGCCTGGGCAACAAAGCGAGACCCTGTCTTAAAAAGAAAAGAAAAGGAAAGACATCAAAACTATGTGCTCCTTTTGACCTCAGGAAATCTGAGTAAGACTTCCCATATGGGTATGCATCACCACATATTAATAACACTAAGGTGATATAAACAGCCTACATGCCCAATGACAGAAGACAGGTTAAATGAATTATGGTGTACCATAGGAAAAAAATGGTAGAAGAATATTTTAAAGCATGAGGACATTTTCAATATAAAGTGTGTGATTAAAGCAGGTTATAAACATGTCAACCTCTGGGTCAAGATGGTGGCTGAAGCACATGCTAAACCCCCTCTTTCCACCCTGCACCCTATTGCACATGTGTGGAGGATATTTCAAAGTACTGTTGGATAACAAATGACTGACTTCAAAAGAAAGAAGAAAAACATCTCAGATGCCAGAAGTGGAAAAGGAAGATATAGCAGTGTGTGGGAGCTGACACTGCACATTCCAAGTTATGACCAGGACATAAACATAGTCAGAAGGCAAGCTGGGAGCCATACTGCCCATTCCTACCTGGAAGAAGGGACAGTCCACAACTGCCCTGCATAAAGAGAGGTAGGAAATATCACCCACCTGAAATGGAAACCCTGAGCCTGCCAGTATTTCTGTACAATGTGGAAATCCAGAATTGAGCCACCGACAGAAAAACTAATTGAGAAGTTTGTGACCCCATGGGGCTCTGGCAGAGGCAAACTCAAAACCCTATAGGGAAAAAAAAACAAAAAACAAAAAACAAAACAAAACAAAAAAACAGCCTTATGGGGAAGCTCCACAATGTAGGGTCCAAGCAGGCAAACATTCCTATTGAAGAGCTGTTCTGAATTTTTTGGTCTGGTCTCACAACCCATTTTTCACTCTTAAAAATTATTAACGATGAAAGAGATTTTATTTTATGGGTAATATCTATTGATATTTACCGTAGTAGAAACTAAAACTGAGAACCTTCCTTAAACACAAGAATCTACAAGCACAGTAAGGTATTGTATATTTCAAAAAGCTAAAGGAGAGGTTTTTGAATGTTTTCATGACAAAGAAATATTAAGTGCATGAGGTGATGGAATGCTAACAATTCTGCTTTGATCCTTATACAATGTATACATGTATCAAAAGACAACATTGTACTCCATAAATGTGTACAATTATAATGTGTCAAAAAATTTTAAAAAGAATCTACCAGCACACATTTCATAAATCATCAGAGCAATGATATAATTGTATATCATGTAGCATCTCACAAACGTGACTATATACTTATGAAAAATAAGAGTGAAAAAGTCAAATAACATTTCTTTTTTTTTTCAGCTACGCATCAAAGATTTTTTTTGTTTTGTTTTTTGTTTTGAAAATTGTTCTTTTTTTCTTTTTCTCTTTTTTTATTATTATTATTATACTTTAAGTTTTAGGGTACATGTGCACAATGTGCAGGTTAGTTACATATGTATACATGTGCCATGCTGGTATGCTGCACCCATTAACTCGTCATTTAGCATTAGGTGTATATCCCAGTGCTATCCCTCCCCCCTCCCCCCACCCCACAACAGTCCCCAGTGTGTGATGTTCCCCTTCCTGTGTCCATGTGTTCTCATTGTTCAATTCCCATCTATGAGTGAGAACATGCGGTGTTTGGTTTTTTGTCCTTGTGATAGTTTACTGAGAATGATGATTTCCAATTTCATCCATGTCCCTACAAAGGACATGAACTCATCATTTTTTATGGCTGCATAGTATTCCATGGTGTATATGTGCCACATTTTCTTAATCCAGTCTATCATCATTGGACATTTGGGTTGGTTCCAAGTCTTTGCTATTGTGAATAGTGCCACAATAAACATATGTGTGCATGTGTCTTTATAGCGGCATGATTTATAGTCCTTTGGGTATATACCCAGTAATGGGATGGCTGGGTCAAATGGTATTTCCAGTTCTAGATCCCTGAGGAATCGCCACACTAACTTCCACAATGGTTGAACTAGTTTACAGTCCCACCAACAGTGTAAAAGTGTTCCTATTTCTCCACATCCTCTCCAGCACCTGTTGTTTCCTGACTTTTTAATGATTGCCATTCTAACTGGTGTGAGATGGTATCTCATTGTGGTTTTGATTTGCATTTCTCTGATGGCCAGTGATGATGAGCATTTTTTCATGTCTTTTTTGGCTGCATAAATGTCTTCTTTTGAGAAGTGTCTGTTCATATCCTTTGCCCACTTTTTGATGGGGTTGTTTGTTTTTTTCTTGTAACTTTGTTGGAGTTCATTGTAGATTCTGGATATTAGCCCTTTGTCAGATGAGTAGGTTGCAAAAATTTTCTCCCATCCCATAGGTTGCCTGTTCATTCTGATGGTAGTTTCTTTTCCTGTGCAGAAGCTCTTTAGTTTAATTAGATCCCATTTGTCAATTTTGGCTTTTGTTGCCATTGCTTTTGGTGTTTTAGACATGAAGTCCTTGCCCATGCCTATGTCCTGAATGGTAATGCCTAGGTTTTCTTCTAGGGTTTTTATGGTTTCAGGTCTAACGTTTAAGTCTTTAATCCATCTTGAATTAATTTTTGTATAAGGTGTAAGGAAGGGATCCAGTTTCAGCTTTCTACATATGGCTAGCCAGTTTTCCCAGCACCATTTATTAAATAGGGAATCCTTTCCCCATTGCTTGTTTTTCTCAGGTTTGTCAAAGATCAGATAGTTGTAGATATGCGGCGTTATTTCTGAGGGCTCTGCTCTGTTCCATTGATCTATATCTCTGTTTTGGTACCAGTACCATGCTGTTTTGGTTTCTGTAGCCTTGTAGTATAGTTTGAAGTCAGGTAGCGTGATGCCTCCAGCTTTGTTCTTTTGGCTTAGGATTGACTTGGCGATGCAGGCTCTTTTTTGGTTCCATATGAACTTTAAAGTAGTTTTTTTCCAATTCTGTGAAGAAAGACATTGGTAGCTTGATGGGGATGGCATTGAATCTATAAATTACCTTGGGCAGTATGGCCATTTTCACGATATTGATTCTTCCTACCCATGAGCATGGAATGTTCTTCCATTTGTTTGTATCTTCTTTTATTTCATTGAGCAGTGGTTTGTAGTTCCCCTTGAAGAGGTCCTTCACATCCCTTGTAAGTTGGATTCCTAGGTAATTTATTCTCTTTGAAGCAACTGTGAATGGGAGATCACTCATAATTTGGCTCTCTGTTTGTCTGTTATTGGTGTATAAGAATGCTTGTAATTTTTGTACATTGATTTTGTATCCTGAGACTTTGCTGAAGTTGCTTATCAGCTTAAGGAGATTTTGGGCTGAGACAATGGGGTTTTCTAGATATACAATCATGTCGTCTGCAAACAGGGACAATTTGACTTCCTCTTTTCCTAATTGAATACCCTTTATTTCCTTCTCCTGCCTAATTGCCCTGGCCAGAACTTCCAACACTATGTTGAATAGGAGTGGTGAGAGAGGGCATCCCTGTCTTGTGCCAGTTTTCAAAGGGAATGCTTCCAGGTTTTGCCCATTCAGTATGATATTGGCTGTGGGTTTGTCATAAATAGCTCTTATTATTTTGAGATACATCCCATCAATACCTAATTTATAAGAAACTCACTCAAAACTGCTCAACTACATGGAAACTGAACAACCTGCTCCTGACTGACTACTGGGTACATAACGAAATGAAGGCAGAAATAAAGATGTTCTTTGAAACCAACGAGAACAAAGACACAACATACCAGAATCTCTGGGACACATTCAAAGCAGTGTGTAGAGGGAAATTTATAGCACTAAATGCCCACAAGGGAAAGGAGGAAAGATCCAAAATTGACACCCTAACATCACGATTAAAAGAACTAGAAAAGCAAGACCAAACACATTCAAAAGCTAGCAGAAGGCAAGAAATAACTAAAATCAGAGCAGAACTGAAGGAAATACAAAAAAAACCCTTCAAAAAATTAATGAATCCAGGAGCTGGTTTTTTGAAAGGATCAGCAAAATTGATAGAACGCTAGCAAGACCAATAAAGAAAAAAAGAGAGAAGAATCAAATAGATGCAATAAAAAATGATAAAGGGGATATGGGATATCACCACCGATCCCACAGAAATACAAACTACCATCAGAGAATACTACAAACACCTCTACGCAAATAATCTAGAAAATCTAGAAGAAATGGATAAATTCGTCGACACATACACTCTCCCAAGACTAAACCAGGAAGAAGTTGAATCTCTGAATAGACCAATAACAGGCTCTGAAATTGTGGCAATAATCAATAGCTTACCAACCAAAAAGAGTCCAGGACCAGATGGATTCACAGCCGAATTCTACCAGAGGTAAAAGGAGGAACTGGCACCATTTCTTCTGAAACTATTCCAATCAATAGAAAAAGAGGGAATCCTCCCTAACTCATTTGATAAGGCCAGCATCATCCTGATACCAAAGCCTAGCAGAGACACAACCAAAAAAGAGAATTTTAGACCAATATCCTTGATGAACATTGATGCAAAAATCCTCAATAAAATACTGGCAAACCGAATCCAGCAGCACATCAAAAAGCTTATCCACCATGATCAAGTGGGCTTCATCCCTGGGATACAAGCCTGTTTCAATATATGCAAATCAATAAATGTAATCCAGCATATAAACAGAACCACAGACAAAAACCACATGATTATCTCAATGGATGCAGAAAAGGCCAAAGTTCAACAACGCTTCATGTCAAATAACATTTCTATTGTTAGGAAAATTGTTTTGACATCACAGATTTCTTGAATAGTCTTGGGAGTTTTCTGGGAATCCTCAGACCACACTTTGAGAACCACTACTATGGAAGATATGCTCACAGCCAAGAATTACTAAACTTGTGATAAAGTTCTGTCCTATTTGAGATAGTCACTAACCCAACAAATGAGAAAATTCACTCCCAAATAGTTAGAGACAATAGACTTCAACTCCAAATGTATGATATGGTCTAAATTAATTATATGCTCATGCATCTGCATAGTCTAAATATTGGAAATAAAATTGCTGATTGTCAAGAGTGGGCATCTCTGGGTGGCAGAAATACAAATGTTTTTTATTTTCTTGTTTATGACTTCCTGGATTTTTAAAGTATTACTTTCCCCCAATTTTATTGTGATAAAATACACATCACATAAAATTTACCACTTAACCATTTTTAAATGTACAGTCAGTGCTATTGAATATGTTCATAATGTTGTGCAACCAACACTACCATTCATCTCCATCACTCTGTTCATCTTGTAAAACTGAAACTCCGTATCCATCAGATGAAAACTCCCCATTCCCCACTTCTCCCAGATCCTGGCAACCACCATTCTATATCCTGTCTCTATTATTTTGACTGGTCTAAGTATCTCATATAAATAGAATCATATAGTATTTGTCTTTTTGTGGCTGGCTTATTTCATTTAGCATAGTATCCTCAAGATTCACCCATATTATAGCATGTTTCAGAATTTCCTTCTTTTTAAGGCTGAATAACATTCCATTGTCTGTGTATACCACATTTTGCCTAGACATTCATTGGTCAATGGGCCAATGGGTTGCTTCCTTGATTGAGCTACTGTTAATAACACTGTTAGAATCATAGATGTATAAATATCTTCTCCAAAATCTGCTCTCCATTCTTTTGTGTCTATACCTAGAGGTGGAATTCCTAGATTATATGGTAATTCTATTTTTATGTTTTTAGGAACTGCCACACTATTTTTCACAGAGGCTGTACCATTTCATATTCCCACCAACAGTGCACATGGCTCCATATCCTTGCCAATACTTGTTATTTTGTTATTTTGTTTGTTTTTTGTTGATTTTTGCTAGTAGCCATCCAAATTGGTATGCATTGGTCCAGTTCTTTTTAAAATAAGCATGCTTTGGTTTTGTAATCGGAAAGAAAGATTCTGTACTAAATTGAATTCAAGTATTTCTTCAAAGAAGGATAGTGCCCACTTTGACTCACTTGAGGATATTTCTGGGACCTTCACAAAAGTTTATATATGCAAACAGGTTTGCCATTTGTGTGAGGCCTTTAGATTTCACTAATCTGGGGTTTGTAGAGATTTGGACAACTGCTGAGGTCTTTACCCTGGTTTATGAGATCTATTCTTCATAGAGCAAATTAACTGTGTCAAAATTGCATAAAAATGAACGTTAATATACTTAAAATTAAAATTTCCAGGCTCTTTGAATGACTTATTGCTTTAAAAATACACAGATATGCTAAATACTTTCTATTTTTATAGCAAGTCTGTTTAAAAATCATAAGCAATTACATTTGGAAAACTTAGTTTCAGTTTTTGATACACTTGAAAGAAATACTGTATTTTATTTTAGAAATATTATTTTAATGTAGATTTTCTGCCTTTTATCCTGCTTCTTTCAATTAATTCTAATTAGTGTTATGGTATTTTATAATAGAGACATTAGAATTTAAAGGATTTTAGTGTTCATCTTAATACAGTATTTCCATAAAATGTATAATGAGAACTGCTCACTGGTGTCATGCTGAGGGTGGGGAATTCTGTTATTAGGAAAGTTTGGAAATGATTGGGTAACAAATTTAAGCAAGGTTCCTTATAACAGGCTTTGTACTGTAACCCTCCTACTCATACTCCACATGAAGTAAGTGTGAGAGCATATAAAGTCATATAAAGTCAGAGTACTTTATAGGACCACAAGGTGCAGATTGCACCTTGGGGGACTACTGATCCAGACAACTGCCTGATAAAGAAAGTGGAGGAACTAAGAGTTGACCCCTTATGGTGCTTGAGTCCTCATTTAATAACATTAAGGCCAGGTGCAGTGGCTCACACCTGTAATCCCAGCACTTTGGGAGGCTGAGGTAGGAGGACTGCTTGAGCACAGAAGTTCTAGACCAGCCTTGGAAACATAAAAAGACTTCATCTCTACAAAAAATAAAATGTTAGCCTGGCATGGTGGTGCACACCTGTAGTCCCAGCTACTTGGGAGGCTGAGGTGGGAGGGTCGCTTGAGCTTGGGAAGCTGAGGCTGCAGTGAGTCATGATCATGCCACTGCTGCCTGGGTGGGAGAGTGAGGCCCTGTCTCAAAAAACAAACAAAAAACCCAATAACATTACTTTATGGTGTTCCTTTTTACTAGTTTCCTGTTTTCAGGAAAGTTACACTGTAATAGGGAAGGCCATCACATGTATTGGTGAGCATAATGGAAAATGTGATTGAATGCCAGGAGGAAACCAGCTACACTTAACTTGCAAGATGTGATTAGGCTAAGCAATAAAGAAAGGAAATCGTTTCATGAAAGAAGTGATTTTTGAACCGTGATTTTTGCACTGCACCTTAAAGAATGAGAATGTAGGCATACAGGTAGTTTACAGGGTTGGAGGGCAAGAGGTGTCTCTAAATAATAAACACTTAATGTCAGGGATTTGGACAGGCTGGGATGATGGGTCAGTTTCCATTTCTTCATCTCAAAGATGTGCTCAGTGCGGAAAGCTTCTTGGAAAGCTCCCCTCTCAACCCCACCCCACTCCAGAAGGAGTCCTTTGTAGCCCAGCATGCCTGACTTGGGAGGGAGGTGTGGCATCAGGGATAAAGTTGGACACAGTTGTCCAGTCAGCTGGCAGGTAGTTCACCATTTGTCTTCTGTGTTGAATGTCTCTTCTAGATCCAAGCTTAAGAGAGGAAGAGGGATGTTATGAGCCCCTCTGCCCAATCCCAGCACACTACATATCTGCAAGTACTTTAGAAGAGCCCGAGTCTGCTGGCATGGGGGCTGCCTTCTACACACCCATGCTGTTTCAGATCCCTGTTTCCATCACAGGCTCCCATTTCCACAAAAACGTGGCAGATGTAGTGGGTATGTGGTTGGGCTCTGGAGTAGCATTGCATAGGGTCGCATTGTTACTGGCCAGGTTTCAGTTTTCTTATCTGTGAAGTGGGCATTTTTAAAAGTACCTACCCCATACAATGTTTGTGAGCATTATTGTGTGATAATGCATCTGAAGTGCGTGGCACATGGCTGACATAATAACGGATTAGCCATTATTATTGCTATCATTACTCTATCAGGGCACAATGGTTTTAAAGCTGCATAAATACAATTGTTAGAAGAATGGACTCTCCCAGCATCCAGAAGATTCTAGAACATTTGGGGGAGGCGGAGCTATCCAAGATCTTTTGATTGATGGTGGTGATGAGGAGTAAAGCAAAGGGAAGACTGCATGTTTGGGCGGTGTGGGGAAACACCAAGAGAAACATCTGTGTGTTGGGGGTTGTGTAGGGTGGGAGCTTGTGTAGGAAAGTTTTAAAATAGTATGTAGTGGTATTGGATATGTGTGTTTGTCATGAACCATCAAAGGAGCAAAAAGAAGAAAAACTGTGTTTTGCCAGAATAATGCCCGTGTGTATAATTATTCTTTATATTTTACATATTTGTGCAAAATATCACACACAATGATTGTGCATGTCATTGACTATATCAGATTCACTTCGCTGTGAACGTTGTTTGGTTTAACAGCCGCTTCTATAAATGCAGTTTCAATCGGCTATGTATCCTGCAGCTTAGCATGATGAGTAGGGCATCTAAACAAATATTTATCAAGTGGTTTTACAGGAGATACTGCTAATGCCCTGGGTCCCTGGACCCCTTTCATCATCTCTGTGCTCTCCCCACTTGGCTTCAGTGTGCCTTTGCCTTCCTCGGCCAGCACCTTCAGAGGATTGCCTTCAGGCTAGTGGAACTGCCTTGCCTTTTGGTGCGGAGAACAGGAAGCTCCTACATTCCACCATTGCCCCCAGGACCCCTCAGCCAACAGTTGGCATGGGGTTATGAAAGCCTAGCACCTTTGCCCGAGTGGGGAAAAATTCCGAGGCATAATTTATACTCCAGAGTTCCTCCTGAAGCTTGCTCCACGGTAGAATACCTAAAATTGCCGCCCTGCTTCCATCGCTCCCTCCCGCCCTGCTCCCTGACTCCCTTACTCTTTAATAAATGATTTGCAGCTGACTCCTTATGGCTAGGTCTGTTCCTGGGGAAACTGAATTGAAACCACTGAATATATGTCAGATTCTGTCCTAAAACCGGGGTAAACAACTCATTTAATTCTCACAACACTGGAAGGTGGTTATTATTACCCTTATTTCGTGGAGAAGGAAACTGACTTGAGTAAACGAGGAGCATCATGTACTTAGAGATTGTTAGAGTTTCATTGCTTTGCCTACTTTCCTGCCGTCCTGGCCCACTGATGTCTTATTTAACAGGGTTACATTATCTTTTGAAGTACAGCCACCATCCTAGGGTAGTTTATTGGAACAAACAAGACCACATTTTAAAATTATTACCCATATAAAGCTCGTCACTGATTAAAGGTCTCACAACAATTCTCTTTACTTCAGAATGTAGAAGACAATTTAGAGAAGCGGTTATAAAACAATTTTAGTGTAGGAAAAAAAGTTACTGGAATACTGGAATGACTAGGAAGAAGGCCACTGCATTTAATAAGACCTCAGTGAGACCACTGGGTGAGGCAGATGAAGATAAGGGGTAAGGCTTTGGGGTCAGACACATTTGAGCTTGAGTCCGGCATCTCCTCTAACAAGCTTTGTGACTTTGGGCTAATCTCTCTAAGCCTTAATTTTTCATCTGTAAAATGGAAGACTATAATGTCTATTTTGTAGGATTGAAGTAAAGATTAAATAAAAGAATAAAACAATGTACAGGAAGTTTTTAGCACAATGCCTGACATATAGTAAGCACCAAATCAAGGTGGTTTGTTTTGTTTTTCATTGAAACAAAGTCTGACATATATTATGTGGCATAACTCCATAATCGATTCGAGAAACAAAAGAAAATATTGATGATGCTATAAACAGCTGCTTGCGGACCTTCTTATAGGCCACACCCGGTGTGTAAGCCCCACCCTTGAGAAGTGCTGCTTTAATTCAAGCATAACCTTCCCATGTAGATACAAATCTGCCATTTTCCTGGCAATATCTGGAATGAGCCAAGCTCTTCACATTTTTCCATTTACCAGAGGGAGATAATAGCCATAGAATTATAACTCTGCCCCTGAACAGTCTGCCCCCAGCCAATCATCCTGCACATATTCCAAGATGGCTTTATAAGGATAGTACAAACTTGGGGTTTTGGTTTAACTCCGTATTTTGAAATCACTGTAGATTCACATGCAGTTGTAAGGAATGATTCAGAGAGACCCCTGTACCCTTCACCAGCTAACCCCAATGGCAATATCTACAAACATCTAATTTTATATAGCATTTTTGAATAAGTATTCATATTTCTTGTTTATGAAAGGGCACAGAAAAATCTTCTTTGCTTTAGTAAGACTACAAACTAAAGAACAAGTCTCTTCCCTCAAGGAACTTACCTGAGCTTCGATTTGGGGGATGAGAAATCTTGAAAGACAAAAAGAGAACTTATATGTGCACATCCTTTGTTTTGTCCTGGAATTAAAACTAAGATTTCTGCAAGAATTTTTTCAAAATTGGAATGTTTAATTGTAAAATTCTTGTTTTATTTTATTTCTCATTGCTCAAGTGCTTAGACTACTTAGGGGATTAGAACTGTCCACTTTTCCAGCCATAACTATGACATTTAAGATATCATACCTCTTGCCTCTTACAGAGGTGGCTCCTATACAAGGACCTCTTTAGGGATGAAAACCCTGTAAAGCATGTGGTAAGGATACCTGTGGCTGAGGACAAAAGCAAAAAAGCCAAATGCAGTCAGTTGATATACAATTTCTTGGAAACAGCTATGGCAGAAGCTTTCCATTATGAAAGGCACTGGGGTAGTGCTGTAGGGTCATTCAGACTCTGCTTTCAACTAACCAGAATTTGGAGCTCACTTAATGGTATTTCTGGAGCTGATTATGTACAGGAAGCAGCTGATATGCAGTGTCTGATGTGGTCATCCGTTCAATGGATAGGATGGCAGTTTATTTTATTTATTGTGTGAAATATTCAGATTTTCTGTTAATTTTTAAAGTAGGAAATGTCTCTCAACTTCATCATTGTCCTCTCTGCCCCTTTTCCCTGACTTCTTGAGTTTCTGAGCACCCCATCCTCAGCCTCCCTTCTCACCACCTTTCCATTTTTTCTTACTGTTCTCATGGATTTTCCCATGTCTCTCTTCCTCCCTTTCTCTTCCTCTCAGTTCTTAAAAAAAAAAAAAAAAAAAAAAAAAAAAAAAAAAAGAGCTGGGGGAGAACAAACAGAAAAATCATTTACTAAAACATTTGGTTAAAAACCTTGCAATCATATGTTTATTTTAATTTCATTTTATCATTTTCCAAAACGCAGCCTGTGAGAACCATACTCCTGTTTTGCCTACTGGGCATTTGTAGGTATTCAGTGGGAATGAAGCATGGTCCATTTATAAACAAACATCTGTTTGTCTTTATTGCTGGGTTTGTTTGTGGCATTTGGAGGAGTAATTAAATGTATGTTAGTAATAGCTACTTTAAATATTTTAAACTAGCTACAAAATGAAAAAGTAGAAATGACGATTATATAAATCAATGTTTGGAATGCTGCCATAGCTTAAGGCTTGGGGAGTTAATGATGGGGGAGAAAGACTTTTTTAACCTCTGTTATCATCTGTGTACAAGGATGAACCTGTCAGTGACTCACATGAGCCACCAGAAGAGGCAGCTGAGTGGACAAATGGAATATAAGTTACCTTGAGGTCAGCCTGAATTTAAGGAACCAAGGCATGAGGGGACTATCAGTGAAAAAGAAAACCAAATAACAGGTCCTGGAAGGTCCAGACTTTACTACCAAAACAGCAGCTAACCAGAGTGGCAGGTGGGAGGATGTGAGAGGGAGAGAGGGAGAGAGAGAGAGTGTGTGTGCGTACTGGGTATCCAGAGATGAAGAAAATAGAAGTGGGGTTGTGAAGGGACATGGCATGGAGCTTACCTGTCCCTGAAGGCCTGGGGGTAGTTTCTGAAAGGGCAGACTCCCACCAAACAAGCCATATGTTCTAATTCAATATCAAATGCAGCCATAAAATCATTTGATGAACTCTGACAATCCTGTGGATATGACACTATGCTATGGGAATATACTCCTTGCCAGTTTGGGGTGCCATGTGAGTCTCTGTTACCATTTGTTGGAAGGAAACACAATGTTAAGTAGGGGAGAAATTCAATTTTACAAATATAGCTATAGTTTGATTGATAGCAATTGTATATGGGGCTGCTTGCTTTTCAGTGTGAGGAAATAGGCCCAGTAGGATTCTTCTAATACTCTGGTTTGTCTTTGCAATATTTGTACGTGTCTGTGAGCAATACTATTTTTCTCAATCAAGGTATATGCTTGTAGCATTTCAAAATGTGTTGGGCGTGCTTTTAAAGATGCAAGATGCTCTGTTTTATTCTCAGGGGAATTCCTGTGTACTGTTACCCTGGGGATAGAATTCCTTAAAATAAAACAATAATAATAGCAGCGAAAACCCTAAATACTCCAAGTGATGCTCACACTTAAGCAGAGAAGCAGCCTAGGGTGTACATGTATATACAGTGAGATCAAAAAAAAAAAAAAAAGGAAAAACTAATTCTGTGTTGTAGTTTGTGGGACACTGAAAAGAGGTCAAGAAATAGACGGTAAAAAATATATATATAGAAAGGAATAATAAGTATCTCCTCTATTTCTTCTTTCGCAGTTCTGTTTTGAACCCAAAGTGGATGATGCTGTCAGAGCTGAACCACTGAAAGGAGGCTGTGAAAATTTCCCATCTTCTCATTGGCCATCAGTTGAGATAAGATGGAAGACTCTTACAAGGATAGGACTTCACTGATGAAGGGTGCCAAGGACATTGCCAGAGAGGTGAAGAAACAAACAGTAAAGAAGGTGAATCAAGCTGTGGACCGAGCCCAGGATGAATACACCCAGAGGTCCTACAGTCGGTTCCAAGATGAAGAAGATGATGATGACTACTACCCGGCTGGAGAAACCTATAATGGTGAGGCCAACGATGACGAAGGCTCAAGTGAAGCCACTGAGGGGCATGATGAAGATGATGAGATCTATGAGGGGGAGTATCAGGGCATCCCCAGTATGAACCAAGCGAAGGACAGCATCGTGTCAGTGGGGCAGCCCAAGGGCGATGAGTACAAGGACCGGCGGGAGCTGGAATCAGAAAGGAGAGCTGACGAGGAAGAGTTAGCCCAGCAGTATGAGCTGATAATCCAAGAATGCGGTCATGGTCGTTTTCAGTGGGCCCTTTTCTTCGTCCTGGGCATGGCTCTTATGGCAGACGGTGTAGAGGTGTTTGTCGTTGGCTTCGTGTTACCCAGTGCTGAGACAGACCTCTGCATCCCAAATTCAGGATCTGGATGGCTAGGTGAGTGTGTGGTGTCAGTGAGGCCAACTCTGAAACTGGCTTATTTGTTAAGCACAGTTATCAACATAGAGAATAAATACTTTTCATCTAGAGTACTGCATTTTTTCTAACAAATTTTTTATTACAAAAAACTTTAAGCATACAAAAGAATCAAAATAATTGTACAGTGAACACCTGTGTATACCCACCACCTAGATTCTGTAGTTAACATTTACTATATTTTCTTTATCATCTCTCCATCAACCCAATTTATTTTTATGCATTTCAAAGTAAGTTAGAGTATGTTTTAACTTATATTTTTATCATAGTTGCATTGGTTTCTCCTTTATTAAATTCCAAAGCTACTCTCTTGGAAGTTAATAATGCTGTTATATTTAACACTTTTCTAAATACAGAGATTAGTTCTGTAAAACTCTGACAATTGTGATTTCAAATGTCAATTTTTATGTGTAATACAGTAGTTTAAATATTTTAGGACCCTGATAACTTTAATTTTTTCTATTATCTATGTGTATGTTTGCTTAGATTTTCAACTAGCCTTATTCGTATAATTTTCTATAGGTGATTTTTAATCTTTTTCAAGCTGTGTAACTTTGTGCCCAAACTAGAAAAACTTCATTTCTTTATATTATTTTAAATATATAAATATTTAAATGTGTGTTAAAAATAATATAACCTCTCTATAAAATATCTATACAGCAGATTTGATTTTTGTTTTGAAGTTACCATGGACTCAGGTTTATATTTTTACAAAGCTATAGTTAACACTCTCCGAGTTTGTGCAAGGGAAAATAAGTAGGTAAGAAGCAAGCATGCAGTGAACTCTCCCCTCAGCAGTTTAAGGATCCACAGCAAACACCTGGTATATAAAATCAGGAGGATTTCCAAACTGCTTTTGCAAATCCTGCCTCAGAGAACACGTTTATGTGCATGTTAAATCTTTATGTGTTTCAGAGTCTATGAAAGAAAGAATACTTAGTATCTATGTTTCCAAGGGACTTCTTTAAAACTAAAGCTTCAAAAACAAAAGTATACAATTCTTGAAAACTAGTAACTTTATTAAGTAATGTTATTATCATTGAGGCTGAGAAATTTCCTGGGTGATTAAAATTAAATGCTATATCCTAATTTGTTCTGTGACAACACAAGAGAGATACTCATGAATGAGAAAATGATATACATCTTTTTATTCCTTTAACACTTGTTTCTTTTATATGACCCACTCCTAGTATTTGTTTCTTTATGCTTAGCTAAAATAAATGGATCCATGAAAGTAGATTGTGTAGGTTGAAGGGGTGGGAGTCAGGAGCATATTGTGCATATTTTGCTGGTACACTCATTTGTGTGTTCCACTATCAAATGCAGACATCACCACGCTTCAGAGGAGGGTCCTTGGTCATTTGTCAAATTGATCATCTCAGCAGACTGGTTTTGTATCTAGCACTGTATATCATTTTTGTTTTTTTTCTTTTGGTGAGCAAGTATATCCAACTGTAAGCCTAGACATCAAAATATGTATTCAGATTTTGCTAAAGGAATATGTCAGCAGAATGTGTAAAGAAGATAGACCCTGAGAAATATACTCACACAAATATTTAATAATTGCCAGCTTAAATTTAGAATAAAAAATATTTTAATGTTATGGTCCCACCATTTATACTGGAAAGACTACAGAAAAATCTAAGCCAAACTTGCCCTATGCCTTTATCTTCCTGGTGCTGTATGAAAGCACAGTATGACATACGGTTCTCTTATCAAACTATCCTCCAAACCCAGAAACCCTGGTGATGTTACCCACCCCCAGGTGGCATTTAGAAGTGTAGATAATGCTGCAGAACAATTGGAGCACAGATATTCTCATCTGCCCATAAATGTTGCCTGCTTTAGTGAATTAAAAATATGTCCCCAGGAGTGTATAGTTTCACTCAGTGTTGTGAGTCCCCAACAGGAGCATTTTAATGCTTTCATAACTGTGCCTTCCAGACTTGCATTTCAATTATTTTGCCATTGTAATTTCACTCATAATTGCATTCTAACAGAGTCTTTTTAGACAAGCATTTAAATTGTTTTGCCATTTTCATTTCATCGAATAATAGCTTTGTAATATAATTACCACACTAAGTCATAGCAATAGGATCAAAATGCAAGAAAGCAGGATGCATGACCCATGTTTGGTGGCATTTTGAGGATATAGATTTGCAAAATAATTTCTCATTTGCTACTAAGCATTGTGTCATTTTCCTCAAGGAAGACCAGGAACAAAAATATGGCCCAATTTATGTTTTAATTATTTGGGAGATTGAGCCTCTCTTTGTGTTTGCTAAAAGATTGACTTAAAGGTATCTAAGGGCATACAGTGTATGCCTGTATCTGTGTATATAGTCTGTGTGTATATATAACATTGTTAATTGGGCCAGAAGAAGTTAGAGTAAATATTTAATTATCTAATGATCTGCTCTTTGGAAGAACAAGGGCAGTCACTTTAAGATAATCTGTTCTCTATTGCCAAAGTCTATTTATTAAGCACTTACTGTGTGTAAAGCACAGTATTGTCACAAGGATAATAGGACAAAAAAGAGAGGCAAGGTTTCTCTATCCAAGGAAGTTATAGTCTAGTAATGGAGAAATCACAAATGAGTAGATTACCAGTCTAGATACCAAGTGTCAGTAGCCATAAGACAAGTGTAAATAAAGAGACTTCGAGCAGGGAGAACATGTTACAGGGTAAGGCCCTGACTAAAGCAGTGGAGAGAAGGAATGGATTTCAGAGCTACTCCAGAGGTAGAGTCAGCAAGGATTTGCTCATTGATTAGCTTCGAGTGGGGAGGAGGGGACCAATTAATGAAAGAATGGCAGTTCATTAAATTAGGTAAGGCAGAATATAGATTTTAGCAGGATGGAGAAAGATGAAAATGTTTAGTTTGAGACCCTCTCATTTTGAGGTCCTTGGGGACAATCAAAGAGGAGTGCCAATGGGCTATTCCCCATTTGAGCTGAAATGCCCAGAGATTTGGAAGTCATCTTGTTTAAGACAACACTGCCAATGACCTTAATGAGGGAGAGAATGGTTTCCCGCTGAATACTATTTATGGGGCTGGTGGTGGAGGAGGAATCATTAAGGAGGTAGAGGAGAAGCCAGAGAAAGGAGCAGCCAGGAGAAAGGGGAGGTCTGGAACTTGCTGGAAGAAGGAAGGGATGTATAGCTTTCAGGCGCCGCAGTCTTGCAGTAGAGGCTGGCAATTAAGAGTTATTGGCTGCTGCAGACATCTCTTAAGATGAACACAGTGAGCACAATAAACACAATGAGCCAGACTAGTAAGTTTTTAAGACTTCTTATTGAATGAAGTGAAAATGTGTCCTGCTGATTTCCAGCCCCTGGTCACAAGGCAGGCTTTTCCAGGACATCAGGCATTCTCCCTTCCCATTTGCTGTGACTCAGAGTGGATTCTGTGGAAGTGAGCCCTCTGACTTAGCTTCTGTTCAGTGGTTGTTGAGGGGGGCAGGTATGGTTCTAAGATTACCCCTAGGCAGGAAAGATGTGCAGCCATTTTCAGCTCAGCCCTACCCCGACTCTAGTCCATTAGGGCAGAACAAGCAGCGTGCTGGCACCTCTTCCCTTGCATCAGAGGGGCTGGCCTCCCACTCACTGGCTTATTTCCTCCTAAGACCCATCCAGTGAAGCAGAGAAAATGATCATTATTGGTTCAACTGCTTTATTGCTGAGGGTTACAAAGATGAGTGATATTTAGGAACTAAAATATTATCACAGCCAGGTGTTGACTAATACAAAATAGATGCAAAGCAACATATTCTAACCCCAAATGTACTTTTATAACTAAACCTGAGCTAATTAATAGTGAAACATCCTGTGCTTCTTTTATCCTTTTCAAGGCAAATATCAACTGCTACCCCTAATTCCCGTATGCATTGGTAGTTTTCAGGACAGGAGTTTTAGCAGCATAATTGAGACAGGGCCAGATTGCTTTGGGAAGAAACATGAATGTTGTTGAGAAAAATGGAGACAGCAAGAACATTTCATTTGATAAGCATTAATTGAGTACCAACTCTGAGCCAGGTACCTGGCAAAGTACATTGAGAGGATATTCTGATTAGTATATTGTGATCTGTGTCATTCAGGAACTTTTTTTTTGTTGTTACAATGTGACAAATACACTTGTGATAAATTTTAGTGCTTTATGTTTTTTTTTTTCTGTGACAAAGATACTGAATAAAATGCTATAGGATTGCAGAAGAGGGAACTACCAGGCTTACCTTTGGAAACTGATGAAAACTCATCTAGGAATTGACATTTAAACAGAGTTTTGAACCATGGCACGTGTATACCTATGTAACAAACCTTCACATTCTGCACATGTATCCCAGAACTTAAAATAAAAAATATAAACAGGGTTTTGAGAGCTGGACAAGAGTTTACCGGGCAGATAAAAGGAAGGATGGCACTTCGGGAAGATGTTATAATTGCCCAATAGCCTGGACTTGGTAGGCAATTATGTGAACTTATCTGTGGTAGGCGTAGTAGTGTTGGAGCTGACAGGTCACATTGTGGATATATTGTGAAGACCTTAATGCCAAGATAGGGGTTTGGACTTTATCATGAAATCATTAGACCTGTGTTTTAGAAAGCTGCCTCTGGCAGCAGTGTGGAGAGAGAATGAGATGGGAGAGAGACTTAAAATGTCAAATAGACTTTAAGCCACTTACTTGTGTGACCATTTGCAAGTAATTTAAATTTCTCTGTGCCTCGGTTTTCATAGCTGTACGTTGGCAATAAGAATACCCAATTAGATTGGGAGGATTGAATGAGATAATATATGTATAACTCTTAGCAAAGCATTGAATATATAGCAAACACTAATAAATGATAGCTGCTATAATAATTAATAGAAGGGTGAATATCAGTTAGGAGGCTAATGCAATAGCCCAGGCAAAACATGAAGAAATCCCTAACTGTATCAGTTAATAGGGTGACAGAGGTGTCAGAATCGGAAGCATTTCTGGAAGAGAAATGGAAAAATTTGGTGAATGAGAAAGATAAGCAGGTAGTTGAGGATGATAGCCAAGGCATTGGGCAGGTACAGGGAAGGCAGAGCAGATGGGGAGGCTGATGAAGTTCATTTTGGAGGGTGTTAGTCTGGTAGGTAGAAGAGGTCAGGACCAGAATGGCAGATGTGAGATTCTGAAAAGGGAGGTTTAACCAGAGAACACAGCTAAACAGGAGGCGGACAATGACTAATGAAGGTATCAGACAGCTTAGCAAGGGGTTAGAGAGTCTTTCGGCCCCAAAATAACTAACAGCCAGAAGTAAATTCCTCTGCATGACACTTTTGTATTTTTTAATTAAAAAAATCATATTACAATCCTCTTAAATCTCCTGTTTCCCTTCAGAACCAGTAGCCATGTTTAAAATTTGGTCTATGTGCTTCTCTAGACATGCCAATTAGATGTGCTTGTTCTACAGAGCCCTCTTTGAAGCTGGAGTGGGAGTGGGGAGGAGGGTTGACAGGACCCCTTCTGGCATCCCTTTCCTCTTCTTCATCAGAGCAGACTCAGATTCATCCATTTAGGTGAGAAAGGATTCCATAGCTAAACAACAAAAAAATTTTAATATCTTATCTGGAATATCAGTGACTTCAGCTGTCACACTAGTGTTACAGGTTCAGTGTTTGATGAAGTGGTGTTATGAAGTAGCCAGGATGTGTGGGTCATGGCCCAAGGCCCTGAAAGAGAGATTGAGATGGATAAGGTTTGGCTCCTATTACCAGCGGGAATCATAATATTTCCCAGCTGTTGTTTCCTTTGTGATTTAGGCAAACCCTGTCATTTTAAAGATGAAGATAGGAGACCTAGAGAGCTCGGTTGGCTTGCCTGATCTGTAGCTGGGTATTAGCTGAGGCAGACTCTGGAACACATATACCAACTCTTAGTCCTATGTTCCTTTCCAGTTCCCTCACGTTTTCATTTAAAGCACTTTCAATGGGGATAACCCTGAGAAGAACACAAGGCTCTCCATTCTTGGTGAAAATACACCACTCTGGTATGTCAAGCAAGAGAAAGATGATCTGGAAATTCACTTTTTGCTTGTGAAGTCCAACAGAGTAATCACCTGTTGAACTTTTCAAAAACCTTAATAGAAGATATCACCTGTTTTTTGTAATTATAAACAGTACATAATGGCAAATATATGGTCACAAATGAGAAATTTGATTGCCTCAGAGAATTAACCTATCAAATTAGCCCATAGTGCAAAGTCATCTTAAAGAGGCAGAGTGACAGAAAAAATAAAGAAAGGGAATGTAAGCCTCATGGGAACCAGGGATTTTGTCTGTTGTTCCCTACTGTATCCTCCTGCCCAGATCAGTGTGTGGTACATAATAGGATCTCAACAAATATTTGTTGAATGAATGAATGACAGTCTCTGAGATCTTTAACACTTTGAGAACTAACTCAAGATATGAACATATCTAAAATAAGAATGTACTATTTTGGGCCGGGCACAGCGGCTCACGCCTGTAATCCCAGCACTTTGGGAGGCTGAGGCAGGCAGATCACGAAGTCAGGAGATTTAGACCATCCTGACTAACACAGTGAAACCCCATCTCTACTAAAAATCCAAAAAAATTAGTCGGGTGTGGTAGCGGGTGCCTGTAGTCCCAGCTACTCAGGAGGCTGAGGCAGGAGAATGGCATGAACCCGGGAGGCAGAGGTTGCAGTGAGCTGAGATTGTGCCACTGCACTCCAGCCTGGGCGATGGAGCGAGACTCCATCTCAAAAAAAAAAAAGAATGTATTATTTTGAATTGAAACTCAGTAGAGGAGGAATACCAAAGAGAAAGTCATAGATGCAGATGTTGGCAGTGCCCCTCCAAATAGTGCTCAGGGTTGAGGTGCCCTGACCTAAAGATTTAGCCTATCTATCTAGGGGCCACATGTATCTCTATTGTAGGGAAAGATGCATTAGACATCCTTGGCCTGGGATTTGTGAAGACACGAATGCTGTAGCTAAGACCTCTCATTCTCATTACATGTTCCAAAGCAACTTAAGGATTTCAAATTCAGCTTTCTCTAGAGCTTGCCCATCAGAAATATGCTGGCCAAAGATTGCCAGTTTTCTTGGGAGTCCTGTTTTTCATTTTAATTGGCCAACTGGCATTCTGTTTTTTTCTATCAGTCGTGGTGAGGTTGACCATTGGGAGACTGCTTCTAAGAGATAGATCTGTCTTTAGTGTGCTGACATATCGGGTTTCTGAACATATAAGACTGAGGTCCAAACCAGTCTTGCATCCTGGGAGACCTACTTGGGTGTTCACCTAGTTTCCTGGAGAAATATTCCAACTTCATAGATACTAGGTTTTCTTTAAAACATCTGCAATATTAGCTAGAGTCAATTGGTATACTGGACGAAAACAGAGCTAGACCAATAATATCAAAGCATTAAAAAGACAATACTTTTACATATAACTGGAATTTTACTTGACTTTTTTCCATTTTTAGAAGCTCTTGAAAGTATTTTTTTTTTTTTTTTTTTTTTTTGAGACAGAGTCTCACTCTGTCGCCCAGGCCGGACTGCGGACTGCAGTGGCGCAATCTCGGCTCACTGCAAGCTCCGTAGAAGCTCTTGAAAGTTTTTAAAATATTTCTAAATAATTCTAGAATAAATATAGATATTTACAAATCTGGGATATATTTTTGGATAGAAATGGAGTAGTTGTTTTTGTTTTACTTAAAACTTTCCTTTCAACTGTACCAAGTCAGACTACTTGGCATTCCTATATCTTCCATTGATAGCTAGAGTGTTCACTCAACCAAAATTTATTGAGCATCTACTATGTGACAAGCACTATTTGGACTCTAGAAATATAATAGTAATAAAACAGAAAATATCTCTGGTAGATCTTGAGCATGTTTTCAGCTTCTCTTTCTGTAGTTTTTACTTGGATGCTGGAATTCCTTGAAATATACAGAATTCATTCCTCCCATGCCCCTTTGCTTTGTTTGACCTTCTAGGAAGGGTAGTTTCTTTGAGAGAAGAGCTGGATAGATATGACCTGAAACCCTTATTCCTTTAGGGATTAACAAAAGGATAAATATTCTGTTGGGATTTCTAGCTGCTTTATTGAGAGATAGCTGGGTCTGAAAACAACAGCTTCAAGTTTCTAAGATTCCCCTTTGCTAGTTTCATAGACTCTTATTTTCCACTAGACTGCAGGTGGAGTATAGTGACTGGCTCACGGTGCATTGAACCAATCTTTTTAGAGTGTGTCTAACCCCTGCTCAGTGCTGCCAGGTAGACCAGCATATCCAAGCTGATGACATAGAGGGACACAGAGTTTTTCCTCTTTTAGCTTTATTCCAAATTTGTGATGATTTGGCATCTGAGTGTGGCCTAAATTTTAAGACCCATAACTTTTTTTCCCTACAAGTGTACACTGCAGACTTTAGGATCAGCAGCTCTATACCCTGCTTGATCTCTTTGTCCTCAGCATCTATGTGGGTACCTCTCATGGAACTTTATTCTTTGTTGTGTATGCACCCTCTGTCTCTGTTTAGCCTCTCAGGCATCACAGTGATCCTAATTGGAGTTAAAAAGTTATTGGCTCATAGAGCACATCCTGTCTACCAACACTAGCAAAATCTTATTTGGATTCATTATTGCAAAATTGGAAAAGAAGATTCAATAATTTATCGCCATTATGGTCCTGGATCTTATTTCCTCTTGCCTTTCAAATTCTCCTGGGAGGAGAGAGGCTTCTGACATCCGAGTGGAGGTGGACTGAGCAGCCTGAAAAGACTCTTCCATCCAAAGAGTCGGGTTCACTTTCACAGGACAGGAAATGAACAGAAACTCTCTGCCTCATTCCTGAAACTTGCCAATAAGTAGCATTCTAAGACGGTGAGAATTTGATAGGAAAATATCCTTCTGCCACCCTGAAGGTCACTGAGGGTTTTCCATAATACAGCTCTGAACCTGAAGGCAGATTTCTCTATTTCTACACTCTGAATCATTGTATCCCTATATCCTAGAACACTCTAGGATGAGGATTCTGATAGGAATCCTCACTAACGCTGAGAGCACTGGCCTTACATACATTGATCCAGTCTGAGACTCTACCTAAAGTCACTGGAGAACTTGCCGATGTATTTCAGGTTGGAGAATTTGTTCATGTGGACTTCACTTTAAATAAGGCAATTGAAGCCAGGCGCGGTGGCTCACACCTGTAATCCCAGCCCTTTGGGAGGCCAAGGCAGGTGGATCACTTGAGGTCAGGAGCTCAAGACCAGCCTGGCCAACATGGTGAAACCCCATCTCTACTAAAAATACAAAAATTAGCCAGGCGTGGTGGTATGTGCCTGTAGTCCCAGCTACTCAGGAGGCTGAGGCAGGAGAATGGCTTGAACCTGGGAGGTGGAGGCTGCAGTGAGCCAAGATCACGCCACTGCACTCCAGCCTGGGTGACAGAGCAAAAGTCCATCTCAAAAAAAAAAAAAAAAAAAAAAGTAAAATTTAAAATATTAAAAAATTAAAAATAAATAAGGCAGTTGAATTGTTAATTATCTAACAATTGGATCAAGCCAAATATAATAATACAGACTCATAGGTTTGATTTCAGATTATCAGTATGCAGTTGCACCCTTTCATGTGAAATCTAACATCCAAGTATTCTCACATAAACAAGAGCAAGGGCCTTTAAATGGCCTGAGATTACTGCTGAACACTTCAGTGTAAGAAACTGTTCATCAGATTCATCTTAACGAATTAGTCTGATAAATTACTGATTAAGTATTTCTAACACACATATTTGCAAACCAACATTTTTACCCTAAATTTAGAAATTTCTTTTTGGCCTGTAAGATTGTGAGAGAAAAAGTAAAAGAAGTAAATGAGTGTAGTTCTTACCTTTAATTTCAAAATTGAGGTCTCTAATCAAATTGAAAATGATGAGGAAACAATGAGTTTTTCCAATTAAAAATTTTTTTACTGTAAGGAATTTGCTTAAAAATAGAATTTAATGATCTTTAAATTATTTTCACATCTCTCTGTCTTGATTCTGTTTAATGTGCTTATAGTCATAACTGCAATTATGTAAATACAGATTAGTTCATCTTTGCTAACTTCACATTATTTCACATAAAGATTTTGGAGAATCAATACAGTGTGTTGTGGGCATCAGTGAGTATATGGTCATTCATAATTCACTGTTCCAGTCCCTTGCTTAGCCATCTGTTACTGAGCATTTGAATGTATCCAGTCCTTTGCTTATTATATGAAAATAATGCTCCAATTAATGTCATTATTAAAATTACTCTTTTGTTTGGGACATTTAGTTGGCATGTTTTCCCCAAAGCAGGAGTGAAAGTTACTAAAGAGTATATGATATTTTAATTTCTTTTTTAAAAACATTAACATAAGTAATACTGAAAGAAGAAAATAATATGGCAAATATTCAATAATTTTGGAAATGCCAGACAACACAGGCCCAGGGAACAGTCAAGGCTGACTAGGAAGTCCTTTGCATATTCTCCAAATATGGTATCTCTTCAACTTTTTCTTTTCCTTTTTTTTTGAGACGGAGTCTTGCTCTGTTGCCAGGCTAGAGTGCAGTGGTGCAATCTCGGCTCACTACTGCAACCTCTGACTCCCTGGTTCAAGCAATTCTCCTGCCTCAGCCTCCCAAGTAGCTGGGGTTACAGGCACCTGCCACCACACCCGGCTAATTTTTGTATTTTTAGTAGAATGGGGTTTCACCATGTTGGCCAGGATGGTCTCGATATCCTGACCTCATGATCCACCTGCCTTGGCCTCCCAAAGTGCTGGGATTACAGGTGTGAGCCACCACGCCTGGCTGGCCTCTTCAATTTTTTCTTAAGGAAATTGGTTGCAATGATGATGATGAAAAGGCATTAGTGTGCCCAGGGGAAAACATTAGTGGTCAGATGATGAGACACAGAGAGACGATAAAGGTGTCCCATCTTAGGTACTTACCCTCCAAACACTGAAGTAGCCCCTAATCCCTTACCCCAGAAACAAGTTCATTCTCCCACGTCCAACTCTATGTTAGCATTTCTCAACCGGAGCCCTAGTAACAGGGACAGGTCTGTGCTGTGTGACACTGTCTCACACATTGCAGGATGTTTACTAGCTGTGGCCTCTGTCCACAAAATGTGAGCAGTGCTTCCCAGGCATTCCTTAAAACATGTGCCTTACCACACTCCAGACAAGGCCTCTCAAATACATATTTCTACCTGACCCCCAGGAAGCAATAGGATCCAGGACTCAGGCTCTGGTAGTGGTATTACCACAACAGCAGTGGAGACTGGAGTTCAGTGTGGGGGAAACAGAAGAGTTGTCTCTTGTGCTGGCTTTCTGCCTTCCTAGTAGTGGTTCTACATCTTCTAGGATTGTGGTTTTAACATCGAGGATCTTCTACTGATCTTGACAATGGTCTTGAATTTTTTCAAACTAACGAATATGTATTAGAAAATCAAGCTGGTCATCAACTGAGCCGTTCTTGGAGTTGTAGAGCTTAGAGAGGAAAGGTGATTTAGTGCTCACAGAATCAAAAACCCTAAATTTGAAGAAGAGAAAAACTGAAGTCAAATAAAGAGGAAATGATTCACATAGAGGCACATGCCATTACCAGTGAGGTAGGAATAAAAACTTGATGGCCTAATTTTCAGACTGGGATTTTCTTCATCCAAAAAGTGCACAATCTCAGTTGGTCGTGGTGGTTACGCAACAATGTGAATGTACTCAACATCACATCATAGTAAGATGATAAATTTTATGTTCTGTGTGTTTGATACAATTAAAAAAATGCAGTGTTCCTATGCATTTAGGAATGAAGAGCTATTTATCAATATTGGAATATTGCTTATTTCTGCAATAAAATTTATTTTTTCACTGTAAAGACCGAGCCTGGAAACAGTGAAGCTGACAGCTGAGAAACTGCTGAAAACCCTAACGAAAGCACTTTCCAGATCCAACTTACCTTGTGGGGCTGCCATGTAAAATTGTGCAGGTTGTGACCTGCACAAAAGGACCTGGGTTTGTGGAAGGGGTGGGGTTGGAATCCAGCCCTTTCACTCACCATTCATCTTGGTTTAGGGCTGCTTTTATTTATCTGGAGGAAAGGATGATCTTTGCTAATTCCTCTTCCTTGAAGGAGCTCCTTTACGTAATTAATCCACCCAGATGAATCTGCCTTTTCCCAATTCATGTAGAAGTGTCTTCTGTGCCAGGAGGCTCTGTTACTTGATGATCAACTTTAGACAGTGGGGAACCTGAGGAGATACAAAAGGAGAAGGGATATAAGAAACCATGACCTTACCCTTCCAAGAACTGAGGGCAGATGCAGAATATTCAGAAGATGAGAACCTTTTAAAGGGAAAATGTAACTAAAGTGCAAATATAATTCAGTAAATATTCATGTAAGCAGTTACAGTTCTGGATTTTAAGTACAGTCAGATTGATAGGAGGTTTTTTTTTGTTTTTTGTTTTTTTAGCAAATCATGTGTCTAATTAACTTAAAATATTTGGGAAATTCTGAGAAATGAGGGAATTTTGAGTTTATAAGTACACTGCATGTTAATGACCCAGAATAATAGAATTGGAGAGAATGGACCATCTTCTCTAGCTGAGGCCCAGGCCCAAGAGAAGAGCTCACACAGAGCAGAACTAAGCTACAGCCACCAGGGATTTTGTGGGGAAGATTACCTCCATACTGGGAGGGGCCCATGCAATTTGCATCACCATAGCTGCCCTCTCCAGGAGTTCTTGGGAGAGCAATTCTGTTTAGGTACATAGCAGAAGAGCAAGCTCCTAGAGTGGAAGTTAAAGGGGCTGCTTAATGTTTGGTGTGTACTTTGTGAGGTTAGGGAGGTAAGATGTTAAAGTCAGATGCTGCTCTACTTAGTATGGGATGTCAATAAGGTACTTACTTCAAAGTAGGTACTGGAACATACCTTTCTTCTAAGAGACTAAGATTTTGTTGTTGTTCTTCAGAGAAGCATTTGTGGAATATTTCTGTAGTGCTTGAATGGCCAAAGATCAATAAACAAAATAAATTACAGTCCTGGTGGATTTTAATATTTAAATTTAGATAATTATGATGTCCAAAGAGAAGAGAAAGAGATGCTTTAAGTCATTACCAAAAATATCTTAGTCCTTGAGAGGGATTTGCTGAACCAAAGTGAGAATGAAGTCTGTGTGTCCCCTTTTCTGCAAAGAAGCTGACGCCACATGATGCAAAGGCCTGCCCTTAACCCAGTTAATATGAACATGGCATGGCACCAAAGAGGAGACAGAATCGACAGGGAGAGTCCCAGTTTTAAGCTCCCAAGCAAGATCTTTCAGTGGGGATGGGAGGGGTCCTTTTACCCTTTCCTAATGACTAAATTAAACCAAATCTACCCAAGTGGCCCCTCCTCTCCTCCTGGGAGATGGTGGTGCCATTGTCAAGATAGGTGGGACACATTTGGGAGAGATTGGGGGAACACAGTTTCACCTTCACATTTAAGAATCCAATTTACTCCTGTGGCCTTGTTTGAACTCTCCTTCCAACACTCATATAATAATAATTATATGTCCTTGCCTTCTGTAAGCTCATTTCAGTTGGTGTAGCAAATATATTTCTACCACACACACAAAAATTCTTCTCTTAGGGGTTCATGTGGAAATGAAAACACAATGTGTTCCACTCCACATGAAAAGCAAGTGCTGTCTCTGCAGCAAAGTGCTTCCTGACAAGGACTGAGCTGAAGTGTCATGAAGCTACTCACCTGGAGGGGGCATCAGCATCTCCTGCCTCTTAAGTCGACCAGGGAAAGCTTGGACAAGAGCAGCCATGTAGGTGTTACAGGAAAGGTCCTGATCCAGACCCCTAGAGAACGTTCTTGGATGTCACGCAAGAAAGAATTCAGGGTGACTCCACGGTAAAAGCAAGTTTATTAAGAAAGAAAAGGAATAAAAGAATAGCTACTCCATGGACCAGCCCCGAGGGCTGCTGGTTGCCCATTTTTATGGTTATTTCTTGGTGATATGCTAAACAAGGGATGGATTACTCATGCCTCCCCTTTCTAGACCATATAGGGAAACTTCCTGACATTGCCATGGCCTTTGTAAACTGTCAGGGTGCTGGTGGGAGTGTAGCAGTGAGGATGACCTGAGGTCACTCTCGTCACCATCTTGGTTTTGGTGGCTTTTGGCCAGCTTCTTTACTGCAACCTGTTTTATCAGCAAGGTCTTTATGACCTGTATTTTGTACAAACCTCCTATCTTATCCTGTTACTTAGAATGCCTTAACCTTCTGGGAATGCAGCCCAGTAGGTCTCAGCCTCATTTTACCCAGCTCCTATTCAAGACCGAGTTGCTCTGGTTCAAATGTCTCTGACATGGGGGCTAATGACATCAGAACTGGAAAGAAAGATGATAAAGGAATGAGTTTTTTTTTAAAAAAAAAAAAAAAAAAAAAAAGCCAAACAAAACAAGGATACCAAATGGAAAATAAACAAAAAAAAAGTTTTAAAAAGAAAAAAATTAAGTGCTGACTGTGCTACAACATGCATGAACCTGAAAAACATGATATTATGCCACACACAAAGGGACAAATATTGCCTATGAATTATCTAGAATAGGCAAACTCATGGAGATGGGGAATGGATTAGAATTATGAGGGACTCTTTTAGAATTATCCAGAGCTCCATCCAAGGGAGAGGGGAATGGGAAGGTACAATGTGTACAGCTAGCTATAGGTTTGTGGTGATGACGAAGTTTTGGACATAGGCAATGGTGATGGCTGACAGCATTGTGAATGTAATCAATACCATTGAATTGTACACTCAAAATAATTAAAATGGAAAATTTTCTGCTACATAAATTTTAACACAATACAAAAAGAAAAAGTCAGAAAGAAGTCCTTTTGGAGGTGAGTGGGTGCTCCTAGTCACACTCAGAGATAGGGAGGGCTCACTCTTCCTGTGTTTGAGGAGATCCTGGGACTGGCAGTACATCCTGTGTGTATATGTAGAGGCAGATATGTCCTAACAGGACAGCCTTTTCTACTCTGTGTCTTGAAGTTTCACAGGAATCAGGATGCATATGTGGTCCCAATTCTGTGTCTGTGCCAGCTGTTCCTGTAGCTTTCTTCTTGAGGGGTCCAGAGCACTTCAGCATGGAGTTTGCCACAACGGCCTCTCCTCTGTCTGGATTGCTGAATTCCTGTTGAGCTTCCTGGGGAATTTGAGAGTAGAGGGTGGGACTTGGCTATGGCCGAATTAGGCTACTTGGAAATCAGAGGGGAACAAGTATGCAACCTAAAACATTCTGTAGGTCATTTGTAGTTCACTTGCAGTCAGATAAAATCATCATTAGATTAAAAAATGTGACTTCATTTATGTAACTTTTTTGACAAGATATTTATTTTAGGTAAATAAAGCTTACCTCTACAAGAGTCAAAGCTCTTTTTGCTTAAGCTTATTTTTTAAATGGAAATCAAACATGTTGTATATACCCTTTTTAAAATGTATCATACATAATTTAAACGCTTCCTGATGATTCACGGTATCTATTTTTATTTTTTATGTAATACATTTTTTTCCTATACACCTTTCTGTCATGCTGTTATTGCTGTCATTTTAACTGCCCCTAATTCATTCTTTGATGTTTCTGTGCTATGGTTTAGGATGCTAAATAAAGAGACTCATTAAGAATTATATATTAAATAAGAGCAAATAGTTATGGAGTCATTGCTTGGTTTTACAACCGGGCTTTGGGCCAGATATGTGGGGTGTCCAGAAACCAAGTTCAAGGTTCTGGAAGAGTGGGCTAAGGACACTGGAAATTTGGCTTTTGATATGTCACTATATATCTTTTTTTTCAAACCGCAAATAGCTCTCTGCAAACAGGGCCAGTGCTCAACTGTGCACCAGTTAGAAAAGTCAAGTAGTAGGCTTAAATTATTTTTATGTGTCTGGCCAGGGTATAAATAGTTTAAGAGTTTAGAATTAATACAAAATGGATTTAAGATTTAAAATTTTTAACTCCCTTATTCTTTGTTATATGGTCACTGGCCGTGACTATTCTTTTCATCCTCTGGGCTTCCTTTTTCTCTCTCTCTCTTTAGAGACAGTGTTTCACTGTGTTGCCCAAGCTGGAGTACAGTGATGCAGTCGCTGCTCACTGTAGCCTCAACCTCCTGGGCTCAAGTAATTCTCCCACCTCTGACTCCTGAGTATCTGGGACTATAGGTGCACACCATCACATCTGGCTAATTTTTTAAAAAAATTTTTGTAGAGTCAGAGTCTCACTATCTTGCCCAGGCTGGTCTTGAACTCCTGGGCTCAAATGATCCTCCTACCTTGGCTTCTCAAGTGCTGAGATTACAGGCCTGAGCCACGATGTCTGGCCTCTGGCCTCCCTTTCTAATGGGTCTTGTGATAGAGGCTTTTGTCCCCACAGCCTACTTGCCATTGTTGTTCTGACTATTCCTGGGAGAAAGTGGGTGGAGGGTTCAGGTCACATCTAGTCTTGGCTAGTTAGTACATAGATTGTTTTAAACGTCTTTGAATGGCCTTCAAAACTGCACAATTTGAGCCTGTTTTTCCAGTCTTAATCTGCCACTCACTCTCCTCCCCAAGATATTCCAAGGTCGGGGTAGTTAGGGTTGCCAGATGCTTATATTAAAAAATTATTTGTTGTTGATCTGAAATTCAAATGTCACCGGGCAACCCTACCACTAGTGTTGATGACCACAGGAGGGAGGAGAGACTAGAGTTTGATTCTTGCCTTCTGTATGCCAGGCATGGTCATATCAGTCATATTAATTTCATTATCTCATTTAATCAGAATCACATCCAATCCCAGACCTTCTGAATCAGTGCTAGGTGTGGAGCCTGGGAAATTGTGTGTATGTCTTATGAGCATTCCAAGTGATTCCTATTCAAAGGGAGTTACAGAAACACCATGACCTAGACCAGTGCCCCCCAGACATCATGCAGATGCAGGTCACCTGAGGTTAGAGCTGAAGTGCAGGTTTCGATACTGCAGACCTGGAGTGGGGCCTCAGGTTCTGCATGCCAACAACCTCCCACGAGACGCTGAGGCTGCTGGTTGTGAATCCCACTTGGAGTGGTGCTGTCCTGAGCCTCCCAGCCAAGAAGCAGCAGCACCCCCAGCAGTTGTGATAATGAAGATTATAAATGATACTATGTTTTTAAATAATCAGAGGTGGGGATATAAGTGGAAGTATTTGGCTTATTCACCAATATACAGTAACATCTATGTATGAAGGGTGAAGTTTTGTGTGCCATTTTTTAGGAAACTTTTTTTTTTCCAAAAAGTAAATGTCTTACCCGCAGCTGAGGGATGCACATTTTTTTCCTCCACTAAGTGGATATTGGCTTATTTATGCTGGTCTTTCTTTCTTATACACAGTGGGGGGACATCTGTCCCTAATCACATTTACAGCTTCAAATCCCAGAATGGACTCCAGATGTGCAGGGCACAGTGTGACTTGGCTTTATGGAAATAGTTTCTCAGTGCCAGAGTCATGGTGATAGAGTTATAATGTGACTCCTTCCATTTTCTTCCCTCCTAGCTGCATGAAATTAAATGGTTTTATTGAGAGTAGCTTAGTTTACTCAGCAGAATCTAGTTAGATCAGAAATATTTAAGGTACAACTGTGTCAAAGAACTGATGGAAAATCGAAAGAGTTAATCAAACTGCTCACAAGGACAAAAGAAAGTCCTGCTGCACGATCACTTTAGCCATAAACATGCACACTCAAATGAAGGCAGATTATGTAGGTGACAGGTGGTCAGCTTCTCAGTCCCTTTATCTGTTGATTTAATATCTTTTTTTTTTTTTTTTGAGACAGACTCTTGCTCTGTCTGCAGGCTGGTGACAACCTGCAACTTCTGCCTCTCGGGTTCAAGTGATCCTCCTGCCTCAGCCTCCCAAGTAGCTGAGACTACAGGTGTGTGCCACCACGCCCAGCTAATTTTTGTATTTTTAGTAGAGATGGGGTTTCACCATGTTGGCCAGGATGGTCTCAATCTCTCGACCTCATGATCCGCCCACCTTGGCCTCCCAAAATGCTGGGATTACAGGCGCGAGCCACGGCACCCAGCCTCTGTTTATTTTTCTAATTTGTAGTTATGAGATGAGCAGAGGTTAGATTGGAGATGTCTTTGTGGAATATCACCTTTCAAAATTTAGCAGTTCTCACACAGAAAGCACACCAGCAGTGGCCCAACTATTCGTCTGTTTATTCATCAAATTCTTTTTTTTTTTTTTTTTTTTTTTTTTTTTGAGACCAGGTGTCACTCTGTTGCCCAGGCTGGAGTGCAGTGGCACAATCATGGCTCACTGCAGTTTCAACCTCCTGGGCTCAAGTGATCCTCCCACCTCAGCCTCCTGAGTAGCTGGGACCACAGATGTGCACTAACACGCTTGGCTAATTTTTTTATTTTTTTGTGGAGATGGGGGCCTCTCTTTGTTGTCCATGTTGGTCTTGAACTCCGAGCCTCAAGTGATCCTCCCACCTTGGCCTCACAAAGTGTTGGCATTACAGGCTTGAAACATGGCACTCAGCCCATTCACCAGATTCTTACCTAGTCGGTGCAAGCCACTGTAATCTGTTGTATGGCAAATACAAAGATCAACCAGATACAAACTATCTGCAAAAGTCACTTGTCATCAGAATGACACAGGAAGCAAAGGACTGAGAGATTCATTCTGTTTGAAGGAGGAGTGGATTTTTAAAAAAGGCTTTCAGGAGACTGTGGTATTTGAGCCAGGCTTCAAGTTGTGGATAGAATTTGGACTTGCAGAGATGGAGCTGGGTAAATGGTGTTTCTGAAAGACAGAACAAACTGAGCAAAGGCACAAAGGCATGGAAATCTTGGATGGAGTATTGTGAATAGATTACAGTTCCAGTTTGTCGAAGTGTAGCATGCTTACAGGGAAGCAATTGGAAACGTGGGTGGGACCTACCTGTTGTTGGAGAGCTTGAAATGAATTCATTTTGGTGCCAATGGGGAGTGGTTGACGTGTGAGCAGCAGAAGAGTGACATGGTGAAATGTCATTTGGGAGACTGCTGTGTGTGGAATGGATTGGACAGGCACAAACTTGAGATGGGAATCAGCTGAGACACATCTGAAATAGTCTAGCCTTCAGGTGATGAGGGCCTTGTTGTGAGTGATGGAGGGGAGAAGGTGTTTATGGGCAAATTCCTGAACCTTAACAACCATGAGCTATGGGTGCAGGGAGGAGGGCCATGTCATATGGTACTGGGACCTCCAGACCAGGCGTTATGCCTTAATACGAGAGTTCTGAGGTTGGCGGGGAGGTGGGAGAGCCCACTTGTAGGAAGGAAGATGTGTTTGGTTATCCTGAACTGTAACAGCAAGAATTGAGTGTGTCTTCTTCACACAGTGCCCTTAGCAGAGCCTGGGTGGCAAGTGGTGCCACCCAGTGAATCTTTGTTGAGGTTGAGATGCCAGCCAAGCTGCTAAGAGGAAGCTGTCCAGGAAGGCGGTTGGAAATGGCTCCTGGGGCCTCACGGGGAAGCTAGCCCTAGAGATGGAACTTGGGCAATCTTGGAATAGTGTAACAGAGCCCTCAGGAAAGAGAAAGCTACAGACGGAGCTTTAGTGATGCCTTAGGGGGTGAGAGAAGTCCTAAAATAAATGGTTTGAATGTAGGGAAAGTCTCAGTTGCCTGGAGGCCAAGAACAAAAAGGATTTCAGGAAGGAGCAAGTGGGCACAATAGATGAGTGCTTCTGAGGGGACGGGGCTGAGAAAAGGACACAGGCAGTGGCCATGAGAAAGCTGTTCTGGAGGGTGGCAGGGACAGATGTCAGATGAACTGCTCGATTTGGTTTTAATGTAGATTTTTAAAGGGAAGGAAACAAGTCAGTGTTTAAACATTGGTTACAAGGTACTTTGATATATTTTTTAGATAACGCTTCTAATAACAAAAGTATACTATAGACTAGAGCAGCTGAAAAAATATTAGTCATCTTCTGCAAGGGAAAATTTCCATCTTTGTAGCCATTTGGGTCATTAAGTGCCAGTAATCACATCCAGGGTATGTATATATAGGAGATACGTTGGCAAAATAGGAGAGGACTGGGTCAGCTGCTGCTATCTCATTTTATTTATTTTTCCAAATTGAAAACTGTGTCAGTTACAAGTACCTCTGGATTAAAAATAAAATGAACTTTGCTGAAATGTTAACATGTGGATAGTCAAATAGCAATTATAATGTGGTACAGAATTGCCCAGGGCAGAGGTGTGGTGGGAAGACAGCTACCAGCTGATCACTCCTTCCTTTGATTTGAGCTGACTAAAGTCAGAGGATCCTCTAACACTGCACACTACAACTTTGCCCTGTGGGTTTCTGCTGGATCAGTAAAGAATTCTTCTGCCCCCCAGCCCCTCCCAACACTGGGCACACTACCGTTATAAGGTAGGGATGTAGGCAGTTATGTGGCTGATATTAATGTGATATTTATCCCTGTAGGCTGGTACTGCACATCACATGGTGTGTGGGATCATGGATCATATTTTTTCTGCCAAAAGGCAGTGAATTATTCCCCCAGAGATGCCATTATTTCCTCCTTAAAGAGAAATAAATTATATAGCTGCTATATGGGAGTGGCACACCCTGGATGGATCACTCTGAAGCCTGAAGCCCAAGGGAGAACCCAGGAAAGGCCAGGGTACTGCCAAATTCTCTCCAGCCTGGGAACGTTGCTTCCTCCAAACCCTCTGGGGCATCTTGAGCTGCTCCTATTTTGTAGGGACCCCGAGCTCTTTCCCCAGCTCAGAGGCTGAAAGGAGTTCCTAGGAGTAGCCTCTCTCCCTGAGCTTCCTCTCATCTTAGTGGACTGACTTGAGTTTGGAGGGAACTAAGTTGGGAGGCTGAGCTCAGTAAAATGTTGACCACCCTACCCTTCCTGATATTGTACCTTCCTTCGGCCTTGGCAGCTCAGCATCCTTCTGATGTCTCTCGGCTCTCCTAATGTTCCTCCTGTAGTCTTCTCTCTGCTTCCTGAAGAGGGACTTCCCAAGAGTTGGCCCTTGGTGCTTGGTTGTCTGTGTTTTGTGACTCAAATTGCCTTTCTTAGTCATCCAGCAAACACTTATTTCATATCTACCTCTGCTACAGGTTTCAGACTGGGTGATGGAGTTGCAAAGCCATGATCCCTGCTCCTGAGAGTTTACAGGCCAGAGAGGGACACAGACATATAACAAAGTAGGGCACCTAATTTTTACAGATGCTATACCAAGGAGATTCAAAAGAAGGAATGGTTAGTGCTCTCAGAGGGCAAGGGCAAGACTGGAAAGATTTAGTAGAGGCAACCTTAGACTTTTCTGATGATTTGCAGGCTTGTGGCTTCAAATGTTTTGTTAGATATTCCCATTAGGTTGTGCAGGAAAGAAAGAAAGAATGGACAGAGGCTTGGAGGCAGAGCTGGACTTGAATCCTAGATCTGTCAGTTAGGAATTTACCACTCTGGAACAAGGAAACAGGTAATATTCTTTATCTTGCAGATTGAAAAATACTGTGATCATCACTTTTCCAGAGCTTCTCATCCTCAGTTCCTAATCAAGGGGTGTTAGCATGCAGACAAGAACCAGGGTAAGGAGACTCATCAGTGACCTGTTAGTAGTCATGGACTACAAGGTAAAGAAAGCATGGACCACAGAGTCTGTTACCTTAGTGAGGTGCTGTCAGGATTGGTGACAATGTACAAAAAGCATCTAGTACTAGAACAGTACTAATCAATACATCTCCCACTCATTGTCAACCTGCTACCAGAAAGCCAAGTGACTCACCTTCCAAAAATGCCCTGTTCCCTCCTTTTTCTTCCACAGCTGTCAGTGCTAATGGTGTCCTCCAGGATCACTCAGCTTTAGTATCTGCCTTTTCTGTCTTTTGCTTCCTTCATATTCCCTTGCCTTCTCTTTCTGTTAATGTATAAAACCAGTGATGGCCTGATTTGAATGTAAGGGAAGATGATGACCACTGGGGTCACTGAGAGCCACAGATTTAAGAGCTCTTAAGCATTCATTGTTTGAAACAGGATTTCCCTAGAGGAAATTTGTGCATTTATTCAATGAGGATGGAATCACTAGGTGGTATTCAGCATCTGTCTCAGAGCTCATCCTGAGTGCTACGCTGCATCACACTCCAGACCACACAGAGCTGCATGCATAGCAGAATTTGTACTCTGCAGACTCTACGGACACCTGGAACCCTTAAGAGTAGATGTGAATGTTTCACTTCCGCCATGATAGCATGAGTTCTGTGGACCTGATCCACAGAAAAACTGAAAATTACTAAAGAACATAAAACTAACCACTTAAAGTATCTGGAAATGGCCTGTAAACCAAAAAGTATCTAAGACAGGTCTTAATCAATTTTGAGGTTTATTTGCCAAGGTTAAGGATGCGTCCAGAGAAAAGGAACACAAAACCACAGGAACAATCTGTGATACATGCTATTTTCCAAAGAGGGTTTTGGGACTTCTATATTTAAAGGGAAAAAGAGCAGGTAGTAGCACAAAGAGGAAAGAGAAAAATAAAAGAGGAGGGTAGATAAAAGAAGAGAGGGGTTGCATTCCTTTGAGTCTTTGATCAGCATTCACTGAATTCACATTTTACCTTTGAAAAGAAAGCATAGAGAAATAGTCATTATGCATTCTTCTCACACTCAGTAAATTAGGACTCTACCTAAGATAAAGTAAACATAGAGTGGCTATTTGTGGAGCCATCTGGCCTTCTATCTAGCCTTCTGTCTTCTAAGTTATTTGTTTAGAAACAAAAAGAAAGGCAGTTGCTTACATGACTCAGTTTCCAGCTTAACTTTTCCCTGGCATAGTGAATTTGGGATGCCGAGATTTTATTTTCCTTTCACCAGGCATATGGGCATTCAGCAAATTAAGAAATACTTATTCAGGAAAATCTACTAAAACTCAGTTACAAAGGTGAGAGCTGTAGTATTTGAAGCAAGACCTCCACTTTTCTTCCCCCACTCCAAACTCAGAGAGATGGAAACTTCACTCTAGACTGGTGCAACCAAGAATGCAGAGCTCCTTCTACCCCAGCTCCTAATTGGAGACCTGTTGTCTTGGAAAGGACAGTATGTCAGCCTTTCTCATCTTGCCCTCAGCAACCTGTTTTTGAGACTAAGTTCCAGGCAAGTGCAGCCCAGAGGTGTGGGGTTCTTTCTTTCATCCAGCCTCCACCCATAGGACAGAGGAATCTACCTTGAATGTGGCGTGCTGAGAATCCTGGGACCTACATTATCCTTGCCCTTGCTTGAAAGCTGTGGTTTCTCACAGGAAGAAGCAAGCTGAGAAGACCTATGGTTACTGCCCCACCACCACTGAGAACTCAGCTATAAGAGTAGGGGTGTCACTTAGAGAGAAGCATACCATTGTCTCCATCTGCAGTTCTAGAGCCCTAACTCAGAGATTTGCCTGGGGGAGAAGTAGGTTGTAAAACAGAGACCTCTCAGTATCTTACCAAAGGAGCTGACTTTGTTTGCAACAAAGTGTGGAGAAATTTATGCCCAAGGTTTCTCTCAAAAAAAAAAAAAAAAAAAAAAAAAAAGTAGAGGTTGTAGTGAAAGGCAATGGGGAAGAGATTGGTAGATTCATTGGAGATATAGATTAAGTTGTAGGCCAGCTAGTTTGCTGGGAACTAGGGAAAGAGACAGCTGAGAGGAGCATTCCTGGAGTCAGAGTGAATCTTAAGCACTGGCCTTGGAAACTGTCTTTTCAAAGGAGCCAAATTTGATTGAATCAATCTAGGAAACAACATATACCCATAGCAATCAACCTTCAGTTAATTCAACAGCTAGGAATGGTCAGGGAAAGAGATAGTGAAACAGAATCTTGCCAAAGCCCTATTAGGGTAGCTGTGGACATACCCAAGGCTACATCCCCTGAGTGGTAACATCAGAGGCTTCATTCTATGGGGGGAAGGAAACAGACTTCAGTAAAATAATCCAACTAATCACTAAAGAAATAAACAAATCACAATAGCAATCCCTGGAGAGAGGGAGGATCTATCATCCTGATTGCTACAATATGTTATGTAGAATGTCCAGTTTCCAACAGAAAAACTATGAGATATGCCAAAAAACGGAAAGATATGACCTATACACTAGGGTTAGGGGTTAGGGGGCATTAGGCAATAGATACTGGCTGTGAGAGCAAACAGGTGTTGAATTTAAAAGAAAAAGACTTCAAAATATGCATAATAAATACATTCAAAGAGCTAAAGGAAACCCATGATTAAATACATAAAAGTAGGTATTATGACAATGTCATATCACACAGAGAATATAAATGAGATATAAATTTTAAAAAAGAACCAAATGAACATTTTGGAATTGTAAAGTATAATAACTGAAATGAAAAATTAACCAAAGAGGTTCAAGAGTAGATTTGAACTGACAAAAGAAAGAATTAATGAACTAGAAGAAAGATTGACAGAGGTTATACAAGCTGAAGAGAGAAAAAAATGAACAGAGCCTTAGAGAATTACAAGACACCATTGAGTGCACCAACCTATATGTAATGGGAATACTGGAAGGAGAGGAAAAAGAGAAAGGAGCAGAAAAAATATTAGAAGAAATAATAGCTTTTCATTATTTCCAGGCTTTCCAAATGTATTGGAAAAATATTAATGTACATATCTAGAAAGCTCAAAAAACTCCAAGGAAGATTAGCAAACACAAAGAGGTCAGAGACATTATAGTAAAAATGCTGAGAATCCAAAGACAAGGAGAGAATCTTGAAAGCAGCAAGAGAAAAATGACTTACTACTTATAAGGGAACCCAAAGACTAACCTGACTTCTCCTCAGAAATAGTAGAGGCCAGAAAATAGTGATGTCCAGATTCAAATTACATAAAGAAATAAATGTTAACTAAAAATCTTATATTCAGCAAAGCTATCTTTCATAATAAAAGCAAAATAATGATATCCCCAGATGAACAAAAACAGAAATAATTTGTTTCTAACAGATCTGCCTTACAAGAAATGCTAAAGTTATTTAGTCTGAAAGCAAGTAACTTCACACAATAATCTGAATCTTCAAGAAAAAAACAATGAGCATATATATGTGTAAAAGACAGTATTAATGGATATATCACCTCCCTTTTTAAAAACTGATTTAAAAAGCAATTGCATTAAACTATACACATATATACACACATACATATATATATTATCATTGAGACTTCACTTATAGAAATGTAGCATATTTGCTAACAAAGGAGGTAGGTGGAGGCAATATTATATTGGGCTAAGAAAATGACTCTAGTGGTAACAAATTCACATAAACAAACGAAGGGATCCACAAATGATAAATAAAGTTAACATAACAAAAGATATAAATATGTATATATATATTTGTTCTCCTTTCTTCACTTAACTTCCTTAAAAGACATAATGTTATATAATGTAATAATTAATAAGAATGTACTATTGGGCTTATAACATTTTAAATGTAATAGTATAGTTACATCACAAAAGGGGAGAAAAGGGAATAGAGCTATATAAGAGTAACATTTCTATATCTCACTGGAATAAAATTGGTGTAAATCTGAAGCTGATTCTGATAAGATGTATCTGAGAAGGCCTAGAGCAACCACTAAGAAAATGATTTTTTAAAGTAGTAAAAAAAAAATCCTTAAAGAAATTTAAATGCTATAGTAGAAAATATTCTCTTAATGCACAAGAAAGCAATAAAGGTGGAATAGAGGAGAAGACAACATGGGACATATAGGAAACGAAAAGTAGAATGGTAGACATAAATTTACTGTATCAATAAAGACATTAAATACTTTTAATTAAACAGTCCAATCAAAAGGCAGAGAGTTAAACAATCTTTAGTTAAAAACAAAAAGCAAGATTGAACTATATACTGTCTACAGAGCCACACTTTATATTCAAAGATACAAATAGACTGAAAGTAAAAGGAAAGGAAAAGATATACCATGTAAACAGCACCCACAAGAAAGCTGGAGAGGCTATGTTAATATCAGACAAAATAGACGTTAAAAAAAAAAAGTTACCAAAGGTAAAGAGGGACATTTTATAGTGATAAAAAAGACAATTTATTAGGATGATATAACAATTATAGACATATATCCAGTAAACAACAGAGTGCCAAAATATGTGAAGTAAAAACTGACAAAAATGAAGGAAGAAACAGATAACTCAACAATGGTAGTTGAAGACTTCAATACCCAATTTTCAAGAGGGATATAACAACTAGGCAGAAAACAATAAGAAAATAGAAGGCATGAACAACACTAAAAGCCAACAATACCTAGTAGACATTCTCAGAACACTATGAATAATTAATACCAATTCTTTACAAATTCTTCAAAGAATAGAAGATGAAGGAACACTTTCTAACTCATTATTTGAGGCCAGTATTACCCTAATACCAAAAATGGACAAAAACATCACAAGGAAGGAAAACTACAAACCAATATTTTTTATTATGCATGGAAAAAATTTCTAACAAAATACTAGCAAGCTGAATCCAGAAACGTATGAAAAGGATTATACACCAGGGTGGGATTTATCTCAGGAATGCCCTGTTGGTTTAACATCCCAAGATCAATTAATGTAATGTACCGTATCAATAGAATAAAAAACAAAACCATGATCATCTCAATACACAGAAAAATCATTTGATAAATTCAACACCTTTTCATGGTAAAAACATTCAAAAAACTAGTAATAGGAAACATCCTCAGTCTGATAAGACATCTACAAGAAACTCACAGGTAACATCATACTTGATTGGAAAAGAGTGGATACTTTTTCTCTAAGATCAGGAACAAGACAAAGATGCCCACTCTTGCTATTTCTAGTCAACATTGTACTGGAGTGTCTAGCTGGGGCAATTAAGTGAGAAAAATAAATAAAAGACATCCCGATTGGCAAGAAGAAACAAAAGTATCTCTATTTGCAAGTAACATAATCGTGTATATGGAAAATCCCAGGGACTCCACTAAAAAACCATTAAAACTAATAAACAAGTCCAGCAAGTACATTAGATTCCTGGGGCTGCCATAACAAAGTACCAAAAACTGGGTAACTTAAAACAACAGAAATTTATTTTCTTACAGTTACAGGGGCTAGAAGTCCAAACTCAAGGTGTTGGGAGTCCCTTTGAGACACTGAGTAGAATCCTTCCTTTCCTTTTCTAGTGTCTGGTATTTGTTGGCTTTTCCTGGTATTTCTTGGTTTGTAGATGCATCACTCCAGGGTCTGCCTCCATCATCATATGACTGTCTTCATCCTTCGTGTCTCTCTTCTCTTCTTGTAATTGCACCAATCATATTAGATTAAGGGCCTACCCTACTCTAGTATGACCTCACCTTAACTAATTACATCTGTAATGACCCTACTTCTAAGGTCACATTCTGAGGTAGTGGGAGTTAATACTCCAACATATCTTTTTGATGGGGGATACAATCCAAACATAACAGCAAAGCTACAAGATACAAAATTAATTACTAAAATTAATTATGTATCTATATACTAGCGTTGAACAATCTGAAAATGATATTAAGGAAATAATTCCATTTATAATAGTATTAAAAAATAAAATACTTAGGAATAATTTTAATAAATAAATACTTCAAAAACTTAAAAAAAATTGTTGAAAGAAATTTTAAGACTGAAATAAATGGAAGGACATTCATGATCCTAGATTGGAAGACAAGGTTAGGGTGGAAATCCTTTGCAAATGAATCTACAGATTTAATGCAATCACTATCAAAATCCCAGCTAGATTCTTTAGAGAAATTTATAGGTTATTATAGAATTTCAAAACTAATATGGGATTTCAAAACATACGGAATTTAAAGGGACCCAAAATAGCCAAAACAATCTCAAAAAAGAAGGACAAACTAGGAGGCACTTAACACTTCTCAATTCCAAAACTTACTACCAAGCAACAGTAATAAAGACTGTGTGGTACTGGCACAAAGTTAGACATACAGCTCTATGAAACGGAATTGAGAATCCAGAAATAAACCTCTATAGTTAATTGATTTTCAACAGGAATGCCAAGACCATCTAATGTAGGAAAAATATTATTCGCAAAGGATTCTTAAATATGACACCCAAATGCAAGTGAGTAAAGTATAAATAAATTGGGCTTTAATAAAACTGAAACCTTGTGTGCTTCAAAGCACACCGTCTAGAAAGTGACAAAACAGCCCACAGAATGGGAGAAAATATTTTCAAATTATATATCTGATAAGAGAATTGTATCCAGAATATGTAAAGAGCTCTTACAATTTAATAAGACAACCCACTTAAAATGGCAAAGGACTTGAATAGACATTTCTCCAAGAAATATTTTCAAATGACCAATAAGCACATGAGAAGATGCTTGGCATCATTAATTATCAAGAAATGCAAATTGAAACCAGAGAAGATACCCCTTCAAGGCCCCTAGGATGGCTTGAATCAGAAAGTCAGATAATAAGAAGTGTTGGCAAGGATTTGGAGAAATTGAAACCCTCACACACTGCTGGTGGGAATGTAAAATGGTGTGACCACTTTGGAAAAAACTAGCAGTTTCTGACAGGTAATCACAGAGTTATTATATGACCCAGCAATTCCATTTTTTAGGTACATACCCAAGAATAATGAAAACAAAAGTCATGGAAAAACAAAAACATTTCTAATAACACTGTTCATAGTAGCTAAAAGGTGAAAGCAACCCAAATGACCATAAATTAATGAATAGACAAATTTTGAATATGTACACAGTGGGATATTACTTGGCCATAAAAAGGAATGAAGTACAGAAGCATGCTACAACTTGGATGAGCCTTGAAAATGTTATGCTAAGGGAAGGAAACCAGTCACAAAAGACCCCATTTCATTTATATGAAATGTGGTAAAGCTATTGAGACAGAAAGTAAAGCTATTGAGACAGAAAGTAGATTATCTGTTGCTTAGGGATGCGGTGGATGAGAGGATGGGATGGTGGTGGGGTGGCAGCTACAAGGTACAGGGTTTCTGTTTTCTTCTCTCTCTGTCACGCAGGCTGGAGTGCAGTGTAGCTGAGACAACAGGCACATGACACCATGTCCGGCTAATTTTCTTTTTTATTTTTGTAGAGATGGGGTTTCATCATGTTTCCCAGGCTGGTCTTGAATTCCTGGGCTCTAGCGACCCATCTGCCTCAGCCTCCCAAAATGGTAGGATTACAGGTACAAGCCACCACACTCAGCCTAGGTACAGGACTTATTTTGAGCTGATGACAGTTTTCCAAAATGGATTGTTTTAGCAGTTGCATATATCTGTAAATATACTAAAAACTCCTGAATTTTACCCTTTAAATGGATGAATTAGTACATGAATTATATCTCAATAAAGCTGTTTTTTAAAAAGAGAGTAGACATGTAAGGTTGCTTGGAAAATTGACTGCTTGTGTTGTAAAGTTAGGCCAAGTATATCTGTATACATTCCTTGTGAACAGTGCCATTTTAGTGATTATATAAAATCCAGGACAGAAACAATAAAGTGGTGGGACCTTATCACCTAGTTCTCCAGTTTGAAATTAAACCTGTTCCTCAGTTCTATTAACTGTAGCCTACATTTTCATGTCACTGATCATTATACTTGGGCTATTTATAGTCTTTAGACTGATGCTCTTGGATAAGTTTGGCTTAGAAGAAAAAAAAAAGCTATTTTCAGAGTAATAAGCTCTGTGAGCCAGTAGGTTAATAAGATTATAGCAACACCAAAGGTATATTTTTAAAAATCTCAATGACATGGTGATGGGAGGGGATCTTGTCAGATAATGATATTCTTGAGGTTGAAGCAATGTTAACTCTTTAGCCCTAGTACACTCTTTTTTCCCTGAAATGTTCAATGAATGCTTCCAAAGAAATGGCAGAATGTTTTGTTATTGTTCTGATCTTTATGTTGCGATGTTACAAATATTGTAACTTATTTTAGGGACTTTGTAATTGTCACGGCACCCACAGTACACTGAATGCTGTATGGAGCATGAGCATATAGAAGACAGGTACTTATTCATCTGGGCTTTGGGCTGAGAATCGGGAGCCCAGGTTTCTCAAGAGTTGGGTTACCGATTAGCTTAGTCCAGACTCATTTGTTGAGTAGGAGGATTGTACCAGATGCTTCCTGACAGTCTTATCACCTCCAACCTCTGTGATGCTGAACTCCTGTGAAAGATGGATTATCTCTGTATTTTAGGCAGAAGGAAGTTAGTACAAGTACTACATACATGTCACACAAAATCCTTTCAGATAATTGGGTAGCAGTGACATTTCTGGAGATTAACTGGCTTACACGAATTGGGCCCTGGAATGTTTCATGGGACATGAAAACTGACTTGCTTGATCCTGTCTTTTTACTACAGATATGCTCCTCCACCTCTTTTACCAGTCGGTAGTCCTGAGAGCAGGGTTTTCCAAACTGGATTTTGTAAGGTAATAAAGTTTGCCTGATGTCTTTAGTGCAGGACTTCTCAGTTATTAACATGCTAACTTGAGACAACCAATACAACATTTCCAAAATGAAGAGACTCTGATGAAGCCCTTTATATCATGGAGCACATATTAATACTTCACTGAACCAGAATTCAGAGGAATCCAGTTTAGAGGCCTGTCTGCCTTGGACACCTCCAAACAGGTATAAAAATTCACTGCCACCAGAAAACCTGGGCCTGACCCTGCCCAGTCCCGCCTTGGTGCTCCATTAGCCCCACAGTTCCAGCCTCACTGACAGGTCCCCTTCTCCTCTTTGAGGTCATTTTCTTTTTCTCACACAGATTGAACATTTTAAGAATTTTAATAATGAAAACCGAATTAGACCTGTTCTGTGGTTGCACTGTGTTGATTCATCCTTGCGTTACCAGTGCCTGGCACAGTTCCTGACATTATAAAGCCTGGCACACAGTTATTACTCAAGAAATGTTTGTGGAATAATAATTGAATGAACAAATGAATGTGTACATGGGGGACAAAAGCCAGCTAATCTCTCTTCTAATCAATATTTACGCATTAAGCTTGCATAGTATAAATCAGCTCTGCTTGTTAAGGATTTTTCCCATGAACCAGAGCTTCAGGTTTGAGATCTGAAGGGTGCTGTCACACCAGCTAGTTTATAACCACCTGTACTGGTGCCATGTCTTTTATTGGTGGCATTGGCCTGACTCTGCCCCAGCACCACCTTGGTGCTCCATTAGCCCTGCAGTTCCAGCCTCACTGACAGACCCCCTTCTCCTCTTTGAGGTCTTTTTCTTTTTCTCACACAGATTAAACATTTTAAGAATTTTCGTAATGAAAACCAAATAAGACCTATGATGCCCCATCATTATAAATGTTCTACTCCAAGACCAACATCTTCTTTGCACCCTTGAACCTGATACTTTCCCCCATGTCCTCAGAAGGAGAAGCTTTTATGTATTCTTTTTGAGTTTCCATAAACTCAGGCTCAGGGCAAATGGAAGGAACCTCTGCAAATGCAAAGATAAATGTCTCCTGAGCTCTTCGGTTAGGGACAGTAGGGCAGACACTGATGTTGGAGCTTCCTGGCTGGCTATATGCCTTCTACAATCCTCAGAGTCCAATAGGTATGCTGTAAATACTTTCACCCTACTGTCTTCTGAAATTTGGGAAAATAGGTATTCACCCATCTATGCTCTTCTTTCAACAAAGATGGGGATTATTTATGCCTTAAGTCAGCTGTCAAGTTTAAGCAAAGAACTTCAACTACCTCCTTTCTTAAACTTCCTAAAGCACTCAAGTCATATGAAAACAATTCTTTAAGATGCCATATTTCTTTTAAATAATCTTATTTAGAAGTATTAAAGGTTATTTTGATACCCCTGGCTCCTTTGATACCTTTCAGAAGCTTATAAATTGTTAAAGAATTACCTAGTTCCTTTTCCAGAAAGTCTCAAGATCATTTTCCATGCAACAGCCACATACGTTAGGGACCATTATTTGTGTCAGAAAGAAATTTACGAGCTCCACAATAGGATGTCCTATGTAGTAGATCTATGTGGTGGAAAACAATTGCCAAAGGAAAAGTCAGCTAGATTTGAGTGATGTGGCACATTTAACTTATGTTGTCTCCATTTTATATGCCCACAGTTTGAGTTCTGCCAGCTGAAGTTAAATCATGTGACTAAGCTGGTTTTTGGTCTTTTGGTTTTCTTAATACCAAGGCTTTTTCAACTTAACACTGAATTCCATATAATGCTTTCATTAAGAATGCCATGCATTAGACTCTGCTTGTCACTTTTTGTCCTTTCTTGGGATTTGCTACTGTTGGGGATGGAACTCAGTGTGTGTGTGTGTGTGTGTGTGTGTGTGTAAACATATATATAGATAGTCATCCCTCAGTATCTGTGTGGGATTGGGACACTGGTTCCAGGACCTCTACAGATATCAAAATCCACAGATGCTCAAGTCCCTTATATAAAATAGTGCAGCATTTGCAAATAACCCACCCACATCCTCCTGTATACTTTAAATCATCTCTAGATTACCTATAATATCTAATAAAATGTATATGCTATGTAAATAGTTGTTATACTATACTGTTTGGGGAATCATGACAAGAAAAAAAAGTCTGTACATATTCAGTACAAATGCAATCATCCTTTTTTAAAAAAATATTTTTGATCTGCAGTTGGTTGAGTCCACAGAGGTGGAACCCACAGGTATGCAAGTCTTGACTGTGTGTGTGTGTCTGTGTGTTTATGTGTGTGTGATTTTTTTAACAGTTTAAGACTCAATAGAAGTTGTAGCAATAGTACAACATTCCTGTTTACCCTTCACCCAGCTTCCCCCAATGATAATATCTTACATAACCTTAGTACATTGTCAAAACCAGGAAATTGACATTGGTACAATACTATTAACTCAAATACAGACTTTATTTGGATTTCACCATTTTTTTTTACATCCACTGTTGTTTCTGTTTGTGTGTGTGGAGGAATGGTATAGTTCTAGGAAGTTTTATCACATATGTAGATTTATATAACCTCACCAGTACAACCAGGGTCCAGATTGTTCCATCACCACAAAGAAACTCCTTCATGTTACTCCTTCACAGCCATACCCTGTCCTCAACCCTAACCCCTGGCAACAATTAATCTGTTCTCTATCTCTATAATTTTTTCATTTTGAGAATGTTATAGACATGGAATCATGTTGTCTGAAACCTTTTGAGATTGGCTTTTTTTTTCTTTTTTACTTAGCATAGTGCCCTTGACACCCATCGGTTGTTATGTGTATTAATCTTTTGTTCCTATTTATTGTTGACTAGTATGAGCAATATACATTGAGCTTGGATTTGTTGGTGTATTTGTTGTTAGGTTAAGACCAAAGTCAGAAAGATCAAATCAGTAGCTGAGTAGATTCAGGAACTGGAATCAAACAAGGCAAGGTTGGGGCTGGGAGAGAGGCAGCAGTACAGAGCAGAGTGGAAAGCAGGAACTGAATTGAGATTGAGAGTGAGAGAGGTGAGGCCATGCTCCAACCCAGACCAGGAGAGTGAGAACTGCAGCAGAGGCATGCCCAGAATCAACTCCAGTCAAGAATGAGGGGTTCCCAGAAGGAAAGTTGAGCAGGGGAAGTTGGAGAATAATAGCTGAGTGTTCCCTCCGCCTGTCCCTGGCTTACCCAGGCCTTAGGGGACACTGTTCTCCTGGAATTTCCTGATATTGTTTCTGCTCTGTAGTATCTTATGTTAATATTATGCCCAGAATAGAAATAAAGATACCCCGTGGTCAAAAGTTTTATGCATTTTTTCAAAGTAAAGCAAATTCCTATGCATTGACCTAACACATAATGACACAGTAGCTTCCACAACCCTGCAGTGTGGAACCTGTGATCTGGCTCAAATTCCAAAGCTTTTTCATGGTGGGGAAGAAGGAGAGAGAAGAAGAAACTGGGTTTCTTAATTCCAAGTTTATAATTAGGACCATCAAACCCCTATTTGGTAGCTAAACATCTTTGCTTAGCCAAGATCTGATTGTAAAGAGATAGAAGGAATGGAACTTGAAACAAATTCAAATAAAAGCTACCTTTGTAGAAGTCATCATTTGATATTATGGTGAGCAGTCCCACAAATATCTAGGAGCTAGGAATTAAAATAAAGCTACCTTTGTAGATGTCATCATTTGGTATTATGGTGAGCAGTCCCACAAATATCTAGGAGCTAGGGTCAAACCAGTAGATAGCAGCATCTATTAAGTGCTGCCTCAGAAAATTTTTTATTGAAGTATTTTCCCCTCCCCTTCCAGTTTCTGAATGCAGCTATGTTTGGCCCTTCCACAAAGCTGTACAGAAATGATTTGGATTACTCAGCCTAACACCAGAACCCTTCTTTAGGCATCCACAAACCTCATTCAATGTCACAGACCAAGCTTTCAACAGCAGAGATGTTTTTCCATTTGATAGAATCCTGTGTTCAGGATCAAGTTTGCCAGGGTAAAGAGTCCTTCTCTTCAGAAAGGATGCTTGGGTATGGGGTTTTATGACCCAAGAGGTCTCCTCTACACTTGACATGGGTAGAGAAGAATTACAGCACTTAAAGGAAGTCAAGCCATTCCAATTTTACTATATTGTGGTTTGCATCATGGTTGAGCCCCACTCTTAGCCAGCCCTGACACAATTACATAGTGATCCTCTTCTGCAGAGCTCAAGACGTTTTCATATTCTGTCATGCTACCGGAAAGGAGAATAGGCCAGGCTGACAATAAACAACAGTAACACTGACCTAGCAGGCACCTGATTTTAATATGTGAATCTACACCTTCAGACACTGGGAAATTCACTTTACTAATTTCTATTCCTTGTTCTATTGACAAATTAACTTTGGGACATAGTAATTTTAAGCTTTAGTTTTCTCATCTGTAAAATGAGTAGTGTGACTCAGTTTCACACGTCCCTTTTAGCTCTGTATTTTCCTTGTCTTTGTGTCTTGATAGCCTTGAACATGATTGATTAGTATGAGGGGGAAAGCCCCAACCTGCCATGACTCTTTCAGAGTTGAGTTTCTGCATTCATGTTATTTTTGTGAGCTAGCAGTGGACAGCATTAGCTTGTCTTTACAAATGGGGAAAGCCAGGATAATAATAGTGGCAAATACTTATATAGGTTTTACTGTGTGCCAGATACAGTTCTAAGCACTTTATAAGAGTTAATTCATTTTATTTTCATGAGAACTCTATGAAGAAAGGACTGTTATTATCTTGATTTTACAATTGATGAAAATGATGGTCAGAGAGGTTAGTTCATTTGTCCAAGGTCATATGGCCAATAAGTGTCAGAGGCTGGATAGGAAGCCATGCAGTCTGGCTCCACTGAGTGGCTGGTGGTGAAGAGTCTTCAGACCCAGGAACCCGAATCCAAATCTTTATCAGCTGAGTTATACTGAAGCTTTTTGTTTTTAATCCCAACCTAGAAGAGGCACTTTTTACCCTTTTTTAGTCCTAAAATGATACAGGAAAGTCAGGAGCTCAGTATGTGGGGCAGAGAAACAGCTTCTAATCTAGAGACAAAATTCATGGAATCCACATTCATGGATATAGCTTCTAATTGCTTTCTTCTTCCTTGCAATGAAATCCAGTCGTTTGTAAATCCTGGTTAGGACATCTTGGTAGAATGGTCCTTGAGTTTCCTGTATAAATGCACAAGTCTCCAATCACCCTCAGGCTTCTTGACCCTAAACACAAGCTACTGACCTCTTCTAGATAGAGTCAAGGTCCATGGCCCAGAGGTACCTACTCCTGCCCAATTGTATCTCCTCCCCAGTCCTGCATGGGGAGGGCTGAACTGTTTTTCACTGGATGGTTCCTTCTGCCAGTGCAGCCTTCACTGGCCTTCCCCGACCTCTGGGACTGAACCCTGTGTCCCTGTCTAATGCTCGCTACTTTAGCTGACTCAACTCCATGCTTGCCCAACTGCAGTAGCTGCCCCCACCCCTGCCCACCAGGATGACTCACCCTGGACCCCTCCTTACCTTGGATCCAGTCAGATAATAATATGTGGAACTCCTTTACCACCTTTAATCAGGTTGGCCAAAAACAGTAGCAGAAAATGTGCTCATAAAATTCTGAATCTCCTTTTGGAGATGATGTCGTGAAGGAGGTATGGTGATCTTTGACCAAATGCCCCAAGATGGTCGGCTCCGGGCCGCGCTGCATTTCTTATGCCGCGTTGCTCTCTCTCCGTTCATTTTGCTTTCACGATAGCCTGGAGTGAATATATCTTCCCTTCCTTGTCAGCCCTTACTTCTCTCTTAAATTATGTTCTACTGTGTTCTCACAAGATTTTCTCGTAAAATATAAAACCACCTTCCTTTTGGGAGAATATGTAGACTGTGGGGGTTTCAGTAGTTCTGACATCATGTTCCAGGGCAGTGCCAGCGACACTTTTAACCCCGAAGAGGAAATCCCTGCCCCGCTCTTGAGTTGCTCTCAAAGGCTGACCTGTAGACACTATTGCTTACTAATTCCTCCAGCGTGACATTTATCCTGGGGATCTCATTTTGTGCTAATGTAGCTGAAGTCTGAAGTCAGTACTCTAGTGGGCCTCCCCTATTTTTCCCTATTAATTAATGAACTGTTATTTAAAGTACTGCTGACTTCTCTGGGTTCCTGAGTCAGGCAGTTCTACTACTCTGGGCATGAAAGAAAAATAAAATGAAACAAGAGGATAAAATATATTTTACTGGACAAAGTAGAAGAATGAACAATTATCCCATCAAACACTTTGGAGGAAAGTTCTGAATGTGTGTTGGAAATGATTTAATGCAGGAGCCCAGGATGGTCAGCAGTTGGTGAGGTCTGGCTGGGGACTCTGTTTAGAAGCACTCCAATTTCCAGAATCACTGTGGCAATATGATGGCTGTCATTCCAATTTACTGATGTGACGAGATGGGCTCAGATCTGTATGACTAGGGCACTGTGCTTAGCATCTAGACATGATGTAATATTCACAGGAACCCTCTTAGTTGTAGGGGGCAGGGTGGTGAAAAACTGGGAATTAAGGGTATTACAAAGGCATAAGTAGGTATATTTTATCTCAGACTTGTCAGTTAGGATTTTGTTTCTAAAGCCGACAGAACTACTGGATCAAAGAAGATAGCATAAAACTGTTATGTTTCTCAGTAGCACTACGGGAATCCATCAACTGCATCAAACCTTCCCCAATTAACAAAAGCTTGGGTAAATCCTGCATCAACTGAAGACTGGCATTCATAATGCCCTTAACTGGTTCCATCACATTAAACCGATTAAGGAAGCTCACAGACACTGTTGATGCTGCTTGGAAACCAGTCCTAGCAACAATAGCACGTGGAATTTGAGGGGCTTGAGAAAGGCAGCCCTCGAGGAATTAGCTTGCTAGGTAGCCAGATCATTTGGCCAGCTGTGGAAACCATGTTAGTGGAATAGTGGTGTCAATTTGTGGAGAAAGATTGTGTCTGGTAGTAAAAAAGTGGTTTCCCCAAAGAAGGTCAGAGATGTCTTCTAGAGGGCTGGGTGGCAGCTATTAGAAGTCAAACTATACAAGAAAGATATTGGTAAAAAATAATAAATAAATAAATAAATAACAATTTTCTCTACAAAAATGTTGATGTGACAACCAGTCATCATCTCAATCCTATTTTATTTTTTTATTTTTATTTTTATTTTTTAAGTTATACAAAATTGCACCACTTTAATTAAGGCTTTTAGTTTACATTTGGCCACCTCAAAGTAGTTGTAACATTAGGTTGGTCAATTTAAATACTGTGGCTCCCTGTTGGATAGACACACAATCTTTACATCCAAACATTAATGCATACAAAGCAACAAGGCATTGTTAAATAAAACAGCAATAGTTACTGCAAATTAGGCCTTGTGACCAATTACATATGATTAAAATTACTTCCCACATTCACATCCACAGTACTCGTCCACCATTTAACATCTCAACCAAAACGTTACACATGTGAAACAATCACTAACAGGCAAAAATACTAAACCTGTATATTTGGTATTGCAAATACACTTATGCATGAGCAAGCAAGGGATTCACAGTGAGAATCTACAGCTGCAGAAGCCTGAAAATGATTTACAAAAATTGTTAAATCATTAAAAAATTGTTTGAAAATATACACTTCTTGTTGTAGACCCCCACTGTACACACGACTATAAACATTGTTCCCTATGTAAACAAAAAAAGGAAACATATAATAAGAGATTTGAAAAGTCTGGACATTTCCTTCCCAACAGATATTAAAGGCAACGTCTTTAATCTAAGACATTATACTGAAAGGACTATCATATTTTAAAGACAAGATCACTGTCTCCACAGGTTTTTTAAAAATTAAAAAAACTGAGAAGGCTCGAAGGCGCCGCGGGCTGGGGTCGGTGGCTTAGGGAGCCCGTCCGGCCATGGTGGCCGCGGGTGGTGGTTGGCGCGGCTGCGCTGCGGCCCGGGGCAGTGCGGAGCCGGGACAGTCGCGGCGCTGACGCCCGCGGGCCCCAGCTGCAGCTATGAAGCGGAGCCGCTGCCGCGACCGACCGCAGCCGCCGCCGCCCGACCGCCGGGAGGATGGAGTTCAGCGGGCAGCGGAGCTGTCTCAGTCTTTGCCGCCGCGCCGGCGAGCGCCGCCCGGGAGGCAGCGGCTGGAGGAGCGGACGGGCCCCGCGGGGCCCGAGGGCAAGGAGCAGCCGCCTGCCTTGGCCTCCCAAAGTGCCGAGATTGCAGCCTCTGCCCGGCTGCCACCCCGTCTGGGAAGTGAGGAGTGTCTCTGCCTGGCCGCCCATCGTCTGGGATGTGAGGAGCCCCTCTGCCTGGCTGCCCAGTCTGGAAAGTGAGGAGCGTCTCCGCCCGGCCGCCATCCCATCTAGGAAGTGAGGAGCGCCTCTTCCCAGCCGCCATCACATCTAGGAAGTGAGGAGCGTCTCTGCCCGGCCGCCCATCGTCTGAGATGTGGGGAGCGCCTCTGCCCCGCCGCCCCATCTGGGATGTGAGGAGCGCCTCTGCCCGGCCGAGACCCCGTCTGGGAGGTGAGGAGCGTCTCTGCCCGGCTGCCCCGTCTGAGAAGTGAGGAGACCCTCTGCCTGGCAACCACCCCGTCTGAGAAGTGAGGAGCCTCTCCGCCCGGCAGCCACCCCATCTGGGAAGTGAGGAGCGTCTCCGCCGGGCAGCCACCCCGTCCAGGAGAGAGGTGGGGGGGGGGTCAGCCCCCCGCCCGGCCAGCCGCCCCATCCGGGAGGGAGGTGGGGGGTCAGCCCCCCCGCCCGGCCAGCCGTGCCGTCCGGGAGGGAGGTGGGGGGGTCAGCCCCCCGCCTGGCCAGCCGTGCCGTCCGGGAGGGAGGTGGGGGGGTCAGCCCCCCGCCCGGCCAGCCGCCCCGTCCGGGAGGTGAGGGGCGCCTCTGCCCGGCCGCCCCTACTGGGAAGTGAGGAGCCCCTCAGCCCGGCCAGCCACCCCGTCCGGGAGGGAGATGGGGGGGTCAGCCCCCCCACCCGGCCAGCCGCCCCGTCCGGGAGGGAGGTAGGGGGGTCAGCCCCCCGCCTGGCCAGCCGCCCCGTCCGGGAGGGAGGTGGGGGGGGTCAGCCCTCCGCCCGGCCAGCCGCCCCGTCTGGGAGGTGAGGGGCGCCTCTGCCCAGCCGCCCCTACTGGGAAGTGAGGAGCCCCTCTGCCCGGCCAGCCGCCCTGTCCGGGAGGGAGGTGGGGGGGTCAGCCCTCCGCCCGGCCAGCCGCCCCGTCTGAGAGGTGAGGGGCGCCTCTGCCCGGCCGCCCCTACTGGGAAGTGAGGAGCCCCTCTGCCCGGCCAGCCGCCCCGTCCGGGAGGGAGGTGGGGGGGTCGGCCCCCCGCCCGGCCAGCCGCCCCGTCCGGGAGGGAGGTGGGGGGGGGGGTCAGCCCCCCCGCCCAGCCAGCCGCCCTGTCCGGGAGGTGAGGGGCGCCTCTGCCCGGCCGCCCCTACTGGGAAGTGAGGAGCCCCTCTGCCCGGCCAGCCGCCCCGTCCGGGAGGGAGGTGGGGGGGGTCAGCCCCCCCGCCCAGCCAGCCGCCCTGTCCGGGAGGTGAGGGGCGCCTCTGCCCGGCCGCCCCTACTGGGAAGTGAGGAGCCCCTCTGCCCGGCCACCACCCCGTCTGGGAGGTGTGCCCAACAGCTCATTGAGAACGGGCCAGGATGACAATGGCGGCTTTGTGGAATAGAAAGGCGGGAAAGGTGGGGAAAAGATTGAGAAATCGGATGGTTGCCGTGTCTGTGTAGAAAGAAGTAGACATGGGAGACTTTTCATTTTGTTCTGCACTAAGAAAAATTCCTCTGCCTTGGGATCCTGTTGATCTGTGACCTTACCCCCAACCCTGTGCTCTCTGAAACATGTGCTGTGTCCACTCAGGGTTAAATGGATTAAGGGCGGTGCAAGATGTGCTTTGTTAAACAGATGCTTGAAGGCAGCATGCTCGTTAAGAGTCATCACCAATCCCTAATCTCAAGTACCCAGGGACACAAACACTGCGGAAGGCCTCAGGGTCCTCTGCCTAGGAAAACCAGAGACCTTTGTTCACTTGTTTATCTGCTGACCTTCCCTCCACTATTGTCCCATGACCCTGCCAAATCCCCCTCTGTGAGAAACACCCAAGAATTATCAATAAAAAAATAAATTAAAAAAAAATACAAAAAAAAAAAAATTAAAAAAACTATATAGCTGTGTTAATCAAAGCGCTTATTTTGTACAATAATAATGACCTTGAATTTCTTAAAAAAAATTACAATAAGCTACAAGTATCAAAGAAGCGAAGTTATCTGGAGTAGTCTATATAGGAGCTCTTTGGACTTTCTTTTATTATGCTAAAATAGTGGTGCTTTTAGGATTTACATTATTGTACTCTCCAATACAAAGTATGGGGCATGTTAAAGTATACAGTACACCATTTTCATACATGTACAACATTGGTGGATGAAGAATGTCTCTTAGCAGTAATACTGGATGTAGCCTCTGGTTTTACCAGCTGCATACTCTAGGACTATTATATAAGTAAAAATCTCTCTTGTGATACTGGAAAGTGATTAGAATGTGCAAACTGATATAGTAGCTTTCATCCGCCTCTTAAAGGGTACCACCACAGGAAAGTCCATTTAAGATGTTGGTAGGTTTAACAAAGTTGGAATGCTGGCACTGTTGAATTGGGCAACAGTTCTTCAGACCTGGCTCAGAGCTACAATGCATTTAGTATATTAAAGCAGCTGACATGATGACTTTTTGCGAGCCTTCCCAGGCACTGGAGTTTTTCTGTTAATTTGCCGCACTAGGTCATAAAAGATCTCATTAACATTTATTTTTGATTTTGCAGAAGATTCTAAGAATGCACAGTTGTTCCATTGTCTTGCTAGATTTTGACCTTGTTCCTTCCCTACAACTCTTTCATCTTCCAAGTCACACTTATTACCAACAAGAATCATTGGAACATCATCAGTGTCTTTAACTCGAAGAATCTGTTCTCTCAGGTCTTGTAAATCGTTAAATGTGGACTGTGCTGTGATGGAATAAACTAATGCAAACCCTTGTCCATTTTTCATGTATAAATCCCTCATTGCTGTAAATTGCTCCGTTCCTGCAGTATCCAAGATTTCAAGCATACACTGTTGTGCATCTACTTCAACTTGCTCTCTATAAGAATCTTCTATCGTAGGATCGTATTTTTCTACAAAAATTCCTTGAACAAATTGTACAGTCAAAGCAGACTTTCCAACGCCTCGTGAGCCAAGAACGACTAGCTTATACTCACGCATGATGCAAGCTTGTCAAAACCTAGTACTCTGCGAACCTCTCACGCTGTCACCGGGTCTCTGCAGCCAGCGTCGCCCCGTGCTCCCCGCGGGTCGCTACTCTAGGCGCCACGGCGGTCCTGCCGCTGCCGCGCCGCTCCGGCTGGTTTACACGCCTGAATCTGGGCGAGGTTTTCTCAATCCTATTTTATGAAATCCATCTGCCTCTGGTGTTTATGTTGGGGTGGGAGTTAATAATGAAAGAGCAAAATAATCTCATAATGTACTTGTTCCCATCAGGCCTGCAATGTGTGTCTCTGATGGAACAAGAAAGAGAGAGATCCTGAATCTTCTTTGCCATGGCACTGCCACTCCCACCTCGGGCCCTAAGCACAGACGATGCTATAGACCAGGAATCACCAAGCTTGTCTGTGAAGGCCCAGATAGTGAATACGTCAAATTTTTTAGGCCACCTGTGGTCTCTATCACATTTTCTTCTTTACTGTAGCCATTTTAAAAAATGTAAAAAAGAATGCTTAGCTTGTACGCTGCACGAAAGCATAGTTCGTGGACCCCTGCTACAAACCTGCACATTCTTTGTTACTAGCTAAGAATATGTCTCCAAATGTGGACATGGTCTCCTATCCTGATAAGCAAGGGTCCTCCTGTTCATCTAGCCCAACGCTGATGCTGGAGGCAGGCTTTGGCTCCTGCTTCATGCCCTCTTGGCCAGCACAAGTGCTGATACCCTGTTTACTGCTGTTGCTGTGAATGTTAAAGTCTCAGAGCCAAGAATCTCATGTGTTCTGCTGGCACCCGTGAGCCTGGCGGTCTAACTGACTAAATTTCAGGTAAGGTGAAATCTCAGACCCCTCACAGTTCTTGAGAGAGGCAGAAGGGGAAGGGAAGGAGAGGGGGCATGGTGAGAGATACCAGAAAAAACACTACACGGAAAAGAGATGACCCAAATGAAGAGGTCAGTTCCCCAACCCCTACGCTGGCCTGGTGTTTAAGTCCAGTTTCCATGTTGGCCTTCACAGAATCAGAGCTCTTCTTTGCTAGATAAAGTGTGGGGGAGTCTTTGGCTCCCCCTGGAGGCTAGAGTTTGCCAACGACAGGTAGGACCTGAAACACAATATGAATTGCTCTTTACTGTAAAACAAAAGGAAAGCTGACCATGACGAGATTTTACTCAAATGGCCCAGGGGTTAGGTATAATTCAATTAAAAAGGGAATTTGTCCTTTAAAGTAGGGGGATATATATATATGGCTTTAACTAAAAAGAAAAATGGACACAGAATCTAACAGTGAATGTTTAGGTATTAGTGACAGTCATCATTGTTAAAGTGCAGAGAGAAAATTAGATCTAACACAGAAGAGTAACATGGTGCTAAAATTTCCCCCATATCCCAGACAACTTCCTGTTTGCAGCTCGATGTGCTGATGAGATACTTTTAACACGAATCCTGAGGGCAGTGGACCTTAGAAAAATTATCATCTACAATTGTATGTTAAATTGCTAAGTAATTAAGATGTAAGATCTAGAAAATCACATACAATTTATTTCCAACAGCTGAAATTAGAACTTTCTAAATAAAAGCTAACCATACAACCCAAGGGTTTAACAAGTCAGAGTCTGTTTGGGAAAGCCAGCGTGTGTGTCCCCGAGAGGTGGATTGCAATCAGTAATAAAGGCATGAGTCCAGCCCTGTCAGATCTGTCTGACAGCCCCCACTGCACTCTGTCAGAATCTCCGCATGGGGATGGGTCAGGTTGCAGATGGTGACAGCATCATCCGAAAGTCTATGAGAAAGTGAAGGTAACACAAAGCCCTGGGATCCCTACCTTCCACACTGCTCTGCTTATCTGCACACACAGCTGTGAGGCTCCAGCCAGGCCCCCAGGAGCAATTTGTTATTTGTGACAACCTTGTGTGCATGGTGTTCTCCCTCACCCCCCACCCCAACACACACACAGGGAGCCAAAGTTTACTACGTTTAGTCTAAGTTGGGTTTTGAGATTTAAATGTTCAAGACTTAAGTGATTACCGATGGGGAAAATAGGAAGTGGCCTGGAGGTTCTCAGTTCGGGGGAGAATGGTTGTGCAAATAGAAAACCATGGTAGTGAATCTGCTACCCAGTTTTCTAAGAAGAGCTGCGGTTTTGTTTCATCCTGTCTCAGAGCTTTATTAATCAGCCATATTGTAGGTGACATGCTCCAGGACACACAGAATTTATGTCCTTGTGCTCTTTCCTCTAAGAGCTAATTAATGTATTTTTATTGGTGAGAAAGTTCACTCCACATATTTCTTCTCCTTGCATCATGATCAATTCTCCAATCTTAAAACCAAATCACCCACCACCACCACCCATAAACACCCTCTGCTTCAATCCTGGTCCCCATTTACTTAATTCCTATCTTTCCCCTACTTTTAAAATCTATTCATTAAAACAAAACAAAAGCCAAAAACATCTTTCCTGGGATTGCCTGGAGAAGACTTGACAGGACCAAGAGGGAAAACTTTCTAACCCCCAATCACTGTTTAGTTTATGGCTGGAATTATGGGGGAAAAGTAGAATGAGGTTGCTTTTGATGTTCTTTTGAAATGATTTGCAGCATTGAAAGAAATATTAGCAATTAAGCCATTTTGATTTTCTTTAAAACTGAAAGTAGAGGCCGGCAAGGTGGCTCACGCCTGTAATCCCAGCACTTTGGGAGAACGAGGTGGATGGATCACAAGGTCAGGAGATCGAGACCATCCTGGCTAACATGATGAAACCCCGTCTCTACTAAAAATACAAAAAATTAGCCGAGCACGGTGGCGGGCGTCTGTAGTCCCAGCTACTCGGGAGGCTGAGGCAGGAGAATGGCGTGAACCCGGGAGGCAGAGCTTGCAGTGAGCCGAGATCACGCCACTGCACTCCAGCCTGGGCGACAGAGCGAGACTCTGTCTCAAAAAAAAAACAACAAAAAACAGAAAGTACAGAAGTGTATATATTTAATAATCAATTATATTAATCAATATATTATATATTAATATATACAAATAATATATACAAATATATTAATCTGTATATATGATTCTTAATGCTGTATTTCTTATAGTCTGGGTATCCCAGTGAATGAAATATTTTCAGCAGTGTTTTGGGAAGTACAGAGATCTTCCCTTATATGTTCCAGGACCCGCTAGTGATACCTAGAATCGCAGATAGTACCGTCCCCTATATATACTGTTTTTTCAATATATACATACCCATGGTAAAGTTCAACTTACAAATTCAGCATAGTAGGATATTAATAACAATAACTGATAATAAAATAATAAACTAGAATAATTATAACAATATACTATAATAAAAGTTACCTAAATATGGTATTTCTGTCTCTCAAAATAACTTAATATTTTCAGACCATGGTTGGCTGCGAATAACTGAAACCACTGAAGGCAAAACCGCAGATAAGGGGGAACTACTGTATGCTATTCCAGATATGTGTTATTATGTCCCAAACTATCCAAAATCTTAGTGGCTTTAAACAATAGCCATTTTATTGTATCTCACACTCCTGTGTGACTTTGGAACTTGGACAAGGCTTGGCTAGGTGATTCTTCTGTTCTTGGTGGTTTAAACAGAGGTCACTCAGTGGTATTTTGCTGGAGGGTCTAAGATGACTGACATCTGGGCAGGAATGGCTGAAAGATTGTTTTCTTGTTCTGTTCCTCTAAAATACCAGTTCCTCTTAGATATTTATGCTTTGTTTGTTCACTGTGCTGATATAGAGGAGATTTCTCTGAAAAGAAAACCATACTTTCATTGTTTATAATTATGCTTAAACTTAAGAAGATAAATACATTTTTCATAAGTCTGTTTCTCATGCATTTTGGGCCCAGTGGGGACAGTAGGTGAGAGCACCTATCTGTGACCTCTTCAGCATATCAGTCTCAGGGTAGTCAGATGTACAGATGGGGCCTCAGGGCTCCAAAAGCAAGTGCTATGGTAGACAAGGTGGAAACTGCATGGCCTTTTATTACCTAATCTTGAAAGTCACATAGCATCACTTCTGTCATACACTATTCATTCAAGCAGTTACCCAGAATCAAGGAGAGGCAACATAGACTTCACCTTTTCATGGGAAGAGCATTGCAGAATTTGCAGCTGTGTTGTACAGTCACCAAACATGCACACAGGAGACATCTCCATTCTATTACATGTTAGAGTAAATTTCTTTTCTTTTTCAGGTGTAGTATTTCCAAAATATTGTTCCCACCATTGAGTTTTATAGCAGTGGCTCCCAGTCTTTTGGATTTTTAATTCCAATTTTGAAAAAAAAGAATGAGCAAGATTGACAGAGGGAAGCCCACCTTTATTTTACTAAGGAAGAACATTTAAAAATAATGATTGCAATAACATGCACACTACTCTTTATACTCACTATCATTTTATAAAACAAAAGGCATGTTCACATTAAAATAATAGGAAGGGCATGTTCTTAAAGGACCTTTTTTAAATTGAATAAATTTATCTTTATGAAAAAGACATATCATTTTCCTTGTTTTTCTTGTTTAACTGCAGGCTGGTGGAAACTGTCTCATGGAGCCTGCCTTTTTGGCAGATTGGATTTGGGAATTATTCTTCTAGACAAAAGGTCTCAAGTATGCCACTTATACTTTCTTGGGACACTCAAGATTTTATGGTCATAATTTCATTTTTGAGTTAGTTCTGTCAATTGCATAGCTTTATGTGAGGAGGACTGCAGTTTGAGTTCAACCTTCTAAATTAAATCAACGAGGTTTTACTGATTTTCAAAATGTGCCTACAATAGTGTAGCCTCATGGAGTTTCAGAAAAGGATGACATAATACATAGTTCCTGCCAGGAGTCAAATTGAAAATTAATTATAGAGATAGGACTGATGCTTATGAAATGCTGATAAATAACGCAAGTTAGAATGTGGGTGAGAATGTATAGGAGTTACCCACGCAAACTATAGTAGTCTGGGTGTCTTCACTATGAATGTGCAGTTGAAGTTCAAGGTACATGATTTGGATGAAAGGCAAAAGGAGCATGTTGCATATATGATTAATTGAATGAGGATTCGTGGATAAGAATGAATGAACGAATGCAGTGTGCTTAGGGGCCATTTAGGGATTCTAGGATACAATGGTTTTTAACGTGCCTTATCTTAGGTTTCAGAGCAGAAAACAAAATGGATTCAGCATTGTTTTTTGCTTGTTTTTGAGTCACAATATAATAATTGATTAAAATTCCTACTTTTTTCTTACTCTCAAAGTGACCATGTTTTTCTCTGAGAAGCGGATGGCTGACTGCTCATTCTAGACATAAATCATTAATAGTCATAATAAAAAGAATCAGCTACTAAGTAACAGCTTCAGTACTGTAGGTCAGCACCTGAATATCTGGGTGACCTTTCCTAAAATGCCGAAGAGTGCTTCTGACAGTTTGGGATCGAGGAGCCCTCGTGTGATGCTTCATCACTAATGACAAAATAAATCTCAAGTGTCAAGAAGTGCTGCCCTGAATTCACCTCGACTTTGCCATCAGCAATGGATTAGGGGCAACATCCATTAGTGCAAGGTAGATCCCGCTATTTATTCACTCACTGCTCTGGGCTGACAACTTAGGTGTCTGCCTGTTTCAGGAAACAAAAGGTCACATAGGAGTATCAGTAATGGCCTGCTGGATTTTCTCTTTAGACATTTACTGGAATCTATTATGATCTAGTCTGGTTGTTTTGATATCTGCCATCTGAACTTTAAAAACAACAACAGAAAAAAAACTTACAGATAATTTTTTAAGAGAGGGATCTTGGAGGCTTTGTGCAATTATTTTCCTATGAATGTTGATCAAGCACTGTGTGATCTTTGAGTTCATTTTCAGTCCTGTTTTCCTGCCATACACAATCATGTTCCCATCATCTAGAAATGCACGGACTTAAGCAGTGAGAGTCCCTGCCCCTCCAGGCCTTTCTGTTGCTGTACAATATCAAAAGATTTAATATGAACATAGATCAAAAATTGTTTTCTTGTTCTGTTCCTCTAAAATACCAGTTCCTTTTAGATTTTTATGCTTTGTTTATTCACTGTGCTGATATTAATATAAAGGAGACTTTTCTGGAAAAATATTTTTTAAGGTAGTTATGCTTAAACTTAAGAAGATTAATATATTTCTCATAAGTCTGTTTTTCACGCATTTTCTGACAAGACACATAGTAGCACTTTTCTTCCAAAATAGCCCACTCTTCCAATAGCATAAGCCCTTTGCTATAGTCTATTACATCTGCGGCTGTGGTTTCAAGGCAATCATGTCCATATTAATATACTTGATGCTTTTCTTCTGTCTTCACTGATGCCCTGTGCTGACGCATTTGTTCCAGTTCTTTTCAGTCCAGTGACATGGTACCCTCTTGCTCCTCTGAATTGCAGTTGTACTTAGCTACATCCCTGGCCTCCTCCTCTCACTGCCCCCTCTGCTTTCATCTCCTGTTCTCTGCCTTCGTCATTCCTCCTGGCCCGAGACTGCCCCTTCAACCTTGCCAGTGACCTCTTCCAGGACGGGCCCAAAGGTCTTTTCTGAGCTCTCATGCTGTGGACACTGTTGAGCAGCCTTTCCTCTTCAGTTTTTCTTCTGAGGTCTTCTCTGCTCTATCCAGACCCTTCTTCTTATTTCCTTGTCCACACTTTCTTACCTCTGACTTCTTTTCCTTCTTGCCGTCTAAATGTCACCATCCTCAAGGGTTGACTCTTTCACTTCTTCTTGGCCATATCCTTTGAGCCTGGGTCATATCCTTTCACTTACTCTTGCAGGGAAATCACATTTCGCAAGGCTCTCAACTGCCCTGCTATGCTGCCACCTCCCAAGTATGTTTCTTCATTTCCTTACCCCAGCCTTGGTGTTACACTTTCCATTGCCTCTCAGCCATCCCCCTACCTGTTCAATTAATACACACCTACCCTCAGGCAAACGCTTCCTCTAAAGCAGGAGTCCATAAATGACAACCAACAGCTCCGATCCAACCCTCTGCCTGATTCTGTAGATAAAGGTTGGTAGGAACACAACCACACCCATCTGTTTACATGTTGTCTATGGCTGGTTCCATGCCGCAGCAGCAGAGCTGAGTCATTGCAGTAGAGTCCGTATGGCCCACAGAGTCTGAGGTATTTACTATCTGGCCTTTTACAGAAAGTCTGCCAGTCCTGTTCTACAGTGCCTTTGCCTTTTCACACTAGGGCTTTCTATTAGTCTGTTTTCACACTGCTATAAAGACCTACCCGAGACTGGGTAATTTATGAAGAAAAGAGTTTTAACTGACTCATAGTTTCACAAGCTTAACAGGAAGCATGGCTAGGAGGCCTTGGGAAATTTACAATCTTGGCAGAAGGTGAAGGGCAAGCAAGCATGTCTTACCATGGTGGAGCAGGAGAGAGAGGGAAGGGGGGATGTGCTGCACTTTTAAACCATCAGATCTCGTGAGAACTCTGTGAGGAGACAGCACTAGGGGGATAGGGCTAAACCATTAGAAACCACCCCCATGATCAACCACTTCCCACCAGGCCCCACCTTCAACATGTGGGGATTACAATTCAACTTGAGATTTGGGTGGGGACAAACAGCCAAACAATATCAGGCTTTGATTGCTTTCCTTCCCCACGCAGGAACCCATAAGTGACTCCTCATTGTCTGTATAAGTAATTTAAATGCTTTTGCTTTGATATTTAGGAGTCTTCTCATACTCATCCAGCCCAATTATATTTCTCCACACACTAAACCCAGTCATTCCCACCAGACACCTATCCTCCTGACCTTTCCAACCTTCTCATGCCTCCTACGTTAGACCTTCTCCAGGACTGTTGTGTAGTCCTGAAAGAAAGCAAAAATGCCATTCCACCTATCCTCTCATTGTTCATATTCTCCTTGGTTTTTATTTTTATTTTTTGAAGCTCCTGAATCATTTCCTGATGGTCAGCTGTATTGACCACTGCTTTATTGATTTGCATGTGTTGCCTGCTCTGCCCTATCCTGCCCTGTTCACATAGAGTAGAATGAGGGTTTCTGTTGTGAACATCTTCCTCGCTTGTTTAAGACATGACCCCCCAGACCTACCCGCCTCTTGTATTTCTTTTATCAATTTTGTTATGACCTATCCCAAGCTGGAATCCTTAATGTGAACTTCAACTCTTCTTTGCCTCACCTGTCAGTTTACAACAACTATGGTCTCTGATAACTGAAAATACTTACAGCCTTTTCTCTCTTCTCCAAGCCTGCTCTCTTTTTCTTGCCTTAGACCAGGTGGCCATCATTTCTTCCTTGGCCTACTACAGTTATTTGCTCAGGGATAGTCCTTCAGCTGGTCTTTTTTCCAGGGTCAGTACTAGAATGAGGAAAGCGAGGTGCCTCGGGCGTAAGATGAAAGGAAGCACACACTCTCAGAGTTGTGCACATTCAGAGCCAGCACGTGAGAGTGAGGCTCCTTAAATTTTGTGCTCCAGGCACTTCAGGAGATTCAGTGACCTGCCCTAGTCCTGGTGGCCTTTCTCCCTCCCTGTGTTTGGCTATTCCTGCATTGCTATAAAGAAATACCTGAGACTGGGTAATTTATAAAGAAAGGGTCGTGATGCTGCAGGCTATAGAGGAAGCAGAGCGGCATCTGTTTCTGGGGAGGCCTCAGGAAGCTTCCAATCATGGTAGAAGGTGAAGTGGGAGCAGGCACGCCACATGGTGAAACTAGGATTGAGAGAGAGAGTGTGTGTGTGTGTGTGTATGTGAGAGAGAGAGAGAGAGACAGAGAGAGAGAGAGAGAGTAGGGGGAGGTGCCACATACTTTTAAATGACCACATCTCATGAGAACCTACCATTTTTTTTTTTTTTTTTTTTTTTGAGACAGAGTCTCACTCTTGTTGCCCAGGCTGGAGTGCAGTGGCATGATCTTGGCTCACTGCACCCTCCACCTCCCAGGTTCAAGCAAGCCTCCTGAGTAGCTGGGATTACGGGTGCCTGCCACCACACCTGGCTAATTTTTTGTATTTTTCGTAGAGACAGGGTTTCACCATGTTGGCCAGGCTGGTCTCAAACTCCTGACCTCAGGTGGTCTGCCCGCCTTGGTCTCCCAAAGTGCTGAGATTACAGGTGTAAGCCACCATGCCCAGCTGAGAACCTACCATCTTGAAGACAGCACCAAGACATAAAGGATCCACCCCTATGATCCAAACACCTCCCACCAGGCCCCACCTCCAGCACTGGGGTTTGTGCTCTCAAACCCATCCAAATCTCATGTTAAATTGGAATTAACATGAGATTTGGGCATGACAAATATCCAAAGTATATCACCACCTCTACCCTCCCCTTCTCTCCATCTTTCCTCCTTGCAGTTTATCCTTGCAGTTGCTAAAATGATATTTGAAGGAACAGATAATATCTAGTCTGTTTTTCAGCTGCCCCAAGGATAAAGCTCAACTCCTTGTGTTGACTCCAACTTTTCCTCCAGCCTTCTCTCTTGCCACTCTCCCCCAACCCATGAATTCCACATTCCGTCTACCCTGAACTACCTAGAGTCCTCTTGGTGTGCTATGCTCTGACACACTTCCAAACCTTTGAAGATGATATTCTTCCCTCCCTTGGAACTTTCCTCCGAGAGTGCCTTTTACTTGGAGGCTTCTCATTCATTATTCAAAACCCAGTACAACCATCACCCTGTATGTGAAGCTTTTCAGAATTCCCTAGAACTAATTAAGTAGTCTTTCCTTTTTTCCCCTTAAGCATAATGTACTCACCTTAATTATAGCACGTGTTTCATTCTGTGGTAATTACTTTTTGCATGTTTTTAATCTCCCAGGAAACCAAAGGTTCAAAGCCCCGGCTTCATATTAGAATTTCTTGGAAAGCTTTTAAGAAATACTGTCATCTGAACCCTATGCCAAAACCTTGGTGTTAAGCTTCACATTGCCTCTTGGATAGAGAAGAAATAGCAAATTATAGATAAAGAACCTCTGGGTGTGGCCTGGCATCAGTGTTTTGTTTTTCTTAAAGCTCTTCAGATGATTCCAGTGAGCAGCCAGAGTCTGAAACCTTGCTGCACTAGGCTGTGATCTCCTGGAGAGTGAAAACTGTGTCCTATTCAAGTTTGTGGACCTCTCCTCCCTCCCTACCCTCATACTTTGCAAGATGCCTGGTTTATAGCAGGAGCTCAAGCAAGAGCTGTGGAATTAATGATCACCTGCTTCATTTGTTCAGTCAGTGATTGGGATTATTGAAGATTAGGTTCAGTCTATTACCACTTGTATTAGTCCGTTCTCATACTGCTATAAAGAAATAACTGAGACTGAATAATTTATAAAGAAAAGAGGTTTAATTGACTCACAGTTCTGCATGGCTGGGGAGGTCTCAAGAAACTTACAATCATGGCAAAAGGCACCTCTTCATAGGGCGGCAGGAGAGAGAATGAGTGCTGAGCGAAGGGGGGAAGCCCCTTGTAAAACTCTCAGATCTCATGAGAACTCACTGAGTATCATGAGAACAGCATGAAGGAAGCCACTCCCATGATTCAATTATCTCTGCCTGGTCCCACCCTTGACACGTGGGGATTATTTCAATTCAAGGTGAGATCTGTGGGGACACAGAGCCAAAGCATATCATTCTACCCCAAGCCCCTCCCAGATCTCATGTCCTCACATTTCAAAACACAATCATGCCCTTCCAACAGTCCCCCAAAGTCTTAATTCATTTCAGCATTAACCCAAAGGTCCAAGTCCAAAGTCTCATCTGAGACAAGGCAAATCCCTTCTTCCTATGAGCCTGTAAAATCAAAAGCAAGTTAGTTACTTCCTAGATACAATGGGGTTACAGGAATTGGGTAAATACACAGATTCCCAATGGGAGAAATTGGCCAAAATGAAGGGGCTACAGGCCCCATGTGAGTCCAAAATCCAGTAGGTCAGTAGTTAAACCTTAACATTCCAAAATGATTTTCTTTGACTCCATATCTCACATCCAGGTCACACTGATACAAGAGGTGGGCTCCCACAGCCTTGGGCAGCTCTGCCCCTGTGGCTTTGCAGGGTACAGTTGCTGCTTTCATGGGCTGGCATTGAGTGTCTGCAGCTTTTCCAGGCACATGGTGCAAGCTGTTGGCAGATCTACCATTCTGGGTTCTGGAGGATGGTGGCCCTCTTCTCACAGCTCCGTTAGGCAGTGCCACAGTGGGGACTCTGTGTGGGGGCTTGTATCCCACATTTTCCTTCCTTACTACCTTAGCAGAGATTCTCCATGAGGGCTCTGCCCTTGCAGCAAACATCTGCCTGGACATCCAGGAGTTTCCATACATCCTTGGAAATCTAGGCAGAGATTCCCCAACCTTAATTCTTGACTTCTGTGCATCCCCAGGCCCAACACCATGTGTAAGCCACCAAGGCTTGGGGCTTGCACTCTCTGAAGCAATAGCCTGAGCTATAATCTGGACTCTTTTAGCCATAGCTGGAGCTGAAGCAGCTGGGATTCAGGGCACCATGTTCCAAGGCTGCATAGCAGCCGGTGAAACAATTTTTCCCTCCTAGGCCTCCAGGCCTGTGATGGGAGAGGCTGCCATGAAGGTCTCTCACATGTCCTGGAGACATTTTCCCCATTGTCCTGGTGATTCAATGGAGAAATCTCCATTGAATTCAGCTCCTGTTACTTATGCAAATTTCTGCACCAGGCTTGAATTTCTCCCCAGAAAATGGGTTTTTCTTTTCTATCACATCATCAGGCTGCAAGTTTTTCAAACTTTTATGCTCTGCTTCCTCTTGAACACTTTGTGGCTTAGAAACTTCTTCCACCAGATACCCTAAATCATCTTTCTCAAGTTCAAAATTCCACATATCTCTAGGGAAGGGGCAAAATGCCACCATTCTCTTTGCATAGCAAGAGTGACCTTTACCCTAGTTCCCAAGAAGTTCTTCATTTTCATTTGAGACCACCTCAGCCTGGACTTCGTTGTCCATATCACTACCAGCATTTTGGTCAAAGCCATTCAACAAGTCTCTAAGAAGTCCCAAACCTTCCCACATCTTCCTGTCTTCTTCTGAGCCCTCCAAACTGTTCCAGCAACTGGCTGGTACCCAGTTCCAAAGTCGTTTCCACATTTTCGGGTATCTTTAGAGCAGTGCTTCACTACCCAGTACCAATTTAGTGTATTAGTCCATTCTCACACTGCTATGAAAAAATACCCAAGACTGAGTAATTTATAAGGAAAAGAGGTTGGCCAGGCATGGTGGCTCATGCCTGTAATCACAGTACTTGAGGAGGCCAAGGCAGGCAGATCACCTGAGATCAGGAGTTCGATCCCAGCCTGGCCAACATGGTGAAACCCCATCTCTACTAAAAATACAAAAAGTAGCTGGGCATGGTGGCACACACCTGTGATCCCAGCTATGCAGGAGGCTGAGGCAAGAGAATTGCTTGAATCCAGGAGGCGGTGGTTGCAGTGAGCCAAGGTTACACCACTGCACTCCAGGCTGGGCAACAAAGTGAGACCTTATCTCAAACAAACAAACAAAGACATTTAATTGACTCGCAGTTCCACAGGGATGGGGAGGCCTCAGGAAACTTACAATCATGGTGGAAGGCACCTCTTCACAGGACAGCAGGAGAATGAGCACTGACCAAAGCGGGAAGCCCCTTATAAAATCATCAGATCTCATGAGAACTCACTCACTATCATGAGAACAGAATGAGGGAACCACCCCTATGATTCAATTATTTCCACCTGGTACTGCCCTTGACACATGGGGATTATTACAATTCGAGGTAAGATTTGGGTGGGGACACAGAGCCAGAGCATATCACCACTTTTCTCCCTCAGCACAGAACTTGGAGTAGGAGAACCTCGCAAGGGATGGGGATCCCATTGGTGTTAAACTGATATGCGATGTCCATGGTACACCACAAGGTGATTCGCTTTAATGTTCTTGATTCCTAAGACTTTTAAAAAATTGCTTCAAATAACAAGGGGGCCTGCAGAGCCATACATGCACAAAACACTGTAATGTCTCCTCCCCTGTCTGATGGGCATGCTGTACAACAGCCATTTGAGGAACGACATTAGAGAATAGATTGGGCTTCATTATTAGGCCTCTTCTTCTACAGTTTGCTCATTGGATTCAGGAAAACTGTCTTAGGCCCGCATGTGCTTTTTAGTGCCCAGGTGAACTTAGGTAACAAGTAGCACTATTGCTTGACATGGCATTATCTGCCCATGTTTGGTCTCTGCTTGGACCAGCAAACTTAAATGTCAGACTTCCCTAAGGTAAAAGTCAAAGATATGCTATAGACTGCATCTGATATTTACAGTTCTTTCTAGCTAAGAAGAGCTGGCTTTTGTGGTAAATATTCTCTCATGCAAATTAGAAAGGTTTTCCCCCCTTTGTACATATGCCTTTGATGTTATTACTTTCTTTGCTTTTATTTGATTTTGTGAAAGTCCACAGATGCTTTTGAACACATAATGGCCCCTACTTGTGGCTACTAAAAATAGTAATTGAAAAAGTGAGGGATCAGTTTTAGAAGCCTATTAATTATGTATTTAAATAGTTTCAAATTGCAAAAAAAAAAAAAAATATGTCTTAGGGATTTAGAAAATTACTCTTTCAGTGCTGTTTCAGGTATCTTCTTTTCAGAACTTGAGTTAAGGAAGGTGAAAAGTTGTCATTCCACTTTTTCTACCATTCCAGATCCATCTTCTTTAATTCCTGCTTTTTCTTTTCCATCACTATTTTATTTCTCCGCTTTTCTCTTTACGTGATGCCAATAGTAATATTAATAATTGTTGGTCGGGTGCAGTGACTCATGCCTGTAATCCCAGCACTTTGGGAGCTAAGGGCAGGTGGATTGCTTGAGCTCAGGAGTTAGAGACCAGGCCTGGGCAATATGGTGAAACCCCATCTCTACGAAAAATACAAAAAATTAGCTGGACATGGTGGCACGCACCTGTAGTCCCAACTATTTGGGAGGCTGAGGTAGAAGGATCACTTGAACCTGGGAGACAGAGGTTGCAGTGAGCTGAGATCATGCCCCTGCACTCTAACCTGGGTGACAGAGTGAGACCCCCTCTCAAAAATAATAATAATAATTGTTGCTTATTGGACAACTGTGTGTTTTACACAGTACTAAGCACTTTATCTCATTTAATCTCTCAAAACCCTGTGAAGTAGGTACTGTTATTAGCCCCACTATACAGAGGAGAAAACTGAGGCAGCACAAGGAACTTAAGTAACTCTAGGTCACACAGCTAGGAACTGGTTGGGGAAGGGTTCAGATCTAAGCCATCTGTTTTAAGAGCCCAGGCTCTTAACTATTTGCTACCTGACCCAAAGTTCAGAGTGGTAAATGGTAGTAGAATGAAGACTAAGCATACTGCATTTGATTTAAAAAATAATAAAGTTATTTTTCCCCCATCTTAACCCCCATTACTTTAATAATGGATTCACTTCTCAGCACTATTAATGAAAGAATTTAATAGAACAAGTACTGAGCTTGAGATTTCATGCTATCATTTCTAATCAGACACAGAATTTGTAACCAGTAATGACAAAAAATAGCAAATTGTGGATAACAAGGAGATGTTACAGCCTACTTAGCATCTTGGGTGGGGGGCAGGGACAGCTGGAGAGGGACAGTGGTCCCTGGAGTCAGCCTTCTATGGACTCTGATGGAGTCTGGCCAAGGGAAGACCACACTCAGCCAACCATTTTGGGGTTCCAGGAGCAGGGACAACAGGGCAGCAGCTGTGAAAGCTTACACCTCAGTGATTAGGTGGGGAGGGTCCATAAGAGGCCAAAAAGGGAGAGAGGCACCCCACTCCCACCCCCATGCACACAGAAAGGAAAGGCTGGGCCAACTTTGCAGGACTGACTGACCCAACATCTAGCCCAAACCAAGCATTTGACACAGGCGGAAGCTAGAAGACTGGCCTGAGATCTTAAGTATAGTTAGAGGGAGACTAGAGCTAGTCCAGGGTACCTTGGCACCTTTGTCCAAGGATTTTTCTAGCATAAAATGAAAAAAAAAATGACTCTTTGAGGAAATAGGAGAGACGGAGCTTACACTGATGTGTAAGCTTTCACAGCTGCTGCCCTGTTGTCCCTGCTCCTGGAACCCCAAAATTGTTGGCTGAGTGTGGTCTTCCCTTGGCTTCCTAGAATTGACCTTAAGAGGATATCATTTTCAGTGTTGCCTTTGGTAATAAAACAAACCAATTTGCAGTGACTATTCCAGTAGCTGATTTCTTTAAGCACAAAGCATACTTTTAGGGGTCTTCAGAGGCATGGTAGAAACCCCCTTACCTGACTAAATCAGGTCTGGTAATTAGTTGGTTAGTAGAAAAGTTGGTAAATGCAGGAAAACATGCAAAAATATAAATATGTATGTAAATATGGTGTTTTAACCTATAAGCATACATTCGTTTGATCATCTTTGGATGCAGAGTGAGAGATTTTTCCTTTGAGTTGGGCTCTTCAAACTGGAGTTCCCCATTGTTTTCTTTGCATCACTACAGTCATTCTGCAGCTTTGATTTTTAGTCTTAAGTTTCTTTAAAGTGGAGTGAGACCGTAAAAACACATGTGCCTCAATCTGAGCACAGGATCCTTCATCTTAATGATTTTTCTCAGTCTTTTTTTTTGTATTGCTCACATTGCAATGATTTTCTTTTGCAAGTCATCTTCCCCAAGTCTTTCTTACATTCACTTTCATAGAAATAGCTCCCTTTCCTTTCACACTCAGATTTCATTATTTATGTGATTGGTGTTAAATTAAATGCATAATTAATAACAAACAGAACTGGCATAAAAAAGTTGGGTACAAACATAGGTAACTCTTCAGAAACATAAAGTGCTGCTGGTGGAAGCAGAAGGAAGATGGGTGAGTGAAAGGAAAACACTTGCAGTGATGGTTTTTGGTGTGTTTGTGGGAGGGGTGGTTACTTTATTGGGTTGGTGAAATGAAAACTGGCCAACTGATGTTAAAGGGAAAATTATTTGTAATGCTTGTTAAAGCATAGTCAGGACCATCATAACAGGTCTAGGGACCACTGCAATGGGTTTTGCAGTATAAAAGAGAGATCAGGCTCAACTCCTAGTACAAAAAGGAAAAGTGTGAATTTAGAGCCAAGGTCCAGGGTGGGAGAGTTAGTGGATAGAAAATTACCAAGAGGGATCTACCGCCATATCACCCTGAATGCACCCAGTCTCATCAGAAAATTACCAAGAGGAAACATTAGGGGTAAAGAAGACTTTGGGTAAGTTGACCTAACTGGATTCTTGCTGAAGACAGAGCAGGGTGATCAGATATTGCCCAGGGGATCTGATCAGATATTGAAGACAACCAGCCATCTAGAGTCGGGGATTCGCTGACTTGGCAGGATTCTTGCTAAAATTGGGCAATGCAGAAATGAACACAGAAGTCCATACTTCATAGTCTAGTTGAGAAGAGTGGTCCAAAGACTAGGGTTTGGTCAAGGAGAGATTGTGTGTCACTGGGCCTCTATTGTAGACACACCTCAGATTTGTGGAAGAAACTCTACCTTTGGGAAAACAAATGCACCTACTTCTTATGAAAGAAGTAATAACATCTAAAAAAATGAAGCATTATTTGAGTAACAAAGCTTTATTTAATGTCAGTCCATATTATTCTTTTCAACCATTTCCAGAAATGTCCTTATCATTCAACAAAAATCTACTTTTATTTTTCTTTGACTCAAAAATTTTGTTTTAACCTAAGAAGATCTGCATATAAAAAGTGATTGTGATTGTCACCTCATGGACATTATCAATTGTGTAAGTCAATTCTCACACTGCTGTAAAGAAATACGTGAGACGGACTAATTTATAAAGAAGAGAGGTTTAATTAGCTCACAGTTCTGCAGGCTGTACAGGAAGCGTGGCTGGGGAGGCCTCAGGAAACTTACAATCATGGTGGAAGGCAAAGGGGAAGCAGGCATGTCTTACATGTCTGGAACAGAAGGAAGAGAGAGAAGAGGGAGGTGCTACACACTTTTAAACAACCAGATCTTGAAAAGCAAAAGGGAAATCTACCCCCATGGTCTAATCACCTCCCAGGTCCCACCTCCAACATTGGGAATTACAATTTGACATGAGATTTGGGCAGGGACACAGACCCAAACCTTATCATCAGTGAATTCGGAATACTAATACAGAATGTTTTTCATTGAAAATCAGTTTATAAATAAATGGTGCAAGGAATTCTAGAGTAATGCATTAGCCATGCATTACTGAAGTGCTTAAGATAATTTTTAAAAACTGATGGACTAAAAGTTGGTATGAGAAAAACACTATATATCATTTCCTAAAGTTGTTCTGTTTTGTTTAAATATGGTTTAAAATGGTGTTGGGGGAAAAGACATGTCCCCTTAGGGATTGTCAGAAAGAATCTAAAGCAGCTTAGCAAAGAGACAGAAATGTAAATGTGATATTTATCAGGGGAAATGAGGGTATGATTAAATAAAATGGAACCAGCCTCCATGTCAGAAAATACCTTAATGAGGAAGTCATACTTGAGGCCTTTGTGTCATCTTCTGAAAGACTAAGAGCCTGGACTGGCCAGGAATGGCCTTCACCAGAACTATGGTAGGAAGAGTAAGTTGAGTTTATTTCTCAGGTCAGGTTCAACCTCCTGAAATCCCAGCTGAATTAAAGTCTTCATTAAATTCATGAAAGGACACAAGAGTCACAGCCTGGCCTCTTTTAACATCGCTTTCCTGGAATTGAATGGAAAGTCAGCTTCTAGTTCTGTGGAAGGCAGGTCCCAGGGGAGGTGAGCAGCTTCTAATTCCACAGCTCCTGCTTGCCCTTTTGAGAGCTCCAGCTCATCTAGCAGGTCTTGCCTGTTTCACATCTTTGGAGTTAAAATACTCTGTAGCCTTCATCTCCTCCCCTCAAACATGTATTTAAAAAAATACAAACTTTAAGTTAAAAATGTATTAGAAATGTTGTCTGTGTTATTGGAAAGCACCCTCAGATTCTAAGGTATACACAGATTACTTGGGGGTCTTATTCAAATGCAGACTTTGAGTCAGTGGGTTTGGAGTGGCGTCTAAGAGTCTACATTTCCAGTAAGCTCCCCAGGGCAAGGGAGGGAGGGACTGGTTTCACTGGTTCATGGGTCATACTTTGAGAAGTGAGGATCTAAAAGACCTGATTTCAAGTTCTGACTTCTGACAACTGTTTTCTTACTTGTAAAATGAGAGGCTTTGGATGAAGATACCTTTTAAGTCTGCCCGTCTGCAGCATCTCAAGGCACAGAGAGAGAGAAGGCTGGAGATTGTCTAGAGCTTGATGTCTGCTCTGAGTTTTCAAGGACTCCCCGTTATAACACTGTGAATATAGAAAGGAAAAGTGAATGCAAACAGGGAAGGAAATACAGTTTGTGTCTGACAATCCCAGAGTGGTTACAATTATTCACCTGATGCCTTTGCCAACATTTAAAGGTTTGGCTTTAATTAGATCACACAATCCACAAATGAACCTTCTAATTGTGCTGTGTTTGTCTCCAATAAGCTGTTGGGTAGGATTAATTCTTTCCACAGAATGCCCAATGGAACAGTTTAGTTTTCAATACAAACTAAGTGTAGTCACAAAAGATTACTACCTTTAGATCTTAAAAATATTTTTAAACAGAGTGCAAGTAAAGATACAGTTTGATATGACATTTTTTATACTAACTGTGTCAGTCATGGAGGAATTTAATACCATTTTGAAATCTTTCTTATCCTTCGGATTCCCCTCTGATGTTCTCTTGTTAGTAAAATCTTCCCAGAGGCCACGTGAGAATTAGTAGCCACCTTCTGCCCCTCTGCTCCTATTTACACTGCTGTTCGGGTGCACACCACATGGTTGGGCTTGAGCTCATTTAGTTTTGTATCTGTTTTTGTCCTTCTCTGAATTACGAGCTCCTTAAGCCATCCTGACAGAGTAGGAAAAAAATTTGGATGACTTGGAGCACAGGTACATGAGTTTACACTTTGTTCTGTTCTGATCCTATGATCCCAGGAGGCCATTCTGCCTTCGTTTTTGATAAGCCACTTTCCCCAGACTGTAAATCCCATATTCTCAGGGGTCTGAAAGTCCAAATGCCTTCAGGGAAAGGTGGTAGGAGGAATGCAGAAAGCAGTGGATGGTGATAGTCTAGGGGGCAGTAGGAATCTTGGTTAACCTGCCTTGCCCCAAGATCTCAGATGCATTTTCTTTAAACACAACAGGGTTGAGCTCAAGCAGAAATTAACACCCAGCTAAAGACTTTGCTTCACATCACCTGGTTTCTGGTTTGCACATAACAGGGGCTCCCAAGTTGAGCTTAGCAGAAAGAACAGTGGAAATATTCAAAATAATTAATAACAAGGATAGCCAGGGAATCAAAATAGCATGTTTATAGCTCTAAGGTTTACCCTATAGCATCAGGTTTTAACCCTTTAGTTACTGGATCAAGGGAAAGTCCAGGACTTCCCAGTGGAGAGGCCAGGGCAGTTGAGCCTGGTGAAATGGAATATCAGCCCTGAGAAAGACCCCCAGGCTTTAGTCAGAGAAACATCATTTCACAACCCTGGCTAGCCACTTACTGTCTGTTAGATCAAGTTGAATAATCTGTCTGAGCCTCAGTTTTCTCATCTGTAAAATGGGTTAATAATACTCACTTTGCAGGACTGTGGTGAGGATTAAGTGAACCAACATATGGAATGTTCCTCAAAGAGTGCCTGGCACAAACAGATGCTCACTCAGTGAAAGTAGTACCAGGGGCTGTTGTTTACTATTATCTTTAAAAGATAATAAGTGGTTATTGATTGAATGCAGACAGCTTGTCTTTGTGTTACTCATGCTTTCTGTAGTCAGATAATTCAGGTGGACCACAAGAGATCTTGGTTTACTGTTGCCATCAAGGTGGCTTACCCCAGGGCTCAGGGGCTGGGTGGGGGCAGTTCTGAAAGACATAAGGAGAAGGGGATAGGCGAGGCTTTGTTCCCTGGGCTGGAGCTATATGAAAGACTCCCAAGTCTTTAGATCACAGCATCCACAGGCCGCTCCTGATCTATAAAAGCTCACTTTCTGATTTGTAGGCATTTTAAAAGACACAGATATTCTTATAAAGATGCTTAGCTAGTGATTATCTTCTGAGAGGCATGAGCGGCAAACTTGAGCCTCTTATGCTGTAAATAAGAGATCTGCTACATAGGCATTTCCCTGGGTCAATCCTTCTGCTTTTGGAATCCCTCGTGCTGCACTTATACATTCTCTAAATTGTCTCCAGGACACACACTGGGTCTCATGACAGGAGGAATCTCCATTGAGAAGGATGATCTGTCCATAGTCAGCACCATAGTACAGAGAAAAATATACCCTCCACACCCAGGCAAAGGTTGACCACCCTATTCTCTGTAGTAACCCAGCCTAAATAAAGACAGCTTTTATTTTACAATTGCTCACAACATTCACCATTCACTGTAGCTGAGTGTACTCAGCTATCTGCAAAACAGCATCCCTGCATTATTGATGTGAGGGTCGTGAGACCTTGCCAAGTGTTTTTTCCATATTGCTTACTCTTCAACTTGAAAACTGATTACTGTGTCCTGAAGGTTATATTTTTAAAGGAAATTTTCCTCATGCAAAATGCTGGAATGTATTTTGTTCCTTGTTCACTTGCTGTTACATGTGTCATTGACTCCCAACCTCTGATGTGTTTCTTTGTTTTCTGTGTGTTGCAGGCAGCATAGTGTACCTCGGGATGATGGTGGGGGCGTTCTTCTGGGGAGGACTGGCAGACAAAGTGGGAAGGAAACAGTCTCTTCTGATTTGCATGTCTGTCAACGGATTCTTTGCCTTCCTTTCTTCATTTGTCCAAGGTTATGGCTTCTTTCTCTTCTGTCGCTTACTTTCTGGATTCGGGTAAGGTTTTCTCCTTCATATTTTATAGTAATGTGTTTATTCTTCATAATTCTCCACTCTAGAGAACCTTATTGGGAGGAAATTATCCCTTCACACATCTCCTTCCATATCCTCATGTCAGCCCTGGAAACCACAATGCTGGTTCTTAGAAATATAATTATCAACCTTTAAATACAGGACAGAAGGGAACACACACCTATGTTTTCATAGCTGATTATTACTTCTAGAAGAAGAGTATTGTTTTAAATGGAATGCTGTTTCTATGGTAGAACACATTCACACATATATGCTGCTTCTGAAAATTTAACATAAGTAGGAAATAGCTCTCGTCCTACCTGTTATGAACTAATTAAAGGTTTGAGCCATTCAAGCATGCTCTTAAATTCAGGATTAGAGTGTCTCAAATAAATGCACTTTTATTGGTCTATGTTAACTTGGCATATTTAACTTGGTAGAAAGCCTCCTTGAGACGTAATTTTTAGTAAGTTCCTGACTTCTGTTGAATTAACAGAAGTTGTGCTATTACCCAAATGCAGTGGTAGAGTGTAGCCGATGTTCATTTTCTTTAAAGAGCTTAAAGCACTTATAACTATACTAAATGAATCCATAAGCATAGAAAAACCTAATAGCTGAATAAGGAATATATGAGAAACTTTGCTTCAATAAGAAAAAAACATAGTAAAAATATAAAATTTTTATAACGAATGGGTACTAGGCTTAATGCCTGGGTGACAAAATAATCTGTACAACAAACCCCCACGACACAAGTTTACCTCTATAACAAATCTGCACATGTTCCCCTGAACTTAAAAGTTAAATATATCTATATATAAAATTTTTGATTCATGATTAAGAACTTAGAGACTTTTTTTTCAAGATGTCTAACACAAAATGAATCTGTAGGAATAATATACAATTTTTAAACATAAATGAAGAAAATGAGGGAAACGGGGCTGGGTTATAAACTTTAAAAGCTATCAGTTGTGGTTGTTAGTGATACATCACCACAACCTACAAAGCAGAACACAGTTTTGTGAAAAGAGGTCAGAGGACTATAGCATGTCTTTCTTAATTATGTATAGTAGCATTTCCCACAGCTCCTATGCTACATTCTGCACACAATGAGCACTTAGCAAATACTTGACTAAGTTGCACAAATTTTAGGAGCTTTCCTTAGAGTGAAGACAGTGCATTTCAGTAAACCAAGATGGCTGGAGAGTTTGGGAAAGTGTAAAATATTTTGTTCTTGGGGAAAAAAAAATGTTCAGAATCAATCATTTGCTTTGTAGCAACGGAGAAAGGGGAGAGGAGGCTTTTTCTCCACAGGGGAGCCCCTTGGTGCTCAGTTTCTGTGAGACTGGCTACATACGCTGCTGACTTGAAGATGGATTTTGGATTATGGACTCAAAGGGTTTCAGCAGACCTAAATGTTGAATGATTGAATGAATGAATGAAGAACAGATGTTACTTGGGGCTATTAGTTAAAGGACCTTCTCAGTGAGTAGGTCCATAGGATAAGATATTCTTGCCACCAGGAAAGGCCAAGCTTCCTTCTCCCTTTTATTATCTATAATAAAACCACTAGCCTGTCAACAGAAGGCTAACAGCATAAGCGCTGAATTTTCCAGTCCTTTCAGTTTGCAATCTTTTTTGGGAAATTGAAGCAATATCCAAAGACCCAAAAGTACATGACTGTGGTCAAATTATTGTGGCAATTTTAATTGCCAATCTGGATTGAGACATGGTCGTCCCAACAGACTGTAGAGAAAAAGGTCCACTGTGGTGGCTGCAAAATATTCCAAACCAATGGCCTGTCCAGAAGCGAATTCAAGGGCAACATAAAAGCAGAGACAACTTAGATGTATTCTTGATATTATCCTCATTCCTACTGCAGACAAATCATTCTTCAGCCAACAGGTCAGGACTCCCGGGGGCTGGGAATCAAGAAATCCAGGTGTGCCCTACTCCTGCCCATTATCATGGAGTCTTAGGAAAGTCATGCAGGCTCTCCTGCCTGCTTTTTCTTTTGTAAAAGAAGACATTAGGACTTTGCATTGTTACCTTGGAGTGTGAAGATCAAATGAGATGATGTATTGAAAGTACAAGGTAGAGAAGATAATGTAGGATAATGTTTAGAAACACTCACTCATAGTTTGGCATTTCTTATCTCCTTTGTTCCTCCTCACATACATTTTGCTAAGCTGTTCTATGTTGATTGCCTTGGAGTGACAGCAGGGGAGGAGGCAGAAAGAGACTCCTTTCTGGCTTTTTAAATTTCAAGTCTGGCCCATGCAAGAAACAGAAAGGCCTAATCAGGGACAAAATATTTGGGAGAAAACATGGCAAGTAAAATCAAGCATAAATCAAGTTAATCTCTATAATAAATGGTGAGTACCTAGGCTGGGGACAGGGCTGAGGGGGGAGTCATGTGAGCTTAGTTACCTTAGTCCAGGTGGCAAAATCTCTGCAGAGTTTTGTGGGATCCAGCGGCTGACAGGACCTGAGAAATGAAGTTATTAAGGAAAATGAGGGAAGAAATCTATATTGGTCAGCATTCTCCAGAGAGAGAGAACCAATAGGAAAGAATGGATAGAATAGATAGACAGGCAGATAGATAGATAGATAGATAGATAGATATGAGACAGGACTAATTAAGGCAACGGCTCACACAATTATGGAGGCTGAGGAGTCCCATGGCAGGCCTTCTGCAAGCTGGAAATGCTGGGATGCCAGTAGCATGGCTCAGTATAAGTTTGAAGGCCTCAGAACCAGGGAAGCTGATAATATAACTCTCATTCCAAGGCTAAAGGCCTAATAACTCAGGGTGCTGCTAGTGCAAGTCCCAAAGTCCAAAGGCCAGAGAACCTGGGGATCTGTTGTCCAAGGACAGGAGAGGAAGGATGTCCCAGCTCCGAGAGACTGCAAATTAGAATTTCCTCTGCCTTTTTGTTCTCTCCAGGTTCACAACCGATTGGATGGTGCCCACCCACCCCTGAGGGCAGAACTTCTCCACTCAGTTTACCAATTTGCATGCCCATCTCCTCCAGAAACACCCTCACAGACGCACCCAGAAATAATGCTTTACTAGCTGCTATAGTTTGGATTTTTGACCTTTCCAAATCTTACGTTGAAATTTGATCCCCGGTGTTGGAGGTGGGGCCTGATGGGAGGTTTTTAGGTCTTGGAGGTGGATCTATCATGAATAGATTAATGTGAGTGAGTTATTGCTCTATTAGTTCTCATGAGAGCTGGTTGTTTAAAAATAGGCCTGGCACCCCCCAGCCCTCTCTTTTGCTTCCTCTCTCACTGTGTGTTCTCTGCACATGCCAGCTCCCCTTTGCCCTCTCTCCTGAGTGGAAGCATCCTGAGGCCATCACCAGATGCCCAGTCTTCCAGCCAACAGAACCATGGCCAAATAAACCCCTTTTCTTTATAAACTGCCCCACCTCAGGTATTCCTTTATAGCAACAAAAATGGACTAAGACACCAGCTGTCTAGGTATCCCTTAATCCAGTCAAGTTAACATGTAAAATTGACCATTGCAATATTTTTCTTCTTCACCAAAGTTTATGGGCTATTTTACTTTTGCTTGCTTTGTGAAATGCTACCTTCATGGCCCAGGGTTTTTCTCAACAGTCTAGAGTTTATCTGGGAACTCTGTTTCTGAATCTCTGAGGAGTCTCATCAAAGTCTCTTTTTCTCCAATTCCATTCCAATTCAACTCAAAAAACATTGTAACACCTACTCTACTCACTGGAACCATGCAAGGACTTTCATGGATATAGCTGAGCCCTCACCTCAAGTTGCTTACAGTCTGTACAGACAGGCAGCTCTTCCAGTTCCCACCTTCCAGGAATTAGAGCCTGAAAAGAGGGCACAAGGGGCTTGGGAATCTCAAAGAGGAGGGAGAAAACAATAATAACATTGGAATAAGAAAATTTCTATTTCAATGATCCTCTTGTTTTCAAAGGCATATCGTATTTAAACCCTTCATTCCTATTACTTATTAACTCAGTACAGAAGCAGCTGAAGTTTTATATATTCTTTTTTTTATTTAAACTTTCTTTATTAAAACTTAAGCCAGAGAATTAAGATTCTCATCCTAGAGACCTTAAATAAAAGACCATGTTTTATCTACTTAAACAACTCCCTCCAACCATATCTGGTCCAGTTTTTAAATTGAGAAAAACTACGTGAAATAACATTCCAAAATGTTGGGAATGTTTCTTTTGTGGGCCTCTGGTGCACATAGGCCCCCGCACTCCACGCATTTCCTAGGAGTACAGTACTTGCCATCCTTTCTGCTTTGAAGCTTCTTCTCCCAGGGCCCTCCCACTCACAGCTTCCCAGAGGCGTTTCCTGAGACCACACACCCAGTGGGTCTCAGAGAGTTTCCTGTTTTGTCTCCTTGGCAGCACTTACAACTGATGCCTGAAAATATTTACTTCTTATGTTCTTCTTTCTCTCCTCCACCAGCATGTAAATTCCAAAGGGCTGGGACTGTCGTCTTGTTCAACATTGCTTAATCGCCCATGGCAGAGTGGGCATGGGTATTGTAAAAGACAGTGGAGTTCAAGCAGCAACCAGCATAGTCTGACTTGCAGCCATCTGTGTCATTGGCTAGTTAATCATGAAGTGAAATAGATAGGAAGCCTACTCAATTCTTACTTGATCTGTATAAGTAGAAAACTTATATGACTAGTGAATGAAAATCTAACTTGAGTCATGTCCCCTCCATCATTCCCAGACTGGAGCTGCTTTACAGACCCAGAACCAACTGAATGAAGGGGAGGCTGGGCCTCCTTGAAGAAGGATCTTTGTACCCAGCTAAATATTTATACTGTTAGTCTTTCTCCCAGCTTCCCCAAAGGGACTGAAGGCCTTTTACCAGGATGAGTGTGCATGGGAGAAAGGAAATAATCAGTCTTCTCAGGGCTTGTGGACACTGGCTCTAAACTGACACTAATTCCAGGAGACACAAAATGTCACTGTGGTCAACCAGTCAGAGCAGGGGCTTATGGAAGGCAGGTAATCAATGGTGTTTTAGCTCAGGTCTGTTTCACAGTGGGCCCAGTGAGTCAGGCACTGAATCCATCCCGTGCCTGATTCCACAGTTCTGGACTGCATAATTGGAACAGACCTACTCAGCAGCTGGCAGAATTCCCACATTGGTACAGAATCCCCACATTTAATTGGTACAGGGCCTGTCCATCAGCTCCATTTACTAGGAATTTTAGAACAAAGAGAAGTTCTAGTTCAGAGAGTCCAAACTTTTCATTTTGCAGATTGAGGTGCAGTGGTGGAACCAGGAATAACTCAGCTAGGACTTAAATTGCAATTAAAGTCATTTTAAACTTGCAACTCTGTAAATAAGTAAAATGTACATTCTGAATCCAAGGTTTACCTGTCTGTGTGTTGATTTTATCAAAAATGCTACAGATTTCCAGTTGCTGTGTCTTATTTCATTGCTGAAGCATCATTAGCAGCACTGTCTCTGCAAATAAAGGGGACTGGAAGGAGTTCTTTTTTATTTTATTTTTTGTTTTATTTTGTTTTTTGAGATGGGATCTCACTCTGTCACCCAGGCTGGAATGCAGTGGTGCGATCATGGCTCACTGCAGCCTTGACCTCCTGGGCTCAAGTGATCCTCCTACCTCAGCATCCTGAGTAGCTGGGACCACAGATGCATGCCACCACACCCAGCTAACTTTTAAAAATGTTTTGTACAAACAAGGTCTCCCTATGTTGCCAAGGCTGGTTTCAAACTCCTGGATTCAAGTAATCCTCCTAGCCTTGGCTTTCCAAAGTGCTGGGATTGCAGGCATGAGCTGCTGCACCTGGCCAAGCTCTTGTTTTAAACTGAGATCTACTTGGGTTTATATTTTTATTGTCTCCAAATGTGCTTTCCTCTTAATTCATCAAACCAAGTCATGAGCATATCTTCTTAGAAACACAAATATGTCCAGCTGACATATTGTATATGACTTTAAATGTTTATTCGGTACAATGAATGATTTTCCTGCCTGGGGACAACAGCGTTGTGTGGGAAGGAGGACTAGGACATCACCAATTACTCATCTGTCTATCACTTTCCTAAACGAATCTCACACCAAGAAACAGACACTTTCCTCCCCTCTTTTGTTATAGAAAATTAGAAAGATGGGAAATGGAGTTGGCACCATTGATTCATTTTCATTTGACCCAGAATTAAATTATTTGTAGCCAGTCACTGTTAATTATGGGAATGATAGTACTTTGGATGCTAGGCAATATCAGAGTCGGGAGCTTCTCACTGAGGGCCTGGCACTGCTAAGCAGGAAGGTCAGGAGAAAAATATAATAGCAACAGAAATTAAAATGAAATTTCAACGTGTCTGTATATCGTAAATGAAAGAATAGTAATTTCTTCCTCTGTGAATAGAGCCTACCAAATGTGTACTTCATAGCTATTTGCAATATTCATTCATTAGCTGTATTGAGTTATAGTAAGAATACCTTGGCTTTGTAGAAATCATCACCATTAACTGGAATTATTCAGAATGCTTTATATGTAGCATCCCATTTATTTCCACAATTGTTTTAAATAATTTGTCATGTAAAAATTGTGTGCCTTTTTTATTAGAAAATTGAGGCACAGAGGCCGGGTACGGTGGCTCATGCCTGTAATCCCAGCACTTTGGGAGGCTGAGGTGGGCGGATCACGAGGTCAGGAGATCGAGACCATCCTGGCTAACATGGTGAAACCCCGTCTCTACTAAAAATACAAAAAATTAGCCAGGCGTGGTGGCAGGCGCCTGTAGTCCCAGCCACTCGGGAGGCTGAGGCAGGAGAATGGCGAACCTGGGAGGCGGAGCTTGCAGTGAGCTGAGCTCGCGCCACTGCACTCCAGCCTGGGCGACAGAGCGAGACTCCATCTCAAAAAAAAAAAAAAAAAAAAAGAAAGAAAAAGAAAATTGAGGCACGGATTGATTATTGCTTCCAAATATTCAACAGACACCCAGTCTTCTGAATTTTGGTCTGATTCTGAGCTATGAGGTTTTTCCCTTCAAAGTAGTCTTTTTCTTAAAATAATCATATTGGAAAAATGCAGTCATTTAAAATTGTTTAAGACTTTTAAAATGTATTTTATCAAACACCTCTATAGTGCTTGCCGCGTGAGAGATGCTGTGTTCAGCACTTTATATTAGTAAATATTGACTCTCATCAGTGACCCGATGAGAAAGATGCTATTCATTATTCATATATCTTAACTGTATGTCATAAATGAGGAAGTTGAAGTACAGAGAGGTTAAGTTCCTATCTGAGGTCACACAATAAGTAATGTAATCAGGTTTCATACCCAGGCAGTCTGGCTCCAGGGCCCATGCTCATAACCATCAGGCTGTGCTGTGCTTCAGACTCAACCAGAAATGTCTCTGATTTCATATGGCACAACGTATACATGATATGTGCTCATACGTGTTTGAACAGATCAGTCCAAAAATATCTCTGGCCCCAGAGCATCAGAAGGGAAAGACCTTCCCCAATATGTAAAATGAGGCAACAGTCAAGATTATCTTTAATCCAAAAATAATATAAAACCCAAATTGTAAACAGTGTGTCAGTGTTTTCTTAGAGCTGCGTTGTCCAACATGGTAACCACTAGCTTCATGTAGCTACCAAGCACTTGAAATGTGACTAGTCCAAGTTGAGATGTGTTGTAGGTATAAAATACATAGCAGTGGATTTCAAAGACCTAGAACATATAAAAGAATGCAAAATATCTCAATAATTTTACATTGATTACACGTTAAAATAATATTTTACATATATTGGGTTAAATGACTATATATTAAAATTAACTTTACGTGATTGTTTTGTTTTAATGTCTCTTCTGGAAAAATTTAAAATTACATACGTGGCTCACATTTTCTATTGGAAAGCACTGTCTTAGGCAATGCTTTTTACTTTCCAACAAAAAGGCTGACCTTTTGGACACATTTTGTTTCCCAGTATACCCTTTAGCAAAGGTACTATTGATCACAAAGGAGAAGGAACAGAACAAAAGATCTTCCAGACCCACAGTGTATAATTGTGAAAAATTAGCCATATGCACTCTTTAGAATTCACTCTCTGGAGCCCACAGCAGGAATTTGTGTGCTTCATGCCTGCACCTCCAACAACTGGTGATGTGCCTGGCCCAGAGTTTGATTGGGTGAGGGGGTGGATAGAGGGATAATGGGTGGATAATGGGTAAATGAAGGGTGGGTGGGAGGATGAGTGCAGGAATGGATGAGGAAATGTATACAGCAAGAGGCTAGATACATCTGCATGTTCTATCATTAATTATAGAACATCATAATGATCATCACCATCTTTATTCATGGCACCTTTAGATGCTATGGGAAGGCATTCTTCCAACTCTATCAATAGCTAATTTTTTTTCAAGACAGTATTAAAGTCTTGATCCATGACTACCCCACTTCCCTCAGTGGTACTAAGTCTGCTACTGTGGATGCATAGACCTCCACAGTTTTAGGGGGTTAGGCCACCAATCTGATAGCAAACCAGGGCTAAGGGAGTTGAATTGCAGCTGTTTTCTTGGCAATGCAGTTTTCCCCACAAATTATATACTTAAAGATCAATATTTTTTAAATAACCAAATTTTCTACTCATTATTCTATTCATAGTTTACATAATATTTAGAAAATGACAACTTCATATATCGAAGAATATTATTTTTCAAATTGTGGCTTTGGAAATTGAAGACTAAAGCTACCCAAATCATCCATCCTTTGGCATTGCCACTGGGCAAAGGAAATTCTTGTTCTTGATTTGATGATGAGTTAGGTTACCAGTATGTGTTTTTCTCCCATTTCTATCTTTATCACTGATAGCAAACATGTGCCTTCTGATCTATATAGCAACCTTATTTTCTGTGCCAACCTAGCCTATTCAGAAAGAGTGTTAGGTGTGTGCTCTTTCATCTAAGCCTCTGAGCAATCTCCCCAAGGTCTGTGATACTCTATTTACTTTCATAAAGTGGAAGAGACTGAAAGGTTCATCTTTGGACTGCTGCTCTAATCCCTTATTTCTGGGTCCAATTTATAACATAATAAATTGGCTCTGAATTGCTTTGCAATTTGCCTGACAGTTCAGTGTCTTCTCTCCTTTTTGTTGATTCCGAGTAAGAATTAAAAGAATATTTTTCATGCAAGTTATTTGTAATTGTGATTCCTGACATAGGCCAGACCATTCACTAATCTTTTTATAATCCTATAATACTTGTCTTATAAAAGCTGCCAGAGTCAGCTCTTGGTAGACTCTGCCCTCTGTTTATTATTTGTATTGAACATGTGACTTTACAATGATTATTCAACTTTCTCCTTAATTATGTTCTTGCAGAATGTCCCATCTTCCAGTGGAAATGGGAAATGGAAGATTGAGGTAAAGGGCTGCTTGACAATTATATGGTGAAATAAGTTAGAATGAATTATTCTTTGTTACATACTAGCTAGAAAATTAAAGCAGAATAGAATTACTCAGTAGAATCCCTTCTCAAGACAAAGAATCATCAAACATTCCATAATTTCTCTCTAAAATGCCATGCTTCAAGCCATTTTAAGTACAATTACTCTTTTTATCTATAACCTCCCTCTTTCATTGAAGAAACCTAAACCCCTCCCCACCTTTGCCTGAAACAGCGTACATCAGTGTGATGAAGCACAGCAACAAACATAATCCCCACTGGGTTGCCAGCTGAACTGGAGTAAGACGAGGCGTGGCTGTGAAATTCACAGTCAGGCTTCCCAGTTTCCCAATGAGGTTTGTGCATACAGGAAGACTTGGCATACTCTGTCATCCTGTTGTGCTAAACTGGTTTAACTTGTGTGCCTCACATTTCCCAGCAGAGGAGAAATTTGGTCTGTAATGCTAACACATTCTTTGCCTTGCACAATATGCCACTTGTGAATTTGCCTTAGATTATTGGGGAAAATAAATGAATATATTTCATGATATTTACCAGATGCCTAGTATTGAGTCATGTGCAGACCTATTGAGGTGTTGTGCGTGTGTGTGTGTGTGTGTGTATGTGTGTGTGTGTCTGTGTCTGCTTGCCTGTGCATTGGGGAGATTCTGATTCATTCTAGAAATGTGTTTAATACAGAATGTTTTAGTTTCTTTATATTTGTATAATTAAAGTTGCAAAAACCTAGCACTAATATTTCTTAAGGAATAACTCCAACTCTGAAATTCCAAATATTAACATTCTATTTCATTTGTATAAATTAAGTTATTTTGAATCTGGCTAATCTCACACCTACGTAGAGTGTGAATTTCTATTATTATTCCTTCTGTGCCTCTTATTACCAAGGATAATTAAGATTTGACATTTTTGACAGCTAATAAAATAGACTTAATATCCAATACTGAGAAAAATTCTTTATAAGCCACTCTGATCTCATTGCTTCATTTATGTAAATGTTCCATTAAATATAACTTGAAAAAAATGAACTTGAACAGATTTCAACAGTAGCTAACTGATCATTCTATAACGAACACTAAGGTCTCCACGTAAACTGGATTTAAGGATGTGTTGCCCATCAGTTAATGTAAAAGATATTTGTGTCTTATATTATGGACTTTTATATAAAACCAATTATATTTTCCACATTAGCCCCCCACTGCAAAACTTTCCCAACCCTAGCGCTATTAATATTTTGGACTGGATAGTTCTTTTTTGTAAGGAGCTGTTCTGTGAGTTGTAGGGTGTTTAGCAGCGTCTCTGGCCTCTACCCTCTAGATGTCAGCAGCAGCCCCCAAGGTATGACAACCTAAAGGTCTCCAGACATTGCCAGATATCTTCAGGGAGCAAAGAGGAGCAAAATCAGCTCTATTTAAGACCTACTGATACATGGGAATTTAAGGACTTTCATTTACATTTTTTTAATTTCTTCATATATTTTCAGAAATTGTATCTTAGTGTAATAAACAAACAAAAAACAACAAATAAGGAAATTTTTAACCCCTCACATGCAATATTGAGGTAGAATCATAATGGGAAACTTCTTTTTAATTTATAAGATTTGGGGGTTGGGGAGTGGCAGATTTTTCTTATCTTCAAAACTTACCAGAGGAACCAAATTATGTTGTAAGACCTGAAAGCCCTTGCTTTATCTCTTCCCTAAACATTTTTCTGATGATCATTATAGCATCTGCAACCTTTTTCTGAAATGCTCACAGGTGTTATAGAAGCTCCTGGAATGCCCAGTGGGATTGCCCAGTGTCCCCTGAGCAGTTCCAAGGGAGCTCTCTCCACAACAAGGACCGTCAGGTCATTTGGTCAAGGGGTGACCACAGCAACTAAGGCATAGAGCAACTCAGGAACCCTTTGGGGGCTCCATTGCTGTCAAAACTTTCAGTCTAGCACCCTCAACTTCTATTATGGTCATATTGGTTCAGAAAGTGAGGTGTATCTTTCTATTCACTGGAGATCTTTAAATCATGAGAACAGATTACTCCAGGAGACTTGGTATGCCAACTACAACATTGAAGAGTCTGGGAAATTCAGTTCTTTTGCGTAAACACTTAGCACATGTCCACTGGGCCAGTTAATGGGGACTCAAGAATGAATATGATAAAGTCCCTACCTTCAAGGGGTTTATGGGGTGTGAAACACTAGTAATAGTAATAGTTTCTTCTCTGTTTAAAGGACATCACAGTAGGACAAGGAGTAATTTTTTCCCCAAAATATATCATCAGCCCACAATAAGAAATGTGAATGCTTGGATTGTTTTATATATCGCTGAGTCTAAATAACTTTGCAAAGGATTTAAATAGAAGCCTTCTCTAATTCTTCAGACTCACTTATCCCTTAGTATTCCTTAGCACTTCCTTGCAGCCTGCTTTACAAACAAGTATTGAGAGACATCCAGAAAAAATAACCACGTGCAAAAGAGGCATTGAATAAAAACCAGCCAGATTGCCTAGAAGCCCCTACAAGTTGGTGTTTTCTTATGTAACAATGATTTGTTGAAAACTAACAGGCAAATCTACAGTCTTCCACTTGAAATTATAGCCACACTGCAAAAAAAAAAAAGAAAGAAAGAAATTATAGCCACACCGAAGTACCTTTATCTTGGTCCAGAGGGTCTGGCATATCCTGACATACAATAGTGCCTTCATGAAGCTTAAGTTATAGCTATTAAGAGGATGTCCAGAGTCCTGATGAAACATTAATGAGGAAGTGAAAAGTCAGTAAAAACTAGGACTATTTTTATGCATTGAGAAGTTAAGCTGGGATTTTATGGTGCAGAGAAACGGATTCTTCACATCAAATGAAGAAAAGGAGTAGTATTAAATTATTTGTGACACAGATATTTTATTTCATACTAGGATTGTGTGTTATAATGAAACCACTTATAATCTGTTCAAAATATTGTTGAGTTTTAAAATTCAACTAGCTTACTATACCAATAAGCATCACACATTTGTTTTTTGTCATGGTTAATATGTGATATTTGTTTTCAGGGCTTTTAATGATCACAGATAGCAAGCAAGCATGCAGCTTACCCCTTGAAAGGGCCTCACTCTGTCACCCAGGCTGGAGTGCAGTGGCCCTTTAAGGCTCACTACAGCCTCAAACTCCTGGATTCAAGTGATCTTCAGCCTCCCAGTGGTCTTTGTAGACAGCCTGGTGGAGTCTCATGGCACAGAAGATTAATTAAATGATGTCTTTCAATTTTACTATCTGCATTCCATCAAAAAATAAAAATAAAATAAAATAAAATTCAACTAGCTATCCATTGTATGAGCTCCTCAAGAAGCCCAGGCAAGAGAATTGTATGAGTCTAATACGGTGCAGTATAGAGCCAGCTCTGAGCCCCCACCACATGCATTTGTTTCTTGTTTGAGGGTTTGGTTATGGACTTGGACTTGGTTGGCTGCCTCTGTGTGTGATGGTGCTAAATCTGAAGACAGGTTGAGTCACACCTCTAAGAATTTTAGGTAGAACCACTGCTGTCATAGCCCAGAGAAACTGATATAGATGCCTAAAGTTTGTGAATTTTAAACTCTTTGAACAGGAACTCCCACTAAGAAACACACTGTGACCCATTATATATTTTATATATGTATATTATACATTACAAATACATTTATAACACAAATTTCATGAAATGATACTTATGCTTATCCTTATTACTTAGGTTGCACTTAAATATTTTTATCACTATCTCATTTTTTAAAATGCTCTTTACCGTTTATAGCTACTAAACTAAATTTTGCAACCCATAGATTGAAAAGCACCAGCCTAAGTGGTCTTCCCATGTCCACTGATGCGTAACTATGGCATCACTTTAAACAGAGGCAAATACATGAAATGGTGCCATATTTTCACCTACCAGTTGATGCAGGATGACATTGTAAATCCCGTGGTTTATTTGGTACACTAGTTTGCTGCCAAAATGACCTTTCCCTAAATTGCATTTGTTAAGAACACTGCCAATACTTCTTTATCATATCAAAGGCTCTAAGAAAATCAGTTATTGCTAAATAAATAAACATGCTTTAGTCCTTGACATCAAATTTGCATGAAATGTCAATAGCAATTTACCTTACAGAAATCTGAACAAAAATGAATCAGTGCACACTTCCTAACTCTATTAGATTTTGTGTCATCTCGACAATGTACTTATGTTGTGTGTCTTTTTAAACAAATACTTTAAAATTCACATATTGCTTGGAGTGATAGTAATATTTTTCTTTACTACCTTGCTTTTTGAGGCAGTGGTTCCTAAAGTTTTAGGGCCAAGACCTATTTGAAATTCTGATGAAATCTATGGCCCATCTCCTAAAAATGAGCACTATTTTGATTCCATAAACCCTCATTTGAGCACCCTTACCCTGGGTAGAGGTCACTGTTTCTGTCATCTCCCCAGAGCTCAGTCAGCAGCTTGTATAACTAGCTCCTACTGAAAGGAAGCATTATATTCCATTCTATTGATATCTAAACCACCAGCTCCTTATTTTATTCTACAAGTGTCCCTTTCATGTTTACTTATTTAGCAGTAATATCTACTGGATTGGGACTAGAGCTAATCTTGGAAATGACCCCGTGAGTCATTTCAACTAATGTTTGTCAACACATTAACCTAATTTAGTGCTGCTGTGGGGTAGCAGTGAGTAAATACAGATTGCAGACAGTACCCTAGAGGTGTTTGAAGCTGTTTCCAAAGTCCCCACATCAGGAATGGGACATGGCACAGCATCAGTTTTTAAAAACAAGTTAATTAAAATATTCACTAGATTATAGGAAATCAATGTAAGTTTTGATAAATATCACACAAAACACAACCATGAGCTGAAAAGCCAACGGAATCTCATGTTAAGCTCTATCAACCACCTGAGACAAACACCACTGCCACCTCTTGGTAACATAGCTTAATTGCAGGTTCAACTTTTTGGAGGCATAATAAACCTATATTAAATACAGAGACTATAATTTTTACATTGTAAAATAATAGAAAATATATGTTTGTTGATATGCTGGGATAGGGAGAAAGCATGTGTTGTTAGAGTTTGCTTTGGCTCTGCCCTTTGCGTCTCACATGAGCTGTCCACACCCTGATTTCATGTATTCTCTGTACCTCTTGGCAGGATTGGAGGAGCCATACCCACTGTGTTCTCGTACTTTGCTGAAGTCCTGGCCCGGGAAAAGCGGGGCGAACACTTGAGCTGGCTCTGCATGTTCTGGATGATCGGTGGCATCTACGCCTCTGCCATGGCCTGGGCCATCATCCCGCACTACGGTAAGAGGCTGGCCTTGCCCCAGCTGGGCAGTCACTTCATTTTGCTTCAGGCTCCATTCCCATCTTCTTCCTCTCTTCTAAGGGCCACTTTGAGAAAAACTACTCATCATCATGTTTCTCCCTTTCATAGTGTCCAGGAGTTTTTCCCCTCTGTGTAGAGATCTGTATAAAGTAAGACTGTATCAAATGCCCTTCTGGTTATATGAATGTAATGGGGGGAAAATATTTTCCTCTGCTGTGCTTTCACAAGATTTCTGGTCACCAAAATGTGTGGGGTGTTTTCTCCCACTGACCAATTCTCCAACAGCTGGGTGTGCTACAATTTAACTCAATTCTGACACTATGTTACTTGGGGTTGGAGTCAAATGGCACAGATTAAGGGCTCAGTCCCACAAGACTGCCCCCCATTTCAGAGGCCAATTGTAAGTCCAGGCCTCTGGAACTTCTGACTGACCAGCTATAAATGGGAGGTTCCTATACCCCCCACCCTCAGGTTTGATCATTTGCTAGAATGGCTCACAGAACTCAGGGAAACAACTCTCATTCACCAGTTTATGGCAAAGGATATGGCAAAGGATGTAGATGAACAGCCAGGTGAAGAGAAACACAGGGCAAGGTATGTGGGAAGAGGTGAGGGGCTTTCATGAGTTCTCCGCCTCACCACCATCCCAGTGCCTCCACATGTTCAACAACCCAAAAGCTCTCCAAACTCCATAGTTCAGGGATTTTTATAGAGGTTTCTATAGGCATGATTGATTAGGTATGATTGATTATTAACTCAATCCCCAGCCCCTCTCCCCTTCCTGGAGGATGGGGGTGGAGCTGAAAGCTCCAAGCTTATGATCATGGCTTGGTCTTTCTGGTGACCAGTCCCACTCAGGAGCCCACCAACAGTTGTCTCGTTAGAATAAAAGATGCTCCTATTACCCAGGAAATTCCCAGGAAATAGAAGTGTCAGGAACCATGAATGACGACGAACACATATGTTTCTTATTATAATCACAGCATCATAGTGTACTATTGCATTTTACTGTGTTTAAAGTAATCTCTTTCATTTGTTTCCTCTGTGCTATCAATGCTGGGGATTCCTCTCCCCTCTGCCTCTCCTACCCTAAGTAGAGGTGGGAGGATACACAGATCAGCAGCAGCATATAAGACAACATGACTTATAGTTGTTCTTGGGACTGCCATACATATCAAACACACAGAAGCACCTTTACTCAACTCTTGTGGGCTCAGTCCAAAGCTCAGCTCCACATCAGCCCCACCTCTTCTGGCAACTCAGAACTGGAATGGGAGCAGGAAAACTCCTGTTGTATGGCCTGTTGAACTGCAGAACTTTAGAGGTGACTCCACCTGTCCACACTCCCAGATCCCCTCCTCAGTTTCTCCTAAGCTCTTACTGTTTCTGCTGCCTCAGAAACCTGTACATGTTGCATGTTTCTGAGCAATACCCCTCAGAAGCCAAAAGCTCCAAGTTGCTTCATCTATAAGCAGTGAAATGCATGGAAAGGTCAATTGAATCCAGAAATCAAATTCAATATATCAGGAAAGGGGAGAGAAGTGTTCTGGTTGCGTGTGTGTGTGTGTGTGTGTGTGTGTGTGTGTGTGTACATGCACACACACGTGCACATGTGCCCAAACAGGCTAAAGTTTGCAAAATAGGAATACCGTATAAATTAAAACCACATGACTTCAGAAACTCACTCTCTGCTCTAATCTAAAAAATTAGATTTCAAAAACTCATTCTTTGCTCATTTTTTATTTCTCTGCTTTTGTTTTAGAACATGGTAATATTTCATTATAAAACACAGTTCTGTTAGGGAACAACCTTGGTGAAATTGACTCATTGCTAAAATCAGACATAGACTTTAGTATTTAGATGTCTTTAACTTGTTTTTTTAACTGAGTTTTAACATGCTGAGTTACAAAATCATGTCACACGCTTTCTTTTGATGAACCTGAAAAGTTACATGAAAACTGAAGTCGTATTTAACAACAACAAAAGCAAGATATAAGGAATTGGTTACTTGGCCTGAAGAGAACTTCTTTGCTGAACATTTACATTGAGTTCAGGGTGCCAAGCTCAAGTGGTGGGTTTTTCATTTTTAAACTCTTAGGTCACTTATGGGCCAGAGATGCCCTCATACAGGCAGGTCCCCATATCCACCATGAGACTTGTCTTCTGCCACCATCCAAGGAATTCAAGATTTTTTTTTTTTAATTTGAGATCTCAGGACCTCAGCCACCCTCAGAACCTTCCTCGGTAGAGCAGCATCTAACTCATGCCCCACTCAACTCACTGGTTCAAGTGGAAAAGCCACTCAGGAATTGCTTTATAGGAACTATGTTTAAGAAGGTGAATAGGAAATGCAGAGTCCAGCTTTACCCATCATTGCTCCAGAGCCACTGCTAGTCTATCCATTCATACTCTTTGTGCATATTCAAATAAGGGCTGCTCCAGGTAGGTAGCCAGAAGTGCTGCCCCACTTATCATCTCTGCCAACTACTCACAGAGGGCTCAACCTGGCAAATTTATACAGCAGCTGAAGTGCTTTTTTTTCTCTCTCTCTCTCTTTTTCTTTTTTTTTTTTTAATACCTTCTTAGCCGGCCTTCAGGCCAGCCTTGTTCTCTTTTCAGCCTCTGATGAGAGCCTTGCTCCTTGGCTCTCGCTGAGCTTGCTCTCTGGAGCCCCTTGTCTCCCTGGTTAATGGCTGTCTCTTTCCTGGTCCTCCCTTCCCATCATATCGCTCAGAATTTCACCTGCTGGCCTTCTTAAACACGTAACTCACACTGGCTTCTGCAGCCTACGTGTGTCCGTGTGTCCACCAAGCCCGGGCATGACTGTTTTTATTTTTAGTTTTTTTTCTCACTAGGAATTCAGTTCCTCTGACTCTGCCTTTCACACATCCCTGCCCTTGAACTCTGGATGGTTCCAGATTTTCTCTCCTGCCTTGTCACCGGTCAGTCAGTGGCCAACCCACAAAGAATAAGCATGATCACCACTTTCCTTTTTCCAAAGTACACTTAAGATACTTCTTGTTTATAGCTACAAGGGCTAATTAATTCATATATAACTAGAATGAGGGAAAGTTGGGAATCATAAACAATGCATGAAAAGTTACAAAAAACAATGACGACACAACAAAATTAAATGTCGGAGGCTGACATCAACTTTTATGTTGACAACACCTTGAGAAATAATGACCAGGTTACGAAATGAGTAATGTCAATATGAAAACCTTATGCCCATGCTTTACTAAAGGCTTTCCATGGCCAGAAGTGTGGCAAAAAAAACATATATTTCATTCAATTCTGTCTGCAAATTAAAATTAAAAATGAAAAGCTTTAAAAATAACTTTGCTGAGGTCATTGTTGTACTCTTGCAATTTGAAGAGTTTTAATTTTTGTTTTAAAGTTTAATTTTTAAAATCCTGTGCTGAGGCTTCTGGAGTGCTAATGACATTCTATATCTTGAGCTGGGTGGAGGTTTTTAATGAATTTTTGAATTGTAAAATTTGTTAAACTGAGTGCTTAATATTTGTGCATGTTACTATATGAATGTTACACTTTTTCACAAACACTTTTTAGTAAGTTTACCACCTCCCCCATACCCTGAAAACACTCATGCTTGGATTTACCCCACATCAATCAAATCAGATTCTCTGGACAAGAGACACAGCATTGAGAGTTTTTATTCTTATTTTTTTCAGCTTTATTGAGGTATGACTGACAAGTAAAAATTATATACATTTAATATGTACAACTTGAAGGTTTGATATATGTGTACATTGTGAAATGATTACCACAATCGAGCTAATTAACATCTTTCATGTGTGTATGATGAGAACACTTACTCTCAGCAAGTTTCAAGTATACAGTACAGTACAATATTATTAACTATAGTTACCATGCTGAATATTAGATCTCCAGAACTTATCATCTTATAACCAAAAGTTTGTGCCCTTTGACCAACATCTCCCCCCATCCCTCAATTCCTGGTAACCACTCTTAACTACTCTCTCTTTCTATGAGTTCAACTTTTCAGATTTCACATATCGGTGAGTTTGTGCAATATTTGTCTTTTCATGTCTGGCCTATTTCACTTAACATAATGCCTTCCAGGTTCATTCATGTTGTTACAAAGGGAAGGATTTCTTTCTTTTTAAAGGCTGAACAAAATTCCAATATGTGCATATATGTGTGTGTGTATGTATGTACATAAGTATACACATACAGTTTTAAAGCTTTACTGTTTTTACAGTTTTATAGTTCTGAACTTACATTTAAGTCTTTAATCCATTTTAAGTTGATTTTTATCTGTGGTGCAAAAGGAGGTTCCAATTTCATTCTTTTGCATATGAATATCCAGCTTTCCCAACACCATTTATTGAAGAGACTATCCTTTCCTTATGGGGTACTCTTGGTGCCTTTATCAAAGATCAGTTGACTGTATAAGCATGGGTTTATTTCTGGGCTCTCTATTCTGTTCCGTTGGTCTACATATCTGTGTTTATGCCAGTACTATGCTATTTCAATTACTATAGCTTTGTAATATAATTTGAAATCAGGAAGTCTCCAGCTTTCTTCTTCTTGCTCAAGGTTACTTTAGCTACTCAGGGTCTTTTGTTGTTCCATACAGATTTTAGGATTGTTTCTTCTATTTCTGTGAGAAATAACATTGGAACTTTGATAGGGATTACATTGACTCTGTAGATCTGTTTGAGTAGCATTGACATTTTGACAATATAATTCTTTCAATCCATGAATACAATATATCTTGCCATTTATTTGCCATCTTCCATTTCTTTCATCAGAGTTTTATAGTTTTCAACATACAAATCTTTTACCTTCTGTGTTAAATTTATTCCTAGTTTATTCTTTTTGATGCTATTGTAAGTAGGATTGTTTCAATAATTTCTTTTCCAATACTTCATTATTACTGTGTAGAAACACAACTAATTTTTGTCTCTTGATTTTGTATGCTGTCACGTTGCTGAACTCATGTATTCTAACATTTTTTGGTGACATCTTTAGAATTTTCTATATGTAAGATCATGTCACCTGCAGAAACATACTCTTGTTTTACTTCTTTCTTTCTGATTTTGATTCCCTTTCTTTCTTTTTTTGCCTAATTGCTCTGGCTAGGACTTTCAGTACTATCCTGAATAGAAATGACAAGAGTCTTCCTAGTCTTAGAGGGAAAGCTTTTAGATTTTCACCATCGAGTATGTTAGCTGGGAGCTTGTCATTGATGGCCTTGATTATGTTAAGGTACATCAATAGTTTTTAAAGCTTCTGGGTGGTTCTAATGTGCAGCCAGGTTTGAGATTCTTCAGCTTCCTGTCCATGAAAGGCCCAATGGGTGACCTCAGAAGTTTGTTTTTCTGCTGGGACCCTAGAACTTGATGGTATGTATTGGGTGGGAGTGGGGGGATGTGAATGAGAATAAGGAGAACAGTGAGCCTGATCTGTTCAGTGTTTGAGTTTCCGTATTGTTGGTTTCATCCACGCAAAAACACTTTCCTGTCCATCTGGTTTAGAATCACACTTAAAAAGTAACTTTGACATCTAGATATCTCTTCTTTTCAGTGATGCATCTTTTAACTTTACCTAAAATAGACAAGGGGCTAAAAGTCTATCCACTTTCCCTGAAGCCTCTGAAAAAACTAAAGGCTTATATCTCTCCTCTGAAATCTGCGTTGTATAAATGATGCCACAGTCCACAGAAACAAGAGCGGGTCCGCCCCTGCTGCTCTGTCCTCTTTCACTGAGGAGGCCTTTGAGTGCCCACCACTCCCTGTGCATTGAGTTTGCACCCTGCAGAGAATGAACACAGGAGTGTAATAAAGTGACTCAGAGCCAGGACCTCAGCCTTCTCATATTAGTAATGGGCTTTGCTCTGGAGAGAAGGAATGGATAATTGGCATCCACATTGCAAGTGTATTTCAAATGATAAATAACACAGAGGCTCGTGGACAAAGGTGTTCGCTGTTTCTGGGTGTCGCCGTTTAGTAATTAGGGCAGAGCAGTCAGTTCACAAAGCCTGAGCCTGATGCTGTGAGACTGGAATTCTGGCCCCTGACAAGCCTCTGATGCAAAGTAGACCTTGAGTGGGTCACTAAGGATTCTGGAAGGAAATCTGGAAGGATTCTTGTGAAGTTAGACACTGGAATAAGGGATTGGATTGCTCTAAGGGCTAGTGAGTTAAGACATGGGCTGTGGCCAGGAGTTTTTGGTGGACAGTGGAGTCCACTCAGCCTGCTGAGACCTAGCTTTTGTACCAGTGTGGAATAATGATGGTGCTTTCTCTTCATATCACTGCTATCAGAGTTGAAATTTTCCCCGGAGACAGATGGTTGCTAACATCTGAAGGTTCCCAACATGAATGGACCTCACCCAATGCTGACAAGACCTTAGGAGGCAGAGTGCTTGGCTGTGGTCACACCAGCACCTTCCCTGCCACCACTCCATTCAGGAACTTCTGGGCCATCTGTGTCTCCCCCATGGCAAAGAGCAGTCCACTAGAACAAGGGAGGAGGAAGAGCAACAAACTGAGAAGGAAATGCCCTTGCCTCAAAAATCAGTGCCTGTAAGAGCTGAAAATAGGTATTTAGAGTTGGCTTGGCCGGGTGCAGTGCCTCACACCTGTAAACCCAGTGCTTTGGGAGGCTGAGGCAGGAGAATTGCCTAAAGCCAGGAGTTCGAGAAAATTTGGCTCTTCTTGACCTAACACCCGTTCTCAAGCCTAGGCCTTCTGACCCATAGTGGGAATTGGCTACTGGTTCAGAAATAAATAAGCAGTATCTTCAAGAACAGATAGGTCAGGTGTAAAGGTTCTCTTTCAGCCTTCCTGCCCTTCCTTTCTCTCTCCACACTCTGTAATAATCAGGACACATCAGCATTTAATGGAAGCCCCAGTACCTCAGGGGAAATGGGAACAGAGAGCTGAATCACAGGCACTTTCTATGTTGGCTGAGAGCTTTCATTAGGCCCAGGCTTTGGAATTGCTGCTAGACTGCGGCACTGTCCGCTCCATTAAACCCTCTGTCATCATTTTCCCTTTTAAATTCATGTGCGCATCAGATGAGGTGTTCTCCCCTGCTGTGTGCATTACAGTGTGTAGCAAAGGTGTTCAATTAGCTAAATGGGAAAGTTCTTGTTTTAGCCCGAAAGGCCACAGCTCTGAAAGCCCACAGCACACTGGGCCTCATCTAGCCCCCAGAATAGCCCCATGGCCTCTATCTGGCTAGCCCTGCACTGCAGATGTTATAGGGTCAAACTTGGGGCTCCCATAAACGTCAGACTTACCCCACCCTACGTCTCCAGCCATGATGCGATGTCCAGGCTTAAAAATACATATATTCCCAAGGTTGTCCAAATTACCAAAACATCCCTACTTCCTTTGGCTGGCAGGAGAGGCAATAGCTATCTAATTGAAGAAGGAAGCAGGGAAGGATTCCTGATTCCTCAACCAGACAGATATTCAACAAGAAGGAAGAAGAAAGTCAGCTTCCTTGTTCACAAGAAGGAATGCACTGTGGCCAAGGGAAAGAGGTATAAAGTGAGAGGTATTTTGAGTCTCAGACCTGCTACTTCTGTGAGCTCTGTCAAAGCTTTTCAGTCTGATCCAGCCCACTCTCCTAGTCAGCATTGTAGTAAGGATTAAGCAAAATAATCTCGTTAGAATACCCAGTGTGTATTTGATGCTCAAAAATGGTAGCTCTTGTTGCTATCAGGTCATCCTACATGGGATACCCAGATTGCCAGAGCAGCCCAAATGTGAGCTACATGAAAAAAGAGGGAGAAGGAACTAAAAAGCATAAACCCTGCCTAAAGTTTGAGATTAGAGAAGTCAGAGAAAAGAAAAAAAAAAGGATAGAAGCTAAGATAAAAGAGAACCAAGGTATTAAAACAATACTGTAAAATCTTGATGACTTTTTACCCAATAAATCAGAATCCTCCATTTTTCTGTTGGGTAATTTAATATTCAAGGGGCATGTACTATATAAAGACCCATTTTCAAGGCCATGGTGCTATCGTTCCCAGATAGAAATAACGAGAGTCTGACAACTCTAACCTGTGAGCATCAACTACCAGCTGATTCTGCGGGTTATATGGGCAGCACCAGAGCCAAGCTCTATCGCAGCACCAAGATGTCAGAGATCCTGGAGACAGGCAGTCAGTGCAATTGTTAACAGCATGGGCTTAGAGGGAAGGCCCTACTTCCAAGCCACCTCTGCCCTCTCTAGCTTTGTCATCTTTAGGACAGTAACCTAGGCTCTCTGGTCCTCTGTTTCCTCATCTATAAAACAGGGATAATAATAGTATGACCTAATACAATTGCTGTACGATCACATTACTGGGTATATACCCAAAGGATTATAAATCATTCTACCATAAAGACACATGCACATGTATGTTTATTGCAGCACTATTTATAATAGCAAAGACTTGGAACACACCCAAATGCCCATCAATGGTAGACTAGATAAAGAAAATGTGGCATATATACAACATGGAATACTATGCAGCCATAAAAAATAATGAGCTCATGTCCTTTGCAGGGGCATGGATGAAGCTAGAAACCATCATTCTCAGCATACTAACACAGGAACAGAAAACCAAATACCACATGTTCTCACTCATAAGTGGGAGTTGAACAATGAGAACACATGGACACAGGGAGGGGAACATCATACACCAAGGCCTGTTGGTTGAGGGAGGCAAGGGGAGGGAGAGCATTAGGACCTAATGCATGTGGGGCTTTAAACCTAGATGATGGGTTGATAGGTGCAGCAAATCACCATGGCATATGTATAACTATATAACAAACCTGTACATTCCACACACATATCCCAGAACTCAAAGTAAAATAAAATAAAATAATACAATTGCTGTATTAAAGGATGGCATACAAAAAGTGCCTGACACAGTGCCTGGCACAAATGTTCATTAAGTGTAGTCTCGTATTTTCATATTTGGGACTGAAGTTTGGGTCAGGGAGGAAGAATTAAAAAGAGGAATATTTAAAAGATTGTATTTACCTTTTCCTAACCATGTTTTCTCAATGGTTCACCTGTCATTTGAAGTTGTGGAGATGGATAAGAAAGATTAGAAGTACAGGAACAGAACTTGTAAGGCATGCCAAAGTGTCCTGTGCCCACTACTCTAGGGTGTCAGGGCAGGCCTCACATGATAACTGGGGTTCCTCTCAGCAGCCCAGCCAGGACAGGCAGGTGACAGGTGGCCCAGAGCCCTGTCCTCTCATCCTTGCCATATTTCACTGAGTGTTACAGCCCTGATGATTTTATGCTCAAGAGGCAGAGTAAGACGTGACAGAGGGAAGTGATTTGGTACATTGACTTATACCAGTATTATTTCTTAATTTGTTAATTTAATTTGTTAATTTTACGATCAATCTTATATTTTATCTCAACGAAAGAACCCTTGGCTTCCGATTTCCTTCAGTGATGGTTCACTTTTCCCCATGCAATAATAAGATGCATCAGTCAAATAAACATTGATGATATAGTCTTTAAGGGCTTAAAAAGTAGATGTGAAATTTTAAAAAAATTATCATGTGTTTAAGTGCATGGCCATTTCTTTGAATGCATCTGTTTCATTGTTCATGGCACCCAGAAGCAAGTGTTTGGAAAGTCTCACGTGCTGAAACATGGCCACAAGCCAGGTCTCCCAGCCCAGCCTCTTGTCTCTCTCCCCATCCTCTTTGTTTAGTAGGGGTAATATGGAGCCTGTAGGGAAGGCATCTATCAGCTAGGATGCAGATCGTCCCCACAGACCCAAAAGACGTCTATTTACTTTCTTGAGAGATTGAGAGTTCTGGCCAGATCTGGGAAACACTTTTCAACATTCTCACGCTGACCTTTGAGGTATGTATAGTGAACTCAGAGGAGCTGCCTCCCCTACTGTGAATTAAGCCAATTATTGTGGAATTGAAGTCTGAACTCTTCCATTCAAGCTCACCAGAAAAGGAAGTGATGTCAGGCATTTACTGAGAGCTTTCTGTGTCCCAGGCATTGTACCAGGTAGGTTATCTTAGGCACCTGATCTTAAAATGGGGAAATGGGCTTTAAAATATGGCGATTTCCTGCTCTGGTGCTCATGTGAAGAACTGCATGTTCCTATGCTGATAGCACTGCAGGTGACCCTGTCAACCCGGGGTTTGTGACCATATGTCCCTCTGGTAAGTGGGTGAAGCCCACAGACCTCTTCCCAAAATAATGTTTTTATATACATAAAGCGAAATAAATAGGATTATAAATGAAATCAATTGTTTCAAAATAGTATTATCAAAATATATTAGCATACTAAGTAACAACATCTAGTGACAGGGCTAGTAGCTACCACAATTTTGAAGTAGATACAAGTGTAGAAGCTGGAAATCAACTGGTGCATTCTTCTCAATCCTAGGAAACCACTGGACCCCAGATTCTCTCCAGAATCCATTTCTTCACTTTAGTTAAAAATTAGAATTGACAGCCGGGTGCAGTGGCTCATGCCTGTAATCCCAGCACTTTGGGAGGCCAAGGTGGGTGGATCACTTGAGCTCAGGAGTTCGAGGCCAGCCTGGGCAACATGGCAAAACCCCATCTCTACTAAAAATACAAAAATTAGCTGGGCATGGTGTCAGGTGCCTATAATTCCAGCTACTTGTGAGGCCAAGGCACCAGAATTGCTTGAACTTCCCGGGAAGGGACACTGTCTTAAAAAAAAAAAAAAAAAAAGAATTGACTAGATAGAAAGGAAAAGCCAAATTAACAAAGGTATAAGCAAGATATAAGTTTGTTTTATATCACATGAAAGCAGTCTGGATAGAGGCAGTCCGGGGCTGGTGTAGTAGCTCAGCGGTCATCATCAAAGGCCCCAATTCCTTTTTTCTTACTGCTCCTCCATTCGTAGCATGTTCCAACTGTAGGGTTGGAATTCTAGGCAGCACAAAGTGGGAAGGATTCATAAGGATATGTCTGTACTCCCAGAAAGAATCTTCCTGGAAGTCCCACACAAATCCACTTGAATCTCATTGGCCAGAATTTCAAGACAAAGAAAGTCTTGGAAATGTAGAGTAGCTGTTTATTCCCGGCAGCAGGGAGAATACAAATCAGTGTAGAGTGGACACAGGGAGGCAACTGGCCATCTCTGCTGCACCATTTCATTCTTACTCTGGAAAATCTTTTAGGAATGTTCCTGCATTTGATAATCTAATGTTTAAGTGTGGCCCTTCCATCCATTTTTGGATGCCAGAAACAGAAAGCAACTCTGGCTAACTCAACAGGAATTTCTTGAAAGGCTATTGGATAGCTCAGGGAATGGTCAGGAAGGCTGGAGAAACAGGCTCAGAAAACAGCAGAAGACAAAGGAATCCTTCCTTAGATGGCTTACATGGCCTTTCAGCAAACTCAAAATTTCAGCACTCAGACCCAAAGAAAACACTTACAGTTTAACAAAAATTGGCCCAAATTACACAACTTCAGTTTTAGTGCCCCAAGGGGCTTTTAATATTGTTAGATTTTCTTCCAAAGTCATGGGGAGTCGCTGTCTTTGCAAGATGCAATCCTTAGGGGTGCCGCCTGCTGTTAGTAAATCATAATTACCCAAGCATGACGTTGTGGACAAGTCACCCCAGTGCCCTCATTCAGATAAGTGCTGAGTACACACTAATGTGTGTTAGGAGGAGAATCTGGGCCCATTTGAAGGTAGGCATAGTTTGGGCTGCTGTGGCCTTTCTATTTGGTTTCAGAGAATGTAGATACAGGGGTCTCGAGACCCTCAAGCCAGTGTGACTCCTCTTTAGCATTTCAGAGTGGATTAGACTTCCCTGGTACTCAGATCACAGTTGGCTAGATCCTGGGTCTTCCCCAAACCAAATGTGAATCTGAGCCTTACCAGCAGACTAGATCCCCCTCAAATCCTGGAGACCTTGACATACAGAAGAGACAAAGGCACCCATACCTATGGTAAATAAAAGTAGTAACATTGGTTTTACTTATTGTAGATATAGATGCCTACTCCATGAGCTGTTGATGTTGGGGTTTGTCCTGAAAACAAATTGTGAATAAATCGTGAATACATTTTATAGTATTAAAAAATTAGTATAAAAAATTAATGGCAATATCAAATGCTGGAAAGGATACAGAGAAACAGCATCTCTCATGCATTGCTTGTGGAAATGAAAGATAGTTATGGACACTCTGGAAAGTGGTTTGACAGTTTCTTTAAAAACCAAACATACACCTAACATATCACTCCTGGGTGTTTATCCCAGAGAAATAAAAACTTGTATCCACACAAAAGCGTATGCATGGTTATCCATACAACTTTATTTGTAACACCCAAAAGCTGAAAATAACCAAAATGTCCTGCAATACTATAAAATGCTACTCAGCAATAGGAAAGAAGTGATTGCTATAACAGCATGTATGGACCTCAACAGCATTTTGCAGAGTGAAAAGGCCAATCTCAAAAGGCATTTATGTAACATTCTAGAAATGACAAATATAGAGGTGGGAGAACATGTTAATTATTGGCAGAGGTTTGGGATGATTGGGGGGTGGGGGGTGTATGACTATAAAGGAGTTGCATCTGGGAGAACTTTGCGTTGACGTCATAGTTGAGTGTCTTGGTTTTCAATATGGTTATGTGAATCTACACATGTGATAAAATAAAACAGAACTATATACACACATTGCACTAATGTCAGTTCCATGCTTTCGATGTTGTCTATAGTTATGTAAGATTAACCATTGAGGGAAACTGGATGAAGTGTACATGGGATCTCTCTGTACTATCTTTGCAATCTTCTGTGAATCTATAATTAATTCAAAATAAAAAGTAGAAAACAAATGAGTAATACCTTTCAAGAGGGCAGTCTTACATATATTATCTATTTATTCTAACAATTTTGGGGGGAAAAACAACAGTAACTATTACTACCCTTTTTTGAATAGAGATCCTGTTGCATAGAAATTTGGTCATTCCCCAGATTGACACAGATAATGGAAGATTAGACATTAGAAGCAATCATTTGATCCTTGTTTCTTCAAAATGTTCTCTGTACATGAAGAAGCTAAGAAACTTCTCCAGAGAGCAACACAGAGTTGGAATGGTGTCTGGGGTATTTCAACTGCCTCTACAGTGTGCATGTGTGGCCCAGATGCCAGCTACCCCTTGTCTGTCCAGGCGATGCTCTCACAGCCCCTTGCCAAGCATTCAGAGACCTAAGCCTTCATCATTTGCCATGAGAAAAACCAGTTGCATGCAGAATTTTTTGTTGTTTTAAAAATTATCTTAGGCTGAGGTGGGAGGATTGCTTGAGGCCAGGAGTTGGAGACCAGCCTGGGCAACATATATTCTATAAAAATTTTAAAAATTAGCTGGGCATGGTGGCACACACCTGTGCTCCTAGCTATTTGGGAAGCTGAAGCTGGAGGATTGCTTGAGCCTAGGAGTTTGAGGTTACAATGAGTCATGGTCAGGCCACTGCACTCCAGCCTGGGTGACAGAGCAAGACCCTGTCTCTTTATATACATACATACATATATATATATATATATATATATATATATATATATATATATATATATATATGTATATGTATATAAAGATTTCATAAGAGACTGAAGAGGTTTTTTACATCACATGCTTTATAACCCACATTTGATAAATCCTGATTTGATACTTGTGTTTCCCTCAAAGACAACATAACTTCTCTCTTCTCCTCCCAACACAGCATGCAACTTCTCTAGCTCCTCTCTTCCTCCAGGAATCAACTCCACTGTCACCCCCAACCCCTTATTACTCAGAGAAATCAAGCTCTTCCAGCTTCTGGCTCCAAACTTGCATACCTGTCTTAATCTGCTCAGGCTGCCATAACAAGATACCACAGACTGGGTGGCTTAAACAGCAGAAATTTATTTCTCACAGTTCTGGATGCTTGAAGTTCAAGATTAACATGTCGGCTGAGTTGGCTTCTGGCCACCTTCTTGCTGTGTCTGTACGTGGTGGGGATGGGGAAGTGGTGGGGGGATGGGCATCTCTCTCTTCTGTTTTTATAAGGCCACAGTCCTGTCAGACTAGGGTCCCACCCTTATGAGCTCATTTAACCTTAATTACCTCCCAAAGACCCTATCACTTTCAGGCATATTGGGGGTTAGAGCTTCCACAATGAATCTGAGAGACATAATTCAGTCCATAAAACCACCCATTATGATCTTAGCAAACAAAGGGCCCTCTAGCTACTAGAAGGGCTCCACCCTTTGAAGGCACTGGGATTTTTTGGGGGTTTTTTTCCTGCTGTTTTATTGTTAGCTACCTACTGCAAACCTAACTTGAAACACGGATATCTTTTCTCTCTAAAATAAGGTCTTGTGCTATCATTATGATTCCATAAGAACGCCCCATCTCATTTTCCTGCACATTTTTATATTCTGCACTAGACAAAATATGTATGTGTGTGTATGTGTGTATTTCTTTGAAAATAACTGTTCTGAAAATACCCTTGCTGGGCTGAATTTATCATTAACCTAATTAGATCCTTTATCAAAGGCTTACAATTAACACCATTAGCAAGTCTTAGTAACTCACCGCTGTGTTTCTAAATTAACTTTCACCTGTAGGGACATAAAAATCGCCATCATTTTCTAAAATATTCCTTGTTTGAGTGTTGTAATTGTTCCCCAGATTTCCATGAATAATATTAAGTGACTTACAGGACAAGAGATACTTACAATTTTGTGGAAAGGGAGAGAATGCTTCCCTCATATCTTAGGGTACAAGTTGAATAACCTCAAAATCCTTTTTCTTCCATATCTAGAGTGGGGTCCCCAGAAGGAGTACTCCCTTAATTTGCCCAGGTTGTTAAGGTAAAAAATTGTAGAGCTACCCATCTGTTCTTCACAAGCACAGTATTCTTTCATTTGCAAGGACTAAGCCAAACTTTATTTTTTTACATAACCTACCATCAGAGGCATTGATGTTAAATTACCTACCAGTTCCCTATTCTCTTATGGGCTGATTTTGTGTTTCTATTTTATTCAGCTGTCTCTGTCAAAATCAAGTTTATATTTGCCCTGAGTTGCTTTGAGAAGGTCTCAAGAGAATCCAAGGGGACACTGGGTATGGCATCTTAGCCAGTGTGGCCATTCAGCACCACTGGGCCACACTGATGTTTCCTATGTGACTAATTTCCTGAGATTTACAATCAACTGCCTAGAGTAGAGCATTAGAAAAATAGATTGCTAAATACGACAGAGTGTGATGTTGAAAGCTTGACAGGGAATCTAATTATGCAGTGAAGTAATTCCTAGGGATCCTTCTCAATGATGGAAGGGGCTTCTTCTTTGGGAGGTTTCTGATCTTTTATGTAACACTGAGGCATGCTTCCACTTGAGGATAAATTAAATTGCATGATCCACTTCTTCCTCATTCCCATGCTCAGCCCTCAAGGAGCTCTTCAGCTGTGCTGTCTGTCACACCATGGAATGTATAAGACAAAAGGGAGTTACTTGGGGCTTGGACAGGATACTTGCAAAGAGGTTGGAAAACAATGAGCCTGAGAACTGGGTGGCAGGAGATGGCAGTGGTCAGCCTTGAGATCTGGTGAAATCAAAGGAGGCAGACTGTGATGAAAGGAAACAGTATGGGTTAGAACAGAGTGAAGTGGTTACTGTAGATCTTAATCAAACAAAAAAAATTGCTCTTGTGTAATCTAGTGGTAGCCGAAGAGATGAGCCATTTAAGCCATTTATGTATTCCGTGCCCAGTCTTTCCAATGATTAGTAGCACATCTTAATGAGATAACCAGCATGGGTTAGGCAACTGGTTGAGGGCCATGGAGCAAATATATTTTCTCTGTCTAAAGTATCCAACAAAGAAGTGGATTCAATGGCTTTGCCTCCATTACAGCTAAACAAACTGGGATTGAGCCTTCATTTAAATTACTTGATGAGAGTATAACACTACATTTTGGGTTTGGCAAATGCTCATTGGGCATCCGTCTGTGCCTGGCCCCATGCTGGAAGCCAGAGGTGCTTCTAGGCTAAGGTTGGACTGCGAAGAAATCTCTGGTCTGGGGTAAGAGCAAAGAGTCCTGAAGATGAAAATCCTTGCTTCTCATCTTGCCTGTTTCAGCTTATGAGTTCAACGAACCGCTTCCTCAAATACTCTAATGGATCTGGGAGTTCAGCCTTGCTGGGGCCACTTTGAATTCCACTCTGTTCTTTAACCTACACTGGTCTTCCTAGTTAGGTGGAGGGTATACATTAGCCTGAGCAGTTAGGTGGATGGCTGGGGAGCAGTGGGGCAGAAGGAAAATGAGTTGGGAAGAGTCCCAGGGGTCTTGGCTTGACAATTTAAGACTGAGATGGGCAACTTAAATATCCTAGGAACCAAGCAGGTGGCATGAATAAATGAAGCTGGCAGAAAAGGGAACAGAAGCAAATGAGAAAGCCCACACCCTCTATAGAGGATTAGCAGCTACTGAGCTGCAGCAGATTCCAGCCATACAGATATTAAAGCCCAGTTTGGCCAGATCTGATTTCCAAAAAAAAGGCAAAATTCTGGATATTTATATGAAATCTCTCCCATTTTTAATGGTCTAATTCTTATGTATTCTTATAGAGATACAATTTACACATGTGGTAAGTAGAATAATGGTCTCCCAAAGATGTCCATTTGGTAAGTACATGTTTAGCTTGATGAGAAACTACTAAACTATTTCTAAAGTCACTTTCCCATAATCCTCCAATGTTTAAATGTTGGCAGCTAATTCAGGAAGTTTCAAAGCAAGGTATAGGCCTAACAGAACACACGTGCAGGTCAGATGTCAGATGTGTCCCAATGTTAAGGAGAGCTGCACTGGCCAGGAGAGGAAGACACGGGTGATGGGCCTGTGCTGATGGAGAAAGATGTGTCTCTCTGGGAGCCTGAATAGGGGAAGATTCTCAGAATTAGGAGAAAGGCAGGTGGGATGCCCATGATCACTGGCTGTGTCTGGCAAGCAGTTGTGTCCTTAAACCAAAGGAAGTTAAGCGGGCCCCACAGGAAAAGAGTTCCAGGGACCAGAGAGAGAAAGAGCTTGGTTTCAGACAGAGATTGGAAGTGATGACAGAAAGGGCCTGCTCAAGGAAAGGAAGGACCTCAGGGGCCTTCCGGGAGGGATGGAAAGACACCAAACATCTGATTGGCAGGCGATGACACCTTACATGAGAAGTACCCTTGGTGATTTGTGAAGATTTTCAGAAACATTATCTCATGATGCAGATAAGATAAAAGCCAAACTGCATGACGGCCTGTACTGCACAGGGGCTGGCCAGGCAGAAGACCCCATAGTGAACAAGCAGCTGGGCCAGCTCCTTGCAGGAGCACCTTCCCTCTGCCATATGTGGTCTGTGCTCGAGGATACTCCAAGCCAGGGTATGGTTTCTGTCTTGTAGTGGACCGAGGGTGGGGTTCCACAAACATAGAGAAAGAAAAGCTGTAGAAGGGGCATTTCCCCCCTGTCTGGCTCAAAGGGGGTTCTGGAGGCACCAGTAACCCAGTGCCTTCCTAGGGCATCCTACCACCCTCTCCTTGTGCCTGATACACATCTCTATCTTACAGAATTGTCTTTATAATTGCAATAAAATAATAAATATGTTTCTTCAGAACTCTAGGCAATTTCTGGACTCTTTGAGGCCAGAGCTGAAGTCTTAGTTATCTTTATAACCTCCGTGGCACTGAACACAATGCATGAGCCAGATAAGCCCACGGTGAGTGTTTTGCTGACTTGAGTCACAGAGCCCTGTAATAAACAGGCTACTCAGGGGTGTCAGTCCCCTCCACACATCTGGTTGAGACAGTTCCATCTAGTTCTGATCAGTTTTATTAAATAAGCTTGTGCTGTGGGGCTGTTTTTTCCTTTGTGAACTGCCATTTCCAGAATGGGTTACCACGCTGGTGGTGGCCCTAGCTGATGGGCTTGAAGGGGAGGCATTCATCTTGTCCCATCGCGGCTCACTTAGCTGAGACCTCTGCAGGAGCTTACACGCGGGCCAGCAGAATCGCAAATAGTTCTCCCACCACCCGAGGTTTTATCATTGCTAAGCTACTGCAAGATTATTGTAATTGAAATGGTTCTCAGGCTTCTGGGGTTCTTTCTCTCTATCTCTCTCTCTCTCTCTCTTTCTCTCTCTTTTTTTCTAGCCTGTGACTCACATTTTTTTCTAAGGCATTGTATCAGTGGCCTTTGCAGGCTGCTCAAGGGATCCAGACTTTTGCATTTATTGAACATGTCAGGCATTCATTAAGTACTGCACCATCAGGGAGAATTTCCCTGCTATTAAGCGTCGACTCCAGCCAAATCAGATTCACCTGGGCGTTTCTCAAAGAAAAGCCTGTCAGCATGATAATGGTTTGAACAGGGCTGAGCTGTATGGTTGAAGTGCGACAGGGCAGAAGACAGGCTGTGGTGACCCCAGAGTTGGTCTGTAACTCACAGAGGAATCACACAGTGGAGAGGCTTCAGAAAATCAGAAATCTGACTGTCACAGGTAGCGGGGCAAGCTGCCTGATGATGCACTTCAGGAAGGCTCAGCAGGAGGGTGGGGAGGATGGAAAAACCCGTAACGGAGCAGCTAGAAAATTAAGGCAAGGAAACCGTAAGTCTGCCCTCCAGACTGCCACGGTTTTATGTTTGAGACTGAGGTCACTCCCCCAGGGAAAACAAGAGGAACTGAGAGGTGAGAGTAGGGGAGAAACACCCCTCACTCACCCCTTGAATAAAAACTTTGGTGTCAGTAGCATCCTGTACTAATGTTTATTGAGCATTTATTATGTATCATACTTCATTCCAAGAAGTGAAGGTATATTCTTTAATTTTTACAACTCTTCTATGAAGTACGCATTAATATTATCTATGTTTTACAGGTGAGGAAACTGAGGCCGGGAAGTTAAATGGCTTGCCCTAGGTCACCCAGCTAGTAAGGTGGAGGAGCTAGGATTCAGGGCCATGCCATGCCTCCAGATACCACAACCTTAGTGGCTTTACTATGTGGTTTTCCATTCCATTGGGCTGACACCCAAGAAGCCACAGGTACTCACTGTGGCCCATGCCCAGCTTTCTGTCAAACATTCCTCAAGTTCAAGGGCAATGCCTTTTCCCCTCCTCCCCTGCCCACAAAACGTGTCCTCCAAATGGCCCAGCTGAGAAAGCAGGGAAATTTCTAGAAATATTTGCATAAACTTTGGGTGAAAGTGGAAACCCCACCAACACCCATCCTCCATCCTCCCCACTCTGCTGCCTATGTCTGCCAGGCTGAGGATCCTCACCCTGGTGCGGGACGGCCATGTGGCCATTCAGAGTTCTTCCTACCCCCATCCAACTTTGCAGTGCTGTTGGTTGCTTCAGAGCTTGAGGATCTCTGGACAGATAGGATTTGCTCTCAGGTTTCACATTGCTTCCTTCCTTCAGGCTGGACAATTAGAAATGGGTAGGAGGGTAGTAAAATGGATGCGATGAACTATTCCTTCCAGGCAGGCAGCCCAAGCTGTTGGCCCTCTTCTTTCCATTTGGACTTGGAGCAAGTCCTTCAGTGGGGTTAGTTACTAGGAGCCATGTCAGCTGACCCTCACTCCTTTAAGACTTTCCCACCTTCATGCTCACCTGTACATAAGTTCTTTGTCACTTTCTGATGAAGTCTGAGTCTCCAAATTCCAAAGCTAAAGTGTAGTTAGCCCCTACCATTTCCTGTTTAGACAGGGCAAGATGGCACCCAGCAGAGGAGAGAGAGGACATATATGTGGACAATGCCCTTATCCCCTGGGGGGCTTGCATAACAAGGGCGAAAGCCCTCCCTCTTTCTCAAAGTCATGCTGAGGCTGGACCTCAATAACTGAGAAAGAAGAGTGATGGGGAGGGTGAAGAGGTTGGGGAGAGGAAGCTTGAACTAAAATTCTGAAGTACATGAGATATTGTATGCTGGTGCAGTCATTCTGGAGAACAATCAATGATGCTTGTCAAAATATGTAAATATATACACACCAATCAAGCATACCCCCATCTCTGGTATATGCCCGGAGAAATTCACATGTAAGTCATGAGTAAGGATGTTCACAACATGTTGTTTGTGAAAGGAGAGAGTTAGAGAATCTGTCTGTCCATCACTACGGGAATGGGTATGCACAAGGCAGGGCAGTACTTTGCATCAATTAGAAACAATCATGGTAATTTGATACATCATAAAAGCAGCTGAGTGTAAAGGAAGACAAATGTGAGGACTATATCGTGTTGTCATTATGTAAATGAAAAGACACAAATTTATCTTGCAAGGATTTACTCACATTCAAATCCACAATTAAAACACATTGGCTATGATGGCAGTCATGGAAGAGAATGAGAGTGAAGAATGTTCATAAAAGGGATAATTAACAATGCAATTATTTGCACAATGCTGTATCAACAGCATCAATGATGTGGTACCATGATATGGTCATGGGGAGGGTAATGAATTCAGTTCTCTGCACCTAAGGTTGAAAAGAAAATAAAATGTCAAGAGTTTCATTGGAGTTCATTTTAATTATTCATGTAGGCAATATTGTCTAAGCATAAGATTTATGAAGAACAAATAACATAGCATGGCTGGGCGTGGTGATCCAAGCACTTTGGGAGGCCAAGGCGGGTGGATCACTTGAGTCCAGGAGTTCGAGACCAGCCTGGCCAACATGGTGAAACCATCTCTACTAAAATTACAAAAATTATCTGGGCGTGATGGCGGGCACCTGTAATCCCAGCTACTTGGGAGGCTGAGACAGGAGAATGGCTTGAACCCAGGAAGCAGAGGTTGCAGTGAGCCAAGATTGCACCACTGCACTGCAGCCTGGGTGACAGAGCAAGACTCTGTCTCAGAAGAAAAAAAAAGAAAAGAAAAGAAAGAAAGGCAAGAAAGTAAGAAAAGAAAAGGAATAACATAGTCCTGGACTATGAATCAGAGGCTATATTTTCTTACTTACACCTTTGCACCCTTGGGTTCTCGAAGCCTCAGTCCTGACACACATTAACTAGAAAATGTTTATTTAATTCTAACATAACATCCTGAGTTCCTGTGTAAGTAATTTGCAAAAGCCAAAGAATGGATTAGGAACTCTCTGAATGAAATTTCTCTGCCCAGTGCAGGAACCTGCAGGGTTAATTGGTGCCTGTGAATACAGTATAGCCACAGTCATTTTCCAAGGTTACAAAACACCCCCTCGTCAGTTCAGTTGTTTTTCTTTGGCCTTCAAAGACCTAAGTGTTACAGTTACCATTCTGTGCAATAGATCACTAAAGTTTATTCTTCATGTCCTACTGAAATTTTTTACCTTTTAATAAGTATGTGAAATGATGGATTTATTAGTTAGTTTGATTTAATCATTTCACAATGTAAACATATGTTACAATATCACACTGTACCCCATAAATATATTAATATATACAGTTATTATTTGTCAATTTATGAAAAGATCCAGGAGTTAATGTACTGAGGCTTGCTGCAGCTCATGGCTGATTTTATTTATTTATTTTTTTTTATTATACTTTAAGTTTTAGGGTACATGTGCACATTGTGCAGGTTAGTTACATACGTATACATGTGCCATGCTGGTGCGCCGCACCCACTAACTCGTCATCTAGCATTAGGTATATCTCCCAATGCTATCCCTCCCCGCTCCCCCCACTCCACCACAGTCCCCAGAGTGTGATATTCCCCTTCCTGTGTCCATGTGATCTCATTGTTCAATTCCCACCTATGAGTGAGAATATGCGGTGTTTGGTGTTTTGTTCTTGTGATAGTTTACTGAGAACGATGATTTCCAATTTCATCCATGTCCCTACAAAGGACATGAACTCATCATTTTTTATGGCTGCATAGTATTCCATGGTGTATATGTGCCACATTTTCTTAATCCAGTCTATCACTGTTGGACATTTGGGTTGGTTCCAAGTCTTTGCTATTGTGAATAATGCCGCAATAAACATACGTGTGCATGTGTCTTTATAGCAGCATGATTTATAATCCTTTGGGTATATACCAAGTAATGGGATGGCTGAGTCAAATGGTATTTCCAGTTCTAGATCCCTGAGGAATCGTCACACCGACTTCCACAATGGTTGAACTAGTTTACAGTCCCACCAACAGTGTAAAAGTGTTCCTATTTCTCCACATCCTCTCCAGCACCTGTTGTTTCCTCACTTTTTAATGATTGCCATTCTAACTGGTGTGAGTTGGTATCTCATTGTGGTTTTGATTTGCATTTCTCTGATGGCCAGTGATGGTGAGCATTTTTTCATGTGTTTTTTGGCTGCATAAATGTCTTCTTTTGAGAAGTGTCTGTTCATGTCCTTTGCCCACTTTTTGATGGGGTTGTTTGTTTTTTTCTTGTAAATTTGTTGGAGTTCATTGTAGATTCTGGATATTAGCCCTTTGTCAGATGAGTAGGTTGCGAAAATTTTCTCTCATTTTGTAGGTTGCCTGTTCACTCTGATGGTAGTTTCTTTTGCTGTGCAGAAGCTCTTTAGTTTAATTAGATCCCATTTGTCAATTTTGGCTTTTGTTGCCATTGCTTTTGGTGTTTTAGACATGAAGTCCTTGCCCATGCCTATGTCCTGAATGGTAATGCCTAGGTTTTCTTCTAGGGTTTTTATGGTTTTAGGTCTAATGTGTAAGTGTTTAATCCATCTTGAATTGGTTTTTGTATAAGGTGTAAGGAAGGGATCCAGTTTCAGCTTTCTACATATGGCTAGCCAGTTTTCCCAGCACCATTTATTAAATAGGGAATCCTTTCCCCATTGCTTGTTTTTCTCAGGTTTGTCAAAGATCAGATAGTTGTAGATATGCGGCATTATTTCTGAGGGCTCTGTTCTGTTCCATTGATCTATATCTCTGTTTTGGTACCAGTACCATGCTGTTTTGGTTACTGTAGCCTTGTAGCATAGTTTGAAGTCAGGTATTGTGATGCCTCCAGCTTTGTTCTTTTGGATTAGGATTGACTTGGCGATGCGGGCTCTTTTTTGGTTCCATATGAACTTTCAAGTAGTTTTTTCCAATTCTGTGAAGAAAGTCATTGGTAGCTTGATGGGGATGGCATTGAATCTGTAAATTACCTTGGGCAGTATGGCCTTTTTCACGATATTGATTCTTCCTACCCATGAGCATGGAATGTTCTTCCATTTGTTTGTATCCTCTTTTATTTTGTTGAGCAGTGGTTTGTAGTTCTCCTTGAAGAGGTCCTTCACATCCCTTGTAAGTTGGATTCCTAGGTATTTTATTCTCTTTGAAGCAATTGTGAATGGGAGTTCACTCATGATTTGGCTCTCTGTTTGTCTGTTGTTGGTGTATAAGAATGCTTGTGATTTTTGTACATTGATTTTGTATCCTGAGACTTTGCTGAAGTTGCTTATCAGCTTAAGGAGATTTTGGGCTGAGACAATGGGGTTTTCTAGATATACAATCACGTCGTCTGCAAACAGGGACAATTTGACTTCCTCTTTTCCTAATTGAATACCCTTTATTTCCTTCTCCTGCCTAATTGCCCTGGCCAGAACTTCCAACACTATGTTGAATAGGAGTGGTGAGAGAGGGCATCCCTGTCTTGTGCCAGTTTTCAAAGGGAATGCTTCCAGTTTTTGCCCATTCAGTATGATATTTGCTGTGGGTTTGTCATAGATAGCTCTTATTATTTTGAAATATGTCCCATCAATACCTAATTTATTGAGAGTTTTTAGCATGAAGGGTTGTTGAATTTTGTCAAAGGCCTCTTCTGCATCTGTTGAGATAATCATGTGGTTTTTGTCTTTGGCTCTGTTTATATGCTGGATTACATTTATTGATTTGCGTATATTGAACCAGCCTTGCATCCCAGGGATGAAGCCCACTTGATCATGGTGGATAAGCTTTTTGATGTGCTGTTGCATTCGTTTTGCCAGTATTTTATTGAGGATTTTTGCATCAATGTTCATCAAGGATATTGGTCTAAAATTCTCTTTTTTGGTTGTGTCTCTGAGCTCATGGCTGATTTTATTTCTTCTAGTCTTGGGAAGTTTTTTATTGAAATATTTTTTATGTCATAACAATGAAATTGCATTAATTCACAACATGGAGGGACAAGCTCTTTTAGGGAGACTTCTATGTATATAATTATTTTAAACAAATGTTATTTGCTTAATATGTCATGGATTTTTATAAGCCATAATGTATTTGAGCATATCAGTTTATAGTATATGATATGGTGTGTTATTCAATAAATATTTAAATGTGAAGGAACTAGTAATTCAGAAACACCTATGACATGTTCCTAGAACTGCCTCACACAGCAATTTAATATTTTCTCTTTTTGCTGCAACAAATTAAGTGTATCAGTTCACACTGAGCAATAGGGTCACTATTATATCAGTCTGTGCATGTTTCTGAAAAAAATTATCACTCAAATTCTAAAGCACGATTTATAAATAACATGTCCATTTTATCAAACTCAGTGTAACATATTCCAGGTGTTCTTTCAATGATCTTATACAAAAGATCTGGCAAGTTTTCTTAGAGGAAAGTTTTCCGGAGTTTTTACTCAGTAAGAATCAAATGCTTTATGTCTTTGGTACTGTGATTCCAGAATTGGAGGAATCCAAAGGGATGAAGTTTTATTCTGATATATTATTCCACTTCATCATAACAACCTGATTTCAGCCTTCTGTTTCTCCTGGTTGCCCACAGAATCACTGCCACCGTCCTTAAAAACAAGCATTCTGGCCCTTTGCAAGAGCATTATAAATCATGGTTTCATTTTAGGGAAAAGGTTATTGATTTGCTCATTTTCCCCTGCCTCCCTCTGGTGCAGACTTCAGTGAAAAACTGAAGCTTCCTTTATGAAGTATATCATAGCCAATCAAAAGTGTGGCCTGTGCTTACTTGATTTATAATGAAAGGTGACACGAGTGAGGGATTTCACACTGCTCATCCTACAGTGACTGTAATCAAGAGATAAAAGCTAGAGCAACTACAAATGCTGGCCAGACTTCATCAGAATTATTTACTGCGTTTGCTAAGACAGGGACATTCGATCAGTTTAGATGGAAGAACTAACACAGTTAAAGGCGATGCATTTGTGTTTCATTTTGCTTTTAAAGCCAGCTAACATTCCACTTTTCCTATCGTAATTAACTTGGCCTTTTAAGATTGTACCCAATTGTGATTTGCTTTAAGTGATTTTTTTTTTCACAAAAGGATCAGAAAAAAGACAAAGGGAGAATTATCCATGGAGAAAAGGGCAAAAAAAAAAAAAAAAGGAAGTAAAGTAGTGATGAGACATTTAACGATATTTTTGAAAGGCCTAAAGTCAAGGAATAAGTGAATATCATTAGTAAAATGCAGAAATGCCATGAAATGTCTTGGCAGCAAGGTAAATGAGGCCCCGTTAGATTTTCTTTCTGGTTATGTTATGGATTTTTCTAAGGCATGATATACATTGGTTGGTAAAGGGAAAGCCAGCAAAGCTTTCTTTATCAGTGGTGAAAGAAAACATGTCTGAAGCTGGGACATTTGCAGTATGATTTTAAGTATATTTATAGAGAGATTGAAATTACAAATAAAAATAATAAAAATCATATCAATGTAAACATTTACATAGGAAGAGTACTGCAGTGTGATTAAATGTTTGTAGTGTGGCCGAAACTCAGAACACAGAATGCTGTCACTGAGGTGTATTGTGAATGCTTATATGGAAAATCCCAGGCTATCGATTTCACATGGCCTTTGCTTAGTGCAATAAAAAAAGGGATTAAGATTTTTTTTCAAGCATAATAAAACATCTGTGGACTCATTTTCAGATCTAGAGAAAAACATCATTATTTTAAGAATCCATATTTTTTTTCCTTTCCATTTAGCTCACACTTACTTAGTACATTTCATTAATTGCGTCTCCTACAGCTGAGCATGACTCTTTTTGCATCTAAATTGATTAAAATAGAGAACAGTTGGTGATATGAGTTGTCTTCCCCCCACCGGTTCTATATGAAATTGAATAATTTATGTATTGTAGAAGACAGAGTGATCTTAATATAGAAATTGTATTTGCAGAGCTCAGTGGAGGTTCCCATGTTTTCTTACAAAGAAACTGATCTTTTGCCTTAGCTGAGCCATTTCTTCTCTAAGATAAAATGAGGTAACTTTTTTGTTGGCACATGCTCCACACACCATGTCAGCAGCATACCCAAAGACTTCTAAGACAACTCTTTAGTTATCAAACAAAACTGGCTCTGTGGCACAATGGATAGCACGTAAAAGTTAGTTCATAGCTTCAGAATACATTTTACCTTTTATAGTCAATATTGAAAATCAAAGTAACATGTCCATAGTCCTAAAAATCAAATACACTAGGCCTGGGCATGGTGGCTCACACCTGTAATCCCAGCACTCTGGGAGGAAGGCAGGTGGATCACTTCAGGAGTTGAAGGCCAGCCTGGTCAGCATGGTGAAACCCCGTCTCTACTAAAAATACAGAATTATCCAGGCATGGTGGCAGGTGCCTATAATCCCAGCTACTCGGGAAGCTTAGGTGGGAGCATCACTTGAACCCAGGGGGCAGAGGTTGCAATGATCCAAGATCGCATCACTGCACTCCAGCCTGGGCAACAGAATGAGACCCTGTATCAAAAAAATAAAATAAAATAAAGAGAGAGAGAGAGAAATAGAGAGGAGGGAGATGCCAGGTTCTTTTTAACAACCAGCTCTTATCGGAACAAATAAAGTGAGAACTCACTCATTTTCTACCACTGCAGGGAGAGCATTAATCTATTCATGATAGATCTACCTCCATGACCCAAATATTTCCCATTAGGCCCCACCTCCGACACTGGGGGTCAAATTTCAACATGAAACCAATTGATATGGTTTGACTCTGTGTCCCCACCCATATCTTGCCTCAAATTGTAATCCCCATAATCCCCACATGTCAAAGGCGGGAACAGGTGGAGGTAATTGCATCCTGGGGGTAGTTTCCCCCATGCTGTTCTCATGACAGTGAGTGAGTTCTCATGAGATCTGATGGTTTTATAAGCATCGGGCATTTGCCCTGCTTGCACTCACTCCGTCCTGATGCCCTGTGAAGAAGGTGCCTGCTTCTCCTTTGCCTTCAATCATGATTGTAAGCTTCCTGAGGCTTTCCCAGCAATGTGGAACTGTGAGTCAGTCAATTAAACCTCTTTCCTTTATAAATTCCCCAGTCGTGGGTATTTCTTCATAGCAGTGTGAGAATGGAAAAACACACCAATCTATACCAATCAGTAATCAGAATTTACATTATTCTGACTTCTACTGAACCAAGTAGTATATTGAGTATGATTACTTTCTCATACAACTTTTGTCTTTCCTGGAGTTAACAATTATATTGTGTTTTTATTTGCCTGGTTTTCTATGTGTGTTTCACAAATTCTTCCCATATCTATAGTCTCATAATGTAGGTTTTCAACATAATGAAATGTATTGGGTGAACTATCTTACCACCATTTTTTTACTGAAGACATTTCTCCGAGAGTTCTTGGTCCTTCCGTTTCTTAGGTCTGCTGCATATCTGTCATCCTGGAACTTCTCTCCACTGCTCCCCTGAGTTGATCTATTTCTGGAACCCCTGGACTTTCTGACTTATACCTTCTTTTTGGTGAAGTATAATCTTTGGCAATTTCTATAGAAAAGTTAAACAGAAGTAGGTTGCTGTTGTTATTGTGTTTTGGTCCTTGCATAACTGACAGTGTCTTTATCATACCACATACTATATTGATAGTATGGCTGGACATAGAATTCTAGGTTGGAAATCATTCTACCTCAGAATGTTTGAAGATATTGCCCACTGTCATCTAGCATCCAGCATTGTTGATAAATCTGATGCCTTTATGATTCCCTTGGCTTTATATATGACCTGTATTTTCTGTGAGTTCTTATCTACTCTTTATCTGTGGTATCATGATCATAATATTCAAATGTGTCTGTTACTTCTCTGCACTTTGCTGAGATTTATTGAGCCATTTTAATTTGAAGGCTTATGGCCCTAGTCCAGAGGACTAACACACACACACACACACACACATACATACATACATACATATACACACAATCACACATACACACACACACACACACACACACACACACACACACACATATATATACCTCACCACCATTTTTTTTGTTGTTGTTCTCACTTTCTGGAATGTCCGTCTAATGGGTGTTGAACTACCTGGATCCATTTTCTAATATTTTGATCTCCTCATTCCTATTATCCATCCCTTTGTCTTTTTATTCTCCTTTCTAGGAGCTTCTTTATATCTTCCAACCATTCTATTGAGTTTTTATTTCTGTTATTACTATATTTTTATTTCTAAGGAGGGGTGTGTGTGTATGTGTGTGTGTGTGTATGTGTGTATGTTCTTTGCCCTTTTTAATCCAACCTTTCATTGTTTCATGGCTGTATCATGTTCTCCTACATCTCTAAGGGATTGACTATGAGGTTTTGGGATGGGAGTGATCCGCGTTTTGTTCCCTGTAGTGTCTGTCCTTCTGAGTTTCTTTTTTTCTGTTGTTTTGGTCTCTCTTTCATGTTGGACACTCTCTTAGTACCTGAAAGTCTTCAGTTATCTATTAATATTTAAGAGCGAAGCACGGAAAATCTGACTGAAAACTGAATAAGGGGAGCTTGTCAACTAGGGTTGAGGGTGAGGGTGTGTCACAGTCAGGCGTTCTAGCAGCAGGCAGCCTTTTAATCCAAAGGTACTCTAATTGTTTGAATTTGTCTCTTTTTTAGAAGACTATTTTCTGTGAAAACGAACAATTCATTTTCCATATTGGAGGAGTAAGCCTGACTCCTGGGGTTCTGAGAAGGATGTGGAGGGGAATGCCACACTATTCACACTGGTGAAAACTTTGACTTAAATCCTCTACTTTTAGTCTCACACTTAACTCATTTTCTTTCTGATTGATTTACCCAAGTCCAGACTATTGCAACATGAGTGAAGGGTAGTCCTCTGATTGCTTGGCTGGGGAGAAGTCTGAAGTTCTGCCCACTGCATTCACAGGTTTTCGATGAATTTCATTATTTTCAGCCTGTGTCTCACTCCTATCCTCCTAAGTATCTGGTGCCTTCAACATCTGACCCTTTTGGGATCCTAGGGAATAAATAGTCTTCCCCCCCACTTCTGTATGTCCTGACACCACAGTTTCCTTGGCTCCACTAAGCCAGTTATTCTTCCTCTGTCTGCTTGCTGTCTTCCAAAATCTTGTCGAGATCTCATCCCTCATTATCTCCTCTCCAGTTTTCTTTGTTCTTGTTCTTTATTCCTTTACCCTTACATAGTGATGTTTGAAATGACAGAATGATATTTAGTCTGCCATGTCCATTGAGCAGTCAAGAATAAGTTCTCCATGTGGAATCAAAGGAGATAGCAGAGCAAATAAATGCTGTACTTGTGCTCTATTGCTGCATAACAAATCACTCCAAAACTCCGTGGCTTAAAACAATAACCATTTATTATTTCATGGTTTCTCTGGGTCAGGAATTTAGACAGTGTGCAGAGGAGATGGCTTGTCTCTGCCGCATGATACCTGGGGTCTTTGCTGGCAGTATTAAAGGCTGGGGGCCTAGTATTATGTGAAGACTTATCTAAGGCTGAAGGATCCACTTACAAGGGGGCTTACTCACTTGGCTACCAAGTTGGTCCTGGCAAGTTGGTTCATCTCCACATGAGCCTCTCCCCAAATGGGCCTCTCCACCCTGCTTGAGTGTCCTCACTATTAAAGGTTAGCACCCCCTAACCCCAAGCTAGTGATCAAAGAGTAACTAAGGCAAAATCTGCAATGCCTTTCCTGACCTAGCCTGGGAAGTCACACACTGTCACTTCTACAGCATTCTGTTGCCACCCATGCTAGCCACAATTCATTAATGTATGAATCCCAGGTGATGTGGATCGCTAGGGGCATCTTGGAGGCTAGCTGTCACAAATGCCCAACTCCCAGGAGGGCTATCTGCTTCCCTTCTTTGCAACATGATTTTGTGTTGGAAAGAAGTCAGAAAAAATATTTTCCTCCCTGTCTTAAGCTAAGATGTTGGTGTTTTTGTTCCTTTTCCTTTCTTATGCTTTTTATTCTGCACCATTCATCAAATATTGTGCCCTTTTTCTTTGAAATCTTGAAAGATGAAGAATGTGAAAGCAAAAGAGAAGAATCTAATGCCTACTATTTGTTTTGGTGGCACCCCTACAGCATAAAATTGTGGCACGTGTGAGGGAGAACATAGTGTTGGTTCAGTGCCAGCCAAGGGAGACTGCATTCCCACACCCCTACCCCAAATGTGGCAAGTAATAATTACACAGCAGTTGTGTGATAACTTCTGCTTAAAGCAGATGTATTTTGACACATCACCTGTCCCCTGATATCAGTGTAGCTGTGTAAACAGTAGTGTGTACATTACCAACATTTTACCCCAAGCATCCCCTTAGGGTCTCCGATTTTCTGCCTCAGGGCTCTCTCCAAAGACCTCTCATCCCCACACAGACTCAGCCTCGAAGTGCAGGGGAAGTAACTAACTAGGAATCAACCCTCAACTAAAAGACAACAGAAGGCAGTGGATAATTGTCCTCTGGAGGAACCATCTGTGACACATTCTACATGGTTCCTTAGAGGGTCCCCAAGTGGGATTGAGTCCCTCTTGTTCCTAGCAGTAAGCAGTTCTGTTATACACTCTTTATATGCTTTTCCTCCTTTCCTCTCTCAGTCTCTCTGATCCTTCCACCTGTGCTCTGGGTTCACCTCTCAAGTAAACCACCTGCACACAAGTCCCTGTCTCAGGCTCCATTTGGGGAAACCAAACTAAGACACCACCTCAAAACACAGAATTTCACGAGGCTCCAAATGCCTCAGAAAAGTAATGTAAATATAAAATGACCAATTTTTTGAAGTATATTAATCCTAGTTATGACACTACAGGCAGATGCCAGATAAATATTTATCATTGATTAGATCCACTATTATTAAAAATACAAACTCCCAGATCCCACCCCATTTCCACTTTTTTTTGAGATGGAGTCTCACTCTGTCACCCAGGTTGCAGTGGCAGTGGCGTGATCTCAGCTCACTGCAACCTCCACCTCCCAGGTTCAAGCGATTCTCCTGCCTCAGCCTCCCGAGTAGCTGGGACTACAAGCGCACGCCACCACACCCAGCTAATTTTTGTATTTTTAGTAGAGACGGGGTTTCACCATGTTGTCCAGGATGGTCTCAATCTCTTTTTTTTTTTTTTTTTCCCAAGCCAAACTGTATCCAGCTTTATTAAAGATACTTTCCATAAACAATCATGGTATTTCAGGCAGGACATGGGCAGACAATCGTTAACAGTATACAACAACTTTCAAACTCCCTTCTTCAATGGACTACCAAAAATCAGAAAGCCACTATAAAACCCAATGAAGTCTTCATCTGATGCTCTGAACAGGGAAAGTTTAGAGTGAGGGTTGACATTTCACATTTAGCATGTTGTTTAACAACTTTTCACAAGCCGACCCTGACTTTCAGGAAGTTAAATGAAAATGGCAGAATTTATCTGAAGATCCATAATCTAGAAACAGAACCACTGCTCTTTTGACAGGTGCCATCTCAGTGGCATCACTGGAAAGTCCAGATTGCCTAACACACTGGTAACCAATGACTAGGGGTCAGGTCCCAACAGATGTCTGGGCTTAAGGGAGTTAAGTCTATGCTGAAAGAGGGAAAGGGAGACGAGGACATAAAAACAAATTTGTTTTTCTATACCACAAGGCTTTTGTGCCAAGGTGGCCATGTGTGTCAAAGTCAGGGAATCCCTCCTCCTGGAAGCCAAGAGGAAGTCTCTCAAAACTAGAAGGGAAAGGTGTTTTCTCCACATCAATCCAGCTTTGGAGACATTCTATTAGCGACATATGCCCCTTCCCCCAAAAACAACAATGAAGTGTTCTATGTGCTAACAACATAGCTTTAAAAAAAATAAAATAAAATAAAACAAAATTCTGCATTTTTATAAAACTTGATAAAAAATAGTATTTCAAACTGTACAGTCACCAGAAGTACACAGTTATCAAAAATGCACACACTTCACTTGGCATCTCCAGCACCTTCAGCTTTCTGCGCCTGGTCTGTTTTGGCATCTCCATTTCCTGCAGGGTTATTTCCCTCCTTGCCAGCATCAGCTTTTCCCTTTTTCCCTTTGGGTACCTTCTCTCCCTTCTTTGCAGGGGCCTTTTAGGCGTGGGCTCTGGCTTTGGAGGAGCAGGTTTAGCAGACAACCTCGCGGATCTTCTCTGTGGTTCGTCCTTCACCTTGGCTTTATCTCCCTTAGCATCCCCTTCAGCCTTTCTCTTGGGCATGGTGGCGGCAGCGACGGCAGCGGGACATAGGTGCTGGACGCGGGACGCAGCGGCGCGCGGGCTTTGGTCGGACCGGGGGTCGTTCTCGCCTCTTCTTCACACTGCTCCGGTCTCAATCTCTTGACCTCATGATCTGCCCACCTCGGCCTCCCAAAGTGCTGTGATTACAGGCATGAACCAATGCGCCCAGCCCAGTTTGCACTTTTAATAAGGAACCCTGGTGATTCTTATGTAGGTGGTTTAGGAACCACACTTTAAAAAACGCTGGCCTCATGGCTTCAAGTGAGACATGTTTTGTTTTATTGGTACAGAAACAAAATGCTGCGAGGTCACACAGATAGTGGGTACAGGGCTAGAGTTAAAATCCAGGTGTGTCTGACTTGAAGCCATTCTCTGCACTGACCATCTGCATAATCTTGGAGCATTTTGTTTCTTCATCAAGAAAACGAAGATGATGCCAGGTGTGGTAGCTCACGCCTGTAATCTCAGCACTTTAGGAGCCTGAGGTGGGAGGACTGCTTGAGGTCAGGAGTTCAAGACTAGCCTGGACAGCATAACAAGACCCCATATCTACAAAAAATTTAAAAAATTAGTAGTAGTCCCAGCTACTCAGAAGGCTGAGGCGGGAGGATCCCTTGAGCCTGGGAGTTTGAGGCCGCAGTGAGCTAAGATCACACCACTGCACTCCAGCCTGTGCAACAGATCGAGACCCCATCTAAAAAAAAAAAAAAAAAAAAAAAAAAAAGACAAAAAGAAAAGAAAGAAAGAAAACGAAGATAGTGGCATCTACTTGTTAGGTCATTACTAGGATAAAATGAGATGAGCCATGTAAAGAGGTTGGTGAGGGGCAAGGCACCATAGCAAGTGCTCAGTAAATGGTTGCTGTGCACACACAGAGCTATAATATACTTGCACTACAGAAATGCATGGAATCAAAAAAAATGTATGTTTTCTAAAAACAGAGTTAATCTGCTAGGGACTTACAAACCTCAAGTAAAGGATTCCACAAGAACGCTCTCAGATTAGTTCTACAGTCAACAAATGCGTATTGAGGGGATTTTATTTCCTGGTATAACTCAAAGACTTCCTCTGAGGGTTTTTCAGCTGAGTGCAGGACAGCAGCTGGGAGCACAGAGGCAGTCCACATGAGCATCTTCTGGGCTTGCCATAATGCTTTTGACTGGGAAGAGAGATTTTTTTAAAAGATGGCTTTTCCTGGATCTTTTTCAATTTGTAGTAAAATACACAGTGGGATTCTGAACACATCTCATTTTATTTTCCTGCTGCATACACCCTTGGATGCTCAATAAGTCACTGCTGACTGGTGCCAAAGCCTCCTGCCTGCTCTCTTTGATTCTGCTTCTGTGCCGTGCCCCGCAGTCTATTCTCAACAAGACAACCAGTGTGGTCCTTCAAAAATCTAGATCTCTTCTGTCATTTCCTATTCTTGACCCCCTGTGTCTCCTCATCACACTTGAAAGTAAACCTCAAGTCCTGGCCGGGCCCTCCTTGGGTGTGCCCAATCAGGTCCTGGCTTACCTCACATCCTCCCACTCCAACTCACATGCAGCCACACTGGCCTTGCTCTGCTCTGAATACGCCAAAAACATTTCCCTCTCAGGGCATTTGCACATGTAGTCCCCTCTGTTTGAAATGTTCTCTCAAACATCCACAGGGACCGCCCTCTCTCTGCATTCAGTTCTCTGTGGCTTGGAGAGGCCATCCCTTCCCACCCTACCTAAAATACCTAAAATAGCACACCCATTCTCAGTCCAAGCCCCTAGCTCCTTACACTGATTTATAACACACATTCAATATGGCATCTTCAGTTAGAATGAAACTCCATGTGGGCAGGACTTTGTCTCACTTACTACTCTGTCCCCAGGCCTAGAAAAGAACCAAACACGGTAAGCTCTCAAAAAGCAGAATGAGATGTCAAATGAAGTATTTCTGGTGTGGATTGGGGCTGGCCACATGTAGGATATCTTGCTTAATTGACAAATGATTTATAGAGCCCCTGTTGTACACAAAACATGGTGCCAAGGCAAAAGATGAGTAAGACCAAGTTCCTGCCTTCAAAGAGTTTTGGTCTTGCCCAGTGCTGTCCAGTAGAAATATAACATGAGCCACAAATGTAATTTAAAATTTCTAGTAACCACATCAAACAGTAAAAAGAAATATGTACCATTAGTTCTTATAATTACCTTATTTTAACCCAACAAATATCCAAAATGTCATTTCAACATGTAATCAATATAAAAATGAGATAGTTTACATTCTTTCTTTGGTATTATCCTTTAAATCTGGTATGTAGTTTACATTTACAATGCATTTCAATTCAGATGCAAGTTTTTATTGGAAACCCTTGTTCTATATTTAGAGTCCATAAAGTTTACAAAATGTCAGTTCATATTCAAGTTGATCCAAACATACTTAATGGTTTTTGAATCACTGAATCAAGTTAAATTCATCAAAATTAATAAAAGTCCTAATTCTGTTTCTCAGTCACACTAGCCATGTTTCAAGGGCTCAATACCAGTGGCTAGTGGCTGCCATATTGTACTAGGCAGTCCAGGTCTAACAGAATAGATGAGGTGTATAAATGTGGGGAAGTGAATACATTCATGAAGAGATCATATAAAGAAGAGAGTCAAAGTCTGAATACTGCCTTTGTACACAACCTCTTCCTGACAGGAACTGTCTCTTTCTTTAGGACTCAATTTATATGTCAGCTTTTCTAGGAAATCTTCCATGGTACCCCCAAATTGGGTTAGTTCCCCTCAAGTGTAAGATCCCAGAGTACCCTGTATGTCTACCATCTTCAGTTTGCCCTTCTATGTTTCAATTGCTCTCTATATATTTATATTTGCATTTCCCCCGAGTTTATAAACTTCATGTGGCCAGGAGCTGTCACTGTTAATTCCTCAATGCCAGATTCCCAATAAATTTTGTAGGAATGAATGAATGAATGAATGAAATGGCCAAGACTTGGAGGAAGAGGAAGAGGAAGGACTAGCCCTGCTAGAATGGAGAAACAGGCTGTGGAAGGGGTTCCAGGATGGGGCAAGGACCAGGGATGAAGATAGAAGCTCAGTTCATGCAAAAGTCACCAGTGGCAAATGATTCTGAAGAGTCCAAGGAGATGTGAGCTAAGAAAACACGATCAGACTTAATAAGCAGGAAGCCACTTTTATGGGAGCCTACAAGAGACAATCAGATCAACCTAAGCTCAATACTTTTTTTATAAGTTCAAAAATGTATTGATGTCCTTGGTTTAAGAGTTTTTGATATTTTAAATATTGTGAGTAGACTGGATTCTAAGGCCGTGGTCCAGTTTTAATGTCTGGTCAGCTGAGGTTCTTCTAGTTACTGCAGTCTCCACCAATGACAGCTGTTAACTCTATATGCTAATTGAAATTGGGAGCGAATTGCAGCTGGCTTGGGGCATTTCGTGTGATTTATGGGCATCTGATCTAAAGATACTTAAAGGATGGAATTATTGGAGCCAGGAAGAGAGATGTGATTAATCAAAGAAGACAATTCAGTAAATGGCCCACTAAAACACTGCAGTATAAACTAAAACAGGAACTCTAGTTCCATCTATTGAGGCAGGGGAGTGTGTGTGTGTGTGTGTGTGTGTATGTGTGTGTGTGTGTGTGTGTGTGTGTTAAAGGGTATAAACAGGATATAGAAGGTTTTTTTTCCAGCATATAGAGATTATGGTTGGGGGATTCTGAAGGACATATATTTATCTTTTAAGTTTGCTTACAATGTACCCATCACCATCAGGAAATGTCAAGTTCCTAGCCCTGTGATTTCATCCTGAGGACTCCTGGGAGTTAGGGGAATCACCATGTGGGAAAAAAAAGACAATACCTTTTATTCAAATTTTTAAGGGCCAGTGTGAGTTGTCATCTTTCCATATTCCTGAGTATTCATTCATTTTTATCATAAGGCCTGTGGGTCTGCGGTTACCTTTGTCAAAATTACTGGCACTAAGAAACCAGGATGCAAGTTAAAAGTTCTCAGTATTTATCTAAATAGAAAAATAAGTGATTATCGGTAACATATAAGTGATTGTCTTGAATAATTGTTTATTTGTGCCTTCAGAGTTAACCTAGACTTATGTTCCTCCTGTCCAGTGGACTGTCTTATTTATTGCTGAAGACCTAACTCTGACAGGCAGCTAGACATTTTTTCAGTAGCTGTGGACCATTAAAACAATTGGTCAGTTAAGTCCTTTCAGGAGGAAAATCTCTGACTTGTTTGTAACTGTGTAAGTAGGCACCTTCTGGGTCCACACAGCACAAATCCTAAATAGCAACACACACACTCACACTCACACTCACACTCACACACACAGCAGAAGAGAAATTCTTCTTAGAAAATCAGGTTAAAAAGGGAAGAGGGAAAAATTATGCCCAGCAAAGCAAGACATAGTGGTGCTGCTTCCCTCCCCATAGACACTAAGACTCAGTGTCCCCACCTCTGTCACCCTCCCCTACCCTACATATACACATGCACCCATTAACATGCATACATGCTTGCTTTTTCCACACTAACGCCCCTTCTTGTGTCAACTCTAAAGTGAAAAGAATCTGGGGCCTAAGTTAGTGGAATACTCACAGAAATGGAAGCCATGGATGGATGGTATGGGTGGAGGTACGAAGAGATTCAGGTGGCATCTTTGCTTTTCCTCTGAAACTATCAAAGAAATGATTAGGAATGATATATGTGCTGAGAGATGTATTGATGACCTTTACAGAATGGAAATTGAAGAACCAGAGATTAAAGATTAGAAACTCAAAATCTTTTAGCCCCAGAGTGTCCTAGTTCCCTAATTGGTAAGACAGGGGCCAGTGAGGCGGACACACCTTGAAGAAGGACTAACTAAGGATCACAGTGCTGTATTGACCTTAGCAAATGCTACAGAGGAGAGGAAATAACTGAGCCAGAACAATGATTGTGTCTTATGACCTGCCGTGTGCAACAGATGGGATGCTAAACACTTACAGGTACTTTTAATTGAATAATGCTTTCCCGTGGCCATATGCTGTGATTATTTGTATGCTTCCTGTTCATGCTTTATTCATCTGTAGCTGTCACTCACTTAAAACCAACTTTCCCTTTCCATATCTAGGGATTGAAGTGGATACTGTGAAGTGTGAATGAGAAATAGAAAAAACATTGTTTACTGAGTACAGCTTATTTTCTCCTGCAACGTGATTATTTATTATCTGTGTGTTCATTTCAGATTATGAATTATTACTGCTGGTAATGCCTGTTCTTTCTTCCAGTTGCTGTGCATTGGCACACAGGAGCGAATATCAAATGCCAAGGGGAGGGTAATACAACATCGGGGAACTAGGGTAATTCTAACAATCTATTGGGAAGAAAATCTGTGCACTTGAATTTTGAATTTAAGTCAAAGTTTTTAACAATTGTGGACCAAAAGTAGTCTTTCTTTTTGTATTAAAACAGAAAACAGTTGCCCCAACCAAAGCCTCTACAATGCCATATCATTAGCTTCTGAGATTAAATTTGACAATATAAGATTACATGCATGCTAATATTTCATAAATAAATAATAAGGCATGCAAAAGTCAGCTCTCAGCCATCCCTTCCTCACCTGGCAAGGTATTTGATGACAGTGATTATTAGGTGACTGAAAGAGAATAAGCAAGGCCGTAATGAAGGAAAGAAATTAATTGCCCAAAACCTGGAGAGTTTTTGGTTCAGAGCTGCTAATGATCAAGTTATATGCATGTCCTATTTGCCATTAAAATGCTGCAAAACTGGAAATATTCTTAATGGAAGAACACACTATTGTGTACTTTGGCCTGCCACGAGCATCATCTAGAACCCCTCAAATGCATAGCACACATGTTCATAGGCAGCTATGTTAGTTTGCTAGGGCTGCCATAACAAAGTGCCACAGACTGGGTGGCTTCAACTGCAGAAATTCATTTTCTCACAAATATGGAAGCTAGAAATCTGAGATCAAGGGGTTGGCAGGTTTGGTTTCTTCTGAGGCCTCTTTCCCTGGCTTTTAGATGGTTGCCTTCTTGCTGTGTTCTCACATGGTCATTTCTCTGTTTTCTGTGTCCTAATCTGCTCTTCTTATAAGGACACCAGTCGTATTGAATTCAGGCCCACCTTAATGAACCCATTTTAGCTTAATTGCCTCTTTAAAAGCCCTGTATCCAATATAGATCTGAGGTACTGGGGGTTAGGGCTTCAATATATAAATTTGGAGGGGACTAAGTTCAGCCCATAACAGCAGCCATCTTTCTAGCCCAGTGCCCTGCACATAGTAGGTGCTCAGTGATTTTTTTTTTTTTTTGAGACGGCCTTGCTCTGTCACCCAGGCTGGAGTGCAGTGGTGCGATCTTGGCTCACTGCAACCTCCACCTCCTGAGTCCAAGTCATCCTCCCACCTCAGCCTCCAAAGTAGCTGGGATTACAAGCATGCACCACCACGCCCAGCTAATTTTTGTATTTTTAGTAGAGACAGGATTTCACCATGTTGGCCAAGCTGGTCTGGAACTCCTGACCTCAAGTGATCCACCTGCCTTGGTCTCCCAAAGTGCTGGAATTACACATGTGAGCCACCACGCCTGGCCTCAGTGAACAATTTTTGAATGACTGAATGAAAAGAATTAGCCAGAAGTTCCTGTGTTGAGAGAAAAGGGTGGGTATTATTAGGAGGAGTGTGGTGATGCTGTGGTTGCAACTGGACCATTCAGAGAAAATAGCAATCAGTTTTTTAAAAATATTTATATCCTTAATAAACCTGGAAGAAAAGTAAAATTCTAGATCCCCTATAAAGAGACAAGGAGAAAAGACTTGGATAGTCTCTCTTTGAGGGACACAGTTGGAAGTATACACACAGAAGTTCTCCAAGAGCTGCTTCTATCATATCTTGTGATTTAAAGCTGATTGCAAGCAATTAGCAGCACTTCTGAGTTTATGAAAATGTTAAGTGGGTGGTTCTGTAGTAGATTTTGTTTACTCTAGAGCCCATTGTTTATTTTAATGCATTCAAACAAGAAATGCCTGATGCTAGATGTAAAATGTTTATCAATTTTACATCTCCCCATAGTCACAAAGTTTAAAAAAAGACCATGTGAAGTAAATTGGAAAGATGCATGATGCAGTCCCATTATCCATTAAATATTCAACATTGGCTTTGGAAAATATTGTAGCACTGTAATTTAAAGCCAATTTGGGTAGCATTTTAATAAGATTTGAGGCTTTTGAATAATTGTGTTAATACCAGCAGCTGCTTTTATTTGGTTAGTAAGATGACTAATTCTATAATTAATATATTTAACAAAAATATACTGAAAATATATTCATCTTGTCATTAAGATGTCCATTTGTACAGGTTTCTCTTTAACATGAAAAGATAGTGTGAGGATATCATTGCCTCCCTCTGCTATGATGAAAATGATGGCAGGTAGGTGTGTGTTGCTGATGCGCATGGCTGTGTTTTTGTGCGGCGTCAGTGGCAGCACTGAGCGAGACCCAATCGAAGACTCTGCAGAGCCATGGGGTATATAAATCTTCAGAGTCTCTGACTCAGTCAACCATACAGCAGCTCAATTTTGTGCCACAATCCTGGTAATGAGATTTTTCCATGGTATTGGCTTAACATTACCCCTCAATGGGAACGTTTTATTCTGAACGTTTGCTTTGTGGAATGATCTTTCAGTTCTCTCTCAAAGTCACTCCTCCACAACATAGAAATCAGGTGTGAAATTCAAATAATTGAAGACCTTAATTCTTCATTGTGTACCCAAGTTTCGAGGGTTACTGCCTTGGTAAAGAAATGTTGGCAGGTGCTCCATCTTTGCCTCACTCTCTTCTCCATGTCATTCTGGCTGTTCTTTTATTGCGCGTCCTGCTTTTTTTAAAATATGATGAAGAAAAGTTCAAACCTAACTGGTAAATTAAATAAAATACCTAACATTGCTATTATTTAACTTGATTTTTGTTTCCTACATGTGTTTTAAACCAAAAAAATACTTTATATTTTTAAAATAGGACATTAGGGCTCTCAGCAATGTCCTGACTGAAATCTTGCCTCTCTCCTTTGGCACACTGTGGTTTATTGTTGTTGCTGTCATTTCACGTTGTTGTTGCTACCTCATTTGCACTGAATAAGCGTTCTGTGGAAACAGCATCTGAGCCACTGCTTTCCACCCGTGTTCTAGATGCATCCAATAGGTTTTACTAGAGGAAAGGTGCTATGTGTCCACTTGGAAAAACTGCTAGAGACACTCTTCCTCTTTGAGTCATAATGGATTGGGGTTCACCCCTGCCCCACTGACAGCAGCCTATCTGCACTTGATTGAGGTTGTCTGAGAAGGGTCTCCGCTCCTGGGTCAGCATTAGAAGCCTGGAGTGAAGGAGGAACAGGCTACACTGGCTATGCTGGCTCAGTACTAAGCAGAAAACGATATCATCAAGAGCAAAACCCAATTATTTGTAGCCAGATGGGCACAGATTAATTTCTCTTGAAATCTCAATGGACGTTTTTTTTTCTTGTGATTCTCTTTTTATAAAAGAGAAGATTAAAAGGGCTTCTTGCCCTTGCCTACAAGAAGGGCAGCCATCAGCTGTGTATTATGAGAGCTCTTAAGTTACTTACGATCTGAAAACTACCAGGTAGACCCCACACCTCCATTCCTGGGGTCCTATTGTTTCCCCGACCCACTGCAGTTACCACAGCATGTGCATCAGGAGCATTTCCCACATCTAGGGAAATGTAGTAGCATGTTGATTCAGAACTGATTCCCTTTAAATGCTTCCTCTTATGTCATGCATTATTATTCAAGTCACTCACTATTCTGAGAAACATTGTAGGGTTCCCCACACATAAAACAAAGCATCACGGCAGCCATGTTTTCAGACTTTGGCATGCAATAGAGTCACCTGCAGGGCTCATCAAAGCACAGGTTGTGTCCAGGCATGGTGGCTCATGCCTGTAATCCCAGCGCTTTGGGAGATTGAGGCAGGAGGATCGCTTGAGTCCAGGAGTTCAAGACCAGTCTGGGCAATATGACAAGACCCTGTCTCTACAGAAAAAATAATAATAATAATAATTAGCTGGGGGTGGCAGCTCATACCTGTCATCCTAGCTACTCAGGAGGCTGAGGTGGAAAGATGCTTGAGCCCAGGAGTTAGAGGCTTCGGTGAACTATGATTGTGTCATTGCCCTCCAGCCTGGACAACAGTGTGAGACCCTGTCTCAAAAAACAAACAAAATATTAAACACACACACACAGAGGTTGCCAGGTCTCACCCCACCATTTCTGATTCCAGTGGTCTGGATGGAACCAGGGAATTTGCATCTCTAACACAACCCCAGGTGATACTCACTCTGCTGATATAAGCGCCACACTTTAAGAACCAGTGGTATCCAGTGTCAGAGCTATCCATGCACCTATTCTTTATTTTATTGTTTGAAGTTCAGGAGACCAGGGTTTTGAGCTTGCTAACAAGGTCTCTTTATTCCAGGGACTGACATCACTTATGTACATGACCACTTAATCATTAATTTAATCATTAAACTAGGATTGTTAGCATGAAAACAACAGTACATAACACTGACATAGAATTTGAGTTTACAAAACACTTTTACTCCATTACCTCATTCAAGCCTGCAGACAAGCCCAAAGATTATTGTTATTATTTCTATTCTGCAGATGACAAAACTGAGGTTCGGAATTAGGAGCATTAACCAGACTAATTCCAGAGCTTTTTGATCTTCAAACTAGAGTATGCAAACTCACTGTCCAAGGAGTATATGCAGTGATGCTTTTTTTGTTGTTGTTTTTGAGACAGAATCTCACTTTGTCTCCCAGACTGGAGTACAATGGTGCGATCTTGGCTCACTGCAACCTCTGCCTCCTGAGTTCAAGTGATTCTTCTGCCTCAGCCTCCCAAGTAGCTGGGACTACAGGCTCCCACCACCATGCCCAGCTAATTTTTTGTATTTTTAGTAGAGATGGGGTTTTGCCATGTTGGCCAGGCTGGTCTCAAACTCCTGACCTCAGGTGATCCTACCCGCCTTGGCCTCCCAAAGTGCTGGGATTACAGGCGTGAACCACCGCTCCCAGCCGCAGTGATACATTTAAGAAAGTCAATTTTAAGAAACTCCACATCCATAAGCACTCTTTCCTTAAACTGATCTCCCTGAGAACACAACCTTCTTCTAATCTATGAAAGAAAGATATAATTTTCACTAGCATCAAGTTAGTAACCTCTGGGCTCTGAACAAAGAGGTGATTCAAAATATTGGTATAGCTGGTGAGAACATGACTCACTCTAAATAGGCAAGTAATAAATCCTTTTGTGGTCAGGTGGTTTCGAATATTTTTCTTTTAACAACATTGAAAAAGAATCAAATAAGCTAGTAGATCGTTAACAATTTTGATGATGGATAACTAAGTGAACTCAGAGTTCACAGAATTGAGTGATGTAGCCATAAAAGTAAAACTCCTTCCATTTGTATCTATTATATGAGTAAGAATTAATGACAAACTCTGTCTCATTCTATCAACAAGTAATATTCATCCATGGATACATGAGCCAATTGGGGAAAAAACCCTCCACTTCATGTTATTAAAAGATAAATATCCAATACAACTTTATTTTTTAGTTTAAAAATTATCAAAAATTGTGTAATACATATTGTTATATTGATCAATTGTGTAATAATAACTGCAATAATGGCTCAATCGATAGAGTTTTATCACTTAAAGAGCTTGTGGTCACAGGACTCTTACCTTTTAAATTTAGATACATGTGTTTGTTGCAGAGAATTATAACAGGTTGATCAATAAAATCAGAAAAAGCATGATTCATGCCTAAAAATGTACTGCATTAGGTTAGAATTCTGTGCAGATAGTGGAATGGAAATTCAAGGTCAAAGAGAAAGAAGAAACATAAAATCTCCTTTTGTGGGTTGATTTTTGTTTTTTTATGTTTTTTGCTTTTTGGTTTTTTTGAGACGAGATCTCACTCTGTCGCCCAGGCTGGAGTGCAGTGGCATGATCTTGGTTCACTGCAACCTCGGTCTCCCGGGCTCAAGCGAAAATCTCCTTTGGATCAAAACTAGTCTGTGGGGTTTTCAAGTGGCCAGTGACAGGTTCAAAATTGCTATGGTACTTAGATTCCATTGGCTACATTTTAAAGATTAATGACATGGTTTTATTTAAAGATGCTGTTATTTGCAATATGCCAGAAATTTTACCATTTAGGATGGGAGGGAAATGGTTTCTCAGAATTCTCTGGGATTAGATGAGCATAAAGTGTGGTTCCATATTACTCACCTCTAATTACTCAACACATCCAGCCGTTTCTGGGACAGTTCTATTCCCTTCCCCACCACCTCTCCTCCCTAAGGAAAAAAAAAAAAAAAAAATCTCACCTTTCCTTACTACGAAGATTTTATCTTTGTGAAATCAATGTTTCTTAGTTATTTAATATCACCGAGTCAAAATCTTTTAGCTTTACCTACAGGCATAATTTAACTTAGAAACGATTATCTCCATGTATTATGAGAAGAAAAACTAGTTCAATTTTCTCCCTATCATAAGTTTTTAAAGATTCTGCTGCAGACTATTCTCACTGAGTTTCAAAAACTTGAACTGCTTCCCTCATTAGACTTGGCAGAAGGTAGAAATGTAATGCATTGTCTGGGTGCAGGAGCTCACACCTGTAATCCAAGCACTTTCAGAGGCCAAGGCAGGAGCATTGCTTGAGGCCAGGAGTTTGAGACCAGCCTGGGCAACATAGGGAGAAACCACCTCCCTGTCTCTATTATTAAATATATGTGTTATTATATATATATATATATGTGTGTGTGTGTATATATATGTGTGTGTGTATATATATATGTGTGTATATATATGTGTGTGTATATATATGTGTGTGTGTATATATATATATATATAGAGAGAGAGAGAGAGATATTAAAAATTTAAAAATAAATGTAATGCATCTACACATCCAGCCAGCCAATGTGGCATAATAACAGCATTATTTGCATCCCTACTTTTCCATCTATTCCTTGAGAGTGTCGGTGGAAGTGGTTCTGAGAGCCCCAGCTGGAGTGAGACAGAAGGCAAACATTACTCAAACCTCCATGTTTAGCTTTACAATGGTGTCACTCACTTGATCTCACTCTTTTAGCCCTTATGAACTGCCTATTTTCCATGGAAATTTCCAGGCATGGAAGGTAACATCTGACATAGATATGCCCAAACATTCAATGTGAAATAAATACACAGACTGCCTCTGATGTGTTCTGAACCATAATTCAGATTTCAAAAATCTTAATGAATGAAGCTTCTACTTTCCCCAAGACTGTCACTAAATCTTCTCATGGCTTAATTAAATACTAATAATTGTACTAAATCCAAAATGTTAATTATGTTTATCTCTGAGTGATGAAACTTGGAGTTATTTACTTCTTTTATTTTCTGTATTGCTTGCCACATAGACATGTATTATTATTGTAACCAAGAAACAATCACATTGCTATCTGAGGGTAGAAGAAAATGATCAAAAGCATCTGAGACAGGCATATTGGCTGGGGTCCACCCCTTTTCCTGGTACAAATGAGACTCTAAGTGTTGATTTATATTTATTTTTTATAAATCCTCTCTCCACCCCACCCCCAAATGGATTTTACTTTGTCTACATTTTTTAATACTCACTGTCAGGAAATACTCTGTTAACCTAAGATTTTGAGCTTTTCCCTATTATTCTGTCCTATGGAAAGAAGAACAGTTATTCATATAATATTAATGATCACTCTTAATATCATTAAAAAGCTCTGTGGATCTCTCCAGTAATTTCTAATACATCAAGGTAGCCAAAGATTGTTTTGCAGATAAATTTATTTTCCTGCCAGGGATTTTTAAAACCATAAAGCATTATCAAAATCATAAAGTATATGTTTCTAGCTCACTCTTTTGAATCTGTCTGTTTTCCCAGACTGGAATTCACAAACGCATTCTGGTTATAATGATAGCACGTGGTTTGGAGACAGGATCAGCCGGTCTGGAGACCATCTTCCCATGTCACCCAAGCCTCCCATGCAGGGACCCTGTCTTCCTCCACCCCAGAATGTCCATGGTTGTCCCTTTCCTTTGTCCCTGGTTCTAGAGTCCTTTTCTCACTAGTCCTTCAGGAATGTATCACATTTCCTTCTTAACTGTGGCCCTAGAGTGGTCCTTTGGCCCCACTGTCCTAGCTTGGATCTCTGTCTGTCTAGCCAGGCATCCCTTTGCTCTATTAGATTTTCCCTACCAAATCCCAGTCCGTGGGTTGCCATCAAGTAACCCTTACATGTCAGCACCGTGCCTGTGAAAGCCAAGCCCCTCACCTGGTGAAATCGTTATCAGAGTGGTCACGCCTGGCCACCTTATGCGCCCCCCTCACCCCTCAGGTTCTGCTGAGCCACTGGGCCACTGGAGGAGGGACTGCCTCACCTGAGACTCTCATCTCCGCAGCCACCTCCCACCAAATGCCCAGTTCTTCCTGCCTCTTCCTTCAACTTGGCTCCCATCTCAGCCCTTCTGGGGGAAGAGGGCTCAGATTCTTACAATCTCCATAGAAAGGAAATACAGTGTCAGGCCAGTTTGCCTGATGCCTTTTTAAAAATCAATAAAGGGGACAGAATGCAAAATATGTGCTAGGTTGTTTTTATGAAATGCAAGGCAAAAAATGCCCCATTAAACATTTCTTCTCTGCAGCCCTTGCTCTCAAGGGCACATGCTTGACCCTTGGGTTCTTAAGACTTTCACCAAGGCCACTTTGTGCTTTGCCTGCTCTGCCTGAGTCTCTGGCCCTCAGAGCTAGAGGGTGGGGCTGGCCTTCCAGTCTGTATCTGTCCCCTGGGGGAGTACCTTTCCAGGCTGAATTTAAGAATGCAGCAATTGACTTAGAATGCAGACTCATTGAGTGAATGCGAGCCCTGGAGGAAAGAAAAATCACTGTCACTTCTGTGGCCCCCAGGTTTGACACTTTCAGGGCAACCCCAGAGTCTGAATTGCTTGGAACATCCACTCACGCATGCAAGTGAAAGTCATCAGGGAAGAGGCTTTTAATAGCGCAGCGTCTGTGTGTCTCTTGTGAACCCAGGGTGCCCTCAAGTGTTGGCTAGGGTTAATCACAAGCCGCTGTTTCTGAGAACACCCTAGAATGAAGCAACCCTTAAACGTTTTAGCTTTGTGACTTGTGTCCATCACTCTTAATTTTCTGCAGAAGCTTTTTCCTGCCTTTGTTACTTCTGTAAATTCAGTCTATCAGAGGGCTTATGTGGTACTTTTAAAAACTCACTTTGATTTGCCTTTGTGCAAATTGAGCTCTGAAAGAGAGCAGTTTCCAGGGAAATTCATCTCCCAGCAAGAATCCTGCCTGCTACCAAATCATCTTTTAATCTGCCCCCCGCTTTAAAATGTCATTATATTTTCCTTATACAGACCTTCATAAAACTTACAAACACTGTCTAGTTTACATCTTCATTTTGCTCTCACAAGGCCAAAAAACTTGTTAAACAGACTTAATGAACGAGTTCCTCTTGATCGGGGTTGTAAGTTTCTAAAATTGCATTTGAACTTCTACCTGCCTCTAGCTGAATGAAAATTGCCTCCAGACATCTGAAGTCTTTTTCTTCCTTTCATTTTGCTTAATCTACCTCTGTATCAAAGCACATTTCCATTTTGTTTAGGCCAGTTGTCAGACTCTAGGCATTTGCAGATTTTAGAAACCTGCACAGGTGTTCTGATGTGCCGTAAACTTCCAGAGCCACTGAATTCAGCAAAGAAATTCCTTGATGTTCCTACTTATTAATCTTATTAATTAACATATATCTTATATATTAATCTTTATACTTATTGTTGTCACTGGGGCTAAATAGTCTCTATAGCTCGTGGTGGGGGGCTGTAGTGTATGTGTGTGTGTGTGTGTGTGTGTGTGTAGTGTGTGTGTGGTATCTGTATGGTGTGTAGTGTGTGTGTGGTATCTGTATGGTGTGTGTACTACATGGTTGTATGTGTTGGGGTGTGGGGGGTGCGTGTAGTATGTGTGGGGTAGTGTGGTATGGTTTGTGTGTGGGTAATGTGCAGTATATGGGTGTGTGTAGTGTGGGGGATAGCGGTGTGTATGGGTGTGTGGGAGTGTCCTGTGTGTGAGGGTGGTGTGTGGTGTGGTGTATGAGCGTGTGGTGTATGAGTCTGTGGTTTGTGTATGTGTGGGGGGACATGGATATGTGTGGTATGGGGTGTCTATAGTGTCAGCAGATGGTAGTGTGTGTGGGTGTGGGTATGTAGGTGTAGTGTGCATGGAAGTGTGGCGTGTGTGTGGTGTGGTGTGTGGTATGTATAGGTGTGTAGGTAGGTGTATGTGTGTGTATGAGTGTGTAGTGTGTTGGGTGTGGACGCATGTAGTGTGTGGTATATGGGTGTATGTAGTATAGATGGTGTGTCTATGGTGTGTAATATATGGGTATATGTAGTATGGATGGTGTGTGTGGTAGGTGTATGTGGTGTGTGTGTGCAGTGTGTGGGGTTTGAACATGTGTGGTGTGATATATGGGTGTGTGTGGTGTGTGTATGTGTATGTGTGTGGTGTATGTGTAGTGTGTGGGGTATAAACGTGTGGTGTGTGATAAATGGGTGTATGTAGTATGGGGTGTGTGTGTAGTGTGTGGGGTGTGGATTGTGTGGTGTATGGTATATGATATATGTGTTTATGTAGTATGGGGGGTGTGGTATGTGGTGTGTGTGAAGTGTGTGGGGGTGTGGTGTATGGTATATGGGGTGTGTGTGTGTGTGTATGTGTGTGTAAGGAGTTTGTTGGAGGTGAAGTACTCTTTCGACCACAAAGGTCAGAGCTTCCTGCACAGCAGCTTGAATGCTTAGAAACAGTAACTGCTGCCCGGCCCTTTGGATGTATTTGATCCACCCAGATGGTCTACTACAGACAATTCTAGACAGAAGGACATGGGCAGGGGGCAACTGCCTCAGGAAATCTCCCCTGGGCAAGGAGAAATTAACCAGCTTTGTTAGTCTTCCAGGGCTGCAAATGTCCTCTTCAGGAGCTATCTTAGTTGGTGAGAGCTTGATGATGGCCAGAGATGGCTAGAAGGAGCTTGACCTTCGGTCACCTCTACTGTAAACAGCAAGAAGAATGTTCAGATGGAAATGAATCCTTACAACCAGTTGAAATAGTGCGAAATCCACAGCAATACCATTTTGAATGATACCAAATCAGATTAGTTTATAAAGTGTCTATGCCTGGAGCTTTGGTATTTTGTGGAAATGTAATCTTGCTGCTGTTTTTTTGTTGTTATCGCACCACTCTTTATGATTGAGGTTATTATTTACATTCAAAAAATGCAAGAATCTTAAGTGTACAGTTCAATGGATTTTGACAATCTTATGCACCCATGTAACCACCACCCAAATCAGGATATAGAACATTCCCATCACCCGTATTTCAGTCACTGTCTCTCCTCCCCAGAGGAAACCACTGTTTAATTTTTGTCACTGAAGATTAGTTCTGCCCATTCTTGAACTTCATTTAAATAAAATATGGAGCCTTCTGGCTTCTTTCACTCGGCATGTTTTTAAAATTCATCCTGGTTGTTGCATGTGTGGCTCTGTAGTTTGTTCCTTTTTATTGTTATATGGCATCCCACTATATAAACATACCACAACTAATTCCTGTCTTCTCCTATTGGGGGACATTTGGGTTGTTTCCAATTTTTTGTGGGGTTTTTACAGGGTTGGGGAAAGAATTAATTTTTTTAAGGCTGCTCTCTGAAAATTCTCATACCTGTCTTTTGAGCAGCCTCACTTCTGCTTATGTTTTCATTTCTCTTGGATAAATTCCCAGGATGGGGATTGCTGGGTCATAGAGTTGATGTATGTTTAACTTTATAAAAACCTGTCAGTTCTCCTAAGTTGGACCATTTTACACTCCCACCAGTGACGTATGAGAATGACACTTGCCCCGTGTCCTCACCAACCTTAGGCAGGCCTGGGAAGGCATCTCACTGGGGTTTTAATTTGCATTTCTCTGAAGACTAATGGTGTTGATCAATGATTATTCAGTAATAATACTGATTTTTTTTTAACTTTAATTTCTGGGATACATGTGTTGAACATGCAGGTTTGTTACATAGGTATATGTGTGCCATGGTGATTTGCTGCACCCATCAACCTGTCATCTAGGTTTTAAGCCCTGCATGCATTAGGTATTTGTCCTAATGCTCTCCCTCCCCTCACTCCCCACCCCCAACAAACCTCAGTTGTGATGTTCCCCCTCCCTATGTTCATGTGTTCTCATTGTTCACCTCCCACTTATGAGTGAGAACATGCCGTATTTGGTTTTCTGTTCCTGTGTTAGTTTGCTGAAGATGATGGTTTTCAGCTTCATCCATGTCCCTGCAAAGGACATGAACTCATTCTGTTTTATGGCTGCATAGTATTCCATGGTGTATATGTGCCACATTTTTTTATCCAGTCTATCATTGATGGGCATTGGGTTGGTTCCAAGTCTTTGCTGTTGTAAATAGTCCTGCAATAAACATATGTGTGCATGTGTCTTTATAGTTGAATGATGTATAATCCTTTGGATATATACCCAGTAATGGGATTGCTGGGTCAAATGGTATTTCTGGTTCTAGATTCTTGGGAAGTTGCCACACTGCTTCCACAATGGTCGAACTAATTAAACTCCCACTAACAGTGTAAAAGCATTGCTATTTCTCCACATCCTCTCCAGCATGTTGTTTCCTAACTTTTTAATGATCGCCATTCTAACTGGCATGAGATGGTATATCATTGTGATTTTGATTTGCATTTCTCTAATGAGCAGTGATGATGAGCTTTTTTTCCTATGTTTGTTGGCTGCATAAATGTCTTCTTTTGAGAAGTGTCTGTTCATATCCTTCGCCTACTTTTTGATGAGGTCGTTTATTTTTTTCTTGAAATTTGTTTAAGTTCCTTATAGATTCTGCATAGTAAACCTTTGTCAGATGGATAGATTGCAAAAATTTTCTCCCGTTCTGTAGGTTGCCTGTTCACGCTGATGATAGTTTATTTTATTAAGCAGAAGCTCTTTAGTTTAATTAGATCCAGTTTGTCAATTTTGGCTTTTGTTGCAATTGCTTTTGGTGCTTTAGTCATGAAGTCTATGCCCATGCCTATGTACTGAATGGTATTGCCTAGGTTTTCTTCTAGGGTTTTTATGGTGTTAGGTTTTATGTTTAAGTCTTTAATCTATCTTGAGTTAATTTTTGTATAAGATGTAAGGAAGGTGTCCAGTTTCTGTTTTCTTTATATGGCTAGCCAGTTTTCCCAGTACCATTTATTAAATAGGGAATCCTTTCCCCATTGCTTGTTTTTGTCAGGTTTGTCAAAGATCAGATGGTTGTAGATGTGTGGTGTTATTTCTGAGGCCTCTGTCCTGTTCCATTGGTTTATATATCTGTTTTGGTACCAGTACCATGCTATCTTGGTTACTGTGGCCTTGTAGTATAGTTTGAAGTCAGGTAGCATGATGCCTTCAGCTTTGTTCTTTTTGCTTAGGATTGTCTTGGTTGTATGGGCTCTTTTTGGTTCCATATGAAATTTCAAGTAGTTTTTTTCTAGTTATGTGAAGAAAGTCGATGGTAGCTTAATGGGAATAGCATTGAATCTATAAATTACTTTGGGCAGTATAGCTATTTCCACGATATTGATTCTTCCTATCCATGAGCATGGATTGTTTTCCATTTGTTTGTGTCCTCTCTTATTTCCTTGAGCAATGGTTTGTATTTCTCCTTGAAGAGATCCTTCATGTCCCTTGTAAGTTGTATTCCTAGGTATTTTATTTTCTTTGTAGCAATTGTGAATGGGAGGTCACTCATGATTTGGCTCTCTGCTTGTCTGTTGTTGGTGTATAGGAATGCTTGTGATCTTTGCACAATGATTTTGTATTCTGAGGCTTTGCTGAAGTCATTTATCAGCTTAAGGAGTTTTTGGGCTGAGACGATAGGGTTTTCTAAATATACAAACATGTCATCTGCAAACAGAGACAATTTGACTTTCTCTATTCCTATTCAAACATGCTTTATTTATTTCTCTTGCCCGATTGTTCTGGCCAGAACTTCCAATTCTATGTTGAATAGGAGCGGTGAGAAAGGGCATCCTTGTCTTGTGCCAGTTTTCAAAGGGAACGCTTCTAGTTTTTTGCCCATTCAGTATGACACTGGCTATGGGTTTGTCACAAATAGATTTATTATTTTGAGGTATGTTCCACCAATACCTAGTTTATTGAGAGTTTTTAGCATGAAGGAGTGTCGAATTTTATCAAAGGCCTTTTCTGCAACTATTGAGATAATCATGTGGTTTTTGTCATTGGTTCGGTTTATGTGATGGATTACATTTATTGATTTGCATATGTTGAACCAGCCTTGCTTCTCAGGGATGAAGCCGACTTGATCGTGATGGATAAGCCTTTTCATGTGCTGCTGGATTTGGTTTGACAGTATTTTATTGAGGGTTTTTGAATCGATGTTCATCAGGGATATTGGCCTGGAATTTCCTTTTTCAGTTGTGTCTCTGCCAGGTTTTGGAATCAGGTTGATGCTGGCCTCATAAAATGAGTTAGGGAGGAGTCCCTCTTTTTTTTATTGTTTGGAATAGTTTCAGAAGGAATGGTACCAGCTCCTCTTTGTACCTCTGATAGAATTCAGCTGTGAATCCGTCTGGTCCTGGGCTTTTTTTGGTTGGTAGACTATTAATTACTGCCTCAGTTTCAGAACTTGTCTATTCAGGGATTCAATTTCTTCCTGGTTTAGACTTGGGAGGGTGTATGTGTCAAGGAATTTATCCATTTCTTCTAGATTTTCTAGTTTATTTGCATAGAGGTTTTATAGTATTCTCTGATGGTAGTTTGTATTTCTGTGGGATCAGTGGTGATATCCCTTTTTTTGTTTTTTATTGTGTCTATTTGATTTTTCCCTCTTTTCTTCTTTATTAGCCTGGCTAGCAGCGTATATATTTTATTAATCTTTTCAGAAAACCAGCTCCTGGATTCATTGATTTTTTTGAAGTGTTTTTCGTGTCTGTATCTCCTTCAGTTTTCCTCTGATCTTAGTTATTTCTTATCTTCTGCTAGCTGTTTGCTCTTGCTTCTCTAGTTCTTTTAATTGTGATGTTAGGTGTCGATTTTAAGGGATCTTTCCCGCTTTCTGATGTGGGCATTTAGTGCTATAAATTTCCCTCTAAACACTGCTTTAGCTGTGTTCCAGAGATTCTGGTACATTGTCTGTTTATTCTCATTGGTTTCAAAGAACTTTATTATTTCTGCCTTAATTTCATTATTTACCCAGTAGTCATTCAGGAGCAGGTTGTTCAGTTTCCATGTAGTTGTGTGGTTTTGAGTGAGTTTCTTAATCCTGAGTTCTAATTTGATTGCACTGTGGTCTGAGAGACTGACTGTTGTGATTTCCGTTCTTTTGCATTTGCTGAGGAGTGTTTTACTTCCAATTATGTGGTTTATTTTAGAATAAGTATGATGTGGTGCTGAGAAGAATACATATTCTGTTGATTTGGGGTGGAGAGTTCTGTAGATGTCTATTAGGTCCACTTGGTCCAGAGCTGAGTTCAAGTCCTGAATATCCTTGTTAATTTTCTGTCTCATTGATCTGTCTAATATTGGCGGTAGGGTGTTAAAGTCTTCCACTATTATTGTGTGGGAGTCTAAGTCTCTATGTAAGTCTTTAAGAACTTGTTTTATGAATCTGGGTGCTCCTATATTTGGTGCAAATATATTTAGGATAGTTAGCTCTTCTTGTTGCATTGATCCCTTTACCATTATATGATGCCCTTCTTTGTCTTTTTTGATCTTTGTTGGTTTAAAGTCTGTTTTATCAGGGACTAGAATTGCAACCCCTGCTTTTTTGTTTTTGTTTTTGTTTTTGTTTTGTTTTGTTTTGCTTTCCATCATCTGCTTGGTAAATACTCCTCAGCCCTTTATTTTGAGCCTATGTGTGTCTTTGCATGTGAGATGGGTCTCCTGAATAGAGCACACTGATAGGTCTTGACTCTTTATCCAATTTGGCAGTCTGTGTCTTTTAACTGGGGCATTTAGCCCATTTCATTTTAGGTTAATATTGTTATGTGTGAATTTGATCCTGTCATTATGATGCTAGCTTGTTATGTTGCCCATTAGTTGATGCAGATTTTTCATGGTGTTGATGGTCTTTACAATTTGGTATGTTGTTGCAGTGGCTGGTACCGGTTTTTCCTTTCCATATTTAGTGCTTCCTTCAGGAGTTCTTGTAAGGCAGGCTTGGTGATGACAAAATCCCTCAGCATTTGCTTGTCTGTAAAGGATTTTATTTCTCCTTCACTTATGAAAGTTAGTTTGGCTGGATATGAAATTCTGGGTTAAAAATTCTTTTAAGAATGTTGAATATTGGCTCCCACTCTCTTCCGGTGAGTAGGGTTCCCTTTGTAGGTAACCTGACCTTTTTCTCTGGCTGCCCTTAACATTTTTTCCTTCGTTTGAACCTTGGAGAGTCTGACAATTTTGTGTCCTGGGGTTGCTGGTTGCTCTTCTCAGGGAGTATCTTAGCGGTGTTCTCTGTATTTCCTGAATTTAAATGTTGACCTGTCTTGCCAGGTTGGGGAAGTTTTCCCTGATAATATCCTGAAGTGTGTTTTTCAACTTGGTTCCCTTCTCCCCGTCAATGTCAGGGACTCCAATCAATTGTAAGTTTGGTCTTTTCACATAGTCCCCTATTTCTTGGAGGATTTGTTCATTCCTTTTCATTCTTTTTTCTCTAATCTTGTCTTCACACCTATTTCAGTAAGTTGATCTTCAGTCTCTGATACCCTTTCTTCTGCTTGATTGATTCAGCTATTGATACTTGTGTATGCTTCAGAAAGTTCTCCTGCTGTGTTTTTCAGCTCCAACAGGCCATTTATATTCTTCTCTAAACTAGTTATTCTAGTTAGCAGTTCCTGTAACCTTTTTTCAAAGTTCTTAGCTTCCTCGCATTGGGTTAGAATGTGCTCCTTTAGCTCAGAGGAGTTTGTTATTACCCACCTTCTGAAGCCTACTTCTGTCAATTCATCAAACTCATTGTCTATCCAGTTTTGTGCCCTTGCTGGAGAGAAGTTGCGATCATTTGAAGGATAAGAGGCATTCTGGTTTTGGAATTTTCAGCATTTTTGTGCTGGTTTTTCCTTGTCTTCATGGATTTATCTACCTTTAATCTTTGAGGCTGATGACCTTTGAATGGGGTTTCTGTGTGGGAGTCCTTTTTGTTGACATTGATGTTACTGCTGTCTGTTTGTTAGTTTTTCTCCTAACAGTCAGGCCCCTCTTCTGCAGGTCTGCTGCAGTTTGATGGCGGTCGGCTCCAGAGCCTATTTGCCTGGGTATTACCAGCAGAGGCTACAGAACAGTAAAGATTCCTGCCTGCTCCTTCCTCTGGAAGGTTCTTCCCCAACGGGCACCAGCCTGATGCCAGCTGGAGTTCTCCTGTATGAGGTGTCTGTCAACCCCTGTTCGGAGGTCTCTCCCAGTCAGGAGACATGGGAGTCAGGGACCTACTTGAGGAGGCAGTCTGTCCCTTGGTAGAGCTTGAGCGCTGTGCTAGGAGAACCTTCCTTGTCAGGATCTGCTGCTCTCTTCAGAGCAGGAAGGCAGGAACATTTATGTCTGCTGAACCTGTGCCCAAAGCTGCCCTTTCCCCCAGGTGCTCTGTCCTAGGGAGATGGGAGTTTTATCTATAAGCCCCTAACTGGGGCTGCTGCCTTTCTTTCAGAGATGCCCTGCCCAGAGAAGAGGAATCTAGAGAGGCAGTCTGGCCACAGCCACTTTGCCATGCTGTGTTGAGCTCCACCCAGTCTGAACTTCCAGGCCTCCTTAGTGCCGACAGTGGGAAAAACCGCCTACTCAAGCCTTAGTAATGGCGGACGCCCCTGCCCCCCACCAAGCTCGAGTGTCCCAGGTGGACTTCAGACAGCTGTGCTGGCAGTGAGAATTTCAAGCCAGTGGTTCTTAGCTTCCTGGGCTCCGTGGGAGTGGGACCTGCTGAGCAAGACCACTTGGCTCCCTGGCTGAAGCCTTTCAAGGGTAGTGAATGGTTCTGTCTCACTGGGGTTCCAGGTGCCACTGGGGTATGAAAAAAACAAAAACAAAAGCAAAAACAAAGAATACTCCTACAGCTAGCTTGGTGTCTGCCTGAACAGTTGCCCAATTTTGTGCTTGAAACCCAGGGCCGTGGTGGTGTAGGCATACGAAGGAATCCCCTGGTCTGTGGATTGCAAAAACCATGAGAAAAGCGTAGTATCTGGGCTGGATAGCACCATCCCTCATGGCTTCCCTTGGATGGGAAAGGGAGGCCCCCCTCCACCGCTCCTTGCACTCCCCACTCCCCAGGTGAGGTGACACCCCACCCTGCTTCTGCTTGCCCTCTGTGGGCTGCACCCACTGCCCAGCCAGTCCCAGTGAGATGAACAGTGTACCCCAGTTGGAAATGCAGAAATCACCCACCTTTTGTGTTGATCACGCTGGGAGCTGCAGACCAGAACTGTTCCTATTTGGCCATCTTGCCAGATGCCCTCAAGACTGATTTTTTTAATCATCACTTTTAAAATCTACAAAACAGGCTATGGCAGGGGAACCTGAACTGAGTGTGTTATCTGAGCATATCTGAAAGGCAGGTGGGGTGTGCCCGGAAGGACTCTACCTGCAGAAGGTGAGAGGAGCAACTAGGGAGAGAAAGATGCTGAGAAAAGAAAGCCAAAGAGACAAATATGGCCAGTGGCCCAAATATGGCCATTGGAGATAGTGAAGTTTCTTTGCCCACAGATTGTAGTTTATCCTTTTTTATTTTATTTTATTTTATTGAGATGGAGTCTCACTCTGTCACCCAGGCTGGAGTGCAGTGGCACAATCTCAGCTCACTGCAACCTCCGCCTCCCAGGATCAAGGGACTCTCCTGCCTCAGCCTCCTGAGTAGCTGGGACTACAAGCACGTGCCACCACGCCCAGCTAATTTTTGTATTTTCAGTAGAGACAGGGTTTCACCATGTTGGCCAGGCTGGTCTCAAACTCCTGACCTCAAGTGATCCACCCACCTCAGCCTCCCAAAGTGCTGGGTTTACAGGCATGAGCCACTGCACCCAGGCAACATATGTGAATCTTGAAGACATTATGGTAAGTGAAATAAGCCAGTCACAAACAGATGAATACTGTATAATGCCACTTACATGAGCTCCCTAGAATAGGCAAATTCATAGAGGCAGAGAGTAGAATAGAGGTTACCAGAGCATGAGGGTAGGGCAGGAATGATGAGTTATCGTTTCATGGGTAGAGTTTCAGTTTGGGATGATGGAAATAGTTCTGGAGCTGGATGGTGGTGCTGGTTACACAACAATGTAAATGTACTTAATGCCACAGAATTATACAGTAAAAAAAAAAAAGGTTAAAATGGGAAGTTTCATGTTATGTATATTTTATCACAATGAAAACAAAATAAGCAGTTAAGTAACTTGCCCAAGACACAGAGCTAGTAATGAGCAGAATGAGGATTAACAGTCAGGTGCTCCAGTTCAGAGCCTGCACTGTCTACCTTTTCCAGAGACACTTCCAAACTGGGAGGTGGCACCAGCTAGCAGGCATCTGTTGGTCCTTGCTGGACATCAAAGGCATAAATATGTGGCAAAAGATTCTCCAAAAAGAGAAACAAATGTCCACCACACGGTGATTGGGAGGGCGACATTCCTGAACACACGACATGTTTCCTGGTCATCTCCAGAAATAATAGAGGAAGAGACTAGACAGCTCATAGTAACATGTGGGAATGAGTGACTGATGTGGTTATTCTAATTCTATTTTTAAAATATACCTGGTGTAGCCAGAGACATACTAGCTACAAGGGCAAAACTTTACAGATGTGTGGGTACCGGAAAATATTTGGAAATTTATGGTTAATGCATATATATGAGGGAGTCTCTGAACCTATTCTGGTTCAGGAGGCTGCCTGAAAAGAAAAGAAAATTTAATATTAAAAAAATACATCTATATGAAGTCCAAGTACAATATGATGATTTTTTTCATTACTTGATGGCCTGTACCTTTCATGCCTTTTTAACTGTGGAGGGTATATCAAAATGTAAAGTATTCTTTTGTATATTCCATTCTACTTAAGGTGATTCAAACAGGTTAAATTTTTCAGTCTCTGGAATTTAGCAGGATTTAGCAGAGTATATATTATAAACAAATATGTAGAACAGGTGATACATGCTGGGAGAGTGGTTGTCTACATCACTGTAAATATACCAAAGAGAAAGGCATTGATGCCAAGCATGGCTGTTGCAAGATACAAGTCGGGGAAGCTCTAAAAGTGACATTTGATGTGGCTTCTGCAATCAGTAGGAATTTTCCAGGCAGACAACAGGGGTGAGGAGGGGATATTCTAAGCAAAGGAAAGAGCCTGGGCTGAGACACAAGGGACATCACATTGACAGTGGGTACAGGCAACAGAAATTAATGCAGTAGGACTGAAGCTGTGTTTCTCATTGTGCAGACCTGCATAAGAACCACTTGGGGTGCTTGTTTGGATCCCACACAAGCAGATCCCTGGGTCCCAGCCCAGCCCTCCTAAGTGGGACATTTCTAGTAACAGAGGAGGGGAATACATTTTCAACGATATCCTCCTCGTGATTCTTAGCACACAAAAGTGCAGTGGAGGGGATCACTGAGCTGGACTGGGGAGCCCCTGGTTGGAAATGAGTGTGGAGAAGCAGGCTGGGGCAAGGTTGCAAAGGATCTTGTACTATAGGCAGTTGTATTTGGAAGGTAGACAGAAAGGAGATAACCTGATTGTGGGCAGATTCTGGAAAAGGTGGGAGGGGGAAGGGAAAGTGCAGCTGCAGTGAAGCAAGTTTTCTTATTGAGAGGTGAGTTGTGATGGTGGATGAGGGCTGAGAGACAATGAATACTGGTGATACTGGATTCACGGGGCTCGATGATGCATGAGAACTGAGCGTGGAGTCCAGGAGGCAGGAGCTTCGAGAGACCTGAAGAGAACACTGATTCCCAGCATTCTCACTGCAGGTCTTGTGGAACCCAGTGTGGGCCCGTCCCGCTGCATGGCTGCAGCTTTATTGGTGTAAACTTGTAGGGACATGTGGTTAGTGCCAGGTGCTTTTATTAAGGATGCTGTTTCCCTATTCCTGAGGACTCACGGGAATTTTGAGAACCAACTTCTCCCATTTTTATGAGACAAGAACGCAAACGCTTTAGGAAATATATGGTTATTACTTTTCTGTGGTAATAACCATTTATAAGCTGTGGGTGTTTTCAGAAAGTATTTGATGGAGAATGCTACACTCTTACTAAAACCCCAAGGGGAACATCACTTCTTTACTCTTTTTACTCTTTCATTGTGTGTCACCTTTACTTGTCAACTTCAGGGTACATAAAGTTGCTTCCAGGTGCATAAAAAGAGTATGGGAAACCCCTATAGTTTAACTTTATAACAAAAAAGTATATTCAAAAGAGCTTATAATTGCATAGCAAAAACTAACACAAAAACAAAACACATTCATGCAGGAATAAAAAGGGGTCTCCTAAAAGTCGGTTTTCACACCTCTGTTAGAAAACGAAGTTTCGAAGTATCCTCAAGCTTTTGGTCTATTACCTGTGAGTACCTCACCTATGACATGGATGGACACTGTGACTAGTTCACAGCAAGATTTCTCCTCCTAGGCACTGTTGACATTTTAGGCTGGATACTTCTTGTTTGAAGGTGGTGAGCCTGTCCTGTGTATTATAAGATGTTTAGTAGCATCCATGGCCTCTACCTACAAAATGCCAGTAGTAACCCTTCTTCCCAAGGTCATAACAATTAAAAATGTCTCCAGGCTTTACCAAATGTCTCCTGGGGTATAGTTCTCAGATGTATAAAATAAAAATACAGGACCCTTAGTTACGTTTGAATTCCAAATAATGGACAAACTTTTTAGTAGAAGTATGTCCCAAATATTGCATTGGACATACTTACACTAAAAACGAATTTTTATCAGATGTAACTGCTGGCCTGTATTTTATTTGATTGCCCTACCTGGGCAGCCAACAAGATCGTTGATGTACGAAACAGGATGCGTGTGAGGTGCCTGGCACATGGTGGGTGCATTATAAATATTCAAGGTATCTGCTGCGTACCTTTGAATCCACTTTACCCGTGTCCCTGCTGTAGTCTGCAATTGGTACTCGAGCCTGCCTATCCTTTGCCAAAACTGTCATGAGAGTGGGTGTGAGGAGATAGAAAGCCCACATTTGAATCTGCAAGTTCTGGGAACTAGCATTCTGGTCAAAGCTGGTTTTACATCCACCTCTGCCAGAGGGAGCATCAATCTGCCTATGCTCGAGCACTTTGTCACTGTGGTCTCCCTGAGTCATTAGATCATTTCTGGTAAGTAGCATTCAGAGAAGTGATAGTGAATGAAAAACTGCTGCATTAGTCCCAGACTCAGTCACTCTGCATTTGATTTTTCCAGCAGCATAGCCCTAGAAAACCGTTCACTGGGATGCAGCAGGACCAATCATTTCCACATTCAGTTGCAGCTAGGAACTTATTTCTGAGCCAAGATGAATGACCCAAATAGCCTTTCCAGAGAGCAGAGGTGAAATTTAACTCTGGGTAGTTGCCTGACATTTTGAGACAAAGGAGAAAGGGGATGGGGAATGAAGAAAAATAGCATTTGAATGTCTCCTGCAGGGTCATAAATCTGGATGGGCAAAAGTGGATTGCATCTCTGCCAACAATTTAATTAATTTGGGCTTCTTTTAATCTCTATGATTCATATAACCTGAAGGAAACATGCTTTAAAGCTGTATTGTAGGAAGAGCCTCCTTTGAGTTACATATCAGTATATTAACTCTTGGATGTTTTATTTTTCCAGAAGGAAGTCTAAGTTGTGTGTGGGGGAAGTACTAGGTTTGTTCACAAAAAAATGCATTCATTGCTTTGGGGGAAAGCCCCGTTCCTGTCTGACTGTAGTGAGATGAATCATTAGAAGTGTAATCACAGCCCAGGGGAGGAAAAACAAGAGTAAAGGATTCTGATGGCTCCCAGCAAAGCCTGAGAGTGGGCTGGAGATTTGCATTTGCTTATTCTTGCTGGTGAGCCTTTGCTGATCATCTCCAACTTATAAAAAGTTGCAAGTCTATGGGAAACTGTTTTGAAACAAGGTAATACAAAATGGCAGCTATGACACTACAGAATAGCTTGGGGACATATCTAGCTGGGATGTGTATTGCGTTGGGGCAGGATGTATATTGTGTTGGGGCTCAAACGAGCAGATGCGAAGCCTTTTATGGCTTTGCTACTCAACAGAAAGGTGTTTCATTTTTTAATCCCTATGATTTATTTATTTATTTATTTTTATTATTTTTTTTTTTGAGACAGGGTCTCACTCTGTCACCCAGGGTAGGGTGCAGTGGTGCGATCTCAGCTCACTGCAGTCTCTGCCTCCCGGGTTAAAACACTTCTCCTGCCTCAGCCTCCCTAGTAGCTGGGATTACAGGCACCAACCACTGCATCCAGCTAATTTTTGTATTTTTAGTAGAGACGGGGTTTCACCATGTTGGCCACGCTGATCTCGAACTGCTGACCTCAGGTGATCTGCCTGCCTTGGCCTCCCACAGTGCTGGTATTACCAGTGTGAGACATCACGTCTGACCTAATCGCTATGATTTTTAAAAGTGAAATTATCAGGCAAGAAGAAATGTCAAAAGGGAAAAAAAAGAAATAAAAATTAAACGATTCCATTTTGTGTCTTCAGTGGTAATTCAAGTAACCATGATTTTCTATGTTTCTTCCTCCTCAATCCCACAGTTTGGGGCTCACCAATTCCTTAACATACGCTCTGCCAAATATTAGGGTGCCAGGAAGTATATTGGCAAAGGAATATAGATGTGTCTTGATTTTATAACAGGTATATTGTTCCATTTTCAGTAACGTGATGGGCTATGTTATTGGGACTACCCACAAAAAACAACCGAAAAGAGTTTAACATGACAAATAGGAGGAAAAAATCAGTGAGTGTATAGATGATTTGAACAACACAATCAACAAACTTGACCTAATAGATGTATGTAGACACTGCACCCAATACCTGTAGGGTACACAATCTTTTGGAGCATACGTGGAGCATTTATAAAAATGGACTATATACTGTGCTATAAAGCAAGCTCCAGTGTATTTCAAAAAAACTACTAAGCATGTGTTCTTTTTTTTTTTTTTTTTTTTTTTTGTATTTTTAGTAGAGACAGGGTTTCGCCATGTTGGTCAGGCTAGTCTCGAACTCCTGACCTCCTGATCTGCCCGCCTCAGCCTCCCAAAGTGCTGGGATTACAGGCGTGAGCCATCGCGCCCGGCGTATGTGCTCTTATCACAGTGAAATTAAGCCAAGAAATCAGCTTTTTGAAAATTAGGAAACATAATAAATATGTTTCTAAAAATTCCAGAGTCACATTTTCATCCACTGTACTTGGAGGGAGAGTATGATGTCCCCTTGCTTGAGGCACAAGGACCAGAAATTAGAGCTCCCAGTCATTGTAGTTGCATGCATTTCCCCACCCATTAGAATGGAATTTCTTTGACAAAAATGACAAAACTCTAAGGGTCATTTTGGGCCTGAGTCATGAGCTAAGCAGCTGTTTCAATTGTCAAGTGTTAAATGATTTGTTCTGGATCAGAGACTATAAGGCAAGAAATGGGGCTAGGAAAAAGAAACAGGTTACAGAGGTCAACAAGTTAGCAGAGGTATACAAGTGTGCCCTTTGGGCATCAGCAACAAAGAGCACCTGGGCTGACCTCTGCTGTCTTAATGCTGGAAATATTATAGCCCGCTCTGTAATCTCTCCCCCTTGCCCCCGGGAGAAAAATCTTTCACCTAACAATGGATTCCACTAGAATTTTTGTATTGTTATCACAAAAATCTTCTAGGAATAAACAGAGAGCTTTTGTTGATCATGAGCAAGATCTTCCTGGGGCCATGTGCAAACAGCAAAAAGAAAATTTGATCTGGAAGAGAATGAGAACCATGCAGTTGTTTGGAATACTATTGTTGGGCTTTTTGGGTTTTTACGGACAGCTACTTTGAAAAGCAGATTGACTAAGTTGCTAATATGTGAAATAAGCACCACTATTTTGCTGCAAGTCCTCTATCAACTTTTGGACACTTGTCTCAGGACTAACTGCAGTTTAGAAGGTGTTTTGTTTTGTTTTGTTTTTTGTTTTGAAAGTATTTCGTTTCTTGCCTTAGATCTATACTTGAAAGGACCTTCTTGTGGCCTTATCTGGTAGAGACACAAGATCTTAGAATCAGAGAGAACTTTAGTTCTGGAATGAGCTTTAGAGGCTAGTATTCCAACTTTCTACCCAATGTAAGAATTGCCAATATTTACTTTTGTTTGTTTTTCAGTCTCCTAAGACTGTATGTGTTCATAAAATCAGCATAATTGATTTGTTATTATTCATCCACAGACATCAGCTAATATAATAGTTTATATATAAATACAAAAGTATACATTTCACTTTAAATAAACATTTATGTGAGTAAAATAGAGAAGGAAACTTAATGTGTGCCTATTTGTGCTTTAAGATAATAACATGAATATATACAATGTCTATTTATAGACTAATGAGCTGACTTAACATGCATTTATGATATAAGCTTCAGTTGCATTTGGTCAACATTTGACTATCCTACAGGCTCTTTTAGTATAAATTTGCATAAAAATCTTTTACAAAAAAGATATATATATATATATATATATATACACACATATATATATTTTTAACTTCAGGCTGATTGACCTATACTATCATAACATTAATACTATATTATTATCTATATACAAAAGAAAATCCCAAAGGACCTTTGCTTAAAATATAGACACACACACATACACATGCACATTTCATGCTGTCAGCTTTTTTCAACTCTCAGACTCATCATTTCTCTCACTGGAGTTTGGGAAGCACCATGCTTGAGTCAGTCTTACATGTTGGCCCCAGGAACCCTTTCTGAAAAGTTCCCCTCATTCACTCTTTGCATATTTGGGGCACTCACAGAAGATATTCCAGAAAAAAAAATGACCCTAAAAAAATAAGCCCATGAATTTGTGAGTTTCAAAAGCCACCAGAAAATGTGCTTCTTCGAAAGCACGGTTAGGGTCATAAGTCAAATTCAGGAAGCAGAGGCATAATGTGACTTCCTTCCACCGCTGGCTGCTCCTCTGCGCATTCCAAAGGGCAAGACCAGAGCTTGGAAACAGAAATAGAAAAACTCGCAGGAAAGGTTGGCTTGTTGCTCGGGCCTGCTCTTAAAGACAGATGACTATTGGAGTTTGTTGGAATTTAACCCCTGGACTCTCTCCCTGGGATGTATAATTGGCTCTCACTTCCTGAATGCATGATTATGTGCTGCAGGCAGATCGCTGCCAATTATTTTTATTGTGATTGCTTTGTGCATCTCTGTTGGCAATAGCGTTCACAGGATTTCAGCTCAAGGGGAACGGCCACAGCCCCAAGGGTCCAAGATTAGAATATGACTGCGGTTATAGGTCAAAAGATTAAAGGTCTGTGAATATTGTTCTCTTTTTCACCCAGAGATACCAGGATAGAATCTGGCACTTTCGCCTTGGTATCCATAAGTGAGACCTGTATTGTCAGTGTTTAGATTTGTCACAATCAGAATTAACATTCGTTTAGTTCAGAAAAATATGTAAGTATTGAATAGTGGCACAATTATAATTTGATTCTTTCTCCTCTCTCTTCTCCCATCAGGGCCTGTGTCTCAAAAAATGTAAAGGCTTGCAACTCTTTGAAAAGCTTTCTCTTTTCCTTTTTGGGTAAAAAGTTATACAAGACACTAGAAAATTCAAACATTAAAGAAATGTCAAGTGAAAATCTTCAGAATGGAGGACTATAATTTTTTCAAAAAGTAAAAGTCCTCATGAGCTTCTCCTCCCTACCCTGAGTAACCACTTTAAATAGTTTAGTGGGTTTTCCTCCTAGTCATTTTCTAGATATGTTTTATGTATATATATAAAAACTGATATGTTTTATGTATATATATAAATGAAATCACTATTATTTAAAAGTGCTTTTTTCACTGAGCAATGTCACTTGGACATTTTCCATATATCTGTTTAGAAAAATCGACCTCATTCTTTCCCAATAGTTATATGATATTCCATTGTAAGGCTATACCATAGTTTATTTAACTATCTCCCCTCCATGTGCCCCCCTCCACCTACTACTTGGCCTTTTTTTTCCTTTTTCTCCTTCTTTTTTTTTTTTTCTTTTTACAAATTGAGAAGGAGATGAAAAATCTCTGCTGGTATTAGCAACAGGAACCATCCAGCTGCATCTGGTTAAATCTGGTGGAGTCACAGATGCATGACAACCTGAGTTTCCAGCCAAGGATTAATGTTTCATGCAGATTACATAGTATTTATATTTTAAACCTGTGACATGTTGAGGGGATAAAATTTTATATCTGTAGGAACAAAATCAGAAATTTATCTGATCATTGTCCTCTTCCTAAGCTTGTTGGGCCCTTGAAAAAATGGATTTTGGGCCCCTTTTTAAAGAAAATTTTAGTTGGCCAGGTGCCTTGTGAGTAAAGAAGACCATAGACAAATCAATACAGGTGATTTACTTCTTAGCTTAAAAATTGATCTCACATATGATACTTAATGTTTTCGTTTAGAACCTTGGGTTTGTGTCTTGTACCTAAAATCTGCATTCCTACCAAAAACTATTTCATTAATAATATCACATAACCGACAGTCAAATACAGATCAGTAGGCCAGGTGCAGTGGCTCACGCCTGTAATCCCCGCACTTTGGGAGGCCGAGGCGGGCAGATCACGAGGTCAAGAGATCAAGACCATCCTGGCTAACACGGTGAAACCCCATCTCTACTAAAAATACAAAAAATTAGCTGGGCATGGTGGCGGGCGCCTGTAGTCCCAACTACTCGGGAGGCTGAGGTAGGAGAATGGCGTGAACCCGGGAGGCAGAGCTTGCAGTGAGCCAAGATCGTGCCACTGCACTCCAGCCTGGGCAACAGAGCGAAAGTCTGTCTCAAAAAAAAAAAAAACGAACACAAACAAAAACAAAACAAATATAGATCAGCAAAGTAGGTGTCAAGTCCCCAGGGGATCAGGGACAGAGCCCAGACAAGAACATGAAAGCCAGCATCCTTGTATGTGTGTCACATACCTCTGCCTTGGCACCTTGAAAGGTTTCAGACAGTCAGGCAACTGGGGAGGCAGCTGTTTTCTGCGGTCACAGAGCACATCAGCTTAAGGCTGGTAAAAAGCTTTGATTATTATTCATGACATATAATACTTTTATTAGCTCCACACTGATTAGTGCTGTGCTAGAACTGCTTTCTGTAAAATTGAGATCCTTCCTTGCATGGAACTTATATTATCTGTAGATAAATTCCTCGGTATGACATTTGAATGTCTTAACATTTGAGTATCTTAACAAAGTCCAAAGGATAATTAGAATCATCACTCATACAAGACATATTTTGAAGACAAAAAGGTGTGGTGCCAATATAAAAGGTTCATTTAAAAGAATCCATTTTACTAACTGCAGGTAAGTATCCAAAAGCAACAACCCACTTTCCCAGTTGATTGTGGCTTGTTTTCCCATTCCTGTCCTTTATTCCACGTTGCTGTCTCTCCACTTTCTGATTTTGTAGTGTAGGCTTTGTGTAGCTCTCAAATTCAAATTTAAGCCACTTAAAATGGAGCTCAAAAGCAGGTCCTGAGAATTGATGGCTGAGTAGTGATGGTTGTCAGTGTTTTACACCTTCGTTCTTATATCTATGTTTAACCCAGAGAATGGTATCATAGTTTTACAAAGCATTTGCAGGGTCATTTCTTGAGGCCCTCATGGTGTCTATCTCTCATTCAAGCCACAGGTTATCACCCATCAGCCTTTGACCCTGCCCCCTGCTATGGGACATGCCACAAGGCAGGAGGAGTACCCAACACCCTTTCCAGGACTCCCTCTCAGGGCTCAAGTGATCCTCCCACCTCAGCCTCCCAAGCAGCTGGGACTACAGGCATGTGCCTGGCTAACTTTTGTATTTCTTGTAGAGACGAGGTTTTGCCACTTTGTGCAGGCTGGTCTCGAACTCCTGACCTCAGGTGATCCACCCACTTCAGCCTCCCAAAGTGCTGGAATTACAGGCATGAGCTACAGTACCTGGCCTTTTCTTTTTCTTTTTTTTTTTTTTTTGAGACAGCATCTCACTCTGTCACCTAGTAGCTATGACCACAGGTATGCACCACCACAACTAGCTTTTTTCTTCCTTTCTTTCTTTTCTTTTTTTTTTAGAGATGAAGCCTTGCTATGTTACCCAGTCTGGTCTCAAAATCCTGTCCTCAAGCAGTCCTGCTGCCTTGGCCTCCCAAAGGGTTGGGATTACAGGTGTGAGCCAACACATCTGGCCTTGTCTGTTAACATATCTGCCTTTTTCAATGGATTATAACTTCCTTGAGATCAGGGAATCAGTCTCCATATCACAGCATTATGACAGGCACATATAGGCACTAAAGTAGGAATGAATGAACAAAAAGTAAATGAAGATATCACTAGGCATTAGGGAAACACAAATTAAAATTGTGATGAGATACCACTAGATACCTATAAGAAAGGCTAAAATTTAAGAAAAGAAACCTAACAAGTGAAGGGAAAGATGCGAAGCAGCTAGAGCTTGCATACACTACTGGTGGGAATTCAAAATGGCACAACCAGTGTGCAAAATGGTTTGGCAGTCTGCTGTAAAGCTAAACATGAGCTTATTATGTGACTCGACCATTCCACTCCTACATATTTACCCAAGGAAATTTTGGGGGCACACAGAAACCTGTATGAAATGTATATAGCAATTTTATTCATAATCACCCAAAACTGGAAACAATCTAAGTGTCCTTCAACTGGTGAGTGGATAAACTAAATGTGATATATTTACACAACGGAATACTACAACACAATGAAAAAGAACAAACCACAGGTATGTGCAACAGTTTGCATAAATCTCGACTGTAACGCAAAGTGTAAGAACCAGACCAAGGCTGGGCACAATGGCTCACACCTGTAACCTCAGCATTTTGAGAGGCCGAGGCAGAAGGATGGCTTGAGCCCAGGAGTTCAAGACCAGTCTGGATAATATGGTGAAACTCCGTCTCTACAAAAAGTTAGCCGGGCATGGTGGCGCTTGCCCGTGGTCCCAGCCATTTGGGAGGCTGAGGCAGGAGAATCACTTGGGAAGCCAAGGCTGCAGTGCTGAGATCACGCCACTGCACGCCAGCCTGGGTGACCTAGGAGACCTGTCTCAAAAAAAAAAAAAACAGATTCCAAAAGCTATGTACAATATGATTCCATTTATATGATATTCTAGAAAAGACAAAACTATAGGGACAGACAAGAGATCAGTGATTGCCAGGGGTTAGGGCTGGAGGAAGAGGTGACTCTCAAGGGGCAGCAGGAGGGAATGTTTTGAGGTAATGAAACTGTTCTGTGCCCTGATAATGATGGTGGTTACATGACTCTGCATTTGTCAAGCTCATAGAACTGTATAACTAAAAACAAATAAAGTTTTACTCTATGAAGATAATACAAACTTAATTTGAAAAAGTGAATCAAGGTTATTTTGCTGTTTAGTGTAGATTCAGAAAGAAAATAATCAAAAGAAAATCTGGGTCTGTGGTCCTGTAACCTGCAGTGATTTTGCCCATGCTCATGTACACATTGTGTGTGTGTGTGTGTGTTCAACAAACATTAAAAGAACACTTCCTATGGACTAGCACTTGCTTAGGAGGTCTTGATGAGTGGGAAAAGCAGGGTTCCTGCTCTCTTGGTGGGAGAGGGACAGGTAATATGTAAACAACACATGAATATGACAACTTCAGATAGTGATAAGAGCTGTCAAGACAATAAAACAGGCCTACGTGAGTGGGATTTTGTGTGTGAGCCTCTCTGAGGAGACACCCTTAAGCGAATCCTGGAAGGTACGAAGCCTGCAGCCATGCATGCAAATACTCAAGTAGAGCTGTCCAGACCAGGAAAACATCACATTCCAAGACTCCTAGGGGACAACATTGAAAACCCTCACTTCAAAACTCAGAAAGCCTGGCTAAAATACAACAAACATCCTTTCTATCCTTTCTCATGCGTGGCTGGGCTTCCAGGAAAAAGGCTTAGCCCCCAGGATGGGATTAAGCTCTATGTTCAGAGAACTGGAAGCAGGTCCATGGGACTGGCTCAAGCCAGTTAGAGGACCAGCAGAAGATGAGCTCAGATACATGAATAGGAAGCAGTCTACATAGGCCTTAGGTGCCACGATGAGACATTTGGGTTTCATTCCAAATGTACTCAGAGCTGTGGGAGGCTTTCAAGTGACAGAGTGAAGTGACCTTATTGACATTTTAAAAGGATAACTCTGGCTGCTATAGGAAGAGTGGACTATGGAGGACCAAGAGTGACAGGGAGACCAAACAGGAGGCTGTTGCTAAAGGTCAGGGGAAGGTCCACGTCGGCCAGAACCTGTGCAGTGCCATGGAGATAGGGAGAAGTGAGTGGCTTTGAGGTAGATTTTAGAGCTGGAACTTACTGATGGATTGAACATTGGGGATTGTGAGGGAAAAAGAAGATGAGGATGAGGTCTCAGTTTTTGACACGTGTATCTGGGGTCTGACAGTGCTGAAATAGGGAAGGGTAAGAGAGAAACAAGAGTTTTCCTTGATAGTGTGGCAGGAAACCAAAATTCCATTTTAGACATGGTAACTTTGAGACACCCATTAGGCATCTCTGTGAAGATGTAAGTAGGCAGGTCGAGGTATATTTCTGGAGCTCTGGGAACAGAAAAAGAATGTATTTCAGAGACAGTGGCATGCAGGTGGCACTTACAGTCTTGGAGATAGATTAGTGCCCCTAGAAAGGGCCTGTGGAGAGAGGAGATGACTAATGACCAAGATTTGGACTGTGCCAACCTTTGGGGGCCAGTCAGAGGAGCCAGCTAAGGAAACTGAAGGAAAGCCAGTGAGGTGGGAACGAAACTAGCATGTAGTGATGCAGAAGCCAAGGGAAATAAGTTTTACAAAAAACAGTGGAATGGACAGCTATACAGAATGATTTAGAGAGTTTGATTAGAGTGCAACCATTAAATATGACAAAGACTGGTGGCCTTGGTTAGCGCAGTTTCTGTGGAATTTGGGAACAGCCTGTTTGGGGTGAGAATACTGGGGGAGAAAGTGGAGACTGGCTATAGACCATCCTTTTGAGGTTTTACTGTAAAGGGGAACTGAGGAATAGCAGTGCAGCTGGAGAAGCCTGTGGGAGTGGAGGAAGGGCTCTTTCTCAGGTGTCAGATAGAGATATGCTGATAGAATGACCCATCAAGTAAAGCGAGAGAACATGACGATGAGGGTTGGAGAGGAGGAACAGATACTTACAGGAGTTCCGTCCTTGAGGGAAAGAGAAGGATGAGCTCCACCGCCCATGTGAGCAGGGTGGCCTTAGCTAGGCACATGGACGGCTCATCAGTTGTAATCAAAGAGAAGACAGGGAGATGGAACAGGGGCAGGTGGATGAATAGATTCAAGGATGAGAAGATGAGGAGTATGTAGTTCTCTCTGTGTTTATTTCCTCTAAGAAATAGGAAGTAAGGTCAAGTGCCAGGAGTGGAGTTGGTTGCTGGAGATTTGAAGAGAAATGGAAAAAGGTATAAAATGGTTTTGGATACTGGGGAAAAAAAGCATATTACAAACAAATGGAGAGAGAAATGAGTGGACAACACACCCTTTAGAGAGAGAGAGACACCACCAGCATGTGTGTGTTCATATGTGTGTGTCACACACACATATGCACACACACACTAAGCAATGAAGGAGAGAAGGACCTCAACAGCAACAAGTAGGCTAAACTTCAGCTGTTCAATGGAAGAATCTACACCTGAAGAAACGATTCTAAGCTGAGCAGAGCTGGACTCTGCATCAGTTAGCTCTCTTCTGGGTTTTGATTGTGGTCCAATTCCTTGGGAGGCTGAAAACCGCCCGACTGGAATCATGCTGCAATCAGTCTCTCCATCAGCTGATATGATGTTCCAGAGCAGTAAGAGTGAAGAATAAAATTCAACAAAATTCCCGAGACCAGCTGTCAAGATGGAGCCCGGCGTCCTTGGAGAGGCTTCTGGAGAAGTCCAAGCAAAAGGAGGGAGCCTGCCCCGGCGGCCTCGTGGCCGGCTCCGAGGTGGCCTGGCTGCTTTCCCCGGGGGGTGCCTGGGAGGCAGGCGTCAGGGGCCTCCAGGTGCGGGACCTGCCCGGGTGTGGGGGTGTGGGGTCCCCTGGCCCAGAGCAGGCTCATCCTGCCAAGCCTAGGTCTAAGCACAATCTCAGCTTTTGGAGCCAGCAGTTGCAGCCAGGCCGAATTCAGTTTTTCTGGAATTCAGTTGTTCTGACCCAAGTTCAGCCGACAAGTGAGGGTCTGCTGTGTTCCTGGTGCTGAGAGCGCGACAGGGTCTGAGCCTGCCAGGATGACAGGATCCTGGTGATGCGGCCCAACAGGAAGCAAAGCACAGGGAGGCAGAAATGAGAAACAGTATCTTAGCCCAAGTTCTAAATCAGTCGGCCCCTGGCCAGGTTAAGTAACTTAGCACGTGTAAAGACTAAAAAAACTAAAGCAGTAGAGAATTACCTTATACAGATGACAAGATATGGACAACTAAGTGAGAAGGTATCACAACTAGGTTTAATAGAAATCCTTAAAAAAAGTAAGCCGACAAACAGAAAAGACAACAACAGTGAAATTCAACAGAAGAAAAGTAATAGACTCTGATGAAGATGACGATTATTGAACTAAAAGTTTTCATAGACTAGAACTTAATGGAACGATTCTAGGACGGAAGTTAAGATCTGATTTAAAATTTACTTTGTTTATTGTCTATATGCCTTTTTTAAAAATAAACTTGTTATGCAAAGTAAAAAAAAAAAAAAAGGCAGGGAGCCTGAAGTTTTATAGAGAATGCTACGGTTCTCCAACTTAACTTCTATCAGCCAAGTTAGCAGTAGAGCTTTAACTGTAAGAAGAAGTGTATTGGTTTCTGTTGCTGCTGTAACAAATCGCTATAAGCATGTTGGCTTTAAACAACACAAATTTGTTATCTGACAGTTCTAGAGATCAAAAGTTTAAACGGATTCGCAGGGCTTCTAGAGTCTCCTTCTGGAGGCTCTAGGAGAGATTATGTGTTCTTGTCTTTCCAGCTTCTACCAGCCACCTGCATTCCCTAGTTTGTGACCCACTCCTCTATCTTCAAAGCCAGTAGCACAGCATCTTCAAGTCTCTCTCCAAACTAATCTCTGCTTCCCTCAACCCATCTCCCTTTCTCATTGTCCCTGCCTCCCTCTTTTCCTTCTAGGGACATTTGTATTTACATTGAGCCCAACCATATAATATAAAATAATCTCTTTGTCTCAAGATCCTTAACTTAATAACACTTACAAAGCCCCTTGGCATGTAAGGTAACATATTCACAGATTAGGATGAGGACATCTTTAGGGGTGAGGGAATATTCTACCATAAGAAGCTTCCTGCTGTATCCATTGTAGTGACTTTCTCTTTGGTTAAATCACTTCATCCTATTTGCCTTTGAAAACTTACCTTCTGAACTAATTGAGGTTCTGTGTGAGAAACATGTGAGGGGAGAAGAAAAGGCACACACACAATACCTTTAAGGGTAAACAAGCTTTATCCCACGTAAATGGCAATGCAGATATAATAAGCAAATTGATATAATAAGCAAATGATATAATAAGCAAATTGATATAATAAGCAGATTGACATAATAAGCAAATTGCAATGGGAAGGAGAGAAGGGAAAAGAGATTTACATTCACCAGACTATGGAGGATTCACCCCCAGACTGGGAAGTAACAGCCTGGACTCCAAAGTCAGCCACTCATCCATGTACAGACAAGGAGAGGTCTCATGAAGCTTTGGCGCAGTCTGGGACCCCAGCTCTTTTTGTAACAAATTGTTTGGCATGAGGCCCAGTCATGAGGGCCCTTCTCGACTAGGCTCAAGGAACACAAAAAAGTCAACCTGTTTTTGTGATTGTCTATTGTTTTTCAATAACTAATGTGTAAGAGTCGATTGAAATAGAGATTTCTCTGAAACAGTGCTGGATGAATGCCTCAAGTGGCTCACATAACCTGTTCTGGGACTTGGTGACCATTGTTTGTGTCCATGTTCATCTGAGTTCAAATTTAATATTTAACTTTTCCTCCACAATTGATTAGAACAGTGGTACCAGAGGCTAGGCACAGTGGCTCACACTTGTAATCCCAGCACTTTGGGAGGCCGAGGCAGGCGGATCACTTGAGGTCAGGAGTTCGAGACCAGTCTGGCCAACATGATGAAACCCCGTCTCTACTAAAAATTCAAAAAAACTAGCCAGGCATGGTGGCAGGCACCTGTAAACCCAGCTACTCAGGAGGCTAAGGCATGAGAATCATGTGAACCCAAGAGGCAAAGATTACAGTGAGCCGAGATCATGCCACTGCCCTCTAGCCTGAGCGACAGAGTGAGACTCCATCTCAACAAAACAAAACAAAAACAAGTCTGGGCGCGGTGGCTCAGGCCTGTAATCCTAGCACTTTGGAAGGCTGAGGTGGGCAGATCACGAGATCAGGAGATCGAGACCATCCTGGCCAACATGGTGAAACCCAGTCTCTACTAAAAATACAAAAATTAGCTGGGCATGATGGTGTGCACCTGTAGTCCTAGCTACTCGGGACTCCTGCTGAGGCAGGAGAATTGCTTGAACCCAGGAGGTGGAGGTTGCAGTGAGCTGAGATTGTACCACTGCACTCCAGCCTGGCGACAGAGCGAGACTCCATCTCAAAACAAAAACCAAAACAAAAGCAAAAGAACAATGGTACCAGAGACCTTCCCTTCTCTTGCCTTCGTTGTTTCCCCCTATACTTTATGAAATGTGCTGTGGCCTGAAATTTAAAACATTGCATTTGCTTAACTCAGCCACCTAAAGCTTTTATTTTTCTTTCAGTGCCTTAAAGTAATAGGATTTAGAGCTTTTAAAAAGAAGTTCTTTATATGAAGCTCTGAGATCAAATGTGAAGTCAACAAGTTGTTTTCTCTGATCCATCATAGGGTTTTTTTCTGCATTTTGGATATGTGAGAGTTTTGAACTTCTGCTACATAAAACATCATAGCAATCATACACCCTACAGTTTATGATATAATTAATATGGTAATATACACTATCTTCATATATTAAATTCCCAGAGTCTACTAATCTAAGATTAATATAGCATGTCATTGATGTTTACATCATTTGTCAACAAATTCAGCATTTAAGAATGAGTAAGCATGCACACACATGAGGCTGTGTGTGGCTGTAAGATTCTGTCTCAAGTCCTGGCAGGAAAGACTAAGGTGTAACTTCAGCTCTGTGGCCTTGAGGAAGTTACATCACCTTCAGAATCTCACTTGGCTCCCAGGTAGACAATGAGTAATTATACAGCTCTCCTGGAGATAGGATGTATATTATCTGATTTTTGTTCACAAAAAGGCATATAAATACCAAGCATTGCTATAAATTAAAATTTCACCTCACATAATTCATCTATGCCTTTATAAATCTCCTCTCTGTTTTCAATTAGATTTGATATGCCTCATTATTTCTCATTTAGAACCAGCCATTGGAATGAATTTTATATTCATTTGAATGGATATAAAATGGTTTGCTTTCAACCATTTTATGTTTATTCAAATATTAGCTTTCTTTTAGTTCTTGAAAGGATTTCTGTTTATATCCCATTATGCTTATTTTTCTATTATATAAAAATTTATATTTTTATAATATTTAGAAGTTGAAGTGTTCTATTTAGAAATGTAAAATTCTCTGGATCTATTTCATGAGGTGGATGAGGAGACATGCAGCAACCGCCAATTCCTAATAATTGTACTGGTCAGGGTGCCAGCAGGAAGCTAGTGACACCCTCAAAAGGGGCCGTGGAAAGGTGTTTAGCGAAGGGACTCTTTATGAAGATGTGGGAACCATTCAGAGAAAGCAATAAGGAATAATAAAGCACCCTGGATCCACCTGTGCCTCAAAGAGCAACAGGAGGGAGGGGTGGCCAGACCCTGACAAGAGCTGTGGCTGCTGTGAAAGAAGGCCCAGGAAATGAGAGCACACACTGCCAGACCTCCAGCCAGTCAGGGGGAAGGGAGAAGGGAAGCAAGGGAAATAATATCCCAACCCTCCTTCACTCTGTTCTCTTGCCTTCCTTCCTTTATTCAAACTTAGCTACAAGCCAGTGGGCAAGGGAGCCGGTTGATGCAGTCCACAGAGGGCCATTCCCTAGCACACAGCAGAGTGGGAAAGAGTGGAGAGTGATCTGGAAGAGCAAACAAAAGATAACTAGCACAGTGGTCTATTGGAAAAAGCATCCCAAATTTATGTTGGCCTTTGGGGTTTGGTACATGCATACCTGCACCCCCATACTTAGGCCTTGACCCCTTTGGTTCCAAGCACCTTTCTTCTCAGCTCTGCCATTATGGGTCTTAAAGCTGAGCTGGCCACCATGGATGATGCCCAGATCAGCTCACTGCTCTGTGGATAGTAAGACTTGACTAATAAGTCCATGGTTCGGGCATCCCGGGTGATGTTCCCAGGAGGCTGTCTGGGAGGAGCTCTCCCTCACTCTCCGTGTCCTCCTTTTCCAGGGTGGAGCTTCAGCATGGGATCGGCCTACCAGTTTCACAGTTGGCGTGTGTTTGTCATCGTCTGTGCACTCCCCTGTGTCTCCTCCGTGGTGGCCCTCACATTCATGCCTGAAAGCCCACGATTCTTGTTGGAGGTAACACTTATTATTGCAGATACTCAGGTAGCCCACCTCTATTGGAAAAAGTTCCTTGTTAATTCTAGGAAAGCACATTTGCCTATTTGAGAGGTACATTTTCCCTTCCTATTATAGAATGATGGAGGGTTTGGTTTCATGGAGACCTGCTTTCAACAACCAACATGTAAAAAAGCTGCCTCATGGCTAGAAAGCACTCATGTTTCTCCTTAAACAAATAACTTGGCTCAATGAAGAAAACATGATTTATTGTTTTATAGCGAAATTTTACCATCTGGAGATACTATTTCTAGTTATAACCATATTATTTGAACTGCTCATGTATTCAGTGATATCCAAATAGTCTGTATGTTCCAATGGGATGTACTGAGATACATTTGCACAATTACACCTCATTTGATCTGACAATGCAAGACGGCTATTGGAAAATCAGGGAGGGTAAGTGTGTCACTCCTAGCGCTTCACTGTCCACTCTCATTTCTTAGGTTGGAAAACATGATGAAGCTTGGATGATTCTGAAGTTAATTCATGACACCAACATGAGAGCCCGGGGTCAGCCTGAGAAGGTCTTCACGGTGAGTCTTCTCCCCAGAGAATCCTCAACACCAGGGATTGGGACATGTTTTCTGTCAAGGGAAAAATTGTAAATATTTTAGACTTTGCAAGTCATACGGTCTTTGACACAGCTACTCAGCTCTGCCATTGTAGTGCAAAAGCAGCCATAGGCAATGTTAAAATAAATGGGATGACTGTGTGTCAATAAAACTTTATTTACAGAGACAGGCAGAGGGCTGTTTTTGGCCCATAGGTTGCCAACCTTGCTTATGCCTATCTAGGACTCGAGGGCTCTGTGGTTGGTTAAATGATAACACCAACCCAAGAGATGGGGTTAAGGTGGAAAGACTGCATTTTCATCACAGACTTACTTACTCTCTGACTCCCAGGTTCAGTACCCGAGGACAAGAGATTCTTGGTGTAGGGACTGCCAGCTGATTCTCCTTGACCTGCTACCAGAAGAGAGCCAGGCTGTGCAGGGCCATTTCCTCCACTCGGCCAGGTCATACCTTTTCAAGTGACACTCAGCCCCCACAAAGGTGTATACTCATAGCAGCCCCATAACATTTTCTCTAAGATGTCAGAGAGACATCTTAGAGAGGTATGCCTCTGTTAGGACCACCATGAGGCCTTTAACAGACCTTGGAATACATAGTAAATGGTAAAATTATTTATTGAAAACAAAAAAAAACCAGTATCTAATAAGTGAGAAAACAATTATACTAAGGATCAAAGCAATGTAACAACATAAAACTAATCTCTGGGTTTCCTGATGTATTAGTCCATTTTCATGCTGCTAATAAAGACATACCCAAGACTGGGCAATTTATAAAGGAAAAAGGTTTAATTGACTCACAGTTCAGCATGGCTGGAGAGGACTCAGGAAACTTCTGATCATGGCAGAAGGGGAAGCAAACACGTCCTTCTTCACATGGCGGCAACAAGGAGAAATGCTGAGCAAAAGGGAGAAAATCCCCTTGTAAAACCATCAGATACCGTCAGAACTCACTGACTGTCATGAGAACAGCAGCATAGGGGTAACTGTCCCCATGATTCAATTACCTCCCACTGGGTCCCTCCCACAACACGTGGGGATTATGGGAACTACAATTCGAGATGAGATCTGGGTGGGGACACGGCCAAACCATATCACCTGACAACCAAAGCAAAGGATAAATTTAATGAATTATATCATTATTGATATAAAGCAATGTGTTCGCTTTTCAGGAAATGCTTTTCAGGTAGTGTATTCACTTTTCAGGAAAGGCCAATTTTATCTTGTTCTAATTTGTGAAAAGTTTATTCATAGGCCTTATTATAAGGGATATTGAACAATATAATGGACATTATTTTCAGTAACACTTTTACATAAAGGCAGACATTTCACACATGGCCATTTCTTAGGTTAATAATTAATCAGAATTTGGTAAAGGAAAGTAGCTATATAGGAAACCAGAGAAAGGTAATCCAAGAATGTGGCTTCAACTTGATATAGCTTGACATGAACATAAGGTATAAAAGAATCATAGATATAGTTCCAAAAATATATATTTCATTTTATTATACATGCAGGCACATGGGCACACACATACATAACACATACCCCAGTTTCACATTCTAGCAGCTTCCCATTGCTCTCAGGATAAAGACAGAAACCCTCCCTCCGGACACTAAGGTCCTGCCAGTCTCCTTCCTGCCTGCTTTATAGTTCCCCTCTCTCTGCAGCTACATTCATCCCTCAGCTCCTCACACTCAACATTTGACTTACTATACAGCACTACCACAGTGCTGCTGTTCCCTCTGCATGGAACATTCCTCCATCTCTAGTTACAAAGCTGATTCTCCATGGGGAAAGCCAGTATAAATTAATTTAAATTGGTTGCAGGAAATGTTTCGGAAGGAACAATTGTTTAAAATCTTTCAATATACGCAGTCATATAATTAGACTAAAAATGGCCAGGCGTGGTGACTCACACCCATAATCCCAGCACTTTGGGAGGCTGAGGTGGGCGGATTACAAGGTCAGGAGATCGAGACCATCCTGGCCAACAAGGTGAAACCCCATCTCTGCTAAAAACACAAAAATCAGCTGGGTGTGATGGCACCTGCCTGTAATCCCAGCTACTCGGGAAGCTGAGGCAGGAGAATGGCTTGAGCCCAGGAGGCGGAGATTGCAGTGAGCCAAGATCGTGCCTCTGCACTCTAGCCTGGCAACAGAGCACGACTCCATCTCAAAAAAAAAAAAAAAAAAATAGACTAAAAATGTTTTGTCTACAGTAGGTTGGAGGGACATATGGTAAGACATAAGTGGGAACCTAAATAAGATCTTCAGTGGCTTATACCTAACAAACATCAATTACAGTTCTTAAAACACATGAAATCACTTCTGATTAAATAGTCCCCTGCTATCTCATTTATTAATTTCATTTTATTTAGGAAATGAATTTTTCATACTGTAAAGATAAACTGCAATTTGGCCTCTATCCAAATTATCACAGATTCTTAATTAGCAAAATTTTCTCTGCAGTATAATGGAGAAATGAAGATAAGTAATGGATATCCTCAATTAAGGCCTGGAAGCTTTTGAGGACTCTCTTCTTTTGAGTAGATATACAATAGAGGGGAAAAATTTTAATTTAAAGGATCATAAGGCTGGAAGAATCTTGAGACATTATCTGGATATACAACATCACTTAACTCTTCTCAGCCAGATGAAGAAAAACCCTTTATTTACCAGACCTTCTGAGAAGGTGTCTCTATAGGGCCTCATTGCCCTACTTACCTGCCTTTTCTTCCAAAAGGGTTGAGTTACCAAGTCCACTAATGGCGATGTGTTAATGTTGTTACATGAAGGTTAGAGGAGAATAAGATGGATATACTCCAAAAGTGATTGATAATTTCAAAGTCATTTATATGTGACTTTCAAAAAGTTGTTACATGATTCTGCCATAACAAATTTATCTTTTTATTTTTTAAATCCACGGTACAGCAAAGTTGCATGCATTTTCCTAAGGTCTCCTTTTCTTTTTTTTTTTTCCTTATTTTTTGAGACAGGGTCTCGTTCTGTTGCCCAGGCTGGAGTGCAGTGGTGTGATCACAGCTCACTGCAGCTTCAACCTCCCTGGCTCAGGTGATCCTCCTGCCTCAGCCTTCCTACTAACTGGGAATACAGGCATGTGCCACCATATCTGGCTGATTTTTGAATTATTTGTAGATAATTAACAACAGGTCTCCTTATGTTGTCCAGGCTGGTCTCAAACTCCTAGGCTCAAGTGATCCTTCTGCCTCAGCCTCGCAAAGGGCTGGAATTGCAGATGTGAGTCACCATGCCTGGCCCTCTTAAGGTGTCCTCTGAAGCTCTTCTTAGTGTGCCCTTACCTTAAATATTGTTTTCGAAGACTTCATTTTCAGCTAACTTCCACTTTAACCCTATTCACTCTCCTTAGCTGATCTCAGCTATTTCCTGCATGTATCCTAATGCACAAATCTCCTGAGCTCCACACATGCAGGTTGAAGGACTTTGTGGGCATCCTTCTAGATCACATAGGCCCTTCAAAAATGGCATCTTTGGGCAGTGAGGGGTGGGGAAAGATGGCATCTTTAAATCTGAATTTATCACCTAAGCAGTCTCCAAGCCTCATCATTGCCCTAAATTTCATCAGTAGGTACCACAAGCACCACCTAAACCCAAAAACTATATTCTTTCTTTTATCTTTGGTACATCTAAGAAACCATTATGTTCTATTATTCCACCTCCTAAATATCACTCCACTGCTGCTGATTTGGTGCAGTCCTCCTTATTCACTGCCCTCTGGCCTTCTACTATCCTTCAGGAATCGCGAACTCTTTGCAGTTTCCCGGTGCACTATTTTCCCTCCTAACTCTGGACATTTGTTTGCACATGGTATTTCTCCCACTTGGAATATCCTCCAAGCAGGTTACATCCATGGCAGATAGCGTATTTCTCTATAAGCCTGCAGTTCCTGAAGCCTCTCTCTCACTTCCAGGTTAAGTAGGTTGTTCTGAACAGTATTTCCTTCCCATCTTTTATAGATCCCCATTAGAGTACTTTTTTTCGTTTTGTATGGTAATTGTTTGGAGCCACATGGCTGCCTATGTTTGCATCCCGCATGGGTGCCAATGAATAAATGAACAAACAAATATCGATGAGTGAAAAAGCGGAAGCCTCCCAAAAGTAGTATGTTGGATTAAGACTATCCCATGATGTAAAAAGAAAAGAAAAAAAAACTTTTTAAATCTAGAGTTTTAAAAAACATAATTCCTACATGGATTATTTTGAGCCGATTGCATTTGATTTGGAATTCCATATTTAACTCAGAGATTATTTTTGCTAAGTACAGACATCTTTGTTTACCTGGCCAGAAAGAACCTACTGCCTACTTGGTATAATTTGAAAGGTGCTGAGGGTCCCCAAGCCACCTCTATCCAAAACTGGCCTAGGTACCTGTACTCTGCCAATAGAGTTACCCCTTTAAATGTTGGCAGGATGTCCGGAAAAACCTGTTCAAACCTCTGGCAGGGGTAATGTGTACACATTTCCATGTCCTCTCAGATTTATCAAAAACAGGTAAATCTTGATTAGCAGGAGAAGGCGGGTCAGGCCCACAAAGGACCCATTCTTCATTTTTTTCTATTTTCAGGATTCATTCTCTGTGCTTCTCCTATCTTGTGGTTCTCTTCCTTAGCAAAAAGAGGCTAACTGAGTCATAGATGCTGCTTTTCATGCTGAACCTCTATCATTTATTTCCCTTATATGGCTGAGAAATTCATGTTGATGCTTGCAGTCAAAAATCCTTCACTTAATCTTGAATCATGGCTACCTGTGGGTATTTGCTGACTAGCCACTGTGGGTTAGGCTGTGGGAGAAGGAAGAAAAGGACCGGAAGTGGTGCTCTGAGAATAGTGATGGGAATGCTTTCAGAACTATAGTTAGGGGTCAAATTCATCAAATAAGTAGGTTTCAAAGAAAAAAATGTGTAGACTCACTTTAGCCCAAGCTAAATAATTCTTAATCCAGAATCTAACTTATCTGGATGTTTTGTCTGCTAATGTGTGTCTCTGTAGTAATGGTTCAGGGAGGGCATTTTGGTTTCACATTATTCTATTACTACTTGCCCTTCCCCCATTTCTTTGTGGTTTTCCCTCTCACTCATTCCTTCTTCAGTTCTTCCAGGTGCTGTTTGGATCCATATACTTATGGCAGTGGTCTCATATATGTATGAACTGATTACCAAATACCGCCTACTTCTTGCCGGAGTCAGTTTTTGCTCCTGTAAAAACAAATTATAACCCTACACTCAGCAACTTCAGAGAAGGTAACTTAGCGCTTTGGTCTGTTTCTCTCTACAGGTAAACAAAATAAAAACTCCTAAACAAATAGATGAGCTGATTGAAATTGAGAGTGACACAGGAACATGGTATAGGAGGTGTTTTGTTCGGATCCGCACCGAGCTGTACGGAGTAAGTAACAAGTCCCATGATGACCTGCATGTTAATTTATTGCATTTGAGGTTAGTCAGAAGAGGGGTTTACTGGGCCTGCCCTATGAGCGAGGTTCTTTCCTGCTGCCCAGGACACCTGACTCCTGGACTAGAGCCAGGTAATTGGATCCCACTCGACCAGCATTTAGCCAATACATTCCATCTGTGGGAAGGGAAAGTGTTAGGCCAGGAGTCTTGGCAGTGGCAGGGTGCCTTCAAATCTTGAGTTACCTTGTCCATTGACATCCAGGAAGCTGAAGAATGAAAATTCCAATTACCTTTAACTTTTACATTTTAAGGTGAAATGAATCCAACCCAATGACAACTCAGCATTTTTTATAATTTGGTGGAAGGGGTCGGGGAGTGGGGTTGACTAAGTAACTGCATGAGAAAACTAACTCTCTAATATTTCACAGATTTGGTTGACTTTTATGAGATGTTTCAACTACCCAGTCAGGGATAATACAATAAAGCTTACAATTGTTTGGTTCACCCTGTCCTTTGGGTAAGTGATATTTAAATTCTTGGCAAGCAAAATCGTTCAATGTCCACATTGTAACTCCTAGCCATGCTGCTTTCTTTTCTGATACTGCTTGATGCTGTTAACCTGCTAAGGAAGAAATTTTTTTCAGCTTAGGTTTGCTGAGAGTTATGGTTTTTATAAACCAGTTATTTTATTTGTTTTGTCATAAAGCTAAGGTAGCAAAACCAATTGTATCTGCAAAATCCAGTAAGGCCCTGGATGATTTGCCCCATGACTTCTCTGTCCTGTCCTCCTTTGCCCAGCCCCAGCCATACCAGCCTCTCTGCTCTTCTTTGAACATTCTAGAACAGTTCCCATCTCGGGCCTTTGCGGTGTTCCTCTGCCTGAGTTGCTTTCCCCTCCAGACATCTGCCCAGTTCATTTCTTTACCCTCTTCAACTCTTTCCTCAGATGTCACCTTCTCAGTGATGTCATCCTCTCTTTTTAAAAAATTGCAGCCCCTCCACACTCCCTATCCCCTTCTCAGCTCTACTTTACCCCACAGCACTTTCTACCTTCTAATATGCAAAACACTCCTTTATTCTGTATAAAGAGTAAAGCTCTGGCTTCCCTCTCTGGAAGCTCCATGAGGACAGGGGTTTTTAACTGCCTTGTTCAAAGCTGAGTGTGGTGCCATCCACCTATATTCCAAGCTATTCTGGAAGCTGAGGTGAAGGATTGCTTGAGCCCAGGAGTTGGAAGCTTAAGAGTGTTATAATCACACCTGTTACTAGCCACTGCCCTCCAGCCTGGGCAACATATCAAGACCCCATTTCTAAAAAAATAATAATAATTTTGTTTATGTCTTGTTCACTGATGTATATTCCTGGCATGTAATAGCAGCTCAATAAATAGTTGTTGCCAAATGAATTAAACTGCCATATATGTGTTCCAGGAAAAGAGGAAATAGGGAGAAAATAACAAGATTTTATTTGTTAATCGCTGACATAGTCACTTTAGAATGTGTGTGTACAACTCTATTGTTGCCTAATTTGCTGTTTAGAAAAGAAAAATTAGATAATACTCTACACTTTCAGGTCAGCAGGAACTCAGTACCTTATAGAACCTAACATTTATGTTGCAAGTTTCATCTCTTAACATCCCTAAATCAAACCAGGCAAGTGATCTAAGGTGACCACTCTTTCTTAGTGCCTGAGGAGGTGGAATACGGAGAAAGAAGGAAGCTGGGAGTCAGGAGACCTAGCAGCCCATTCTGCTGGGTGACTTGGTTAGCTTGTGACTTGGAGACATTTCTCAGTTCCTCATTTCTAAATTAAGAGGGTTGACTTAGAATATGTAAAGTAATTCCCACCCAAGCTCTAGAAAATCCATTAATCTCTGAAGGAAGGGAAGGCTAAATATTAACCTATATTAAGTGCTTACTCTGTACCTAAGCAAGGGGTTAAAGACAAAGAAGACAAAGATAAGCAAGAAGGAAGTCCTGCTGTCAAGGTGTAAAGAGTAATCATCATTATCTGGCTTGTTTATTTTGTTTACTAATTCATTATTGATCATATTTTAAGCTTTATGATTTGTTTTACTGCTATATCCCTGGAACCTCAATAGTGCCTAGTATTTAGTGCGTGTTCGGTAAATGTTTGCTAAATAAATGACAAATTAGCCAAAAGCCCTCCACATCATTGATGATGGATGGACATTCCAAGGTAATGTGCCCTCCTCATTGTTGCCATTTCAAGGTTTGTGCCCCATGTATGTGACTAGAGAACAATGCCATAAATGTTGTACCCCTAAGTCATTTCTTCCTCAATAACTACCCTCACACCCCCACAGACATTACTATGAAGAAAAGGGGTGGGAATCCTGAGGCACAGATGTTTTTGGAATCCTAATGACAATGATGATAAAAACGACTCATACTGTCTTCTGAGCACTTTCTATGTGCTAGGTACTTGACATCCCATTTAAACTGAGCAACCACCCAGGAAGGTGGATATTCCCATCATTCCAATAGTAGAGATGGGCAACTGAGGCTTAGATAACTGGCCCAAGTTTAGGCAGCTAGTAAGCGACAAGACCAGGATTCAAACCCAGCCTGTCCTCCTGCAAAGGCTATGCCCATACTCTCTTCTTTCCCTGTGTAGCTAAGTGTCACTGGGAATAAACTAGAGCAGTGGTTCTCAAACTTGAACGTGCATCAGAAGAATCCCTGGAGGACTCCCCTGCCAAAGTTTTTAATTCATCAGGTCTCACTGGAACCTGGGTTTGTGGGGGATGATGATCCTGCTGGTCCGGGGACCTTATCTTATCTTAGGAGGTACTACTTTAGAGCAGCACAGTCTAATAGAGGTATCGTGTGAACCACAGATGTCATTTCAGATTTTCTGGTAGCCATACACACACACACAAAGTAAAAGGAAATAGATAAAATTAATTTTAATACTACATTTTGTTTCATTCATTCTCTCTCTCTTTTTTTTTTTTTTTTTTGATGGAGTCTCGCTCTTTTGCCAGGCTGGAGTGCATTGGCACGATATCGGCTCGCTGCAACCTCCGACTCCCTGGTTCAAGCTATTCTTCTGCCTCAGTTTCCTGAGTAGCTGGGACTACAGGCGTGCACCACCATGCCCGGCTAATTTTTGTATTTTTAGTAGAGGTAGGGTTTCACCATGTTGACCAGGCTGGTCTCGATCTCCTGACCTTGTGATCTGCCTGCCTCGGCCTCCCAAAGTGTTGGGATTATAGGCGTGAGCCACTGTCATTTCAACATATGATCAGTATAAAAATTATTAGCAACAATTTTTACCTTCTTTTTTTCCGTAAGTCTTCAAAATCCTGTGGTATTTTATATTTATAGTATATCTCAGTTTGAACCAGCCACATCTCAACTGCCTGGTAGGCACACGTGGTTAGTGGCTTCTGTACTGAACAGTACAGCAGCATGACACAGCTGTTAGAATAACACATTAGAGGTCAAGAGGCAGAAAGGGGAAATAACTTGGAATCTCTGAGAATAACACGAATGTCCTCTTCCCAGCCTCTAACTACCTTGGGAACTGGCATTCTACCCCCAGGATAGCAGTATCACAGCAGTGTAGGAACCAAGAAAGATTCCCCATTAGCAAAAGAGGTCATTCTTTAGGGGCTCTCACCGTGCTTGGATCCCAGGAGTTTGTACCACCAGACTAGGAGAGAGAGTTTCTCAGAGCAGACTGGAATGATGAGAAAGATATTGGGGCCAGGATGTCAGATGTCTTACTCCATTTCTGCTGCTATAACAAAATACCACAACAGGTAATTTGTAAATAATAGGAATTTTATTTTTCACAGTCCTGAAGACTGGAAGTCCAAGCTCAAGCTGCTGGCAGATTCAGTGTGCAGTAATGGCACAGTCTCTGCTTCCAAGATGGCAGCTTGTCGCTGAGTCCTCCAGAGGGGACAAATACTGTGTCCTCAGTGGTAGAAGGGATGGAAGGGAAAAAGTGAGAGAGGCAGCACCCTCGCACCTCTTTTTATAAGGACATTAATCTCATTCATGAGGTCTCTGCCCTCATAACTTAATCACCTCCTAAAGCCCCCACCTCTAATATTATTATACTGGGGTTTAAGTTCCAACACATAAGTTTTGGAAGGACACATTCAGACCAGGCACCATGTATGGGCATAGGATCGGATGCTTTCTGCATGTCTCTTCCCAAAGGAAGGGTTTAGGAATTACATACCTGGGGTTCTCCAGCTAACCATAGGCCATCTCTCAAGCTTGATTTTTGCAGATTAATGCTGGGGGAGAGGGACACATGGATTGCTGTATGATGAATTACTCATAATGTTATAGGGAGCCAGCCATTCTCCGGGAACTATTACCAGTCTGAAAACATCAGGGAGTTGCTCATTGCCTCTGGCATGCTAGTGCCTTTACAAACTCACATTTCTTTGTCTTTGCAGGTACTATGGATTATCCGTTTGGTTCCCTGATGTCATTAAACCTCTGCAGTCCGATGAATATGCATTGCTAACCAGAAATGTGGAGAGAGATAAATATGCAAATTTCACTATTAACTTTACAATGGAAAATCAGATTCATACTGGAATGGAATACGACAATGGCAGGTCTAGAAACTTGAAATAATTTAATTTGCTACCTATTCACAAAAACTTATTTCTTCTTAGCTTTCCCTGCACTGAAACAGGCATAGTTTTTTGTTTGTTTGTTTTAGTTTGTACATTTAGTCATTTTCATGATGAATTTCAATACTTCTTAATAGGCTTTAAATAAAAGGTACAAATGTATCCATTACTTCACTTAAAACTATTTTTGCAGCTAAGTTGCTTCATATTTATTAGGTAGTGGACTTGACTGGTGTGGAAGGAAAATTTAGAGCAATGTTGGAGAGCAACAAAAATAATGGAAGGAAGAGAAGAGTGAAGAGTATGGGAAAATAAGACAGGCTATAGGATTATTTAATTCACAGAAGAAATCTGAAATGTGATTATATGAGTCTTCTATTCCTGAGAAACAGAGCCACTTTTCAGAATTCATCCTTCCCAATACGCTGAATCCAGAATTGAGGTTAAATTGCATCAGGAAGAGTTTCAATTAGAGAACAGGAATCATTCCCCAAAGTAAAGGGCTTTGAAAGACGGAAGGGTCTCCTTTATGGGATCTGAAATACTTCTTGATGACAAGAGAGAACTGACTCAGGGAGGTGGTCCTGGGTCATTCTTTTAGAGATGGAAAAGAGTAGACCAAGTACTTGTTTATATCCAAGTATTTTTGTTGCCTGAACAAATAATTGCCAGTGTAAGTTCATGATAGTTTACATCATTCTTAGGAAGTTGTCCCAATTTCAAAAGTGATAAAATAAAACTCTAAAATAATCAAAGTTCCCCAGGGCAAAAACCAGTTCAGAAAGATGAAAAAGAATTCAGTGGGATGCTTATGATCTATGTAATGGAAAAGAGGGTTACTAACTAGGAGGTAATTGTTCAAATTAGCAATTCAATGAAGGAACTAATCATCATCCAAGCCAAGTGGGATCACCTTCACTCTCCCACATAAAATACTGACTTGAATCTGCACTTAGCATTTCACAGAAAGCTTAGTGTCAAGTCCTCTGTGATGCCAGGGTGAAAACTGACTTTCAAAAGTATTGTTACTCCATTAGAAATTTCTAATATATGTTTGTGTCTCTGACAGTCATATTTTTAGTAATATATGTTAAAGTTCTAAACTGGATACTCAGTCACTGCTTAGAACTTTTTTACATTAGCAATATAATGATTACTAATTTTAATAGTATTACAGTTTTTGTAAAACATATGTTACACATTTATTTTAAAAGATGATAGAAACAATTTTTTTGTCCTTCAGGAAAATTTGAAATACCATTAACGAAATTTTTTAAAAAATAGCTTTTTTATTCAGCATCATAAAATGGCAACTCTTTATATACTGATACGGAATAACCTCCAAGGTAGACTAGAAGGAGATAAAGCAGGTGTACTTTAGACACAGAATGCTCCTGGAGGAGCACACAAGAAACTGACAACAATGGTTATTCTGGGCAGAGGAACTTGTGGCCTGGGGATGGATGGGAAAAGACTGACTTTTTCCATTTTCAACCTTTCGAATTGTGCACCATGTGTACTCTCTGAATTATCCATTCAAAAAATAAAACTGATTCATTCCCTTTTCCAAATTCAGTTCCATGACAGAAAAAATTGATAACTTTTTAAAGATGTGCCATTATTTAGTCTCTTTTGGTGCATTTAGATGTTTTTACTCTGGGTCCCTGGAGTGGGGATTGAAACGAGATCATTATTATTATTTCCAGGTAATGTACCATGGGAATGATTTCTTTTTTAAGCTGATTGGTCTGTGAGGCCATGTGCATTTTGAACCAACACACGTAATTGGGTATTAGGGAGAGAATAAATTTGAAAGTACTCAATAGTTAGTAAACTGCTTTTAAATCAACCTACTTACCTAGAAGGATCAGTCCCTTTCTGCCCCTAATAAGAGTGGTATTGACATAACAACTCCTTCCCGAGGAGAACAAGCATTTTCCTCTCAGTGACTGGCTAAGTGTACATTCATAGTCTCTTAATAAAGTACCAGGACACGTTAATGAATATTTATCTGTGTCTGCTGGGAGTCCTTATCAATGCTGATAAGGCCTGGATCATGGACTCTTCTAAGATGTTATTATCATTATGACTGTTACCATTTTTACCACGTAGAATTCCCCCTTATAATACCCAAAAATATACCTGAACAGGTTTCATCATTCTTCATGTTTCCAAAAATAAGCAGAGTTCTCATAATTCCTTTTGGTTCAAGGACTATCTGTTGGCTGTGAGAAGAAAAATTATCCTGGAAATGAGCGTCACCTATGAGTTTCTTCAACCCCAAGTCAGTTATTCCTCACATAAATGAAACAGAATTCTCATGCTCTCTCTTCAGGATAATTACAGGTCCCTACACTAGAATGAAGAAGACTTGGATTTTCAGCTAGGGAAAAATAAAGTTATTAAAAGATCGGGTAGGAGGACATCCTTAAGTTAGAGCCATTAACCCCAAATAGAGAATATTCAAATAAAGATATACATGAAGAGACGATAGGATTAAAACCTAAAGAATAGCCCCAGGTAATCCCCAAACTATCTTCAGTTGCATACCCCACAAAACTTTTTACCAACATTACAAAAAGCTAAGGGAAGTTAGGAGTGTCATCTCTTTTCCTGGTGAAAAATAATATTGGTAAGCAATAAGATAGCCAAAGGTCAGCCTGGATGAGAAAAAGGGGAAAAAGCAGAGAGCTAAGAAAATCAAGAACTCTGTGTTCTTTATAATTAAGACAGTCCATAGTGGGGCATTCCATCTCTAAAACTATTTGACTTAGCTTTGAACTTTGATGGACACAGTCATTGATTGATATGAATTTTTCTGTGTGTTGGGCAGATTCATAGGGGTCAAGTTCAAATCTGTAACTTTCAAAGACTCTGTTTTTAAGTCCTGCACCTTTGAGGATGTAACTTCAGTGAACACCTACTTCAAGAACTGCACATTTATTGACACTGTTTTTGACAACACAGGTAGGTGTGCTACTTAGTACTGCCTCTACCTGAGGCCTCTCCAAAGGGCCCACTGTGATAACCATGTGATAATGTGGGCAGAGGCTTATGCGGGAAGTGGATATTAAAGAATAAATGGAACAAGTTCTCTAAATCAGGTTGGATCAAAGGTTGGCTTGTATTGTTTGTCTTTGTCAGATTTAGTGCAAATGGAGCTTGCCAAAGTTCAAAAGTTGGCAACAACAACAACAAAAAAATCCTTTGATGAATAAATTTTTAAAGCAAAGACCTAACCTGTAGTTTATTTGTTTTGATAATCCTGGGTTCAAAATCTGGTGTTTGTTTAAATGCCTCAACTCTATAGCCAACAGAGATAGACAACATGTGGCTATGCTCAGATACATATATATTTTGGCCAAATCCATATAATGGGGTATTTTAAACTCCCCAGGGGGAAAAAAAAGGAAGGCAAACAAGCATTGATTGAACACCTATATACTGTTTTCTACTCTAGGTCATTAGACATTCATTATCTCATTTAGTTTTCACAGTAGCTGAGGCTTAGGAAAGTTAAGTAATTTGTCCACAATTATAGAACTAGTAATAACAGATGTTTGAACCCAGATTTATTTGATTTCAAAGCCTGTGCCTTCCACTTTCCCACTCCCAAACATTGGTCTGTGTGTCCTATAAAATGAATCCAGCATAACAGCGTGGCATTGGCAGGAGCATCAGCATTTGCCCTGTTGCCAGACCTGCCTTCTTAGTGCTCAGACAAGGGCTCTGCCTAGCTCCAAAGAAGAATGAGGTCAGGTGTCTTTCTGTTTTTTGTTTTTTGAGCAATGCTATCTACCTGTCTTCTAACCCATTAAACCTCAGAAGACGAACATTTTGTCAGATCTTGATCAGCAAGGAAGATAGTTTCAATTCTCACAGCCTTTTAGCAGAAACCACCACCATCTGCAACTCTTCTTGGATGGTTTCAAATTCAAGAAAAGATTAGCAATGAATGCTGGTGACCTTCAGATGAGGCTGACTCTTGTTCCTCAGTAGATTCATGCACATAGACTTTAAATTATAAATTCAGCCTCAGGAAAGACTTGTTCCTTCTCTGTGCCCTCTAGTCTCATAAAATGGCAATGATAAGGCTGACTCTTGCACTTTTTTTTCCTTAGAGACAGGGTCTTGCTCTGTCATCCAGGCTGGAGTACAGTGGCGCAATCACAGCTCACTGCGGCCTCAAATAAAAAATTATTATTATTATTATTATTATTATTATTATTATTTTTGTAGAGATGGTGTCTCACTATGTTGTCCAAGCTAGTCTTGAACTCCTGGCTCAAGCAATCCTCCTGCCTCATCCTCCCAAAGCACTGGGATTACAGGCATGAGGCACCACACCCAGCCCATGCACATTTTGAAACAAATTGTTTTTATAATTGTAGTATGGACACTATTAGTACTATAATGATAGTCTTTATGTAACATGATAATTAGGACATAGTAATATTGTAAAGGAGTAAGCAAGTAATATAATTAGCAATGGCCGACCATAGGAAATCAGAAGATAACTGGACCCCTTAATTTAATGTATTCCTTTATTCAGCAAAGGTATCTCATCATTCACCTACTTTATGATGTGAAGACCCAGACTAGATCCTATGCTTTGGCCAGAAGACCCAAAAAGTCAAGCTAGCATAGGCCTGAAAGCCCTCAAGGAATTTACAATACTGGTTTCCTCTCCGAATCCTCCATAGGCTTTCTTATACTGGTGCATGCCTGGTAAGAGCTTGATGAATTGTCTTTGTTGTTGTTTCTACAGATTTTGAGCCATATAAATTCATTGACAGTGAATTTAAAAACTGCTCGTTTTTTCACAACAAGACGGGATGTCAGATTACCTTTGATGATGACTATAGTGCCTACTGGATTTATTTTGTCAACTTTCTGGGGACATTGGCAGTATTGCCAGGGAACATTGTGTCTGCTCTGCTGATGGACAGAATTGGGCGCTTAACAATGCTAGGTATGTACTCAGTTTCATGTCAAATAAAAGAGCTGCCCCTGCAATCCAGAGGGACCCTGTTTCCCCCTGTACTCCCATCTATTAGGGATTTGCATCCAATAAGGAGAAATCCTTTAGACCTTACGTTGGGACTAAATTATAGTGAAAATTATGTCTAATTACATTTCATTTGAGTGGTTTCCATGAGTTAACAGACTGAAAAACTATGTGTAAAATGTATATTTTCCCACTCAAGTAGCTGAGTAAAAGATGATATGCATTTCATACTTTCTGTGTTCAGAGGCAGTTAGAGCCTTTCATTCAGGTGAATGCACCAGTTCTTGAGCTTTATGGAGCCCATCCTGCAGCTTCCACTTAGAATTCAGTTTTCTTGAGCAATCCCAAGGACCCAAGGGTTCTTGCTTTACTAAGATGACAGGAAACATTCCAGCCTTTTGTCTGCATTGTTGGCAGGTGGCTCTATGGTGCTTTCGGGGATCAGCTGTTTCTTCCTTTGGTTCGGCACCAGTGAATCCATGATGATAGGCATGCTGTGTCTGTACAATGGATTGACCATCTCAGCCTGGAACTCTCTTGACGTGGTCACTGTGGAACTGTACCCCACAGACCGGAGGTATGTTGAAATGGGCCTCTAGTAAGAGGCACTCTAAGCCCTGTGAGACCACTGAAAAATTATTTTAAAACAACCCAAACTGGCTGGGCACGGTAGCTTATGCCTGTAATCCCAGTACTTTGGAAGGCCAAGGTGGGTGGATCACCTGTGGTCAGGAGTTCGAGACCAGCCTGGCCAATATGGTGAAACCTCGTCTCTACTTAAAATACAAAAATTAGCCGGGTGTGGTGCCAGGTGCCTGTAATCCCAGTTACTCAGGAGGCTGAGGCAGGAGAATCACTTGAACCCAGGAGGCAGAGGTTGTGGTGAGCCAAGATCACACCACTGCACTCCAGCCTGGGCAACAGAGTGAGACACCATCTCAAAAAAAAAAAAAAAAAAAAAAGCCAAACTGTCACTTCCCCAGGAAAGTAAAAATCCAAAAATATCTGGCTTCACAAAGTTGTAGGTTCCACTCATATCTTTTAAAAAGAAAATATAGGGGAACATATGTGCTAGAAGGAATTAATAGGGCAATGAAGCCAGTGAAGGAATTTAAGTGTGTCCTTAACTTAGTTTGTAGGCTAACAATATGAGGAAGCTGTAATGAAGCAGTGAGGATTAGAGTTTAATAGCCTATCTTAGCCCACATTTTAAGTGGCTAACCAGTCCTTAGAGGGTCGTTTCCTTAGGTTTGCAGATGTGTCTGCATGAGCTCTGCATTAAGCAACCACAAAGAGGTATCTAGAACATATCTCTTGACCTTCCTGGTTTGTTGGAGGAAAGCCAAACACATTTCTAGTTATAAAAAACAATTGTGCTGGGCCTAGTGGGACATGCCTGTAATCCCAGCAATTTGGGAGGCCGAGGCGGGCAGATCACCTGAGGTCAGGAGTTTGAGACCAGCCTGGCCAACATGGTGAAACCCCGTCTCTACTAAAAATACAAAAAAAAACCTAGCCAGGCATGGCGGCGGGTGCCTGTAATCCCAGCTACTCAGGAGGCTAAGGCACGAGAATGGCTTGAACCTGGGAGGCGGAGGTTGCAGTTAGCCAAGATCATGCCACTGCACTCCAGTCTGGACAACAAGAGTGAGACTCCATCTCAAAAAAAAAAAAAAAAAAAAAAAATTGCTCCCAATATGGAAACACAGAGACTCATATCAGAGAAAGGGCTAGGGCTTTTGGGTATAGCTTCAGCAGCTTGAATAGCTAAATTAAAATAAAAGAAGCTCTGCTTTACCATTTGATATGAGCTAAGACAAATGGACTTTGCCTTCATGTACCACTCCTGTGCTATGTTGCCATAGAAGTCCTCTGTGCCAGAGGGTGGAGTCAGTATTATCTGGACTTTGAAATGTAGGAGAGTTTTTTCCTAGAACTATGCCAAAACATTTGGGATATCAATTTGCAACTGATCTTGAGTGCTTCCTCTGGGCTCATTCCCTTTTTTTATTGACCCCAAAGAGGTGTATTCTGTGTGTGTCCTGTCCTGTCTCTAACTTATATTTCTTCTTCAACAACATCTATTACTGAGCTTGCAGAACCCTGTAGGTACCCCTCCATCCATCTCCCTGCAGAACATCTAACACTCAACCCTGGATGTCTGCTTATCAAATATTCTAGTTCAGACCCTCAGTGACCCACCTATTAAATATTTAGGCTCTGAAAGGAACCATACAATCTTTGTACGGCATCTCCTTCATTCATTCAACAAATGTTAATTCTCTGTCTTTGTGAACGAGGTCCTGCCAGAGTTGGTGCGGCCAAAAGCAAGATTAAGACTCTGCAGCTTCATTGAGCTTTCTTTCATCAACCTCTCATTCTGCAAACAGAGCTTAGATGTGGATTACACTATACGTTTAAAATGAACCCCTCAATTGCTTGAGCCCATTGTGCCACTGCACTCCAGCCTGAGCAGCAGAGAGAACCTGTCTCAAAAAATAAATAATAAAATAAAATAACCTCCTCAATGTTAAAGCAAGGCTAGGTCATAGCCTCCTTCCTTTTTCTTGTATACTATAAGAGTGTGATACTGTTTTAGGAGAATCAGCTGCTTATCCCTCTGCCATAAGGAATAGAAGGATGAGTATTCACCTAGGACAAAAATCTGGCTTAAAAAAAAAAGACCCTCATAAATTGAAATTGGTCAGGTCCTTCCTGTGAGAAGTACAGACCTACGGTGTTTCTGTTGTCAGAAAGGTTAAATATCAATTGAAATAAAAACAAATGTTGCTTATTTGTATTAATTCAGGTCCTCCATGAAGCAGATGTCAGGATGGGATTAAACATGCAAAAATGTTATTAGAGGAAATGACTGTGAGAGAAGATGGAGAGGGAGTGAAGTATGGGAGAGCTGCAATGCAACTCTAAGCCTGAGCGAAGGAGGGAGGAAGGAGTATTTGGGTGGAATCTCCCAGACTATCCAGTAATCTAAGGAAGGTTTGGCAAGGCTGTTGGAGACCCAGGGATCATGACAACATCAGCCTCAGAGGAGTCCTGTGTGACTCAGGAAGCAGCCTGCAGTAATAGTCCTGTCAGGTCCAGTCATTGTCTGGGAGCAGCATGTGGGAAAACACCTCTGTGCACACCAGCACGATAACACAAAGGTCTGCCAGGTGCATTCTCACCGCGGTCACGCTGTTGCTGGCAGACGCTCTCCAGCACTTAAGTAGATGTCATCAGATAATCACAGGAAGTCATTTCCTTTGGTGATCTAGAAGATGACTTGTGCTCCAGAGCAGCGTGACCATGGCCATGGTAAATTCGCTAGTATGAGCTAATTAGTGAGTATCTGAAAATATTTCAGGCTAAAACCTCTTCCACCATTTCCATGTTTCTCTGGGTTGCATTAGGAGGTCTCCACTGATCTCTAACTCAGCTATTAGAGGAAAATCCCAACCAGTTGAGACACTCTATAGCTTCATCTCCCCATGGAGGCAGGATAGAATACAAGAATACAGGAATAGAACACAAAAATTCTGGCTAGAGGCTTTACTTCATTCTCTTGTGTTGCTCTAACAAAGTACCTGAGACTAAGTAATTTATAAAGAAGAGAAATTCATTTTCTCACAGTTCTGGAGGCTGGCAAGTTCAAGATCAAGGCAGGTTTGGTGTCTTGGGTGAGAGCTACTGTCTGCTTCCAGATGTTGCTGAGTCCTTCAGAGGAGACGAACACTGTGTCCTCACATGGTGGAAGGCAGAAGGGCAGGAAGGGCCAAACACTGTGTGAAGCCTCTTTTATGAGGGCCTTAATCCCATTCACCAGGGAGAAGCCCTCATGACCTAATCATCTCCTAAAGGCCCCCCTCTCTTAATACTGGGATTTGTATTGGTTTGTTCTTGCATTCCTATAAAGAAATACCTGAGACTGGGTAATTTATAAGAAAAGAGGTTTAATTGGCTCATGGTTCTGCAGACTATACAGGAAGCATAGGAAGCATAGTGGCATCTGCTTCTGGGGAGGCCTCAGGAAGCTTCCAATCATGGCAGAAGGTAAAGGGGGAGCAGGCACATCACATGTAAAGAGCAGGAGCAAGAGAGCTCAAGGGGAGGTGCCACACACTTTCAAACAACCATAGCTCACAGGAACTCACTCACCATTGCGAGGACAGTACCAAGGGCACAGTGCTAAACCATTCATGAGAAATCTGCCCCCATAATTCAATCATCTCCCACCAGGCCCCATCTCTGACACTGGGGATTACATTCTAACATGAGATTTGGGTGGGGCACACATCCAATCTCTATTAGGATTACATTTGCATTTACTGTGAAAACACTAATGAGGACGTTGTTCATTATAGGACACATCTTCTTCTACTCAGAGTCTACCATGAAGACTGAACATCTCAGGGGTGGGTTCTAGGAATCATTTTGTATTCCTCCACCCATGCTTTGAGAAGCTGTTATGTGTCCTCACTTCATATGATAAAAATTGTGTAATTCTTCACATTTCCTTCTCTGTTGTGCAATCAGGAAGCAGAGAGCCTGTGTCTCTGCTAAATCTGCATAGTCCAGATACTTGTTTCACTCTTCCTTATCTTGATTTGCCCCCTCTTATGCCCATTTTATTAATTTTGTGTCTTTTATAAGTTATCCTACCTAGATCGTTTGATAAAGAGGCAGGAAATTTTGGAATTAAATCTAGATGTACTTACTGAATAGCACTTTTCTGTGCCAAAAAAAATGAAACAACCATTTTTCCATTCTGTAAATGCCATCAACATCCTCCTTTCTTCAAAACCTCAGTATCAAAAATGAGCATAACAATTGCAGTCTTAAACAGATGCATGGTGACATTCTAGCTTTTTCCCCAGATTAGAGAGCACTTACACACTGACTGGGACATGATGATTTAAGGGACACAAAAAGAGGTGGGAGGGGACTGAACATTCCAACCCTCTGGACATATGGTTGGTTTTTCTGGAGACCAGCCCAATCCAGAAGCTATCTAGGATCCCCTCAGCCAAGAGTCATCTCATTAGCCTACAAAAGACACTCTTTTGGTGGAGCAGGGGGAAGGATGGGGTCTCCCTCTGTTGCCCAGAGCTACAATCTGTAACCAGAGCTGGAATGCAGTGATTCAATCATAGCTCACTACAGCCTCAAACTCCTGCGCTCAAGTGATCCTCCCCCATCAGCTTACAAAGTAGCTGGAACTACAGATGTGTATCACCATGCCAGGCTAATTTATTTTATTTTTTTTTATTTTAAGAGATGGGGTCTCACTGTGTTGCCCAGGCTGGTCTCAAACTCCTGGCCTCAAGCAATTCTTCTGCCCCAGCCTCTGAAGTAGCTGGTATTATAGGTATGACCCATTGTGCCAGGCTCCAAAAGATACTCTTATCCAAGGGTTTTAGGAGCTCAATGCCGGGAACTGGGGATGAAGACCAAATACTTATTCTTTACTTATACCTTATATTTAAGGCTGGAGATTATTACTAAAGTGCAATTTATTATCCAGAGGATTTAGCTATGCAAAAGGTGGGAAACTGTACCCCTGGACAGCAAATCAAAAACAAATCTACATTCCCTAAAACCTTAGCTGCTAGTTATAAGCATGACCTCAAAACCAGAAACCATCAGGGAGAAGGTTAAAAGAATTCTCTGGGTAAAACAAAATGTGAATTCCACACAGCAAAAAATACCATAGGCACATATAAATGATAAATTGAGGGCAGGAGGGGGTTGAAACAGAAATGAATTAATAACCTGAATATATAAATTGGAAATTCATAAAGAAATGTCAACAAACACTTAGCATATAAAAATGCTCAGCTTCACTAATAGTAAAAATTAATTACAAATTAAAGCAATTATGACATTTAGCTTTCTCCTATTATTCAGAGAAGACAATATTTAAAAGATAGATAAGATCCAGTGTTCTCTGGGGCAAGTGAGGGGTTACTGCTGAGTCTGTTGTGGGAATTCTGAAAACAGATACCACATTTGTAGAGGGGGATGATCTACAGTCTTAAGTATTTTTTCCCAATAGGAATAAACTATTGATTCCTCTGGTTGCTTTTCAGGTTTTTTCTTTGCCTGCCATGGATTTCTTTGGGTTTACTATGTTTGGGGTTTGCTCAGCTTCTTGAATCTGTAGGTTTACAGCTTTTGCCAAATTTATGAGGTTTTCAGCCATTATTTATTTTGTCAAAAAACAAAATTACAACAAATTTAGTGTAAAGAGCTAGTTGACTTTTATCTGCTATTCTAGAAGCAGGCAACACCTCACTCTATAAAATGGGGTGAGTGCTCTAATGAGCTGAGCAGAGAAAGTTGGCTTCATAGGCAGAAAAGCTCTAAAGAGAGCAGATACAGAGAACAAAAAGCAGATAGCCCTTTCAAAGTCCCTTTCTGTAAAGGGCTAAAACAGAGGGGACTTCCTTATTATGCTCATTTGGGTTGGCCGGAATCACCTGTTTTTTGGAAAACTGGCTCTTTTCAAAGTTCAATTTGATTAGGTGGCACTTAGCCTGAGTGACTCCATTCTGCTTAGGACTGGTCTGCTGTGGCCTAGGTGCAGGAGACTAGCCCAAAACAATGGCCTCCCGTAAAATTTAACTATTTGAATACTTTTTCAGTGCTGCCCTTTTTCTCTTCTGCCTGAACTCCAGCAACATAAATATTAGATCTTTTGTTATAGTTCCGCAGGTCCCTGATTTAGTTTGTTTTCTCTGTTCTTCACTTTAGATAGTTTCCATTGTTCTGTCTTCCAGTTCACTGGTTCTTTCCTCTGTCTCCTCCATTCTGCTGTTGAGCCCAACCACTAAGCTTTTTATTTTGGTTATCATATTTTTCAGTTCTAAAATTTTCATTTAGTTCTTCTTTATTTCTTCTACTTCTTTGCTAGGGCTTTCTATTTTTTCCATTTTTGCCGTGATGCTTTCTAAATTTCATGTGTTTCAAGTGTGTTCATAGTTGCTCATTGAAGCCTTATTATGGCTGCTTTAAAATATTCATCAGATAATTCTAACATCTCTGTCATATCAGTGTTGCCATCTATTGATTGTCTTTTTTCATTCTGTTTGAAATCTTCCTGTTTATTTGTATGACAAACAGTTTCTGATTGGAAGCAGTCATTTACATATTATGTTATGAGAATTTGGATCTTATTTAAGCCTTTTGCTTGAATTGGCTTTCTGTGACTCCTCTCTGGCAAGCGAAAGGGAGGCATTGCCTTATTATTACCAGGTGGACGTAGAAGTCCAGGTACTCCACTTAAGCTCCAGTGACACCCAAGAGTGGGCATTCTCATTACTGCTGGGAGTCCACACTCCCTTCCTGATCATGGATACCATGGGAGGGAGGGAAGGAGGAGCTCATTACCACCCAGCAGGGATGAAAGTCCCAGCTCCTTACTTACCCTTCTCTGATGGCATCCCAATGGTAGTGTTGACAGGTCTTCTTAGTTTCACAAGGGTGGAAGTCTAGGCTACCACCAGACCTTTGCTGATGTAGCTGGCAGTTGAGCTACAATTTTTTCCTGGTGTTTGGTCTGAGGAGAGAGGTTATTATCTAAAAGTTTTCTATCTTGCTAGACTGCCGTTTTCCTGGTCCTTGGGCTAGAGAGAGCAGGCTTTGGTTGTGGCTTTTCTTTTTCTGTGCCTATTGGCATTTCTGGGTTGGCAACTTGTTCGATTCCAAGTCTGAGATCTATGGAGCAGAAGGCAAACGCAGGGAACTCCCCATCCCCAAGCTCCCTAGCAGTTCTGCCTTTTTCCTCTTTCAGTCTTGTTCTGTTTGTTTTATATATAATGTGCAGGATATTTTGTTGTACTTATCAAGAAGAATAAGAAAAGTATATCTATTCCATCTCGGTGTGAATTTTAATACTGTTTGTTTATTTACTCAACAACTATTTTTTTGAGCACCTATGATACAACCGTGAGTAAATCAGTTGTGGTCTTTATTCTCATAAGCACAAGCAAACTTCAGTTGTAATATAGTGGTCAGGGTTATTACATGGGAAGTGCATGATGCTCAGAGCATCAGAGAGGTTTTCTTGAAAGAAGTTCCATTTAATTGAGATCTAGTAGGTGATAACCAGTCAAAAAGATGGAAAGAACATTTCAGTTAGAGCAAATACCAGCTAACAAGCTCTGGAAGTAAAAGAGTTACTCAAAGAACAAGTCATGAAGACTCTTTCACATTGCCTTATTGTGTGGGGACGGGGAGACTTTGAGCTGTCTTACAGAGAATGACAAGATCATTCTTGGCCTTTAGAGAGCTCCCTCTAATGGCCAGAAAGAAGGCAGGGAGGCTGGTTAAGACACTTAAGTTGTAGGTTGGAGGCCGGGCACGGTGGCTCACGTCTGTAATCCCAGCACTTTGGGAGGCCAAGGCAGGCGGATTACGAGGTCAGGAGATCGAGACCATCCTGGCTAACAAGGTGAAACCCCGTCTCTACTAAAAATACAAAAAATTAGCCAGGCATCGTGGCTGGCGCCTGTAGTCCCAGCCACTCGGGAGGCTGAGGCAGGAGAATGGCGTGAACCCGGGAGGCGGAGCTTGCAGTGAGCCGAGATCGCACCACTGTGCTCCAGCCTGGGCGACAGAGCGAAACTCCATCTCAAAAAAAAAAAAAAAAAAAAAAAAAACAGAAAGAAAGAAAGAAAAATGTAGGTTGGAAAGGGGAAAAGTCAACACTCAACATGTTCACAGATATTTAGGGATACATTCAACAAAGCTTGGTGCTTGATTAGATGTTAGGGGGAAGAAAAGAGGTTGTCAAAGAAAGATGATTCCAGTTTCTGCGTGTACAGTTGAGTGAATGGAGATGGCAGGTTTTGTTTATGTTTTTTAATTTTAAAAACCACCTGCAGGAGCACAATGGCATTTTGAGGCTGGGACACAGGAGGGACAGTGGGTCTGGGCTGTGGTCAAGAAGGTAATAAGTTCCATTTTGGACATGTTGAGTTTTTACATCAACCTGGGGCTGTCCGATTGGCATTTGAATATTTTTGTTTGGATGCCAGAAAGATACCTGAGCTGGGGATAGAGAGGTCATTCACTATTTCATTCAAAAAAAAAAAATGATTATGGAATGCATATCCTGTGCCAGGAACTATTTTAGTCATTGGGAGACAGCAGTGAACAAAACAGACAGAAAGCTTTGCCTTGATAGAGCTTATATTCTATAATAGTTTGAGGAAGACAGTCCAACAAACAGATAAGTAAAGTAGATGTAGTATATTGGATGGTGCTAAGTGCTGTAGAGAAAAATAAAGCTACGTGGAGCATAGAGAATGCTGGGGTAAGGAGAGTTACAACTGTAAATAGAATGGTCTAGGGGGATGTGACTGTAAAGCTGACATTTGAGCAAAGACCCAGGCAGACATCTGGAGAGAGTGTATTCACAGCAGAGGCAACAGCAGGTGCAAAGGTCCTGAGGTGGGAGTGTGAGAGACCAGTTGGAAGAGAGGCAAAGCTTGTCTGGCTGGAGCAGAATGACCAAGGTAGAGGGTAAGAAGCCATGGGGTCAGAGTGGACAATAAAAGGGCTTTGGTCTTCTTGCTGAGTAAAATGAAATCCAATGTGGGGTTTGGGGGCAGATGAGTGACATGAACTGACTTATGAAGTCCACAGCAAGAAATGTGGCAAGAGGTAATGGTGCCAATGGAGGTGGTGAGAAAGTGGTTAGATTCTGAAAATATGTCTAAGAGAGAGACCTGGAATAGTTCAAGTCAAAGGAAACAGAAAACAAAGGCCTCCATAGAAATAACATGTCTGAGAGGCAAGAGTTGGAGTCTGGGGGTAAATCCATCAACGTAAGAAAATCCAGAGGTAACACAGATCTGGACTAAGAAATAACAGACACCAGAGTTAGGATACCAGGCCAGGAGACAAGAGTTCAGTGAGCTAGAAACTCAGGCTGGCAGAGTGGAATACAAAAAAACTAGCCTGGAAGCAAGTGGTCAAAGTATTAAGATGTCTTGATCTTCAAAAATGGTGTATGACATTGAGAGAAGGCTTTGCAAGTTAGACTTCCCTATAACCTCTGTGCTTAGGTCAGTAGGGCAGTAGTAGTTTGCAGCTGGTTCTCAATGACATTCATTGGACTGACTTGCCCAGGGCTAGAACTCACCTCAGGTAGAGGCAAGATATCAGAACTGTCTGCAGTGGAAGTTGAAGGCACCTCTCTGCTCATGCACTCACCTTGGTCAGTCACCTCTATCTTGATCCTAAACCTTCTTCCCAACTCTGTAGTAATAGCCTGAGATTCTTGCCAAGGCCAGCTTCCCAGTGCTGTGGTACGTCTGCCACAATGATTGAGATGCAGTGGTCGATGCAGTGCCCTTCTCCCCAAGGCTCTTAATTCTTAGGCGTAGACTTGAAGAAGCCAGGAATACTTGTACTTCTGCAGGGATGAGTGAGGTGAAGCGGGAAGACGGAAAAGCAAATGTTGCATTCAGGAATTTGTCCTTGATTGTGAGGCTGGAAAGACAAGATTGCTTTGAGAAGCATTATGAGGAAAGAAATGAAGAGCAGGGCAAAATGATAGACCTTTGAAGTTTGAGCCATTATTGAATATACAAGTCATTGTATAGTCTTTTAACAGTTTCTACATCAGCCCCTCACCTGTGTCAAAGATAAGCAGAGAGCCTATTATATGTAATGTAGATCACAAACAATTGATGTGGCATGAGATTCTTCTAATAGACATGAAATATGAATGTGACATGAGCCAGACATAGAATGGATTTTCCAGCTTGCCGTAAATCTGAAAGGAGCCCCAACCATCTAACATACTGGTGTGGGGGAGCTTCCTTTTCCCTCATTTCTCCGTCCCCAGTCCCTGCCACCAGCAAAATTACTTTCAACCCTCTTTGCGGTAGAACTGAGAACACCAACAGAAGATGCATTTCATTTTTTGGGTTTAGTCTGTGCTGGTCAGCTTCCCTCAATACCCTAACTGGGAAAAATAAGTCAATTTTCCCTCATCTCTTGAAGTCTTCAAAATGAAAGTATATGTAATGACAGGTTGAAATGGATTTTTTCCATCCATCAGGGTCCCTACTTTTCTCTCCCTGCTTTGTGAAAGTTGTAAATCTCTCAAAAGTCATAAATGTAGCTCCCGCGGTGTAGGCCTGTTCCAGCTCATTCCAGTTCTAGGTTTTGGCCTTTATGTTTCTCTGCGTCCAGGTGTTAACTTTCTGCTGCCACTATGTGGCTGTGGCCAAGTCCCCTGCTCACATTTCCTGTGTGCTTATGGCTCAGGGGCCACTTTTTTTTTTTGGGGGGGGGGACAGGGTCTCACTCTGTCACCCAGGCTGGAGTGCAGTGACGCAATCTCCACTCACTGCAATCTCTGCTTCCCAGATTCAAGCAATTCTCCTGCCTCGGCCTCCTGAGTAACTGGGATTATAGGTGCCTTCCACCACTCCCAGCTAATTTTTGTATTTTTAATAGAGACGGGGTTTCACCGTGTTGGCCAGGCTGGTCTCGAACTCCTGACCTCAAGTGATCTGCCTGCCTCGGCCTCCCAACGTGCTGGGATTACAGACATGAGCCAGCGTGCCCAGCCATTAGGGGCCATCTTTACCCCTCCTCCGTGGCGCTCGGGGCCAGGAGCGCACACCTTGTGAGATGCAGCCCACGCTCTCAGGGCCGTCCTGCAACTCTGCACAGACTCCCAGGGCCAGGCAAGCCTGTCTCATGGTGTCGTTTGGCCGCATGTTCCTGCCTTTCTCTGCCTACCTTCTTCCCTTTTCTTTCCCCCTTATGCCCCCTTATGCATGCACAGTTTCAGACATGAGGTCAGAAAGGATTTGAGGATCTGATTGTTCACACCTGCCGATCCCTGAGAGTCCTGGGCAGCTGCTGCCATCACCCAGTGCAGTGGGATTGGTCTCTTCCTTGATGAGCTAAAATCAAAACATTTTCCCAGAATTAAGCAACCCAAGCCCTTCCCTTAGGACTGTCCTTGTTTTGACAGAGTTCTCTTGTTTCCTCCCCATTCTTCAGTTCCGAAGGTCTGTCATCTTGGATCTCTTACTGACCAGCTGTGCGACCTCAGGGACACCACTCAGCCTAGCTGGGCCTGGATTGTTTGAGATTTAAATGAGGAGTATGAAATAAATAGCATCTCAGGGCCTTTCTAGCTCTAGAATTCTCTTCACTGTCGTCATCTGGTATTCTGTAATGGCAATTTCATTCATTCTTTCTTGAATACATTCTACGTCTAATATAAAGATAAATATCTCACTTATTTGTGAAGATTTTGGTACAGAGGAATCTTTCAGCTATCGCGACTAACCAACCTATGTAATCCACTCCATCCCTGGCCCTCTGCTCTGCTTGATTTTTCCTTATACGCCTTATCATTATATTATATATGTTTATGCTTTGGCTATCCAGCAAAAGTCAGATTCATTTTGTCTCTGGTAGTTAGAAGTAGAGGGTGAAGGGGGTGGGGAATATATGCTTCCTGCTCCCACAACCTTGCCATCAGGCAATATATTACAATGGAAGCAAATCCTGCCAAGTGTACTAGCACAAAAACAGTCACAAAGTTTGTTTTTGAGCTCCAAGGAAGTCCATCTCGCTGTCCTTGGGTACTGAGCAAGCCCTTGCATGAAAGGGCCATGTGCTTGATATGCTGACAGCAGGGCCACCAGACTTGTGGGCCAGCTAAACAAGGGAATGCCCCTTTAATTGTGGGGTGCAGGATAAGGGGGCTCTAGAATCTGGAGTCTAGACCAGGAGTACCATTTCACCAACTTGAGGCTGCAGGGCTTGGAGGACGCTTGTATGTTCATTAGGCTAAGGGCAGAACATTCTTTCCAATCATTGCTTATACAGAACAGCACTCACATCATCAGTGAAAAAATCATCTCCGTGGTCATTAACAAACCTTCTCATGCAGATTTCTAAAATGATCTTTAAAGCACTAAGTAACCATCTCTGGCCTGTTGATTCTTGATTAATGTGCTTTAAATTATATGGGTATGCATTAGAGACAATTTATCTATCAATCATATTGTTTATACTGAAGTACTTAAAGGAAATTATCACCCAGACCTTATGATGAGAGGATGTTAGGTTGCATGTGTACTTGTTTAACTCACTAGAATGTTAGCTCCTTGAGGGCAAGACATTGTCTTCCTTATTTACTGCCATAACTCTAGGTGAATGAATGAATGAATGAATGAAATATGCATTTGAGAATTAATTTGGCTATGGATGATAGTTTTCCTCCCCGTATGGGGTCCAGCCTCCCAGCTTTCCAGAGTGAGCATTTGGGCCAGTGTAAGGGAGGGAGCACTGGTCTTCAGTCCTCTCTGCTGTCCTTTGGGTCCCTTTCCACTTCTTCCATCACAGCCTGAGACCTCCTGATCCTTCAGCTGTCAGCTCCCCGTTCCTCATAAAGCATTGCCTATTAGAGATCCACCTCCCCCTCTCCCTCTACTTCATCAACAAAGTGGAGGAAAGCACTGATCTAGGGGTCACTGAATTCAGGTGCAGTCACTGCCAGAAAAATAGCTGGATAATTTGGAAAAGGCCTTTCACCCTTCTGAGCCTTGGTTTCCTCATCTGTGTGGTGGAGGGTGGGTCGGGCATGATGCTGGAAATTTTAAATGATCTCAACTTATTTAATTCTCATCCCAATCCTGTAAGAGTAGGTATTCTTACCCCATGTTCAGGTGAGGAAAATGCGGCACAGAGAGGGGAAGTAACTTGTCCTGGATCACTTAGCCTTAAACCCAGATGTCTGACTCAGTGGTGCTGCTCCCAGCACAGACATATCTACCTCCCCTCCCAGTAGGTGTGGGAATCTATTTTTAAACAGCTCACTTGGCTGTTGGGATGCACAGCCATGTTCATGACCTTGGCCACAGATGAACTCCAAGGGGTGCTCAGTCATTCCATCATTATTTACCCTGGCCCAGGCCCTCACTCCCTAGCTAGGTTAATCAGATAAACAAGACATAAAGGCTCCCGTTATTACCTTCCCAGAATATTTGATTTCAACAGGAATAAGCAGTCAAAAGCCCCTTATGGTGGTGGAGATGGGAGGGAGATAAAGGGCTACTTGGGATCCAGGGATTCCTGTCAGCTCACAACTTGTAGGTGAGTCCTTCTCCACTTGAGTGTAAGGAAGGCCCTGCTCGAAGGGGTGCAGGGTGCCATCTTGCCCTCATTAAGGAACATGGCCAGGCGCACACACACACACACACACACACACACACACATAATAGATACTAGGGTAAGACAGATTTTTATCTTTCTTTGAAGATTAGAAAACAATTGCATTCAGTCTTTTCTGACTTAATATGAAATTCATTTTTTCTCTCTGAAAAAAAAAATATGATAGTCTGGTATCAAAAAAACAAATATGACCCAACTAATTTCCATTAAAATGTCTATTACAAAAATCGACTTCCAACATATTTGGAAGATCTCAGGAAATCTGTTAGCTCAGTCTTTCATTTAATAAGTAACATAGGTATCTGTACCGGTCCTGAGAAGAGGTGGTGCTGAGTGACTACAAAGGCTACCCAGCTCCACTCCCCCAGAGGTGACCTGGACCTAAACAAGGCTAATTCTGGACAAGGAGATGTGCAAGATTGGTATAAACCAGCCCTTGGAGGGGAGTGGGAAGGGTAGCGTGGAGGGAATCAAGTTGAGGCAACTGAGTAACAGTTGGAAGAGAAGGAAACAATTCAGGTTAGGTGAGAAGCTGCCTCTGGTGAAATGAATTAAGCTCTGTGCTGTGAGAAGCAGAATAAACAAGGGAGTTTAACAAGAGCCTAAGCAGGAAGGGAGAAGAAAAAAGGGATGGGAAGCCTTTGGGTTGGATCCCTCTCTCTCTCCTCTCCAGTGTGCAAAGCATACTTTGCTGGCCTCAGTATCCCCTGCATCACATCATAAACACTTTCCCTTGGATGTTTTATGCTGCTTGATATTCCCTAATGAACACACACAAACGAAGCAGGTCATATATGTGAAGGTGTTAATTGCAGAATCACTTGTTACCCCAAATTTGGAAAGCTCCCATTAGCCAATGGCATGGTTACAAGAATAATGGTTCCATGCTAAATAAATCATTTCATTTTAAACAAAACATCAACATGAGAAAACAGTAATATGAATGAAAAAAAAGCAGAAAGCAAAATTGTCTAAATCCTCTGATTTCCTGTGATTTATATGACTGGAAGTACACTAAAGGGAATTCAGAAATGAAAACCATTTGTCAGAAAGGTGGAGTGGATGTTTTGCTTTTATAATTTCCTTTGTATATGAAACCCACATCAATTCAAAGAATGCAGACATCCCTGGGAAGACAGCAGGATTCTCAACCCTGGATACACCTTCATGTCACGTGGAGCTTCTAAAAAATACTAATGCTTGGGCCCCAATAAAGCAATAAATTCAGAATCTCTGTGCATGTGGCCCTAGGCATCAGTATTGAACACATCACTAAGGTTTGAAAGCTCCTCCAGGTGATTCTGATGCACCCAAGCTTAAGCATCATTAGTTCAGGGCATGGTTATACGTGCACTTTGGTTCAATCAGATTGCTATCCTAATCCTAGGTTGAAAACACCTGCTTGGGAGTAGGAAATTTATTTAGGGGCTGGAGGGAGGTAAGCCGTTTAGCCCTCAAGAAGCCTTTAGGGGTGTGTCTAAGGCAAACCTGAGTGGGTACCATGAGGGAAGTTAGGGAGATGTGAGAGTACGGGGAGAGGCAGAGAACACCCCTATCCACATGCCATCCTTCTCCTGGCAAGCTCCTACTATTCCTTTCAGCACACTCCTAGTCTTGTCCAGCCCCCCTGAGAAGCTTTCCTTCAACTGCCACTACCCTCAGCTCGATATCACTTTCTATGCTCCTGGCTGCATAATACTTTGTGGGTATCTTCAACATTGCACTCAGCATGTATGTTACCATGATCTCGTCTCACCCATCTTAGTGCAAATGGAGGTTTCATCTTATTAATTTTGGGGTCTCTGGAGCTTAGTGCAGTGTTTGACACTTAGCAGATATTTAATGAATGATTATATGAATATGAAAAAAACGCATAGAATATGTAAATTAGGAGTGTATTAAGGACAAATCTGCGTATTAGACAAATATTTAAGGGTTTCTTGTACTTTTAGCATTGTAATGTGATAGCTTAGATGGATTCAGTGTTACAAAAGTTCTTTTAGGCTAACCTGATGACCTAGCCATCATTTTTAATATTTTTTCTCTAAGATAAATGAAATTCATTGTGTATTTCAAATAACCAACTTCCAGATGAATCTTTAGATCACAATGTCCTCCTGATTTAAGGACTGCCTATACTTTTCAAAATGCCCCATGCTGAGTCTTGAGTATCCCTCTTGTAACTTCTACCAATTATTTAACTGAGTTGTCCAGAAAAAGCTTATTTCCAAAAATTTATTCTAGACAAAAAGAACCACCCCCCCCAACACACACACACATACACACACACACTTTTACCCTTTAACAGGTAAATTCTATGAGCTAAGTCTGGATCTACACCATTTCAGGCCTTTTTAAAATGTGGCACTTAGGCCAGGTGCTGTGGCTCATGCCTGTAACCCCAACACTTTGGGAGGCCGAGGTGGGAGAATCACTTGAGCCCAGGGGTTCAAAACCAGCCTGGGAAACATAGTGGGTACCCCATCTCTACAAAATTTAAAAAATTAGCTGAGCTTGCTGGCACACATTTGTGGTCCTAGCTACTCGAGAGGCTGAGGAGGAGGATCACTTGGGCCTGGAAGGTCGAGGCTGCAGTGAGCTATGATTACACCACTGCACTCCAGCCTGGGCAACAGAGCAAGGCCCTGCCTCAAAAATGTAGCACTTAATTGTTCTTTTCTAATAATCTTATCAGTTGGTGGGGTAGATATTCAGCCAGTGTTTAAACAATGGCTAATAGTCACATGGTGCCTACCACATGCCAGGCACTGCCCTAAGTGCCACCATTTTTCAGTGTCCTTTTCTTCTTCCTAGGAGCCTCAAAAAAAACCCATATCTGGCCCTGCACTAAAGACAGAAAAATCCACAAAGAGGCTGGATGTGAGGACAAAATTATCCTCATTTTATCCAGAATGGAGCCAGTAGTTTTCTTTTCCCCACCACCAACTAAAACATAAAATGGGTCAGATGCAGTGGCTCATGCCGGTAATCCCAGCACTTTGGGAGGCCGAGGCGGGCAGATCATGAGGTCAGGAGTTCGAGACCAACCTGGCCAACATGGTGAAACCCCGTCTCTACTAAAAACACAAAAATTAGCTGGGCATGATGGTGCGCACCTGTAATCCCAGCTACTTGGGAGGCTGAGGCAAGAGAATCATTTGAACCTGGGAGGCGGAGGTTGCAGTGAGCCGAGATCGTGCCACTGCACTCCAGCCTGGGCAATAGAGTGAGACTCCATCTCAAAAAGAAAGAAAGAAAAAAAAAACAGCATGAAACAATATAAATAAACTAGAACCCAATAAATCGTGAAGGCCCCAGAGAGGGAGCCACCATCCAGCTGCAGAGGTGGCCACATCCCCACCAGGTGAGTCTAAGTGCTGCTGCAAACCAGCTCCATATACCAGCACATGTGTCTCAGACCAAGGAAGTTTATGATGCAGGGAGGAGAGCCACCTTAATGGAATGAGCAACAAGGCAGCTGCAGTCACAGGGTACTTTTGGGGGAAATAATTTACATTTAAAAATTTTAAATAAGTAGATTGAGTACAAATTGAGAGCAAAGGCTTCTGGCTGAAGAGATGAGAAGCAAAGCATGGAGCAATAGAATGACACTAGATCATTTCATTCTTTCCCTTCAGTGCTTGTTGTTTAAGAGAAGGCATGAAAACATATTTGATCTGAAAAATAATGCATTAACTCATTCTACAGCTGAGAAGTCGGCAAGTCAGGGTTCTGCAAGCTCTGAGCTCCCCACCCTCAAAGGACTTTATGAGCAAAGGTGACTCGTACTTTGGGTGTCTGCAGAAGCAATACAGTTTCCTTTAAGTAAGAACAGAGAGTAAATGAACTAAAAGCCTATTTATTTTATAAACAGATAACCCCAAGGGAGAATCACTTTGTGAATGGTTTTTCTAATACAGCTGTGTCTCTGATGCATTGAAAAATCATGCCCAGCTGGGCGTGGTGGCTCACGCCTGTAATCCCAGCCCTTTGGGAGGCCGAAGCAGGCAGATTAATTGGGCCCAGCAGTTCAAGAACACCCTGGGCAACATGGTGAAACCTGCATCTCTACAAAAAAAAAAAACACAAAAAATTGCCCGTGTGCGGCAGTGCAAGCTTTTAGTCCCAGCTACCAAAAGGCTGAGGTGGGAAAATCATCTGAGCCCAGGAAGTCGAGGCTGCAGTGAGCCATGATCGCGCCACTGCACTCCAGCCTGGGCCACAGAGCGAGACTCCATCTCAAAAAAAAAGAAAAAAAGAAAAGAAAAATTACACGCTTCAGCTGCAAATATTTGAAAGAAGAATTTACTTTTCCAAGGAAAGGGTAGTCACGTTTTCTTGAATGCCGACACTAATTTACGGAGGCTGTGTGCTTTGCATCCACACCAGATTTTCATCTAAAGAACTGCCTTTGCTTGGTAAATGAAAATGGAGATTCTTAAGAAGGATTTGATCGTCTTTTTCAAAACCCTCAGATACCAGATGCTCCTAACGCATCTGCCTTTAGTCTGCCCAGGAATCTCAGGAAGTCATCCATTCCTCGAGTACAGTTTCAGTGATACAAGGAGATAGCAGCCCACATTTTATACGCTATTCTGAGTTATACCAGAGGTTCGTCGTTTGGGAAAATACGGTTATTTTAACCTAGATGCAAATCCTATCTGGGTTACTCTGCAGTTTCAGCATTGAGAGACTTCTTCATGACAGAAAAGTGGTTTCCTTTTTCTTATCAGCAACATACACTCAGGCCATTTTCCCCGGAAGAATCCAGCTTATCTTACTACTACAACATATATCTGGTCATTTATGACACTAGAATCTAGAAACTAAAATGTTAGTTTAACAAAGTGAAAAGCCAGGCACGGTGGCTCATACCTGTAATCCCAGCACTTTGGGAGGCTGAGGTGGGAGGATTGCTTGAGCCCAGGAGTTCAACACTAGCCTGGGCAACATAGCAATAGCCTCGTCTCGTCTTCCTTTTTTTTTTTTTTTTTTAAGTGAAAGAAGTCAGTCTTTAAAAAGCTACATACTGTGAGGTTTCAACTCTGTGACATCCTGGAAAAGGCAGAACTATGGAAACAGTAAAAAGATTGGTGATTGTTCAGGGTTGTGGGGAGAGAGGAATGAATAGATGGAGCATGGGACTTTTAGGGCAGTAAAGCTATTCTACATGATACTGTAATGATGGATACATGTCATTATACATGTGTCAAAACCCACAGAATGTACAACACCAATGTAATGTAATTGAACTTTGGCTAATAACAACGTGTCAATATTGGCTCATCAGTTGTAACAAATGTACCATACCAAAGCAAGAAGTTACTAGTGGAAACTGAGGGTATAAGAGAACTCTACTTTTTGTTCACTTTTTTTGTTGTAAACCTAAAGCTGCTCAAAAACATCTATTCATATTTCTAAAAAACAGCAAAAAGACAGTTTAGCCTCATGGCATATCCATGGAGGTGGGGGAGGTGGGGACGGGGTCATTCTAGTATAATTAAGTCTTCTTTGGTACACAACATATAGGCTCAAGCAATTTCATTTGAAAGTAGTTATCAGTATATTAAATCTCCTTATGTTTTTAGTGGTTGCTGCCATTACTAGTCTCTTGCTTTAAAAAAAGAAGAGGAAGAATATGAAATTAGCTTACCCTCTTCTCAAGAAGTTTCTTTCAGTCAGAGATTCTGTCATACTCTTCCCACATTCCAAACAGTTGGCAACTTTGCCTCACTTCAGGAGCCTGCATACTCTACTTTCTAGGTGTCTTAGCCAAAAAGAAAATCCGTGCTTACTGCCCTTTATTAGGTGTGATGTAACCCACAAAATCACTGGCTGTGCACTAACTCACAGACTGGATTTGTGCAGCTCAGGGAGGAGTGTTTATTCCTTTCCCATGGTGCAGAAAGGAGGATGGTTGGATAATAACCACAATAAATATCTCGGTTATGAAGAGTCCACACGTTATGGAAACAACTATCATTAGGTACAGTACAAGTAGCGATGAGTAGTTATGACTTGTCAAAGAAAAACCCACACTTACAAATTTACAAATCAAACAAAGAAAGATGTGTGCTAAATGCTGCATTTTGCCCCTTATAAGATGCATTTCCCTCTTAGGGGGAAAAAAAAAACAAGGTATCCAAAAATTGCCCTGTATTCGATGTGCCTTTAACTCAGTGACAGCCAAAAAAGAGTAAACTGGCATAAAGTCAGAAGGAAATTCATACTCTCTCATGGTGTCAGTGGTGTATGCAGGCTCATGAACAAAATTAAGTTTCAGCTGGGAATGGTGGCTCACACCTGTAATCCCAGCACTTTGGGAGGCCAAGGCAGGAGGATCACTTGAGTCCAGGAGTTTGAGACCATCCTGGGCAATATGATGAAACCCCATCTCTACAAAAAAATACAATAATTAGCTGGGCATGGTGGTGCACGCCTGTAGTCCCAACTGTTCAGGAGGCTGAGGTGGGAGGATCACTTGAGCCCAGTAGATCGAGGCTGCAGTGAGCCAAGATTCCACCACTGCACTCCAGCCTGGGTGACATGAGCGAGACCCTATCATCTCTGAAAAAAAAAAAAAAAAATTAAGTTTTCTGCCTAGAAGATCACTTGTTCATGTGTACTAAAGATAATAATTTTTTTCTTTTTTAAAAAATGTCTTAAGAAGTGGGATGTGTCTTACTTATATACCTGCGTATCTTAAAGAGAGGGAACAAGATCTTCCTAGGCCCACAATTGATTCTCTTCTGTCATATTTTCTTGGACTTGATTTCCCAAATGTTACATTGGCTCACTGGTGTGCTCCCCAGCTCAGTATTCGGTTTCTGCCTGCTACCAAAAATAATTGGCAAGATAGCAGAGTATTTCACCTCCATAGTATCTGAAAGATGAGGGATATAACCTCACCCTCCCTAATTTTCTGAGAAAATTCCGTGGGCTCTTCTTATTTAAGACCTAGCATGTTAATTAATAAAAGAAAATAGAAAGCTGATAAGCAACTTCAGCAAAGTCTCAGGATACAAAATCAACGTGCAAAAATCACAAGCATTCCTTTACATCAACAATAGACAAGTGAGAGCCAACTCATGAGTGAACTCCCATTCACAATTGCTACAAAGACAGTAAAATACCTGGAAATACAATTTACAAGGGCTGTGAAGGAACTCTTCAAGGAGAACTACAAACCACTGCCCAAGGAAATAAGAGAGGATGTAAACAAATGGAAAAACATTCCATATTCATGGATAGGAAGAATCAATATAGTGAAAGTGGCCATACTGCCCAAAGTAATTTATAGATTCAATGCTATTCCCATCCAACTACCATTGACATTCTTCACAGAATTAGAAAAAGCTACTTTAAATTTCATATGGAACCAAGGAAGACCCCATATAGCCAAGACAATCCTAAGCAAAAAGAACAAAGCTAGAGGCATCATGTTACCTGACTTCAAACTATACTACAAGGCTACAGTAACCAAAACAGCATGGTACTGGTACCAAAACAGACATATAGACCAATGGCACAGAACAGAGACCTCCGAAATAACACTACACATCTACAACCATCTGATCTTCAACAAACCTCACAGAAACAAGAGATGGGGAAAAGATCTCCTATTCAAAAAAAGGTGCTGTGAAAACTGGCTAGCCATATTCAGAAAACTGAAACTGGACCCCTTCCTTACACTTTATGCAAAATTAACTCAAGATGGATTAAAGACTTAAATGTAAAGCCCAAAACCATAAAAACCCTAGAAGAAAACCTAGGCAATACCACTCAGGACATAGGCATGGGCAAATACTTCATGATGAAAACACCAAAAGCAATTTCAACAAAAGCCAAAATTCACAAATGGGATGTAATTAAACTAAAGATCTTCAGCACAGCAAAAGAAACTGTCATCAGAGTAAACAGGCAAACTACAGAATGGGAGAACATTTTTGCAATCTACCCATCTGACAAAGGTCTAATATCTAGAATTTACAAGGAATGTAAACAAATTTACCAGAAAAAAATAAACAACTTCATCAACAAGGGGGCAAAGGATATGAACAGATACTTCTCAAAAGAAGACATTTACATGGCCAACAAACATATGAAGAAAAGCTCAACATCACTGATCATAGAGAAATGAAAATCAAAACTGCAATGAGATACTATCTCATGCCAGTCAGAATGGCTATTATTAAAAAGTCAAGAAACAATAGATGCTAGCGAGGCTGTGGAGAAATAGGAACACTTTTACACTGTTGGTGTGAATGTAAATTAGTTCAACCACTGTGGAAGACAGTACAGCGATTCCTCAAGGATCTAGAACCAGAAATACCATTTGACCCAGCAATCCCATTACTGGGTATGTACCCAAAGGAATATAAATCATTCTACTATAAAGACACATACACATGAATGTTTATTGCTGCACTATTTACAATAGCAAAGACTTGGAACCAACCCAAATGCCTATCAATGATAGACTGGATAAAGCAAATGTGGTACATGTACACCATGGAATACTATGCAGCCATAAAAAAGGAATGAGATAATGTCCTTTGCAGGGACATGGATGAAGCTAGAAGCCATTATCCTCAGCAAACTAACACAGGAACAGAAAACCAAACACCGATTGTTCTCACTCATAAATGAGAGTTGAACAATGACAACACATGGACATAGGGAGGGGAACAACACACACCAGGGCCTGTTTAGGGGATGGGGAGTGAGGGGAGGGAACTTAGAGGATGGGTCAATAGGTGCAGCAAACCACCATGGCACATGTATACCTATGTAACAAACCTGCACGTTCTGCACATGTATCTCGGAACTGAAAGTAAAATACAAAATAAATAAAAAATAAAACACTTAGCATGAACATAATTAATTAAAGAAAATAGGGAGTAACAAATCTAAGTAAATATATTGTTGCACTTAACAACAGTTTTTTTTCTCTTTACTTATCTGATAGAGACAGGGTCTTGCTATGTTGCCCAGGCTGGTCTCAAACTCCTAGGTTCAAGAAATCCTCCAACCTCAGCCTCCCAAAGTGCTGGGATTACAGGTGTAAGACACCCTGCTCAGCCTGCCATACATTTTAACTTTGGAATGAAATTTAAATTTCCATTTAAACATAGATGTTTCTGAAATTATGGGAATTTACAAAACAAAATAACAAGTCACTCTTGTAAAGAGATGAGAAACTGCTCAATTTTTCTATATCACCCTCTCCACCCTTTGCCTGGGATAAGAGGAGGTAACCCAGCTTTTCCCACACTGAGCAGAGGTGACCTGCCTCTCTCTAATGAACTGCGCTTTATGCCTGTTTTGTTCCTGAGAGAAGAGTTTGGATAGAGGAGGATTAAAGTTTGTTTTAAGAGACCCTTCCTGCAGGGTATAGTGGCTCATGCCTGTAATCCCAGCACTTTGGGAGGCCAAGACAAGAGGATTGCTTAAGCCCAGGAGTTTGAGACCAGCCAGGGCAACGCAGGAGGACACCCCCATCTCTACAAATATTTAAAAAAAAAAAATAGCTGAGCATGGCAGTACACACTTGTAGTCCCAAGTAGCAACTCAGGAGGCTGAGGTAGGAGGATCACTTGAACCTGCGAAGTGGAGGCTGCAGTGAGTTATCATTGTACCAGTGTACTCACCTGGGCAACATAGCAAGACCCTATCTCTACAAAAATAAAAATAAAAATTAGCTGTGTATGGTGGTGTGCACCTGTAGTCCTAGCTACTCAGGAGGCTGAGGTGGGAAGATTGCTTGAGCCCAGGAGTTTGAGGCTGCAGTGAACTATTACTATGCCACTGCACTCCAGCCTGGGCAACCGAGCAAGACCTAATCTCTATAAAAATGAAAAAGACCCTTCCTTCCAACAACGTTAAACCACTAGAGATGTTTCGTACTCCCTACAATTTTTTCTCTCTTTCTGTTCACAATACATTGGGACTTACAGGCAGAGTAAGAGTCAATGGAAGCTATGGTAAGAAAGTCAACAGAGGGCTGGAGGAACAATACCAACAGCTAGGATTCTCTACTCCCAGATTTGCTAACAAGCATTGATTTGCTCCACTGATATACAACACAATCTGAGGGAAGATCATTGAAAATCTAGGATCTTTTGGTCTAAAGTTGGAATCATGGGGAGGCATTTTCTCAACCTTGTTCATGTCTCTTTCCTTTGCAGGGCAACAGGCTTTGGCTTCTTAAATGCGCTATGCAAGGCAGCAGCCGTCCTGGGAAACTTAATATTTGGCTCTCTGGTCAGCATCACCAAATCAATCCCCATCCTGCTGGCTTCTACTGTGCTCGTGTGTGGAGGACTCGTTGGGCTGTGCCTGCCTGACACACGAACCCAGGTTCTGATGTAATGGGAAAAAAAGCCATCCTTCCTGCGTTTCTTCCTCCTGCCCTGGGTCAATTCTCCTTCCTGACTCAAGGCTTCAGAGTTTTCCTATATAGAAAGGTGATCAAGTATCAGAACATAAACACGTGCTGTGACTTAAAATTTAGAAGCATATCATCTTGCCCCTTTGTGATTTTGCACAGGTTGTTTGTTTGTTTTGTTTTGTTTGAATGCATTGTTATCTTTCCAAACTGTGATGCTACTGCCTCCCGCAAATCAGTGGAAGCATTTCTAAAATGCCCTAGGCAGCCAGGCTTCCCTGGGGTTCTGCTCATTGAAAGTTTAGAAGCTAAGAAGACTGGGCTGGTGTAAGAAATAGATCCTGCTCCTAATTTAACATTAACAGGAAATATAAGTCGGCACATTATTGCATTTGTGCTGAGAAGAGGGATTCTTTTTTTTTTTTTTTCTAACAGAGTGATATTTCCTGTTTACTTAGAAAAGGACACCCAGTAATTCTCACTGTTATAGCAGAGCCTTTCAAAGAAAACCATGTGGCACCAAACAGGGCTGGGTGGGGCTCTTTGGGGCAAGACAATTAAGGTGACCGCTGACAAGAAAAATAAAAGCTCTGCAATTAGCAGCAAAAATCTGAGTGTGCTGCATAAGCAAGATTTCTGTCAGAAAGCCCAATTAAACCTCTGAAAAGTGTGAGGAAAAAGAACTGTAACAGTATCTGTGACTGTGGCATGTGGTTCAGAATGTTTGAAAATCAGAGATCCGAGAGAGAGCTTCTGCCTCCATTTACCACTCCCACTCCTTCAGCTGCCCTTGGTCTTGCCAGACAGCAGATTCAGGGAAAGAAAGCTGCTTCTTAAAAACTGTCTGCCTACCTGATTCTGCCACTTACCCACACTGTCTCTAGTCTAGAGATTGCCAGTGGATAGCTAAATTGTAAATTGCAAATTAGGAAGAAATTCACACCCAGAGCCATTTGGAAATACAAAATGGTACCTCTTTCCAGTACCTCTTTGCTGTGGGACTGGCCCGCCAGGACCCCCACCCCACCTGGCCCGCAGTTGACATTCAGCTTCCCAGCTGGCATCAGCAAAGAGGGTTTGTCCCTCTAGCTTCCCCAGGGCTGGCCCACTGCTCAATGCGCTCCTGGCTCCCTGTAAAATCACAGCCCGCCTGCACTCCTGAGGGCCCCTCTCACAGACAGACCATCTCCCTGTGGTTGTTTGACTGCTCATTTTACCTCTGGAATCTGCCTGGGCTTGGAAGAAAGAGGTCAGCCAGGACATTCCCACGGGCCCGCTGTCAGCTACATGACCTTCTCGCCTCTCAGGCTCCCCTTCCCCCAGGCTCGTCCTTTTTACACCTCTTCTTTGAAATCTGAACCTTCCTTGTAGACTTGCAGCCAATGACCAGAAGCCAGGAATAAATCCCATATTTAAACAATATTCCTTTTTTAACTGCCTCGATAGAGGTTTATTCTTGTTACTTATTATAGGCATTTTCAGGCAAGCCATAGCTTGGGGCCTCCAGGAAGGGAAAGCTTTTGTTTCCACTGATCATTATTTTCAGAGATGTCCTAACTCCCCTGAGGCCCCCCTGCCTCCCCCTCCCCTTCCTAATGATCCCTCGCAGAGCTCAGACTAAGTGAAAAGCTTCTTTCATTAACATAAGCCATTAATCGACTTCCCCTTGAAGTAATTCAGGTCTGCAGAGGGGGGAAGACTGGTGTTGGGGGCAGTGGGAAGAGGGTGGTTCCCTGGGGGTCTGTGATCAGGGCTAGAACATCAGGAAAACCCGAACCAAAAACTGCAAAGGTGGCAGGAAGAAGAAAAATCACTGAAGGCTAGACAAGATGCATTTGAAAGATACCAACCGCACAGGGAAAGAAACAACTTTCTCTCACTTCTGCCTCCTATCATTTTATTGGAGAACAAAGACAGCAGTCAAACAACCCAAGAAAGTACCCTGTATGTTTTTCTTCTTCCACATGTACCCATTTTCCCACCTATCTCTCCCTGATTTGTCTTCTTTAAAAAGACATTTGGGGACCTGAGCAGGTCTTTTAGTTGAATGCAGCATGTGCAGAAATAACTGCAAAAGCCAGGAGTGCATCTCCATCAACCCATCAAAAGAAAAATAGAAATGTACATGGGCATCGCTGTCTCTAGTCCTCTGTGATAGTTCACTTTGCTAACTAGACTACCTTTACTTTTCAAAATATCTCTAATGTCTGCTCTGGGGTCTAAATGCATAAAACATCTCCCAAGCTGCAGAGCACAGTTATTCAGAATTTTATTTGAACACTGGGTTGGGTCAGCATAGGATAAACCAGCAAAACCTTACTTCATGAGACCTGCCATCCGTGTCCCCTGCAGAAGGACCGTTCTTGGCCTACTTGTTACCTAATCCAAGCATCCTTGGTGGCCTAAGAGGGATCTTTTCTCATCTCCTGGACAGTCTGTGGTCACAAACCTTCTTGGTCACCACCTCTCCCACCTTTTGTGCACTCTTCCCTGCCTCCTTGAGACTGTTCATCACCTTGATTTTCTAAGAGAGCTCAAATCATTTCCAAAGCATGTGGTGTGGCCTGTATAGCTTGCTCCAGATTTAGCTGGAGATTAAGAAACAGCCAGGATATTAAACAGAAACTCTCAGTTGTATCAGTGTAGCAGGCCACTGGCACCTAAACACGCAACTGGCATCTCATTTCGCCTACAGTAGAAGGAAAATGAAAATTTGTACAAAAATGAAAACCTAGGAAATAGTCCACTTGCTCCTATATTTTTACCACCTTTTCTAACTAAAATTTCCCTGTTGCTCTTTGGAATCAATCCAGAATGCTCCCAAGTCCCATTATTATCACAGAATCTTCTCAGTAGGGAAAAACAAACAACTGCTTCAAACTGTGAATTCTGTATGTACCACATTCTATCCCAGGTATTGGGTTTTAAGGCACCCAACTCACATTCAGTCCTGCTGCCTGAATCATCTCACACCAGAGTACAGACCTTGGAGACGCGATAGATGGGTCCTAGCCTGACCTTCACCACTAAGCGGTACAGGGACCCAGATCTTGCTGTGGAGACTGTAAGTCGTTGAACATCTCTAGTTCTCACTTTCCCCGTGCACAAAATAAAGGATTGGGACTAGTCTGCTCTCCACTCTCCAGCATTGTAGAAGACAGTAATGAAAATAGCTTCATCTTATCTGCCTTCTTATGCTAAACTCATTTTTTTTTTTTTTAGGTGGAGTTTCACTCTGTTGCCCAGGCTGGAGTGCAGTGGTGGGAACTCTGCTCACTGCAACCTCCGCCTCCCAGGTTCAAGTGATTCTCCCACCTCAGCCTCCCAAGTAGCTGGGACCACACGCATGCGCCACCACGCCCAGCTAATTTTTGTATCTTTTAGTAGAGGTGGGGTTTCACCGTGTTGGTCAGGCTGGTCTCGAACTCCTGACCTCAAGTGATCGGCCCACCTCAGCCTCCCAAAATGCTGGGATTACAGGCGTGAGCCACTGGCGGCCTCAACTCATTTTTACAAGCACTAAATAGGTTTAGTTTATAAACTGAAAAATTAGGAAATAGGCACGCATAAAAAGAGTGTAGGAAGTTGTTTGGGAAGCCCGCATGGAATAGGCCAGAAAGCACAGTCCCCATGCTGTCTGCCCTGCCAGCATCTCAGCATCCTGACTAGTATCTCTGTTCACTGCAGGTTTGACAGTTACCATCACCCAGCCAGAAAAGGGCCCCGCCTTGCCAGATAAACGCGCTTAGGTTAGAAGACTATAATTGCAATATTACCCTACAGCTCTCCTGACTGTTTATTCCATTATTTTCTTGAAACATGGCCTTAAGTATTATACATAGGCTTCAGAAACAGTTTTTCAGTGATTTTACCTATATTGGCAAATAGACAAATCTCACCAAATCAGAGTTCAGGTTTTCACCAAAAACTGCTTAGTTGTCTTTCAAGATACCTTAAGAGATCAAAGGGGAGGTGGGAAAAGAAATGTAGTGACAGAAGGGAGAGTCCAAGATACCACTGATAAGGTTCCAGCAAAGAGATTAGGACACAGCAGAGACTTTCTAAATGCTGGGGTCATTTCCAAAGCAGTCCAGGGGAATACTTTCTGATTCCCTCTGCCAATCAAAATAGATAGAATATGATATTCTCCAATTTTTTTTCTGTTTGATGTCAAAATGGCCTTTACCTATTTCTTCAGTAATATACCTGATCTGTTCATGCACTAAAGGCTCTGGAGCCAGGAATGTCTGAATTTGGCCTTCACCTGGTATCACAGAAAGACAACTGGGATATTGGTGTTAAGGGGCATATCGGCTGTATGTTAGGTTTTCTTTAATCCTCACATCGTGCCAAACTTAGTCTGGTTACTAAGCCTAAAAACACCAGTATTGCAACAACTTCTGAAACTCTGAAGTGGACTATATGTTTCTCACAGTTTTTGTTTATGCTCAGCAAAGTATGTATTTTAAGTAAAGCTTCTCTTGTTATCTGTAATGTAGACAAAAAAAAAAAAAAACCTGTTAGTATATTCTGGATGTATTGTGTGTCCCTTCATTGTTTCAGGTATGGCGTAACAGTTCTCCGTGTGATGTTCTTTTGCTCTAAATGTTGACCATTCCTCTTGTCGCCCGTCTCTCACCAACCAGTCACAGAGCCATTGCCAGGGCTCCCTTCAGTCTTTCTTAAACAATATCTAAATGCAGTTTAGTAATCCCAGGATTTTGAGTTACAAGAATACAGTTTATGGGTCTGTTTCAGCTCTTACTTAAGGCTAGCATGGTTGGGCAGGGGAAGAGCTGAGCCGAGCCTTCACTGATCTCTTGTCATTTCATATGATTATCCAGTAAATACTTATTGAGCACCTCCCATGTGATACGTATTGAGACACTGCTGTGTGCAATAATTAAGCCTATGGAGGACTTAAATGAGGGCAAGGAAAACAGAATGAGAGAAGACACTCTCACACTGACCCCCATTACATGTGAACCCTCCGCGCCCCCCCCCATAAATACAAAGTGTTATTTTTCCACATTTAAAACAAATAATAGCCTTCAGCAGGCAGTGCAGGAACTATTCAGTCATTGAGATAACCTTTGATGAGAGGAGAAAGCTCCTTGATTACCTGGTTTTTGTTGGAGAGACTATTAACTAGTACTTGGAAAATGAGAAAAATGAAACCACACATAAGTTGTTCCCTTAAATAATCTCAGCAGGATATTGCACTAAGATATTATTCAAGGAAAAGAATCAGGAGCAGAGATAGCCCCATCTCTCTAGAGCATTTTTTTTTTTTTTTTGGGCGGGGGGGCGGGGGACGGAGTCTCGCTCTATTACTTAGGCCGGAGTGCAGTGGTGCAATCTCGGCTCAATGCAACTTCCGCCTCCCAGGTTCAAGCAATTCTCCTGCCTCAGCCTCCCAGGTAGCTGGGATTACAGGTGCATGCCACTATGTCCGGCTAATTTTTTGTATTTTTAGTAGAGACGAGGTTTCACCATTTTGGCCAGGCTGGTCTCCAACTCCTAACTTCAAGTGATCTACCCACCTTGGCCTCCCAAAGTGCTGGGATTACAGGCATGAGCCACTACACCTGGCCTAAAGTCCCGCTTTCTTCTGAGGTGTTCTTTTCATGGTGTGAAACCAGAGACAGGAGCTAGGGGGTCTGTTCCCCAGCGAATAGTGTTGGGGTTTTCTCTTCAGAGCTAAGTCAGCAAAGCCTGCAGCTGCTGCCACTCCCCTGGTCTGTGCCTCCCAGGGTGTTTCCTTTCTGATTTTGAAGATTTGTGGGTGAGTCAATTATCTTTGCAGACATCCTAAAGCAGCTTCCCTCCTCGCTACCCTCAGCAGATAAGCCATCCAGAAAACAGGTTCTGACAGCCAGTAGCAGGGGTATTTTGGGTTTCAGTTTAAAACTGGTGCGTGTTGTTGCAAGTGTCTTGAAGTTGCAAAGGATGTTTGGGGTTCTAGGGCCTGCAGGGGGGCAGAGCAGAAAGAGGGTAGTTGTCAGTGACCCTCTACCCTCCTCTGAGAGCCCCATTGCCATTTTTGCCCACCAGTTCTCTTCTTACCTCCTCAGGGCAGTGCCCACTCATTTCCTTTATTTCCCTTTTGTTTTTTTTCTTTTCCTCCTCTGGTCGACAACCTCTTAATTCTAGCAGTGTACAAAAGCAAGGCCAAGCTTTCCTGGGGCACTTGGGATGAAAGGCCCATCCATGCCTGTTGTGGAGGCACAGAGGAGGAGAAGGTGAAGAACAGGAATGGGTGCAGGGGGAGTGTGAACGCAAGGCTGCTGGCTTTGGCACAGCTCCCTGTGCAGGGCTGGATTTCCAATTGCTTTTCAGTGCCTGTGCCCTGATAGGATGGGCACAGCTGGTATGGAATCAGAGCAGCCCATCTCCAGAGCAGAAGTCTGAGAGCTCAGCGTTTGACTCCTGAAAGACCAGGATGTTCCTACCTGGGTTCTTGAGATTCATTGGCTAGTGGAGGTAGATGGTACTCTCCATGTCTGCAGAAGATTCCCCACTTGGTGCTGAAGGCTAGGTGCCTTCCAGTCAGGTCTGAATGCTGAAATTGCTGAGATTGTCCACTCTCTGCCTACTTTATTGCATTCATGCTCCCCTTAGATCCAAGAGTGCCCAGGACTAGGAGCAGAAAGCAGTTTTCAACCCTTTGTTCAGACTCAGACGGGTTTCAACTCAAGCGGGTAATCTACCCCAGCAGCAGGGGTGCAAAGTCCAAAACAGCTTTGTGGTGCCTGGGGAGTGACTAGGCAGCCTGCTCACAGGGGCTGGAGTCATCTAAAGCTAGTGATGAGCTGGAATAGCTTTGAACCGGTTCATCCGAACTGATTGTTAAACTTTCAGAACTTTTGAGAGTCAGTTGAGAAACATAGCTATTACTAAAAAATTAAATAAGATTAGATAAATTATAGCTAAAAGCAAAGGCAACATATAGTCAAAGCTCATCACTTTCTACTTATTTTACTACATTTTACCATTATCTGTGCCCATGAGGTAATGTATGCCTATTATGTCTGTATGGTAGAAATACTGTATACAGGTATACTACTACACACACCTTCCCAAGTGACAGTATTTTTGTAGTTTGAGATCAGCTATAGTGGTGGTATTTATACCATGGAAAGCAACAAAGCCATGGAAAGCAACAAAGCCATGCAAATCAGACTCCTCCTAACCCCTAAGACAGTTGTTAAACATTTGCCAGCATACCACCATCTAAAGCCCTAAAGAATGCTTGGCCTCCCACTGCATAGACACAGGCCACATCACATTGAGTATCATGGATTTATGGGTCAGCATTGCCCCTAAGTCCAAGGAAGGGGAAAGACTTAGCAAGCTCAACCTCATGTGATTCACAAAGGGTTTCTTTCTGCATTTGTATTGACTCAGAATAGGACCCAGTACAGAGAATCCACTGTTATCTATGGGTGTCATTCCTTCAGAAAGAATGTACAGTAAAATTGGCTATTTCATGCTATGCAAACAAAATGAAACTAGTTTGAAGTTGCAAAGTGTCTCCCCTCTTGCGCCCACGTAGTCATCCAAGAAGGAAACTCCTTTCTTGCCTTGATATTCACCAGGCCTACCTAGATAGAACTTGACAAATTGGCCTAACTTCATCTCCGCTGCTATTGTTATATATTTGCTTTACTGAATCTATGTCCTATGTCAGTCAGAAGAAAAAAGAAATGTCTTTTTTAATATACACTTTCTTAGCATCCATGCAGTTATGTATCCTCATCCTGATCCAGGAACATATTGAACAGATCATATGTCTTTTGTTACTATCTAGATACACTAAATAACATGATAGAAGAGTTTTCTCTTTCAGGTGAACTTCCATTTTGAACATATGCTAAACGTACTATCCACTGTCTATTTTAATGAGATCTTGGCAATGGTCCTGTCGGTTTTGGTGTTTGGATTGTTTGGCTTTGTTTTCCTTTTTTATTCTTCCTGTTTTTAATGCTGTGTAAGATCTCCTGCTATGAATGTTCCAGTTACCCCTATTGTACTGTATATACGTGTGCTGCATGTGTAAATTCTGTTTCAGGTTTTGGAGTTTTCATCTTAAGTACAGCTGGTCCTGTTGTGAACTCATCTTTCCTGTATGCTCCTCTGTGTCTGATTTCCAATTGCCAAAATGTTTGACCAAATGTGTTTTGACAAATATCCCGAGACAGCCATGCGTATCCTTGTGAAAGGGCATGCTCCATGTGGGATGGCTCGTGTACAGCATAAATCTATCAAACTTGGAATTGTGTATACATTTATATGCCAGATAACTAACATTCATGTAACAGCTGCAAAGATATTTAGTGTATATCAGATTAATAAAAGAGCATTTTTTTTTTGCTCCATTATATTCAAATACAGATTGCTGTGTGACTGGCTTCCCTTCTAAGCATGAATTGACCCTTCAAAAAATGAGCACTTTTTTAATGTCCTTAGGTATAGAGAAAACCTGTTTCTCCAATTCAGGTTTATTTGAATTGTTTCTGTGGGCTGGTGTCATGGGTATTGATGTGTTGTTGATCTTACGTGAGTATTTTCCAACTGTTAGCCAGGACCAGTGGGAAGAATATGTTCGTGGGGGAGTTTGTGGCAAAGCAGATGCTTGTGTTCTTTTGCCCTAGAGTAGGAATAGCAAACAGATTTTTATTTAGCATATTAAATCCACTTGATTGGTAGTAGCTGCTTGGAACAGTGGTTTAAGAACAATGAGAAAAAGTGCTATACTTTAGGGAATTCACATTGGAGGCAGAAACAGACTTAAATGCCACATATTTGCTATCCCCAAAAGAGTTCCCGTGACTGCATTTAACAGAAGACACAAGTCTTCTTTTATTCTTTTATTCCTTTAATTTCCTAATAAACTGTCTTTACTAACAAAGAGGATGGGGCCATCCCAAGGTTGGTTCTGATGTGGCTTGATAACATCATTGGAGACCCAGATTCTTTTTCCATCTTTTAGATCAGCCATCCTCATCATACTGGCTTTTGTCCCCCTATGGGCATGAGATGGTGGCTGCAACTCTAAGCATCACATCTTCACACATCTAAGCGCCAGAAGGAGAACTAGTCCCTCTTTTTGACCCCTTTTTAAGATCAAGGAGAACATTCTCGGAATCCTCCAGCAGACTCCCCATTATGTCTCATTGGCTGGATTTGCATCATCTGCCAACTCCTAAACCAATCACGAGCAAGAGGAACATAATTACCATAACTGGCTTAGACTAATCAAGAGTCACCTCTCCCCCTATAGCTGTAAGGGGCCCAGTCTCTCCTGAAGCACATGGCTCCTGACTGCCTGAACAAAATGGGGGGTTTGTAAGCAAGGAAAAAGGCAGGTAACTGCTGGGTAAGCAAGCAACAGTGGGCTGTGTCTGAGCTCTAGAACCATGCTGTCTAATATGATAGCCACATGTAGCTATTTATATTTAAACTTAACTAAAACCAAGAATTCAGTTCCTTAGTTACACTTAGCCACATTTCAGATGCTTGATTGCCACATGTGACCAGAGGCTACCATATTGAACACTGAAAACATAGAATATCCCATCATCACCAAAAGTGCTACTGGCTAGTGCTATCCTACTAGTTGTGCATTCACACCCCTCTGCAGGCTGTTCCTTCTCTTGGAACCAGCTCTCACTTCTTCCAGGTTCTCTCCCCCAGCTAGATCCTCCTTCTTTGCTGTAGCAATTTCTTTCCCCCTTTTCTGATACCCAGCCCATCGCTCTATATAGATCTTAACCCTTTGTCCAGCTTTCCACTCCTCCAGATGTAGGCCCTATTCCTTATTTAAGAAAAGCTACAGTCACACATTTTCCTTTTTTTTTTTTTTTTTTTTTTTTTTATTGATCATTCTTGGGTGTTTCTCACAGAGGGGGATTTGGCAGGGTCATAGGACAATAGTGGAGGGAAGGTCAGCAGATAAACAAGTGAACAAAGGTCTCTGGTTTTCCTAGGCAGAGGACCCTGCGGCCCTCCGCAGTGTTTGTGTCCCTGGGTGCTTGAGATTAGGGAGTGGTGATGACTCTTAACGAGCATGCTGCCTTCAAGCATCTGTTTAACAAAGCACATCTTGCACCACCCTTAATCCATTTAACCCTGAGTGGACACAGCACATGTTTCAGAGAGCACAGGGTTGGGGGTAGGGTCACAGATCAACAGGATCACAAGGCAGAAGAATTTTTCTTAGTACAGAACAAAATGAAAAGTCTCCCGTGTCTACCTCTTTCTACACAGACATGGCAACCATCCGATTTCTCAATCCTTTCTCGGCCTTTCCCCCCTTTCTATTCCACAAAACTGCCATTGTCATCATGGCCCGTTCTCAATGAGCTGTTGGGTACACCTCCCAGACAGGGTGGTGGCTGGGCAGAGGGGCTCCTCACTTCCCAGTAGGGGCGGCCGGGCAGAGGCGCCCCTCACCTCCCGGAGGGGGCGGCTAGCCGGGCGGGGGGCTGACCCCCCCACCTCCCTCCCGGACGGGGCGGCTGGCCGGGCGGGGGTCTGACCCCCCCCACCTCCCTCCCGGACGGGGCGGCTGGCCTGGCGGGGGCTGACCCCCACCTCCCTCCCGGATGGGGTGGCTGCCGGGCAGAGACGCTCCTCACTTCCCAGACGGGGTGGCTGCCGGGCGGAGGGGCTCCTCACTTCTCATATGGGGCGGCTGCCAGGCGGAGGGTCTCCCCACCTCTCAGACGGGGCGGCCGGGCAGAGACGCTCCTCACCTCCCAGAGGGGATGGCGGCTGGGAAGAGGCGCTCCTCACTTCCTAGATGGGATGGCGGCCTGGCAGAGACGCTCCTCACCCTCCAGACTGGGCAGCCAGGCAGAGGGGCTCCCCACGTCCCAGACGATGGGCGGCCAGGCAGAGACGCTCCCCACTTCCCAGATGGGGTGGCGGCCAGGCAGAGGCTGCAATCTCGGCACCCCGGGAGGCCAAGGCAGGCGGCTGGGAGGTGGAGGCCGCAGTGAGCCGAGACCACGCCACTGCACTCCAGCCTGGGCACCACCGAGCACCAAGTGAACCAGACTCCGTCCGCAATCCCGGCACCACTGGAGGCCGAGGCCGGCGGACCACTCGCAGTTAGGAGCTGGAGACCAGCCCGGCCAACACAGCGAAACCCCGTCTCCACCAAAAAAACACAAAAACCAGTCAGGCGTGGCACACATTTTCCTTTCTTTCCTGCTTCATGATCAGGCTGTTGAATGAGGGAGAAAAGAAAAGTCCACAGGCTTCAAAACCCCTAGTGTATCAGGGATGATGGCAAGTACAGGAATTCACCAGAGGATGCTGGGGTGCAGATAACTTTAGCAAAAGTCATTGCGAGTTCTGAAGGAAACAACAGGCCTGGCATGGACCAGTGGCTCCAAAGCCCCAAATGTGAAATTCCTAATAATCAGTGTGTTAAAACAAGGCAACATAAGTCTTGAGGTATACCTTTTCCTGCTTGTTGATATCTGATGCAATGAAGTTGCTATCATTATCTGTATTGTTTGCTAGGGCTGCTGTAACAAAATACCACAGACTGGGTGGCTTAAGCAACCAAATTTCTTTTCTTACAGATCTGGAGACCAGAAGTCTGAGATCCAAGTGTCAGGGAGGGTTGGGTTTTTCTCAGGACTCTCTCCTTGGCTTGTGCATGGCCATCTTCTCTCTGTGTCTTCAGATAGTCTTCCCTCTTTACATATCTGTGTCCTAATTTCCCTTTCTTATAAGGAAACCAGTCATGCTGGATTAGGAGGTAGTCCAACCCCATCCAGTACCTATACTAATGACTTCTTTTCAACTCGAATACCTCCTTAAAGACCCTATCTCCAAACTCAATCACATTCTGAGGCACTGCGGGGTTGGGACTTCAACATACGAATTTGGGAAGAAGACAATTCAGCCCAATTCAGCATTGTCCCAAATACTACCTATTTGATTATGTATGTATACTGTATACTGTGTATAGAAGTTTGCTGTGTATATATTGTTATAGAAGGGAATGGAATGTGCCTATGGTCTGATGGGCAGGTAGCATGGGCTGTGTGCATGCATTCACACCTGTGCATGCTGTTCATTCAGAGGGGATGATAAAGACAGGCTGAGGAACAAGGGTCCTGCACTCATAAGCCAGAAACAGATAATTCTGGGGGAGACCTCAGGGCAGCCTGGCTAGGCTACTCTGAGAACTGTGGTTATTTGCCTCCCTCTGTCTCTCCATTTATTAGAATTCCAGATGAGAATGTGCTCTCTCTGCACAGTAATTTAAAAAAAAACTTGGAGTCAGTAGGCACATCCTTCCTCTCCCTACACCACAGCCTCTGAACAAAGCAGCCTTCTCTGTGAGCCTGTCCCCAGGGGAAGCTTCCTCCAAGACAGTGACCAGCTTGAGCCCTGGTGGCTCCAAGGGGAGCCAGGGGCAGCAGCATGCCTGGAGTTGGATAAGACCATGCCACCTACTGCTACTGCAATCCCTTTGTTCGGTGGGGAGAGCAAATGCATCATCCTCTCCTGTAATTTGCAGTCCAGACACCAGGTGGAGAAATGAAAACCACAAAAGGAGACACATTCTTGAAGGAAAGCCAGGCTCCTGCCCTGCAGCCACTGGAACTCCCTGGGGCCAGAATGAAGTAGATAGGACAGGATAAGCTCCAACCTTGACTCCAAGTGCACCAGCAGTCACCTGCCTTCAGCCATATTTCTGCCTCCTCTACTCCAGAGCTCTCAGGGAGGCTGAACAGACAGCACCTGAAGCAGCTCCACTCCCTAACATCTGCTTCCTCACCTTCAAGGTGGCACCAAAAATGCCCTTTGGACTGAGATTTCCAAGGAAACTGCATCAGCAAATTCAGGTTTGGGTGGGGCTATAAGGAAAGCCACCATACATTACAAAGGGCTAAGTGATGTATAAGTTGCCCCACCCCTTTTGCTCTTTGCAAACATTGGACATATCCCACCCCCACTGCAGTCTGCTGCTGCTAACCCTCTCTGAGGGGCTTTGCTGTGCTATTGCCCCCTCTTCAGCCTCCCACCTTCAGTAGAAGACAACCATAGTATTTTCTTTTTCTTTTTCTTTTTCTTTTTTTTTTTTTTTTGAGACAGATTCTCACTCTGTCACCCAGGCTGGAGTGCAAAGACACGATCTTGGCTCACTGCAACCTCCACCTCCTGGGTTCAAGCGATTCTCCCACCTCAGCCTCCCGAGTAGCTGGGATTACAGGCACCTGCCATTATGCTTGGCTAATTTTTATATTTTTGTTGAGATGGGGTTTCACCATGTTGGTCAGGCTGGTCTTGAACTCCTGACCTCAGGTGATCCAACCGCCTCGGCCTCCCAAGTGCTGAGATGACAGGTGTGAGCCACCGCTCCCGGCTTACAGTACTTTCTAAAGTACCCTCAGGCTTGGGCATTTCTCTTTCCAAACTGAGGACTGGAAGCTTCCGAGGCAGACACTGTGTCACCATTGCTAAGAGCATGAGTTTGAGCAGGGTCACCTCAAGGTTTGGGAAGACGGGTCCTCTTTAAGAAAAATAATACAAAATTACAAACACAAAATTAACGTAAAAGTAACTAGAATGAGAAAAGAGGTCCTCACAATTTACGCATTTTAAAAAAACTGATAAATTCACAAATTTTAACAAAATCCAGAAAAATAACAATCCTTTTTATTAACTGCCTGACACATTTCTATAAATTATTTTTCTATATTTTTTCAGTGCATATTCTTTGATTGCCTCTTCATTTTCATATGGCAACAGTTTTGTGATATCATTGCCTATATAGAGAATAGAAAGATAAAAACTGGTTGTGATTAGTAATAGTTGTTTGGTTTTTTTTAAGATTTCTCATTTCAATGGGCATGGTGGCTCACGCCTATAATCCCAGCACTTTGGGAGGCCAAGGCGGGCGGATCACGAGGTCAGGAGATCGAGACCATCCTGGCTAACAAGGTGAAACTCTGTCTCTACTAAAAATACAAAAAATTAACTGGGTGTGGTGGTGGGCACCTGTAGTCCCAGCTACTCAGGAGGATGAGGCAGGAGAATGGCGTGAACCTGGGAGGCGGAGCTTGCAGTGAGCCAAGATTGTGCCACTGCACTCCAGCCTGGGCGACAGAGTGAGACTCTGTCTCAAAAAAAAAAAAAAAGAAAAAAAAGATTTCTCATTTCTCCTCCACTTCCCACATACTCTCTGTGCTGAAGACACAGGCCACATTCAGTTTTGTAGTCCAGCGTCTGGCTTTGTCAGAGGCGTTTAAACCAGAGCAACTCCATCTTGAATAGGGGCTGGGTAAATGAGGCTGAGACCTATTGGGCTGCATTCCCAGGAGGTTAAGGCATTCTAAGTCACAGGATGAGATAGGAGGCTGACAGAAGATACAGGTCATAAAGACCTTGCTGATAAAACAGGTTGCAGTTAAAGTAGCTGGCCAAAACCCACCAAAACCGAGATGGTGAGGAAAGTGACCTCTGATCATCCTCAGTGCTCATTATACACTAATCATAATTCATTAGCATGCAGAAAGACACTCCCTCCAGCGCCATGACAGTTTACAAATGCAATGGCAATATCAAGAATTTACCCTATATGGTCTAAAAGGGGGAGGAACCCTCAGTTACAGGAATTGTCCACCCCTTTCCCAGAAAACTAATGAATAATCCACCCCTTGTTTAGCATATAAGTAAGAAATAACTATACGTATCCTTAGTCCAGCAGCCCAAGCTGCTGCTCTTCCTATGGAGTAGTCATTCTTTTATTCCTTTAATTTCCTAATAAACTTGTCTTCACTTTACTGCATGGACTCACCCCTAATTCTTGTGTGAGGTCCAAGAACCCTCTCTTGGGGTCTGATTGGGATCCCTTTCTGTTAACAGTTCTGTACATCAAGTCAGGACACAGGCATGTGGGCACAGTGGGCAGCAGGATATTCCAGGAAGTCATCCTGCAGTGGGACAGCTAGCAATAACTTAATCTCAGAAGGGACTGCAAGGCACACTAATATATCCCACCAACTCAAACTGAAGATATCCCAACTCAGATTCCTCTTAGCCTATCCGCAAAATGCCCAGCTCCACCCAACACTGGAGGAAATTGGAGAAAAGCAAGGCAGAATGGAAAGAAACAGTAGTTTTAACTGAGTAAGGAAACAAACTACTAAGATTGCAAATTTTCTAGTTTTGCAAATTTTTAAAATTTTTTATTATTTTTCATAGAGACGAGGTCTTGGTATGTTGTCCAGGCTGGTCTCGAACTCCTAGGCTCCAGCTATCCTCCTGCCTCAGCCTTCCAAAGTACTGGGATTACAGTCATGAGTCACTGTGCACCTGGCCTAGTTTTACAAAATTTTTTTTTTTTTTTTTTTTTCCGAGATGGAGTTTCACTCTTGTCGCCCAGGCTGGAGTGCACTAGTGCAATCTCGGCTCACTGCATCTTCTGCCTCCCAGGTTCAAGCGATTCTCCTGCCTCAGCCTCCCGAGTAGCTGGGATTTCAAGTGCCCACCACCATGCCTAGCTAATTTTTATATTTTTAGTACAGACGGGTTTTCACCATGTTGGCCAGGCTTGTCTCAAACTCCTGACCTCAGGTGATCCACCCACCTCGGCCTCCCAAAGTGCTGGGATTACAGATGTGAGCCACCGTGCCCAGCCACAGATTTTTAAAAATTATATGACCAGCCACACATGGTGGCTCACACCTGTAATCCCAAAACTCTAGGGGGCCAAGGCAGGTGGATTGCTTGAGCCCAGGAGTTCAAGACCAGCCTGAACAGCATCCATCTCTACAAGAAACATGAAACAAAAAAACAACAACAAAAACACATATGACCATGTGAACACATTGCTAGGATCCACTTAGCACTTGGGAAGGGACTTATGCAAATGGAGGTGCCGGGGCTTAAGTCTCAGTAGCTTCATAGTAAACATTTCTCTGAGCTTTACAGTCAGACAATATGGGTTTGAGTCCTGACTTGGCCACTTAGCAGTGATGTGATGCATTGAGAAAGCAAAAATTAGTTTTTCCAAGCATTCATTTCTGCAACTGTGAATTAGAAATGATGATAGTTTGTATTTCACTGGGGTTTATAAGGATTGAGAAAATGTATATAAAAGGTTCAGCAATGTGCCTGACACACAAATTCTCACTAAATCATAGCCGCTGTGATTAGCACTACTGGCTCACATCTGCTCCTGGAGGCAGATCTACACTTCCTTTCACTATGAGGATATTGGCATGTGGTGATCATGGGAGCCAGATCCCCTTGGGGTGCCGAAATGGGGTGGTGGGGAGGGGGTGGAACCTTGGCATTGCCTAACTCTCACAAGACTTTTTGCAGGACCGAATAATTCCTAGCTTCTATTATCATAGGCATGCATAGCAGGTACCTAGGCCTGTGGTGACCCCGGCAGCAACTCCAAGTGACTTACCCACATACCCCAAACCCTGCTGTGATTCTGCTTCCCACAAAAGCAGCCTGCACAGGGCCCTTCTCAGTGCACAGATGTCCAGCTCCATGGGAGGGCCTCTGGCAGCCAGAAAGAGGAGGAAGGAGAGAAGGAAGGGGAAGTGGTCATGCATATACGGGGACCTTACCAACTCCTGCAGGCCGTGAGTACACAGTACAGAGCCTGGCAGACCTGACACAACTCGTCAAGGCTGCCTTTCCCCTGCTACCCAAGGCTTTGCCATTCATCTTGTCAGATCAGAGAAGCTACAGGCACAGAATGTTTGTCCAAGGCTCTGAGTCTTTTCCAGGTGCAGCCTCAGCAAATCACACCAGGAGAAGGAGTCCTGCTTCCTCAGGACTAAAAAGAAGACCAAAGAGCAACTGTTCACAGCAGGCCAAGTTTACAAAACGGTGGTGGAGAAAATGAATAATTTACGAGGATGAATGCAAGGCCATGTGAAGTGATCTCTATACACACAGGAAGGTACCACAGGAAGCCAACAGTGAATGTCTGGAGCCCAACACTGTGCCAGGCCCCACAGGGCACACTCTGGAGCTGGTAAAGGTGGAGCAGCACTGCCAGGAGTTGGGAGCTCAGTCTCTAGACTCACACAGACCTGAGCTCACACCTAAGTTCTCCACTTGTAAGCTGTGTGGCCCAGGACAAGTTCATTAACCTCTCTGGGCCTCAATTCCTCATCTGTAAAACGAGGATACTTATTTGGGATATTCTTGTTTGAAAGGATTGAATAATATAATCCAAGTGCTTAAAACACACACTCAGTCTTTTATTGCATACATTTAATGTGTACAACATGGTATGTTGGTATACATAGAACACATTGTCTCTCTCTCTCTCTTTTTTTTTTTTTTTTGATAGAGATGGGGATCTTGCTATGTTTCCCAGGCTGGTCTCGAACTCCTGACCCCAAGCAATCCTCCTGCCTCAGCCTCCCAAAATGCTGAGATTATAGGCGTGAGGCACCGCACCTGGCCCACATTCTCTTAATGATGTATTTTGATGCACAGAAGTTCCTAATTGTAATGTAGTCTAAGTTATCAACCTCTCCGTTTAGGTCAGTGCTTTGATTTCTGTCTACTTCAGGGTCAGGAAGACATTCTCCTCACCTAGCAGCTTTATTGTTTTTCATTTCACATTTAGATCTACATTCAGCTGGAATTCATTTTTGTGTATCTTTAGTAGTCATCAGAAGATCAAAAGACATCATTAAAGGAGTAAAAAGGCAAGCCTCAGAGTTAGAAAAGGTATTGACAATTGCAATCACCAAGAAAGGTATTTGATTCAGACAAGATGAAGAATTCCTACAAATCAATACAAAAAAGACATGCAACCAAATAGAAAAAGAGCAAAGACTTAAACATAAACTTCACCGAAAAAATATCCAGAAGATTATGGCCATTTAACATATGAAAAGGTGCTCAATTTCATTAGTCGTGAAGGAAATGCAAATAAAACCATGGTAAAATGCCACTAGAGACTCCCCCAAATGGCTAAAATTTAAAAGACTGATAATACCATGTGCTGACAAGGAGCACTCACCAAGGAACTCCCACTGCTGAGGAGGGGGGCAAATTGGTCTGACCACATTAGAAACATGTTTGGAAATACCTGCTAAAGCTGCATAATTCCTCTTGGTATACACTCAATAGAAAGGTTTGCATATGTGCACCAAGAGACATGTACAACAAGGTTTGTAGCAGCTGGTGCCAAATATAGGACATCATGGAAAAATGCTGCCTTTCATGTGGATCGCTTGAGCCCAGGAGTTCAAGACCAGCATAGGCAACATGGTGAAACCCCATCTCTACAAAAACTATGAAAATTAACTAGGCGTAGTGGCACATTCCTGTAGTCCCAGCTACTCAGGAGGCTGAGGTGGAAGGATTGATTGAGCCCTGGAGATTGAGGTTACAGTGAACGGTGATCACGTCACTGCACTCTAGCCTGGGCAACAAAGCAAGACCATCTCAAATAACAACCGCAACAACAAACATTGCCTTCATCAGATTACCCTAGACTCACCCATTATCATCCAACCTCTGCCCCCTGCCCATCTTCTTTCTAGCATTCACACATCCACCTGAATTATATATTCTACTTCTCCCTGTTTTCCAGCATTTTTATGATTCCTTCTGAAGTGTATTTTACCTCAGCTTCCAAAATAAGTATGATTTTAAGTGCCAAGATCACTAAAGAAAATTCAGAAAAGGCAGCTTGCCCTTGATTTGTTACAAAAGAAATACATCCCTATGGGAAAGAGACACTCTCTTTTTCCAGACTTCCTTATAATATAATGGTTACCATTAATTGAGCTCCATCTACGAGACTTGGTGCTTTACAGACATTGTTTGTATTAATTTATTTAAAAATGATTTTAGGCCGGGTGCGGTGGCTCACGCCTGTAATCCCAACACTTTGGGAGGCCAAGGCGGGCGGATCACCGGAGGTCAGGAGTTTGAGATCAGCCTGACCAACATGGAGAAATCCCATCTCTACTAAAAGTACAAAAAATTGCTGGGCGTGGTGGTGCACGCCTGTAATCCCAGCTCCTCGGGAGGCTGAGGTAGGAGAATCGCTTGAACCTGGGAGGCGGAGGTTGTGGTGAGCTGAGATTGTACCATTGCACTCCAGCCTGGGCAACAAGAGTGAAACTCCATCTCAAAATAAATAAATAAATAATTTTTAAAAAATTATTTTATGACATATTTGTATTTTAAATAATTTAAATTAAAAATGAACTATTTGTGATTCATTTCTTTCTTAATTTAGAATGAACTATTTTGTTACAGTTATTTCATAGCCATGTGGGTATATTATTATCCTCATTGCATAGATGAGGAAACTGACACTCAGGGAATTTAAATGACTTGTCCCAAAATGCACAGCTAGTCAGTGACAGGCACAATTCAACCCTAAGTTGTTCAATCTTATTCTAACGTGCACAATCTTAACTACTAGGCTACCATACTTGCATATTCAGGACTAACCCAGCATAGATGTTACATCCTCGATATTCTCTCTTTTGCCTTTTTAGGCAACTGGGAAAGGCAAGCTCAAAAAGTAGAAGGGAGAGTGTCAGCATTCTGGTATTTAGAATGAATTCATTGAAGGGTAAGCAAGTTTATCACGTGCCAGTTCTCAACTAGGCACCAACAAACAATGGCTTAGAAAAACAGATCTAGTCCCTGCCCTCACAGAGCTTCCACCTGGAAGACTCTCCAAACGGCAAATAAGCATTCATTTAGGACACTTATTCAATAATATTATTGATCAGTCGCCATGTGCATGGCACTGTGCTGGGTGCTGGAGACAGGCAGGGTGGAAAAGATAGACCCAGCTTCTCCTCTACCAGCTTACAGTCTAGCTGGGGAGACAGACAAGTAAATAGGCAAGGACAATATGACATGTATTATGATGGCAGAAGTTCTGACATTATCAGGGCTCCTAGAAGTAGGCCCCAACAGGAGGGTTAGGGAAGGCTCCCTAGACGAGGAACACCACCCTTCTCTGCTCATACTCTTGAAGTGAGGCCAAGAGACTGCTGAGCCATCTTGGCTTGTCCAGGCTGTCAGCGTGATTTCCAAAGTACTCTTTCATCTGTTGGCTAACTCAATAGTAATAGCTAACAATTACAGAGCATTTAATATGAGCCAGGCACTGTTCTAGTGCTTTACAAAACATTTCTCATTTCATCCTCCCAGGAACCCTAGCTGGGAGCACTTCTGTTTACAGAAGAACCTGAAGCACAGTGAGAGTGAGTCACCCACCTGACATCACATAGCTAGTCAAGGGAAGAGCCTAGCTTGGCACCCAGGCAGAAGGCTCCAGCATCTGCACCCCTCCATCACCCTCAACTGCCTCTCTGTGTAGAAAGCCCCAAAATACCTAATGCATGAAACCACTCCTCAGAGCTCTAGTTGCCCAAAGGTCATTTTTGTTCGCAATAAGCAAAGGGATATAGCCAGACCTGTGCTGGTAAGTATTTAACAACGATCTCTCCAGATTTGTAGCGTTTGCAGATTTCCTTGGTGTAATTACTTCCACCATGGTTAATTTCAAGCTACCAGTGTGATGTCTCCAAATGTGGAGTTGGGAGAAGTGCAATCCTATCATTCTATAGTATTTCCACCATACAGATACAATAGGTGTAAATAATCTTAAGTGCGCACATAATGGTATATGTAGGAAAATAATCAGGAGGCGATACATTCTGAGGATTTGTTACCTTTGTTTTTAATGTAATTTGTTTAATTTTAAGTTTATATAACTTAGCTTTTGACAATGGCTGTGTTTAACGATGGCTTGCAAAAATTCCTGAAAATTTAGCATCAGCTTCTGTGAGCCAGTACAACACACTCCAGCACTTCAGTGGATATAGTCCCAGGTTCTCTGGCTTGAGTCTAAGCTCTAATTTCCTGCCTCTGCTTCCTTTGCAACTTTAGGTGCCCTACAAATTACCCCCAGGGAGAGAAGGGAGAAGGGAGAGGTCTTAGCAAGTACTTAGCACCTGCTACGTGGCAGTCGCTGCGGTCAGTACTTTATGTTATTTCATTTTACACTCACTTTGATCTCTTAGGAAAGAGATTAATGCATGTATATATTTTGTTTGCACTTTTTTGCCATTGTATTCCCAGGGCCTTGGACTGTGCCTTACACATAGCAGACACAAAACTCATGTTTGTTGAATGAATAAATGAATGAAAAAGCTGAGGATGAAACCGACTCCTCAACCTGCATACAAGGCCCTCAGTGATCTGGCCCCTGCCTCCCACTGGCGCCTCCCTTCCCACCATGCCCAAGTGAATCCATCTCACCTGCACACAGCTTGCTGCTAGACACTGCCAAGACAACTTGGCTTGTGCTGTCTCCGCTACCTAGAAGGCCCTTCCACCGTGCATCTTTCTTAAATCAGATTTCCCCAGAAACAGACTCTAAGAGAGAGATTAAACTGCAGGAAGTGTATTGATAAAAAGCTCTTGGTGAGAACTCTCATAAAGAAGTGAGAGGGAAAAAAGAGGGGGGAAAAACAGAAGTGAAGAAAGTGGGACGGGGCAGGAGAAAGCTGAGCTGTGATGGAGGCCTCAGCCAAATTGACGGCACGCTCAGCATATGGGATGGATTTCAGAATTTTGCCATATTGAGGCAAAGGACAGGGCCTTTTTACCCCCATTTGTACCTCATCATTGAATGATGGCCATCTATGGATGGGGGATAACTTTGGGTGAAGCAGCTCCCTTTGCCAAAGGCATGGTCTGGAGAGGGACTAGGCTGTGAGCCACCAGCAAACAACACTCTGGGAAGCTGGGGAATGAGTGCCTCGATCTTAAAGGGAGATCTGGGCTGCACATTCCACCATGTACCTTCTTATTTCTTACCTATGCCCGGACATGTTTTGTTTTTTTGTTGTTGTTTTGAGACAGAGTCTCTCTCTGTCGCCCAAGCTGGAGTGCAGGGGTGCAGTCTCCTCTCACTGCAACCTCCACTTCCCAGGTTCAAGCAATTCTGGTGCCTCAGCCTCCCGAGCTGGGACTACAGGCATGCACCACAATGCCCGGCTAATTTTTGTATTTTTAATAGGGACAGGATTTCACCATGTTGGCTAGTCTGGTCTCGAACTCCTGACCCCAGGTGATCTGCCTGCCTCGGCCTCCCAAAGTGCTGGGATTGCAAGCGTGAGCCACCCGTGCCCGGTCCTAGCTATGTTATTTAATAGACTTTATATTTTAGAACGGTTTTAGGCTCATAGTGAAATTGAGCAGAGGGTACAGAGAGTTCCCAAATATCCCCTGCCCTGATACACAGCCTTTCCCATTATCAACACCCCTCACCAGAGTGGTAATTGTTACAACTGATGACCCTACTTTGACACATCATTTTCACCCAAAGTCCATAGTTTACCTTAGGGTTCTCTCTTGGTGTTGCACAGTCTATGGGTTTGGACAAAAGTATAATGACATGTATCCACCATTATAGAATCATACAGAATAGTTTCACTGACTTAAAGATCCTCTGTGCTCCAACTATTCATTCCTCTTTCAGCACCCCGTACCCCTGGCAACCACTGATCATTTACTGTCTTCATATTTTGCTTTTTCCAAATGTCATATAGTTAGAATCATACAGTATGTAGCCTTTTCAGATTGGCTTTTTTCACTTAGTAATATGCATATAAGGTTCCTCCATGCATATTACTCCATGTATATTCATGGCTTGATACCTCATTTCTTTTTAGCACTGAATAGCATTCCACTGTCTGGATGTACCACGGTGCATCCATTTATCTATTCACCTACTAACAAACATCTTGGTTGCCTCCAAAGTTTGGCAATTATAAGGAAAGCTGCTATAAACATCCATATGCAAGTTTTTGTATGGACATAAAAGTTCCTTTGGGTAAATATCAAGGTACATGATTGCTGGATTATTTGTAAGGATATGTTTAGTTTGTAAGAAACCGCGAAACTGACTTCCAAAGCTGTACCATTTTGCATTCTCACCAGCAGTGAATGAGAGTTCCTGTTGCTCCACATCCTTGTCAGCATTTGGTTTCACTGCCCACTTAACTCAGCAGCTAACTGTACCAGAGAAGGTTGTACATGAGTAATGTGACTCTATATAATAAAGCTAAATCTTTAGGTGCCCTGTAGAGCAGTAATGGTTAAGAACATGGGCTGGGCATGGTGGCTCATGCCTGTAATCCCAGCACTTTGGGAGGCCGAGGCAGGTAGATCACAAGATCAGGAGTTCAAGACCAGCCTGGCCAAGATGGTGAAACCCCATCTCTACTAAAAATACAAAAAATTATCTGGGCGTGGTGGCAGGTGCCTATAATCCCAGCTACTTGGGAGGCTGAGGCAGAGAACAGCTTGAACCCAGGAGGCAGAGTTTGCAGCGAGCCGAGACCATACCACTGCACTCCAGCCTGGGCAACAGAGTGAGACTCTGTCTCGAAAAAGAGAAAAAGAACATGGATGCTAGAGCCAAATTTCCTGGGTCCATTTCCATACTCTATCATGTCTAACTAGTTAACCTTGGATAAGTTGCTTAACTTCTCTGTCCCTCATTTGTTTCATCAATAAAAAAGAAGAATAGTACCTACCTCTTGGGGTTGTTGAGTTAATGTAAAGTATTTAGAACAGTGTCAGGCACAGAGTAAGCCCTCAATAAATTTCAGTAATTAGGCCAAGCACGGTGGCTCACGCCTGTAATCCCAGCACTTTGGGAGGCCAAGGCAGGGGGATCACGTGAGGTTAGGAGTTCGAGACCAGGCTGGCCAACATAGCAAAATCCCTGTCTCTACTAAAAATACAAAAATTAGCCAGGCATGGTGACGCGCACCTGTAACCCAGCTACTCAGGAGGCTGAGGCAGGAGAATCACTTGAACCCGGGATGGGGAGGTTGCAGTGAGGTGAGATCGCGCCACTGCACTCCAGCCTGGGCACTCCAGATGGAGCAAGACTTCATCTCAAAAAATAAAATAATCCAGTGATTATTACCAAAGACATGTATATTTTAAACAATTCAGTTTAGATTGTCAGAAAATGACTGACTAGAAAAAATCCTTGAAAGTTTTGGCTCTCCACAAGAACACATGGAAAGAGATGGATTTTTAGCCTTCATTTTTTTTTTTTTTTTTTGAAGCAAAGTCTCACTTTGTCACCCAGGCTGGACTGCAGTGGCATAATCATAGCTCACTGCAGCCTCAAACTCCTGGCCTCAAGTGAACCTCCCACCTTGGCCTCCCAAAGTGCTTGGGATTATAGGCAGGAGCCACCATGCTGGGCCATCAATGGCTACACTTTTAAAATCCTCACACAGTGAAGCAGTGTATCAGACATTCCAGAGTAATAACCCCAGGTATGCAGTTGAAGACTTGCTATAGCAAGTACAAGTAAGACAGTTTTTCTGTGTCCACACAACAGAAACCAACTTCATGTTGATAATAGCATTGCAAGCGCCTTAGCTTCCCACTGATGTTCAGATGCTAGGTTCTGGTTTTATGGACTCAAGGAGGTGTGTTACATCCTTCATCTTGAGCTATTTTGTGCACTGTATGTTTAAAATGATGCAAGAATTAAACGATCACAAATCTGCATGTCTTAAGTGACCATTACCATTTCCTCCATCCTGCCCTCCATACATGTGATTTTCCTCTCTAGGGGCCCTTTAGCTGCTAGAGAAAAAAATATGAGATTTCCTGTCTGTCTGCCATGACTTACCTATCTTCTATCCCTCATTCCCCAGAGAAGCAAAGGGCCAGGAAGAGAGAAGGAAGAAGAAGGGATATGGGAATATGGGGAACTCTCCAAGGAGAAGCAAGGCAGTCATCTGCCTTCTCCAGAGCAACTATTTTCCTGGGGCCTCAGGAAATGTGACATGCCTGTTGAGACTCTAATGAGTGCAGCAGCCAGGTTCTGTGGTCTCATTTTCCAGTGTGAAATCCTTTGTTCAGTGTGGCTTTAGCTATAACACCACGGAGGCCTAGAGACAGCAGGTTGCTGACTGGTGCAAGTATCTTTATTCAGTCACTAAAAATATATATACTAAGGAACTAAAATGAGCCAGAAATATTTCTAGGCACCAAAGGGAATAATACATTGTTCCTTTCCTCAAGGAGCCTACATCAGAATGGGGAAAGACAGACAATAAGTAAACAAATAGATCAACAAAATTCTGTAAGATGGGCTGGGCATGGTGGCTCACGCCTGTAATCCCAGCACTTTGGGAGGCCGAGGAAGGTGGATCATGTGGTCAAGAGATCCAGACCATCCTGGCCAACATAGTGAAACCCTGTCTCTACTAAAAATACAAAAATGAGCCAGGTGTGGTGGCACATGCTTGTAATCCCAGCTACTCAGGAGGCTGAGGCATGAGAATCGCTTGAACCCGGGAGGCGGAGGTTACATTGAGCCAAGATCTCACCACTGCACTCCTGCCTGCTGATAGAGTGAGACTCCATCTCAAAAAAAAAAAAAAATTCTCTAAGATGGTATGCAGAGCACAAAACAGGATGATGCATCTGCATCACTGGGTCGGTGCAACTTCAGATTGAATGGCCGGGGAAGGCAGCTTTCTGGAGGCGGCCATTGACCTGAATAACAACGATATATCTTAGGCCAGGTGAGATAGCTGAACCTGTAATCCCAGCAGTTTGTTAAGCTGAGGTAGAAGAGTCACTTGAGCTTAGGGGTTTGAGACCAGACTGGGCAACATAGTGAGACCTTGTCTCTACAAAAACAATAAAAAAATTAGCCAGGCACGGTGACGTGCACCTGTAGACCTAGCTACTCAGGAGGCTGAAGTGAGAGGATAGCTTGAGCCCAGGTGGTTGAGGTTGCAGTGAGCCATGATCGCACCACTGCACGCCAGCCTGGATGACAGAGTGAGATCCAGTCTCAAAAAAAAAAAAAATAGTCTCAATGTTCAGTCTGGGCTAGATAGTATTTTGCTTTGGAAACCTCTATGAGCTGGGGTGTCCCTCTTCCCACAAAGAGACAAGCATGAAATTGGATGCCAGGCTGCATCTAGAAAGGTATGGGAACTGTCTCAGCAGGGAATTGCTTCAGCACTTCTACACCCTGCCACAGTGGAAATGTCAGTTTACAGAGCTAGCTGCCTCCACTCGAGCTGCTGTTGGTCTTCTGTCCCAGTCAGTGTATCTGTTCTATAGTGCTGATACTAAAACCACAACAAAAGCACCTTGCTGTAATAGCTCCAACTATAGTGCTAGCCAGACCGTGTCTCCTGTGGACCCGGTATACAAATTTCTCACCCTCGCATGGCAAGCTCAGTGCATGCAAATAGTTCTGTCATTTAGAGCATCATCATCAAGGGATTGTACTTTACAGAGGATAAAATCTCACTTTAAAAAAAAATCGGCTGCTGGACGCGGTGGCTCACGCCTGTAATCTCAACATTTTGGGAGTCCAAGGTGGGTGGATCACCTGAGGTCAGGAGTTCGAGACCAGCCTGGCCAACCTGGTGAAACCCTATCTCTACTAAAAATACAAAAATTAGCTGGGCATGGTGGTGGGCACCTGTAATCCCAGCTACTTGAGCGGCTGAGGCAGGAGAATTACTTGAACCCAGGAGGCGGAGGTTGCAGTGAGCTGAGCTTGCGCCATTGCACTCCAGCCTGGGCGACAGAGTGAGACTCTGTCTTAAAACAAAACAAAACAAAACAAAAACATCTGCCATGTAATCCAACAAGAGAAAAAAAAAGTAAAGATTAATTATGAACGTAAGCAACTCCATCCAAAAAGGAAGCTGTTATGGTTTGACTGTGCCCCCAAAGTTCACGTGTTGGAAACATAAGCCCCCAGTTCAACACTGTTGAGAGGTGGGACCTTTAAGAGGTAATTAGGTCATGAGAGCTCTGTCCTAATGAATGGATTAACGTTATCTCAAGAGTGGGTTCATTACTGCAAGAGTAGGTTTGTCATAAAAGCTAGTTCAGCCCCCTCTTTCTCTCTCTTGGACTTTCTTGCTTTTCTTCTTTCCACCATGAAATGATGAAGCAAGGAAGACCCTCACCAGATGCTGGTCCCTTGGACCTCTCAGCCTTCAGAACTGTAAGAAAGAAATATGTTCTTTATAAATGATCCCAGTCTGTGGTATTCTGTTATAGCAGCACAAAACAGACTAAGACAAAAGCTGGCTAGACAATAAATATTTCATATCCCTCCAAATTCTCTTTTGGTCTTTTTAATATGCATCGGTACATTTTCCACAATTTTAATCAGCATAAATACACAGGTCTGTATCTTAGTTTTTTTCTACTTTACATTTTTCATATAATACATTTCCACATATTAATATTGCTCCCATGTGTCATTTAAACAGTCTTATAGAATCTAAGCATATTGAAATTCTTTTTTTTATTTTTACCTCTTTTTTTTTTTTTTTTCCTGAGACAAGGTCTTGCTCTGTTGCCCAGGCTAGAGTGCAATAGTGACATGATCATAGCTCACTATAATCTTAACTGGGCTCAAGTGATCCTCTTGCCTCTGCCACCCCAGAAGCTAGGACTACAGGTGGGAGCCACCATGCCCAGCTAATTTTTTAATTTTTTTTTTGTAGACGCAGAGTCTTGCCATGTTGCCCCGGCTGATCTTGAACTCCTGGCCTCAAGCAATCCTCCTGCCTCAGCCTCCCAAAGTTCTGGGATTACAGTCTCGAGCCACTGCACCTGGCTTTCTTTCCATTTTTGAGGATTAAAATTACTTGAAATTTTCCAAATATATTATACAAGGTCTTGCTAAGAACTTAGTAGATTTCTTTATTGTTGTCTTTTTTCTCTCTCTTTTGCCTTGTAGAAATATCCCACAAAGTGAAGTAACCAAGTCAACAAGTGTGAACAATTTTATAGCTCTCCTTAAATTTACTATACAGCTCTCAGAAACAACGGAGCCAGTTTATAGCAGGAGCCATTAGTGGGTGTGGACCTCTTTTCTAAGATCTGCTTCTAAACTTGGCTTTATCACATAAAGAGAGAAAAGCATTACAAACAATTTGAAGGAATTCTTTGTCTTATAAAAAAAATTCTGAAAACCTCCTTGTATTCCCACTAGGAGGTATAGTTAACCTTGCAACTCCACAAACAGACCACTTTACACACTTGCCCAGGGGCCTTTGTTTTTGCTTGCCCCTCCTCTGAAATGCTCTCTACAGGTGATTAAGTGGCTTTTCCCTTTACTTAGGTGTCTACTCAGGTAAAATCTTAACCAAGACGCCTTTACTTAAAATGTCCCTCTGCCCCACCCTGAGGCTTTTAACTTGCATAGCCCTCATCATCACCTGACATAATATGTACTTCTTTGCTTTTATAGATATTATCTGTGTCCCTCCACTAGGATGTCCATTTCATGGGAATAAAGACTTTGTCTCTTTCATTTGCTTCTATATTCCCGGTGCCAAGAAGATGCCTCATACATAGTAAATGCTCACTAACTATTGTGGAATGAATGAGTGAGTGAATGAACCAAGTGTCTGATTACATCATCATTAATTGCTTGGCATTCTGGAGTTAGCGCTGAAAAGCTGTGCAAGGCCAGTTATTGGGGCTAAAAAGTTTGCTGGCCAGTGTGGTTGTTCATGCCTGTAATCCCAGCACTTTGGGAGGCCGAGGCGGGTGGATCATGAGGTCAGGAGTTCGAGACCAGCCTGGCCAACATAGTGAAACCCCATCTCTACTAAAAATACAAAAACTAGCTGGGTATTTAAAAAAAAAAAAAAGTTTGCTGGTCATGAGTGTTTTTGTTTTTTTGTTTGTTTGTTTGTTTTGTTTTTGAGACAGAGTCTCACTCTGTTGCCTAGGCTGGAGTGCAGTGGCTCGATCTTGGCTCACTGCAAGCTCTGCTGCCCTAGTTCAAGCGAGTCTCCTGCCTCAGCCTCCCAAGTAGCTGGGATTACAGGCTCCTGCCACCGTGCCTGGCTAATTTTTGTATTTTTAGTAGAAATGGGGTTTCACCATCTTGGCCAGGCTGGTCTTGAACTCCTGACCTTGTGATCCAACCGCCTTGGGCTCCCAAAGTGCTGGGATTACAGGCGTGAGCCACCGTGCCCAGCCAAATAGTCCTTTTAAAACACTAATGGGGCCTGGCACGGTGGCTCACACCTGTAAAACCAGCACTTTGGGAGGCCGAGGCAAGTGGATCACTTCAAGTCAGGAGTTTGAGACCAGCTGGGCCAACGTGGTGAAACCCTGTCTCTACCAAAAATACAAAAATTAGCTAGGCATGGTGGCATGTGCCTGTAATCCCAGTTACTCGGGAGGCTGAAGCAGGAGAATTGCTTGAACCCCGGAGGTGGAAGTTGTAGTGAGCCAAGATCACACCACTGCTCTCCAGTCTGAGCCAGAGTGAGACTCTGTCAAAAAAAAAAAAAAAAAAAAAGAAGAAAGAAAGAAAGAAAAGAAAGAAAGAAAGACGAAAAGAAAAGAAAAGAAAGACACTAATGGAACTTATGAATGGTCTCCTCTCAAAAATGCATACTCAGAAATCTTAGTGTATGGTTTCAAGAGGCTGAACCTGCTAACATTCCCAATGAGTCCAGAAATCTGTTTTAGAAGCATTGCTCTAGGAACTACATTGCCACCTAGAAATCACAAACAGGTGGCCTAACAAACCACACTTGTTTTAGTTTGGCTCCTGCAGGAGTGAAAGGCACAGAGATTGTTTCTTAAGTTTTGAATTAGTTGCCCAAAATTTAAACTTCAGAAGATTTCACATCGGAAAAACAATCCGTATTTCTTAATTCCGTTGAAAACTCAGAAGGCCTAGGAGCACTTGGCCCACAGTCCTAGCTACAGATAAGCTATGGCAGCCCCACCTGGAAGATGTCCTCTTCCCTTTACTCTAGTCCCCACTGCTCCTTGTGGCTTCTATGGTTTTGAAGCAGAGCCTTGGTGACCGTTTATTATTAGGTTTGCACTGTTGTTTTCCTTTTTCTTTTTCTTTTGTTTTTTTTGAGATGGAGTTTCACTCTGCCATCCAGGCTGGAGTGCAGTGGCATGATCTTGGCTCACTGCAGCCTGTGCCTCCTGAGTTCAAGCAATTCTCCTGCCTCAGCTTCCCAAGTAGCTTGGACTACCAGTACCCGCCACCACGCCTGACTAATTTTTTGTGTTTTTAATAGAGACGAGGTTTCACCACGTTGACCAGGCTGGTCTCGAACTCCTGACCTCAGGTGATCTGCCCGTCCCCGCCTCCCAAAGTGCTGGGATTACAGGCGTGAGCCACAGCACCCAGCTACTCACTGTTGTTTTCTTAAGCCTGAGTTAAGAGGAAAGCAGAATAGACTCTGCCTCCTTTTTTCTGAAGTCAGGATCATTTCATTTACGTCATATGCCTGGCCACTGCAGAGATTTGACTTTAGACCCCTTGCCTAACTCAACTATAAATGATAAGGTTAAGGAAACTAGGACCCAAAAAGATTAAGAGACTTGTCCAAGTTTACACGGAGGCTGACTTGAGCTCTGGTTTTCCTAATTGCCATATGTGTGTTTGGTCTTTGTCCCTGGTTCCTGGCACAAGGCTCCTAAAAACGCCTGACATTTCCTTGGCTGGGCACGGTGGCTCACGCCTGCAATCTCAGCACTTTGGGAAGCCAAGGCGGGTGGATCACCTGAGGTCAGGAGTTCGAGACCATCCTGACCAACGTGGAGAAACCCCGTCTCTACTAAAAATACAAAATTAGCCAGGCATGGTGGCGCACGCCTATAATCCCCATGTACTCAGGAGGCTGAGGCAGGAGAATCTCTTGAACCCAGGAGGCAGAGGTTGCAGTGGGCCGAGATCACGCCATTATACTCCAGCCTGTGCAACAAGAGTGAAACTCTGTCTCAAAAAATAAAAATAAAAATACAAAAATTGGCCAGGCACGGTGGTTCATACCTGTAATCCCAGCACTTGTGGAGGCCGAGGCGGGTAAGGATCACCTGAGGTCAGGAGTTCGAGACCAGCCTGGCCAACACGGTGAACCCTCATGTCTATTAAAAATACAAAAAATTAGCCGGGCATGGTGGCAGGCGCCTGTAATCCCAGCTACTAGGGAGGCTGAGGCAGGGAGAATTGCTTGAACCCAGGAGGTGGAGTTTGCTGTGAGCCAAGATGGCGCCATTGCACTCCAGCCTAGGCAAAAAGAACAAAACTCTTTCTGAAAAAAAAAAAAAAAAAATTTAGCTGGGCATAGTGGTGCATGCCTGTAATCCCAGCAACTCGAGGAGTTGAGGCAGAAGAATCGCTTGAACCCGGGAGGCAGAGGTTGCAGTGAGCCGAGATCACGCCACTGCACTCCAGCCTGGGCAACGGAGCAAGACTCCATCTCCCAAAAAAAAAAAAAAAAAAAAAAGTCCTGGCATTTCCTAAGAGATAGGAGTGTCTTGTTATTCGTAAGGAGCAATTTGATCACATCTGAGCTTAAGTCACTAATGAGTGACTTAGGGCAGGGCCCGCAGGTAGCCTCAGGATGGGGCTGGTCATCAAAAAGACCAAGTGATTAGAGGGTTGAAACTATTAGCCCCATTCATTGACCTCCAGGAAGGGAAGGGCAGTGCTGGAGAGTAAACTCTATTTTTTTTTAAAAAAACAACTCTTGACCGGGCGTGGTGGCTCACACCTGTAATCCCAGCACTTTGGGAGCTGAGGCAGGTGGATCACGAGGTCAGGAGTTCCAGACTAGCCTGACCAACATGGTGAAACCCCATTGTCAGGCCTCTGAGCCCAAGCCAAGCCATCACGTCCCCTGTGACTTGCACGTATACGCCCAGATGGCCTGAAGTAACTGAAGAATCACAAAAGAAGTGAATATGCCCTGCCCCACCTTAACTAATGACATTCCACCACAAAAGAAGTGTAAATGGCCGGTCCTTGCCTTAAGTGATGACATTACCTTGTGAAAGTCCTTTTCCTGGCTCATCCTGGCTCAAAAACACCCCCACTGAGCACCTTGCGACCCCCACTCCTGCCCGCCAGAGAACAAACCCCCTTTGACTATAATTTTCCTTTACCTGCCCAAATCCTATAAAACGGCCCCACCCTTATCTCCTTTCGCTGACTCTCTTTTCGGACTCAGCCCACCTGCACCCAGGTGAAATAAACAGCCATGTTGCTCACACAAAGCCTGTTTGGTGGTCTCTTCTCATGGACGCGCATGAAATTTGGTGCCGTGACTCAGATCGGGGGACCTCCCTTGGGAGATCAATCCCCTGTCCTCCTGTTCTTTGCTCCGTGAGAAAGATCCACCTACGACCTCAGGTCCTCAGACCCACCAGCCCAAGGAACATCTCACCAATTTTAAATCAGGTAAGCGGCCTCTTCTTACTCTCTTCTCCAGCCTCTCTCACTGTCCCTCAACCACTTTCTCCTTTCCACTCTTCAATCTCTCCCTTCTCTTAATTTCAATTCCTTTCATTTTCTGGGAGAGACAAAGGAGACACGTTTTATCCATGGACCCAAAACTCCGGCGCCGGTCACAGACTGGGAAGACAGCCTTCCCTTGGTGTTTAATCATTGCAGGGACGCCTGATTATTCACCCACGTTTCAAAGGTGTCAGACCACGCAGGTATGCCTGCCTTGGTCCTTCACCCTTAGCGGCAAGTCTCGCTTTTCTGGGAAAGGGGCAAGTACCCCAACCCCTTCTCTCCTTTTCTTTACCCCTTCTCTGCTTTTCTGAGTGAGGGGCAAGTACCCCTCAACCCCTTCTCCTTCACCCTTAGCGGCAAGTCCCGCTTTTCTACGGGGCAAGAACCCCCAATCCCTTATTTCCGCGCCCCAACCTCTTGTATCTCTGCGCCCCAATCCCTTATTTCCACGCCTCGACCTCTTATCCCTGTGCCCCAATCCCTTATTTCCGTGCCCCAACCTATCTCTGCGCCCCAATCCTTTATTTCCGCACCCCAACCTCTTATATCTCTGCACCCCAATCCCTTATTTCCGTGCCCCGACCTCTTATCTCTGCGCCCCAACCCCTTTTCCCACTTTTCTGGAAGGTAAGAACCCCCGAACTCCTTCCCTCCGTTTCTCTACTCTTTTCTCTCGGCTTGCTTCCTTCACTATGGGCAACCTTCCACCCTCCATTCCTCCTTCTACTCCCTTGGCCTGTGTTCTCAAAAACTTAAAACCTCTTCAACTCACATCTGACCTAAAACCTAAATACCTTATTTTCTTCTGCAATGCCACTTGACCCCAATACAAACTCGACAGTAGTTCCAAATAGCCAGAAAATGGCACTTTGAATTTTTCCATCCTGCAAAATCTAAGTAATTCTTGTAAAACAGGCAAACGGTCTTAGGTGCCTGACGTCCAGGCATTCTTTTACACATCAGTCCCTTCCTAGTCTCTGTGCCCAGTGCAACTCGTCCCAAATCTTCCTTCTTTCCCTCCCACCTGTCCCCTCAGTACCAACCCCAAGCATCGCTGAGTCTTTCTAATCTTCCTTTTCTACAGACTCATCTGATGTCTCCCTTCCTCCCCAGGCCGCTCCTCGCCAGGCCAAGCTAGGTCCCAATTCTTCCTCAGCCTCCGCTCCTTCACCCTATAATCTTTTTATCGCCTCCCCTCCTCACACCTGGTCCGGCTTACAGTTTCGTTCCGTGACTAGCCCTCCCCCACCTGCCCAGCAATTTACTCTTAAAAAGGTGGCTGGAGCTAAAGGCATAGTCAAGGTTAATGCTCCTTTTTCTTTATCACAAATCAGATAGCGTTTAGGCTCTTTTTCATCAAATATAAAAACCCAGCCCAGTTCATGACTCGTTTGGCAGCAACCCTGAGACGCTTTACAGCCCTAGACCCTAAAAGGTCAAAAGGCCGTCTTATTCTCAATATACATTTTATTACCCAATCTGCTCCCGACATTAAATAAAACTCCAAAAATTAGAATCTGGCCCTCAAACCCCACAACAGGACTTAATTAACCTCACCTTCAAGGTGTACAATAATAAAAAAAAAAGTTGCAATTCCTTACCTCCACTGTGAGACAAACCCCAGCCACATCTCCAGCACACAAGAACTTCCAAACGCCTGAATCGCAGCGGCCAGGCATTCCTCCAGAACCTCCTCCCCCAGGAGCTTGCTACACGTGCCGGAAATCTGGCCACCAAGCCAAGGAATGCCCGCAGCCCGGGATTCCTCCTAAGCCGTGACCCATCTGTGCGGGACCCCACTGAAAATCGGACTGTTCAACTCACCTGGCAGCCACTCCCAGAGCCCCTGGAACTCTGGCCCAAGGTTCTCTGACTGACTCCTTCCCAGATCTTC